>NC_000012.12:53710128-54960128 GCF_000001405.40 Homo sapiens | reverse complement strand
AGAGATTCCTTTATTTTGGATATCTTGGTACCATTTTCTACATTTTCTAGTCTAATTGTTTTCTTAGTTAATACTCCAAAATTTCAGTGGTACTTGCTCAGACACACAAAGATATTTACAATTCTAACTGTTTTAATTCTAATTCTCTGTGGTTTTAGGAATCTAATCACTCTTGTTTCTCTCTTACCTACTACCTACATCTCAGGGTATATGAATCATATGTATGTATTTAGTCACAAAAGAGGTAAATAGCAGAAGGCATCAATATGTCATATGCACTTCAAGAAGTTTCAGATGGTTTCAGTTGCTGGTCTGGCATGTTAGGAGCTAGAAGCGGCCACTCCACCCAAACAACAAGTAAAAACCTGAACAGACTGAAAAATTAGTAACCGTTCTAGACCCATCAGAGAAGTGGGTCACAGGGCAAACCACTTCTCCTCAAATTAGAGAAATAGGCAAATGCAAAGATTTATGACTTGTTAGAGCAAAAACCCCAAAGCATAAACTCCCCCAGGAATCAGAACCACGGTAGAGAACCCGGACAATAACCGAGGAATTACTGGATGCTCAGCATGGACCAGTCTGAGAAATAAAAACTCTAGGGAGACCCAGTCATTGGGAGGCCCCTTGTTTCTGGGAGTCTTACTTCTAGGAGCTCAACCATGTTCTCACAGGAAATACTGGAGAAAAATCCCCTAGTGTTTCCCGCAGGGGGCGGGAGAAAGGAACCATTTTGAAATGCAGCAGAGCATTCTATTCCTCTTAACAAAGTCTTCCCTCGGGAGAAACTAGATACCAAAAACCTAACCGGATGAGGTTTTATCAGAGACTAACCGACCTGAAGGAAGGGAAACACCCAACTCCTGCCTACTCTAGCCATCCCGTCCCATTAAAGGGGACAGAGAGGATGAGAAGCACAGGTGAGAGTCACAATCCAGAGGCACAGTCTCACTGGAAGACTGAGACCTAACCATAAGACCATGGAACGCTTCCCTTCTCCCTAAACCTTACCACCACATTACTAAAAGCCTATTTACATCAATTTCTTTTACTCAGTACATCGCGTCCAGTTGTAAAAAAAAGACATAGTAAAAGGCAAAAACAGGTTGAAGAAACAGAGAAAACGTTAAAACCAGTCTCAGATATGACAGGGATGTTAGGATTATCAAACTGGAAATTTAAAACAACTAAAATGATAAGGGCTCTAATGGATAAAGTAGTCTGTGCGCAAGAACAAATGAACAGAGAGATGGAAATCCTTAGAGTAAAAAAAATGCTAGAGATAAAAAATGGTGTCACAGAAATGAGGAATGCCTTTGATGGGCTTATTGGTGGACTGGACATGGCTGAGGAAAGAATCTCTGAGCTTGAGACTATAGCTATAAAAACCACCAAAACTGAAAAGCTAAGAGAAGACTGAAAAAAATATAAGAGAATATCCATGAAATGTGGGACAGTTACAAAAGGTGTAACATATGCATAATGGAAATTCCAGAAGGAGAAGAAAGAGAGAAAGAAATAAAAGAAATATCTGAAACAATAATAATTGAGAATTCCCCCAAATGAATGTCAGATACCAAACCACAGATCCAGAGAGCTCAGAGAACACCGAAAAGAATAAACACACGCACAAAAAAACGCAAAAATCTACACCTAAGCTTATAATTTTTAAACTACAGAAAATCACAAGTAAAGGGAAAAATCATAAAAGAAGCCAGAAGGAAAAAACACCTTACCTATAAAAAAACAAAGATAAGAATTACATGCAACTTCTCCTCAGAAAATGTGTAGTATATACTCCACAAGTAGGTTCTTGCCAAGAATTGAATTTACTCTAAAATGCAACACTTTGCTTAAGTGTTGTTTGTCCAGCAGATGTCAGCCTTGCACAAGAAAAAAAATGCCAAGATGTTCCACAAAGCAGGCTGTGTGCAGGATTTATATGGTTATACATTCCTGGGCAATCTATGCAATGCAATGCCCAGAACACAAGTTCCTCTCACAAACCTGTCCCAACTTTGTCTAAAGGTCAGTATTTTAAAATATCAGAATTGAATTGCTAGGGAGAAAGTATTGCTAGGAGTCATACATTTCAAGTACCTAACTAGATTCCATTTTCTGCCAGTGATGGGGCTTCATTACAGCAGGAGAGGCAATGGTTTAAAATGCTGTATTTTATTGATTCTAAGGCACACATTTTTCCACATTTTAACATCTCTGAAATTAGGTTGTGCCTTAAAATTCATAGTGTCAGCCAATTTAGTTGTCTTTTTTTGCCTCCTTAAGTGGAATGTAAAATAATTATGAGTCTTACAAAAAATGGTTTATGATCATCAATGAAATAGCATAACTTTATAAATTAAATGCACTTTTTCTCTCAAGTAAGTTAGGAAAATATTTTGTGATTTTTTTCTATGATTACCTAGAAGAATAAGAGATCTCTTCTTTCCTGACGCAGTCTTTGGCTGAGGAAGGGGTCACAGTAGTTCCCAAATTTTTCCAATGTCCTGTGCATTTGTTTAACCATCTTTTCACAAAGCTATAACCTATTTCTCTCAATCCACTCCTCTATTACCCTTTAAGAAATCTCAAGAAGCGGAGAGAGCTATAGCAACAGCTCAGTACTGCCAATATTAAAGCCTGTGTGATAAATATGGAAGGGGGAAGTTCACTCACCACAATCAAAGGCAGAGCTAAGTGGGATAATTTTTTTCAGTTCTGCTGGGAAATAGTCCCACTTCTGCCTTTTTCAGAGTCTGTAATTATTTCCTGGAGATTAGTGATCTTCCATTATAATGTCGTTTTAAGTTCCAGGTATTAACTACTACTTGTTAGTAGTGGATAGGAAGTGGTAGCAGCACTCAGCCAGCCACCGTGTAGCGTTGTGCAGCCCATGCATTGCCCAGAGACACCCAGCTGAGTAGGCAAATGGGAATTAGAATCCAGCCCTACTGAGCTTGCCATCCAAAAACTCTAGGGCTTTCATCTTCTAAGAGCGAGCTCCATTTTTTTCTAATTCATTCACATAGGGTGAGTGCCTTTCTGTAATTAGCACAAGGGCACTGCTGTGGTTTGAATGAGTCTCGCAAAGTTGGTATATTGGAACCTTAACCCCCCATGCAGTGCTGAGAGGTCAAACCTTTGAGAGGTGACTAGGTCATGAGGGCTCTGTCCTCGTAAATGGATTAATGTCACTATTGTGGGAGAGGATTCGTTATCTCAAGTGAGCTTGTTATAAAACCAAGTTTGGCTGTGTCTTGCTTTCTTGCCCTCTCACGCTGTCTTCCCCCTCCATCTTCCGCCATGGGATGATGCTACAAGGAGGCCCTCACCAGATGCAGGCTTTTGACCTTGGATTTGCCAGCCTCCAGAATTGTAAGAAATAAATTTCTTTTCTTTAAAAATTGCCGTTATCTGTGGTATTGTCATGGCAACACGAAATGAAGTCAAACAGGCACCTTTTCTATTAAAAGAGGACCTTGACCCGCAGCCAACAGCTTTCTTCACTTGCCACCTTCTCATTTAGTCTCTGCTGGGAAAGAGGTTTTAATCTTCCTCCAAGTTCCTGAGAAAGGATGACCCACATCTTTCCTCATAATTTCCACCATGCTCAAAAATGTCAAATTCACAGCCCTTTCTATTGGTTTCCTGTGTTGACATTTAAACCACTTGACCTTTATCACACTTATAAGCGGCAGAGCCAAGGAGAAAGTTTTTATTTTTTTGTCGTTCTTTTTGTTTCTTTTACCAGATCTGAGGTAGCACAGGTCAATATTTATTCTCTTTGTGAAGTGACCATATCTAGAGGTGGAAGTTTTCATTTTTATGGTCACCCCTGCTGGTGGCAGCAGAAGAGACAGGAGGGACTAGGTGGGAATGCTCGTTCAGAGCACAAGACAAAGAAGAAAACTAGCTTGAGATACCCCCAAATGGTGGGTAACTCAAAGCACTATCTGTTTGTACTTGGTGGAACCTGTGTAAGTTGGGTAGCTACAGTCTTCTCTTTGATGTAAGATTGTCCTATGTGATAATATTACCAATAACAATATATATAGGGATTACTACATAGCAGACAGTATCTTTAGCACTTATGGATATTAAATCATTTCATCCTATGACATAAGGTCTTTCATTATTCCCCATTTTATAGATGATGATACTGGACACATTTTTATATCAAAATAAATTCTGAAGAGGGACAGTCAGATGTGAAGTGTAAGAAGAGATTAGACAAGGGGGAGGGATAGTGGGAGGACATCAAGAAATTGTGAATATTTTTCCACCTCATTTACAATTCTTACCAAGGTTGTTTTGCCTCTGTTGGGAAAATATAATTAAAAACAAAATCTCCTCCCACCCCAGGAAATCACTCCACAAAGGTGTAAAAGAAAGAAAGTTTTATTTTTGAATACCATTGAAGCAGACTATGATATGTATTACAGAACATCCACTAAACAGATTGCAAACACAGAACGAAATCTTACCCTTGTACATAGCCAGGCAGATACAACCCATTACATGGCTGTTGTCAAATAAACAATACTTTGTCCTCAAGTAAGAAGACTTAACAGAATCATTTGTCACTCACAGTTCACCCTAGACTTACCTGGTAATTGGAGTGGCCATCTGTGTCAGTCAATTGGCTTTATGCAAAGAAAAAAATAAACCTCATATTTTTAAGACAGGAAGTGGTTTTTGCAAGTTAAAACAAAGTGCTTAAGTTAGATGCCCACCTGCCCATTGAGACTGGAAGAGACAGGTGCTACCCTCCTTGATAATTACATTTCAAAGGGATGGATGTCAACCTTTGTCCATTTTTTTAATTGGATGATCTATTTGTTTGTTTTGTTATTAAGTTGAAGAAGTTTCTCATATATTTTGGAATTATCATTTATTGAAAGAAGACATACAAGTGCACAACAGGTATATCAAAAGATTCTCAGTATCACTAATCATCAAGAAAATGCAAATCAAAATCACAATGAAATATTACCTTAAACCTGTTAGGATGGCTATTAGTGAAAAGAAAGATACGTGTTCGCAAGGATGTAGAGTAACTGAAACTTCTGTACACTGTTGGTAAGAATGTAACATGGTGCAACGGCTATGGAAAAGAGTACTAAGTTTCCTCAAAAAATAAAAAGTGGAACTACCATATGATGTAGCAATCCTATTTCTGGGTAATTATCCAAAAGAATTGAAATCAGGATCTTGAAGAGATATTAGCACTCCTATTTTCACTGCAGCACTATTCCCAATGACTAAGATGTGGAAACAAACTTAATGTCCATCAGTGGATGAATAGATAAAGAAAATGAGACATATATATACAGTGAAATATTATTCAGCCTTTAAAAGAAAGGAAGCCTTGCAATATGTGATGGCATGGATAATCCTGTGGACATCATCTCTCTATATAAGACTTATATGAGACAATATTTCTGAAAATGCTATACAGTATAATTACTAGAGGCTCTTTCTACCAGAAGGACTGTGTAAAGTGGTGTGGATGAAGCCAGGACCTCCTCTTCTCTGCACATCCTCAAAAGCAATTCTTACATTGCTTTCTATGTGAATGTTGACACCTGATGTTGTGTGCCTTGGCAGCCTTGGAAGTAATCTTGGTGATCCATTTGAACTACAACTTAGAAAATGGGGATTAAGCAATGCAGATAAAGATTATCTTTCTGCCTTCCACAGCCAAAGAAAGAATGAGACAGTATAGATAAAGGGAAGACTGAGGAAGAGAAAAGAAGATACAGAAGTGTTATTTTGTCTGTGGTTTTGCATTTTGTGATTTCATTTACCTGAAATCCATTTTATACTTGAATGGGCTCAAGAAAAGGACTTAGCAAGATCATGCAACTAGTTAGTGTCAGAGCCAGAACTAAGGCCCAGGTCTCCTGAGATCCAAGCCAAGGCCGTTTCCATCAGAGCATATGGCCCTGATTGAGCAGAAGTTTAGGCTGTTACTGTGGATCAGGGCAAGCCTCGCTACCTGTACTTGGATCTGAGCTTCATTTACTGTGTGCCTTGACCCTTTATGCTAAGTACCAATACTCTCACTACCTTTGTCACCACTGAAATGTACTTGCCTTCTTATAAAGTCACCAGCAAGAGAAGCATTATACAGAATAAGCAGAAATGTTCACAGGATGCTTTGAGCTCATAGTTTAGTGAAAAACATGACAAGAGAATCAGTAATTATTAATAATTTTCATTAAATGCCATAGGGACCAGAAATTAACCTTTCAGAAGATGGCATTACTTTTTTTAACGATGTGTGTTGGCAAAGATGTAGAGAAGGTAGGCCGGGCACGGTGGCTCACGCCTGTAATCCCAGCACTTTGGGAGGCCGAGGCGGGCAGATCACGAGGTCAGGAGATTGAGAGCATCCTGGCTAACACGGTGAAACCCCGTCTCTACTAAAAATACAAAAAAAATTAGCCAGGCGTAGTGGCGGGTCCCTGTAGTCCCAGCTACTCGGGAGGCTTGAGGCAGGAGAATGGCGTGAACCCGGGAGGCGGAGCTTGCAGTGAGCTGTGATCGTGCCACTGCACTCTAGCGTGGGCGACAGAGCGAGACTCCGTCTCAAAAAAAAAAAAAGTAAATAAAAAAAGATGTAGAGAAGGTAAGTCTGGACAGATGTGTCCAACATTGAACAGGGAGAAGGTGGCTGAGGAGAGTAGAAAAAGGAAAAGCAGAATATTGATATTCTAGGCAGAGAGAAAGGTAAGTTCAAAGACAGATGAATGGAATACCACAATATCTTATGGAAACTACACCTTATGCCTAGTGGGAGAAAGGGGATGTGCTGGAGAAAGATCAAAACTGAAAATAAGAAAGATAAATAGAAAGGAAGTTATAAAACAGAGTCTCCTATGTTATTTTAAGTGTTTTGGTTTAGTCTAAGGTAGGAATCCACTGAAAAATTTACAAAGGAAGTGATGTGATTAGATTTGTCTTTTAGAAAGATTATTCTGGTAGAAGTATGGGAGATGGACTGGGTAGGAAGCCGGCAGAGTAAGGAAAATAATTTAAGAATCTACTGCAGAAACCTAGGGAGAAATGTGATGATCAGAAACAAGCTGAAGGCAGTGGGAATAGAGGGGAGGACGAGTGAGATTTTGAGATATTCAGGAGGTAAAATATCTAAGCCAGGACCGATTAGACTTGTGTTTGGGGAAGAAAAATGGAATAAGGAACAGAAAGAAAGATAGGGCATACAGGTTTCCTCTTGGGCAACTAAATGGATGTAAATATCATTTTATTAAGAATGAAGTAAAAATAGGAATAACAATTTGGAAGGCAAATATATTAAAGTATAATTTTCAAAAAGGTAAAATAATGACTCTCATGCAAATGTAGATAAACATGTTCAAAGACTTTACTCAATTCATTAATTACTGAAGGCACCAGCAATATGCTTGACCTGGTCCAAAGACTATTTGAGAAGTCAGTTTATACAGAGAGAGAATTTAACAGATTGCCATATTAGATACAAAACTGGTTAATATCCAATAACAGCATAAACTTTATCTCTGGGATTACTGGTTCCACTGGATGGAAATTATTTGCATCTCTACCCAACATAAATCACTAAGGTAATCTCTGCTCTTGCAAAACTATAAAATAGCAGTGTAAATAGAAAGTCAAGATTAACACTGTACTGAAAGAGTATCTAGTCATCTTGTTTGACTATTTAGAAAAAGCTGATGAGTTCATATCTGAACATGGTGAGTGTAAGGTACTTCTAAAATACTGTGATAAAGAGGTTCATGTCTTCATTGGTTTCTGTTGCTATAATAGAACATTACAAACTAGGTATTTTACTTTATAAAAGAAATTTATTTACTACAGTTCTGGGAGCTGGGAAGTCCAAGGTTGAGGGACCACATCCGGTGAGGGCCTCCTTTCTGCATCATAACATGGCAGAGGATATCACATGGTAAAAAAGCAAGAGCATGCCATCTCAGGTCTCCCTTCCTCTTCTTATATAGCCAAGATTCCCATCATGGGGCCTCACCCTGATGAGTTTATCTAATCCTAATTTTTTCCCTAAGACCTCACCTCTTGATACTATCACGATGGCAATTAAATTCCAACATGAATTTTGGAGGGCAAACTCAAACAACAGTCCATAAGGCAGTTTGGATAAAGGAATCTAGGAATTGAGCTTTTTGGAGTTCAAGGCTTACTTATAATAGGTGACGGCATGAGGAAAGATAGTTCACCCAAGAAAGTATGCAGAATCAGAATCTGAAGTAAAAAAAAAAAAACAACTTAGAAATATTAATATTTAAAGTTTTATCAAGGAACAACGTATATAAAGGAGCAATATTGATTAGAAAAAGGTTGCAAATAGAAACCAAGTGATGTTTCTCTCAAGAAGGAGGGTGTAGTCTTCAGTAACATTTACCATAAAATATCCAATAGGAAGGAAAATGCAAAGATACCATTGTATTTGTGACTAGATAACAATTACTAACCTTGATAAGAATATTTTTATTTGGGTGACAAGGCTTTAAAATATTAATATGAAAAGTGAATAAGAAATGTTGAAAAGAAAGTAGGTAAATAATTTTTTTCTAGGATGGTGAAAGTTTAAGCATACAGTAAATATTTCCCTGGAAGGAAAGAATCAATAGAATGGGAAAGGCTATGGTTTAGGAGGGAAGGAATTGTATGAGTCTCTTCTCACATTGCTGTAAGGACCTAGCTGAGAGTGGGTAAAGAAAAGAGGTTTAATTGGCTCATGGTTCCACAGGCTGTGCAGGAGGCATGGCTAGGGAGACCTCAGGAACTTTCATTCATGGCAGAAGGGGAAGGGGAAGCAAGCACATATTCACATGGTCAGCAGGAGAGAGAGAGAAGGGGGAAGAGCTACACACTTTTAAACAACCAGATCTCATGAGAATTCACTCGCTGTCATGAGAACAGCAAGGGGGAAATCTGCTTCTGTGATCCAATCACCTCCCATGAGGCCCCACCTCCAACATTCAGGATCACAATTCAACATGATATTTGGGTGGGGACACAGAGCCAAACTATATCAGGGATGTTAATGGTGTGAAGTCACTGAGAACTGGGATGAGATGAGATTCAAGGCACTTTTGGAGGGTGTAGCTAGCCATAAAGTAGTGTGACAGATATTTCTCTGAGATTAAAGGGAAAAAAAAATGGAAAAAAATTTTAAGTGTCAATATGGTTATATTGGTCATCTGGAGAGGAAGTCAAGAAAAATTCTGCCTATTTCTTTCTCTCTTTTTCCTGTGGGGTCATTACTAAAAAGTGTGAGTCAGGAAAGGAATGGTAAAAATTTGAGAATTCTACTATGTAGAAAAAACAAGAGAAATACTTATTAATAGAAAATGCATTGCTAGTTGAATAGGTGAATAATGTTAGGCTCATTTCAAGGTGCAGAACATGAATTGATAGTGGTTTAGTGATATTCTCCAACAGTGTTCAGCAATCCATACAAAAAAATAAAGGTATAAATGTATGCCTTTATAAGTATTAAACAGTAAGAGGTAAACTCTTGCAGGAATCTCACCTCATGATGAAAAGAGCAGAAACCCCAAGTCACATGACTCTTTGCTGCTGCTGCTAATAACTTTAAATGTCACTTATAATACTGAGAAACATTTCCACAGCTGAGGTATGAAAGTTCCTACCAACCTCAGTACCCAAAGTTGTTTAAAAAATGCATGATATGTATCTTTTTTATTCCCATTGCAGGCTTTCTCCACCACCACAACAGCATGTGGTCTGACAGAATTGGCTTCAAAGAAGAAACTAAAAGCCACCTCTTGCAGGAAACTGCACTGCCCTCAACATCCAGCCCCTACTCCTTGGTCCTCCAAACCCCCAAACTCTGCAGGAGAAAGGCAGCATGGTACATGGGGAGGAAGACCAGACTGAGCGATTTGGAATCCACATCCTAATGCTGCCACAAGCTGCATGCACAAAGACCTTAGGCACATCTCTTCATTTCTCTGTACACTGGTTTCTCTACTATGTGTGTATTAAAATATATAATGTGGATGATAGTAAACTGAACAAAGCCTTAATTTTCTCCCAAGCTTTGACATTGCCAAGGGCAGTTAGGAGACTTCAGGATCAAGTTTAGGGGACAAGTTTTTTTCTAATACTTTCAAAAGGCCCAAGTGAAGAGAGGAAGGACACCTCACTTTCTGGCTCTAAAAGCATGGTACATCTCACACTAGGATTCCCTCTGCACCTCTGTTCATCCCTGTATTCCTAACTAAATTCCAGAAAATCTTCTACAACACTGGAGTCCTATTTTTCTTCTTGAGACCTCCTTTGAAGAAATCAACTTGGAGACTCCTCCTTAAATCCAGTTTCTTTCTCTACCCAAAATTTTGCATCTTTATAGAAAAAGAGATAAGTAGGATTCAGAGTCTCTTCTCCTAGCCATTGTGGGGGGAAAAAATGCTATTTCTGTTGGCAGAAAACAATACAAATATTTTTTTTAAATCATGGCATGTTTTTAAAGTTAACTAACAGCTGTAGTTTGCTTTGGAAGTTAAATGTTTTGTCAATAAACAGGGCTTGAGCACATGCAGTGCTCTCTTAGGCAGTATGTGGTTTCAGAGCATCTTGGACACATTTCTCCCCTGAGAAAATATTAATATTAATAGAATGGGAGAAGTAAGATGCACGCATTTCCAGAAGTATATTATTTGGCTGCCTAATAAATTGTGAGACAAAAGAAAAAAAAAAAAAAAACAGGAAGAGAGGGACTTGAGGGAATTTGAGGGAAATCATAACCAAAAGTTTAAAGGAAAAAATTACACCAGACATGATAAGCAGAAGTTGATTTTGTTCTGGTGCTATTGCCAGCATTAGGGGAGAAGGCACAAACTGAGTCTGATACGTAGTGAGGCAGAGACAAAAGGGCTAGGGTGGAAAAATTTTTAAACCATCTGTGTTTACTAATTCCCCATACCAAAAGAACAAAATGAACTTTCTCCTATTTCATGATAAAAGATAGTTTCACAATTTGGAAAAAGCCCCCCCACTCCAAGTTTCCTACCCTTCCCACCCACAGAAACCAGGAGACAGGGGAACTATCTTCCTTGATGTTAACATTTCAAAGAGGTGGTTCTCAGGTCCTAGAGAAAGATATTCCTGAGTTGTAAAACTGGGAAGAGGCTGGAAGAAGATTTAGATCTCAAGAAATAGAAAGAACTACAGCAAATTTTCTAAAGCAAATATTCTTAAGGGAGGTCAAGGGCCTGAAGTCAGGAAGAAACCTATTTGGTCAAGCTGAGGGGAAAGTTAAGGCTATCTTGTCACAAGAGAACAGAAATATCTGACAATATTTCATTTAAAGAACTGTATTAGTCCATTCTCACACTGCTATAAATAAATACCTGAGACTGGGTAATTTATACAGAAAAGAGGTTTAATTGGCTCACAGTTCCGCAGGCTGTACAGGAAGCATGGCAACATCAGTTTCTGGGGAGGCCTCAGGGAGCTTTAACTCATGGTGGAAAGCAAAGTGGGAGCAGGCATCTTACATGGTATGAGCAGGAGGAACAAAGGAAAGGGGAGGTGCTAACACTTTTAAATGACCAGATCTTGTAAGAACTCACTCATTATACAGTACCAAGGGGAGATGGTGCTAAACGATTAATGAAAACTCTACCCAGTAATCCAATCACCACCCACCAGGCCCCACCTCCAACAATGGGGATTACAGTTTGACATGAGATTTGGGTGAGGACACAGATCCAAACTGTCAGGCCTCTGAGCCCAAGCTAAGCCATCATATCCCCTGTGACCTGCATGTATACATCCAGATGGCCTGAAGCAAGTGGAGAATCACAAAAGAAGTGAAAATGGCCTGTTGCTGCCTTAACAGATGACATTACTTTGTGAAATTCCTTCTTCTGGCTCAGAAGCTCCCCCACTGAGCACCTTGTGACCCCCACCCCTGCCTGCCAGAGAATAATCCCCTTTGACTGTAATTTTCCACTACCTACCTAAATCCTATAAAACAGCCCCACCCCTATCTCCCTTTGCTGACTCTCTTTTTGGACTCAGCCTGCCTGCACCCAGGTGATTAAAAAGCTTTATTGCTCACACAAAGCCTGTTTGGTTGTCTCTTCACACGGACGCCCGTGACATTTGGTGCTGTGACTTCGATCGGGGGACTTCCCTGGGGAGATCAATCCCCTGTCCTCCTGCTCTTTACTCCATGAGAAAGATCCACCTACGACCTCTGGTCCTCCGATGAACCAGCCCAAGGAACATCTCACCAATTTTAAATTGGGTAAGCGGCCTCCTTTTACTGCCTTCTCCAACCTCTCTCACTATCCCTCAACCTCTTTCTCCTTTCAATCTTGGCACCATCCTTCACTCTCTCCCTTCTCTTAATTTCAGTTCCTTTCCTTTTCTGGTAGAGACAGAGGAGATGTGTTTTATCCATGAACCCAAAACTCCGGTGCCGGTCAGGGACTTGGGAAGACAGATTTCCCTTGGTGTTTAATCACTGCAGGGACACCTGCTTGATTATTCACCCACGTTTCAGAGATGCCTGATCACCGCAGGGATGCCTGCCTTGATCCTTCACCCTTAGTGACAAACACCAGTTTCCTAGGGTGCAAACACCCCCCCACCCCTTCTCTCCGTGTCTCTACCCTCTCTTTTCTCTGGGCTTGCCTCCTTCACTATAGGCAACCTTCCACCCTCCATTCCTCCTTCTTCTCCCTTAGCCTGTGTTCTCAAGAACTTAAAACCTCTTCAACTCACACCTGACCTGAAACCTAAATGCCTTATTTTCTTCTGCAATGCTGCTTAACCCCAATACAAACTCAACAATGGTTCCAAATAGCCAGAAAAAGGCACTTTCAATTTTTCCATCCTACAAGATCTAGATAATTCTTGTCGTACAATGGGCAAACGGTCTGAGGTGCCTGAGGTCCATGCATTCTTTTACACATGGGTCCCTCTCTAGTCTCTTTTCCCAATGTGACTCATCCCAAATCCTCCTTCTTTCCCTTCCACCCTTCCCCTCAGTCCTAACCCCAAGCATCACTGAGTCTTTTCAATATTCCTTTTCTACAGACCCATCTGACCTCTCCCCTCATCCCCAGACTGCTCCTCCTCAGGTCGCTCCCCACCAGGCTGAATCAGGCTCCAATTCTTCCTCAGGCTCTGCTCCCCCACCCTATAATCCTTCTATCACCTCCCCTTCTCACACCCAGTCCGACTTACAGTTTCTTTCCCCGACTAGCCCCCGCCACCTGCCCAGCAATTTCCTCTTAAATCGGTGGCTGGAGCTAAAGGCATAGTCAAGGTTAATGCTCCTTTTTCTTTATCCGACCTCTCCCAAATCAGTTAGTGTTTAGGCTCTTTTTCATCAAATGTAAAAACCCACCCCAGTTCATGACTTATTTGGCAGCAACTCTGAGACGCTTCACAGCCCTAGACCCTGAAAGGTCAGAAGGCTGTCTTATTCTCAATATGCATTTTATTACGCAATTCATTCCCAACATTAAATAAAGCTCCAAAAATTAGATTTTGGCCCTTAAACCCCACACAGGTCTTAATTAACCTTGTCTTCAAGGTGTACAATAATACAGAAGAGTTGCAATTACTTGCCGCTGCTGTGAGAGAAACTCCAGCCACATCTCCAGCACACAAGAACTTCAAAACGCCTAAGCCACAGCAGTCAGGCATTTCTTCAGGACCTCCTCCCCCAGTATCTTGTTTCAAGTGCTGGAAATCTGGCCACTAGGCCAAGGAATGCCCACAGCCTGGGATTCCTCCTAAGCTGTGTCCCATATGTGCAGGACCCCACTGGAAATCGGACTGTCCAACTCACCTGGCAGCCACTCCCAGAGCCCCTGGAACTCTGGCCCAAGGCTCTCTGACTGACTCCTTCCCAGATCTTCTTGGCTCAGTGGCTGAAGACTGACACTGCCCACTTGCCTCAGAAGCCTTCTGGACCATCACAGATGCTTTCGGTAACTCTTACAGTGGAGGGTAAGTCCTTCCTCTTCTTAATCAATATGGAGACAACCCACTGCACATTACCTGCTTTTAAAGGGCCTGTTTCCTTTGCCTCCATAACTGTTGTGCGTATTGACAGCCAGGCTTCTAAACCTCTCAAAACTCCCCAACTCTGGTGCCAACTTGGACAATATTCTTTTATGCACTCCTTTTTAGTTATCTCCACCTGCCCAGCTCCCTTATTAGGCCAAGACATTTTAACTAGATTATCTGCTTCCCTGACTAGGCTACAGCCACACCTCATTGCCACCCTTTTCCCCAGTTCAAAGCCTCCTTCAAATCCTCCCCTTGTATCTCCCTACCTTAATCCACAGGTATGGGACACCTCTACTCCCTCCCTGGCAACTGGTCACATACCCATTACTATCCCATTAAAACCTAATAACCCTTATCCCACTCAATGCCAATACCCCATCCCACAGCAAACTTTAAAAGGATTAAAGTTTGTTATCACTTGCCTGTTACAGCATGCCCTTTTAAAGCCTATAAACCCTCTTTACAATTCCCCCATTTTACCTGTCCAGAAACTGGACAAGTCTTACAGGTTACGTCAGGATCTGTGCCTTATCAACCAAATTGTTTTGCGTATCCACCCTGTGGTGTGAAACCTCATATACTCTCCTATCCTCAATACCTCCCTCCACAACCCATTATTCTGTTCTAGGTAAACCTAGCTGACCCCATAGATCCTAAATCCTTTCTCCACTCCCCTATCCATTCCTTAAAAAACAGCTCCCACACTAGCTCTCCCTAACTTATCACTCCCTTTCCACTACACACAGCTGAAGTGCAGGGCTGTGCAGTTGGAGTTCTTACACAAGAGCTGGGACCACGCCCTTTAGCCTTTCTGTCCAAACAACTTGACGTTACTGTTTTAGCCTAGCCCTCATGTCTGCATGTGGCAGGTACCACTGCTTTAATACTTTTAGAGGTCCTCAAAATCACAAACTATGCTCAACTCACTCTCTGCAGTTGTCATAACTTCCAAAATCTATTTTCTTCCTCACATCTGATGCATATACTTTCTTCCCCCCTCCACTACCTCTCAGCAAGCCGAACTCATTGCCTTAACTTGAGCCCTCACTCTTGCAAAAGGAGTACACATCAATATTTATACTGACTCTAAATATGCCGTCCATATCCTGAACCACCATGCTGTTATATGGGCAAAAAGAGGTTTCTTCACTACACAAGGGTCCTCCATCATTAATGCCTCTTTAACAAATAGTCTTCTCAAGGCCGCTATACTTCCAAAGGAAGCTGGAGTCATTCACTGCAAGGGCCATCAAAAGGCATCAGATCCCATCACTCAGGGCAACACTTATGCTGATAAGATAGCTAAAGAAGCAGCTAGCATTCCAATTTCTCTCCCTAACTGCCAGTTTTTCTCCTTCTCATCGGTCACTCCCACCTACTCCCCCACTGAAACTTCCACCTATCAATCTCTTCCCACACAAGGAAAATGGTCCTTAGACCAAGGAAAATATCCCCTTTCAGCCTCACAGGCCCATTCTATTCTTTTGTCATTTCATAGCCTCTTCCATGTAGGTTGCAAACCGCTAGCCCATCTCTTAGAACCTCTCATTTCCTTTCCATCATGGAAATCTATCCTCAAGGAAATCACTTCTTAGTGTTCCATCTGCTATTCTGCTACTCCTCAGGGATTGTTCAGGCCCCCTCCCTTCCCTACACATCAAGCTCAGGGATTTGCCCCTGCCCAGGACTGGCAAATTAATTTTACTCACATGCCCCAAGTCAGGAAACTAAAATACCTTTTGGTCTGGGTAGACACTTTCACTGGATGGGTAGAGGCCTTTCCCACAGGGTCTGAGAAGGCCACCGTGTTCATTTCTTCCCTTCTGTCAGACATAATTCCATGATTTGGCCTTCCCACCTCTATACAGTCCAATAACAGACAGGCCTTTGCTAGTCAAATCACCCAAGCAGTTTCTCAGGCTCTTGGTATTCAGTGGAAACTTCATACCCCTTACCATCCTCAATCTTCAGGAAAAGCAAAACAGACTAATGGTCTTTTAAAGACACACCTCACCAAGCTCAGCCTCCAACTTAAGGACTGGGCAGTACTTTTACAACTTACCCTTCTCAGAATTCGGGCCTGTTCTTGGAATGCTACAGGGTACAGCCCATTTGAGCTCCTGTATGGATGCTCATTTTTATTAGGCCCCAGTCTCATTCCAGACACCAGCCCAACTTGGATTGTGCCCCAAAAACTTGTCATCCCTACTATCTTCTGTCTAGTCATTCTTCTATTCACCATTCCCAACTACTCATAAATGCCCTGCTCTTGTTTACACTGCCGGTTTACACTGTTTCTCCAAGCCATCACAGCTGATATCTCCTGGTGCTATCCCCAAACCACCACTCTTAACTCCCTCTTAAAGTAAATAATCTTTGCTGGCAGGGCACCCTCCAATACTTTCACCCTGATGAAGTCCTATTCTTTACCTTAAACTCACTCTTATTCTCGTTTCTGTTCTTATGCCACCCTCTACCTCTCCCCAGCTATCTCTACCACACTATCAATCTCACTCACTCTCTCCTAGCCATTTCTAATCCTTCTTCAACAAACAATTGCTGACTTTGCATTTCTCTTTCCTCCAAAATCGCCAAGGCCCCGACTTACTGCTAAAAAGGGGGGACTCTGTATATTTTTTAATGAAGTGTTGTTTTTATCTAAATCAATCTGGCCTAGTATACGACAACATAAAAACTCAAGGATAGAGCCTAAAAACTTGCCAACCAAGCAAGTAATTATGCTGAACCCCCTTGGGCACTCTCTAATTGGATGTCCTGGGTCTTCCCATTCTTAGTCCTTTAATACCTGTTATTCTTCTCTTATTTGGGCCTTGTGTCTTCTGTTTAGTTTCTCAATTCATCCAAAACCATATCCAGGCCATCACCAATCATTCTATACACAAATGCTCCTTCTAACAACCCCACAATATCACCCCTTAACACAAAATCTTCCTTCAGCTTAATCTCTCCCACTCTAGGTTCCCATGCCACCCCTAATCCTGCTCACAGCAGCCCTGAGAAACATCGCCCATTATCTCTCCATACCACCTCCCCAAAATTTTTGCTGCTCCAACACTTCAACACTATTTTATGTTATTTTTCTTATTAATATAAGAAGATAGGAATGTCAGGCCTCTGAGCCCAAGCTAAGCCATCATGTCACCTGTGACCTGCATGTATACATCCAGATGGCCTGAAGCAAGTGAAGAATCACAAAAGAAGTGAAAATGGCCGGTTTCTGCCTTAACTGATGACATTACCTTGTGAAATTCCTTCTCCTGGCTCAGAAGCTCCCCCACTGAGCACCTTGCGACCCCCGCCCCTGCCCACCAGAGAACAACCCCCTTTGAATGTAATTTTCCACTACCTACCCAAATCCTATAAAACGGCCCCACCCCTATCTCCCTTTGCTGACTCTCTTTTTGGACTCAGCCTGCCTGCACCCAGGTGATTAAAAAGCTTTATTGCTCACACAAAGCCTGTTTGGTGGTCTCTTCACTCAGACCCATGTGACACAAACCATGTTAAGAACCTAAGAGACTAACAGCATCCTTGATCCCATCTCCATGAGGAAATGGGTTGGGGCTGCAGAATGAGGCAATCCCCACATTCAGTTTTGCCAGACACTACTCCTCCACAACTGAAAGTGGACAACTGAAAGGCATCTAGAGTGTGTGTCTATCAGAGATCTCATTTTGGAGGTAGCGGGGGTATGATCAAGATAATCTCCTCTTTTCCCTAGGGGCTTCCTCAGTCTCTAGTCTCAGGCCACACAGACCATGAGGAGTGACAAATGGATCTGCATGGGAAACACCAGGGAGGGAGAAAGAAACAGTATATGCTCCCCTGCTGCCCTACCCTCTCCACCCACCTCAAAGATTCTGAAACAATTGAGTTGGTGAGTGCGAATAGTTTGCAGCAAGTTTTATTATTAGCCCTGAGAACAAAGGCTTCCCTTTCTCCCCTGCTGCCTTAGGTCTCTCCAGAATCTGCCTGGCTCCACCTTCTCCAGTTGGCTACCAGGGAGGACCAGGCTTCTCTGCCAGCCTCCCCAGCCACAAACTGTCCTTAAGTGAAGGGGCAATGGGGCGATGGGAGGAAGGAGTCCACACTCCAAGGGAACTGGCTGGTTGCTGCTTAACAACTGTTCATTGTTTCTAGGCCACTCTGCAGTTCCCTCCTCTCTCCCATGTGAGTGACAGAAGCTGGGTGGATGGCAGAGCTGCTGCATTGTTTAGGAATAATGGATTAGACACATGGCAATTCAGTGGTTTCTTAAGCAGAGCGCAGCACTGCAGTCTCGATAAGGTTGTAGGCTTGTTTACAAGCTGTAAGGCAAATTGTTACACTGTGAACTTAGCAAAGCAGGGGCTAATATTTCCATTCTCAATGGGTAAACTGAGGCTGGAAATTACAGACTACCACAATTCAAAAGGACTAGCCCAGTTGTCTGTTAGTAAAGAAACAAAAAAGGGCCAGAGAGAGCAAAGGAATGTGATCAAGATCGCAGGCGGGCATCCAGGGCTAGAGCTCTGGACCTATGGCCATGAGCAGAAGTGCTTTTTTTTTACTGTTACATGCATTCTCCATGTTGTCCAAGCCTTTCTCCCAATTCCTCACTGTCCCCTTTCAGTGCTGACTTTTCTCAGCCATGACTTTCTCCCACCTCCCATTTCTATCCTGCATTATCTGAAAGCCGTGTAGAAGGAAGAGAGGCCAATGTGGGAGATAGGCTCCCTCAGGAAACAGGCTAGAGCTCATAAGTGCTGCCCAAAAAAACAAAAAGTGACAAGCGTATGTATGCAAATTGGACTTCCTAAGTGAATTCTAAGGGGAGGCCAGGGAAAGCCAAGGTCATTACAGGGAGCTAATTCCAAGGAAAGTGACATGGGTGGAGAAGCCTTTAGGAGATCACTTTCCTGAGCTACAGAGAGGCCTCTGAGGCTACTGGGTGGAATACGGCAGTGGGGACGGCTTGGATGGGAAGTGAGGGAGAGGAAGCATTCATCTGGCTTGGAGAAGATACAGACTGTTAAATTTTAAAAGTAGGAGGCTGTTAGCCTGAGGCTGTGAATGTACTTTGAGTTGCTTTCTAACAAACTGCAACCTAATTTAAGAGCACAGGACTACCTCATCCGGATTCTCAGATATTGCATATTCAGTTCTAGACCACTGCAATAAAGCAAATATCGCAGTAAAGTGAGTCATATGAATTTTTAGTTTCCCAGTGCATATAAACGTTATGTTTACACTATACTGCCATCTATTAAGTGTGTGATCACATTATGTCAAAAAAAAGTACACATCTTAATATTCAAATATTCTATTAATTATTTAAAAAATGCCAATGATCATCTGAAGCTTCAGCAGGCTGTAACCTTGTTGCTGGTAGAGGGTCTTGCTTCCATGTTGATAGCTGATGACTGATCAGGGTGGTGGTTGCTAACAATTGGTGTGGCTGTAGCAATTTCTTAAAATAAAACAATAAAGTTTGTGCGATGATTGACTCTTTCGTGAAAGATTTCTCTGTAGCTTTCAATGCTGTTTGATAGCATTTTACCCACAACAGAACTTCTTTCAAAATTTGAGTTAATCCTCTCAATCCCCACTGCCACTTTATCAATTGAGATTATGTAATAGTCTAAATCTTTTGTTGTTATTTCAACAATGTTTACAACGTCTTCACCAGGAGTACATTGCATCTCAGGAAACCAATTTCTTTGCTAATCCATATGAAATAACTGCTTTTTTTTTTTTTTTTTTTTTTTTGAGATGGGGTTTTACTCTTGTTACCCAGGCTGGAGTGCAATGGTGCGATCTGGGCTCACTGCAGCCTCCACCTCCTGGGTTCAAGCGATTCTCCTGCCTAAGCCTCCCCAGTAGCTGGGATTACAGGCACGCTCCACCACGGCTGGCTAATTTTTGTATTTCTAGCAGAGACAGGGTTTCACCATGTTGGCCAACCTGGTCTCAAACTCCTGACCTCAGGTGACACACCTGCCTCAGCCTCCTAAAGTGCTGGTATTATAGGCATGAGCCACCACTCCCTGCCTCATTTGTTAGTTTTATCAAAGCAGCAATTCCATGACATCTTCAGGCTTCACTTCTAATTCTAGTTCTCTCGCTATTTCCACCACATCTACAGTTATTTCCTCTACTGAAGTCTTGAACCCTTCAAAGTCATCCTTGAGTGTTGGAATCAACACCTTCCAAATTCCTGTTAATGTTGATATTTTGACTTCACCCGTGAATCACAAATGTTCTTAATGGCATCTAGAATGGCAAATTCTTTCCCGAAGGTTTTTTATTTACTTTGCCCAGATCCATCCATTTTGTAAAGCCTTACAAAATGTATTTCTTAAACATACAACTTAAAAGTTGAAGTTACTCCTTAATGAGCTGCAGAACAAATGTTTTGTTAGTAGATATGAAAAAGATTAATTGTCTTGTACATCTCCATCAGAGCTCTTGAGTGGCCAGGTGCATTGTCAATGAACAGTAATATTTTGAAAAATAATATTTTTTTTCTGAGCAGTAGATTTCAACAGTGGGCTTAACATATTCAGTAAACCATGCTATAAAAAGATGTGCTGTCATCCATCCAGGCTTTTTTCCATCTATACAGCATAAGCAGAATAGTTTTAGTATAATTCTCAAGGACGCTAGGATTTTTGGAATGGTCAATGAAGGTTGTCTTCAACTTAAACCTCCAACTGCGTTAGACCCTAACAAGAATCAGGCTGTCCTTTGAAGCTTTGAAGCCAGGTATTGATGTCTCCTCTCTAGTTATGAGAGTCCTAGATGGGATCTTCTTCCAATAGAAGGTTGTTTTACTTACACTGAAAATTCATTGTTTACTGTAGCCACCTCCATCAATTACCCTAGCTAGATTTTCTGGATAATTTGCGGGAGCTTTTACATCAGCACTTTGCTGCTTCACCTTGCACTTCTATGCAATAGAGATAATGTATTTCCTTAAACCTCATGAACCAACTTCTGCTAGTTTCAAACTTTTTTCCTGCAGTTTCCTCACCTCTCTCAGCCTTCATAGAACTAAGAGTTTTATGAAGTTCATAGAAGAGAGTTAGAATCTTTGTCTGGATTAGGCTTTGGCTTAAGGGAATGTTGTGTCTTCTGTGATCTATCCAGATCACTAAAACTTTCTTCATATCAGCAACAAGGCTGTTTCAGTTTCTTATCACTTGTGTGTTCACTAGAGTAGCAACTTTAATTTCTTTTAAGAATTTTCCCTCTGCATTCACCACTTGGCTGTTTGGTGCAAGAGGCCTGGCTGTTGGATGATCTCAGCTTTTGATATGGCTTCTTCACTAAGCGTAATCATTTTTAGCTTTTGATTTGAAGTGAGGGATATGCGACTCTTCCTTTGGCTTAAACACTTAGAAGCCATTGCAGGGTTGTTAATTGGCCTAATTTCAATATTGTTGTGTTTCAGGAAATAGGAAGGCCGGAGGAAAGGGAGAAAGATGAGGTGAGGTGACAGCCAATCAATGGAAAAGTCAGAAGACACACACAACCTTTATCAATTAACTTTGCCATCATATTTGGGCAGTTTGTGGTGTCCCAAAACAAGTACAATAGTAACATTAAGGATCACTGATCACAGATCACCATAGCACGAAAAAGTTTGAACTATTACAAGAATATCAACAATGTGACACAGAGACGTGAAGGAGCACATGTTATTGGGAAAATGGTGCTAATAGACTTGCTCCATGCAAGGTTGCCACAAACCTTCAATTTGTAATAAGTTCAATATCTGCAAAGTACAATAAAATAAAACACAACAAAATGAGTATGTCTGGAACTTTTTTTGTAACAAAAGCCAATTATAAATAATTAAACTTCGATCAATCACAGGCAGCCAACTCATCACATCATGCCCAAAAAAGGCAAATGTTTCATCACACCATGTCCAAATAAGGCAGATTCCTAGTTATCAGATGATATCTCTACTCAGCTTCTGTGTGTAGCCTGTAAAAGCTCACGGCTCACACTGCTTGGCTGAGCTTTCTGAACTTTGTCTGGTTCTGTGTTGTATTGGTCAAGGTTTTCTAGAGGGACATTACTAATAGGATATATGAATATATGAAAGGAGTTGAGTAGGGAGAACTGGCTCACATGATCTCAAGGCAAAGTCCCACAATAGGCCACCTGTAAACTGAGGAAGAAAGGAGCCAATAGTCCAAAAGGCTCAAAAGCAGGGAAGCCGACAGTGCAGCCTTCAGTCTATCGCCAAAGGCCCGAGAGCCCCCGGCAAACCACTGGTGTAAGTCCAAGTGTTCAGAGGCCAAAGAACCTGGAGGCTGATGTCCAAAGGCAGGAGGAAAGGGAGGAAACATCTGGCATGGGAGGAGGATGAAAGCCAGAAGACTCAGCAAGCCAGCTTATCCCACTTTTTTTCCACCTTCTTTGTTCTAGCTGAGTTAGCAACCAACTGAAAGGTGCCCACACACATTGAGGGTGGGCTTTCCTCTCCCAGTCTATGAACTCAAATGTCAGTCTCCTCTGGAAACAGCCTCACAGACACACCCAGAAACAATACTTTACCCCCTATCTAGGCATCCTTCAATCCAACCAAGTTGACACCTAATATTAACCATCACATTAGTGCTGACTGATTCATGAATCATTCCTTGCTCAAATAAATTCTTTTAAATCTAATTTGTCTAAATTTTTAACAAGGTCTCCAGAGTTGCTAAAATCTAGGGATTGGGTGTTTATTTCAAGTTAGCTCTTCAAGTTAGCCAGATTCTCAGGTATTTGGCTCTAGTTAGATTCAGAGACAGCTCAAGAGCACCCTGAGAGTTTCCTCATTTGTTAAAATGGGGATAATAATATAAAGCTTGCTTTCCTCTCAAGTTATTGTTGTGAAGATCAGACAAAAGAATAAGAGAGTGCTTTCTAAACCAAGTCAAATGTATACCAGGGAATTATATTTTTTTTACAAGTCGCAGTTTAAGGCACAGTTACTCCCTTTTCATATTCCACCACTCCCTAAACTTACCAGTTATTGTATCAACATTTTAAGAAAAAAATACATTGTTCTGCATTTTAACCTGTTGACTTTCAACAGGGTGAGTCAGGATGCAGTGATCTGCGTAAGGGTGCCTTCTGATCTTCGCACATGCAGGAGGAGTAGAGAAATGTACACAGGACTGAAGGTAAAGAAACCTTGATTCTTGTCTCATCATGGCTCCAACCTGCTGCCTGACCCTGGACAAGTCTCTCTCCATCTTTCAGCCTCAGTGTTCTCATCCACTTCCAATTCCACCTGCACCAGCCCACATCTTCTATTTACCCCTTTCCTGCCATAATTTTTCTCCATAGAACTTATCCTATTTCACATTTTATGTTTACTTATTTAATGTGTTCATTGTCTCTTTCTCCTTAGTAGAATGTAAGCTCATGAGGGAAGGTATTTTTGTCCTTTTTGTCCACTATTATCCTCAAGGGCTAGAATAGTGCTTTATGCCTGAGTTGCTCTGTGACTAAATACATGAACGAATGAAGACTAAGGATATTAAACTAGATTACCTCAGATTTACCAATATTAATTGTTTGAATCTTTGATTTAGTCATGAGGTATTTTTCCATGTGGTTTCTTTCTACCTTGCATTATCCTCCCCCAAATGAATTATAAGAAATACTTTTACATTCAATGAGCTTAAAAACAACCAGAATGATTCAAGTTAGATCTAAAGGCTTTCTTATACACTGAAATGAATTCTATGTTAGTTCCTACAACAGAAATAGATCTCAAGTTATCCATTTGAATACAATGTGTTTCTCAATGTATATCACTACTAGAATGCAGGCACTGGGCCCTTCTATTCATAGGTATGCCCAAAGAAACAAGGTAAGCAATTTGAAAGTAGAGCCTTAGAAGCTACCCGATGGAACAGTATGAGGGAAGCCTGGGCCCATTTCCTGTCCTTGAGGAGTCTAGTTCTTCAGAAGGAAGTGAACCTGCCCAGTTGCAAAGAGACGGTTGAGATTTTTTTTTTTCTAAGTTTATTTGTTACTAAAAATGCCTTAAAAATGCATTGGGCTGTGCCATAGATTTGAGTTTCTTCCCTCTGAAACTCATGTTGGAATTGTATCCCCAGTGTGGTAGTGTTGGGAGGTGGGGCCTAGTTGGAGGTTTTGGGGTTATAAGGGAAGATCCCTCCTGAATAGATTAATGTTCTCTTGTGGGGGCAAGTTCTTGTTCTCTCTTGTTCTCATAGGAATAGATTAGTTCGTAGGAGAGTGGTTTGTTAAAAAGAGCCTGACTTCCTTGGTTTCTCTCTCTTGCTTCCTGTCTCACCATGTGATATGTTTGCATGACCTGCCTTTCTACTTTCCACCATGACTGCAAGCAGCCTGAGGCCCTCACCAGATACAGCTGCCCAATCTCAAACTTTCTAGCCATCAGAATTGTGAGGTAAAAGACCTCTGTTCTTTATAAATTACTCAGCCTCACGTATTCTATTATAGCAACACAAAAAAGACTAAGACTATTTCAGTTTGTCCAGTGGGTGTCAGGATGACTCAGCTGAAGAAAGAGCAGACTGAGTAGGAACTGAGTCATTGCTTACATGTCTAAGCCACGTTGTTACCTGCAAAGAACAGAGAACGGATGTTCTTCCTGCCAAAGAATTGGAGGAGAGAAAGAGCTAAGATTTCAGTATAACAAAGTTAAGAAAGGACCCAAGAGGGAACTAACTGTCAGTAATAATAAGGAAGCACATGACGATTACTGAGCAAGTGCTAAAAACTTCTGCTTTGGAAATCCTTGCAAACAAAAATTTTCCATAAAATTGAAAGGGCTGTGAGTTCAGAAAAACCTTTAAGAATTCATGGCAATTAAGAAATGTGGGCCGGGCGTGGTGGCTCATTCCTGTAATCCCAGCATTTCGGGAGGCTGAGACGGATGGATGACCTGAGGTCAGGAGTTTGAGACCAGCCTGGCCAACATGGTGAAACCACGTCTCTACTAAAAATACAAAAAATTAGCCAGGTGTGGTGGCGGGTGCCTGTAATCCCAGCTACTCAGGAGGCTGAGGCAGGAGAATTGCTTGAACCCGGGAGGTGGAGGTTGCAGTGAGCTGAGATTGTGCCATTGCACTCCAGCCTGGGCAACAAGAGCAAAATTCTGTCTCAAAAAAAAATGTGATTAAAAATCAACTATGCTTGTAGAAAGGTAGAATTATTGGGAGTGGAAAGGGATGATTAATTCCTGATGATCAATTTTTGAGGTCCTACCCAAGAGTCTATTATACTTTCTTCTTAGAAGAAAAATGGTTGAAACCTCTTCATCCTCAATGTGTCTGTACCCCTGTGAAAGGGAAATAAAATCTCAGGACTCCAACTCACTATACCAAAGGGAAAAATAAAGCTTTGAAACTGAGTCATGTAAAATGCTGACTTTACTTTTGTTCCTAAACAGATAGTTATGAGACAGGAGGACATATATCTACTCAAGGGGCCTCCCTCACCGTGACAATGTAAATTAACAGCTTATCTTTACAGGTATGGAACAAAAGGAAACTAAAAATTGTCCCCCTGTCCACCCTGAGATGAATGCATATTTGACTTCTCCTCTTTGTTTACTTTAACTTAAGCAAAGTACAGATTTATGAAGTGCAAGACAAATATATAATTGGCTATTCCTCTATCTTTTCCTTTTCACATGTAACAGGTAGATTCAGTGATAGCTAACCCAAGCCTCACAAGAATGTGACCATATTCTCCCTTTTTTTTCCTTCCTCCTTTCCCCACCCACCCACTTTTTCCACTTTAAATATTGAAGCCCTCAAAATCCTCTTTGGAAAAATTGTGGGCCACAGATCCTACCGTGGCTTGTGTCTCTTCTTCCTAGGGACAACCTCAACCTTGACAAAATGAACCTTTAAATTAATAGAGACACTGTTTTAGGTTTACAAATTGGCAACCATGATGAAATTCTGAGTGGAGGTGGCCCTTGACCTGTGGCAAAACTCCTAACGGTGCCTGATACTAACTTGGGCTATTTTTATTGCTCAAACCAATAGGACAACTTGCTGAGGTCTGGGAGCTTCATCCTCTCCAGTGAAGCCTTGATCTCCCAAAATTGGAGTGAGATCTAAGGTTTATTTTGCTATTACAATTCCATTCTGGAGTTCTGCTTGCTTCTGGAAAGGAAGGTGACTTTTCCTGCTTTTACAATGGTAGAGAGCAGTCTTTAGCCTGAGCCTCATTCCTGGATAACAGCTAAGTTGAGATTTTGTCTTAAAAATTCTCTTTAATGACTAAGTTAGTGCCAGAGGTATTCAAACCAGGTGACTCCATCTTGAATAGGGGATGGGTAAAATTAGGCTTAGACCTGCTGGGCTACATTCTTAGTCACAGGATGAGAAAGAAGGCTGGCACAAGATAAAGGTCACAAAGACCTCACTGATAAAACAGGATGTGGTAAAGAAGCCAGCCAAAACCCAACAAATCCAAGATAGCAATGAAAGTGACCTCTAGTCATTCTCATTGCTCATTATACACTAATTATAATGTATTAGCATGCTAAAAGATACTCCTAACAGCATCATGACAGTTTACAAATGCCACAGCAATGCCAGGAAGTTGCCCTGTATGGCCTAAAACGGGGCAGAACCATCAGTTCCAGGAATTGCCTTCCCCTTTACTGGAAAACATATAGATAA
Source organism: Homo sapiens (assembly GCF_000001405.40). NCBI lineage: Eukaryota > Metazoa > Chordata > Mammalia > Primates > Hominidae > Homo > Homo sapiens. The sequence goes on along the minus strand of NC_000012.12, from coordinate 54,933,357 downwards.
TCCACCCCTTGCTTAGCATATAATCAAGAAATAACAATAAAAATAGCCAAACAACAGCCATTAGGGCTGCTCTGTCTATGGAGTAACCACCCTTTTATTTTTTTACTTTCTTGATAAACTTGCTTTCACTCTACTCTGTGGACTCTGTGGACTCACCCCTAATTTTTCTTTCATGAGATCTGAGAACCCTCTTTCCACTAACATAAAGATTGACAACCAGCTATTCTTAACTTCTCCTTACAATTAGAGTACTCAGTAATCATATAAATTGTATGAACGCTTCCATAGTTAAGTCATAACCTTATTAATGCTTATTGGCTTCACTGGGGAGATTACCCTTTGTAAAGATGCTCAAAAGCCAGAAATATCAGCTATTTGCCTCAGCTAAAATCTGGTAATAATGAGACAGCCAGGTGGGAAGGGCTCCCTGGCAAAACTCCAGCTGGTCTGCACACTGGGAGGAGTGCACTCTGGGGTGGAGCCACAGAAGTTCGTGCCATTTGCAGTGGGGAGGAGCCTGGCCTCTCCTCTTCCTGGGTGGAACCTGGGATTCAATCTGCAAGGCAGAAAGCACACTCTCTCACTTCACCAAGAGTCTCTGTTTTTCCATTTTCCCCCCCTTTTCACCCAATAAAATCTTTACTTGTCAGGCCTCTGAGATTTTGTGCTGCTCCAACGCTTCACTATTTCATTTTATTTTTCTTATTAATACAAGAAGACGGGAATGTCAGGCCTCTGAGCCCAAGCTAAGCCATCATGTCCCCTGTGACCTGCACGTATACACCCAGATGGCCTGAAGCAACTAAAGATCCACAAAAGAAGTGAAAATAGCCCTCATCTTTACCCGCCTGAGGAACTTCTTTACTTTCTAGACAGATATGGTGAGAACTCCCTAGACATTTCACACCAACAAGCTGCCACACTTCTCCGCATCTACTTACGGCACCTTTCTCCTTATGTCAATTGCACCCCCCCCCCCCAAATTTGGACCCCTAACCACACAAACAACTATCCTATCCCTGTTGCCGCTCCTTTATGCATCTCCCGACAACAGCCTACTGGAATCCTTTTAGGCAACCTTCCACTGTCCACATGTTCCTTTACTCTTTATCTCCAGAACCCAGCCACACACATTATCAAACAGATGGTAGCATTCCAACTTTGCATTACTGATAAGACCTCTATCATTACTGACAAACTAAAAAACATTGGCAATCACTATTGTTTAGGAAGACACCTACCCTGCATCTCACTCCATCATTGGCTACCCTCCCCCTGCTCATCTGAATCTCCTCCTAGCCCCTCCTCTTGCTTGCTTATACCCAGCCCCATGAATAGCAGTGAAAGGTTACTTGTAAACACTATGTGCTTTTTCATACACCATGAAAACTGAACCCCGCCCTCTACACAGTTGCACCATCAATCCCCATTACAACCTCTAACAGCTGCTACCCTCGCTGGATCTCTAGGATTTTGGGTGCAGGATTCCTCTTTCAGTACACCCTCTCACCTTTTCACTTTAAATTTCCAGTTCTGCCTGGCAAAAGGTCTCTTCTTTTTATGTGGCTCTTCCACCTACATGTGCCTACCTGCCAACTGGACGGGCACATGTATTCCAGTCTTCCTTACCCCCAAAATCCAGTTTGCAGGTGGGAACAAACAACTGTCTGTCCCCCTCATGACATCAACATGACAAAAAAGAGTCATCCCACTAATCCTTTTACTTGTGGGTCTAGGACTTTCTGCCTCCACTATTGCACTTGGAACTGGAATAGCAGGCATCTCAACCACTGCCACGACATTCTGCAGCCTCTCTAATGACTTCTCTGCTAACATTACAGATATATCACAAACTTTATCTGTTCTCCAAGCCCAGGTTGACTCTTTAGCTGCAGTTGTCCTACAGAACTGCCAAGGCCTTGATTTACTCACTGCTGAAAAAGGAGGACTTTGTATATTTTTAAATGAAGAGTGTTGTTTTTACTTAAATCAATCAGGCCTGGTATATGACAACATAAAAAAACTCAAGCATAGAGCCCAAAAACTCACCAACCAAGCAAACAATAATGTTGAACCCCCTTGGACACTCTCTAATTGGATGTTCTGGGTACTCCCAATTATTAGTCCTTTAATACCTATTTTTTTCCTTCTTTTACTCAGACCTTGTGTCTTTCGTTTAGTTTCTCAGTTCATACAAAACTGCATCCAGCCCATCACCAGTAATTCTATATGACAAATGCTCCTTCTAACAACCCCACAATATAATCCCTTACCCCAAAATCTTTCTTCAGTTGAATCTCTCCCACTGTAAGTTCCCATGCTGCCCCTAATCCCGCTCGAAGCAGCCCTGAGAAACATTGCCTATTTCTCTCCAAACAACCCCCAAAACTTTTTGCTGCCCCAATACTTTACCACTATTTTGTTTTATTTTTCTTATTAATGGCCTGAAGCAACTGAAGATCCACAAAAGAAGTGAAAATAGCCTTAACTGATGACATTCCACAATTGTGATTTGTTTCTGCCCCACCCTAATTGATCAATGTACTTTGTAATCTCTCCCACCCTTAAGAAGGTTCTTTGTAATTCTCCCCACCCTTGAGAATGTAGTTTGTGAGATCCACCCCCTGTCTGCAAAACATTGCTCCTAACTCCACTGCCTATCCCAAAACTTGTAAGTGTAGCAGGATGAGCAGCAGACAAAACTCCTCAGACACCAGGTTAAAGAAGGAAGTGGTTTATTTGGCCAGGAGCATCAGCAAGACTCCTGTCTCAAGAGCTGAGCTCCCCAAGTGAGCAATTCCTGTCCCTTTTAAGGGCTCACAACTCTAAGGGGGTGTGTGTGAGAGGATCATGATTGATTGAGCAAGCAAGGAGTACGTGACTGGGAGCTGCACGCACCAGTAATCAGAATGAAAGAGAACAGGACAGGGATTTTTACAATGCCTTTCCATACAATGTCTGGAATCTATAGATAACATAACCGGTTAGGTCAGGGATCGATCTTTAATTACCAGACTTAGGTCAGGCAGGCCCAGGCCTGGTTTTGGGTCTGGTTCCTTGGTTTCAGGTCTGGTTCCTAGGAGCTGGGCTACCTGCCTTTAATTTCGCTTCTCATTCTTTTTCTTAGTATAAAACAATATGAGAGGGCCTGTCTCTCTTCTCTCATTTCCCCCCTTTGAGACTCTCACTTTTTATTAGTGGGAGTTCTCACTCTTATTTTCACTACTTATATCTTCCTGTGCAATAGATTGATAATGATTCATATAGTACACTTCCTTCTTAGATGAGTAGCCAGTCATCTTCAGTCTGTACCCCTCTTGAATGTATCCTGAAATCCTGGGACTCCCTTAAAAAGCACCTTTTTTCCTTGCTCCTCCATTGTCACTCTTCACTGATAATTCTGTCTCCATACTATGGGATACTCCCCTCAGATGCATCCTCCAAACTGGAAAGAGTTGATTTCCCAAACCCTAAACTGGTTGGCTTAGGATTGGGCTCAGGGGAAGGGAACCAAAAAGCCTGACATGCCCACATAAGGGTAAAGTTTTTACCAGTTGGGCTTTTGGCCTCCCTCTCCTCTTGCCATCTTGGATGCCAGCATGAGAGGACCCAAAATAATTTTCAACAGCCTGTGATTCCTTTGGGAGAAACAGAAAAGTCACTACAAACTCCATTTTAGGAGGAAGCTCTGTTTTCCTCATGGAACCCTCAGAGTTGCAAGAAGAGAGATTCTTAAATCTAAAACTTCTCTTTATTGTCATAAGTCATGCCTCCATTCAAAGTGCTTTTCCTGGCTTCTTAACTAAAATGTACTTACACCATTTCTTTTTTTATTTCCTTGGTTTGAGCGTAAAATGATCTTTTAGGCCCAACTTCTTAGCTCTGTACCTTGAGATGTAAATTCTCGATCTGATTTCACCTAAGAATTGTTGCTTTAGAATGCAAATTTAGAGCTGTCTAGCTGACAATTGCCTAGGGCAATGAGACAGGCTCTCAAAAAAATTGCAAGTCTACAATGGGGCAGAGAAATTTTGAAAACTGACAAAATAATGATCTTATAAATCTATAAGATACACTTTGGTCTGCTACTATATGTCTATGTATTTATATATGTCAGGTGTATATAAAATTTTACTACTGAAATATATAAAAGAACTCTAATTGGCTTAAAGAAAAAAGTACTTAAATCAAATATTTTATCAGAAAAATTAGAACTTTAACTCAAATACCTTTCAGTTCACATGACTTTAGTAATCTTTGGTAAAGATCGTTTTTAAAATCTTTGGTAAAATAAAATAGAAACATCTTCAAATTAATTTAACAGATCAAATACTATCTCTGCTAAATGTTTTAAGACATAAAAATTTGCTTCCCAATCTATTTAATGTGCATGCACACCAGGGAATTTCAAGGGAATGATTATCCAATAACCCAATGAGGTCCAGATGCTTATATACCCTTCTTCATAGAAGAAGGTGAGATGGGGAGTGGGTATAGGAGTAATTGATTTTCAGGGAGAATGTGCTCTAGGGGAGGTGGCAGGAAGGGGAAGAGTAGAATTTCACGGTAAACAAAAGTTATTTCATTTTGTAGATAAACTTTCCCATGTAAACCCTTTGAGTTACCCTCAGAAGAATAAATGAAAACCTGTCTGGATGTGATGACTCCCAGTCTTTTCTCTGGTAGTTAATATTTCCTGGTTATTTGATGAGATTACCAGGGAGAAAATCTTAAAACAATTGTATTTCTTTTGTAAAGAAACTCCGCTAGTCAGAAGAGGAAATTTCTCAGTACTTGGAAAAGAAAGAAGATCAGAAAGGCAGGGGAAAGTCAGAGAGATACCTTGCTTCTAAGGGTTTTTATTTCCTTTAATTCAAGCACTCAGCATGCCAAAACACCATATTTTGGAGCATTATCTTCTAAGCCCCAAAATGGCATGCTATGGTACCCAAATTCTGAAATAGTTAAAGCCATTCATTATCTCTCATATGGGCCAACTTGTTTGCTATGTCCAAAAATTTCTTCATAGAAACTACAACTGTAGTTCATAATTATGTCTCTGAATTATATTGGAGCTGCAAATTTGGTTAGATTTTATGTCTTCTTAAGCCAATGCTAATACACTGAGAATAACAAGTAAGAACAGGTTAGTGATGTAAAATTCGTATGAATTGCATCCCTGCCCCTTCCCACTTTGCACATTTGAAAGGATATTGATGGAGTCCAGATCCTCAACATTAGAAAGGAGCTTCATTTCCCATGAGGAAGCTTTACTCAAATTACATGATATTATTTACATATCAAATAAAACTTTCATTATATCAAACACATAATAAGGTAAAACTATGCCTATAAATTGATAAGAAAAAAGGGAAACAATCTACATGGACAAACTAGGCAAAGGATATAAATGAAGTTGACTAACATTTATTTATTTTTTAAAAAGTCATAGACTAACGTTAACACACCTAACATCTTCTTTATCGTCATGAATAAAAATTCCTAGTCTATGTTTCTGTATGACCTTGCTAACATGCCCAAGGACATTCAAGCATTTTACATGTTGTGATGATACAGATAGCATGCAAGAGTCATACTTGATGTTATGGTACCTGTATTAGTCCATTTTCATGTTGCTGATAAAGACATACCCAGACTGGGCAATTTACAAAAGAAAGAGGTTTAATGGACCCACAGTTGCACGTGGCTGGGGAGGCCTCACAATCATAGTGGAAGGTGAAAGGCACATCTCACATGGCAGCAGACAAAATAAGAGAGCTTGTGCAGGGAATCTCCCCTTTATAAAACCATCGGATCTCATGAGACTTATTCACTATCACAAGAATAGCACAGGAAAGACCCACCCCCATGATTCAATTACCTCCCACCAGGTCCCTCCCACAACACATGGGAATTATGGGAGCTACAATTCAAGATGAGATTTGTGTGGGGAGAAAGTCAAACCATATCATTTCACCCCTGGACTCTCACAAATCTCATGCCCTCACATTTCAAAACCAATTATGCCTTCCCAACAGTCCCCCAAAGTCTTAACTCATTTCAACATTAGCTCAAAAGTCCACAGTCCAAAGTCTCACCTGAGACAAGGCAAGTCCTTTCCATCTATGAGCCAGTAAAATCAAAAGCAAGTTAGCTACTTCCAAGATAAAATGGGGGTACAGGCATTGGATAAATACACCCATTCCAAATGGGATAAATTGACTAAAATGAGAGGGCTAAAGGCCCCATGCAAGTCCAAAATCCAACAGGGTAGTCAAATCTTAAAGCTCCAAAATGAACTCCTTTGACTCCATGTCTTACATCCAGGTCACGCTGATGCAATAGGTGGGTTCCCATGGTCTTGGGAAACTCCACCCCTGTGGCTTTGCAGCACACAATCTCCCTTCCAGCTGCTTTCATGGGCTGGCATTGAGGGTCTGCAGCTTTTCCAGGCACACAGTGCAAGCTGTCAGTGGATCTACTATTCTGGGGTCTGGAGGATGGTGTCCATCTTCTCGTAGCTCTGCTAGGCAGCACCCCAGTGGGAACTCTGTGTGGGGGTGCCTAACCCCACATTTCCATTCTGTACTGCCTTAGCAGAGGTTCTTCATGAGCACCCTGCCCCACAGCAAACTTCTGCCTGGACATCCAGGCATTCCCATACTTCCTCTGAAATCTAGGTGGGGGTTCCCAGACTTCAGTTCTTAACTTCTGTGCACCCACAGGCTCATGGAAGCTGACAAGGCTTGGGGTTTGCACCTTCTGAAGCCATGGCCCAACCTGTACCTTGGCCTCTTTTAGTCATGGGTGGAGTGGCTGGGACCCAGGGCACCAAGCGCCTAGACTGCACACAGCAGAGGGACCCTGGACCTGGCTCACAAAACTACTTTTACCTCCTAGGCCTCCAGCCTATGCTGGGAGAGGCTGATGCAAAGGTCTCTAACATGCCCTGGAGACATTTTCCCCATTGTCTTGGTGATTAACATTCAGCTCCTTGTTACTTATGCAAATTTCTGCAGCTGGCTTGAATTTCTCCTTTGAAAATGAGATTTTCTTTTCTATTGCATTGTCAGGCCACAGATTTTCCACACTTTCATACTGTGCTTGTCTTTTAAAACTGATTGCCTTTAACAGCACCCAAGTCACATCCTGAATGCTTTGCTGCTTAGAAATTTCTTCTGCCAGATATCCTAAATCATCTCTCTCAAGTTCAAAGTTCCACAAATATCTAGGGCGGGGGCAAAATGCTGCCAGTCTCTTTGCTAAAACATAACAAGAGTCACCTTTGCTCCGATTCCCAACAAGTTCCTCATTTCCATCTGAGACCACCTCAGCATGGATTTCATTGTTCATATCATTATTAGCACTTTGGTCAAAGTCATTCAACAAGTCTCTAAGGAGTTCCAAGCTCCTACATTTTCCTGTATTCTTCTGGGTCTTCCAACCTGTTTCAACCTCTGCCTGTTACCCAGTTCCATCATCACTTCCACATTTTTGGGTATCTTTTCAGCAGTGCCCCATTCTACTGGTACCAATTTATTGTATTAGTTCATTTTCATGCTGCTGATAAAGACGTAAATGAGACTGGGCAATTTACAAAATAAAGAGGTTTAATAAACTTGCAGTTCCACGTGGCTAGGGAGGCTTCACAATCATGACATGTCTCATGAAAGATGAAAGGCATGTCTCATGTGGTGGCAGACAAGAGAAGAGAACTTGTACAGAGAAAATCCCCTTTATAAAACCATCATTTCTCATGAGACTTATTCACTATCACAAGAATAGGATGGGAAAGATCTGCCCCCAGGATTCAATTACCTCCCACCAGGTCCCTCCCACAACACATGGGAATTGTGGGAGCTACAGTTCAAGATGAGACTTGTGTGGGGACACACCCAAACCGTCTCAGTACCTAAATTAAAATTACAGAATAAAGAAGGAGCAATATATTTTGAAAGGGAAATAAATCTCTGGATCCCCAAATCACTAAGCTAAGGGAAAATCAAGCTGGTAACTATGTCAGGCAAACTTGCCTCCCATTTTATTCCTAAATAAGATAGCTACAAAGATAAAATGCTACGTTAACTCCCTCACAATTTGCCAGCAAGATAATTCCTTGTGGACAAAGGACAGAAAAAAACTCAAAGTCATCCCTCTGAGGCTCGCCTGTTACAAATGCATGTCTGATTGCTTCCTCTGCCTTATTGTTTATGTAAAAATGCAGATTCACTGAGCCAGACTAAATTGTGTATTCGGTGGAAGGCTGATCAAGGACTCAAATGAATGCAACCTTTTGTCTCTTATCTACTTCTGAACTGGACGGCCCCCCCGCCTTCCAGTTGTCTCACCTTTCCAGACCGAACCAATGTACATCTTGTACGTACTGATAGATGTCTCATGCCTCCCTAAATGTATAAAAGCCAGCTGTATCCCAATCTTCTTGGGCACATGTCATCAAGACCTCCTGAGGCTGTGTCACGGGCATGCCATAACCTTGTCAACATAAACTTTCTAAATTGACTGAGACATGTCTCAGATATTTTGGGTTCACAATATAAAAAGTGTGATTTGGGGAAAGCTGAATTTGAGACATCTCTAAGTCACTGAACTGGAGATTTTGCAATCTCATGCCCACCCAACTCCCACAGCATCACTATCAGTCATTGGAAGAAACACCACTAATATATGTATAATAAGTGTGTGCATGTGTGTGTGTGTCACTTTTTCAAATTCTGCTACAAAGTTGCCTACATTGTTTATGTCAATAATGCCAAGCCCATTCGTTTAGATGTTCCTACTAATGTTAACCAGAAATCCCCTCATTGAAGTTGGAGCCTTATTGTTATGGCACAGAATTATTTATAATACAGTCAGCCCCCCATATTCATGGGTTCTGCATCTGCATATTCAACTAACATGGATTGAGAATATTTGACCAATAAAAAATGGATGATTTGTACTGAACATATACAGACTTTTTAAGACAATGAGGTATAACAACAATTTACATAGAATTTACATTATATTAGGTACATAAACAATCTAGAGATGAGTTAAAGTATATGGGAGGTTGTGAATAGGTTATGTGCAAATAGTCAGCCATCCTGATCTACAGATACCATATTTATAGATTCGACCCAACATGGATGGAAAACACAGTATTTATGGGATGTGAAACCCATAAATACATAGGGCTGACTTTTTCTATTCACGGGTGCCACAGGGCTACTGTAGGACTTGAGCATCCATGGATTTTGGTATCTGAGGGGGTACTGGAACCAATCCCTGATGGATACTGAGGGACAACTGTAATAATCAAAAATTGAAAAATTATTAAATAGAAAATATAATTACCAGCCAATCTTGGATGATTTACTTTACTTCAGGTATAAAAGTGTGCCCTGAGAAAAGGATATACAAGATGCAACTATTGCTATCTTATATAGCTACATTTCTCTGGTTAAGGGGCCTGATTGCTCATAAGCAAAAGAGGTGTGTGTGTGTGTGTGTGTGTGTGTGTGCACGTCTGTGTGTGTGTGTAAATCTTAAACTAGTCTTCATGACAACAGAAGACAGCTTAGTAGGTGAATATTGTTAAAACAAACTAAATATGGCTGGAGAAAGACTCCATACTTCTATATTTGAGTCCTTACGGATAAACTGCAACCTAATTTAATAGGTAGACAAGATTGAAAACCTAACTCAGGAGTATACACCTGTAACAATCACTGAGTCTTGGCCAATCTCAGCAGCCATATCTCAACCAGTCATACACACTGCTGAGTGTTCAAACTGTGTTCAAATAAGGCAAATGCCAAGCTGTAACTAATCCAGCTGTTTCTGTGCTTCACTTCCGATTTCTGTATGTCACTTTACTTTTTTTGTCTATAAATTTGTTCTGACCACGAGGCATCCCTGGAGCCTCTCTGAATCTGCTGTGATTCTGGGGGCTGCCTGATTTGTGAGTCATTCATTGCTCCATTAAACTCCTTTACATTTTGGCTGAAGTTTTTCTAACAATTTCTATCTATCTTTTTAACTTTCTATCACCTACCTTGCTACTTATCTGTCTATGGAACTAAGAAGGGTAGTCTTGGTTAAATATAAATGTTAAAAAATTAAAAATGAATACATGAATGATATATTGGTATGAATTAGTTGACACAGGAAAAAAGTAAATTAATGAGAGAAGAGGAAGAACAGAACAAAATCATAAGAATGGGTTATTAAAAATAATCTAAAATAGAAAACTGCAAAGGTGTAGTCAAAGAAGTTGGAACAAAATAATTGATCAAGGACTTTCAAGAAATAGTCAATAGTATTACATAAAGCAGATAAGTAAGATAGTGTTACAGGGTTGAAAACTACATTAACACAAGATAAGAAATGTATGGAAAATGGAAGAAGAGAAGATAGTAAATGTAGTGTGTTCTGGAATAAAGAAAGGTTGAAAAGGAATAAGAACAGTGATGGGTAAAAGATTGGAAAATTTCTTTTTGAAGATTTAACTTCTAGATCCCATTTCTCTTTTGTTTTGTTTATTTTAATGATTAATAAAAGAAGGATTTACAATGAATTACATAATGTGTTAAAAGTCAGGAATAACAAGAAATATAGACTTTAAGAAAGAGAAATGAAAGGGGATAATTTAGAAGATATTGAAGAGAAGGGAATCTGGAGGATAAGATAACTTCATCTTGGAAAAGGGGAACATTCTAACTTATATGGAACAGGCTATAAGAAGCTAAAAGTTTAAGTTCAAATAATTTTTGATAGAAAATCTCAGAAAAATATCTGAAGGTTACCTAAGAAATGAGAGTCTTCTTTAGATAATTCTTTGGTTTAGACATCTTGGCCTCACATTCCATTTAAATGCCTAAGGTGCTTTGAAGTCAATGTCCTTGTCATTGGGCCTCAGGCTATGTTGTTTGTTTTAGTCTTATTGTCCTTGTTTCAAATCACTAAACCTTAATATGAAAAGCAGGTCCTATTAGATCATGCCTGATATAAAAGGACCATCAACTAATATCCAAGCACTTAGCGTATTACCTACTTGAGCCTTCTGTATTTCACAGATTTGTTTCATTTACTTTCCTGGTTCTTCTTGTGATGGCGGGTGTGTCCAGCCTCATAGTTTCCAGTGGTAAGTCTATGGGAATAAAGATTGAGGAACTCGGCCGGGCGCGGTGGCTCACGCCTGTAATCCCAGCACTTTGGGAGGCCGAGGCGGGTGGATCATGAGGTCAGGAGATCGAGACCATCCTGGCTAACAAGGTGAAACCCCGTCTCTACTAAAAATACAAAAAATTAGCCGGGCGCGGTGGCGGGCGCCTGTAGTCCCAGCTACTGGGGAGGCTGAGGCAGGAGAATGGCGTGAACCCGGGAAGCGGAGCTTGCAGTGAGCCGAGATTGCGCCACTGCAGTCCGCAGTCCGGCCTGGGCGACAGAGCGAGACTCCGTCTCAAAAAAAAAAAAAAAAAAAAAAAAGATTGAGGAACTCTTTAGAAGCTAGTTAAGAGCAGCTTCACCCTGGATCTAAAGATACTTCATTCAATACTGATGATAGAGGTGAAAACACAAGTTTTGATATTGAGAAATTTTATTCTTTCTTAACCACTATATATCCAGGGAAAGAAGACTGCCACATCAGTAAAAAATTATTTTTAAGTAGAATTAAAGTTTTATCTTAAAAACAGTTAGAAATTATTATTATTAATTATGCTTTTTAGGAATACTCTTATATTACTCCTGTTCCTTTTATCTATCATTAGTTTATATCATTTGAATCTAACTGAGTTGGTAGGAAATTAGCTGGCCAACTATTTAGTAGGAGTATCAGTAATTTCTTAATTTATCTTATTTATTTTCCAGAGGTCATGACCATCATTTCTTCTGAAGACACAACTACAATTAGTAAGTTTCTGAACTTATGCTTTGTAATCACACTTTCACAGGAGGTATCATTGTAGTAATATTCTTTACATAGTGTCAGTATATTCCTGAGGCCTATGAATTGTCATGGAGACACTGGGGAGTTTAAAGAGACTGACAGGGATATATGATAAGAATACTTATAAATGACCACACATTCATTCTATTTCAATACTGTTCAATGGTAGAGTATTAAAATACAGACAAATATAGGTTACTTAAATGATGCATTTTATTTAGAAATCTGGAAGGACATTTTGTAGCACTGCAAGATTAATGATTCCTTGGTTATTTGGCTATAAAGAACAAAGTTGTTATTTTTAGCTTGGGTATCAGATTAAGGAAAGTATCAGTAGATAAAGCTGAAAATGTCTGTATCATGTTTTGACACAAATAAACCAACAAACTGGAGTACCACATATCATTCCCAAGCCCAGAGGAAGAGCTGCATTTGTACTAAAAAATAAATTGTGTATTGCCTTCAATGAACTTAATGATTTCCTCCCTAATTCTTAGCTGAAGACGTCTTCATTGGGAAATGCCAGAAGACGTCATAACCATTCGCTTCTTTGAGGGTCTTGGTTATAAATGAGAAGAAAAGGATACATTAAGAGAAGAATGACAAAAATCATTTCTGGTGTTCAGGAGATTGATCCATGGATATTGGGGACTGCTATCTGGTTTGGGAGTATGGAAGAAGTCATGCTTCATTTGCCACTGAGAAAGTATAAACCATTAATTAGTTATCATGTTTTCCAGTGTCAAAATAATAGTGATAACCAGTTTCACTTCATTCTTGCTTTTATTCTTTGTCTCATAAAGGAGAAAAATTTCACTTCTTTGCACAGGAGAAAAGAGAATTGAACTTGTTTATCATATTATGCAGATAGGTGAGGTAAGATAAGAAATCAAGCCAGGCTACTCACTCCCATAATTTCTTCTGTTTGAATCCATTTCTCCACAGTGGAGGTGCTAGGAAAGAGTTTATGCTCATTTTTAATCCTTCTTATGGCCCTTCATTTTATTTTGTTACATTCATATATGTAGTTATTTATTCAATGTCTATGATTCCGAATGAATACTCCTCAGCATTTGGAAGAGAAAGAACCTATCATCTTATTCACCAACGCAGTCCTGTCACATAGAAAGAATGTACTAAATACTCAAAGAAAGACCATAAATAAATAGAATAACCAGGACTTAGTATTGGAACTTTTTTGGACCTCTCTTTTTACTAGGATGCTTCCAGTTTGGGGATCATAGGGATATATTAGGTTAGTGCAAAAGTTATTGCGGTTTTGCCATTAAAGCTAATGCCAACTTTTGCCCTAACCTAATAGATAAAGCTCGGCATTTCAGTTCTCAACAGATTTAAGATAGCAGGTGTCTCATCTCAACACCTTTATCTTTCCTTTTAGCCACAGGACAGCAACCGACTGCTGTCACTTCAGCCAGAGCCCTTCACATTGTCACTGAAAGAGAGTAGCATTGAAGATTTATCTCTATTTGATTCACCTAAGTTTCCCAGCCTCCCTTTGATTGTAGGAAGATACTGGTTGGCTTCTTTCCACTTGAATGTTTCATGTTAATGATATGGCAGGTTTAGGAAAGATTGTGGAAATGTTAATGCAAAGAGAACAGAAAGACAGATGGACAAGTGATCTGAGCAGAGCCAGCTTCTTTCATTTTGACTGTGGCTCTGAATATTAAGCACCAATTTAAAACATATGCTGAGCCTCCAGGGCTTTGCTCTCCAAAAAGAAGGGTTTATGGGGCAGATGTGAAACTTGAATATATCCAAAAAATTATATTAGAGGAGAGGGCAAATTATTTGTGGTTTGGGGCAACTAGTTTTTTTTTCTACTAATGAATTCTATCAAACTTTTTTTCTTTGTAGAACTGATTTTTTTTATTTATTTGTATTTAAGTTGATAAACAACATGTAGTATGTCATGGACAACATGATGTTTTGATGTACATATACATTGTGCAATGGTTAAATCTAGCTAATTAATAGATGCATTATCTTACATAGCTATCATTTTTGTGGTGACAGCAAATAACATCTACTCTCTACATTTTTCAAGAATACCACGTATCATCATTAACTATTGTCACCTTGCTCTACAATTGATCTCTTGAAATGTATTCGTCCTAACTGTAATTGTGTATTATTTGATGACTATCTCATCATGCCCCCTCTTCCCAACCACTTCAGCCTCTGATAACCACCCTTATACTCTATACTTCCATGAGATCAACAGTTTTAGATTCACATATGTGTGAGATTATGCAATATTTTTGTTTCTGTGTCTGGCTTAATTCACCTAATAATGTCCTCCAGATTCATCCATGTTGTTGCAAATGACAAGATTTTATGTTTTTTATGGATGAATAGTATTCCATTCTATGTGTGAATATATGTGTGTATATATTTATGTATGATATATATCATATATATCACATTTTCTTCATTCACCCATTGGTGGACACAGGTTGATTTCATATCTTAGCTATTGTGAATAGTACTGCAATAAATAGGTGAGTGCAGGAGATATTATTTCTTTTCCTTTGACTGTATACCCAGTAGTGGGATTACTAGATCATATGGTATTTCTATTTTTAATTTTTTGAAGACTCTTCTACTGTTTTCCATAATGATGGTACTAATTTACACTCCCAACAGTAGTATGTAAGGTTTCCCTTTTCTCCACTCCTTGCTAACACTTGTTTTTTTTTTTTTTTTTTGTCTTTTTGATAACCATTCTAACTGGAGTGAGGTGATATCTCACTGTGATTTTGGTTTGCATTTCCCTAGTGTTTAGTGATGTTGAGCATTTTTTAATATACCTGTGGACTATTTGCAAAAGTTCGTTTGAAAAATGTCCATTCAGGTCTTTCACCCATTTTTAAATCGGGTTCTTTGTTTTCTTCCTATTGAGTTATTTGAGTTCCTTATATATTTTGGATATTAAACCCTTTTCAGATGTATAGTTTGTAAATACTTTCTCCCATTCTGTAGATTGACTCTTCATTCTGTTGATTGTTTCCTTTGCTTTACAGAAGCTTTTTAGTTTGATGAAATCCCATGTGTTCATTTTTGCTTTTGTTGCCCATGCTTTTGAGGCCTTTTCCAAAAGCTCCTTGCTCCTACCAATATCATGAAGTATTCCCCTATATTTTTTTCTAGTAGTTTCATAGTTTTCAATCTTATATTTAAATATTTAATCCATTTTGAGTTGACTTTTGTATCTCGTGAGAGATAAAGGTCTAATTTTGTTCTTCTGCATATGGATATCCAATTTTCCCAATACCATTTATTGAAAAGACAGTCTTTTCCCCAATGTATGTTCTTGGCACTCTTGTCAAAATCAGTTTGCTGTAAATATGTAAATTTATTTCTGAATTCTCTATTCTGTTCCATTGGTCTATGTGTCTGTTTTATGCTAGTACTGTGCTGTTTGGCTACTATAGCTTATAGGATATTTTGAAATTCAGTACTGTGATGTTTCCAGCTTTGTTCTTTTGGCTCAAGATTGCTTTGGCTCTTTAGGGTATTTTGTGCTTCCATACAAATTTAAACATTGTTTTCTATTTCTATGAAGAATGTCATTGCTATTTTGACAGGGATTTCATTGAATCTGTAAATCACTATGGGTAATACAGACATTTAACATGATTTTTTCCAACCCATGAACATGGGATATCTTTCCATTTATTTGCGCCTTCTTCAATTTCCTTCATCAGTGTTTCACAGTTTTCTTTGTAGAGATCTTTTACCTCCTTGATTATATTATTTATACCTAGGTTTTTTGGCACTATTATAAATGGGATTGCTTTCTTGATTTCTTTTTTTAGGTAGTTCACTATTAACCTATAGAAATATTACTAGTTTGGAGGACCTGCTCCTGCTGCACTGGACGGAGCTGCAGCGGCTGCTTTGCCTTCCTTCGCCACCAGTCCTGGCCATCGCTGGGGAGGTCTGCGGACCTTGGCTCCAGGACCTGAGCGGGGGGCCACACGAGGCCCATGGCCCTGCCCCTGGCTCCGTCTTCCTTGGCCATCAGGGCCTCAAGCCCCTCTGCGGCCCCCACCTCGAACGGGGTCTTCTGCAAGGGACTCTCCCACACCCTCCTTGCCTTCTTTGAGCTGGCCTGGCACTCATGAACTTCCAATACTTGTATGTCGTTGCAGGCTCTGTGATCCTCAACATCTGCTTGCAGGTACACTTTTAGAGCCGCCACTGAGCTGCCGGCCTCGGCCTCCCGGGACAGCATGATGGCAGACTCCCAGGGGCTCCCGCGGCGCAGCAGAGCTGCCTACCTCGAGTCCCACAGTCTTGAGAGTGCTCAGGCGCCCTTCGTGGCTGGGCTCTTCACTGCCAGTGGAACTCCTCTGGGAGCACGGAGAGCCTGCAATTCCTAGAAAGAGGAAATATGCGACTCCGGGAACAGAGAACTTCAGTTAAGAACCTTGAAAAGATCTAAGAAACTATGCAACCTTAAAATAAACACCTGACAAATTTCAGGATGTGAAAAAGGGCAAAGAACGCTTTTTTTTTTCTAAAGGCTAAAATTTTCAGGAAAAAAATATCAGTAAACTTCAGGAATATTGGATTGGATCGTAAGCAAGGCTTCAAGGAGGAAGAAGCTGAAGGTATTAAGGATATGATATAGAAGGCATATACTTCTTCATCCCACAAGAGAAAACAATAATAATTAGAAACTAGGTGAAAAAAAATAAAACTGTACAGGAAAAGCATCCTCCTCCAAGTACCAAATATAAAATGCTGCAAGATTTTGAATGAATGGTGAGAGTGTAAGAAAATGGGCTGTATTTCAATGCTCCTGTGGCAGGATGTCAATCAAGAGCTTGGAGCCAAAGAAAAAGAAATCCCTTCCTAGCACAAAGCTTGGCTGTTCAGTGAATAGCGTTTAAATAACCGTAAAATAAAAATCCTGTTTATGATTTTTATTGATTAGGGGCCTACTTAATTAAGGTTACCAAGTGGAATGCAAATGTTATCTGCCATATTTTAAAAATATCAGCGGAAATACAAGTGGGAACGTTGAAGGAGAGAGAGAAAGGTAAATGGAATGGTGATAGTGTCCTTATAAAGTGGACAGTTGAGCCAGGCACAGTGGCTCACACCTGTAATCCCAGCACTTTGGTAGGCCGAGGCGGGGGGATCACCTGAGGTCAGGAGTTCAAGACCAGCCTGGCCAACTTGGTGAAACTCCGTCTCTACCAAAAATACAAAAATCAGCCGGGTGTGATGGCGGGCGCCTGAAATCCCAGCTACTCGGGAGGCTGAGGCAGGAGAATAGCTTGAACCTGGGAGATGGAGTTTGCAGTGGGCCGAGATCACGCCATTGCACTCCAGCCTGGGCAACAAGAGTGAAACTCCGTCTCAAAAAAAAAAAAAAAAAAAAAAAAAAGTTGGCGGGGGGAAGTTGAAAGATATGGTCTGTTGTTGAGGGAGAAAAGACATTTATTACTTACAAGGTAACCATAAAGTTTCTAAAATAGTAATATAACTGTATTAAAGAGGGAGAATGGTAGGGGAGAACAGTAAGAAGTCAACAGGAAATGCCTAAAGATGGAGAACTCAGGTAGAATATTTGAAAAAATAAAAATTGATAGAGTACCTGGTGTATTTGAATATAGACTAGAGAGCTTTCATTTTCCAGAGAGCATGGGGATAAATTAGTGATCTGCAAATTTTTCTTTTGTTAAGAAAACAAAACTGAGGTAATTATGAACCCCAGGAAAAATAAAAATTCAAAAACTACACTGTATATCTGAACTGTGAACAATACTAGCCATATAAAGTTAGTCATAATTATGTAATTACTGAATATTGATTTTATAAGAAATAATTCTATAACATTGGGAGGATGGGAGAGAAGAGAGATTGTGTAATGGCGGCAAGCCAATCAAGGTCTGTTGTAGAAAAGTCCAGAAAAAGCAGTATACACATGTCTTTTCAGAACAAAACAAAACAAAACAAAACAAAAACTACAATAAGAAACTGCTAAGGGTTAAAAGTGATTGTCTCTGGAAAAATGAAATCGGGGTGGGTAGAGAAAAGGCAAAGGTTTGCTGGTTTTCACTACCAATCCAGCAGCATTATTTGATTTCTTTTTAACTATGTATATGTTTTTCTTTGATTAAAAACTAATATAAATAAACATCATTTTTAAAAGTTCAAAAAAAATGCTACTAGTTTTTGTATGTTGATTTTGTATCCTGCAACTTTACTGAATTCATTTGTTAGTTCTAACAGTTTTTTGGTGGATTCTTTAGATTTCTTTCTCTATATAAGATCATGTCATCTGCAAACAGGGAAAATTTAACTTCCACCTTTCCAGTTTTGATGCCTTTTATTTCTTTCTTTTGCCTAATTCCTCTGGCTAGGACTTATATGATTGTGTTTAATTGAAGTGGTAAAAGTGGACATCGCTTTCCTGTTCCAGGTTTTAGAGTAAAGGCTTTCAGCTTTACCCCCATTGAGTATAATGTTAACTGTTGGTTTGTCACATATAACCTTTAGTTTGTTGAGGTACATTCTTTCCAAACTAATTTGTTGAAAGTTTTTGTAATAAAAAGATATTGAATTTTATCAAATTCTTTTTTCACACCTGTTTAAATAATTATATTGATTTTGTCTTTTATTCTGCTAAAAGACAAAATATAGTTACAGTGATGTATCATGTTTATTGATTTGCATATATTAAACCATCCCTGCATCCCTGGGACAAATCCCACTTGACCATGGTGAATGGTCTTTTGTTGAATATGCTGTTGAATTTGGTTCACTAGTATTTTTTGAAGAATATTTACATCTATGTTCATCAGGAATACTGATGAATTCTGTTATAATTCTGTTAATTCGGCAGAGTTTTAGTGTCTTAAAGAAATAAATAGGTCTGGCAGAGAGCTAGATTTAGAGTAGGTGATTAGTAGAGAGCCTAGTATGAGAGGAAGCAATTATGAAATTGCATGTGTCCAGAGAAACATGAGCTCTACCTCCCAGGTTAAGAAGAGAATTCAAGAGAGAACACAGGAAATCAGCCACTGCAGGAGAGACACTGTAAAGATGTTGGCAGGATTCTAGTTATCATGGCTGGTCCAATTGTGTAAATGAGAAATCTATTACACACAGATAATCATCTAAAAAGAGCAGCCAGTAATTTTACTACCTATTTGGGAGTAAGAGGGTCATACAATTATTTTAAAACTTTTTTAATTATAGGAAACAAATTAGACTTACACCCAAGAAATGCTGCAAATGCTAAAGGGCAGTAAGAAATTAATTCCTGGCTGGGCGCAGTGGCTCATGCCTGTAATCCCAGCACTTTGGGAGGCCGAAGCGGGTGGATCACGAGGTCAGGAGATCGAGACCGTCCTGGCTAACACGGTGAAACCCCGTCTCTACTAAAAATACAAAAAAAATTAGCCGAGCATGGTGGCGGCTGCCTGTAGTCCCAGCTACTCGGGAGGCTGAGGCAGGAGAATGGCGTGAACCTGAGAGGCGGAGCTTGCAGTGAGCAGAGATTGCGCCACTGCACTCCAGCCTGGGCGACAGAGCGAGACTCCGTCTCAAAAAAAAAAAAAAAAAAAAAAAAAGAAATTAATTCCTAATCTTATGTTAAGCACTTGGGATGTAGTGTAAAAATGGTAATGAGTGGCCTACACATGAAAGCCTGTCAGTTGTGTTTTTAGGGGAGCCCAGGTTGTTTTTCAAAGACTGTGACTAGATTTTCCTATTTTTTGTGTGACTAGCTCACAGGTGGGCTTAGTATTCTCACCCTCCTTTACACATTTTGTAGGAACTTCCTACTGCAGGATATCTTGCTGTTCACTCACTCCCTACTGACTCCTGATTATAACTTCAGAAACTCTCGACCTTGAGTTCATTTAAGACCACATATACACCTTTCTTTTCTTAGTTGACTTTCTCCATTTTTGTTGGTTTTTGCTTTGTTTTGTTTGTTTTTTGTCTCTCAGCCTTCCCGTATGATATGGTTTGGCCATGTCCCCACACAAATCTCATCTTGAATTTCTAGGAAGTACCTAGTGGGAGGTAATTGAAACACAGGGGCAGGTCTTTCTCATGCTGTTCTTGTGATAATGAATAAGTCTCATGAGATCTGATGGTTTTATAAAGAGGAGTTCCCCCACACAAGCTCTCTCTCTTTTTGCCTGCCACCATCCATGTAAGATGTGACTTGCTCCTCCTTGCCTTCTGACATCTTTGTTCCTCTGTGGGTGTGCACTTGCAGTATATATACCAAAGACCTCCATGGACTAAGAATGAGCTAAAGTATGATTATTTATATTTTATTTTATCTTCTTAGAGTATTGGAGGTGAAAGCAAGTTGAAGATTATACCAGTTCTAGCCTTGTTTAAAAATAAGGAAAGAGACAAAAAGTAGAAATGGGTTTATCAAGTTCTTCAGTTATTCCAACTCCAAACTTTTCATCTTTATTCTAACATTTCTCTGATAAATATTTCACTGAAATGTGCAGGCTTTTCTCTTCTTGTTCTTAGAATTAAAATTTGCAGGGAATTTTGTTCTCCGTTTTTCTCCATATGATCTCTTAGAATAATTCCATCTTTTGCTTCTCTCTTTCACCTCTATTCCTTTCTTCTTCCTTCCATTTATTATGTTTCTGCCTTTTTACTCTAATTCATGATTTATTTTATTTCTGTAAACAACTATTTATCCAGAGGCATCTCTGTGCTAGAAATCTGTGGGTCACATGGTTTTTGGCAAGAATAACAATAATAACAATGTCATCAACAATAGTCATGTGCAATAACAACAAAAGGGGTCACCTACCACATAAATCTTTTATTTGCCATATTTACCATTTTAAGTGCACAGTTCAGTGGATATAAATACATTTATATCCTCTTCTTTCTTCATCCGCCCCGACTACCCCCTCTCTTTCCTGGCTTCTGGTAACTACCAATCTACACTGCATCATTATGAGATCCACTTTTTTAGCTCCCACATATGAGTGAGAACACGTGATATTTGCCTCTCTGTGCATGGCTTATTTCACTTAATATAATGGCCTCCAGTTCCATCCATGTTGCTGCAAATGACAGGATTTTATTCTCTTTTATGGATAAATAATATTCCATTGCATATATATACCACACTTTCTTTATCCATTCATAGGAACTTAGGTTGATTCCATATTTTGGCTATTGTGAACAGTGCTGCAACAAACATGGGAGTGCAGATATCTCTTTAATACGTTGACTTCCATTCTTTTGGATACATACTCAATAGTGGAATTCCTGGATCATATGGCAGTTCTACTTTTAGCTTTTTTGAGGAACCTCCATAATGTTCTCCGTAGTTTCTGCACTAATTTACGTTTCCACCAAAAGTGTACTAGGATTCCCCTTTCTCCACGTCTTCACCAGCATCTATTATCACCTGTCTTTTTTATACAAGCCATTTAAACAGGTGAGATGATATCATGATGTGGTTTGATTTGCATTTCTCTGATGATTACCGATGTTGAGTATTTTTCTCATATGATTGTTGGCCATTTGTATGTCTTCTTCTGAGAAATATCTGTTTAGATCTTTTGCCAATTTCTGGTCAAATTATTTATTTTTTGCTGTTGAGTTCCTTATATATTCCATTTATTAATGTCTTGTCAGATGAATAGTTTGCTAATATTTTCTTCCATTTTGTGGGTTGTCTCTTAAATTTGTTGGTTATTTCCTTTGCTGAACAGAAGATTTTTAGCTTGATATAATCCCAATTGTCTATTTTTTACTTTGGCTTCTCATACTTTTGAGATCTTAGACAAAAAAATTCTTTGCCCATGCCTATGTCCTGGAACATTTCTCCAGTGTTTTCCTCTAGTAATTTTATAGTTTCAGGTATTAATTTTAAGTCTTTAATCCAGCTTGATTTGATTTTTGTGTACAGTGAGCGAGGGGGGTCTGATTTAATTCTTCTACATATAATTATCCGTTTTCCCAGTACTATTTATTGAAAATATTGTTCTTTTTCCATTGCATGTCCTTGGTATCTTTGTGAAAGAAGAGTTAGTTGTAATTGTGTAGATATAAAGCTACACAATTTATATCTCTGTGTCTATTTTATCTCAGCATTGTGCTGTTTCAGTTACTATGGCTTTGGAGTAAATGTTGAAGTCTGGTAGTGTGATACTGCTAGCTTTGTTCTTTTTGCTCAGAATTGCTTTGGCTATTCAGGGCCTTTTCTGGTTCCATATAAATTCTAGAAGTTTTTTTTTCTATTACTGTAAAGAACGTCATTGGTATTTTGATATAGATTGCACTGAATCTGTAAATTGCTTTGGGAGTATTGTCATTTTTCCAATATTGATTCTCCCAGTCCATGAATATGGAGTATCTTTACATTTATGTGTGTTTCTCATTCTTTCATCAGCATTTTATACCTTTTCTTTTACATCTTTGGTTAGACTGATTCTTGATATTTTATATTGTTGCAGCTATTGTAAATGGGATTGCTTTCTTGATTTCTTTTTCATATTGTTGGCTATTCATGTATATAAATACTACTGATTTTTGTATGTTGATTTTGTATTCTACAGCTTTACTGGGTTAGATCATCAGGTCTAAGAGTTTTTTGGTAGAGTCTAGGTTTTTTTAGGTATAAGATCATGTTGTCTATGAACAAGGCTAATTTGGCTTCTTCCTTTTCAGTTTGGATTCCCTTTATTTCTTTTCCTTGCCTAATTGTTCTGGCCAGGACTTCCAGTATTACCTTGCATAATAGCAGCAACAGTGGGGATCCTTGTCCTGTTACAGCCTTTATATGAAAGGCCTTTAATATTTCCCCATTCAGTACAATGTTAGCAGTGGGTTTATCATATGTGAGCTTTTTTATTTTCAGGTATGTTTCTCCTATACCCATTTTAATGAGAGTTTTTAGCATAAATGGATGTTGAATTTTATCAAATGCTTCTTGGGCACTTATTGTAATAATTATATAATTTTTGTTCTTGATTCTGTTGTGATATATCACATTCACTGATTTGCAAATGTTGAATCATCCTTCCATCCCTGGAATGCATTTCACTTGATCACGGTGATCACTTGATCTTTTTAATGTGTTGTTTTGGTTTGCTAGTATTTTGTTGAAGATTTTTGCATTTATGCTTATCAGTGATATTGGCTTATAGTTTGCTTTTTCATTGTGTTCTTTTCTGGATTTGGTATCAAGTTATTGCTGGCCTTGTAGAATGACTTTGGAAGTAGTCTTTCTCCTTCAGTTTTTTTGATGAGTTTAAGATTAGTGTTAGTTCTTTAAATATTTGATAGAATTGAGCAGTGAATTCATCAGGTCCTGGGCTTTTCTTTGAGAGGAGACTTTTTGTTATGGCTTTGATCTCACTATTATTGCTTTATTGAGAGTTTTTTGTTTGTTTGTTTTTCTTTTCTTTTTTTTTTTTTTTTTTTTTTTTTTTTTTTTTTTTTGACAGAGCCTTGCTCTGTTGCTCAGGCTGGAGTGCAGTGACACAATCTTGGCTCACTGCAACCTCCACCTCCCAGGTTTAAGCAATTCTCTTGCCTCAGCCTCCCGAGTAGCTGGGACCACAGGTGCCCGCCATCATGCCCAGCTAATTTTTGTATTTTTAGTAGAGACAGGTTTCACCATGTAGCCCAGGCTGGCCTAGAACTCTTGACCTCAAGGGATCCACCCACCTCAGCCTCCCAAAGTGCTAGGATTACAGGCATGAACCACTGTGCCTGGCCAAAATTTTCTATTTCTTTATAATTCAATCTTGGTAGGTTTTATGTGTCCAGGAATTTATTCATTTCTTTGGTTTCCACCTCAATATAAACATTATGGATTCTCTACGCCTTGTTTAATGTTGGAAGTGTTGCTTTTGTTTTACACCACTGGTGTAAAACTTTAATCATTATTCGCATTGATAAACTGACAGAATATTTAGGAATTCTCTTTATTTACATGGCTTGACTGTGAACAACTGGGAAACAGAGTGCCTGGACTCTGGCATCTTGGGATCTCCAGTATATCATTGCTTCCCTAACATTTTGTTTGCAGTCAAATTTTTGAAGTATCCATTAGAAATAATAGAACCTTCTGACTCATATTTATATTTGAGCTTTTTTCTCAAAATTTAGGCAATATTTTTCCTTTATTTTCTCATAGTAACATCCCTTTTTCTCAAATGGGTGTTTTTCACAGTCATAATTTATTATATATTTTGTTTCAGATTTTTAACCTCTCAAGGTGAGGGATTTTATGTATTCAACATTTATGTTGTATATGGCAAGCACAGGACTTAGCAAGGAATAGGTAATGATGAATAAATGTTTCAGAAATGAAACTGAGTTCCTTTAGGATTGTTCTTAGTGTAGCTAAATGCAAAAGAGTAAATTAGACTAATCCTACTTTGGGAATAGAAGTGAATGGAGAATTTGAAATAGGGAGCAGTCATCAGAGAATAAGGAAAAACTATTAGTATTTACTTAAAAACATAAATATAATAAAAGTATAGTATATCTATCACATACTTTAATTTGCTCTCCCCTCTGATTCTGGTCAAAACATTTTCAGGTATGCAATCAAAAAGTTGCTTATTGATGCTGCATTATTTATTTATTTATTTATTTTGAGACAGAGTCTTGCTCTGTCACCCAGGCTGGAGTGCAGTGGTGCAATCTCGGCTCCCTGCAAGCTCCGCCTCCTGGGTTCACGCCATTCTCCTGCCTCAGCTTCCCGAATAGCTGGGACCACAGGTGCCCGCCACCACGCCCAGCTAATTTTTTGTATTTTTAGTAGAGACAGGGTTTCACTGTGTTAGCCAGGATGGTCTTCATCTCCTGACCTCGTGATCTGCCCACCTCGGCCTCCCACATTATTGATATTTTTAAGTGCCAATCTTTAAAAGTATACACTGGAATTTTAAAACTATGATCTGTAAAAGAGACTATGCTCCCTGTTACTCCATGCTCTAAATTCCACAAATACACAGTATTGACTGTTTCATTGCTTTATGTATAAAACCTTTATGTTTATTGCAATAAAGAATATTATTAGAAGCAACAATTTATCCAATTATTTTATTATAGTATTAAATATCAGTTCTGTCATTTAACACTGTGAAGTTATGAGCATATTACTCACCCTTTATGAGCCCCAATTTGTTTCTCATCAAAACGGAGATAAGGTATACAATTTCTAAGTATAATGTCAGAATTTGAGTTAGTAACAACTACAGTCACTTGAAATAGTATCAGACGTACACTAAAAAGATCAATAAATGTTTGTTTTCATTTTAATGCTAATGATTATTTTTATTTGGTTCTATCTGTGTTTGTCTACTATGAAAATTAGTGTATTTCCCCTTCCTCCATGGGTTTTATTCTTTTCTAGCATCTAGTTTAATTGGACATATCACTTAGCTTATGACTTATCTCTATTAAGTGATGTGACCAATATAAAATAATATATTCTTATCACTGGATGTGAAATTTGTAGAAATAAGCATTCTTACATTATTTCTCTTCACCTCCAAACTTTCATTGTTTTGATTCTTTCTTTCTTTTTTTTTTTTTTTTTTTTGAGACAGAGTCTCCCTCCATCACCCATGCTGGAGTGCAGTGGTGCGATTTTGGCTCACTGCAACCTCCGCCTCCCATGTTCAAGTGTTTGTCCTGCCTCTTGAGTAGCTGGTATTACAGGAGTGCACTGCCACACCTGGCTAATTTTTATATTTTTATTAGAGACAGGGTTTCACCATGTTGACCAGGCTGATCTTGAACTCCTGACCCCAGGATATCCACCCTCCTTGGCCTCCCAAAGTGCTGGGATTGCAGGAGTGAGCCACTGCACCTGGCCTGTTTAGATTATTTCTACAAAATAAGAATTTATATTGTTTTATATGGTATTTGATAACATACCATGTTATCAAACACATCGTGTTTATTTTAGTCATAAGCCTGCATTTAAACTGATTCACTGCTTACTGCCATAGTTTCTCTACTCTTTACTTGCTTGAGCGAACTCTTTTCTCTGGTTGTGTTCATGAAGACTTACTAGGAGTTATCTCTTTAATTCCTGCTTTGATATTAAAATTACATTTTATCTGAATCTAAAAATATTGTCACAGATTTTTGGCTTTTAAAATTTATAGGCATTCCCCTAATGTCTTGTAACATTAAGTGATGGGATGAAGAATTATGAAGCAAGCCTGATTTATGCCTTGTGGACTTTATCTTTTTGTCTGACTGGTAAAAGTCTCTGTTCACTGTATTTTAAAATCCAGCAATACCTAGTTGGATATTTATTTGTTTTTGTTTTTTGTTTGTTTGTTTGTTTGTTTTGAGACGGAGTCTTGCCCAGGGGCCCAGGCTGTAGTGCAGTGGCGCAATCTCGGCTCCCTGCAAGCTCCGCCTCCTGGGTTCACGCCATTCTCCTGCCTCAGCCTCCCAAGTAGCTGGGACTACAGGCACCCGCAACCACACCCGGCTAATTTTTTTTTTTTTTTTTTTTTTTTGTATTTTTAGTAGAAACGGGGTTTCACCACTTTAGCCAGGATGGTTTCAATCTCCTGACCTCGTGATCTACCCGCCTCGGCCTGGCAAAGTCTATTTCTTTGTTTTGACTGCTCTGTTTCAACTGTTTTTAGGCACTATGTAATTTTTGGCCTGTTTATTTTCATTAATAAAAATTTATTTAAGTTTATATCTTTAAATATTTTTCCACTTTATTATTCTGTTTGTCTTCTTCACAGATAATAATATCTGTGTTAATTTTTCATACATATGTAACATTTATTCTAGGATGACTTTTTATTTCTTCATTTATTATAATGTAATTATGTTTGCTTTTTTCTTTTTCTTTTCTTTTATTTTATTATTATTATGCTTTAAGTTTTAGGGTACATGTGCACAACGTGCAGGTTTGTTACATATGTATACATGCGCCATGTTGGTGTGCTGCACCGATTAACTCGTCATTTAGCATTAGGTATATCTCCTAATGCTATCCCTCCCCCCTCCCCCCACCCCACAACAGTCCCCAGAGTGTGATGTTCCCCTTCCTCTATCCATGTGTTCTCATTGTTCAGTTCCCACCTATGAGTGAGAACATGCGGTGTTTGGTTTTTTGTCCTGGCGATAGTTTGCTGAGAATCATGGTTTCCAGCTTCATCCATGTCCCTACAAAGGACATGAACTCATCATTTTTTATGGCTGCATAGTATTCCATGATGTATATGTGCCACATTTTCTTAATCCAGTCTATCATTGTTGGACATTTGGGTTGGTCCAAAGTCTTTGCTATTGTGAATAGTGTCTCAGTAAACATACGTGTACATGTGTCTTTATAGCAGCATGATTTGTAATCCTTTGAGTATATACCCAGTAATGGGATGGCTGGGTCAAATGGTATTTCTAGTTCTAGATCCCTGAGGAATCGCCACACTGACTTCCACAATGGTTGAACTAGTTTACAGTCCCACCAACAGTGCAAAAGTGTTCCTATTTCTCCACATCCTCTCCAGCACCTGTTGTTTCCTGACTTTTTAATGGTCACCATTCTAACTGGTGTGAGATGGTATCTCATTGTGGTTTTGATTTGCATTTCTCTGATGGCCAGTGATGATGAGCATTTTTTCATGTGTCTTTTGGCTGCATAAATGTTTTCTTTTGAGAAGTGTCTGTTCTTATCCTTCACCCACTTGTTGATGGGGTTGTTTTATTTTTTCTTGTAAATTTGTTTGAGTTCATTGTAGATTCTGGATATTAGCCCTTTGTCAGATGAGTAGGTTGCAAAAATTTTCTCCCATTCTGTAAGTTGCCTGTTCACTCTGATGGTAGTTTCTTTTGCTGTGCAGAAGCTTTTTAGTTTAATTAGATCCCATTTGTCAATTTGGCTTTTGTTGCCATTGCCTTTGCTGTTTTAGACATGAAGTCCTGGCCCATGCCTATGTCCTGAATGGTATTGCCTAGGTTTTCTTCTAGGGTTTTTATGGTTTTAGGTCTAACATGTAAGTCTTTAATCCATCTTCAATAAATTTTTGTATAAGGTGTAAGGAAGGGATCCAGTTTCAGCTTTCTCCATATGGCTAGCCAGTTTTCCCAGCACCATTTATTAAATAGGGAATCCTTTCCCCATTGCTTGTTTTTGTCAGGTTTCTCAAAGATCAGATAGTTGCAGATATGTGGCATTATTTCTGAGGGCTCTGTTCTGTTCCATTGGTCTATATCACTGTTTTGGTACCAGTACCATGCTGTTTTGGTTACTGTAGCCTTGTAGTATAGTTGGAAGTCAGGTAGTTTGATGCCTCCAGGTTTGTTCTTTTGGCTTAGGATTGACTTGGCAATGCGGGCTCTTTTTTGGTTCCATATGAACTTTAAAGTAGTTTTTTCCAATTCTGTGAAGAAAGTCATTGGTAGCTTGATGGGGATGGCATTGAATCAATAAATTACCTTGGGCAGAATGCCTATTTTCATGATATTGATTCTTCCTACCCATGAGCATGGAATGTTCTTCCATTTGTTTGTATCCTCCTTTATTTCATTGAGCAGTGGTTTGTAGTTCTCCTTGAAGAGGTTCTTCACATCCCTTGTAAGATGGATTCCTAGGTATTTTATTCTCTTTGAAGCAATTGTGAATGGGAGTTCACTCATGATTTGGCTGTTTGACTGTTATTGATGTATACGAATGCTTGTGATTTTTGCACATTGATTTTGTATGCTGAGAGTTTGCTGAAATTACTTATCAGCTTAAAGAAATTTTGGGCTGAGACGATGGGGTTTTCTAGATATACAATCATGTCATCTGCAAACAGGGACAATTTGACTTCCTCTTTTCCTAATTGAATACCCTTTATTTCCTTCTCCTGCCTGATTGCCCTGGCCAGAACCTCCAACACTATGTTGAATAGGAGTGGTGAGAGAGGGCATCCCTGTCTTGTGCCAGTTTTCAAAGGGAATGCTTCCAGGTTTTGTCCATTCAGTATGATATTGGCTGTAGGTTTGTCATAGATAGCTCTTATTATTTTGAGATACATCCCATCAATACCCAATTTATTGAGAGTTTTTAGCATGAAGGTTGTTGAATTTTGTCAAAGGCCTTTTCTGCGTCTTTTGAGATAATCATGTGGTTTTTGTCTTTGGCTCTGTTTATATGCTGCATTAAGTTTATTGATTTTCATATGTTGAACCAGCCTTGCATCCCAGGGATGAAGCCCGCTTGATCATGTTGGATAAGCTTTTTGATGTGCTGCTGGATTTGGTTTGCCAGTATTTTTGCATCAATGTTCATCAAGGATATTGGTCTAAAATTCTCTGTTTTGGTTGTGTCTCTGCCAGGCTTTGGTATCAGGATGATGCTGGCCTCATAAAATGAGTTAGGGAGGATTCCCTCTTTTTCTATTGATTGGAATAGTTTCAGAAGGAATGGTACCAGCTGCTCCTTGTACGTCTGATACAATTCGGCTGTGAATCCATCTGGTCCTGGACTCTTTTTGGTTGGTAAGCTATTAATTATTGCCTCAATTTCAGAGCCTGTTATTGGTCTATTCAGAGATTCAACTTCTTCCTGGCTTAGTCTTGGGAGGGTGTATGTGTCAAGGAATTTATCCATTTCTTCTAGATTTTCTAGTTTATTTGCATAGAGGTGTTTACAGTATTCTCTGATGGTAGTTTGTATTTCTGTGGGATCGGTGATGATATCCCCTTTTATCATTTTTTATTGCATCTATTTGATTCTTCTCTCTTTTCTTCTTTATTAATCTTGCTAGCAGTCTATCAGTTTTGTTGATCTTTTCAAAAAACCAGCTCCTGGATTCATTGATTTTTTGAAGGTTTTTTTGTGTCTCTATCTCCTTCCGTTCTGCTCTGATTTTAGTTATTTCTTGCCTTCCGCTAGCTTTTGAATGTGTTTGCTCTTGCTTTTCTAGTTCTTTTAATTGTGATGTTAGGGTGTCAATTTTAGATCTTTCCTGCTTTCTCTTGTGGGCATTTAGTGCTATAAATTTCCCTCTACACACTGCTTTGAATGTGTCCCAGAGATTCTGGTATGTTGTGTCTTTGTTCTCATTGGTTTCAAAGAACATCTTTATTTCTGCCTTCATTTCATTATGTACCCAGTAGTCATTCAGGAGCAGGTTGTTCGGTTTCCATGTAGTTGAGCTGTTTTGAATGAGTTTCTTAATCCTGAGTTCTAGTTTGATTGCACTGTGGTCTGAGAGACAGTTTGTTATAATTTCTGTTCTTTTACATTTGCTGAGGAGTGCTTTACTTCCAACTATGTGGTCAATTTTGAAATAGTTGTGTGGTGCTGAAAAGAATGTATATTCTGTTGATTTGAGGTGGAGAATTCTGTAGATGTCTATTAGGTCTGCTTGGTGCAGAGCTGAGTTCAATTTCTGGACATCCTTGTTAACTTTCTGTCTCGTTGATCTGTCTAATGTTGACAGTGGGGTGTTAAAGTCTCCCATTATTATTGTATGGGAGTCTAAGTCTCTTTGTAGGTCACTAAGGACTTCCTTTATGAATCTGGGTGCTCCTGTATTGGGTGCATATATATTTAGGATAGTTAGCGCTTCCTGTTGAATTGCTCCCTTTACCATTATGTAATGGCCTTCTTTGTGTCTTTTGATCTTTGTTGGTTGAAAGTCTGTTTTATCAGAGACTAGGATTGCAACCCCTGCCTTTTTTTGTTTTCCATTTGCTCGGTAGATCTTCCTCCATCCCTTTATTTTGAGCCTATGTGTGTCTCTGCACGTGAGATGGGTTTCCTGAATAGAGCACACTGATGGGTCTTGACTCTTTATCCAATTTGCCAGTCTGTGTCTTTTAATTGAAGCATATAGCCCATTTACATTTAAGGTTAATATTGTTATGTGTGAATTTGATCCTGTCATTATGATGTTAGCTGGTTATTTTGCTCGTTAGTTGATGCAGTTTCTTCCTAGCCTCGATGGTCTTTACAATTTGGCATGATTTTGCAGTGGCTGGTACCAGTTGTTCCTTTGCATGTTTAATGCTTCCTTCAGGAGCTCTTTTAGGGCAGGCCTGGTGGTGACAAAATCTCTCAGCATTTGCTTGTCTGTAAAGGATTTTATTTCTCCTTCACTTATGAAGCTTAGTTTGGCTGGATATGAAATTCTGGGTTGAAAATTCTTCTCTTTAAGAATGTTGAATATTGGCCCCCAGTCTCTTCTGGCTTGTAGAGTTTCTGCCGAGAGATCTGCTGTTAGTCTGATGGGCTTCCCTTTGTGGGTAACCCAACCCTTCTCTCTGGCTGCCCTTAACATTTTTTCCTTCATTTCAACTTTGGTGAATCTGACAATTATGTGTCTTGGAGTTGCTCTTCTCGAGGAGTATCTTTGTGGCGTTCTCTGCATTTCCTGAATCTGAATGTTGGCCTGCCTTGCTAGATTGGGGAAGTTTTCCTGGATAATATCCTGCAGAGTGTTTTCCAACTTGGTTCCATTCTCCCCATCACTTTCAGGTACACCAATCAGACGTAGATTTGGTCTTTTCACATAGTCCTATATTTCTTAGAGGCTTTGTTCATTTCTGTTTATTCTTTTTTCTCTGAACTTCTCTTCTCTCTTCATTTCATTCATTTCATCTTCCATCGCTGATACCCTTTCTTCCAGTTGATTGGATCGGCTACTGAGGCTTGTGCATTCATCACACAGTTCTTGTGCCATGGTTTTCAGCTCCATCAGGTCCTTTAAGGACTTCTCTGCATTGGTTATTCTAGTTAGCCATTCGTCTAATTTTTTTTCAAGGTTTTTAACTTCTTTGCCATGGGTTTGAACTTCCTCCTTTAGCTCTGAGTTGTTTGATCTTCTAAAACCTTCTTCTCTCAACTTGTCAAAGTCATTCTCCATTGCTGGTAAGGAGCTGTGTTCCTTTGGAGGAGGAGAGGCACTCTGATTTTTAGAGTTTCAGGTTTTTCTGCTCTGTTTTTTCCCCATCTTTGTGGTTTTATCTACCTTTGGTCTTTGATCATGGTGACATACAGATGGGGCTTTTGTGTGGATGTCCTTTCTGTTTGTTAGTTTTCCTTCTAACAGTCAGGACCCTCAGCTGCAGGTCTGTTGGAGTTTTCTGGAGGTCCACTACAGACCCTGTTTGCCTGGGTATCAGCAGTGGTGGCTGCAGAACAGTGGATATTTGTGAACCGCAAATGCTGCTGCCTGATCGTTCCTCTGGAAGTTTTGTCTCAGAGGAGTACCCGGCCATGTGAGGTGTCAGTCTGCCCCTACTGGGGGGTGCCTCCCAGTTAGGCTACTCGGGGGTCAGGGACCCACTTGAGGAGGCAGTCTGCCCATTCTCAAATCTCAAGCTGCATGCTGGGAGAACCACTACTCTCTTCAAAGCTGTCAGACAGGGACATTTAAGTCTGCAGAGGTTACTGCTGCCTTTTGTTTGTCTGCACCCTGCCTCCAGAGGTGGAGCCTACAGAGGCAGGCAGGCCTCCTTGAGCTGTGGTGGGCTCCACCCAGTTCAAGCTTCCCGGCCACTTTGTTTACCTACTCAAGCCTCAGCAATGGCAGGCCCCCCTCCCTCAGCCTCGCTGCCACCTTGCAGTTTGATCTCAGACTGCTGTGCTAGCAATGAGCGAGGCTCCGTGGGTGTAGGACCCTCTGAGCCAGGTGCAGGATATAATCTCTTGGTGTGCCATTTGTTAAGCCCATTGGAAATGCACAGTGTTAGGGTGGGAGTGACCCAATTTTCCAGGTGCCATCTGTCACCCCTTTCTTTGACTAGGAAAGGGAATTCCCTGATCCCTTGCACTTCCCAGGTGAGGCGATGCCTCGCCCTGCTTTGGCTCATGCATGGTGTGCTGCACCCACTGTCCTTCCCCCACTGTCCGGCACTCCCCAGTGAGATGAACCTGGTACCTCAGTTGGAAATGCAGAAATCATCTGTCCTCTGCGTCACTCACGCTGGGAGCTGTAGACCGGAACTGTTCCTATTTGGCCATCTTGGTTCCCATGTTTGCTTTTTTCAACTTTGTCTTCCATGACCCCTACTCTATGTTCAGCAAAATGTGTTCATTTAATACTAATTCTTCTTTAGATCATTGATACATAATATTTCACATATTTGTAGGATACATGTGATATTTTGTTACATGTATAGAATATGTAATAATCAAGTCAAGGTACTTAGGGTATCCATCCTGATATGGTTTGGATCTGCGTCCCCACTCAAATCTCATGTCAAATTGTAATCCCCAATATTGGAGATGGGACCTGGTGGGAGGTGATCATGGGGTGGATTTCCCCCTGGGTGCTGTTCTCATGATAATAAGTGAGTTCTTATGAGATCTGTTTATTTTAAAGTGAGAGGCACCTCGTTGCTGCCCCCCCACCCCACCCCCACCGCCACCTTTCTCCTGCTCCAACCATCTAAGATG
This sequence comes from Homo sapiens, assembly GCF_000001405.40. NCBI lineage: Eukaryota > Metazoa > Chordata > Mammalia > Primates > Hominidae > Homo > Homo sapiens. The sequence continues at coordinate 54,899,992 of NC_000012.12, read as the reverse complement.
TGTCACTTACCCTTTGCCTTCCACCATGATTGAAAGTTTCCTGAGGGCTCCCCAGAAACTGTCATGATTCCTGTACAGCCTGTGGAACCGTGAGCCAATTAAACATCTTTTCTTTATAAATTACCCAGGCTCAGGTATTTCTTTATAGCAGTGTGAGAATGCACTAATACAATCATCTTGAGTATTTATCATTTCTATGTGTTGGGAGCATTTCAAATAGAGTCATACTGTATGATTCTATTTACATAAAGTTTAAACACATGCAATTTAGGATATTATTTACTCTAGGAACAAGTAATGATTGGAATGGGTCAAAATAGCCATTTTGATATCCTTTTAGGGGAAGTATGTATTCAAGTATTTTGTTCATTTTTAATTGGTCTTTCTTTTTCTAATTGATAAAAAGGAATCCACTTTAACTTTATGATTTAGCTCAAAATAATTTTGTGTATAGTATTTTTTTTACTAGATATGCAATTGACATGTAGGAGTTGAAAAGACCACCTTTGCCCATTGACTCGTACTGAATGCTTTGTATAAATCAGATGACTATATATATTTGAATCTGTTTCCAAACTATCTATTCTATTCTATTTGTGTTGACAATACTCTTTTTTTTTTTTTTTTTTTTTTTGAGATAGTCACTGATTCCCTTGCTCCATCACCAAGGCTGGAGTGCAGTGGCATGATCTTGGCTCACTGCAACCTCCACCTCCTGGTTCAGGCAATGTTAGTTCCTCAGCCTCCTGAGTAGCTGACTACAGACATACACAACCACGCCAGGCTAATTTTTGTATTTTTAGCAGAAAGGGGGTTTCACCATGTTGGCCAGGCTGCTCTTGAACTCCTGGTCTCAAGTGATCTGCCCGCCTTGGCTTCCCAAAGTGCTGGGGTTACAGGGGAGAGCCACTGTGCCCAGCCAATACAATATTTCATTTAATGTAGCTTTGTAATAAGTCTTGAAATCTGGTAGTATAAATTCTACAGCCATGTTCTTAGTCTTCAGCATTGCCTTGGCAATACTAGGTCCTATGTACTTTCAGATAAACTTCAGTATCTATCTTTCAATTTCCACATCAGTCTGTGCTGAGATTTATTTGAGATTGTTTTAATTTTAATAATATTGACTCTATCTCTCCATTTAATTATGGTATACCCTTTATATATTTAGTTCTTTTTAACTTTTTTTTAATTTCACTTTAAGTTCTGGGATACATGTGCTGAATGTGCAGGTTTGTTACATAGATATATGTGTCCCATGGTAGTTTGCTGTACCTATCAACCCGTAATCTAGGTTTTAAGCCCCGCATGCATTAGGTATTTGTCTTATTCTCTCCCTCCCCTTTCACTCCACCCCCCCGACAGGCCCCGGTGTGTGATGTTCCCCTCCTTGGGTCCATGTGTTCTCATTGTTCACCTCCCACTTATGAGTGAGTTAGTTCTTATATTTTCTTTATGATGTTTGTTGTGTTAAGTGTAGAGTTGTGGCAAAATTTTGGTCAGATCAAGTCTAAGTTCTTGGTGTGTTTTTAATACTCTGATATATATATATATGCAGGGGGGGATTTTCAGAGGCAGTTCCGATATACATTCTAGACATTTCTTCAAAGGGTTCCAGTGGGACTGAGTGACATTGCCTACATTAACATTCAGCTGAATAACTCACATATTATTGTCTTTTTTGCCTTGCTACATTATCCCTATTCCCTCATTTCCTCACTCTCTCTTGCTCCCAAATAATCTTTTATGCCCAAGTCCTTGTGGCATAAAATGCACAAGGTTTTATACTTTGCTTTTAGGAAAACCCAGAGCAAGAGAGAGGTTGATTTTAAGAAACGAGAAAAAACATTAGTAATCAGTTTTTTGCACCCATGTTATAGATTTAAACAGGATAGTTGAGTCCTTTCTTCATTAATAAATAGGTGCATGAATACCTGGGAATAAATCTAATGAAATATTTTAAGATATGTTTCCTGAAAAATGCAAGCATTATAAAAAAGAAATTTTAAAACCATCTATAAAAATAGAAATTCAAGGATATGCTATGTTTATGGATTGGAAAACTTAATATTTTGAAAATTGCAATCTTAGAAATTGATCTATAGATTGAATACAGTCTCATTTTTAAAACTAGGAAGGTTTTTTGGTAGAAGTTGATGAGAATCTTCTAAAATTTATATGAAAATGAGAAGGGCCAAAAATAGTAATGGCACTCTTGAAGATAAAAGGTAAGGCTGAAGAACTTATCAAAAATGAGCAATTATAAAGGTATAGTAATTCTGAGGTGCAGTAATTGTTGCAAGCACAGATAAGTAGACCAAAGGGCTGATGAGAGTACAGAAGCCCACCAAGGCACATGCAATCACCTGGTTTATAACAAAAGCATCAATTGCAATACAGAGAATAAAGTTGTTTTCAGTAAGTGATACTAGAACAATGAGAGTAGTATTAAACAAAAAAAATGGATCCAACAAAAAAATGCATCATGACTCTTACTTTATACAATATGAAAAACTTAATTTCAGATTGATTACATATCTAATTAAACACCAAAGATTTCTTAAGATGCAAAAAAGTGCTAACAACAAAGAAAAAAAGACTAAATGGAACTAAATTAAAATCAAGAACTTCTGCTCATGAAAAAATACCAATGTTAGTGGAAATGCAACTGACAAAAATGGAAGAAGATAATTATGCTCCATACTATATGTCTGACAAAGAGCTAACATTCAGACTATATAAGTAACTTCTACAGCTCCACCAACAATGGAGACAACCCAGTAGAAAAGTTGGCAAAATATATGAGCAAGCACATCACAAGATAGGATATGCAAAGCGACAGTAAACATATGAAAGGGCATTCAACTTCAACCATTACAAAGAACATGCAGATTAAAACTACAATGTGAATATCATTACATACTCTGTGGCTAAAATGATAGAGGCACAAACACCGTGTGTTGGCAAGAATGTGGAAAAAGAACTTACATATACTTCTATTGGTAGTGTAAATCAGTAAAAAGATTTGCTGTCATCTAAGTATTTATTGATACCGTCTAAAACTGGACTTATGTATATGTGATGACCTAGCAGCGTGACCTCTAGGTTTATATATAGTGGCAAAAAGGGGATAATGTCTTTTCTTCCCATCATAAGTGTTACAGCTGATACCCCTACAACAAAAGACAGGTTAACAAGAGAAAAAAAAATGTATTTGATCATAGCTCCACATGAGACAGGAGCCTTCAGAATGAAGACCCAAAGGTACAGAGAAAACTATCGAATTTTGTGCTAGGTTCAATGAAGAAAGGACAGCAAAAAGGGTATGATCTAACAGGAAAAGACTGAGTAAGGAAACCCAGCAAGGCCTGTTGTTTAGATTCTTCTTGGTCTCTCCGTGCAGCACTCCTTCCCCGAGGTATGGGGCAGGACCTTTTCTGGAATGAGGGTCTTATGACCTACAATCGACCAAGGTAGATCAGAGAATTTCTTTATGGCTAGTTCTTATATAGAAAGGTGGGGGAAAGTTAGATAATATGTTTAGGTGCTATGGCTGGCTTTAGGGCAAAGGTGTTCTGGTTTCTATGACCCATCTTGAGGAAGAGGGATTCTAGTTTCCATGGTTAGCCTTGGGGAAGAATGAGGAATGACAGACAGGAGGGAAGAAGAAGGTCAGAGAGAAACTTTCTGAGGCTGTTTCTGAGGCCTTCTTTTGTGGGTATCATTTTCTGAGCTTCAACATATAAACAATAAAATATATACAAATGTTTATCTAGGTGTACACTCAATAAAATGCATATTTATGTTAACCAGAAAACATTTTCAAGAGTGTTCACAGCAACAGCTATTTGTAAGAGCTAAAAAACTGAAAACAACGAAAATACTCAACAGCAGGAGAATGATATAGTGGTATATTTATTCAATATAATACTATTTAGTTGGGAAATTGTAAACATTACAACTGTACACCAACAACAAAGACGAATGACAGAAACATTATCTTGAATGAAAGAAAATAAACACAAAATAACTCTTACTGAATGATCCCATTTCTGTAAAGTCAATTTGATTGCTGGTTTAAAAGTTGTATTCAATTTGTGTTTATGCATCAAGCTGTATGTATATAATCTGTGAACATTTTCCTATGATATTATACTTCATTCCATTTTTACATTAAAAATATGTAAATCCAAGGATTATTGATTTCAAAATTTTAAAATAAAGAATCCACTGACATCTCCTAATCGACTGAAAAAGAGATAAAAGCTTTCAAAAGTAATTCAAAACATATTTTAAAGGAAATTACTCCTGGGAAAATACAGGATTAAGAAATTTAACAAATACTTCAGTTGTCAAAGTATAGCTAATTTTTTTAAGACTTTATTTTTTAGAGCAGTTTTAGTTTCATAGCAAAATTGAGTAAAAGGCACAGAGATTTTCCATATGCCTCTGTCCCCACACATGCACAGCCTCCCCCATTATCAATATTTCCCACTAGAGTGGTACATTTGTTACAGCTGATGAACCTATATTGGTACATTATCACCTGAAGTCTTTATTTAGTTTATGTTCGGGTTCTCTCTTGATGTACATTCCATGGGTTTAGAAAAATGTATAATGCCATGTATACACCATTACAGTATCATAAAGATACTATTACTGCCCTAAAATTCTCTGTGCTCTGCCTATTCATTCCTCCTCTCTTCAGCCCTGACAACCACTGATCTTTTTACTATCTCTGTACTTTTGCTTCTTCCAGATGTCATATAGTTGAAATTATACAATATGTAGCCTTTCCAGATAGGCTTCTTTAACTTAATAATATGAATTTAAGTTCTTCCATGTCTTTTCATAGCTTGATAGCCCAATTCTTTTTAGCAATGAATAATATTCAATTGCCTGAATATACCACAGTTTTCTTTTCCATTCACCTATTGAAGGACATCTCGGTTGCTTCAAGTTTTGACAATTATGAATAAAGCTGCTATAAACATCTCTTTGCAGATTTTTATGTAGATATAAGCTTTCAGTTCATTTGGGTAAATATCAAAGAGCATGATTGCAGGAACATATGGTAAGAGTATGATCAGTTTTGTAAGAAATGGCCAAAGTGTCTTTCAAAGTGGCTATACCATTTTGCATTCCCACCAGCAATGAGTGAGTATTCCTGTTGCTCCACATCCTCACCAGCATTAGGTGCTGTCAGAGTTCTGAATTTTGTCCATTCTAATAGGTGTGCAGTGGTATCTCATTGTTGTTTTAATTTATGTTTCTCTGATGACATATAATGTAGAGTATCTTTTCATATGCTTATTTGCATCTGTATATCTTCTTTGGTGAGGTGTTTGTTAAGGTCTTTAGTCTAAGTTTAGCAAATTGCCATGATGAAAAATGTCCTATAATATGAACTCTTGAAAATCACATCTTGTTTTTTGTTTGCTGCTATGAAAAACCAAGAATGGCATAAAAAATAAAATGACACACACAAACCAATTTATAATCTAGCTGCATGAAAATAAAATAGTAAATCAATGTGAACTCTGTATTAAAATAATGTGCATAAAAGCACAACATGATCTATGAGATCAAGGATGGTTCAACATCAATAATACAATCAAAATAATTTGTAAATTCAATTAGATAAATGTAATTATCTTGGCTGATATAGAAAAACACTGTAAGTAACTAAAGAAACATTTTAGAATACTCAAAAACAGACTTGAAGGTGTAAAACCATTTATGCATGTTCATATGTATGCATGTTCCTTCACTTATTTAAGAGACAATGGCCTAGAGAAATAGATGCATAGTGAAAGACAAATGGTAAAGCCTATCCACATTTCCCTAATTATTTTCTGTGAGGGTGCAGAAGAAAGAACTCACTTATCTATTACAGCATACCAAAGTGTGTGTAGGCATGTGTGTGTGTGTGTATGTGTGTGCATATACCCACATATTGGGGGTGGGGTATATTTGTTTTTGTTTATTTTCATTTGTTAAATTAATCTATTTTTAAATGAGGATTTAGGATTTTTTTCTAGGCTCATTAGGATCCCTTGGATATGTGAATTTGCCAGTTGGTTGATCCATATTTAGATACCAGGCCCAGACAACCCAAAGTTATTCTGGGGGCCTTTGAATGTTGTTCAGGAGAGAGAATAAATGGATAATCAATGAACTATTAACATGCAGTTTAAAGAAGTTTGAACAGACTGTCACAACCCAATTGATCAACTTTTGTAATGTTTCCAAGAGTCTCAGGACAGAGATGTCCTTTAACAAAATGGTAGAGCTTATGAAATATAAACATTCCTGAGGTGAATTTACAGTCACAGTAAAAGTAGCCTGATAAAGCTACTTTTATAAATTTATATTTTATCTACTCTTAAGATGTCAAGTAATTTCCCTATAGTATCCTAATAATCTGTGACCTTTCAAACTTCCTGAAACCCTGACGTACCTATTATAAATTACCAAAGGCATACTGACTATTCCATTTGTGTTAGAAAGATACAGAGGAATCAATTATTCATATGTAGAATGTGAGACATTTCAAAAGGGAAAAAATTGCTCGAACTCCACATTAAGCCAAACACATGGAGATAAACGCAGGGGGATGTCTGTAATAGAATGGAAAAAAAAAAACTTAGAAGATATAATGATTAAGTTGGAAGAACATATTTGTGTCCTAACTTGGAAAAAATGTCTAAGAAAGGTATTTTGAAAATATTCAAGCCAGAGCAGCATAGTGAGACCTCATCTCTGCAAAAATAAAGAAAATTAGCCAGGCATGGTAGCGCACACCTGTGGTCCCATCTACTCGGGAAGCTGAGGTGGGAGGATCACTTGAGCTCAGGAGTTCGAGGCTGCAGTGAGCTGCAATTATGCCATGCACTCCATCCTGGGTGACAGACTAAAAAAAAAAAAGTGAGAAAAAGAAGAGAGATTTCAAATAAACAATCTAATTCTAAACCTAAAGGAACTAGAAAAAGAACAAGCTAAGGCCAAAGATATTAGGAGGGAAATAAAGATTAAAGCAGACAAACATAAAATAGAGAATTTAAAATTTAGAAAAAATAAAACTAACAGTTGGTCTTCCAAAAACGTAAACAAAATTGACAAACCCTTAGCTAAACTAAGAAATTTAAAAATCCAGAGTAAAAAATAAAAAAGTCAAAAAAGAAATAGAGGCATTACAACTGATGCCCCAGAAACAAAAAGGATTACTATGCATAATTACAGGCCAATAAATTATATAACTTGACAGAAATGGATAAATTCCTAGAAACATATAACCTAATAAGAATGAATCATGAAGAAATAGAAAATCTGAACAGACCATTAACTAGTAAGGAAATTGAATCAGAAATCCAGTTCTGCTTAAGGTGCTCTATGACAGTCTCATGGATTTTCTTTCTTTTTTTTTTTTTTTTAAGACACGGGGTCTCTGCACAATCATAGTTCACTGCAGCCTTGAACTCCTGGCCTCAAGCAGTCCTCTTACCTCAGCCTCTCAAAGTGCTGCTGGGATTACAGGCATGAGCCACCACTCCCAGCCCCAATGACTTTCAATATAGAGAATATTTCTTATGTTGCCTACCAGGCTATTTAAGATCTGACCTCAGATTAACTCACATTGTGCTGATCCAACATATTTACCCTCAGCATGCCAGATCCAATATATTGTTTACATTTAACTCAAAAGGGCCTGCTTTCTCTCAGCCTTTATATTTGCTGTTCTCCCAGGGATCCGCCCCTTGGTTCATTTCACTGAACTGCCAGAAGCGTTTGTGGCCTTGTGCAAACATCACTGAAATAAGAATGGCTCAATGACTCCCAACTCAAGAGAGATTGTATTCATTTTTATAACCTTCTGTTTGACCTTCCATTTTACACTGCTACATTCATCACAAGTAATTTTTTATTCAAAGTATTTCTTACCTAAAGAAAGGTAGTCAGAATATGGGAGGAGAATACATTATTTTAACCAGAACTTAGCAAAAGTGGTGTTACATAGCAAGCAAGTAATAAATACTTGCAGATGAAATAAGTTAATAAATGGCCAGAGTAATCAAGAATTAGCATTAAGAACTTGCCTGGGAAGGAGGAGCCATGTATCTGTAGCAATTCCGTATTCATGAGATTGCTCTCAGCCTTTGGGTTCCTGTGAATATGAAAAAAAAAATCTGCTTTTCTGTTACTGAAGGAGAATCAGAATTGTACAGGTCTCTTCCAATGTCTCTGTCTTCCATCTCAGCTACAGGACAGGAGCCCACTCTTGACATGGAAGCCAATGCTCTGACAGTCACTACATATGAGTTGCACCAACATTTATTTATTTTTATTCTAATTCCCCTGAATTGTCCAGCTCCCTCCTGAGTAGAGAAAAACATCTCTGGGCCTCTCCTCCTTTCTGTGTAGTGTTATTGATGTAACAGATTAGGAGGCATATAAGGGGTTTTAGTGGGAAGGAAACAGAGAGACAATGTGTCTGATGGGAATGGGGAATACTTTACTTATTGCTCTTAGCTCTGGATCTAAGTAGAGCCTCTGGGACATTTCTTCCCAGGGGGAAAAAAAAAGCAAATTGCATATGTTCAAAACACAAGTGGATCCCTAAGTATTTTAGAAAGATGGAAAATGGTAGAGCAATTGCATACTCCATTATGGGGAAACATGGTCATTTGTAGATTTGGCCAATAACTAAGATCAGGGTTTCACACAACTGCAATTGTTTTACTGCCTCAAAAGGATATAAAGCCTCGGCATAGACCGAGTCAGAAAAGTGGAGAACTTGCAGAATTAGTAGTACCCTGTATGAAGAAAGTTTCTGCTGTGTTTGCACCTGCCCTGGTCTAGCAAATCCCAGGGAAACTGAGTTGTTATTCCTATTCAAAAAAGGAAGCACAAGACAAAGAAGGATTTAACTAGAGCTCGTGAGATTTGGATTACGGTACTCCCCCTTATGTGCGGGGGATCCATTCCAAAACCTCCAGTGGATTCCTGAAACCACAGATAGTACTGAACCCTATGTATATTATAATATTTCCTAAACATACCTATGATAAAGTTTAATTTATGAATTAGGCACAAGAAGAGACTAACAAGAACAATAATAAAATAGAACAATAATAACAATATACTCCAATGTTATGTGAATGATGTATGATATCTCTCTCTCCCTCCCAAAATATATTATGGCACTGTAGATCTTAGAAACCTCAACATAAAATTTATTTGCTTTTCTTATCAAATCAATAACTTCTACCTTTTCACTTAAAGGAAGCACTTTATGGCTCTTTTTCACATATCCAAATTTCCAGCATCGCTAATCTTATGATTTGGGGCCATTACTAGCAAAGTAAGGTTTACTTGAATACAAGCACTGCAATACAGTGACAATCAAATTCTCCAGATGGCTGTGAAGTGACTAGCAGCAGGTGGTGTGTACAGCATGGCTATGCTAGACAAAGGCATGATTCATATCTACGGCAGGATGGAGATGGATGGTGCGAAATGCAATCATGCTAGTCAGAATGCTGCACAATTAAAAACCTATAAATTGTTTATTTCTGGAATTTCCCATATAATACTTTTGGACTGGGGCTGACTACAGGTAACTGAAACCTTGGAAAGCAAAACTGTGGATAAAGGGGAAATACTGTATGTATTAACAAGAACATATTAATGACCCTGGATGAGGCCCAGTGTCGTACATAATGTTACTGTTACGGAGAATCATTTAGAGAAGAAAAGAGATGTATTACCTTATTTTATCAAAATATATAATATATACATGGGATTAAGATGTTAAGATGCTACCATGTTAATTGAAGGAGTTTTTCAGACAGAAAAATCATAGCTACCCCATAGGGATGTAAAATTGTACAGGTGAGATAAGTTTGTTTTCAAATCATCAGCTTCATATCTGCCTATGATAATGTGATTGGTATGTATGTGGGACATGAGTATGTCTTTCTTAACGAAGCTGAAGTTTCCTTTTAAACAGTGACTTAAAAGGAATCTTCTTAGAGAAGGAACCACGGCTAAGTTGAATGTGTGTGTGTATATGTGTGTGTGTGTGTGTGTGCGTGTGTGTAGGTTAGGTAGTTATCTCCACTCCAATCTCCAACTTTTCCAAAAACTCCAACTCTCTTTCGCAGGATATTTGGCTACTACTCACTGCCTCTACCCTCCAGACTCAGAACTCAGTTCCTTCACCCACTTGTTCAAGTCCACAGACACCTGCTCTCACACCTGCCCTAATCCCCAATTTTATCCACTTACTTTGCAACCTTTGTCATGCAGTTGACAACTTCCATCTTATCTTGTAGCTGCCTGCTTCATCTTTAAAAGAGCACATTAGGAACACTTCATATGAACTGACAGTCTCTAAGGTTCAGAACTGTCCTCTTTAACTCACAGTTCCTAGACAGTGCACACTTCACCTCTACATTTATCCTTCAAAGACTTCAGAAAAATAGCAGCAGCAGTTACATTTCAGATTATGTGTGTGTTTGTGTGTGTGTGCCTTCTTTCTGTGCCTTAAAAAACCTAGAAGTATGTGTCTGATTCACTACTTCACACTACGTCTTCTCATTTAATAATTCGCATTACAAAGCAAGTCCCACAGTCTCCATTTTAAACTAGATAGTTTTTAAAAACAGCAATTGATTGACTCAAGATCTTTATATTGTGTTACCTACTTTTTACTCATTACCCTCATTAATTTTCTGATAAATTCTTCCTACAATCCCTCATATTTCATTCTTCTTGCCCTTAGTATTAAATGTGTTTGGAAGAGATAATATTTTTCTATTTCTCTTTTCACTCCATATTTTCTCCCAGTCTGTCTTTCTTTCTGTCTTTCGTTCTTTTCTTCTTTTCCTCCTTCGTTTTGTTTCTAGCTTCCATTCTATTCAGGCTGTTTATTTCATTTGTTTCAATAATTATTGAGGGGAGGTGGAGCCAAGATGGCCCAAGAGGAACAGCTCTGGTCTACAGCTCCCAGCGTGAGCGGCACAGAACATGGGTGATTTCTGCATTTCCATCTGAGGTACTGGGTTCATCTCACTAGGGAGTGCCAGACAGTGGGCGCAGGAAAGTGGATGCAGTGCACCGTGTGCAAGCCAAAGCAGGGCGAGGCATTGCCTCACTCGGGAAGCGCAAGGGGTCAGGAAGTTCCGTTTCCTAGTCAAAAAAAGGGGTGACAGATGACACCTGGAAAATCAGGTCACTCCCACCCTAAAACTGCGCTTTTCCGACGGGCTTAAAAAACGGTGCACCAGGAGATTGTATCCCACACCTGGCTTGGAGGGTTCTACGCCCACGGAGTCTCACTGATTGCTAGCGCAGCAGTCTGAGATCAAACTGCAAAGCGGCAGCGAGGCTGGGGGAGGGGCACCCGCCATTGCCCAGGCTCACTTAGGTAAACAAAGCAGCTGGGAAGCTCCAACTGGGTGGAGCCCATCACAGCTCAAGGAGGCCTGCCTGCCTCTGTAGGCTCCACTTCTGGGGGCAGGGCACAGATAAAAAGACAGCAGTAACCTCTGCAGACTTAAAGGTCCCTGTCTGACAGCTTTGAGGAGAGCAGTGGTTCCCCCAGCATGCAGCTGGAGATCTGAGAATGAGCAGACTGCCTCTTCAAGTGGGTCCCTGACCCCTGACCCCCGAGCAGTCTAGCTGGGAGGCACCCCCCAGTAGGGGCAGACTGACACCTTACATGGCCGGGTACTCCTCTGAGACAAAACTTCCAGAGGAATGATCAGACAGCAGCATCCGCGGATCACGAAAATCCGCGGTTCTGCAGACACAGCTGCTGATACCCAAGCAAACAGGGTCTGGAGTGGACCTCTAGCAAACTCCAACAGACCAGCAGCTGAGGGTTCTGTCTGTTAGAAGGAAAACTAACAAACAGAAAGGACATCCACACCAAAAACCCATCTGTACATCACCATCATCAAAGACCAAAAGTAGATAAAACCACAAAGATGGGGAAAAAACAGAGCAGAAAAACTGGAAACTCTAAAAATCAGAGTGCCTCTCCTCCTCCAAAGGAACGCAGTTCTTCACCAGCAACGGAACAAAGCTGGACAGAGAATGACTTTGACGAGTTGAGAGAAGAAGGCTTCAGACGATCAAACTACTCCGAGCTACAGGAGGACATTCAAACCAAAGGCAAAGCAGTTGAAAACTTTGAAAAAAATTTAGACGAATGTATAACTAGAATAACCAATACAGAGAAGTGCTTAAAGGAGCTGATGGAGCTGAAAGCCAAGGCTCGAGAACTACGTGAAGAATGCAGAAGCCTCAGGAGCAGATGTGATCAACTGGAAGAAAGGGTATCAGTGATGGAAGATGAAATGAATGAAATGAAGCAAGAAGGGAAGTTTAGAGAAAAAAGAATAAAAAGAAACAAACAAAGCCTCCAAGAAATATGGGACTATGTGAAAAGACCAAATCTACGTCTGATTGGTGTACCTGAAAGTGATGGGGAGAATGGAACCAAGTTGGAAAACACTCTGCAGGACATTATCCAGGAAAACTTCCCCAATCTAGCAAGGCAGGCCAACATTCAGATTCAGGAAATAAAGAGAATGCCACAAAGATACTCCTCGAGAAGAGCAACTCCAAGACACGTAGTTGTCAGATTCACCAAAGTTGAAATGAAGGAAAAAATGTTAAGGGCATCCAGAGAGAAAGGTCGGATTACCCACAAAGGGAAGCCTATCAGACTAACAGTGGATCTCTCGGCAGAAACTCTACAAGCCAGAAGAGAGTGGGGGCCAATATTCAACATTCTTAAAGAAAAGAATTTTCAACCCAGAATTTCATATCCAGCCAAACTAAGCTTCATAAGTGAAGGAGAAATAAAATCCTTACAGAAAAGCAAATGCTGAGAGATTTTGTCACCACACTAGGCCTGCCCTAAAAGAGCTCCTGAAGGAAGCACTAAAGATAGAAAGGAACAACCAGTACCAGCCACTGCAAAATCATGCCAAATTGTAAAGACCATCGAGGCTAGGAAGAAACTGCATCAACTAACGAGCAAAATAACCAGCTAACATCATAATGACAGGATCAAATTCACACACAACAATATTAACTTTAAATGTAAATGGACTAAATGCTCCAATTAAAAGACACAGACTGGCAAATTGGATAAAGAGTCAAGACTCATCAATGTGCTGTATTCAGGAAACGCATCTCACGTGCAGAGACACACATAGGCTCAAAATAAAAGGATGGAGGAAGATCTACCAAGCAAATGGAAAACAAAAAAAGGCAGGGGTTGCAATCCTAGTCTCTGATAAAACAGACTTTCAACCAACAAAGATCAAAAGACACAAAGAAGGCCATTACATAATGGTAAAGGGATCAATTCAACAAGAAGAGCTAACTATCCTAAATATATATGCACCCAATACAGGAGCACCCAGATTCATAAAGCAAGTCCTGAGTGACTTACAAAGAGACTTAGGCTCCCACACAATGATAATGGGAGACTTTAACACCCCACTGTCAACATTGGACAGATCAACAAGACAGAAAGTTAACAAGGATACCCAGGAATTGAACTCAGCTCTGCACCAAGTGGACCTAATAGACATCTACAGAACTCTCCACCCCAAATCAACAGAATATACATTTTTTTCAGCACCACATCATACCTATTCCAAAATTGACCACATAGTTGGAAGTAAAGCACTCCTCAGCAAACGTAAAAGAACAGAAATTATCACAAACTGTCTCTCAGACCACAGTACAATCAAACTAGAACTCAGAGTTAAGAAACTCACTCAAAACCACTCAACTACATGGAAACTGAACAACCTGCTCCTGAATGACTACTGGGTACATAACGAAATGAAGGCAGAAATAAAGATGTTCTTTGAAACCAACGAAAACAAAGACACAACATACCGGAATCTCTGGGACACATTCAAAGCAGTGTGTACAGGGAAATTTATAGCACTAAATGCCCACAAGAGAAAGCAGGAAAGATCCAAAATTGACACCCTAACATCACAATTAAAAGAACTAGAAAAGCAAGAGCAAACACATTCAAAAGTTAGCAGAAGGCAAGAAATAACTAAAATCAGAGCAGAACGGAAGGAGATAGAGACACAAAAAACCCTTCAAAAAATCAATGAATCCAGGAGCTGGTTTTTTGAAAAGATCAACAAAATTGATAGACTGCTAGCAAGACTAATAAAGAAGAAAAGAGAGAAGAATCAAATAGACGCAATAAAAAATGATAAAGGGGATATCACCACCGATCCCACAGAAATACAAACTACCATCAGAGAATACTACAAACACCTCTATGCAAATAAACTAGAAAGTCTAGAAGAAATGGATAAATTCCTCAACACATGCACCCTCCCAAGACTAAACCAGGAAGAAATTGAATCTCTGAATAGACTAATAACAGGCTCTGAAATTGTGGCAATAATCAATAGCTTACCAACCAAAAAGAGTCCAGGACCAGATGGATTCACAGCCGAATTCTACCAGAGGTACAAGGAGGAACTGGTACCATTCCTTCTGAAACTATTCCAATCAATAGAAAAAGAGGGAATCCTCCCTAACTCATTTTATGAGGCCAGCATCATCCTGATACCAAAGCCTGTCAGAGACACAACCATAAAAGAGAATTTTAGACCAATATCCTTGATGAACATTGATGCAAAAATCCTCAATAAAATACTGGCAAACTGAATCCAGCAACACATCAAAAAGCTTATGCAACATGATCAAGTGGGCTTCATCCCTGGGATGCAAGGCTGGTTCAATATATGCAAATCAATAAATGTAATCCAGCATATAAACAGAACCAAAGACAAAAACCACATGATTATCTCAATAGATGCAGAAAAGGCCTTTGACAAAATTCAACAACCCTTCGTGCTAAAAACTCTCAATAAATTAGGTATTGATGGGACATATCTCAAAATAATAAGAGCTATCTATGACAAACCCACAGCCAATATCATACTGAATGGGCAAAAACTAGAAGCATTCCCTTTGAAAACGGGCACAAGACAGGGATGCCCTCTCTCACCACTCCTATTCAACATAGTGTTGAAACTTCTGGCCAGGGCAATTAGGCAGGAGAAGGAAATAAAGGGTATTCAATTAGGAAAAGAGGAAGTCAAATTGTCCCTGTTTGCAGATGACATGATTGTATATCTAGAAAACCTCATCGTCTCAGCTCAAAATCTCCTTAAGCTGATAGGCAACTTCAGCAAAGTCTCAGGATACAAAATCAATGTACAAAAATCACAAGCATTCTTATACACCAGTAGCAGACAGAGAGTCAAATCATGAGTGAACTCCCATTCACAATTGCTTCAAAGAGAATAAAATACCTAGGAATCCAACTTACAAGGGACGTGAAGGACCTCTCCAAAGAGAACTACAAACCACTGCTCAATGAAATAAAAGAGGATACAAACAAATGGAAGAACATTCCATGCTCAAGGATAGGAAGAACCAATATCATGAAAATGGCCATACTGCCCAAGGTAATTTATAGATTCAATGCCATCCCCATCAAGCTACCAATGACTTTCTTCACAGAATTGGAAAAAACTACTTTAAAGTTCATATGGAACCAAAAAAGAGCCCGCATCGCCATGTCAATCCTAAGCCAAAAGAACAAAGCTGTAGGCATCACGCTACCAGACTTCAAACTATACTACAAGACTACAGTAACCAAAACAGCATGGTACTGGTACCAAAACAGAGATATAGATCAATGGAACAGAACAGAGCCCTCAGAAATAACGCCGCATATCTACAACTATCTGATCTTTCACAAACCTGAGAAAAACAAGCAATGGGGAAAAGATTCCCTATTTAATAAATGGTGCTGGGCAAACTGGCTAGCCATATGTAGAAAGCTGAAATTGGATCCCTTCCTTACACCTTATACAAAAATTAATTCAAGATGGATTAAAGACTTAAACATTAGACCTAAAACCATAAAAACCCTAGAAGAAAACCTAGGCATTACCATTCAGGACATAGGCATGGGCAAGGACTTCATGTCAAAAACACCAAAAGCAATGACAACAAAAGCCAAAATTGACAAATGGGGTCTAATTAAACTAAAGAGCTTCTGCACAGCAAAAGAAACTACCATCAGAGTGAACAGGCAACCTACAAAATGGGAGAAAATTTTCACAACCTACTCATCTGACAAAGGGCTAATATCCAGAATCTACAATGAACTCAAACAAATTTACAAGAAAAAACAAACAACCCCATCAAGAAGTGGGTGAAGGATATGAACAGACACTTCTCAAAAGAAGACATTTATGCAGCCAAAAAACACATGAAAAAATGCTCACCATCACTGGCCATCAGAGAAATGCAAATCAAAACCACAATTAGAAACCATCTCACACCAGTTAGAATGGCGATCATTAAAAAGTCAGGAAACAACAGGTGCTGGAGAGGATGTGGAGAAATAGGAACACTTTTACACTGTTGGTGGGACTGTAAACTAGTTCAATCATTGTGGAAGTCAGTGTGGCAATTCCTCAGGGATCTAGAACTAGAGATACCATTTGACCCAGCCATCCTATTACTGGGTATATACCCAAAGGACTATAAATCATGCTGCTATAAAGACATGCAGACGTATGTTTATTGTGGTACTATTCACAATAGCAAAGACTTGGAACCAACCCAAATGTCCAGCAATGATAGACTGGATTAAGAAAATGTGGCACATATACACCATGGAATACTATGCAGCCATAAAAAATGATGAGTTCATGTCCTTTGTAGGGATATAGATGAAATTGGAAATCGTCATTCTCAGTAAACTATCGCAAGAACAAAAAACCAAACACCACATATTCTCACTCACAGGTGGGAATTGAACAGTGAGAACACATGGACACAGAAAGAGGAACATCACACTCTGGGGACTGTTGTGGGGTGGGGAGCGTGGGGAGGGATAGCTTTAGGAGATATACTTAATGCTAAATGACGAGTTAATGGGTGCAGCACACCAGCATGGCACATGTATACATATGTAACTAACCTGCACATTGTGCACATGTACCCTAAAACTTAAAGTATAATAGTAAAAAAATAAAAAAATAAAAAACCACTTTTACCCCTAAAGCTACTGAAATAAAAAAAGTATTAAACAAACAAAAATAAATAAATAAATAAATAAATAAATAAATAAATAAATAAATATTGATGACATCTATATACCATGAAGTCTTATAGGCACAAGAGATTTTTTAAAGTAAGCCAAAGGACAACAGAAATAAAATGTCTCTCCTAATTTATGAAGCTAATAATTGAGGTCAAATGATAAAATGTAGAAAAAATAGAGAAAAATCATAACTCTGGTCATTGCTATAGAAGGGATAGATTGGAGTGTTTTAATCAGATTTAATATAAAGGTTTATTTTAGTAGTAAAAATCAGAGCATTCCCTGAAAAAAGTGCACATTGAGCTTGGATATAAAGGAGGAATTAAAATCATCTTTTTGAAATGAAATAACTTTTTAGGGAAAGGAAGTATCATTGAGCTTCTTCCTTTCGCAACACTCCACAATTTGGTGCATAATATTTCAGAGCACGTCCAGGGTGTTCCTGTGCTCTGGGGAAATGAAGTTTCATGTGTAATACCATTCTTCTCCTGACTTCCTCTTTGCCACTGAACACACATCTTCACCACCACTCTCTCCTATAGACCATCAAGACAAACATAATTTACATTTTATTCCTCTTTTTGACAGCTATCCAAAAAATACTAGAATAACCAGCTTGTCTATTCTACACCACTAAGAACATATTCCCTATCATCTCTGACCAGTAAAAGCACCTCCCTTATTTACTCTCCTGTGCCTCATGCTAATTCTAATTCCTGTTTTATTTTTCTGCAAAACAGCTATCACCATGTGATATATTTTATTTATTCATTTATTATTCTGTTCCTCACAACTGAAAGTAACCTCTAAAAGAGTGGGATATTTGTTTTGTTCACTGCTTTCTCCTCAATGCCCAGAATAGTACCTGCCTCAGAGTAAAAACTTAATAAATATATTTGTTATAGCACGAATATGCAGTTTTCCAGCATGATCCAACAACAAGATTTAGATGGAAGAATATTTAAACATATTGGCATGTAGATACCACCAATATCTCTAGTCCAGATACCTTTGTAAAATTAAACTACTGATCTCACACCCATTTGGCTTTTCAAGATTATTGTAAATTTACAGTCTTAAATTTATTTTCTAATTGTGTTCTTCATCTGTCTTGTTTTACTCCTTCACTCTATTTCTGAAAACAGCATCACCTTCCATCTACTCTCCCATTTAAAAATCCAAGTCATTATTTCTCAGTCTTTACCCTATCAATTTCTCATTCTAAACACCATGTGGGTCTGTCCTCTACTCACCAGTCCACTTGTTATAATTCTCAGAAAAGCTGTTATATATGTTCTCTGTCTGCTATTTCTTCTACTTAGAATATTTCCCATCACTTGTTAATGTGTTTTATCATTTAGAAAACTCTTTTATTCTCTATATCAGTTGAAATTCTATAGGAAATGGTTCCCCAGGTGGATCAAGGTATATTAATCCTATGCATCCATAAACTGCACTTTCATGTTCTCCAAGTCTCCTGTTGCACTTAGCTCATTGCATTACAAGACTTTCCCTAAATATTCAGGAGCTAGATTCCCAAATCCTTGTTTTCCTAGTACCTGGTGTAATCCAACACCCAAAAGGAGCTGCAGTTTTGTTCAACTTCTTTTCACCCAATGCGCACTTTTATAACCTGACATCATCATTGATATTGTAGCTTATTCTATATTGTCTGAAGAACTAACAAATTCTTGAGGTCAGGGTACAGTGTCTCTCACATTTTAGTATCTTCATCTTGGTTACCGAATATATACAATTTTCTAGGCACTTTTTGTGCTTTCCCTGGGACACTGATACAACCTCCCATTCCATATTTATATCCATGATTTCTTCTCTTTAGACCTCAAATCATCTTTTCTCTTTTTTGGTTTTCTTATGATAGCACTGCTGCCTCTCACTCAGGTGCTCATTTTGCACAATATCTGAGGCAAACATTTATATTATGTATTTTATTCTAGATTATAAATTCTCTAAAGGTGAGAGATTTTATGTCATCTCTTATATGGAAATGTAAAATATTGCCTCTAAAGTTGTTGTGGATTCAGACAATCCTAGATTTGTCATGGGCTGGTAATAGGAACATGAAAGACTAAGTTGATCAACTGTATAATTGGGCATTTCATCTGTGTATGATGGTAGTGAAGAGGGAACACCTGCAGGAAATTTTCAGGATATGGTGATCAAGTCTGATGGACTGGTGATGCAATTACACAGCACTGTCTTCCCCTTTCTGAAAATGTTTATTTTACTTTATCATATTCAATTGTACTGAAATTGTGCTTCTTGTGCCAGAAGAATAAGACATTTCTGCTTAGGACACTATTTTACTTTGTCTTGTTAGATGTGTACATGTCTAAGAAAAAAATGGACTGGAAACTGGCTTCAGATAATGCAAGTAACCATGAACTGACCATGAGTACTGCCCTACGTACTAATGGCAGAGAGAATCCTGTCATCTTAACCTTATGCTTTCTTCCTAGGAATGACAAAAGGATGTTCTAGCAAGACTACTCTGCTTCCTTTCCCTGTAGAAGATAATATGGTCAAAACAGACATTCTCACCCACAGACACAAAGTCTGAGTTGACACAGGTAATAAGTGGCGCACACAAAAAGAAATGGTAGATAACAAGGAAGTATATAAATTGTCAATAAACTGCCATAAAAATGTCCATGCTCCCTAATGTCCCAACTGGCAATTTTGTAGAAATTCACAAGCTGATTTTAAAATGTATGTGGAAAGGTAAAAGACCTAAAATAGAAAAAATGACTTTGATAAAGAACAACTAAGTTTACTTCAACTGAAATTATTATATTAAATTTAAAATACATAAAGCACTTAGAAGATTGTGGGAAAATAAAACATAATGAAAGAATAGTCAAAGAGGAAAAGCTTTTAAAGTAAATTAATTTGAGGTATCTACATTATTTAAATATTCTCTTTTATGAAATGTCTATTCAGTGCACCACTTTTAATTGGGTTGTCTTCTTGATATTTTATGGAAATGGTTTTCATATTCTGTATATGAGTCATTTGAAAATTGACTCATATGTGTATATATGAATTAAAAATATGAAACTGTGCTCCCAGATGTGAATTTTCAGTCACTTAATGGTGGTTTTTGATGGACAAAATTTCTTAATATGCTCTAATTATACATCTTATCTTTATAGTTAACACACTTCTGTCCTAATGCTATGGTTTGGATGTGGTATCTCCCTGCCAAAACTCATGTTGAAGTTTAATTGCCAGTGCATCAGTATTAGGAGGTGGGGTCTAGTGGGAGGTGTTTGGGTCATTGTGGAGGATCTCTCATGAATAGATTAATGCTCTCCCATGGAGCGAATGAGTTCTCACTCTAGTGGGAATGGATTAGTTCCCACAAGAGCAGGTTATTTTTTTTAGAGAGTCTTTCTTCCTCTTGCATCATATGATCTCTTTGTACACATGTGCTCCCCTTCTGCTTTCCATTATTACTGGAAGCAGCACGAGGCCCTCACCAGATGCAGCTGTTCAATCTTGAAACTTCCAGCCACCAGAATCATGAGTCAAATAAACTTCTATTCTTTATCAATTACCCAGTCTCAGGGAACTTGTTATAGCAACACAAAATGGACTAAGACAACTGATTTTTAAAAAATCTTTGTCTACTACAAACGAAGATATTATCCTATGGTATCTTAAAGGGAAACAATTTAATCTGCATTAAAATACCTGTTTCTGTTAATTTAAAGTACCGATATTAAGGATTAACCTAATATCTTATGAGTTATAATAGCAGCCAATGAGTATTAGAAGAATAAACATAATTACCTAGTATTGCCAATGCTCCTAAATAGAACCAATTATCTATTAGAGTTGACTAGGATATCTATGGCTTCACCAACTGCCCTTTGTGAAGCATTGTGTAGCTGGGCTTTGGGGCAGGACCTTGAGATAGCATCAAAAAACAGAGACTTTATATAGATTCAAGGAGACCTGCAAGTATGTGGATACTTTTACAAAAATCAATAAATGTAAAGGAATAATTACAGGTAAGAATGAAGAACATTGAAGATTTTATACGTGACTAACTAAGTATGAACTAACTCCCACTGACACAAAGGAAATGATCAGACTAGCAAGTCCAAGTGGGAATTGCCCTTACAATTATAATTCTGCTCCAGATTTCATTCCCATTTTCAAAGTCCTCAGGCCAGAGTGCACAAACACATCTTTCTGTACGTTGTTTTACATTGATTATTTGACCACAAACCTTTATGGTTCAGATTTATGTTTCAAAGGATACATGAGACACCCACAAACTTCAATTCTCAATAATAGGCTTACTGTTTTGTTTCAAATTTTTAGCAATCTAGTGAGCTACTCTGAATTTCACAGTCTTCTGCTAATTAAGCTAATGACAAGAGACAATGGTCTATTTTTAAAAATCTACGTATCCTAAATCTGCTCCATCACTCATGATCATAAAGCTTTTGGTGATAATCATTTTTAATTAAACTCTTAAAGATAATTGCAGATTGCATGCCGCTATAAGAAATAGTATAGAGAAATCCCATAAACCCTTAAACAGGTCCCCCAATAATATTATCTTTTAAAATTTTAGTACAATATCACAAACAGAATACTGACATTTATGTAGACATGATACAGAACAATTCCAGCCCCATGCTGATCCCTCATGTTGCCCTTTTATAACCATATCTACTTCCCTCCCACACCCACCACGTCTTTGGCCCCAAGTAACTTCTAATTTCTTCTCCTTTTGTACAATTTTGCCATGACAAGAATGTTATTTGATGGAATTCTATAGTATGTACCCTTATATGATTGCTTTTTCCATTCACCATAATACTCTAGAGCATCACCTACCATGTTGCATGATCAGTAGTCCATTCCTTTTTATTGCTGAGTAGTATTCCATACTGCTCATGTAATGCAGTTATACCTGCATTACACTATTCACTTTTGTGCCAAATCAAAGAACTGTTTGCCTAGCCCTCAATACCAAAGATTTTCTCTTGTTTATTTTCTAAGTTTTATAGTTTCACATTTTTACATTAGCTCTCTGGTCAATTTAGAGTTATTTTTTGCATCAGTTATGAGATTTAGGTAGGTCAAAAATTTTTTCTTTTTTTTCTTTGAATGTGCAATTGCTCCAGTACCATTTGTTGAAAAGGCTGTCTTCTTTACCATTGAATTGTTTTGCTTCTTTGTCAAAACTTGGTTGTATATTTTTCCAGGGATTATTTCTGAATTCTCTGTTTGTTTTTTCCATTGATCTATGTATTCATCTCTTGCGCAGAAACACATTATCTTGATTACTGTAGCTATGTAAGTCTTGAAATTGGGTAGCTGTTTTCTCCCATTTTATTCTTTTTCAAAATTGTTTTGCTATGCTAGTTCCTTTGTCTTTCTATAAAAATTCTTAAATAATCTTGTCTATATCTACAAAAATCTTGCTGGAATTCTGATTATAGTTACATTAAATCTTTATATCAGTTCGAGAGAATTGACATATTTACTATGTTGAGTTGTTCAATCTATGAACATGGTATGTCTCTCCATTAACAAATTATTTGATATTTTTATTAGCATTATGTAGTTTTCAGTATGGAAGTCTAGTATGTGTTTTATTGAATTTACATCTAAGTTGGGGTATTTTAGCAATGGTAACTCCATTTTGATAATACATTTGTACAAATGATAATACATTTTGCATTTTGGTGTCTGCATATTTACTGCTGATATATCAAAATATAATTGATTTTTGTATGATTATCTTGTGTCCTGTATGCGTAGTTAACTCACTTGTAGTTCTAAAAATTATTTTTGTAGAGTTCTTAGTATTTTCTACATAGACAATGTTGACATCTGCAAAGTTTTCCTAGGATCCTTTACTATTTTTTCCTTTCTGCTCCTATACTTTTTCATTCTTTTCCTTGCTTTATTGCAGTGGTGAGAACTTCCAGCATTATAATGAATAAAAGTAGAAAAGAGTGTACATCCTTTCCTTGTCCTGATTTTGGTGGGGAGAACAGTCATTGTCATTAACTATAATGCCAGCTGTGTTTTTTGGATATGTTTCTTCTTTCTAATTTTCTGATTTTCTTTATCATGATGAGGTATTACATTTTGTCAAATTACTTTTCTGCATCACATAATCAGGTAATTTTTATCCTGTTTATATTGTTGATTACATTTATTTTTTTCAAATATTGAACCAATCCTCAATCATGGAATAAGCAATACTTGGTCATAGTGTGTAATTCTTTACATATATAGCTGAAATTTAGTTGCTAATATTTTGTTTAAAATTGTTCTGTTCATTGGTGGTGTCGTATTTCCCTGCTTTTCATGTTTTTTGTGTCCTTCTGTTGGTATCTACACATCTGGTATAGCCATCACTTGTTTCAATGTTTTGAAATTGCATTTGTAGGGGAATAGTTTTTTCTGAAGATGTACATATGTTGTTGGTTGAGTAGGATATTTTGGCTTTGATTTTGAGTGCCTGCACTGTAAAGAAAACAATTAATAACATGAAAAGATAACTCAAAAATAGGAGAAAATATTTACAAAGCATATATCTAATAAAGGCTTAATCTGCAAAATAAGTAACTCATACGACTCAATAGAAACAAACAAATAACTTGATTTTTTAAATGTGCAAATGAATAGACATTTCTCCCAAGAAGACATATAATTGGCCAATGGGGTATTTGCCAATAGGTAGTGCAATGTTTGTGTGATTTCTTTGGCAGTACACAGGACCCGTGGTATCTGTGATTTCCTTGGTGGCTTGTGGTACAGTTGTTAGTTGAGGCTGTAGTAAGGTTTTATTGAGGACTTGGACCTAACTGAGCCAGACTTTGGGCCCCAGTGGCACCAGAATAGCTTATGCTGGCTCCAGTGTTTGTGGGTCCTGGAGGGCTAATTCTTGGGCCTCCGATCCATATGTTAATATATCCCTCTATCTATTTATAGTTTTGATTTGCATTTTCTTAATGATTAGTGACGTTGAGCATCTTTTCAAATATCTATTGGCCAATTATATGTCTTCTTTGGAGAAATACTAATTCATTTGCACATTTTAAAAATCAAGTTATTTATCTGTTTCTATCGAGTTGCATGAGCTACTTATGTATTTTGTAGGTTAACCCCTTATTAGATATGTGGTTTGCAAATATTTTTTCAGATTTTGGGATTTATCTTTTCATGTTATAATTTTTTTCTTTGTAGTGCAGAAGATTTTTAGTTTGATGTACTTCCACTTTATTTTTGTTTGTGTTGCCTGTAATTTTGGTGTCATACCCAAGAAATCATTGCCAGGACCAATAAAATGAAGATTTCACCCTACATTTTCTTCTAGGCATTTTGCATTTTCAGGTCTTTCATTTAAGTCTTTAATTTATTTTAGGATTGTTCTTCTGTCTGATGCAGGATAAGGGTCAAATTTTATTCTTTTTAAGTGGATTTCCACTTTTCCTACACCAATTGTTGAAGAGACTATCATTTTTCCATTATTTATCTTAGCATCCTTATTGGAGATCAGCTGACCATATATGTATGGATTTATTTCTGGGCTGTCTGTTCTGTTTCATTGGTCTATATGTCTGTCTTTATAGCAACATCGTACTGTTTTAATTACTGTAGCTTTCTAAAATATTTTAATCAGGAAGTATGATGTTTCCAGCTTTGTTCTTTCTCAGGATTGATTTGGTTGTTCATGGTGTTTTGTGGATTTGCCTAAATCTTACAATTGTTTTTTCCATTTTAATCCAAAACGCCATTGACATTTTGACAAGGATTGCACTGAATCTGTAGATCACTTTGAATAGTAAAGACTTTAATAACATTAAGTCTTCCAATTCATAAACACAGGATATCTTTCTATTATTTGAGGCTTTAATTTCTTTTATCCATTATTATTGTTTCAGTATAAGAGTCTTTTACCTTCTTAGTGCAGTTCATTTCTAAGTATTTATTCTTTTTGGTGCTATCGCAAATGGGGTTGTTTTCCTAATTTTTTTTCAGAGATTTTGTTGTTAGTTTATAGAATTGCAACTGATTTTTACATGTTGTTTTCATGTCCTACAACTTTACTGAATGTGTTTGTTAGTTCTAACAGCTTTTTGGTGGAGTCTTTAGGGTTTTCTACAAATCAGGTTATATTGTCTGTAAACAGGAACAGTTTAACAGCCTTCTTCTCTTCAATATTTTAGGAAGAGCTTGAGAAATATTAGGGTTAATTCTTTAAATATTTGGTAGAATTCACCCATGAAACCGTCTGGTCCTAAGCTTTTCTTTGTTGGGAATTTTTAAATTACTGAATCAATCTTTATGCAAATTATAAGCCTGTTGTAAACATTCTATTTCTGTATTATTTAATGTTGATAGATTGTATATGTGTAGGAATTTATCCATTTATTTTAGGTTATAGTTTACTGGTGTATAATTTTTCATAGTTGTGTCTTATGATCATTTTCATTTCTGTGGCATTAGTAGTAACATATTTTCTTTCATTTTTGGTATTATTTATTTGAGCCTTTTGTCTTTTTTTCTAAGTCTAGCTAAGAGTTTGTCGATTTTTTTTTACCTTTTCAGAAAACCAACTCTTAGTCTTACTGAGGGTTTTCTAATGTCATTATAATAAATTTTTCATTTATTTCTTCTCTAATCTTTGTTTTTTCTTTCCTCTGCTAACCTTGGGTTTAGTTTATTCTTCTTTTATAGCCCCTTTAAGTATAAATTTAGGTTCTTTAAGATTTTTCTTTTTTTAATATAGGCATTTATTGCTATGAACTTCCCTCTTAATACTATTTTGGTGCATTCTGTAAGTTTTAGTATGTTGTACTTCATTTTTGTAATTTCTAATTTCTTTTTATTTTTTCCTTTGACCCAGTGGTTGTTCGAGAGTTTGTTATTTAATTTCCACATATTTGTAAATTTTTTAGGTTTCTTTCTGCTGTTGCTTTCTAGTTTTATTTCATGGTGGTCAGAAATGATTTTTAGTTAAATTTGAATCTTTTTAAATTTGTTAAGATCTGTAACTTAACATGTGGTCTATCCTGGAGAAAGACCTACATGCTTAAGAAGAATCTGTATTCTTCTACTGGTAGGTGGAATGCTCTGTATATGTCTTTTAAGTCCATTTGGTCTACAGTGTTATTCAAGTCCTCTGTTTCCTTATTGGTCTTTTGCCTGGATTTGCTATCTACTACTGAAAGTAGGGTATTGAAGAGTTCTACTATTACTGTATTGTTATCTATTTCTCCCTACAGTTCTGTCAATGTTTGCCTTATATATTTAGTTGTGCATATGCTGGGTGTATATATATTTACAATTTTAGTAGCCTCTTGATTAATTGGCCGCCTTATCACTGTACAGAGCCCTTGTCTAGTGTGTCAGATTTTAACTTCAAGTCTATTTTGTCTGATATAAGTATAGTCATCCTATTGTCTTTTGCTGGCATTTGTAAAAAAAAAAAA
Source organism: Homo sapiens (assembly GCF_000001405.40). Taxonomy (NCBI): domain Eukaryota; kingdom Metazoa; phylum Chordata; class Mammalia; order Primates; family Hominidae; genus Homo; species Homo sapiens. The sequence continues at coordinate 54,873,325 of NC_000012.12, read as the reverse complement.
AAAAAAAAAGAAATTCTCCCCTACTTCTAGCCTATGTCTATTCTTCATTTCAAAGTGAGCTTCTTATAGACAGCTTATACTTTCAGTCTTATATTTTTCATCCATTCAGCCACTGCCTTTTCAGTGAGGAGATTAGATTAATTCATTTACCTTTAAGGTAATAAATAAATTAGCCATGGTAGAAACATTGTACCCTAGAAACCAAAAAATGCTATAAATAGAAGACTTTATGTTTTAAAAAATGTTTTAAAAATATTTATCAGCAAATTACTAGAAATTACTAGAAATATTTATGTTTGTGTTCCTGATTGTATTTTAAGTTCTTAGAGTCACATTTTTTGTTCTTCTGACTTCTTACTCTTCTACTACTGTCATCACCAGTATTTGTGAAAATCCTTAATGTAACAGACAAAACCAATATTAATTTTATTAATAGTAATAATAAATTAACCCAATTAAATAAAGCAACCTTCCTCTTGGGGCTATTGACTATCCTTCAAGAAAATGGATCAGAATAGAGTAGGAAATGAAAATGAGATGTAGGTTCCAGAACTCAAAGACTTACAAAGATAAAGACAAAACAAAGTTTACAGATGCATCAGAAAATATTTGTTCTCTATAAGTAAGTCAAGAATGTGGAATTTTAGGGACCGTGTAAAGTGTTTCATGCCCTCACAACTACATGAGCACAAAGTTTCCTAAGACCAAGGAGAGCTTGAGCATTATGCACACATACACCTTGAGAACTCATATTGCCATTTCTTAACTTTTATGGAACTTTGAAGACAGCTGAATGCAATGGTATAGGACCAAAAAGAGTACAAGGTATCTGAATTTGATTTTTGTCTCCATGACAACTTGTGTCTTTCTCTCTGAATCTTTCAATTTTCATAAATAATCAAAAGATTTCCCAAATATATTTAAATCTAAAGTAAAAATAATATAACAGGATAAGTAGTTGGATTAAAACCAAGCTTTGATTCCTAGTAGCTGTTGTGATCTTTGCATGACATAACTTTATTGAGTCATAGTGTTCTTTTCTATAAAATAAGAATGATAATACTTGTAAACCATACGGTCTGAGAGGAAAACAATGAGATAACCTATGGAAAGGATTTAGCATATGCCTATGATGTTATTAAATGTTACTATTGTTAGCATTATTAACAGTTTAAGAATTGCCCTCAATATCCCCTCTTTTATGCTTAAATTTCTTTAAATAATGCAATGATGTGTTTGTCCCACTCTATTCACTTTCAATGCCATTGCCACACTTTCAACAAACAGCATATGAGAAAGCATAGCAAAGAGACCTGCATTTACAGATAGCCAAAACTCATACAACCTGAAATCTAGTGAGGATCAAGGTGGATATTTCCAAGTAAATAATTATAAATTTATTTTAACATTCCTAATGTAACACACAGTTTCTGCGTAACAAAATTAAATCATTTGCTTAAGATCGTATAACAAAAGCTAAAATACAGGGTTCTCCATTTACTAACTGTGTAACTTTGTAAAATTTATTTAAGGATTAACCTTCTAGTTCCCCAATTGTAAAATGGGAATATTAATAAAATATCATATTTTAAATAATCTATTAAAGTTAGAGTCAATCCTCATTATTCATAGGTTGCATATCTGCACATCTGTCTACTTGCTAAAGCTTATTTCTAAGCCCAAAGTCAATACTCAGTGTACTTTCATGGTCCTTTATGGACATGCAGAGCTGGTGAAAACTTTGTCACCGATGTGCATGTTTCCAGCTGAGGATGAACAAGGCAATGCTCTGCCTCCTTGTTTCAGTTCTCATACTGTAAAGTTTTGTTAGTGAGTGATCTACTCAGTGCCATGTTTTCATATTTTTATTAATTTTCTTGATGATTTCACTGTTTAAAATGTCTTGCAAGCATAGTACTGAAGTGCTGTCCAGTGTTCCAAAGTACAAAAACACTGTGATGTGCCATAGGGAAAAAATATGTGGGTTAGATAAACATCATTGAGACATGAATTATAACGCTGTTGGACATGAGTTCAATGTTAATAAATCAGAATATATATTAAATAGAATAACTTTAAAACAGAAACACACATTATTTTAATAAAGTTTTGCTTTGATCAGTTGACAAAAATGTGCCAGAGGCTTTCAGGAATATAACCCTTTACTATGCTAAGAACAATGGTTCATTAGGCACAAATTCAGAGTTTGTGGAGACTTTTTAGAACATAACTCCTGCAAATATTGATAATTGACTATACATATAAAAAGAACCTAAAATATTTCTGGATCTCCATAACTAGTAGATGTCATCATCTTCTTAACCATCATTAACGTAATTAAATAAATTCAAGAGTTTGGCCTAAGGTTAGAAAGACTGGCTTAGAGATAAACGGAAGATATACTAAACTAGCACATAGTCAAGTATTCTAAAATGGAAAACTGTTCAGCTTGAGTCTAAGGGAATCATCAAAAGATGAGTCACAGGACTATTGGGCCACCACCTGTTTGTAAAGGAAGCTTCATTGGAACGTAGTCACACCCATCTGTTTACCTATTGTCTACAGCTGCACTACAATAGCGATGTTGACTAGTTCCGACAGAATATATGCCCCCATAAAGTCTGTCTGCTCATTTAAAGTTTGCTGACTCCTGGTCTACAGGGAAAAAAAATTATCTTTATATACAAGGTAGAGCTTTAGAATTAGAAAAATCCTTAGCACTCTTTAAAATGCCAAAGTGTAGACAAAATATCTGCTGTTTTCCTCTCTTACTGGGATAAAATTCCAAAAACCAAGCACATCTATCTCAGGATGTGTGAATGTATGTTTGTATGTGTATGTATCTTTCCCACAGACTATCATGTCCATAACAGAGATGGGGGAAAGAGGACAAAAGAAATAGTGGCTCCAAGTTGCAATCCACACTTTGAAAATGTAGGATACATACAGTATAACTTGATTATTTTTTATTGTCCTTCATACGCAAATGACTGGTTACTTTTTGGCTCATATCAGTAAGGCACTGCTTAATTTCCTGAGCAGCCTGATGTTGAGTGGCATGCTGGATCAAACTTCACATGAGCACTCTTCTGTTCAAATATTTATCCTGCTGCTTTCAGGAGTTTCTATATCAGTGTTTCAGTATTCCACAAACTGTGAGACTACAAATTCTCTGATTCAAGTCAACTCCATTAAGGTTATTGGGACAGAAATTGTTAAGGAAGATGAACTGACATTCACTCTCACTTCACCCACCAGATAATAAAACTTCCAAGACTTCTTCAATCCTTATTATAATTATTGACTGAATATTGCCAACTTAGCACATCCACACTCCTTCACCGCTGTGAAAGGTTTATTACAAATGGAAAAAGAATAAATGATTTGGTAGATAGATGAGGTGAAATGTAGAGAAAATAATTATTTTAAGAATGGAAAAATATGAGAATACTTATATGCTTAGTGAATGGTGCAAGCGAAAGGTGTCAAAGGGCTTAATTAGTATAACAAGCTTACTAAAGACAGGTGAGGAGAAAGAACTCAGTGGAAAAAAAGATATATCAAGCTCATGTAATTTCTCCACTAGAAGTCATATCCTCAAAAAAAGGTTTAATATGACTGCTGTCACACAAATATTTTAGTTAAAGGAGTCACAGCTTGGTAGTGACTAGCCACCGAAGTTGAAGTCTGACCAGCAGGTGACAAAAAGTAGGGCTCACCGCAAATCCAAACACCTGTGTTCTAGCCTTCAGCTCTCAGGTTGAGTTGTTGGTTCTTCAAATGGTTGTTTCTCTGCAAACAATTCTTATCGGGTTGAACCATCCTATTGCACATGAGAGCTAAAGTTTCTTCCTAGTACCTGTATTTCTCTAGTGTTAACAAATCTGTGAGCTGGGCCTGGAACCCAGTTTCTATCCTTTTCCTCAGCAGTAGAGCTGTCCTGCCACACTTTATCATGAAGTCCTTGCCATTCCTGATATCAATGGGCATGACAATCTCCTAGTAAATAGCCATATGTCCAAATAGTACCCCAAAATTGAATTTTAAAATTTTTAATCAAGCATATTTGAAGGAGACTTAATTAATTGAAGGAGGGTGGATTGATGTTAATTATGTCTTTCAGTTACTGGTCTCATTATTCTCTCTAACCACATACTTTGTGTTGTGCCCACCCTCAAGCCAAAGACAGATTTACAATTTAGATCCAAGTTTAGCCTTCTTATATTGAGTCTAAATGGAGAAGGATTGTTAGCCATCCAAATAAACTTCCTTTGTGAGGACTGAATTTAACTGGGCATTTGAATCCTTCCTGATGGCATAGGAAGGAAAGTATAGGTCAGACACTTGTCTACAGAGCTAGAGCAGATTAGATTGAGAGAAATAAAGTCTACACATCAGTCAGTCCGATGTTAAGTCCTTTATTTCTCCATATGACTGTGCATACTGGGTAGCACAGATTCCATTGTACTCAATCTCAATATACCTTGTAAGGAAGGGAAGTAGTCATTATTTTCTTTTTTTTTTTGTCATTATTTTCTTGATGTGAGTAAAACGCCTATAACATTAAACATTTTAAGAACCAAAGTTTGGGTTGAGGTAAACCTACTCTTGCTCCACAACTACTGATACAAGTTATTTTTCAGCAAGGGGCTATTCATTGGGGAAGAGACCATATACTCCTAATGTTTCCCTCACTGTTTCCCAAATATGTTACACTGTAAAACTATAAATTTCTTCTTTTCTTCTTTAGAGGACCATCCTATCATCACCTCCAAAAAAGACATAAATCTGGTAAGTCTTGAATCTTCCCAACTTGAAGGATTTTAGGAAGTCCTAGCCAGAACAATCAAGCAAATGAAAAAAAAAGAAGGCATCTAAATAGGAAGAGAGGCAGTCAAACTATCTCTGCAGATGATACGATTCTATACCTAGAAAATCCAAATGTCTCTTCCCAAAGGCTCCTAGATCTGATAAACAACTCTAACAAAATTTCAGGAAACAAAATCAATTTTTAAAAGCTGGTAGCATTTCTATACACTAACAACATCCAAGCTGAGAGCCAAATCAAGAACACAATTCCATTCATAATAGCCACCAAAGGAATGTTGAACAAAAATACCCAGGAACACAGGTAGCCAGGGAAGTGAAGATCTCCACAGTGAGAATTACAAAACACTGCTGAAAGAAAACAGAGATAACACAAACAAATAGAAAAACATTCCATGCTCATGAATAGGAAGAATCAACATTGGCAAAATGGCCATACTACCCAAAGCAATTTACAGATTCAAGGCTATTTCTATGGAACTAATGACGTTTTTCATAGAATTAGAAAAAAACTTTTCTAAAATTAATATGAAAACCAAAAAGGAGCCCAAATAGCCAAAGCAATCATAAGCAAAAAGAACAAAACTGGATGCATCATGCTACCTGACTTCAAACTATACCACAAGGCTACAGTAACCAAATGGCATAGAACAATACAAAAAAGAGACATATAGACCTATGGAACAGGGTAGAGAAATAATGCCGCACACCTCCAACCATCTGATCTTTGACAAAGCCAACAAAATAAGCAATGGAGAAGGGATTCCCTATTCAATAAATGGTGCTGAGATAACATGCTAGCCATATGCAGAAGATTGAAACTGGACCCTTTCCTTTCACCATATACAAAAATCAACTCAAGATGAATTAGAAACTTAAATGTAAAACCTAAAACTATAAAAACCCTAGAAGAAAACCTAGGAAATACCATTCTGGACATCAGCCCTGGCAAAGATTTCATTATGAAGACTCCAAAAGCAATTGCAACAAAAACAAAAAATTAACAAGTGAGACCTAATTAAACAAAAGAGCATCTCTTCACAGTAAAAGAAACTATCAACTGAGTAAACAGACAACCTGCAGATTGAGAGAAGATATTTGCAAACTATGCATCTGACAAAGGTCCAATGTCCAAAATCTATAAGGAACTTGAACAAATCAACAAGCAGAAAACAAATAACCCCATTTAAAAAATGGACAAAGAACATGAACAGACATTTCTTAGAAGACATACACACAGCTAACAAATTTACAAAAATATACTCAGCATCTCTAATCATTAGAGCAATGCAAATCAAAACCACAATGAGATACCATCTCACACCAGTCAAAATGGCTATTATTAAAAAGTCAGGAAAATAACAGATGCTGGTAAGGTTGCAGAGAAAAGAGAACACTTATACAATGTTGGCAGGAGTGTAAATTAATTCAGCCACTGTGGAAAGCAGTTTGGCAATTTCTCGAAGAACTTAAAACAGAGCTACCAGTCAACCCAGCAATCCCATTACTTTTTATTTACCCAAATGAATATAAACTGTTCGCCATGAAGACACATGCACGTGTATGTTCATCCCAGCACTATTAACAATAATAGCAAAGACATGGAATCAACCTAGATGCCTATCAATTGTGGACTGGATTAAGAAAATGTGGTACATATACACCATGGAATACCATGCAGCCCTAAAAAAATAAAATAAAATCATGTCGTTTGCCGCAACATGGATGGAGCTGGCGGCCATTATCCTAAATGGATTAATACAAGAACAGAAAACCAAATACCACATGTTTTCACTTATAAATGGAAGCTAAACATTTAGTACACATGGACACAAAGAATGGAACAATGGACACTGGGACCTACTCGAGGGTTGAGGGTGAGGATGAGAATCAAAAAACTACCTATCAGAAGGCAAAGGAGTCCAGACATGGTGGCTCACACCTGTAATCTCAGCCCTTTGGGAGGCTGAGGAGAGTGGATCACTTGAGGTCAGGAGTTCAAAACCAGCCTGTCCAACATGGCAAAACCCTGTCTCTACTAAAAATACAAAAATTAGCCAGGCGTGGTGCTGCATGCCTGTAATCCCAGCTATTCAGGAGGCTAAGGCACGAGAATCGCTTGAACCCCAAGGGCAGAGGTTGCAGTGAGCTGAGATTGTGCCACTGCACTCCAGCCTGGGTGACAGAGCAAGACTTCTTCTCAAAAATAAAATAAAATAAAAAAGAAGGCAAAGGAGGAGCAAAGTCACATCTTACATCGTGGCAGGCAAGAGAGCTTGTGCAGGGGAACTCCCATTTTTATAACCATCGGATCTCATGCGACTTATTCACTACCATGAGAACAGTGTGGGTGAAACTGCTCCTGTGATTCAATTATCTTCACCTGGCCCTGCCCTTGACACATGGGAATTATTACAATTCATTGTGGGATTTGGGTGGGAACACAGCCAAACCATATCAAATGAGGAGGGACATCTTGAATTTAGGGCCCAATGCTCCCCTCTCTGCATCCCTAAACCCACTGTTTTTTTCCATCGCAATCACCACATTCCAACCTACAAACATTGGGTTGGGTATAAACTACTGTGTTTTGCAACCTGAGATCATTTCAGGGGATGAACACTATTTATGAGGTTTCCCCAGCCATGTGGAACTGTGAGTCAATTAAACCTCTTTCTTTTATAAACTACCCACCCTTGGGTATGTCTTTATTAGCATTGTGAGAACAGACTAATACACCACTCTAGCTGCCTTCCTGATTGCTGGAGATCCATTCAAAGAATAAAACAAGAAGCTTTATCCTAATTATCATGTAAGTCTTCCCCCTAAAATATCAAGAACTAAGTGGAAAATCCTTCAAATACATCTTCAAATTAAAGCATCTAAAAGTCTAAATTAAAGCATCTAAAAGCATCATGTCAAGGCTTAAATGGAATGACATAATTGCAATTTATTGGGTTTTCTTCTTTCAGTCAAAATTCAAGGTTAATTTTAGCAGTGCTTCAGATCATTTTTGACATCTTTTATTAGCAACAAGTCAGAACTTTTAATTATGAATAAATTTGGTGCCAAAAAGAAAATGATAGGACTCTTCCAGAAAGGTTTTCATTAGTTAGAGACAAAATTAATTTGAATACTTGTTTTTTTTTTCCATGGAGGAAATACTTTTATTTAAAGATTGTTTTTGTTTGTTTCTCTGCTTGTTTTATATTTGGTAAATTCCCAGAAAACCCCTATTACTGGTATAATAATGTATATAATTGAACCAAGTAATAAAGCATGCAAATAATTGTTTGAAACAAAAAGAAAGAAAAACTACCTATTGGATACTAGGCTCATTACCTGGGTGACAAAATGATCTGTACACCAAACATCTGCAACACACAATTTACCCATGTAACAAACCTGCACATGTATCCTCAAAGCTAAAATAAAAGTCAGAAGAAAAAAAAGAAGGTTTTTATTCTCACAAGTCAATATTTTCTTATCCCTAGCCTTTGACAATCTGAGTCTTTCTAGCATTTCTAAGAAACAATCTGAACATAGCAATTTGATACAAGAAGATTACACTCGAATTTATTTCATTCCTTCACCTGCTTATTGGAACAAACAATAATTTTTACTCCTTTATGAGACTTGAAGAAAATTACTTCCCAGAAGTTTAAGGGGACTTTTCTTCTATTCATTAAATTCAGGGCTGTGGAGAAAGCAGCTTCTTAATAAATGCTGTTTAACCATGAAGTCTCTGAAAACTAGATCTTACAAAATTTGCAAATATCTATATTTTATTTCCAGTAGAAAATGGGAAATAAGAATGTGGTCTGACAAGACATCAGGGAGTACTGAATGTAAAGTAAGAATTTCCTACCTGTAGCAGAATTATTATTATTGTCTTAATGTCTTTGCACATTAGCAATGTAAATGGCTGAGTTAGCAATTCAATTAGCATATGGAAAAAGACAAGACAAAGTCACTGCAACCCAGGTTTTGGAAAGTAAAGGCAAGATGTGTGTACAATCCTAGCAGCTCATCAATAAATAAGTGCATTAAAATGAGTGGTTTTATGAAGAATGTGGTTTCATTAAGAAAATCCCCATATGTTAATTTTCTGGAGAAACTCAAAAGTTAATTTAAACAGACTCTGTCTCTCCCACTCATAAACAGCATAGGTCTCCAAGGAAGATCATTCAACCACAACCAGTAATTGTAACTGTACGTTTATTTTGGACTTTCTTAATTACTGCTAATGCTTTTAAATATTTTATTTTCCTAGTAATGAATTATGTATGCAAATGAGGAAAACCATATTACTGTAGTCTCTGTATTTCCAGTGAGTTTATTTGAAAATGACTCATATAAAGAGTTTGATTTTTAAAATATGTAAGAAAGTTAGCTGGAGATGCAGCTTCTCAGCTGTTGACAATGTTTTTGTACCTGAATTTAAATGTATGTGGTTTTTCTCACTGGGAAAAAAAAAATTGCTAAGGAGTAAGTGTGATTCTGAAAGGTACTAGGAACTGTTAGTGCTTGAAAGACAGGGGCATTGGAGTTGAGAGGGGAAGAGAAGATCGCTATAAGGCATCTCTCAGACCTTGAACTTTGAAATCCTAAGGTAGAATTCTAAGATAGGAGAAAAGGACAGATCCAATATCAACTGCTTTTGAGAAATGTCTATTGAGGTCTTTTTCTCATTTTAAAATTGGGTTACTTGGTTTTCTTTGCTGTTAAGTTCCTTATATATTCTGGATCTTAACCCCCTGTCAGATGCATAGTTTGCAAATATTTTCTCTCATTCTATGAGTTGTCTCTGTTAATTTTTTCTTCTGCTTTGCAAATATTTTTTAATGTAATCCCATTTATTTATTCCTGCTTTGTTGCCTGTGTTTTTGAGTTCTTGTTTAAAACATACTTGCCCAGCTCAGTTTTGAGGGACTTCTCTTCTGTTTTCATTTAGTATTTTTATAGTTTCAGGTTTTATATTTCAGTCTTTGAGCCATTTTTAGCTTACTTCTGTATATGGTGAGAAGTAGGGGTCTAGTCTCATTCATCTATATGTGGCCATACAGTTTTCTCAGTATCACTTATTGAAGAGACTGTCTTTTCCCCAAGGTGCTGTTCTTGGCACCTTTGTTGAAAATCAGTTGGCCGTAGGTGTGAGAATAACTTGTATCTAATTCTACAGAGGACACTCTCTGGAAATTCATGGTGCACATACCTTAAAATATTCTCCCTAAAGACCACTCCTATTCTCGTGTCATACCAGATACTACCATGTTTTCTGGTGAATGTCCAAACTTTGTCCTGCCATGGTCTGATTTCCTACGATTTTCTTAACTTACCACTGAAATTATAGACAGCTTGAAATGGGAACTCAGGCAATGGTCAATCCCTTACTTTTTAGGAGGGTCTCCTTGACTTCTTGTATGATCACATAAACCTTGATAGGAGTATTATGCCTAGATCAAACGGAGACAGAACTAAAGAGCCTAGTAAGCTTTTTTTCTTCTTCTTTCTACTTTTCTCCACCATACAATACCTCAGTGGAATTTCTTTGAACTGAAAAATGTCTAACTGAATCTTTCTACAGCCTATGAAAAGGTATTCCATGGCCTGAGCTTCATCCACCAACTTGGATACAGCATACAGAATTCTCTGGATTCCTTTAGCTCTGAGAAACACTAGCACAATGAGTTCAGTGTTCCCACATACTACATCCACTGTTGCCTACACCTCAAAAATGGCCAACAAATATGTTTTTTAAATGTTCAACATCACTAATCATCAGGGAAATGCAAATCAAAATCACAAGATATTATCTCACACCAACTACAATGGCTAGTATCAAAAAGACAAAAGAAAACAAGTGTTCACAAGGATGTGAAGAAAAGGGAAGACTTGCACACTGTTGGTGAGATTGTAAATTAGCACAACCATTGTGTAAAAACAGTGTGGCGTTTCCTCAAAAAGTTAAAAATAGACCTGCCATGTAATCTAGCAATCTCACTACTGAGTATGTAGCCAAAGGAAATGAAGTCAGTATGTCAAAGAAATACGTGAACTCCCATGTTTATTGTAGTAGTATTCACAGTAGTCAAGATATGGAATCAACCTAAGTGTCCAACAATGGATGAATGGATTTCAAAATTTGTGGTATATATACACAATGGAATAGTATTTACCCATAAAAAAGAATGAAATCCTGTCATCTGCAAAACATGGATGAACATGGATGACATTATGTTAAGTGAAATAAGCCAGACACAGGAAGACAAATACCACATGAGCTCAGTCATCTGTGGAATCCAATTTTCTTAAGTTGATATCCTAGAAGTTACAAGAACAGTGGTTACTAGACTGAGGAGAGGAGGGGGAAGTACAATGAGGGAAGGGGTTGGTAAATGACTACAAAGTTGCAATTAGATAAGAATAAGTTCTGGTGTTCTATTGCTCAGAAGAGTAACTATGGTTAACAGTTAGATATTGTATATTGCAAAATAGCAGGAAGAGAGGCTTTTCAATGTTATCACCTGGGAGAAAAAATAAAGGCATGAGGTGACGAATGCACAAATTGTCCTGATTTGATCATTAGACAACATGTATATATGTATCAAAACATCAAATTGTGCCCCATAAAGATATACTATTATAATGCATTAAGAAATAAAACAGCAATTTCTTCAGGTTCATCCTAATACAATCTTTGTGGTAAGTAATTTGACAACACATATGATTATTTAAAATCTATCTATACTTTAGCAATTCTATTCCTAGGATTTTATCCTACAGCTTTATTTGCTCATGTGTAAAATCACTCTTGTACAAGAATATTCATCATATCACTGTTTATAACGGGAAATATTGGCAACTATTTACATCTATACACACAAAAAGTTTAAATAAATTGCAATACATTTCTAGTCTAAAAAAGAAATTATTAATGAATATGTATTACCTCACTTAGCATAGCTCTTAGGTTGCTAGTCACTTAAGTTTTGAAACTCTTTTTAGGCAGACATACTGTAACACCAAATAAAACTAGTCATCATTCACAAATTAGTATCTGTTAAATTATTTTTACAACACATACATGTTAAGCATGCATTACAAAAGCAAAAACCTAAAAAGCTAAGTACATGGGATTTGTTTTCTCTTTACTACTGTCCTTGATATATTAAGTAATAGATATCAAGAACAGTTGGCCCTGGAACAACACAGGTTTGAACTGTGAAGGTCCACTTACACACAGATGTTTTTCAACCAAAGTCGGATTGAAAATACAGTATTCGCAGGTGGCGAGTGGATGGGAAGTGTCTTGGAGCCAATCCGTTGCACACACCATGAGATAATCGTATTTCATTTTTACTGGATCTTTGCTTGTACATTTGTCCTTAGATTGAATTTGTAAATGTTATAATCTTAAACATCGAGTATATATAGTATTAGTTTGACTAGTAAGCTCAAGAAGAATAAAAATGTATGTTCATATACTTAATGCTAATCAGTCAGAAAATGTAGCTGTTTTTATTGAACCAACAATATTAAAATAATCTTATTTACCAAAAATGCACCTAAGTCACCAGAACTTGAAAGATATTTGGGTTAGTCCTTATATATCTGGGAGTTTGGGGAATATTTAATATATATAAGCACTGACCAATCTCTAAGCCAATTGAATACAAGTTCTTTAAGAGAGTTTCTACATTAATTTGGTAATCCAGCAATAGAAAAATGTCACATATACATAACATACATACATAAACATACATAAATATGCATAAACATGCATGCTTACTGATGAAAACAGATATTCTATAGCTTTCATTTTAAAGATTAGTTATGAGTCAATAATATAAAACACTGCTTTGTATAAAACAGTTGAATCTCATCTTTTTACCATTTTAAATGTTTATCCTAATTGCGTTTCTAGCAAAAATGGAACATGGTAAATTTGCCTGTTCAACATAAGGCTAAAGTTCTTACCATTATTTGTTGAAATAAGTATTATTTGTTGAAACATCTTTAAGATTTTCATTGCTCTGATGGACAATTTAATGGAGGCTGGGACTAGATTCTAGTCCAGGGACTAAGGAGACATCAAGCATCTGTTTGGAGAGCTTCAATACCCGTCTAAATGGATAATAAAATATCCAGTGTGTTTCCAATTAGCCTTTTACATCTTAAGCCTCAGGTAGTTGCTACTGGGGGAAGCTGAGTCCCTTAAAAGCCCCCAATGGTAGCAGAAGGTTTAGAGTTCAAGTGATTATAAGGAGCTGAGGGATTGAAGTATGAAGCAAAAAGTCCAGCAGAAGTGAACAGAGGAGTAGAAACGGTAGGGTTTAAAGGGAGACATATCAAAGGATTCAAAGGTGCTGAAGGGAAGATTCAAGGTGGTAAGAAGAAGGAAGAGAGGAACTGATGGAAAAGGAGAAGTCTTAGAGAAGCCAGTTTGGGGAGATCATAAGTTTCCCAAAGAGGTCAATGAAGTTCTAAATTAACCTCAGCAAAATCATGCCAAATGAAAGGAGGTAGACAGATTCAGAGAAGCATAAAGTCTGCAGGAGTTCAAGGAGGGGATTTTAGTCAATTAAAAAGTTCCCATGAGAGAGACAGGATCAAATAGAGAAAACAAAGAGACCTCACAAAGAACCGGGGGAAAAAAAATGTTCAGCCCAGGAGTCACGGACTGCATCCTCCCTTGAAACAAATGAGCTAAGAAGAATTTTCCAGCCCATGGCCAGGGTCAGAGCCAGGAGTCAGGAAAAGAATCATCCTTACTCCAAACAAAGAAGCAGTAAGAAAGACCTCCAGCCCCACAGGTATTTGAAACAATGAAACCTGAGCCTCTGACATAACTTCTGCTTTCCTGGGACTCTAACCTAGCTTCTTACAAACAGAAAGCACAGAATCCTAACGCTGCCTCCATCTGCGACTCTAACCCAGCTTCTAGAATACACACAGAATCTTAATAACAGTCTGTCCTTACTGATTATCAACATCATCCAGAGTAATGCTTCAAGAGTCTGACCCACCAATGGATCCGTGATCAATCAGTCAGGAGTGAAGACGAAGCCTTCAAAGGTACACAATTAGAGTCCTAAGTGAGATGTCCAAGGTTCCAGTGATGAATCTGATCATAACCAAGTCAGTGAAAAAAACCAATATACCATGTCTTATTCATATATAATAGTCATCCCAATTATGCATTCAGGCGTCAAAGTCCTCTAGCCAGTGACAACCAGGAGCACATCTGGATTGAAAAAGTTGGATTTCTTACTTGTTTCAATGGGAGACAGCACACACCATGGGGAACTGAGAGAGGTGTCTTATTGTCAGGGTGTTAGAAAAGAGTATTTTAGGATTTGGGCTTGAGTCAGGAGATTTGAGGGAGTGATCAGGGAAGTGAGGCTAACCTCTGGATTGGATGCTGTCAGCAAACACAAATAATGCTAAGATTAGGTGTGTTGATAAACAGTATCTAAAAGGAGGGCAGACTACAGTGAAGCTTAACCTATAATTCATAATGAAGCAGGAACCACTGAATGAGAGAGAGGAATGTTTAGTATTCTATGGTTTGCACACTAACTCCGGTTTTGTCTGTGCTTAAAAAAATATGCATTGGTTTTTCTTTTTACTCTCAATTCATCAGTCACTGAATGGCCTTGTCTGATGCTGGTATTTTGTGAGATTGTGTCCAACAGGAAAACACCATTGCCTAACTGTGAGCATCCAGTCACCTTCTAACAACTCTGAAACTTGGCTGTGTCAAACCAGTACCCAGATGCCAGGAGTTCCTTTCTTCTTTCTTACCACACATGCTAAGTCATTACAGGTAAGAAAAAAATTCTGTCAGTTGATAGGAGAGTTTGGCAGAATCAAACTGAACATTTGTACCTAGTAAGTATTGATTAGTCTATCCATATTAGAGAAATCTCTAGTCTTTAGTATTATGCCCAAAACTAGTGTCTTATTTAAAAAAGAAACTGAAATAAATAGGAAGTCTAGTTATTAGTAGGAGCACAAGGAAGTATTAGGTAAAATCTGAAGTGTCTGTCACTTGGATTGTCTAAACAATGGACAACCGCCCCATAGCCCATAAGAAATACCATTTTTATGTTGCTCATAGTTATTTTTTATTTGAAAGAAAATAAACTGATTAGAGATAAAGGGGATATCGTAGGCAAGGTAAGTAGTTGGATGAAATCACAGGAAGCATGAATAGTTGTGACCAATTGCAGAAGACTCAAGCTGATTCCATCTCAGGGACACACTCTACCATTCGGGAGATCCCCAACCCATTTGGGTAAAACTGCAAGAGAAAAAAATATTGTCAAGGGGCTTCGACAAAGGATGAAGAATGTGGATTTATTCTTCAGAATCTGAAGGAACTAACAAGTGTCAAATGTCAACTAAACTCAGGGGATTCGAAAGGAACATGGGATTGTTATTACGGGAAGATAAACAACCAATTTCTGTCCTTAAAGATTTTGGAAATATAGCCTTAGACGGAAGCCCAGGTAGGTTGGAACTTTAGAGAGAACTAGAAGAAAGTCAATACGTATGAGTTTTCCTATAATATGGCACAGAGATCCAGCCTTCTTCTGGTAAGAGAGAAAAGCCATTTTCTCACTCACAGTCTACTTTACAGATTATTGACAGAGTTCCAAGCACTGATTCAGACATGAAAAAGTATAAAGCAATATCTGAAGAAAATTTCTTAGGGACTTTGATTGTATGGGTGTAATTTGAATCCTTTTTCTTTCTGCCCGTGTGCTCAAAGGAAAGTTTCTCATTGTAACTCTCCATTTGTTTGAGTGCAATTTCCTTTTTCTTTCTGCCTGTGTGCTCAAAGGAAAGTTTCTCATTGCAACTCTTCCATTTCCTCATCTTTAAAATGTTTACTTCATAGAATGACTGTGATATTTAAATTATAATACATATGTAAATTTTATGACACAGTTCCTGGCATATGTTCCGATTGAATAAATGTTGTAATCAATACTATGTGAAAGTTAAAGGTCAAGAAAAAGTGAACCCAGAATAGGAGGAATGTACATTGATCCTCAGTGAATGTCCAAAACCCCAGAAATACCCTGAATGGCACTCAAAATAATCTGCCTCAAGAAAGATTGTAAAATCATTCATTGTTAAGCTATTTTCTATTTTGGGAAAATTCTCTAAAGGAAACAAAGATTTTACTTGATTACCTGATTTTTAAATTGCCTGATTTAAACACACACACACACACACACACACACACACACACACACTACCTGATTTAAAAAAATAATAATAATAAGCAGTTACCTAGCTTCATGGAGACACTTATTTTGGTCTTTCCAATGATGTTTCTACTAAGGAAGAGTTTTCCTTAATAAATGTCAATATTTCAAGATCCATTCAGGTAATATTGGTAACCTAGGAGTCAGGTAACCTCCTGACTCCTCTGATATTTATCTGTTGACTTGACTTAGAAACTACAAGGATTTAGAGAACAATGTAAAGAAGAGGTCTCCCTGACCTCAAAAATAGAGTCTCTGTGAGAATAGAGAACCCAAGGAATCAAGGAGCCACATAAAGGAAGCACACAGATGGAGGAGTCTTGCTACCTGGAATGTCTTTACGAGCAGTGGTAGAAGCAGCGGTGGTTGCAGTGGTAGGAGCAGCAGTGGTTGCAGTGGTTGCAGCAGCAGTGGTTTCAGCATCAGGGGCTTCATCATCAGCAGGACCAGCTGAAATTAGAAGGAAAAGCTCTAGGTGAGACTGACTCCTTCTGGAACAAAATTTATCCCACCCAGGGGTAGACATACATTCCTCATCCTGAATTCATCTCTGCAAATCTGTCATCAGTTCTGTCTTACCTTTAGCCTACCTGCCTACTTTCCTTGTGCTTCATCCTTCCCTGTCTTGTCTTTGCTGGGACAGAAAGAATTTGGGGTTTCCCTCCAAGGGCAATGACACTGATTAAAGAGACAAGCAAGTACTTTGTCCCAGGTATGAGCACAAAAGACCAAGGCCACGAGTGTTCCTATTCACAGGGACTACTGCTCAGAAGCAATAAGGAAATCTCTAGTAGCCTGACATTCTGAAGCCGTCCCACAGAATAACCTAAGACAGCATACATTCCAATGTAGCATGAATGAGGATGAGTAAAGGGATGAACTCTAGAGGGAAGGAGGAGGCAGACTAAGAAGACGTATCTCATCTTAGAGTCATATCTCCTGTCTTAGAGTGCAGTAAGATATCTTCTATCAGGTTCTAGAATGAAAAGAGCCATATTTGTCTCACCCTCTGTGGCAGCTTGGACTCTGTTTATTAGAGAGGTAATTGTGAGAGCCACATTAGATATAACAGGAGAAATTAATACACTTCTGATAGTAAAAAAATTCCCCATTAATTACTATATGTACAAAGGGGACTGGGTAAGAGTTTTGAAAATTATCTCTCTCTCTCTAGACCTTACACAAGAGCTATTGATAAGGATCAAGAGTCAGGCCCCACATTTGTGAGTTAGACTCACCTCAGCAAATAAGTAGCTCCACCTCCAAACCCACACTCTATCCATGCTGTCTCAGGCTTTATTTAAGAGAGAAAATATTTTTTAAATGGGGCCTCACATGGCAGGAAAAATATATGTGAGGTCTGACTAAAGCTAATGCCCTTGTGACCAAAGGATGCAAATTCCCAAGATGCGAAGGATAAAGACAGACCCCCTTAACTTGTGCATGGGCACAACACACACACAGTACAGAATGTGAAGAACACTTTGGGAGAAGCCCAAGAATGACTAAAGGCTTTGGTCTACCACCTTCGTTTTCAGGTTAGAGAAGGGAAACAAACATCAGCCTGGGAATAAGGAATATAGACCATTACAAAGAGTAAAGCTTAGAACTGACCCCTGCACTCCACATCCCACACACCACCCTCACTTGTGATCCAAATGGACTTATTTTCATATCACTTCAAATTCTGAGACCCACTGGTCTCTTTTTGACACTGGCTATATATTCAGTCCTTCCATTTATTAGAGGCATCTCTCAAAAATTCTCAGGCTACAACATCAGACCTCATGCTCTTGTGCCTTATGCTGGAAAACAATGAATAATAAGTCCACATTTGTATAAGTCTATGGCCTAGATTTCATATATTCTAAGAATGTATAAGAAATAAGCAGATTCACTATGTTTGTGGTGAATTTTAAAATCAGGAATATAGCTTTCACAGACTTTTGCTTAGGATTCCTTATAACAAAGACTATCCACATGGAAACTGGCTGTTTGACATGAGGCTGGAAGTGAAAAATGGTTATTGCTGGAAAGAGATGACATTCAAGTGCAGACTCACTAGCTGGATACGTGTCAGCTGGAGCAGCTGTTGTCGGATTCTCTGAAAGAGAAGAAGGAAAAATTAAGATGTTAGCTGAATACCAGTTTGGAGGATGGAGGTAAGAGAGAATATGGACAATATTCCAGACTTTACAATGGAAGACCCTCAGTCCTTGGTGTACCAGTTGAGGAAGAACAAGTGCACAGATAAGATAAAACCCATGAAAACCAATAAAAACCTAATATGTGGTCATTTTTCCTTTCCCGAAATAAACCTCTGATTACCTTCTTGAACATATTTTACTAACAGTAACAATAAACTTGGGTTCCAAGGTATTATTGAAGTAAGATCTGACTGAATTAAGAAGAGCCTAAGGATAACCATCTCCATCTTGAACGGTCAGTCAAAATGGTGATAGAACAAGTTAGGAGAGGTAAAAAAGCACATTCTAAGCAACCATAAGCCCACATCTTTAGAGGAGATATTTTATGTATATTCCCACAAAACTTATGTTCAGGTAAGAATCTTTACTTACGGGCAGAGACCAGAAAGATGGAAACTCCCAAGAGTACCAGGACTGCTAAGAACTTCATGGTGGTGACCTGAAGATCAGGGAGCACAGACAAAAATGCTTCAAAGCCTAAGAGAAGGCAAGGCGCTGACTTCAGGATTCCACATCCTGACAATATATATGCAGAGGGCACCAATCAGGAGCTGTCAACCAGAATCCAGGTTAGGTAATGCCAGGAAACGTTGGGACACAAACCACTGGAGAATCAACAACACAGCCAGGGGCCCTTTGGAAAGGTTGTGAATTCAAATCATTGGTTCTGGCTAAACAGGTTTCAATTCGAGTCTCTCATGTTAAATATGCTCCAGGCAACTTCTCTTCCAGGCATCCTCTTACATGTAGGGTATAGTGTCTCCATAATTACCAGCTCCTATGACAGGTTGGAGATGCCCCATAACCAGCCTTCCTGAAATCTGCAGTGCTCTTTTCATAGATTCTAGGAGTCATACACTTACAGAGTGCTTAGACCTCTGTCTCCCCCTAGGGGAATAATCAGGGTAGAGCAGCCTGATCCAAAGACCATCCGGTGTAACTCAGGCTGTGCATTCTTCGAGTCATGGCCTCCCTCCTGAACATGTAATTAGGTCATCTGACACTGGTGCAGAGTGAGTCCAACACTGAATGATCTAAAGAACGAACTATGACCTTACTGGATTTAGCAACCATTGTATAAAAATTCAAAATCAAGGAGTAAGTATACAGAATAAACTAACATTTGTTAATTCATGCATCCATTTAATCAATTTTTTCATTCAAAAAACATTCATTGAGCATTATTGTATGCCAGACACAATGCTAGATGTTAGAAAAATAACAGCGAACAAAGCACACAAAAATTTTATTTAATACATGGTTTTGCAGGAATTCATACACTAAAAAAGTAAAGAAAGAGAAAACACAATGTATTATGTGTGAGGTGATAAGGCCTAATAAAAAAAGAAGGCAGGAAAGAAGAAAGGAGAGTTTAGAGATGGAAAATGGGGAGCAATTTTATATAAGGTGACCAAAAAAGGCATTACTGAATAGGTGATATTTGAACAGACTCTTAAGGAGCTGAGGAATCAACAACGTGGTATATTTGGATAATGCAACGGAAAGGAAATGGTCAGTCTGAAGGAAAGCAATGGTGAGTGCATGTAGAATATGGTCATCCAGACTTCTCTGCAGTTGTTGAGTAGGGCCCAGCACTGCCCCAAGTTCCATCAATCTACTTGCCCTTTGTCATAATGGAGCCAAGCTGCTAAGTAAAGACAGCAAGGGAGGAAAACAATCCACATTTACAGCACAATCAAGTGCTGGACCCAACTGAGGCCTCAAAGAGGGGTGATGAACATTTGGAATACCCAGAATCATAGGGAATTCTCTACATTTTAAAGATTTCCCTTGCTTTAAAGTTCTTCTTCTTCATACAAAGTATGCCTTTTTGGGTCATACCCTCATTGGAAGGATCTCTGTAATCTGGAAGAGCACTGAACATCTATTTCTCCTTTTATTGGAGAGTCTGTCTGATAACAGCAACCAGTCTACTCCCCAAAACATGCTAAGAGGTCCCCATCAGGTGAATGAAGAAAGGCAGAGGAAATTCTTGAGGGAGTGGTCTTCAACCTCGGAAAGACAAGTCAGTGTCCTTGTCCTGGGTAAACTCATATCTTCCATGAGGCACAGAGTTGTCATAATATGGTGAGAGATTAGCATAAATAACGCTAAGAAAAAAACACATATTCTGAAGGAAAAGTGAAAGAGAAATATTTAAAAGAGATAAAGAAGGAAGGAAGACTTAAAAGACAGATACTATCTGATTATACCCCGTAGGGAATAAGCCCTACAGTCACCTTTGTAAGGCCTCCCAACAACACTGACACAAATTGAAGGGTCTTCTAGGAGACGGTTACTTATTGAGAGCCCACTGTGTCCCTCCACAGAGGCAGAGACCCACCACACAGACTTAAGACAATGACTGGCTTGCTAAGAAAAAAAGATTAAACATATGTATCAGTTAGGGTCCCCTTAAGAGATCAAAACTGCACAGTGGATTAAACAGGAAAAGTGTGATACAAAGAATTTCTAAAGTTTGATATATGAGTAGTTTTTCATCTTGAATGAATTTTTGTATAAGGTGTAAGGAAGGGATCCAGTTTCAGCTTTCTACATATGGCTAGCCAGATTTCCCAGCACCATTTATTAAATAGGGAATCCTTTCCCCATTGCTTGTTTTCGTCAGGTTTCTCAAAGATCAGATGGTTGTAGATGTGTGGCATTATTTCTGAGGGCTCTGTTCTGTTCCATTGGTCTATAACTCTGTTTTGGTACCAGTACCATGCTGTTTTGGTTATTGTAGCCTTGTAGTATAGTTTGAAGTCAGGTAGTGTGATGCCTCCAGCTTTGTTCTTTTGGCTTAGGATTGACTTGGCAATGTGGGCTCTTTTTTGCTTCCATATGAACTTTAAAGTAGTTTTTTCCAATTCTGTGAAGAAAGTCATTGGTAGCTTGATGGGGATGGCATTGAATCTATAAATTACCTTGGGCAGTATGGCCATTTTCACAATATTGATTCTTCCAACCCATGAGCATGGAATGTTCTTCCATTTGTTTGTATCCTCTTTTATTTCATTGAGCAGTGATTTGTAGTTCTCTTTGGAGAGGTCCTTCACATCCCTTGTAAGTTGGATTCCTAGGTATTTTATTCTCTTTGAAGCAATTGGGAATGGGAGTTCAGTCATGATTTGGCTCTCTGTCTGTTATTGGTGTATAAGAATGCTTGTGATTTTTGCACATTGATTTTTGTATCCTGAGACTTTGCTGAAGTTGCTTATCAGCTTAAGGAGATTTGGGGCTGAGACGATGGGGTTTTCTAGATATACAATCATGTCATCTGCAAACAAGGACAATTTGACTTCCTCTTTTCCTAATTGAATACCCTTTATTTCCTTCTCCTGCCTGATCGCCCTGGCCAGAACTTCCAACACTACGTTGAATAGGAGTGGTGAGAGAGGGCATCCCTGTCTTGTGCCAGTTTTCAAAGGGAATGCTTCCAGTTTTTGCCCATTCAGTATGATATTGGCTGTGGGTTTGTCGTAGATAGCTCTAATTATTTTGAGATACGTCCCATCAATACCTAATTTATTGAGAGTTTTTAGCACGAAGGGTTGTTGAATTTTGTCAAAGGCCTTTTCTGCATCTATTGAGATAATCATGTGGTTTTTGTCTTTGGTTCTGTTTATATGCTGGATTACGTGTATTGATTTGCATATGTTAACCAGCCTTGCATCCCAGAGATTAATTTAAGATGATTTAAAGACTTACATGTTAGACCTAAAACCATAAAAATCCTAGAAGAAAACCTAGGCAATACCATTCAGGACATAGGCATGGGCAAGGACTTCATGTCTAAAACACCAAAAGCAATGGCAACAAAACCAAAATTGACAAATGGGTTGTAATTAAACTAAAGAGCTTCTGCACAGCAAAAGAAACTACCATCAGAGTGAACAGGCAACCTACAGAATAGGAGAAAATTTTTGCAATCTCTCCATCTGACAAAGGGCTAATATCCAGAATCTACAATGAATTCAAACAAATTTACAAGAAAAAAACAAACAACCCCATCAACAAGTGGGTAAAGGATATGAACAGACACTTCTCAAAAGAAGACATTTATGCAGCCAAAAAACGCATGAAAAAATGCTCACCATCACTGGCCATCAGAGAAATGCAAATCAAAACCACAGTGAGATACCATCTCACACCAGTTAGAATGGCAATCATTAAAAAGTCAGGAAACAACAGGTACTGGAGAGGATGTGGAGAAATAGGAACACTTTTACACTGTTGTTGGGACTGTAAACTAGTTCAACCCTTGTGGAAGTCAGTGTGGCAATTCCTCAAGGATCTAGAACTAGAAATACCATTTGACCCAGCCATCCCATTACTGGGCATATACCCAAAGGATTATAAATCATGCTGCTAAAAAGACACATGCACACGTATGTTTATTGCAGCACTATTCACAATAGCAAAGACTTGGAACCAACCCAAATGTACAACAATGATAGACTGGATTAAGAAAATGTGGCACATATACACCATGGAATACTATGTAGCCATAAAAAATGATGAGTTCATGTCCTTTGTAGGGACATGGATGAAGCTGGAAACCATCATTCTCAGCCAACCATCGCAAGGACAAAAAACCAAACACCGTGTGTTCTCACTCATAGGTGGCAACTGAACAATGAGAACACGTGGACACAGGAAGGGGAACATCACACACCGGGGCCTGTGGTGGGGTGGGGGGAGGGGGGAGGGATAGCATTAGGAGATATACCTAATGTAAATGACGAGTTAATGGGTGCAGCACCCCAACATGGCACATGTATACATATGTAACAAACCTGCACGTTGTGCACATGTACCCAAAACTTAAAGTGTAATAATAAAAAAAAATGAGTAGTTATAAGGAAGTTCTATGAAACCCTAGGGTTGAGGGAGACTATCCAAGGAAGGACAACAATAAAGAGCCCTCCTCCCTGAAGCTGATATTCAGAACTCATTGGAGAAGCAGCCCTCTGGGTGGCAGAGAACAGTGCTGGTTTGCCCAAGCTGAAGCTGGTCTGCAGTTGCTGGGAAAGCAGACAATCTGCAACCAGTGGCCTGAGTGTGCAGAGGACATGAAGGCTCAGGGTGTAGGGGAGCCCCGTGGGGCCTACAACAGTTTTGAGGCTTTATTTTTCTGAAGTTATTGGATTTTGATAATATTATAATGCTTCAAATTGTAGGTTTTTAATATTATCACTTTAAGAGGGATCTAAAATTCAAGCATAAAGTATCATATGTGAGTATATAAAATATACTCAGATCTAACACCAAATTTGTTCATTAAAATGAACAGCATTATATATAGGGCATGTTATATTAAAATTAAACTGAGATCTTTCTAATATCTACATTTTGTAACATCTGTCAAATATTATGCAATATATTCTATATAAAATCATATATTGTATGTATAACCAAACTTTATCTCTCTATATATGTATACACTATATACTAGTGGATATGTAATTTTAAGAGTGAAATTCAATGGATGACATAGCTCCAAAACTTTTTACTACTGCTCTTTCCCATTACAAGATTATTTTTGTATTTTTTATAAAAATTAAAATAGAAGTATACATAAGAAAGTAAAAGTCTCTAGATGGGCCAAAACAATGAGATAACTGCCATTTTTACTTGGTAATTATATATTTGTGAAAATTTTATGCATATATGAACTTATATGTAGTTATTTATTCCTACTCCTTTATGGCTAATATTTCATACACTGCTATCATCAATACCAAAAAGCAAATGTTAAATAAATTTCCCCATATTCCTATTATAATAGGCAAATATATGTAGATGCAAGTGACCATATATTTGTGTTTGTACACAAATTCTTTTAAAATGCTGTACAAAATGGCCTTAAATTATAAACCATTCTTTCTTCTTTTTGCACTCAACACTACTTCTTAGAACTCTAACTCAGTCCCTATATATCTGTATCTTTCCTTTCAGTAGCTTGATTATATCATAATTTACTCTAGCATTACCTGCTTACAGGAATTCAGGTCATTTGTATTCTTTTGCTATTATCAAATCATGAAGCCACTGATATACTTTTTAATGTACCCTTATGTACAAAGTCTCTATTTGATAAATGTTCAGAGGTTTTTGACTCACAATATATGTATACACTTAATTTAATATGTATTACCAACAGCTTTCTCAAAGAGTTCTAAAAATTAAAATAACAAGAACAAATATCAGAGCATATTTTTATGACCATTTCTGCAAGTAGTAAAGGTTATCTCAGTTGAATTTTGCTGGACTGTTATGCCAGAAGCAATATTTGTTATGTTAACTTGCATTTCCCTGAATGCAGTAAGTTTGGGCTTACTGACAACTTGAATTTCCTCTTCCATGATTTACATATTCTAATCTTTTTATCTATTGCATTTCCTGTGTTTATCCCTTTAAGGATTCTGAGTATATACGAAATATTAACTTATTATCTTTTATAAAAATAAAAAAGTTTTCCAATCTAATACATTTTAATTTTATTCACAATATACGATTAGAGCTTTTAAATTAAGTGGAACTGCCGTTTTCATTATAATTTCTACATTAAACAATTTGAAAAACACACAGCTGGGTCATCTTATAACTGTGATAACTTAATATTCTTCCACACAAAAATCATATCTATTATTAATCCCCAAATTTACTCAAGGATCACAAACCTGCCCTAATCATTACTGCACACTCTAATGTAGAGCATATCACAAAGGGAGACAGGCTTTTAGAGAAAGCAGCACAGAAGCCCCAACCTGAAGAGAGGTCTTCAGGGAGCATCAGGAACTTGGTCCAAAACCAGACTCCTCACTCCTCACCATATACCACAGAGAAATTGGAAGAACCTGCAGCAGCTGTGGCCTGGGATCATCAAGGGCACACAGCTGAGTTTCAACAAACAAGAATTAACTAGACACAGACTAACGATGGGTTCAGATACTGCATTTATTAAAAAAAAAAAAAAAAAAGAATTGAGATGAAGGGAAGTCCTAGGATGATGGGAGATGAAACAGGATTTGCTGTTAGTACCAAAGGTAAGATCTCATCCTGTGATCATGCCAAGGGAGCTGGGGCATACACAGGGCTGTGCAGTGACTGTCTAGCATTAGAAATCTGAATGTGTGCCCCAAGCATGATCTATAGACACAGCATGTTTCTTCAATGCATGACCCGTAACTTCTGTCATACTTTATTGCCATTCAATCTCAAATTAAATACATCTTCAGGCCACCTTCGATGGCTTCCAAACTAAAGTAATCCCCAAAATTATCACTACCTCATTTGATTCTATTCTTATCATAATACCCATTATTGCCTGATATTTGCTTGTCTCTTTCTTTCTTTGCTTTTTGTGTTTTGTTTTGTTGTTTTGTTTTGTTGAAATGGAGTTTCACTCTTGATGCCCATGCTGGAGTGCAATGGCGTGATCTTGGCTCACTTCAACCTCTGCCTCCTGGGTTCAAGCAATTCTCCTGCCTTAGCCTCCCAAGTAGCTGGGATTACAGGCATGCACCGCCATGACAGGCTAATTTTGTATCTTTAGTAGAGACGGAGTTTCACCATGTTGGTCAGGCTGGTCTTGAACTCCTGACCTCAGACGATCCACCTGCCTCATCCTCCCAAAGTGCTGGGATTACAGGCGTGAGCCACTGTGCCCGGCCTTTCTTTGCTCTTTGCTTGTCAGTTTTCTGCCTCCCTCTCAGTAAATGAACTCTAAGAGACAGAGAGAAAAATAGGTTCATTGCTCAACACTATTTCACAATACTTAGAAGAGTGCCCGGCACTCGGTTACTTCTTGATACATGAGAGTTAACTAGAGGAAAAGAAAGAAGGAAGGAAGGAAGGCAGACAGGCTGAAAGAAGCAAGACAAATTCATATGATAAGCATGAGATGAAAATGGATGGCTTTTCATAAAGTATTGAGGAGGGAGCGTAGGTCTATGAAAAGGACTAAGCAGGATGTGGATGACATCTTGGAAGGCAGAACCTCAGGCTGTGAAAGGGTAGGCAGGCAGGAAAACCATAAACAGAATTAACTAAATAAAACTCAAATAGTGTTTAGGTACAGGAATGTTTTATTGCCTGGAAGATCCTATAGTCCCAGAAATCTGGAAATAAACAGTTACACAGGAAAAACAGCATACACCTAAAGCTGAAAGTACAAGTTACCCACACAAGTGAGCATAGTCATTATTCAGTTACCCTAATAAACCTCACAGGCACTTCCTATGATGAAAAGCAAGGGAAGTTCTTTCCAGAGCTCTGTGTGTCCTGATTCATTATTTTACCACCAGGAAAGATCTTTCCTAAACACAAATTCTCTCTACCACTGGCTCTTTGTAGTTAAGTAAAAGAACTTCCAGTCTTTCTCCTACTTCTCATTGTTTCCCCAGTCATGGCTCATCCCACTCACTGCTATATACTCATTTCCTATCATTGCCCTATCTTTTTCCCACTAATGTTGAAGGGCTGCCCCAAGCTGGAAACCTGGGAACAAACCACAAAATACTCTCCCATGAAGTGAAACAATCAGAAGAATGATATTTTCAACTATTATTGAAATGGGAGGGTTCCCTGATCCCCTTCGCAGGTCATGCCACAGGGATGTGGCTCGCTCCTTCAGTTGCCCCAGTAGTCAGACCCCTAGGAGGAACATGCAGACGGGCAGGTGCAGAGGCCATGGGGAGCACTTTTGGGATCTAGCCCCATGGCAGCATCTAGGGATGGGTGTCTGTGACTCCTGAAGCCCAAGAGGGTGTGTGTTACAGTGTGCTTTTTCAGTTTTGCCATCTGCAGACGGCTTGTGTTAACCAGCTCAATGGACCCTCCGCCTATGGCAAGCATAGAGGGCCAGTGTGACCATTTTCTGTATCTCAAGTTCTCGCCCAGTGTACCGGAAAAACTGGATCACATATGGGCTCGAAGGACAAGTGCAAGGTTTTACTGAGTGGTGAATTTGTCAATGTCTTAAAACATAAAAAAAGCTACAAGTTTTTTTTGCAGAATAAAGGAAACAAAAGAGATGAGGCAATTAAATGCAGTATATGATCTTGAACCTGATTGTGTACTGGAGAAAAACAGTTTTATAAGGAAACTCACTGGATCAAAAATAACATCAGAAACACTTTTAGAGGAGAAAGAACACATTGCACCCATGTTAAATTTACTAAAATTGAAAACTGTACTGTAGGTATGTAAGAAAATTTTGGCTAAAACATACACTAAATATTTAGCAGTACAGAAATTATAACAGCAGAACCAGTCCAGTCCAGTTCACTTTGTCAGTAACAAAATGTAACCAAATCATGAGTTGTTTTTGGGTGCAGTGGCCCTCAAGTTGCAGGTCACATAACCTGAGCATGCCCAGATGAACCAAGTGTACCCTACTGGTAACCCCAGAGTCAGCTGGAACAAAAAAGTCAACCACAAGCAGAATCTAAGTACTTGGTTTGAGAATGGGGACCAAATTATGAAGTGAAGGGTGCCTTGTTTTGTTGCAGAACAGACTTAAGAGACAGGAAACCGTCGCCACCTCTTTGCATTAACCAATCAGATCACATCTTGTTGCATTTTCCTATCTCTCTCATTGTTATTCTCTGCCTGTAAAACCTGCCCCAAGACCACAGCTCGGGGAGACAAATTTGAGTGTTACCTCCTGTCTCCTTGCCAGTCAACTCACTATAAAGGCCCTCCTTTTCTCAAAAGCTGGTGCTATAGCATTGACTGCTATATGCATTGGGCAGAGAGCTCATTGCTCAGTAACAAAGTATACCCAATGAAAGTATCTAAGAAGATGAACCATCTCCATTGTGTTAACTACCTTGAGGCCATCATACTGAGGTAGTTCAAGCTGCAAAGAAAGGCCATGTGTGGGCATTCTGGCCGACAGTCCCAGCTGAGCTCAACCTTAATGTCATCTGAGACCAAGTGCAAGAAATATGTCTGAAGGATCCTCCAAATGATTTCTACCTCCAGCCATTTAATTAGTCCCCAAGTGTGCCTCATACATAGTCAAGAAGAGATAAGACATTCCTTCAGTGCCTTACCCAGCTTCTTCACCCACAGTGTCTGTGAGTCTATTAAAATAGTTTTTGTGTAGTGTCATGATATTTTGCAGTGGTTTTTTTCTGCAGAAATAAGTGATCAAAATAAAATTTGGCATCAAAATTGGGATGCTGTAATAACAAAAACATAAAACATGTAGCTTTGGCTTTGGACAAATTGCAAGAAAGAAGATGTAAAAGATATGTGGAGAAAATAGTCCAACACCTGACAAGACTAAAGCTTGTTGTTGAGGGCTTAAAGGAAATTGAGTAAGATGTTATTAACGGCTGGGAGAAATTGGCAAAACTCTTGCCTAAAGAAAGGTAAGACATAAAAATATACCTAATGAACTGCTAGATCTAGTTAAGGAGATTTCCTGACAAAATGTCAAAAGTGTCATCAGTTTCTCTTTTAGGTGCACATCACAAGTTAGAGAGAGATGAGATTTATAAAGATGTTGTGCTAAAGTCTCAGAAATTCAGTGTCACCTTTCAGCCAGATCCTTAGGCTGTCTTAGGATTTTATAAATGTGTGTCATGGTTCATCCCTGTTAAGCATGAAGCTCCTAGGAATCATAAGGGCATTGTTCCTCAGCAACCTCTTAGGGCATCAAAAAAAATCTATCTAACAGAAACCTTAATTTGCATTACCATAGATCTATTAAATAAATTAAATTCATAATACATTATCCCCCAATAAAAAAAATCTGGGGCCCCAGGTAGCTTCATCAAGACTTTCTACCTAAAATTTGAAAAGGAAAAAACATTCATCTTATCAAAATGCTTCCCAAATGTTGAAAAAATGATGGAAGACTTCTAATATAATTTGATGACACCAGTATATCCTTGATGCCAAAGCCTCAAAAATATAAGAAAGAAAATTTACAAAACATTCATTACCATGACCATAAAAGCAAAATTTATAAACAATAAATTACCAAATCTAGTGATAAACAAAAAGGTTAAGACATTACCTAATTCAATTTATTTCAAGAATGCAAGATAGGATCAATATTTGAAAATCAATGAATGTCAGTGTATTACTTTCGTATTTCTGCATAACAAATTACCACCAACTTAGTGCCTTCAAAAAACATAAATGTATTATCTTACAGTTCTGGAGTCAGTCCAGAAGTCTGAAATGGGTCTCACTAGGCCAAAATCAAGGGTTGCATTCTTTCTGAAGTCTCTATAGAAGAATCCATTTTCTTTCCTTCTACAGTTTCTGGAGGCTGCTCACATTACTTGCCTTGTGGGCCCTTTCTAAGCTCAGAGGCAGCAATGATTATTTGAGTTTGTCTCATTCTGTATGACACTGACCCTGACTTTCCTGTCTCCCTCTTCCACATTTAAAAGACCCTTGCGATTACACTGTGCCTACCTGAATAATCCAGGATAACTTGCTCATTATATGTTCAGCTAATTAACAACTTTAACTTCATCTGCGACCTTAATCACACCTTTCCATACCATCTAACATAAATGCAGGTTTCAGGCATTAAAATGTGGACCATCTTTGGGGCCCCAATATTCTGTCTTTCAAAGTTAGTCATCTAATTAACAGAATTTTTAAAAATCATAGGATTATCTTAACTGATGCAGAAAAACATTTGATAAAATTCAATACCCATTCATTATTTTAAAGCTCTTACAAAAATATAAATAGAAAAGTATTGTCTTAATTAACAGCAAACATCATACCAAAGACTGAAGCATCAAAAGCATTCTCCTGGGACAACAATAGATACCATTTACAGTCCTGCATCATTTAATGATGGGAATACATCCTGAGAAATACATCATTAGGTGATTAGGTGATTTCATCATTGCACAAACATCCCAGGGTGTACTTACACAAACGTAGATGTTATAACCTAGTACATACCTAAGCTATATAGTATAGCCTATTGCTCCTAGGCTGCAAACCTGTACAGCATGTTTCTACACTGAATACTGTAAGTTATTGTAACACAGCGGGAATATTTATGTGTCTAAACGTATCTAAACATAGAAAAGATACAGTAAAAACATGGTATTATAATCTTATGGGGCCACCATCCTGTATGTAATCTGTTGCTGACCAAAGCACTGTTGCATGGTGCATGACTGTATATTGATAATGTGCTAGAGATTCAAACAGGGCAATCAGGCAGGAAGTAGAAAAAAAGAAAAGATGAATAGAAAGAAATTATGAAAAGATAATTACTTATAGTTGAAGCAATTGTATTCATAGAACGTCTAAAACAATCTACAGAAAAACAATGAGAATTTAAAATCAACTATAAGATGTTGGTCAAAAGATACAAAGTTTCAGTTAGACAGGAAGAATAAGTTCAAGGATCTACTGTACAAAATGGTGACTATAACAATGTACGTATTTGTGTATTTATGGCAACATGGATGAACCAGGCACAGAAAGGCCTGAGAGTATATTTTAAGGGTTCTCATTACAAAAAAAGATAAGTATGTGAGGTAATGCATATGCTAATTAACTTGATTTAGCAATCCCCCAGTATAAATTTCAAAACATGTTGTACATGATAAACATAAACAATTTTTGTCAATTAAAAATGAATAAATTTTAAAAATAAAAATAAAATTAACTGTAGCCATTTTCTATCTACAAGGTCAATATACAAAACTAAATTGTATTTATATATATATATATGCAGCAAACAACTAGAATTTTTAACGATGTAATTTATAGAAACAGCAATGTAACCAAGTAAATAGTAATAAATACAGATGTTCAAAGCATCTCTGCAGGAACTATCCAAAATAAATGGAGGGATAAAATACAAATGAACAGGAAAACTCAATATTATAAAGATGTTGTTCTCTCCAAAGTAATTTATAGATTGAAGGCAATTGCATAAATTGTAGGGAATTTGTTTTTGGAAACTAATTAGTTGATTCTTTTCTATATTAAAATTCAAAGCCACATAGAGTCAAGATAATCTTGAAGAAAAATTACAGAAATTGCTCTAATACTTGTATAGAATTATTAAGGCCTGTAACTGTAAAACTCCAAGAAGAAAACATAAGAGAATGCCTCCTGAATGTTGATTATGGTGATAATTTTTTGGGTATGATACCAAAAGCACAGGCAACAAAAGCAAAAATAAATGGGACTACATCAAACCAAAAAGCTTCTGCACAGCAAAGGAAACAATCGACAAAATGAAATGAAACTTAAGGACTTGTAAATCAGATATCTGATAAAGGGTTAATATTCAAAATCAACAACTAAAAATACTAATAGTAAGCTAATTACAAAGTAGACAAAGAATCTGAATAGACATTTTCCCAAAGAACACATACACATAGCCAACAAGGATTTGAAAAGGTGTTCAACATCATTCATTTCAGAAAAATGCAAATCAAAACCACAATGTGATATCACCTCCCACCTAGTGGAATGGCTATTATTGAAAAGACAAAGTACGGCAGGGTTGGTGAGGATGTGGAGGAAAAGGAACATTTGTATACTGTTTGTAGGAGTGAAAATTGGTACAACCATTATGGAAAACTGTATGGAGGTTTCTCAAAAACTTA
Organism: Homo sapiens; assembly: GCF_000001405.40. Lineage (NCBI taxonomy): Eukaryota > Metazoa > Chordata > Mammalia > Primates > Hominidae > Homo > Homo sapiens. The sequence goes on along the minus strand of NC_000012.12, from coordinate 54,841,396 downwards.
AAAAAAATAACTACCATATGACCCAGCAATACATCTATGTATATACTCAAAGGAAATCAGCATCTTATAGAGATATCTGTGCCCCTTCATGTGTTGATTGCAGCATCGTTCTACAACAGCCATGACATGAAAAACAATCTAAGTGTCGGTTAATAAATGAATAAAGAAATTCTGAGACAGATAGATAACTACATATACATGTATGTATTATTTAGGCTAAAAGAAGAAGGAAGCCCTTCCATTTTATGGCAACATGGATGAACCTGGAGGACATTATGCTTAGTGAAATAAACCAGGCACAGAAAGACAAATATTACATGATCTCACTTACATGTAGAAGCTTAAAAATAATTGAACTCATAGAGGCAGAGAGTAGAATGGTGGATACCAGGGACACAGGAGTGAGAGAAAAGGGGAGCTACTGGTCAAATTATACAGTTTCATCCCTGGGGAGGGTTTATGGCATGGGGCAGTTTTGAGTTCTGAGCACAGACTACCTGGAAGCTTGCTAGCTGCTACTAGTGGAATACTGCAGGTATGAGGCCTGCTTTGCCAAATGCGTGGGAGCTGGGTGGGGTTTACTGCCACCTGCTACTCCCCACTCCCCATGTGGATTCTTTTGTGTGGCAGAGGCAGCTGTGCTCCTCCCTGGAACATTATGCCAGCAGCCAGAGAACTGCCCTCCAATCCCCACTGGAGTCACTGCTTATACCCACATATGGATAGCCAGAGTGTGGGACTTGCCTGACCCAGCCATAACCTGGCTTTTCCCCTCCACCTGCCCTGGTAGCTTAATGCAAAGGACAGAAACTTGCGGAAACTTTATGACCCCGCTCATTGCCTGAGGCACTAGAGTACCTCCCTTGGGTAATATAAGGAAAACACCAATCCCACTGCTACCACCACAGCTGAGCTCTTTTGCAAGTGCCACCTCCTGGCTAGAGGCCAACTGACACAGTCCATTACAGCATCTGCAGGCAGAATAATACAGCATTCTGGAAGGAAACTTATTCATATCATCAGCTATTACCATTGTCTGCATCACTCTGGCTGAGCAGGAGGTCCTGAGTCTGTGCACATGACCAGTTTATTACTACTGCAGCTGGTATTTGAGAAAGCCAACACACTAAGGCTATCTATAACCAAGGAATTTCACAGACTCTACATCACTCTTGTGCCATCGCCATCAGAACTGGTCCTGGTACCTGCTTCTGGGAGACTTGAGGACATATCACATCACTGGATTCCTTGCAGACATTCCTTAGCACCAGCCTGGAGTGTGGCTACCCCACTGGGCAGCAAGAGCCAGAGGAGCAGTAGCATTCACAGTAGTCTGACCCTCAGGGACTCTTACTTCCAGGGGCAGGGGGAATTCACATCAAGGGAATACCAGGTGGGACAAAAGAATCCAGACAGCAGGCCTTGAGTCCCAGAACTTTCTGCTTGTGAAAAGCGACTCTAAGCAAAGGCACAGGTGCAGTGCAGGGCTTAGCACAGAAAGTCTGCAGCTCCGCCACAACAGTCAGGCAGCCCTGGTGCTCAAGGAGTGTTTGCCCACCACAGGTGACACAGTTGGAACTTCTCCTATGGGAGATGAGCATGGGTGCACCTGTACACAGCCTTTCTGGAACACTTCAGGGTGACTACATCCCCACACAAGGAGTGCCCTCCAGGTTCAGGCTTCCACAAGGAGTAGTCACAATCCCTTTCTACATGGAACATCAGCATTCCTGAAGAAGAAAAGAGGTACCTGTCTGATCTAAATAGCTGAAACACTGGTCAGCAGTGTGACTGGGAGGCAAATCATTTTCCTGCGACTTGACAGGAGGATGAGGTTGCTCCCTCCCTACCCCAATGAAAAGACCTCAGTGCATTTCACTGAGACCTCCCCCAGCTGCCTCTGTCAAGGCTGGGATCTCTGTCCACAATTGGATGTCGCATTTACCCACCTGCTTTAGTCACTGCCAGTTGATACCCATGGTCACCTCCCATACTGGCCAGAAGCCTGAACTGTTCAATCCAGTAAATAAAATACTGAGGGAGAAAATTAATAAATAAATAAGTGTGTGCCACTGGAGAATGAGATAAGCTTCAAGACACCCCCACCATTCCAATCCCACCTGCTCACACACCAAGCATATTGTACTACAACCAGTAGCTGAGTAAGCCACTATACAAAGACTCTCTATAACCAAGGAATTCCTACAGAGTCTTCATATTTGAAAGCACCCAGAGCCAAATTAAGTTCTAATAAACTATAATGATAAGGTCACATCCTCAATGAGAAAAAAATTTAAGAAAACATACTAAAATTAAAAATAAATTTAAAAATAATTAGGAGAAATAGTCTACCCAAGTGAGAAGGAACTAGAAAAATAATTCTGGCAATATGACAAAACAGTGTTCTATAACCCATCCAGAAGATCACATTACCTCTCCAGCAATGAATCCAAACCAATATGAAATCTTTGAGATGCCAGATAAAGAATTCAAAATGTTGATTATGAAGCCACTCAAGGAGTTACAAGAGAAAGGTGAAACCCAACATAAAGAAATTTAAAAAACAATTCAGGATAATAATGAAAAATTTTCTAAAGAGATAGATATCTTAAAGAAAAACGAATCAGAACTTCTGGAAATGAAAGACACATTTAGGGAATTACAAAGTGCAATGGAAAGTTTTAACAATAGACTAGACCAAGAAGAATTTTGGAACTCAAAGACAAGCCTTTTGAATTAACTCAATCAGAAAAAATAAAGAAAAAAAATAAAAGAAATGAACAAGAGCTCCAAGAAATATGGGATTATGTAAAACAGCCAAACCTAAGAATCATTTGTGCTCCTGAGGGAGAAGAAAAAGCAAAAAGTTTCAAAAACTTATTTGAGAGAATAATTGAGGAAAGCTTCCCTGGCCTTGCTAAAGATTTAGACACACAAATATAAGAAGCTCAAAGAACACCTGTGGGATTCATGACAAAAAGACATTACCAAGACATATAGTCATCAGGCCATCTAAAGTCAATGTGAAGGAAGATATTCTAAGAGCAGTGAGACAAAAGCATCAGATAACCCATAAAGGAAAACATATCAAACTAACAGCAGACTTCTCAGCAGAATCCTTACAAACCAGAAAGGATTAGGGTCCTATCTCTAGCCTCCTTAAATGATATAACTGTTAGCAAAGAATTCTGTATCAAGCAAAACTAAGTTTTATAAATGGAGAGAAATAGTCTTTTTCAGACAAGCAAATGCTGAGGGAGTTTGTCACTACCAGACCAGTCCTACAAGAAATGCTAAAAGGAGTTCCCAATCCTGAAACAAAAGATGGATATGCACCAGAATAGAACCACTTGAAGCATAAAACTCACAGAGCCTATAAAACAATAATGCAATGAAGATAGCAAAGTATCAAGGTAACAATCAATATGATGACTGAAACTACTACTTCATGTCTCAATGTTAAATATGTATATGAATGTAACTGAATGTAAATGGTCTAAATGCTCCACTTAAAAGATACAAATTGGCAGAACGTATTAAAAAATCACAAACCAAATATCTTCTGTTTTCAAGAGATTCACCTAAAATATAAGCATTGATTTTTTTTGTTTTTGTTTTTGTTTTTTTGGAGACGGAGTCTCACTCTGTCACCCAGGCTGGAGTGCAGTGGCATGATCTCAGCTCACTGCAAGCTCCGCCTCCTGGGTTCACGCCATTCTCCTGCCTCAGCCTCCCGAGTAGCTGGGACTACGGGCACCCACCACCACGCCCGGCTAATTTTTTGTATTTTTTTTTAGTAGAGACAGGTTTTCTCCATGTTAGTCAGGATGGTCTCAATCTCCTGACCTTGTGGTCTGCCTGCCTTGGCCTCCCAAAGTACTGGGATTACAGGCATGAGCCACCACACCCAGCCCATAAGGATTCTTATAGACTTGAGGTAAAGGGGTGGAAAACGATATTCCACACAAATGGAAACCAAAAGCAAGCAGGAGTAGCTATTCTTATATCAGATAAAACAGGTTTTAAAGCAACAACAGTAAAAACATAAAAACCCAAAAAAAGTCATTATATAATGGGAAAAGGATCAATCCAACAAGAAAACATTACAATCCTCAATATATTGCACCTAACTCTGGAGCTCCTAGATTCATAAAACAATTACTACTAAACCTAATAAAAGAAATAGACAGCAGCACAATAGTAGTTGGGGACTTCAACTCTCTACTGACAGCACTAGATAGACCATTGAGGCAGAAAGTCAACAAAGAAACACTGGACTTAAACTGCACTCTAGAAAAAATTGACCTGACAAATATTTACAGAACATTCTACTCAAGAACTGCAGAATATACATTCTTCTCCTCAGTGCATGAAATATTCTCCAAGATAGACCATATAATAAGAGATAAAACAAGTCAATATATTTTAAAAAATTGAAATTATATCAAGTGTTTTCTCAGACCACAGTGGAATTAAACTAAAAATAAACTCCAAAAAGAACCCTCAAAACTATACAAATACATGGAAATTAAATAATTTGCTCCTGAATGATTTTGAGGTTAACAATGAAATCAAGATGAAAATTCAAAAATTCTTCAAAATGAATGATAATAGTTGCACAAGTTATCAAAACCTCTGGCATATAGCAAAAGCAGTGCTAAGAGGAAAGTTTACAATTCTAAATGCCTACATTAAAAAGTTCAAAAGATCACAAGTTGACAACCTAACATCACACTGCAAGAAACTAAAGAAACAAAGACAAACCAAACCCAAAACTAGCAGAAGAAAAGAAATAATAAAGATCAGAACAGAACTGAATGAAATTGAAACAAATACAAAAAAGATCAATGAAACAAAAAGTTGTTTCTTTGACAAGATAAACACAATTGGAAAACCATTAGCTAGATTAACCAAGAAAAGAGAGAAGATTCAAATAAGCTCAGACATGAAAATTGAGACATTACAACCAATAACACAGAAATACAAAAGATAATTCAAGATTACTATAACACCTCTATGTACACAACTAGAAAATCTAGAGGAAATGAATAAATTTCTAGAAACATACAACCCTCCTAATTTGAATCAGGAAGAAATAGAAATCCTGAACAAACCAATAACAAACAAGCAATTAGACTGAATTAGTAATTTAAAAGTTGCCAGCAACAACTACAAAAAAGCCCACAGCCAGGTAGATTCACAGCCAAAGTCTACCAGACCTTCAAAGAAAAATTGACAGCAATCTTACTGAAACTATTCCAAAAGGTTGAGAAAGAGGCAATCCTCCCTAACTCATTCTGTGAAACCAGTATGCCCTGATACCAAAGCATGAAGAGGACATAACAACAAAAAAAGAAAACTACAGACCAATATTCCTGATGAACACAGATGCAAAAGTCCTCAACAAAATAATAGCAACCCAAATCCAACAGCTCGTCAAAAAGATAATTCATCATGATCAAGCGGGTTTCATCCCAGGGATGCAGGGATGGTTCCACATATGCAAATTAATAAATGTGGCAGAATTTATAAATAGGCAGAATTTAAAACAAAAATCACATGATCATCTCAACGGACACAGAAAAAGCATTCAATCAAATCCATTGCCCCTTTATGGTAGAAACCCTCAACAAACTAGACATAGAAAGAACATACTTCAAAATAATAAAAGCCATATATGACAAATCCACAGTCAGCATCATACTGAACGGGGAAAAGTTGAAAGCATTCCCACGAAGACCTGGAACAAGACAAGGAGCTCAAACAAATCAGCCAGAAAAAAAAAAAAAACAATCCCATCAAAAAGTGGACACGTGACACGAATAGACACTTCTCAAAAGAAGATATACAAATGGCCAATAAATATATGAAAAAAATACTCAACATTGCTAATCATCAGGGAAATGCAAATTAAAACTACAATGAGACACCATCTTAACCCAGCCAAAATGGCCATTATTAAAAAGTCAAAAAAACAGTAGATGTTGGTGTAGAGGTGGTGAAAAGGGGATGCTTACACACTGCTGATGGGAATGTAAATTAGTACAACCTCTATGGAAAACAGTATGGAGAGTTCTCAAAGAACAAAAAGTAGATCTACTGTTTGATCCAGCAATCCCACTACTGGCTATCTACCTAAAGGAAAATAAGTCATTATATCAAAAAGACACATACGTGTATATGTTTATCATAGCAGAATTCAACATTGCAAAAATATGGAGCCAATATAAGTGCCCATCAACGAATGAGTGAATAAAGAAAAGGTGGTATATGTACACCATGGAATACTACTCAGCCATAAAAGAGAATGAAATAGTGTTTTTTGCAGCAACTAGCAACTTGGATGGAGCTGGAAGCCATTATTCTAAGTGAAGTAACTCAGGAATGGAAAACAAAATACCGTATGTTCTCACTTATAACTGGAAGCTAAACTATCTGTATGCAAAGGCATACAGAGTGGCATAATGGATATTGGAAACTCAGAATGGAGGAGAGTGGAAGGAAGGTGAGGAATAAAAACCTACATATTGGATACAATGTACACTGCTCGGGTGACAGGTGCACTAAAATCTCAGACTTCTCCACTCTACAATTCATCCATATAACCAAAAACCACTTTTACCCCCAAAATTATTGAAATAAAAAATATATATATTTATTTTTAGTATATAAAATTTCAATCATGTAGGATGAATAAATTCTAGAGATACACAGTTAGTTCATTATGATTAATGATACTGTATTCTATACTTAAAATTTGCTAAGAGAGTGGATTTTAAGTATTCTCACCACAAAAAATAGTAACTATGTAAAGAGAATGTTATGCTAATTAGTTGGATTGTGGTAACAACTTCACTGTGTATATCAAAACATTACATTGTTTACCTTAAATATACAAAACTTTAAAGATAAATTTTAAAAATAAAATACAATAAAATTGCACCAGTGAAAGAGTATGGCTTGTGATGAGGATTTACAATTAGACGATGAAAAGAAGAGAGAGACCAGAAGGTAATTCACAAATATACAGTGACTGATTGAATTTTAAAATAAAGTGAAGAAAAGGTAGTTTAAAAATGCTGATAGGTAAATTCAAGATTCATATAAAAGGCAAAAAATACTCAACTTCACTCAATACACTAAAATAAATTCCAAATAGTTTATTATGTAGAGAATATATCTAAATAATAAGTGTAACAGTAAACCTTCTAAAAGAGAATATAGAAAAATAAGTTCATGAAGTTCACGCAAATATGTCTTATATAGAACAAAATCAAAGCACTAACCCTGAAGAGATAGGTTAATGAATTAAACTACAATGAATATAAAAGCTCTTACATCCAAATCACTATTCAAGCCACGCATTCAGAGGGTATAGTTATAATGCATGTAATTAACAAACGACTGTTAAGTAGACTTTTTTTTATTATACTTTAAGTTTTAGGGTACATGTGCACAATGTGCGGGTTTGTTACATATGTATACATGTGCCATGTTGGTGTGCTGCACCCATTAACTCATCATTTAGCATTAGGTATATTTCCTAATGCTATCCCTCCCCCCTCCCCCAACCCCACAACAGTCCCCAGAGTGTGATGTTCCCCTTCCTGTGTTCATGTGTTCTCATTGTTCAATTCCCCTCTATGAGTGAGAACATGCGGTGTTTGGTTTTTTGTCCTTGCAATAGTTTGCTGAGAATGATGGTTTCCAGCTTCATCCATGTCCCTATAAAGGACATGAACTCATCATTTTTTATGGCTGCATAGTATTCCATGGTGTATAAATTCCTTAGAAAAAGATAATCCAATATAACCATTGGGGAAAAGTTTTGAATAAGACTTCAGAAAAGGGGATATCTTTATGACCAATAAATTTATGAAAATGTGCTCTAATTTGTTTGACATAAGGAAAAAAATTAAAACAATTAGATAGCACTAGGCATCATCAGATGGGTTGAAATTTTATGAACTGAAAATACCAAGTATTGGAAAGGTGTATATAACTGTAAAGATATGTGGATCTCATCTATACAAAAAACTAGAAAATATTATTGAAACTAAATAAAAGGAAAAATAAACTGAGAAATAAAACATTTGCATAGATTAGAAAATTCCAGTTCTCCTCATATAATTCTATATATTCGATGCAAAACTCAACAAAATTTCAAAAGGTTGGATGTGTGTGTGTAGGTAAATATGAATGCATGCACAACAGAATATGCTTTATTAAAACATACATAAAAAGCCAAGGAAAAAGGACCTAGAATGGACAGGACAGCTCTAAGGAAAGTCAAATGAGCAACTCTTACTCTTCTAGATATCAAAAATTAATATAAAGTTACAGTAACGAATAGTGCTGTACTGGTACAGGAATTTAAAAAGAAAAACATAATATAAATCCAGGTTAAAGATCTGATGATAATTCATTTAATAAGGAAGCTTGGTTATTTTGTGACATACAAAGTTTAAAATAATAACTCAAATTATAGCTGATCACTTTATACCAGGACATACAAAATTTCTAGAAATTTTATATGATTTCTTGAAAATAGCATTTTACCTATACAAATGTAACCTAGGGAAGGTTAAGCATCACTTCTTATTTGACACATTTCCATTCAGCTTAACATATCAAATAATATAAATTATTTTTACCAGATTCCTTTGCAAAATGAAAGAAAAATTCTCTTGGGTATTTTCCAGGGGCCGTCTGTGATGTCTCAGTCAGTTTTAGGTCAAAAAGACCTCATAAAGCATCCGATTGTTAGAGATTGTCAAAAATGTCAAAAGGTTTAAATAGACGAGTAAGTAGGATCACAGGCCACCATGAAACAACAGTTATCCGTTTAACCAAAGTGACAATAAAAGATTTTAAAGGCAAATACAGAAGCTTACATAGTTGTAAACAAAACCCTTAGCTCTTTTAATATTGTGAAGACTCTTAAGTAATCAAAGACATGATAAAGACAACATAAAACAGAGGAAATTATTCAGAAAAGACACAAAACATTGGTTTCCCAGGCAGATTATGCAAAAGTTAAAGAAAAGCCTTTCACAATCTCTTATTAAGAGCAAACCAATAATCCCCCCACCCAAAATTTGTCTTTTTAACAGAAAGAAAGCCATATTCTAGCTTTGCATTAGTGTACTTTTGATGTTAAGGCTCATATTTTTAAATGTGTAAACAAAGGAATTCAAATCTTAGCCAGCTTGACTACACATAAATTTCATTTTCCACAAGCCTTCTGCAACTTCCTATATCCTTTAGTTTTTGCTCTATATTTTTCTTATTCCTCATTCTGGAACAACTAGTCATCTAACTTTAGGATAAAATTACTCTCTTTTTCCCTTAACAAAAACACATCCTTCATACTCGTATATTTCCTATCAAAGATATATCCTATTTTCCCTGAAAACTTTTGATGAAGAATTGTTTTCCTAATTATTTTCACATATTAATTGTAATGTTTAACCATTAGTAAGGTTTCTTTTATAGAGAAAATTAGGAGGTAGATAATTGTGAAATGTCTTTGTTACATGGCAGCATTCTGTAGCAAGCTTGCAAAAGTGATGAATATACCATTTCACAATTTTAGAGGCATATGCTTCCTCATAGTATAATTTTTCAATGTGACAAAAATTAACAGACTCAAATATATTTAGTCTCTTTATACTGTATAAAAGCAAGATGCCAAAAATATATAAACTTAAACTTATGCTCAGTAATTGTTTCAGTATTTTATCTTATTTGGAAATAATCTAGATATTCAATGAATATGCATCATTTAACTTAGTATAACTTAAGGTTTCAAGTTACCAAAAAGAAACTATTTTTCAGGTAGACTTATTGTAACATTAAGCAAAGTTAGTCATCATCTCAAGTTATTTCCCCCTTAACTATTTTAACCTTATATGACTATTAAACCCAAGTAGAATATAAATGTATGTTTCTATTATACTTAATGCTGATTACCCAGAACACAGCTGTTTTTACTAAACTAACAATATTAAACTAATCTTATTTACCAAAAACTTACCCAAGTCACATGAACTTGAAAGACATTTGAGTTTCTAAATTTCTGTGAGTTTTAGGAATATTTAATTTATATAAGCACTCATTTATCTCTAAGTCAATTTGCATAGAATTCCTCTAAGAAATTGCATAAATTAATTTGATAATACCATTTGGGAGTAGAAAAATATCACATAAACATAACATACATGCATATACACATACAGAAATATACAGACTGTAGAGATCTTAGTGCTTTCATTTTCAAAGTTTAGCCATAAGTTAGTAATACAAAACTCTCTGGTTTATATAAAATAATTGCCTCTCACCTTTCTTCTACTTTATATTTTTATCCAAATCACGTTTCTGGCAAATAGGACAAATTAAGGATATCTGTTCACCAACATTTGTAGCAGACATTTTTAAGACTTTCTTTGTCATCTTAGGGAAGTTGTGGGCTAAAATTTTGGTGAATTATTATGAAGCTGTTTGTGTGTATCCAACACTCACCTGAGTGTACAAAACATCCAGTCTGTTTCCAAAGTTTTTTTTCTGTTTTCAGCCTCTAATCATTGCTTTTGGGGATCCCTCAGGGATCCCTCAGTCTCTTAAGGAGAGCCCCCAATGGAGGCCAAGGGGTCTATAGTTCAAGTGACTGTTGGGAGCTGAGAGGTTGAAGTGGGAAATGAAAAGCCTGGCAGAATGAACAGAGGGATGAAGGTGGTAGAGTTAAAAGGGGGATATATCAAAGGCTTCAAGGTCGCTGAAGGGAAGATCAAAAGTGGTTAAAGAACAAAGGAGGAATGGGAAGGGAGAGGCCTTACAGAAGCCAGTTTGGGGAGATCATAAGTTTCCCAAAGAGGACAATGAAGTTCCAAATTATTCTCTGCAAATTTATGCCAACAGGAAGGAGGTGGACAGATTGGTAGAGCATATAGTCAGTAGGAGTTCAAGAAGGGAGTTTCAGCCAACTGAGAATTTTCCATGAGAGAAACAGGATAAAATAGAGAGAATGGAGAGGCCTCACAAAGAGCCAAGAAAAATTTCCCACTCAAGACTGAGAGCCAGGAAGAAAAACTACCAACCCAGGAAGTCAGGGATCAATCCTCCCTCCAGACAGAGAGAGACAGGAAGAAAGACTGCTAGTCCAGCAGGTATCTTTCAAACAAAGAAGTCTAGGGCTCTAACCCACCTCCTTTTACCTGGGACTAACCTAGTTTCTTATAAACAGCTGCTCATAGCCCAACTTCTTGCAAACAAAGAAACGTGGGCCTCAAATTCAGCTTCTGTTATTCTGAGACTCTAATCCAGATTTTTCAGTATACTCAGAATCTTAAGAATCAAAATCTGTCCTTAGCTTCAGTGAACTGTCATCTAGAGCAATGGTTCAGGAATCTGACTCACCAACGGATTCCTGACCAGTCCCTGGGGATTGAAGACAAAGGGTTCAAAGGAACACATGTAAGGCCCTGGATGAGAGGTCGGGGTACAATGATGACGACTCTGACTCTACGCAAGTCACAGGCACCATAGCTGTTTAAAGAAGAAAATATTTATGGCACTTGTTAAAGTAGACTTTATTTAAGGGGGGAATATCATGATAAATGTACGTTCCATCTCAATGGGATTTTACAACATATAAAAAGGAAAGTACTTCCCCTTCCAGCACATAACTGCTGGGGAAAAAAAAAAAAGGAAGATATACAATGACCAAATAAGACTTATCCCAGAATGCAAGACTTCTTCAACACATGAAAAAGTCAATCAATGGAGGGCACCATCTTAAAGGAATAATGGACAAAAACCACATGATCATCTCAATAACCACAGAAAAAGCATTTGAAAAAAACCCGTGCCCTTTTTTGATTAAAACACACACACACACACACACACACACACACACACCGAATAAGATAGAAATAGAAGGATATTTCCTCAACCTGATAAAAGACATCTACAAAAAAACCTACAAGTAACATCATAATGGTGAAAGCTGGATGCTTTCCCCTTAATATCAGGAAAAAAACAAGAATGTCTATTTTTACCCCTTCTGTTCATTGTTTTGGAAGTCTATCTAGGGCAATTACACAAGAAAAAGGTAGGCAAGATTCAATATCAAGATTGGAAAGAAATAAGTAAAACTATCTCTCTTTGCAGGTGATATGACCTGGTATATATAAAATACTGAGGGGTATACTAAAAAGAAAAACTATTAAAACTTAAGAACTAGCCAGGCATGATGGCTCACACCTGTAATCCCAACACTTTGGGAGGCCAAGGCAGGCAGATCACTTGAGGCCAGGAGTTCAAGACCAGCCTGGCCAACATGGTGAAACCCTATCTGTACTAAAAATACAAAAATTAGTTAGGCGTGGTGGCACACACCTGTAACCCCAGCTACTGGGGAGGCTGAGGCAGGAGAATTGCTTGAACTCAGGAGGTGGATCACGACAGTGTGCTCCAGTCTGGGCAACAGAGTGAGACCCTATCTCAAAAAGAAAAAAAAAGAACTAGTGAACTAGTTCAGCAATGTTTCAGGATAATAGAATAAATATTAATAAATCAATTGCACTTGTAAACATCAGCAATGTATAATCCAAAAGTGAAATTAAGAAAATAATTTCATTTGTAATAGCATCAAAAATAATGAAATACTTAAGAATAAATTTAACCGAAAAAGTGTGTGATGGTTAATTTTAGGTGTCAACTTGAATGGGTTAAGGAATGCCTAAATAGCTGGCAAAGCACTATTTCTAGATGTGTTATGAGGATGCTTCCAGAGGAGATTCGTGTGTAAGTCAGTGGACTGAGTGGGGAAGATCCACCCTCAATGTGGGTGAGTACCACCCAACTGGCTGGGGGACCTGACAGAACAAAAAGGCAGAGAGGAGATCAATTCATTTTCTCTCTCATTCTCTCTCTCTGTCTCTCTCTCTGTCTCTCTTTATCTCTGCTGGACCTGAGACATCTTTCTTCTCCTGCCCTTGGACATTACAACTTCATCCTCTCCAGCCTTTGGACTCCATAACTTAGACTAGCAGCCCTCCAGTTTCTCAGGCCTTTGGCCATGAACTGAAAATTACACCATTGGCTTCCCTGGTTCTAGGCTTTTGGACTTGGACTGAGCCATGCTACCAGCATCCTAGGATGTCCAGCTTGCAGACAGCCTATCATGGGTCTTCTCAGCCTCCATAATTGCACGAGAAAATTCTCCTAATAAATTCCCTCACATATCTATATCTATAACTATAGTTATGTCTATTTGTATCTTCTATTGGTTCATTCTCTCTGGAGAACTCTAATAGAATGTCCAAAACTTGTACATTAAAAACTAAACAACATAATTAAAAGAAATTTTAAAAGACCCAAATAATTGGAAGAACATCCTGCATTTATGGATCAAAAGACTTCATATTGTTAAGATGGCAATACTTAACTAACATTTGTTAGTTCACAACCATTTAATTCACTCTCTCAACAAATATTTATGAAGCATTATCATGTGCCAGTTGTGATGCTAGGCAATAGGAAAACAATAATGAAAAAAAAAACAGAAAAATTCCTGCCCTCATGAAATGTAGATACTATTGCAGGAAATACTATAAACAACATGCATAGTGCATAGTACATTCAGTGGCAATAAGAATAAAGAGAAAAATAATATAGAAAAAAAGAGATTGGAAGAATGAGTGATGACTGCTGGGGAGTCAGAGTTACAATTGTTAGAGTTGCTAAAGGAAACCTTACTGATCAGGTGACATTTGAACAAAGACTTGAAGAATCTGGAATTTACCATGTAGTATCTAGAGGCACTGTATCCCAGGAAGAGGAAAGAGAACATTAAAAAACCCTTCCAGTGTTTGTAGTCTTTCTACAATAGCTAAGATCGAGCTATGCACCATGATATAAGTAACATGCCCTTCACTGGAAGAGGAAAGAAAGAATCATTTCAGTTGCTACAACACATCAGGATAGCCAACCGTGAGATGGCACATGTCCTTATCATAACCATAAGCAGGCCTCACCAAGGTAAAATGTCTTCTATATTGTGCTTGGCAGAGAAACGGCTGCCCTACATTTCCTGAGACACCTAAAGAGGTGGATAACTTTTTACCTGTTACAAAAAAGCATTGTCTGCAGCTGGATAACTCTGGTGGCTTAAAGGTTCTTCTTTTTCAGAAAAAAAAAAAAACTTTATAATACTGAAAGAAATCAGATGTTGGAATTGTCTGACAAGGATACCCACTCGCTGGGTGGGTATCTGCCCTTTGGAGCAACACTGAACAAGCCTCTTCTTGTTTTCACAGAATTCATCAGGCAACTGCAGATACTGGAATTATCAAGAGGTGGTAGCAGGTCTCCATCAGATAAATTGAGCAGGGCACATGGATATCCTGAGAGAATGATCTGTAAACTCAAGAATACAGGTTGACCATCACATCTTAGATAACCTCATCTCTACCATGAGAAACAGGGCTACCATCAGAATGTAAGAGGCAGCAAGGAGTTAGAATTGACAGAAAAGGTTATATATTTCTTTTTAAATTAATGTATATCAGGGCATAATACAGTGCTCAATAAACACATTCTGAGGACAAACAAAAAAGATGGAAAGATTAAAAGATGGTGTAGAAGTTTCCAGTTCAGACAATGTGATGTACAATTGTTCTTCTCTACTCCTCCCTGCTAAATACAACTGTAACCCCTAGAAATAATAGAAGAGGCACCAAACAACAACTCTGAAATGGGAAAAAAGAGAAAGTTAGACAGGTTAGAGACCACGTGACTGGAGAAGCAATATAGTGTCAAGGCATCTTAGGACCTTCGCCTGTCCTCCAACAGAAAAGGGTGACCCAGGTCTAAAGATTCCCAGTCTCAAACCTAGCAACAGATAGTGTCCAAGCCCCCAAAATACCAGTTGAGTCTGGCAATAAAAATTTGTTGGAATCCCCACTGACAATCAGTAGCCAGGAAAAGTGCTCTCCTTTTCATTCGGGCCTAAGAATCCACAGCTCAACCAAGAGACCCTTGACTTCCAGGGAACAGCAGCAAGAAACACTCCACCACAATCAGCAGCCCAACCTAAAAAAAAACAAAAACAAAAAAAAAACTCTTTGTACCTCACAGTGAAGAGGGAAGAGGGAAACTGGCCCACCTGTACTTTTGTTTCTGTTGGGCCTGAGACTCCCCTCTGCTATCAAAAGACCATGTGTTTGGGAGACAACAGCAAGGGGAATCTGTCCACAAGTGGCCTGGAAGCTTCTTTGTCCCCACAGACCAGAGACCCCCTTCTCCAACTTACAGGTACCAGGCAGACTGGCCTAAGAAAGTGCCAGCAGGAACCAGAGGGAGCCACAGCAGTAACAAATACACCAAGAAAACCAAAACAGCTCTTCAAAGGCTTTGGAAATTCAATGTAATTGGAACCACAACTCACAAAAGTAAAACAGACTCTGTGTGCTACACCTAAACACAGTGACCATCTGCTAAAATAAAACATTTAAATACAATCCAGAGTCTCCTAACATAATAGTAAAACTATCTAGCATACAATTAAAAACCATCATGATACCAAGAACCAGGACAATCATATCTTGAATGAGAAAAGACAATTCATTGATGCCAATACTGAAAGGAATCAGATGTTGGAATTGTCTGACAAGGATATTAAAGAAGCCATCATTAAAATGTTTCAAAAAATACTTACAAATTTTTCTGACACAAATGAAGAAAAAAAAATTAGCACAATAAAATGAGATTAGAAAATTGTTGAATTTAAATTATGGAACTAGAAAATACAATAACAAATGAAAAACTCAATGTATGCGCTCAATAGTAGAGAGGAGATGACAGAGCACGAAATCAGGGAACTTCAGGACAGATAAACAGAATTTATCCAATCTGAACAATAGACAGAAATTAGACTGAAATAAAAGAACTAAGCCTGGGAGAATAGGGTAATAACTAAAGAGCCAATATTCACATCATTGGTGTTTAAGAAGGAGAGGAGAAAGAAAGTGGATCTTAAAGCAAATTCAAATAAATAAAGACAAAACTTCCTAAAATTGGGTAAAGATATAAACCTAGAGATTGAAGAAGCTGAGTGAACCCCAGATACAATAAATCTTTTTAAAAATCCAGGTCAAGGTACATTTTAATTAAACTTTTGGAAACAAAGCAAAATTTGATAAAGAAAATTTTGAAAGCAGGTAGGGAGAAATGACACATTATCTATAAGGGAACAAGACACATACTAAATAATTTTTCAACTGAAACTAAACTACGAAGGCTAAAACAGAAAGAGGCATATTTTTCAAGTGCTAAAAAAAAGAACCATCAACTGTAAGCTCCATAGCCAGCAAAACAGTTCTTCAGGAATAAAGGAGAAATGAAGACATTCTCAGATAAAGAAAAACTAAAAAAATAAATAAACAAAAATTTTAAAAAGTCACTAGCAGACTTACCTATCTTCAAGGAAGTTTCTTCAAACAAAAAGCTATTGATAAAAGAAAAAATATTGGAGCATCAAGAAGGAAGGACAATGGTAAGAGTAGAAATATGGGTACATAAAATAGACCGTCCTTCTCTGCATAAATTTTATAAATCATATTAGATGACTAAAAAAATAACAACATGTGATACTCAAGAAAAGTTGTAAAGAGACCTAAATGGAAATAAGATTTCCACATTTCACTCAAAGTGTTAAAATGTTGATACCATTAGACTGTGGTAAGTCACACATGCACATTGTAATACCCAAAGCAACCACTAAGAAACCTACAAAGAGATACACTGGAAACTGCAATAAATAAATCAAGATGAAATTCTAAAATGTATTCAAGAAACCTACAGAAAAGAAAGGAGATAAACAAAAGAACAAGAAACAGAGGAAACAAATAGAAAACAAATAATAAAATGACAGATTTTTGGAAGGCCGAGGCAGGTGGATCACGAGGTCAGGAGATCTAGACCATCCTGGCTAGCACGATGAAACCCGGTCTTTACTAAAAATACAAAAAAATTAGCTGGGCCTGGTGGCAGGTGCCTGTAGTCCCAGCTACTCGGGAGGCTGAGGCAGGAGAATGGCATGAACCCGAGGGGCAGAGCTTGCAGTGAGCAGACATGATGCCACTGCAGTCCAGCCTGGGAACAGAACGAGACTCCATCTCAAAAAAAAAAAAAAAAAAAAAATGACAGATTTAATTGTAATTACCATAAACATAAATAGTCCAAATATACCAATTAAAGGGCAGAGATTTTAAGGGAGATTAAAAGTATATATACATATATGTATATAAAATACAATAAAATAGAAAATTAAAAAAAGGATAATAAGGGAATACTATGAACAGCCTTATGCTCATAAATTTGACAATTTAGAAGAATTGTTCTCACTCATAGGTGGGAATTGAACAATGAGAACACATGGACACAGGAAGGGGAACATCACACACTGGGGCCTGTTGTGGGGTCAGGGGAGGGGGAAGGGATAGCATTTGGAGATATACCTAATGTTAAATGACGAGTTACTGGGTGCAGCACACCAACATGGCACATGTATACATACGTAACTAACCTGCACATTGTGCACATGTACCCTAAAACTTAAAGTATAATAAAAAAAAAGAAGAAGAAGAATTGGACCAATCTCTTAAAAAACACAAACTACCCAAACTTGATATGAAATAAGTAATATGAAAAAGGCCATAACAATTAAATAAATTGAATTCATAATATAAAAATCTCCTTTAAAGATGACTCCACTTCCAAATGGTTTCCCTGGAGAATTCTACCAAACATTTAAAGACATTACCAACAATTTTACATAATCTCTTCCAGAATATAAGAGGTGTGGGAACACTTCCCAACTCATTTTATGAAGCCAGTATTACTCCAATAGTAAATCCAGACAAAGGCAGTATAATTTAAAAAAAGTAAAAACTAAAGATCAATATTTCTCATGATGCAGTTATCAACAAAGTATTAGCAAATCAAATCCAAACCATATAAAGAGAATCATACATCATACTGAAGCAGTGTCATTTATCTGGGGTAAATACCTGAGGTTCATCATCTCATGCCAAGGAAATTGAGTACACAGACATACAAGAAGTGGGTTTAAGAGTGGTTTAATAGGCAAAAGAAAGAGAAAGGAGATTAGCTCTCTCTCTTCTGCCAGAGAGAGGGGTGCCCAAGTGGGACCTCCAGCCCACAGTGGAGTGCACAGGGTTTTATAGACTGGCTTGAGGAGGTGGTGTCTGATTTATGTAGGGCCCAAAGATTGGTTGGACCAGGTGTGACATTTACGTAGCACAAGGAGAAGCTGGCCACCCCACCCTAATATTATGCAAATGGTATCTTTGCCTGGTCAGCACCATGTTGTCTGCTTCTGACTGCACACATGGTTGGCAAGGAAAAGGGAAGATGGAACCACCATTTTGAACATGCCTAACCCCCAGGTAGCCCCTTTCTTATTGACACAACTGCCAGCATTCACCTGTGCAAGTTTCCAGCTTACTTGTCTATGTCTGTAGCTCAATTTTACTGGCTGTTCTTTGTTAGAAAAGAAAATGATTTGGGGGCTGCTTTTCACTAAAAGAAAAGCCTTACCGAGGACTTCCTTACCCTCACTATCTGCCTAAATAATTTCTTTTTAATTCCTATATCAATGCCAAGTGGTATTTATTCCAGGTATGCAAGGCTAGTGCAATATTCAAAATTCAATCAATGTAATCCCTCACATGAACAGGCTAAGTGATAAAAATCACATGATCACATCAATTCATGCAGCAAAAATCATTTGACAAAATTCAGTATCTAATCATGATAAAAATTCTCAGAAAACTAAGAATATAGCTATTGTCTTAGTTCATTTAATGTTGCTATAACAGAATACCACAGACTGAGTAATTTATAATGAATGGAAATTTGTTTGTCTTGTGGTTCTAGAGGCTGGGAAGTCCAAGAGCATGGCACTAGCCTCTGGTAAGGGCCTTTGTGCTGCATGCTCCCAAGAACAATGACAGAAGGGCAAAAGAGGGAGCAAGTGAGAAAGCAAACTCACTTTTATGACCATTTACTCTTGTAATAATGAACTCATTCTCATGACCATGACATTAATCCATTCATGAAGGCAGAGCCCTCTTGGCCTAACAGCCCTCTTAACAGTCCCACTTTGCAGTACTATCCCAAAAGTGATTAAATTTCAACATAAGTTTTGAACTTATGTTTCTATTTGCTGAGCAAATAGAAAGTGACATTACTTATGCAGCGCCTTGAGGGAGTGGAGAGAGCTATGGCAGCCCCTAGCTCAGGCCACTCCAGGCTCCCACCTCAGCCCTCTACCCCTGGCTCCCCAAAACTCATGTTTTCTCACATGCAAAATACATCCAGAGAGTGGGTGGAAGATGCCGTGCCAGCAGGATGCAGCCTAAGGATCCTGGAGGTGGAGTAGGCAGAGCCCCGGAGCCAGGCCAGGGCTGGCCCAAGAAAGTGCCACAGCCAGAGCAGGCCACCCACTTGCCTCAAGCTCATCAGCTGCCCCTCCTCTCCCTGTGCCCACTCCCCCACAGGGCCAGAGAGGCTGCCATCACAGCTCAGAGGGAGTCGTGGCAAAGGGAAGCCAAGAAGCAGGTCCTGGGGAGGAGCCCACAGTGCTCCTCCAGGAACTGGCAATAAGATGGCAGGTCCAATGGGGAGACAGAGGCCAAGTCACTCAGCCTATCGTGGAAGGCCAGGATGCTGCCTTTCTAATGTGACTGTCCTGCTATCAGCCCTCACCATCATGGCAACTCTCACAACTTCGGTCCTGCTGTTCACACAGACTGTGGTGTCCAAGGCAACATTATCCTGGAAGTTCCTATGGTCCGTCTTCTTGGAAATCAGACACCACCTCCTCACCACCACCACCTGGGCCAGAGCACAGGTGCACCTTGTAGATGTGCCTGTGAGGGGACAGGATTCAGTGGCAGGCACTTATCCCAGCAGTTTCAGGTTCTCGGTTGTTGTTTCTATACCTGTAACAAATGACAGGGCCAGACACACTATATTGTAGAAGAAACCTCTGTAGAGGAGCAGGATGCAGCAGTCATGATGTGGCCCAAACAGTAGCTGTCAGGCAGATAGACCCTGCATCCACTCAATTTGTCCAAAGAAGCCCCCATATTCTCTGTGAAAAAGATTTCCAGAAGGTGTTGTCAACAACAAAGTCTAAAAAAACACACACACACAAAACCACCAACTCTAAAGATCATTCTTGCGAGTGATTTGAAAATCAACGTCAAATTCAAGTGGCAAGATACCACCCTAATAGCCAGATCTGTAGAGCCTACCCATCATGCCAGGGAAAATGCTCTATTCATCATTCCTTAGCTTCTGGTTCTGTTCAGAGTTCTCTCTATGTCAGAAGGGTTTTAAAGCTAGAGGGGCCTTTACCCATTTACTCATATTCACAGATCTGCATATGGAGGTCAAGAGGGGAAGTGACATGTCCCAAGTGAGAGCAGAGTCAAAAAGAAAACAAGACAAAAAATTACTGATCCTCTAGTGTATACTGGGCATTGGCTAGCTACTGGCGATATGGAGATGAAGAAAACATAGCCCCTTCTTCAAGGAGCAAAATCTAGCAAGGTAGACAGACTCTTTGTAGCCAAAAGCAGGCTTCCCTGCAGCAGAAGGAAATGTGAAATCAGGGTAATGATCCTCACCAGGGACAGGTCACCACACTGCACCAAGAGAATCATTTGTGGACCCGGGGCTATGGCATGGCCCTTCTTTGAACCTCTAGCTGTGCTGTAGTGTGAGGTGGGAGCCTGGAGTAGCCTGAGCTAGGGGCTGCCATGAGCTCTTTCCACTCCCTCAAGGCACTGCAGCATAAGTAATGTTGCTTTCTATTTGCTCAGCAAAATCAGGGACATAGTTTTCTAGAACATGAGGTGGCTCCCCTCCTCCCAGTTCAGTAGATGGTCTACTCTGCTTTGTGGGCCCTTGTTTGTGTTAGAGAAAGAACACTCCACATGGTTCTGAGTGGTCACTTGTGGCCCACAGGCCACTGGCAAGTGGAGCCAGAGCTGTGAAGCCCTTAGGAGCCATGGTGGGCCTGCTGCCCACCACGAAATACATACTCAGCTGCTGCTGGCCCACGTGTGGGCAGTTGGGCAGTACTACTAGTAACGTACAGAATCCTGGGACTAGAGTCAGTTACCCTGTATATACTCTGGGTGATCCAGGCATGCACTGCTGTGTTGGCCTCTATGAGCAGGAGATAACATATGGTGATAAAAAAGGAAGAGCTGGCCGGAAGAGGTTCAACCCAGGGTGAGGTTCATGGAAAGGCCAAAGACAAGATGGGGCCAGCATCCCAGGCCAGTGATGGCCTCACATCCACCATGCCAAGGCCAGTCCTCAATTGCTCCAAACCCTCTGCTTGAGGTTTCTAAATGAAATGAACAGGTCTTCCCTTCAGGGCATAAGTGAGCTTCTGAAGACAGTATAAAAATGCCAGCCTCCTGAACTTCCCCAAGTGACTGATGCAGAACAATTCCCACATGCTGCACAGCACAGTGGAGATCTTCGGGGGCAAACCGTGATGATCTGAATGACAGCACTGACTGTTGGCGACCTGCAGAGATGCCTGACCAAGAAATTGCAAGATGGAAGCAAAGGCTGGAGCAGGCCAAGGCAGAAATGAAACAGGCCACAGATGTTGGAGTGAGGCAACTGACCTCTCTGGCCCACAACCCGCAGAGCAACCTGCATCTGCTGGAGGGTGGTAGAGACCACGTAGAGAACAGGGACTTGGCAAAGGAGGGGAACAAGAAAGCAAGACAGGGATTGCTGGCAAGATGGCCAAATAGGAACAGCTCCAGTCTGCAGCTCCCAGTGAGATCAATGCAGACGGCAGGTGAATTCTGCATTTCCAACTGAAGCACCCAGTTCATCTCACTGGGACTGGTTGGACAGTGAGTGCAGCCCAAAAACAGTGAGCCAAAGCAGGGTGGGGCATTGCCTCACACAGGAAGCATAAGGGGTTGGGGAACTTCCCTCTCCTAGCCAAGGGAAGCCATTAGGGACTTTGCCATGAGGAATGGTACATTCCAGCCCAGATACTGCACTTTTCCCGTGGTCTTCACAACCCACAGACCAGGAGATTCCCTCCGGTGCCTACACCAACAGGGCCCCGGGTTTCAATCACAAAACTGGGTGACCATTTGGGCAGACACCAAGCTAGCTACAGGAGATTTTTGTTTGTTTGTTTGTTTGTTTGTTTGTTTTTCATACCCCAGTGGTGCCTGGAACACCAGAGAGACAGAATCATTTACTCCCCTGGAAAGGAGGCTGAAACCAGGGAGCCAAGTGGTCTGGTTCGGTGGGTTCCACTCCCACAGAGCCCAGAAAACTAAGATCCACTGGCTTGAAATTCTCACCACCAGCACAACAGTCTGAGGTTGATATGGGACCCTTGAGCTTGGTGGGCGGAGGGGCCTCCACCATTCCTGAGGCTTAAGTAGGTGGTTTTATAATCACAGTGTAAATAAGGCTGCTCAGGAAGTTTGAAATGGGCAGAGCCCACCACAGCTCAGGAAGGCTGCTGCAGCCAGACTGCCTCTCTAGATTCCTCCCCTCTGGGCAAGGCATCTCTGGAAAAAAAAAAAAAAAAAAAAGGAGGGGTGGAGCCAAGATGGCTGAATAGGAACTAATCCAGTCTGCAGCTCCCAGCGTGAGCAACACAGAAGATGGGTGATTTCTGCATTTCCAACTGAGGTACCCGGTTCATCTCACTGGGGAGTGTCGGAAAGTGGGTGCAGGACAGTAGGTGCAGCCCACCGAGCATGAGCCGAAGCAGGGCAAGGCATTGCCTCAACTGGGAAGTGCAACGGGTCAGGGAATTCCCTTTCTTAGTCAAAGAAAGGGGTGACAGACAGCACCTGGAAAATCGGGTCACTCCTAGCCTAATACTGTGCTTTTCCAAAGTCTTAGCAAACGGCACACCAGGAGATTATATCCTGCACCTGGCTCAGAGGGTCATATGGCCACGGAGCCTCGCTCATTGCTAGCATAGCAGTCTGAGACCAAATTGCAAGGCGGCAGCGAGGCTGGGGGAGGGGCACCGAACATTGCCCAGGCTTGAGTAGGTAAATAAAGTGGCCTGGAAGCTAGAACTGGGTGGAGCCCACTGCAGCTCAAGGAAGCCTGCATGCCTCTCTAGAGTCCACCTCTGGGGGCAGGGCATTGCCAAACAAAAGGCAGCAGAATCCTCTGCAGACTTAAATGTCCCTGTCTGACAGCTTTGAAGAGAGTAGTGGTTCTCCCAGCATGCAGCTGGAGATCTGAGAACGGACAGACTGCCTCCTCAAGTGGGTCCCTGACCCCCGAGTAGCCTAACTGGGAGGCACCCCCCAGTAAGGGCAGACTGACACCTCACATGGCAAGGTACTCCTCTGAGACAAAACTTCCAGAAGAATGATCAGGCAGCAAAATTTCCTGCTCACCAATATCTGCTGTTCTGCAGGCTCCACTGCTGATACCCAGGCAAACAGGGTCTGGAGTGGACCTCCAGCAAACTCCCACAGACCTGCAGCTGAGGGTCCTGACAGTTAGAAGGAAAACTAACAAACAAAAAGGACATCCACACCAAAACCCCATCTGTACATCACCATCATCAAAGACCAAAGGTAGACAAAACCACAAAGATAGGGAAAAAACAGAGCAGAAAAACTGGAAACTCTAAAAGTCGAGTGCCTCTCCTCCTCAAAAGGAACGCAGATCCTCACCAGCAATGAAACAAAGCTTGATGGAGAATGACTTTGATGAGCTGAATGGAGAAGGCTTCAGACAATCAAACTACTCCGAGCTCAAGGAAGAAGTTCGAACCCATGGCAAAGAAGTTAAAAACCTTGAAAAAAATTAGAAGAATGGCTAACTAGAATCACCAATGCAGAGAAGTCCTTAAAGGAGCTGATGGAGCTGAAAATCAAGGCATGAGAACTACGTGAGGAATGCAGAAGCCTCAGTAGCTGATTTGATCAACTGAGAGAAAGGGTATCAGTGATGGAAGATCAAATGAATGAAATGAAGTGAGAAAAGAAGTTTAGAGAAAAAAACAATGAAAAGAAACGAGCAAAGCCTCCAAGAAATATGGGACTATGGGAAAAGACCAAATCTATGTCTGATTGGTGTACCTGAAAGTGATGGGGAGAATGGAACCAAGTTGGAAAACACTCTGCAGGATATTATCCAGGAGAACTTCCTCAATCTAGCAAGGCAGGCCAACATTCAAATTCAGGAAATACAGAGAATGCCACAAAGATACTCCTCGAGAAGAGCAACTCCAAGACACATAACTGTCAGATTCACCAAAGTTGAAATGAAGGAAAAAATGTTAAGGGCAGCCAGAGAGAAGGGTCGGGTTACCCACAAAGGGAAGCCCATCAGACTAACAGCGGATCTCTCAGCAGAAACTCTACAAGCCAGAAGAGAGTGGGGGCCAATATTCAACATTCTTAAAGAAAACAATTTTCAATCCAGAATTTCATATCCAGCCAAACTAAGCTTCACAAGTGAAGGAGAAATAAAATCCTTTACAGACAAGCAAATGCTGAGAGATTTTGTCACCACCAGGCCTGCTGTAAAAGAACTCCTGAAGGAAGCACTAAACATGGAAAGGAACAACCGGTACCAGCCACTGCAAAAACATGCCAAATTGTAAAGACCATCAAGGCTAGGAAGAAACTGCATCAACTAACGAGCAAAATAACCAGCTAAAATCATAATGACAGGATCAAATTCACATCTAACAATATTAACCTTAAATGCAAATGGGCTAAATGCTCCAATTAAAAGACACAGACTGGCAAATTGGATTAAGAGTCAAGACCCATCAGTGTGCTGTATTCAGAAAACCCATCTCAAGTGCAGAGACACACATGGGCTCAAAATAAAGGGATGGAGGAAGATCTACCAAGCAAATGGAAAACAAAAAAAGGCAGGGGTTGCAATCCTAGTCTCTGATAAAACAGACTTTCAACCAACAAAGATCAAAAGAGACAAAGAAGGCCATTACATAATGGTAAAGGGATCAATTCAACAAGAAGAGCTAACTATCCTAAATATATATGCACCCAATACAGGAGCACCCAGATTCATAAAGCAAGTCCTTAGAGACCTACAAAGAGACTTAGACTCCCACACAATAATAATGGGAGACTTTAACACCCCACTGTCAACATTAGACAGATCAACGAGACAGAAAGTTAACAAGGATATCCAGGAATTGAACTCAGCTCTGCACCAAGCAGACCTAATAGACATCTACAGAACTCTCCAACCCAAATCAACAGAATATACATTCTTCTCAGCACCACACCACACTTATTCCAAAATTGACCACATAGTTGGAAGTAAAGCATTCCTCAGCACATGGAAAAGAACAGAAATTATAACAAACTGTCTCTCAGACCACAGCACAATCAAACTAGAACTCAGGATTAAGAAACTCACTCAAAACCGCTCAGCTACTTGGAAACAGAACAACCTGCTCCTGAATGACTACTGGGTATATAAGAAAATGAAGGCAGAAATAAAGATGTTCTTTGAAACCAATGAGAACAAAGGCACAACATACCAGAATCTCTGGGACACATTCAAAGCAGTGTGTACAGGGAAATTTATAGCACTAAATGCCCACAAGAGAAAGCAGGAAAGATCTAAAATTGACGCCCTAACATCACAATTAAAAGAACTAGAGAAGCAAGAGGAAACACATTCAAAAGCTAGCAGAAGGCAAGAAATAACTAACATCAGAGCAGAACTGAAGGAAATAGAGACACAAAAAAACCCTTCAAAAAATGAATGAATCCAGGAGCTGGCTTTTGAAAAGATCAACAAAATTGATAGACCACTAGCAAGACTAATAAAGAAGAAAAGAGAGAAGAATCAAATAGACGCAATAAAAAATGATAAAATGGGATATCACCACCGATCCCACAGAAATACAAACTACCATCAGAGAATACTATAAACACCTCTATGCAAATAAACTAGAAAATCTAGAAGAAATGGATAAATTCCTCGACACATACACCCTCCTAAGACTAAACCAGGAAGAAGTTGAATCTCTGAATACACCAATAACAGACTCTGAAATTGAGGCAATAATTAATAGATTACCAACCAAAAAAAGTCCAGGAACAGATGGATTCACAGCCGAATTCTCCCAGAGGTACGAGGAGGAGCTGGTACCATTCCTTCTGAAATTATTCCAATCAACAGAAAAACAGGGAATCCTCCCTAACTCATTTTATGAGGCCAGCATCATCCTGATACCAAAGCCTGGCAGAGACAAAACAAAAAAAGAGAATTTTAGACCAATATCCCTGGTGAACATTGATGCAAAAATTCTCAATAAAATACTGGCAAACCAAATCCAGCAGCACATCAAAAAGCTTATCCAACATGATCAAGTGGGCTTCATCCCTGGGATGCAAGGCTGGTTCAACATACGCAAATCAATAAACATAATCCAGCATATAAACAGAACCAAAGACAAAAACCACATGATTATCTCAATAGATGCAGAAAAGGCCTTTGACAAAATTCAACAACCCTTCATGCTAAAAACTCTCAATAAATTAGGTATTGATGGGATGTATCTCAAAATAATAAGAGCTATCAATGACAAACCCACAGCCAATATCATACCGAATGGGCAAAAACTGGAAGCATTCCCTCTGAAAACTGGCACAAGACAGGGATGCCGTCTCTCACCACTCCTATTCAACATAGTGTTGGAAGTTCTGGCCAGGGCAATCAGGCAGGAGAAGGAAATAAAGGACATTCAATTAGGAAAAGAGGAAGTCAAATTCTCCCTGTTTGCGGATGACATGATTGTATATCTAGAAAAACCATTGTCTCAGCCCAAAATCTCCTTAAGCTGATAGGCAACTTCAGCAAAGTCTCAGGATACAAAATCAATGCGCAAAAATCACAAGCATTCTTATACACCAATAACAGACAAACAGAGAACCAAATCATGAGTTAACTTCCATTCACAATTGCTTCAAAGAGAATAAAATATCTAGGAATCCAACTTACAAGAGACGTGAAGGACCTCTTCAAGGAGAACTACAAACCACTGCTCAGTGAAATAAAAGAGGATACAAACAAATGGAAGAACATTCCATCCTCATGGGTAAGAAGAATCAGTATCATGAAAATGGCCATAGTGCCCAAGGTAATTTACAGATTCAATGCCATCCCCATCAAGCTACCAATGACTTTCTTCACAGAACTGGAAAAAACTACTTTAAAGTTCATATGGAAGCAAAAAAGAGCCCACATTGCCAAGTCAATCCTAAGCCAAAAGAACAAAGCTGGAGGCATCACGCTACCTGACTTCAAACTATACTACAAGGCTACAGCAAC
Organism: Homo sapiens; assembly: GCF_000001405.40. NCBI lineage: Eukaryota > Metazoa > Chordata > Mammalia > Primates > Hominidae > Homo > Homo sapiens. The sequence continues at coordinate 54,813,964 of NC_000012.12, read as the reverse complement.
CAAAACAGCATGGTACTGGTACCAAAACAGAGATATAGATCAATGGAACAGAACAGAGCCCTCAGAAATAATACCGCATATCTACAACCATCTGATCTTTGACAAACCTGACACAAACTAGAAATAGGGAAAGGATTCCCTGTTTAATAAATGGTGCTGGGAAAACTGGCTAGCCATATGTAGAAAGCTGAAATTGGATCCCTTCGTTACACCTTATTCAAAAATTTATTCAAGATGGATTAAAGACTTAAATGTTAGACCTAAAACCATAAAAGCCTGAGAAGAGAACCTAGGCAATATCATTCAGGACATAGGCATGGGCAAGGACTTCATGTCTAAAACACCAAAAGCAATGGCAACAAAAGCCAAAATTGACAAACGGGATCTAATTAAACTAAAGAGCTTCTGCACAACAAAAGAAACTACCATCAGAGTGAACAGGCAACATACAGAATGGGAGAAAATTTTTGCAATCTACTCATCTGACAAGGGGCTAATATCCAGAATCTACAATGGACTCCAACAAATTTACAAGAAAAAACAAACAACCCCATCAAAAAGTGGGCAAAGCATATGAACAGACACTTCTCAAAAGAAGACATTTATGCAGCCAACAGACACATGAAAAAATGCTCATTATCACTGGCCATCAGAGAAATGCATATCAAAACCACAATGAGATACCATCTCACACCAGTTAGAATGGCGATCATTAAAAAGTCAGGAAACGATAGGTGCTGGAGAGGATGTGGAGAAATAGGAAGACTTTTACACTGTTGGTGGGACTGTAAACTAGTTCAACCATTGTGGAAGTCAGTGTGGCGATTCCTCAGGGATCTAGAACTAAAAATACCATTTGACCTAGTCATCCCATTACTGGGTATATATCCAAAGGATTATAAATCATGCTACTATAAAGACACATGCACACGTATGTTTATTGTGGCAGTATTCACAATAGCAAAGACTTGGAACCAACCCAAATGTCCAACAATGATAGACTAGATTATGAAAATGTGGCACATATACACCATGGAGTACTATGCAGCCATAAAAAATGATGAGTTCATGTCGTTTGTAGGGACATGGATGAAGCTGGAAATCATCATTCTCAGCAAACTATCACAAGGACAAAAAACCAAACACCACATGTTCTCACTCACAGGTGGGAATTGAACAATGAGAACACATGGACACAGGAAGGGGAACATCACACACCGGGGCCTGTTGTGGGGTGGCGGGAGCGGGGAGGGATAGCATCTGGAGATATACCTAATGTTAAACGACGGGTTCCTTGGTGCAGCACACCAACATGGCACATGTATACATATGTAACTAACCTGCACGGTGTGCACTTGTACCCTAAAACTTAAAATATAATAATAAAAAAAAGAAAGCAGCCCCCATCAGGGACTTATAGATAAAACCCCCATCTTAAATATCCCTGCCTGATGGCTCTGAAGAGAGCATCAGACCTCCCAGCACAATGTTCAAGCTCTGCTAAGGGTCAGACTGCCTCCTCTAGTGGGTCCCTGACCCCAGTGTATCCTGACTGGGAGACACCTCCCAGCAGGGGTTGACAGACACCTCATACAGGAGAGCTCTGGCTGACATCTGGCAGATGCCCCTCTGGGATGAAGCTTCCAGAGGAAAGAACAGGCAGAAATATTTGCTCTTCTGCAGCCTCTGCTGGTGGTACCCAGGCAAACAGGGTCTAGAGTGGACCTCCAGCAAACTCCAGCAGACCTGCAGCAGAGAGGCCTGACTAGTAGAAGGAAAGCTAACAAACAGAAATGAATAGAATCAACATCACAAAAAGGACGTCCAATCAGAGACCCTGTCTGAAGGTCACCAACATCAAAGACCAAGGGTAGATAAATCCATGAATATGGGGAGAAACCAGTGTAAAAATGTTGAAAATTCCAAAAACCAGAAAGCCTCTTCTTCAAAGGATCACAGCTCCTCGTCACCAAGGGAACAAAATTAAACGGAAAATGGACTTGACGAATTGACAGAAGTAGGCTTCAGAAGGTGGGTAATAACAAATTCCTCTGAGCTAAAGAAGCCTGTTCCAACCCAATGCAAGGAAGCTAAGAACCTTGAAAAAAGGTTAGATGAATTGCTAACTAGAATAACCAGTATGCAGAAGAACATAAATGACTTGATGCAGCTGGAAAGCACAGCATGAGAACTTTGTGAAGCATACACAAGTATCAATAGCCAAATCGATCAAGCAGAAGAAAGGATATTAGAGATTGAAGATCAACTTAATGAAATAAAGCAAGAAGACAACGTAAGAGAAAAAGTAATGAAAAGGACAAAGAAAGACTCCAAGAAATATGGGACAGTGTGAAAAGACCACATCTACATTTGATTGGTGTACCTGAAAGTGATGGGGAGAATGGAACCAGGTTGGAAAACAAACTTCAGGATATTATCCAGGAGAACTTCTCCAACTTAGAAAGACAGGCCAACATTCAAATTCAGGAAATACAGAGAACACCACAAAGATACTCCTCAAGAAGAGCAACCCAAAGACACATAATCATCAGATTCACCAGGGTTGAAATGAAGGAAAAAGTTTTAAGGGCAGCCAGAGAGAAGAGGTGGGTTACCCACAAAGGAAGCTCATCAGACTAACAGCAGATCTCTCTGCAGAAGCCCTATAAGCTAGAAGAGAGTAGGGGCCAATATTCAACATTCTTAAAGAGAAGAATTTTCAACCCAGAATTTCATATCCAGCCAAACTAAGCTTCATAAGCAAAGGAGAAATAAAATCCTTTACAGACAAGCAAATGCTGAGAGATTTTGTCACCATCAGGCCTGCCTTATAAGAGCTCCTAAAGAAAGCACTAAATGTGGAAAGGAACAACCTCTACCAGCCACTGCAAAAACATGCCAAATTGTAAAGGCCATTGACACTATGAATAAACTGCATCAACTAACAGGCAAAATAACCCGCTAGCATCATAATGACAGGGTCAAATTTACACATAACAGTATTATGTGTAAGCCCTTAAATGTAAATGGGCTTAATACCCCAATTAAAAGACACAGACGGGCAAATTGGATAAACAATCAAGACCCATCGGTGTGCTGTATTCAGGAGACCAATCTCATGTGCAAAGACACACATAGACTCACAATAAAGGGAGGGAGGAAGATTTACCAAGCAATGGAAAGCAAAAAAAAGCAGGGGTTGCAATCCTAGTCTTTTATAAAACAGACTTTAAACCAACAAAGATCAAAAGAGACAAAGAAGGCCATTAATGATGGTAAAGGGATCAATGCAACAAGAAGAACTAACTATCCTAAATGTATATGCACCCAATACAGGAGCACCCAGATTCATAAACCAAGTTCTTAGAGATCTACAAACAGACTTAGACGCTCACAGAATAACAGTGGGAGACTTTAATGCCCCACTGTCAATATTAGACAGATCAACGAGATAGAAAATTCACAAGGACATTCAGGACTTGAACTCAGCTCTGGACAAACCAGACCTAATAGACATCTACATAAATTTCCACCCCAAATCAACAGAATATACATTCTTCTCAGCACCACATCACACTTATTCTAAAATTGACCACATAATTGGAAGTAAAACACTTAGCAAATGCAAAAGAATGGAAATCATAACAAACAGTCTCTCAGACCACAGTGCCATCAAATTAGAACTCAGGATTAAGAAACTCATTAAAAACCGCACAACTACATGGAAACTGAACAACCTGCTCCTGAATGACTACTGGGTAAATAATAAAATTAAGGCAGAAATCAAGAAGTTCTTTGAAACCAATGAGAACAAAGACACAACATGCCAGAATCTCTGGGACACATTTAAAGCAGTGCGTAGAGGAAAATTTATAGCACTAAATGCCCACAAGAGAAAGCAGGAAAGATTTAAAATCAACACCCTAACATCACAATTAAAAGAACTAGAGAAGCAAGAGCAAACAAATTCAAAAGCTAGCAGAAGGCAAGAAATAACTAAGATCAGAGCAGAACTGAAGAAGATAGAGACATGAAAAACCCTTCAAAAAAATCAATGAATCCAGGAGCTAGTTTTTTGAAGAGACCAACAAAATAGATAGACTGCTAGCAAGACTAATAAAGAAGGAAAAACAGAAGAATCAAATAGATGCAATAAAAAATGATAAACGGGATATCACCACTAATCCCACAGAAATACAAACCACCATCAGAGATTACTATAAACACCTCTATGCAAATAAACTGGAAAATCTAGAAGAAATGGATAAATTCCTGGAAACATACACCCTCCCAAGTCTAAACCAGGAAGAAGTCGAATCCCTGAATAGACCAATAACAAGTTCTGAAGTTGAGGCAGTAATTAATAGCCTACCAAGAAAAATAAGTCCAGGACCGGATGGATTTCCAGCCAAATTCTACCAGAGGTACAGAGAGGAGCTGGTGCCATTCCTTCTGAAACTATTCCAAACAATAGAAAAAACAGGGAATCCTCCCTAACTCATTTTATGAAGCCAGCATCCTTCTGATACCAAAACCTGGCAGAGACGCAACAAAAAAAAAGAAAATTTATGACCAATATCCCTGATGAACATCAGTGCAAAAATCCTGAGTGAAATACTGGCAAACCAAATCCAGCAGCAAATCAAAAAGCTTATCCCCTATGACCAAGTCAGCTTCATCCCTGGGATGCAAGGCTGGTTCAACATACGCAAATCAATAAATGTAATCCATCAAATAAACGGAACCAATGACAAGAACCACATGATTATATCAATAGATGCAGAAAATGCCTTTGACAAAATTCAACAGCCCTTCATGCTAAAAACTCTCAATAAACTAGGTATTGATGGAACGTATCTCAAAATTATAAGAGCTATTTATGACAAACGTAGCCCATATCCTACTGAATGGGCAAAAGCTGGAAGCATTCCTTTTGAAAACCAGCACAAGACAAGGATTCCCTCTCTCATCACTCTTGTTCAACATAGTATTGGAAGTTCTGGCCAGGGCAATCAGGCAAGAGAAAAAAATATAGGATATTCAAATAGGAAGAGAGGAAGTCAAATTGTCTCTGTTTGCAGATGACATGATTGTATATTTAGAAAACCCCATTGTCTCAGCCCAAAATCTCCTTAAGCTGATAAGAAACTACAGCAAAGTGTCAGGATATAAAATCAATGTGCAAAAATCAAAAGCATTTCTATACACCAATAATAGACAAACATAGAACCAAATCATGAGTGAACTCCCATTCACAATTGCTACAAAGAGAATAAAATACCCAAGAAAACAACTTACAAGGAATGTGAAGGACCTCTTCAAGGAGAACTACAATCCACTGCTCAAGGAAATAAGAGAGAACACAAACAAAAGGAAAAACATTCCATCCTCATGGATAGGAAGAATCAATATCATGAAAATGGCCACACTTTTCAAAGTAATTTATAGATTCAATGCTATCCTCATCAAGCTACCATTGACTTTCTTCACAGAATTAGAAAAAAACTATTTTAAATTTCATATGGAACCAAGAAAGAGACCACATAGCCAAGACAATCCTATGCAAAAAGAACAAAGCTGGAGGCATCAGCTACCTGACTTCAAACTATACTATCAAAAGAAACTATCAAGCCTACAGAAACCAAGACAGCATGGTACTGGTACCAAAACAGACATATAGACCAATGGAACAGAACAGAGGCCTCAGAAATAACACCACACATCTACAGCCATCCAATCTTTGACAAACCTGTCAAAAACAAGCAATGGTGGGCCGAGCACGGTGGCTCATGCCTGTAATCCCAGCACTTTGGGAGGCCAAGGTGGGCAGATCACAATGTCAGGAGATTGAGACCATCCTGGCTAACATGGTGAAACCCCGTCTCTACTAAAAATACAAAAAATTAGCCAGGCATGGTGGCAGGCACCTGTAGTCCCAGCTACTCGGGAGGTTGAGGCAGGAGAATGGCATGAACCAAGGAGGCGGAACTTGCAGTAAGCTGAGATCGCACCACTGCACTCCAGCCTGGGGGATAGAGTGAGACTCCATCTCAAAATAAACAAACAAACAAGCAATGGGGAAAGGATTCCCTATTTAATAAACGGTGTTGAGAAAACTAGCTAGCCATATGCAGAAAATTGAAACTGGACCCCTTCCTTACACCTTATACAAAAATTAACTCAAGATGGATTAAAGACTTAAATGTAAAACCCCAAACCATAAAAACCCTAGAAGAAAACCTTGGCAATACCATTCAGGATATAGGCATGGGCAAAGACTTCATGACTAAAACACCAAAAGCAACGGCAACAAAAGCCCAAATTGACAAATGGGATCTAATTAAACGAAAGAGCTTCTGCACAGCAAAAGAAACTATCATCACAGTGAACAGGTAACCTACAAAATGTGAGAAAATTTCTGCAATCTATCCATCTGACAAAGGGCTAATATCCAGGATCTACAAAGAACTTAAATAAATTTACAAGAAAAAAACAACCCCATCCAAAAGTGGGCAAAGGATATAAACAGACACTTTTCAAAAGAAGACATTTATGTGGCCAACAAACGTATGAAAAAAGCTCATCATCATTGGTCATTAGAGAAATGGAAATCAAAACCACAATGAGATAGCATCTCACACCAGTTAGAATGGCAATTATTAAAAAGACAGGAAACAACAGATGCTGGAGAGAATGTGGAGAAATAGGAACACTTTTATACTCTTGATGGGAGTGTAAATTAGTTCAACCATTGTGGAATACAGTGTGGCAATTCCTCAAGGATCTAAAACCAAAAATACCATTTGACCCAGCAATCCCATTACTGGGTATATACCCAAAGGATTGTAAATCATTCTAGTATAAAGACACATGCACAACGTATGTTTATTGCAACACTATTCACAATAGCAAAGACTTGGAACCAACCCAAATCCCCATCAATGATAGACTGGATAAAGAAAATGTGGCACATATACACCATGGAATACTATGCAGCCACAAAAAAGGATGAGGTCAAGTTCTTTGCGGGGACATGGATGAGACTGGAAACCATCATTCTCAGCAAATTAACACAAGAACAGAAAACAAAACACTGCATGTTCTCACTCATAAGTGGGAGTTCAACAATGAGAACACACAGGCACAGGGAGGGGAATATCACACACCAGGACCTGTCAGGGCCTGGGGTGCTAGGGGAGGGATAGCCTTAGGAGAAATACCTAATGTAGGTGACGGTTTGATGGGTGCAACAAACCACCATGGCACGTGTATACCTATGTAACAAACCTGCGCATTCTGCACTTGTATCCCAGAACATAAAGTATAATTTAAAACTAAATTAATTAATTAAAATTAAAATTAGAATAAACAAATAATAAAATAAAAAGCATGATTATCTCAATAGATGCAAAAAAAAGTCTTTTGATAAAATTCAACATCCCTTCATGTTAAAAACCCTCAATAAACTAGACATTGAAGGAAAATACTTCAAAATATAAGAGCCTTTTCTGACAAAGCCACAACCAACATCATACTGAATGGGTAAAAGCTGGAAGCCTTTCCCTTGAAAACTGGCACAAGAGAAGGATGTCCTCTCTCACCACTCACATTCAGTATAGTATTGGAAGTCCTGGTGAGAACAATCAGGCAAAAGAAAGAAAGAAAAAGCATCCAAATGGGAAGATAGAAAGTCAAACTATACCTGTTTGCAGATTACATGATTCTTCATCTGGAAAACCCCATAGTCTCTGCCCAAAAGCTCCTTGATCTGATAAACAACTTCAGCACAGTTTCAGGATACAAAATCAATGTCTAAAAATCAGTAGCATTCCTATACATCAACAACATCCAAGCCAACAGCCAAATCAGAAATGCAATCTCATTCACAATTGCCAGAAAAAGAATACAATACCTAAGAATACAGCTAACCAAGGAGATGAAAGATCTCTACAGTTAGAATTACAAAACACTGTTCAGATAAATCAGAGATGACACAAACAAATAGAAAAACATTGCATGCTCACAGATAGGAAGAACCAATATCATTAAAATGGCCATACCACCCAAAGCAATTTACAGATTCAAAACTATTCCTATCAAATTGCCAATGACATTCTTCACAGAACTAGAAAATACTACTTTAAAATTCATATGGAGCCAAAAAAAGAGTCCAAATAGCCAAAGCAATCCTAACCAAACAGAACAAAGCAGGAGGCATCATGCTACCGGACTTCAAGCGATAATACAGGGCTACAGTAACCAAAACAGCACAGTACTGGTACAAAAACAGACACATAGGCCAACGGAACAGAATAAAGAACCGAGAAATGAGGTCGCACACCTATAACCATCTGATCTTTGACAAAGCTGACAAAAACAAGCAATGGATAAACAACTCCTCATTCAATAAACTGTGCTGCAGTAAATGTCTAGCCATATGCGGAAGATTGAAACTGGACCCCTAGTTTACATCACATACAAAAATCAACTCCAGATCGATTAAAGACTTAAATGTACAACCTAAAACTATAAAAACCTTGGAAGATAACCTAGGAAATACCATTCTGGACATCAGCCCTGGCAAAGATTTCATGACGTAGACACCAAAAGCAATTGCAGCAAAAACAAAAACTGACAAATTGGATCTAATTAAATCTCAGAGCTTCTGCACATCAAAAGAAGCTATCAATTGAGTAAACAAACAACCTACAGAATGGTAGAAAATACGTTCAAACTAAGCATCCAACAAAGGTTCAATATCCAGAACTTATAAGGAACTTAAACTTACAAGCAAAAAACAAATAAACCCATTTAAAAGTGGGCAAAGGAAGGACATAAACAGACACTTTTTAAAAGCAGACATACATGTGACAAACAAGCATATGAAAACATGCTCAACATCACTAATCATTAGAGAAATGCAATCAAAACCACCATGAGATACCATCTCACACCAGCAAGAATGGCTAATATTAAAAAGTCTAAATATAACAGATACTGGTGAGGTTGCAGAGAAAAGGGAACACTTACACAGTGCTGCTGACAGTGTAAATTAGTTCAACTACTGTGGAAAACAGTGTGGTGACTCCTCAAAGAACTTAAAACAGAATTACCATTTGACCCAGCAATCTTATTATTGGTTATATACCCAAAGGAATATAAATTGTTCTTCCATAAAGACACATGCACATGTACATTCATCACAGCACTATTCACAGTAGCAAAGACATGGAATCAACCTAAATCCCCATCAATGGTAGAGTGCATAAAGAAAATGTGGTACATATATACCAGAGAAAAATATGCAGCCATAAAAAGAATGAGATCATGTCCTTTGCCAGACCATGGATGGAGCTGGAGGGCATTATCCTAAGCAAAATAACACGGGAACAAAAAACCAAATACCACATGTTCTCACTTAAAAGTGGGAGCTGAACACTGAGTACACATGGACACAAAAAAGGGAAAAATAGACACTGGGGCCTACTTGAGGGTGGAGGGTGGGAAGAGGGTGAGGATTGAAAAACTACCTATTGAGTATCATGCTTATTACCTGGGTGATGAAATAACCTGTACACCAAACCCTCATGATATGTAATTTACCTATATAAAAAACCTGAACATGTACCCCAGTTTAAAAGTTTCCCCCACATCTTATCAGGGCTTGATAGATTGTTTCTTTTTTTAGCACTGAATAGTGTTCCATTGTTTAGATGTACCACAGTTTATTTATCTACTTACTGAAGAACATCTTGGTTGCATCCAAGTTTTGGCAATCATGAATAAAGCTGCTATTAATATGAATATAAATGTACAAAAAAAAACAAAAAAAAATCAGTGAGATGTTTCGTGTGCTGGTACTCTCCCATTTAATAATCAGTTTGAACACCACAGACACACTGAGCTATAAATTTATATTCATGACACTTTTCTTTATGTGAGACACATTTCACAGTAATGGAAAGATTTAAAAGAATGAGAATACATAAAAAACAAAACACAAATTCAAGTCAGAAAACTAATTGAAAAACATCAATATCAGTTATTCTATATAGCATTATTGAATCTATATGGAAATTGTCATCATAATAGGTGGCCTATGAAGCATTATTAGTTTGATAATGTAATCATTTAACAGGTTTTCTGTCTTCTTTTTTCATTAACTTGCTGCTTTTCCCCTCTATGCCCATCCATGGTAGGGATGATGTAGTTTGGTATATTATTAATGTTTTGAGATTATACCATTAATGAATATATATATATTCTGATACAGATTAGAGAAAGGAAATGTATCCTTAAATGTTCCACTCTGAATAACAGAAGTATCTACAATTGGTAGCCGCTGCGGAGCCTGCCGCCACCGCCTCTGAGCAGAAGATGGCTGTGCCACTCACGTATGCCAATCTTGGCAAATCTGCCAGGGATGTCTTCACCAAAGGTTATGGATTTGGCTTAATAAAGCTTGATTTGAAAACAAAATCTGAGAATGGATTGGAATTTACAAGCTCAGACTCTGCCAACACTGTGGCCACCAAAGTGATGGGCAGTCTGGAAACCAAGTACAGATGGACTGAGTAAGGCCTGACGTTTACACAGAAATGGAACACCGACAATACACTAGGCACCCAGATTACCGTGGAAGATCAGCTTGCACGTGTACTGAAGCTGACCTTCGATTCATCCTTCTCACCTAACACTGGGGGGAAAAAAGCTAAAATCAAGACAGGGTACAAGTGGGAACACATCAATCTGGGCTGCGACATGGATTTCGACATTGCTGGGCCTTCCATCCAGTGTGCTCTGGTGCTGGGTTACGGCGGCTGGCTGGCCAACTACCAGATGAATTTTGAGACTGCAAAGTCCCGAGTTACTCAGAGCAACTTTGCAGTTGGCTACAAGACTGATGAATTCCAGCTTCACACTAATGTCTGACAGAACAGAGTTTGGTGGCTCCATTTACCAGAAGGTGAACAAGAAGTTGGAGACCGCTGTCAGTCTCGTCTGGACAGCAGGAAACAGTAATACGCTTCAGAATAGCAGCCAAGTATCAGATTGACCCTGACGCTTGCTTCTTGGCTAAAGTGAACAACTCCAGCCTGATAGGTTTAGGATAAACTCAGACCCTAAAGCCAGGTATCAAACTGACACTGTCAGCTCTTCTGGATCTCAAGAAGGTCAGTGCTGGTGGCCCCATGCTTGGTCTAGGACTGGAATTTCAAGCATAAATGAATACTGTACAATTGTTCAATTTTAAACTATTTTGCAGCATAGCTACCCTTCAGAATTTGGTGTGTCCTTTAATGTTGTATGTCTGGGATGCAAGTATTGCTAAATATGTTAGACCTCCAGGTTAAAGATGATGCAGCTTTAAGATGTTACCCTTTCAGAGGTACAGAAGAAACCCGTTTCCAAAAAAGGTCTTTTCAGTGGCAGAGTTGGGGGAAACTTGGTGGCCCCTGTGAGAGGCCAGTTTTCTTTTTTATCTAGAAATGGCTGCAAGTGGAAGCTGATAATATGTAGGCACTTTATAAATTCATATTGAGTAAATGAATGAAATTGTGATTTCCTGATAATCAAACTTTGGTTTCCTAACCCTGATTGATGAGAGGCTCACTGCTTGATGGTGTATATAAACTCACCTGAATGGGACTTTTTTAGTCAGATCTTCATGACCTGTTCCCACCCCAGTTCATCGTCACCTCTTTTACACCAAAAGGTCTGCGGGGTGTGGTCACTGTTTCTTTTGTGCGATTTTGGGGTGGAGAGGGTGGATGTGAGGAAGCCAATAATTCTGGACTTATTCCTTCTCGTGTTGTGTTTTTTTGCCCTTGCACCAAAGTATGAAATAGCTTCCAGGAGCTCCAGTTATAAGCTTAGAAGAGTCTGTGTGATTGTAATCACATGGTAACAACACTCAGAATCTAAATTGGACTTCTGTTGTATTCTCACCACTCAATTTGTTTTTCAGCAGTTTAATGGGTACATTTTAGAGTCTTCCATTTTGTGTGGAATTAGATCCTCCTCTTCAAATGCTGTAATTAACATCACTTAAAAAAACTTGAAAAAATATTGAAACCTCAAAAAAAAAAAAGAAGTATCTACAGTCACCACCCCAGAGGAGAGTCAGAAATGAGTGAAGCCAAGCCTCAGAAACAAAGATTCAGTACATCATGTCAGAATAAAAACCAAAAACTGAACCGATGACCATAGCTTTGTCTGGAAAGATGGGATAAAGGATGGAAACAGGAATCTTGAGAAAAAGCAAAAGATGAAAAAGGAAATGAGGGAAGGAGACTACAAAAAATCCATTTCCAGAAGTTATCTGATTTTGACTATGAACTTAAAAGTGATATATGAGAGAAACAAATAAACACTGAATAACAGCCTCAGGTGCCCAATGAGTTTGTTATCAGACATCACTCAAGTCATGTCAGAATAAAAACCAAAAACTGAACCAATGACCATAGCTTTGTCTGGAAAGATGGGATAAAGGATGGACACAGGGATCTTGAGAAAAAGCAAAAGATGAAAAAGGAAATGAGGGAAGGAGACTACAAAAAATCCATTTCCAGAAGTTATCTGACTTTGACTATGAGCTTAAAAGTGATATATGAGAGAAACAAATAAACACTGAATAACACTGAATAACAGCCTCAGGTGCCCAATGAGTTTGTTATCAGACACAGGAAAATAGATTCTCTCTAAAGGAGTAAAAAAATCTCCCAGACACTGCATAGCATAATGAATGAATGAAAATTTTGTTTCATGATGAATTAATGACTGATTGATTTTATTATTAAATCTTAATTTTTTGTTTCCTCTTACCAAGGTATAGAGTGATTTTCCAAGTTGAGATGTAATTACAAAATTAATATTTTGTAGAAGTTACATTATTTCAGGAAAGTAAGCCAGTGTGAGCCTTCAGAAAGACATCAAATCAAAACCTCTATTGCTGCAAAAAGAAAATTACATAAAAGCCTGGTGAAATACAGTGAAAGCTGAAGAGAGCGCTGAAGTGACACCAAGCAATGAGCATAATCGAGGAACCCTTTTAGCAGAGACAAAAATGGACCTAACAGGAGATCTCCAGGCTATTTTCCTTTGCTAGCCTGACCATGTGACTCAACTGACATTTTTGCCAACATTATATGGCTTCTTGTTTCTTGCAGGCTGCTAAGTGTTGCCAGGCACCTATGCCAATGCAAAATTGGCATTTTCTCTGACATCACTGTTGCCCAGTTTGTTGGCTCCAATGATGAAGGAAGGTTAGTGACAGAGCATGAAAGCAGGCATAAATTCTGGGGACAAAATGGTTCCCCAAGGTACCTGAGGCCTTAGTCCCAAGGTCGCACTGCTCTGAGCTGGGAGCATACATTTTGATATTGGGAACATTAAGAGATAGAAGCAAGAAGAAGAAAATGACATGGTGAGCCTCCTTTCAGTTAAGCCCCTATGGGGCATTTTCTTTTTTTTTTTGTTTTGCATTTTTTTTTATACTTTAAGTTCTAGGGTACATGTGCACAACGTGCAGGTTTCTTACATATGTATACATGTGCCATGTTGGTGTGCTGCACCCGTTAACTCGTCATTTACATTAGGTATATCTCCTAATGCTATCCCTCCCCTGCTCCCCCAATCCCATGACAGGCCCGGTGTGTGATGTTCCCCACCCTGTGTCCAGGTGTTCTCACTGTTCAATTCCCACCTATGAGTGAGAACATGTGGTATTTGGTTTTCTGTCCTTGCCATAGTTTGCTCAGAATATGGTTTCCAGCTTCACCCATGTCCACGCAAAGAACTTGAACTCATCCTTTTTTATGGCTGCATAGTATTCCATGGTGTATATTGCCACATTTTCTTAATCCAGTCTATCATTGTTGGACATTTGGGTTGGTCCCAAGTCTTTGCTATTGTGAATAGTGCCACAATAAACATACGTGTGCATGTGTCTTTATAGCAGCATGATTTATAGCCTTTGGGGTATATACCCAGTAATGGGATGGCTGGGTCAAATGATATTTCTAGTTCTAGATCCTTGAGGAATCGCCACACTGTCTTCCACAATGGTTGAACTAGTTTACAGTCCCACCAACAGTGTAAAAGCATTTCTGTTTCTCCACATCCTCTCCAGCACCTGTTGTTTCCTGACTTTTTAATGATCACCATTCTAACTGGTGTGAGATGATATCTCATTGTGGTTTTGATTTGCATTTCTCTGATGACCAGTGATGATGAGCATTTTTTCATGTGTCTGTTGGCTGCATAAATGTCTTCTTTTGAGAAGTGTCTGTTCATATCCTTCACCCACTTTTTGATGGGGTTGTTTGATTTTTTCTTGTAAATTTGTTTGAGTTCTTTGTAGATTCTGGATTTTAGCCCTTTGTCATATGGGTAGATTGTAAAAATTTTCTCCCATTCTCTAGGTTGCCTGTTCACTCTGATGGTAGTTTCTTTTGCTGTGCAGAAGCTCTTTAGTTTAATTAGATCCCTATGGGGCATTTTCAAGTCCAGAGAACCCTCACTGCATGGCCCATGAAGTCAAACGCATTTATGCTATTTCTTAAATTTGTCAGCATCTTCGCTGCTCCTTGGGATTCAAACTATGGAATATTTTATGATCAGCTAATTTTTAAACCATAAAAGACAAATCATGAATTAGCAAGCAAATACACAAAGTAGCCTGTGCATATACAACTGTATAAAATATATATAATAAAGAATAAAATAGTATGAAAAGAAACCTCATCTAAGAATAGTTTAAAAAGAAAAGTGATTTAAAGAACAGCAGACTAGAAGGAAGCTCACAAAGTCCTTGGGGTCTTGGACAAACAGATTAAGCCTATACTTTCAGGAACAATGCCAACAACTCTACCCTACAGGACTGGGCTGATGAGAAAACAACCACAACATCTACTGGTGCTGCCAAACACTAAATTCCAAAAGTTTACAAGTAACAGTGAATGATATTAGCATAATGCACTTCTGAATGAGAATCCAATCTCGCAATCACTATAGCCTTGAAAGTTGGATGCTTTTGAAACCAGTATATGCCCAGGAAATGGAAGCTCCCTATAAAGCCTGTTATCACATGCTGTTCACATCCAAAATTAAATCCTGGGGAGATTGGCCAGATTGGCAGAGTTTAGTACACAAGCCTGAGCCTTGGCTGCAAGGATGGTTGGGAAACTGTATTTCAACCTTTCTTTTAGGGTTGGGTTTATATTTGTCCCAAACATAGAAAAGCTATTCAGAAGATGACAAGCAGCCTCAAATTTCACAATTTTGCATCATTGATACTATTAGGGTTGTGCAGTTGTTCGTTTTAATACAAATTCTGAAATGTTTCCTTTAATCTAATTATTTTTCCAATACAGTGAAAACTGCTTGAAATCACATGATAATATTTTTATTGAAAGAAGGATTTTTCAATTTAACAGTTTATTATAAAGTTGAGCAAACATTCACCATATAACCCAGCAATTCCACTCCCAGTTATTCACCTGAGAGAAATGAAAACTTATGTTCACACAAAAAACTTGTACACAAATTTTCATAGCAGCTTTATCTGTGACAGTTAAAAGCTGGAAATAACCTTGATATCCTCCAGTGGGTGAATGGATAAACAAACTGTGTATGTCCACATGACAGAATATTACTCAGCAGTAAAAAAGAACTATTGATACACTCAAAAACTTGGACAAATCTCAAAGACATTATGTTGAGTGAAAGAAGCCAGTCTCAAAAGATTACATACTGTTTGATTCCATTGATTTGACATTCTCAAAAAAACAAAACTATAGTGATAAGAAACACATCAGTGGTTTCCAGGAATAACGGGTGGGGTAAGGCTGTGACTACAAGGGGACAACACAAAGGAGTTTTGGGGGTTGATAGAACTGTTCTATGTCCTGATTGTTGTGATGGTTACATAATCTGTGCACAAATCTACCCAAAAATGTGACCAAACACTAATGGGAAAGAAAAGCAAAATTTACTGTATGATATTTTGTAATGTAAAATTTTAAAATAATATGGATTTTTGTGGTGGAAATATAAGGACTGCAAGAATTCAGAAAGAAGAGACTGGCGTGGACAAGAACTGAGGAGGAAAAGCAGTATAAAGGCTCCCTCATCACATACAGAGGGACACTGCCTCAAGGACAAAGAACAAGTACTAAGTCATCAGAGCACTGGGAGGACAACAGAGTGAGCAACAGAATGATAAATTTTTTATTAAAGGCTTCTAGATAGAAAAAAAGTTTGAAGAAACAACTTTGAAAAACTTAGCAGAACTGCTCATAACCCAGATTTACAAGAGATGGGATGAGTGGAGTCCAGCTCCTACTTAAAGACCTATGTGTGATTTTTCAAGCCTGATCACAGGCAATGGTTTCACCTGGCAGATTTCATGGGAGAAAACTGCCGTCCCCACACCAAAATTGGTGCACGACCAGTGCTCTGCAGTCCCTGAAGAGGGGTGCAGGCTGGCCATGCTCTTTCACATATTTGCAGTTTTTGACTAATGCCCAAATTCTTAAGTCTCTTTATCTGAGACCCTGGGCAGAGGTCCTCTTCAGGCACTTCTGCTAAGACCTCCTTATAGAGGGAGAAGGGAAAAACCGTGAAGACATTTTCCCCCACTCTGACTCTGTTCCCATTATTTTTCCATTCTAAGCCCCATCCCCCTGTTCTCCACCCCTCCCACCTCAGAATCCATAAAACTGTAGAAGCCTTTTGAGCTACAGTGAGACAATCTCAATGTCTGAGCTGATCCACCTGACCCTTGACTAGTGTGCCATTCAAGCGGAAAATGGAACAGGTGGACTGAGCATTTTCTCCAGTGTTAGCCTCTTGCTTATACCATTGCAGTAAATGAGTAAAGTCTTAACTCTCATTTTTGGCTTCTTGCTTTAATCCACTACCTGAAAGCTCATCTCTCTCTCACCTAGGACCTAACAGGACACAGAAAATAGGAGAAGGTTGCCAGTACCCAGAAGGATACAATTACCCAAATTTGTGCCAGGGCCTCAAGAACCAGCAGAATCCCAATGCTGGGCAAAGTAAACAAACAGTAGCCATGGCTGAAGCCAAGGACATGCTGCTCCTTTCTGAGAACACACAGTGTTTCTGTATTCACAGGACTCGTGAGTGGGAAGATGCAGAAGAACCCTGGGTGCCAGGGCAGATTCTGCAGCAAATCATGGAGCCAGTGAGAATAGGAAATAATAATATGAAAAATTATATTACTGAGTCATTATAAGATACATTTTAGTGTAACACTTTATTTTTATATCAAGTATACACACATCAACTTATTTAATTCTCATAAAATCACTCAATATTATTCTTACCTAGATTTTTAAAATATGGAATTTGAGGCATCAGAGTGGTAACAGGATATGAGGACTTGCTCAAGATAATAAACCTCCTGATCACTGAAACTCAAACACAAACCAGGACTTGAAATTTGTTTCCAATTTAGCATAGCTTTGGGTCTCTTAGGTTAGAATTGAAGCCCCAATCAGGATATCTGGGGTCTCCAGGTCAGGAATACACTTGTCTATTTTCCATCTTCACTCACCTTTAAAGGACATAAAAGTGAAGTTCTTGACTTCTAAGTATGCTGTAATGTAAGAGATAGAAGATGCTTTTCCTTTATCTCTATATTTAATTTTTTATTGTGCACTATTTATCATAGTTTGTACCATATTAATGTTGTTTTAATTTTACTAATTATTTTATAATGCTATTTCTGTTTGATGCCAAATTGTTAACACTTCAATATTTATAAACTAATGAAATACAAATTTATGTTTTTGCCTATTATGTTTTAGAGAAATGTGGTAGGATAATGCAAATATTTCCCAAGTTCAGATATTTGAAAGTCCTCTCTAAACCCCACAGGGAATACTAAGATATTTAAAGGCAAAGGATATGGTGCAGCAAGAGAAAGAGCGTATAAACGAGCATTGGAGTCCGAGAGACAATCGTGCAGAAGTTCCCAGGGTTCTCATTGACCCAGAGAGGTACTCTGTTTCCAGATGAACCACCAAGATCTGTGCAAGAAATCCTAGCTTCAGGAAAGTGTAACACAGAAGTTCCCAGCGGGGTTGTTATGCCCCATTGGGCACATATTTGAGCCAGTTTATGACACTTGTAAATTATCAACAAACAAACTGGCCTGGGGAGTTTCTGACATCATAAATCCCACTGCCCTTATTTTGACCAAGAGCCAAAGGCAGACATCCAGGAGCCTCCAGAGATAAAGTTAGAGTTTTTTCGATTCAGCTGTAAGTCAACTAAATCCCCTATAGTTCACCCTCTGACTCTTGGGCAAGGCTTTTTAAATAAAAATTGCTCCTCATCACTCCTCCTTCTGCATCTTTGGCAACATTTAGGAGACAAAAAAAAAAGCAAAGGAATAACTGCCAAAACTCTAATTAATTTGTATCATCAGATAAGGTTTAAGTAAATCAGTAAAATTAATTTTGCCAGTAACCTGAGTATTACACCAGATAGTTGTATTATAAGTTGAACGAAGATTATAATATAAATCAGTAATCTTACCAATGACACCAATATTACACCAAAGAGTAGTTATATTATGAGTTCAACTAAGATCACTGTAAAATAAATCAGTCCAAATTACAACAGTATTTTCTCAGCCTTCCCTATAGAGTGGCCCTTGTCGATATACCAAACGCTATCATGGATTGGTGTATGAATCAAGGGCTAAGTTCAAGTTAATTTTGGATTCCAAGTTTCTTATGGGCCTCATCATATACCCTGTTTCATTCTGTCTTTCCCAAGATAACATCATATGGGTAATAATCACCTCCAATTACATTTTAGTTTCAGCGTGCCAAACAACTTCCCGTAAGCATGTTCAGCAGATGTTATGGTTACGCACTGTGTGAATGAGCCCCCAAGAAGTAACCTCTAAACTGTCTGTCTTAGTCACCTCAGGATACCACAACAAAATGCCATAGACTAGGTGACTTAAACAACAGAAGTTTATTTTCTCATAATTCTGGAGGCTGGAAGCTCAATATTGGAATGCCAGCATGGTGGGGTTCTAGTGAGGGCTCTTATCCTGGCTTGTAGACTACCACCTTCTTCCTGTGTCTTCACATAATGGAGAGAGAAAGCAAACTCTCTGCTGTCTCTTTTTACAAGCGTCCTAATCCGATCACAAGGACCCCATACTAGGACCTCATCTAGACCTAATTAACTCCCAAAAGTCCTATTTCTAAGTACCATTACATTGGGTGATGGGTTCATTCAACAATGAATTTTGGGGGACGCAACTAAGTCCATAGCATTGGCATTAGTTCCTGTTTCTTTTTTTTTTTTTTTTTTTTAATTTTTTTTTTTAATTATACTCTAAGTTTTAGGGTACATGTGCACATTGTGCAGGTTAGTTACATATGTATACATGTGCCATGCTGGTGCGCTGCACCCACTAACGTGTCATCTAGCATTAGGTATATCTCCCAATGCTACCCCTTCCCCCTCCCCCGACCCCACCACAGTCCCCAGAGTGTGATATTCCCCTTCCTGTGTCCATGTGATCTCATTGTTCAATTCCCACCTATGAGTGAGAATATGCGGTGTTTGGTTTTTTGTTCTTGCGATAGTTTACTGAGAATGATGGTTTCCAATTTCATCCATGTCCCTACAAAGGACATGAACTCATCATTTTTTATGGCTGCATAGTATTCCATGGTGTATATGTGCCACATTTTCTTAATCCAGTCTATCATTGTTGGACATTTGGGTTGGTTCCAAGTCTTTGCTATTGTGAATAGTGCCGCAATAAACATACGTGTGCATGTGTCTTTATAGCAGCATGATTTATAGTCATTTGGGTATATACCCAGTAATGGGATGGCTGGCTCAAATGGTATTTCTAGTTCTAGATCCCTGAGGAATCGCCACACTGACTTCCACAATGGTTGAACTAGTTTACAGTCCCACCAACAGTGTAAAAGTGTTCCTATTTCTCCACATCCTCTCCAGCACCTGTTGTTTCCTGACTTTTTAATGATTGCCATTCTAACTGGTGTGAGATGATATCTCATAGTGGTTTTGATTTGCATTTCTCTGATGGCCAGTGATGATGAGCATTTCTTCATGTGTTTTTTGGCTGCATAAATGTCTTCTTTTGAGAAGTGTCTGTTCATGTCCTTCGCCCACTTTTTGATGGGGTTGTTTGTTTTTTTCTTGTAAATTTGTTTGAGTTCATTGTAGATTCTGGATATTAGCCCTTTGTCAGATGAGTAGGTTGTGAAAATTTTCTCCCATGTTGTAGGTTGCCTGTTCACTCTGATGGTAGTTTCTTTTGCTGTGCAGAAGCTCTTTAGTTTAATTAGATCCCATTTGTCAATTTTGGCTTTTGTTGCCATTGCTTTTGGTGTTTTGGACATGAAGTCCTTGCCCACGCCTATGTCCTGAATGGTAATGCCTAGGTTTTCTTCTAGGGTTTTTATGGTTTTAGGTCTAACGTTTAAATCTTTAATCCATCTTGAATTGATTTTTGTATAAGGTGTAAGGAAGGGATCCAGTTTCAGCTTTCTACATATGGCTAGCCAGTTTTCCCAGCACCATTTATTAAATAGGGAATCCTTTCCCCATTGCTTGTTTTTCTCAGGTTTGTCAAAGATCAGATAGTTGTAGATATGCGGCATTATTTCTGAGGGCTCTGTTCTGTTCCATTGATCTATATCTCTGTTTTGGTACCAGTACCATGCTGTTTTGGTTATTGTAGCCTTGTAGTATAGTTTGAAGTCAGGTAGCGTGATGCCTCCAGCTTTGTTCTTTTGGCTTAGGATTGACTTGGCGATGCGGGCTCTTTTTTGGTTCCATATGAACTTTAAAGTAGTTTTTTCCAATTCTGTGAAGAAAGTCATTGGTAGCTTGTTGGGGATGGCATTGAATCTGTAAATTACCTTGGGCAGTATGGCCATTTTCACGATATTGATTCTTCCTACCCATGAGCATGGAATGTTCTTCCATTTGTTTGTCTCCTCTTTTATTTCCTTGAGCAGTGGTTTGTAGTTCTCCTTGAAGAGGTCCTTCACATCACTTGTAAGTTGGATTCCTAGGTATTTTATTCTCTTTGAAGCAATTGTGAATGGGAGTTCACTCATGATTTGGCTCTCTGTTTGTCTGTTGTTGGTGTATAAGAATGCTTGTGATTTTTGTACATTGATTTTGTATCCTGAGACTTTGCTGAAGTTGCTTATCAGCTTAAGGAGATTTTGGGCTGAGATGATGGGGTTTTCTAGATAAACAATCATGTCGTCTGCAAACAGGGACAATTTGACTTCCTCTTTTCCTAATTGAATACCCTTTATTTCCTTCTCCTGCCTGATTGCCCTGGCCAGAACTTCCAACACTATGTTGAATAGGAGCGGTGAGAGAGGGCATCCCTGTCTTGTGCCAGTTTTCAAAGGGAATGCTTCCAGTTTTTGCCCATTCAGTATGATATTGGCTGTGGGTTTGTCATAGATAGCTCTTATTATTTTGAAATACGTCCCATCAATACCTAATTTATTGAGAGTTTTTAGCATGAAGGGTTGTTGAATTTTGTCAAAGGCTTTTTCTGCATCTATTGAGATAATCATGTGGTTTTTGTCTTTGGTTCTGTTTATATGCTGGATTACATTTATTGATTTGCGTATATTGAACCAGCCTTGCATCCCAGGGATGAAGCCCACTTGATCATTGTGGATAAGCTTTTTGATGTGCTGCTGGATTCGGTTTGCCAGTATTTTATTGAGGATTTTTGCATCAATGTTCATCAAGGATATTGGTCTAAAATTCTCTTTTTTGGTTGTGTCTCTGCCTGGCTTTGGTATCAGAATGATGCTGGCCTCATAAAATGAGTTAGGGAGGATTCCCTCTTTTTCTATTGATTGGAATAGTTTCAGAAGGAATGGTACCAGTTCCTCCTTGTACCTCTGGTAGAATTTGGCTGTGAATCCATCTGGTCCTGGACTCTTTTTGGTTGGTAAACTATTGATTATTGCCACAATTTCAGAGCCTGTTATTGGTCTATTCAGAGATTCAACTTCTTCCTGGTTTAGTCTTGGGAGAGTGTATGTGTCGAGGAATTTATCCATTTCTTCTAGATTTTCTAGTTTATTTGCGTAGAGGTGTTTGTAGTATTCTCTGATGGTAGTTTGTATTTCTGTGGGATCGGTGGTGATATCCCCTTTATCATTTTTTATTGTGTCTATTTGATTCTTCTCTCTTTTTTTCTTTATTAGTCTTGCTAGCAGTCTATCAATTTTGTTGATCCTTTCAAAAAACCAGCTCCTGGATTCATTGATTTTTTGAAGGGTTTTTTGTGTCTCTATTTCCTTCAGTTCTGCTCTGATTTTAGTTATTTCTTGCCTTCTGCTAGCTTTTGAATGTGTTTGCTCTTGCTTTTCTAGTTCTTTTAATTGTGATGTTAGGGTGTCAGTTTTGGATCTTTCCTGCTTTCTCTTGTAGGCATTTAGTGCTATAAATTTCCCTCTACACACTGCTTTGAATGCGTCCCAGAGATTCTGGTATGTGGTGTCTTTGTTCTCGTTGGTTTCAAAGAACATCTTTATTTCTGCCTTCATTTCGTTATGTACCCAGTAGTCATTCAGGAGCAGGTTGTTCAGTTTCCATGTAGTTGAGTGGCTTTGAGTGAGATTCTTAATCCTGAGTTCTAGTTTGATTGCACTGTGGTCTGAGAGACAGTTTGTTATAATTTCTGTTCTTTTACATTTGCTGAGGAGAGCTTTACTTCCAACTATGTGGTCAATTTTGGAATAGGTGTGGTGTGGTGCTGAAAAAAATGTACATTCTGTTGATTTGGGGTGGAGAGTTCTGTAGATGTCTATTAGGTCTGCTTGGTGCAGAGCTGAGTTCAATTCCTGGGTATCCTTGTTGACTTTCTGTCTCGTTGATCTGTCTAATGTTGACAGTGGGGTGTTAAAGTCTCCCATTATTAATGTGTGGGAGTCTAAGTCTCTTTGTAGGTCACTCAGGACTTGCTTTATGAATCTGGGTGCTCCTGTATTGGGTGCATAAATATTTAGGATAGTTAGCTCCTCTTGCTGAATTGATCCCTTTACCATTATGTAATGGCCTTCTTTGTCTCTTTTGATCTTTGTTGGTTGAAAGTCTGTTTTATCAGAGACTAGGATTGCAACCCCTGCCTTTTTTTGTTTTCTATTGGCTTGGTAGATCTTCCTCCATCCTTTTATTTTGAGCCTATGTGTGTCTCTGCACTTGAGATGGATTTCCTGAATACAGCACACTGATGGGTCTTGACTCTTTATCCAACTTGCCAGTCTGTGTCTTTTAATTGCAGAATTTAGTCCATTTATATTTAAAGTTAATATTGTTATGTGTGAATTTGATCCTGTCATTATGATGTTAGCTGGTGATTTTGCTCATTAGTTGATGCAGTTTCTTCCTAGTCTCGATGGTCTTTACATTTTGGCATGATTTTGCAGCGGCTGGTACTGGTTGTTCCTTTCCATGTTTAGCGCTTCCTTCAGGAGCTCTTTTAGGGCAGGCCTGGTGGTGACAAAATCTCTCAGCATTTGCTTGTCTATAAAGTATTTTATTTCTCCTTCACTTATGAAGCTTAGTTTGGCTGGATATGAAATTCTGGATTGAAAATTCTTTTCTTTAAGAATGTTGAATATTGGCCCCCACTCTCTTCTGGCTTGTAGGGTTTCTGCCGAGAGATCCGCTGTTAGTCTGATGGGCTTTCCTTTGAGGGTAACCCGACCTTTCTCTCTGGCTGCCCTTAACATTTTTTCCTTCATTTCAACTTTGGTGAATCTGACAATTATGTGTCTTGGAGTTGCTCTTCTCGAGGAGTATCTTTGTGGCGTTCTCTGTATTTCCTGAATCTGAACGTTGGCCTGCCTTGCTAGATTGGGGAAGTTCTCCTGGATAATATCCTGCAGAGTGTTTTCCAACTTGGTTCCATTCTCCACATCACTTTCAGGTACACCAATCAGACGTAGATTTGGTCTTTTCACATAGTCCCATATTTCTTGGAGGCTTTGCGCATTTCTTTTTATTCTTTTTTCTCTAAACTTCCCTTCTCGCTTCATTTCATTCATTTCATCTTCCATTGCTGATACCCTTTCTTCCAGTTGATCGCATCGGCTCCTGAGGCTTCTGCATTCTTCACGTAGTTCTCGAGCCTTGGTTTTCAGCTCCATCAGCTCCTTTAAGCACTTCTCTGTATTGGTTATTCTAGTTATACATTCTTCTAAATTTTTTTCAAAGTTTTCAACTTCTTTGCCTTTGGTTTGAATGTCCTCCCGTAGCTCAGAGTAATTTGATCGTCTGAAGCCTTCTTCTCTCAGCTCATCAAAATCATTCTCCATCCAGCTTTGTTCTGTTGCTGGTGAGGAACTGCGTTCCTTTGGAGGAGGAGAGGCGCTCTGCGTTTTAGAGTTTCCAGTTTTTCTGTTCTGTTTTTTCCCCATCTTTGTGGTTTTATCTACTTTTGGTCTTTGATGATGGTGATGTACAGATGGGTTTTCGGTGTAGATGTCCTTTCTGGTTGTTAGTTTTCCTTCTAACAGACAGGACCCTCAGCTGCAGGTCTGTTGGAATACCCTGCCGTGTGAGGTGTCAGTGTGCCCCTGCTGGGGGGTGCCTCCCAGTTAGGCTGCTCAGGGGTCAGGGGTCAGGGACCCACTTGAGGAGGCAGTCTGCCCGTTCTCAGATCTCCAGCTGCGTGCTGGGAGAACCACTGCTCTCTTCAAAGCTGTCAGACAGGGACACTTAAGTCTGCAGAGGTTACTGCTGTCTTTTTGTTTGTCTGTGCCCTGCCCCCAGAGGTGGAGCTTACAGAGGCAGGAAGGCCTCCTTGAGCTGTGGTGGGCTCCACCCAGTTCGAGCTTCCCGGCTGCTTTGTTTACCTAAGCAAGCCTGGGCAATGGCGGGCGCCCCTCCCCCAGCCTCGTTGCTGCCTTGCAGTTTGATCTCAGACTGCTGTGCTAGCAATCAGCGAGATTCCGTGGGTGTAGGACCCTCTGAGCCAGGTGTGGGATATAGTCTCGTGGTGCGCCGTTTGTTAAGCCGGTCTGAAAAGCGCAATATTTGAGTGGGAGTGACCCGATTTTCCAGGTGCGTCCGTCACCCCTTTCTTTGACTCAGAAAGGGAACTCCCTGACCCCTTGCGCTTCCCAGGTGAGGCAATGCCTCGCCCTGCTTCGGCTCGCGCACGGTGCGCACACACACTGGCCTGCGCCCACTGTCTGGCACTCTCTAGTGAGATGAACCCGGTACCTCAGATGGAAATGCAGAAATCACCCGTCTTCTGCGTCGCTCACGCTGGGAGCTGTAGACCGGAGCTGTTCCTATTCGGCCATCTTGGCTCCACCGCAGTTCCTGTTTCTTTATTATTGCTATCCATTCACAAAAACATGGTTTATAGGCACATGATACTATGACAAGTTAGGCACAGCAAATATTTTATCTGGGAAACTTTTTCAACTAGGCTAATGGTTACATAGTGATCTGTGACTCTGTTGTTAAAGTCCTTTGTGCACATCCATGAGACAAAATTTCCCACATGCTACCTCTCAAAAGGAATCCTCTGTAATAGATATAACCCACAAAATAGGAGCCAAAAGACAAAGTTACATTAGATTTATTCCAGGTGTTCACTCACGAGATATTGTTAATGTCATCAAGATACATCATGGAGATGAATCCAGATTGAATGCCTTTATTTTCACTGGGGCCTATCCTGAACCTCCTGCTTCAAACTAAGAAGAGGGTTTCTGCAGAAAAATAGCTCCACCTTTATGGTCATCTATAAATATAGCTAAAAGATAATATTCTCTTGCTCCCAACCTCTCACAAGACACCAAGGTAACATTAGCTTTTTCTTTTGCATTATATATTGATTGAATTCCTTTTCATCAACAGTTGTTCCTCTTTCTTTCCATTTGACATTAATTTTCACCCTCTTCAGACCCTCTTCTCAGAATAGGACCATAGAACTAGCTATGAGTCTGACCAATGCCTCCCCTTTGTCCATTCTCAGTTAAATGGAATAGGGCTGAATTAGCGCAAGCTTCAAAGGTTATCTTGGGACCCCCAAATAGCCAAAACAATCTCAAAAAAGAACAAAGTTTAAGGACTTACGCTACCTGATGTCAAAACTTATTATGAAGTTCCAGTAATCAAAACAGTGTAGTACTGGCATGAAGTCAGACATATAAACCAATGGAATACAATAGACAGCTCAGAAATCAACTCTCCTGTATAAGGTCAAATGATTTTCAATAAGGGTGCCAAGACTACTCAATGGGGAAAGGACAGTTTGTTAACAAATGGTGCTGGGGAAATAGTATCCACATACAAAAGAATAAAGTTGGACTCCTATCCTACACCATATACAAAGTTTAACTCAAAATGGATCAAAGACTTAAGTGTAAGAGGTAAAACTATAAAACTCTTAAAAGAAAACATATGTAAAAACTTCATGGCATGAGATTTGGCAATGATTTCTTGGGCATAACACCAAAACATGGGTAGCAAAAGAAAAAATAGATAAACTGAAGTTTATCTAGATTGAAAGTTTTCATGCATCAAAGGACACTGTAAACAGAGTGAAAAGGTACCCAACAGAATGCAAGAAAATATTTTTAAATCATATATCTGATAAGAAATTAATATCCAGAATATACAGAGAATTCCTAAAACTCAACTACAATAAAACAACCCAATTGAAAAATGACCAAAGCCTTGAATAAACACTTCTCCAAAGATATACAAATGGCCAATAAGCACATGAAAAGATGCTAAACATCACTAATCTTTAGGGAAATAAAAATCAAAACCACAATGAGACACCACTTTTTACCCATTAGGATGGCTTTATAAGAAAAACAGAAAATAACAAGTGTTAGAGATGATGTGGAGATATTGGAACCCCATGTGCCATTGGTCTATGCAGCTGCTATAGAACAGAGTGTGGTGGTTTCTGAAAACATTAAAAAAACAACTACTATATGATTCAGTAATTTCATTTCTATATAATACCAAAAATAATCACAAGTAGGGTCTGAAAGAGATATTTATACATCCATATTCATAGCAGCATTATTCACAATAACTAAAAGGTGAAAACAGCCCAAGCGTCCATCAGCAAATGAATGGATAAACAAAATGTATCTACATACAGTGAAACAAAGAATGAAAATTTTAAAAAGAATGAAATTCTGAAATGCTACAACATGGATACATATTAAAGGTATTATGCTAAGTAAAATAAGCTAGATGCAAATATTGTATGACTCCATTTATATGAGCTCCCTATAGTAGTCAAATTCATAAAGACAAAGCAAGAGGGGCTTTAAGATGGCTGACTACAGGCACCCAGCACTCACCTGCTGCACAAAAAAGGACTAAAACAATGAGGAGATAAGCACATATCTAATAAAGCATCTCAGAGACAACAATGGCATTCAGGAGGGAAGTTGACAGAGAACTTCTGAGGCACAGAAGGAGAGGAAAACAAAACAGCCATCCCAGCCAGGATTGCCTCAAAGCCGAGAGGAACTTCCCATTGTGAGGAAAGATAAGCGAGAGATCACAGTGGTCTAAATTCCTATTTGGAGACTCCTGAAATCCTAGCCATGGGAGAGCCCCTCGGCCCTCATGGGCCCTGAGACCAGTAGAGGGAGCTACCTGGAGTCCATATGACAGCACTGTTCCAGAAAGTTAGGTTGCACTGGGTCCCACACACCACCCAAAATCCAAGCAGCCACAGCACAGTGCCATTTTGAGAGCCCAACCCCTGCCAGACTACGTCGTGCCCTGGGGCCCAATAGCCTTTGCATCTCCACATCCCTGAAGCCCCATTGACATTCCCCATGTCCACCCAGAAGACTATAGAATTGTTATGCCAGCTAGACCCAGCAGTTCACCTGAATCTCCAGCAATCTAGCTCATGCAATGTCCTACACTCCAGGGAACATATGGAGTGGCACATCAGGGAGGCTGTCCCTGGAACAAAGGGAGCCTGAGTGTATACTCCCCAGAGCCTGAGAGCTACCCACCTGGGACTGCTGCCACTGACAGCAACCCTGTCCCCTCCAGCAGCAGGGTACCACTTACCTGCATGTGCCTTTAGGGAACCTGAAAACAGGCCTGCACCCCCTATTACTGCCGGTACCCACATGTGCCACCCAGGGCCAGAGAACAGGGCTACCATGGTCTCCACCAGCATACACCCACGTGTGCCTCATGGGGGCCGAAGTTTTGGCGCATCACCACTACTGCCACTGCCAACACCATGTACGCTATCCAGGAGCTTGAGGACCCACCCACCTGGTCTGCTACTGTCACCACCAACACCCAAGCGTGTCATCTGGAGGCCTGAGAACCAGCCCACCCAAACCTGCCACCACCGATGCCTGTGTATGACACCTAGAGGACTGAGGACTGACACTACCAGCCCATTGTTGCCACCAATGGTGTCTGAGGACTGACCCACCTTGTGTGCCCATCTCTACAAATTCTCACTACAGCCTCCACTAACAACTGCACCCTAAGCCACTGAGGAGATCACAGATACCACTGACAGTAATTACAACTGAAGAAATTATATGGAGACTACACTACTGTGCCCACCCAGAATCAAAGCCAAAGCAACCTACTAAACCAACACTATAGATATATCTACAGGAAAAAATTGATTCCCAATGAAACCCAATCCATAAAATTGGAAGAAGCAACTGTTATACCAGATGAGCAGATATCAACACAAGAACAAAAGAGACATGAAAAAGTAAAGCATATGATACCTAAAAAGATCATAATAAATGTGCACTAACAAGTCCCAAAAGAAAGGAAATCTATGAAATGCCTTTAAAAATTCAGAATAATAATATTAAAGAAACTCAGTGAGACACAGAGAACAAAGATAAACAATACAAGCAAATCAGAAAAACAATCTATGATCTGAATGAGAAATTCCACAGAGACAGATATGATTTTTTTAAAAGAACCAAGCAGAAATTCTGGAACTGAATAATTTGGTGAATGGAATAAAAACTATAATCAAGATATTCAAGAATAGACTAGATCAAGAAGAATTTCTAAACTTGAAAACAGTTATTTTGAAGTAATCCAGTCAGACAAAAAACAGTTTTTTAAGAATGAAGAAAGCCCATCTGACACATGGAACACCACAAAGTGGCCAAATATTCAAATGTTGAGAGTTCCAGAAAGAGAAGAGATGAGCAAAGGCATAGAAAATCTATTTAACAAAATAATAGCTGAAAACTTCCCAAGCCTCATAAGACATGTAGACATACATCCAGATATAGGAAGCTCAAAATCTCCAAATACATTCAACCCAAGAAGGTTTTCTCCAAGGTACATTACAGCCAAATTGTCAAAAGTCAAAGACAGAGATAATTCTAAAAACAGCAAAAGAAGAGCATCTAGTCACATATATGGGAATCCCCATCAGACTAACAGCCTATTTCTCAGCAGAAACTTTACAAGCCAGAAGAGAATGGGAAAATATATTCAAAGTCCTGATGGAAAAAAGCTGCCATTCACTGGAAGGCCATGCAAAACAAAACAAAACAAAACAAAAACTGTCAGCCAAGAATAATGTACCCAGCAAAGCTACCCTTCAAAAATAGAGGAAAAATAAAGGCTTTCCTACACAATCAAAAACAAAGGGAATTCATTGCCACTAGATTAGTTCTACAAAAAAAATGCTTAAAAGAGTCCTATATCTGGAAGCAAAAGGACAAGGACAATATCTACCATCATGGAAATATAAGAAAATATAAAACTCACTGATAGAACAGATACCCAAATGAGAAAGAGAAAGGAGTCAAATGTTATCGCTACAAAAAACCACCAGTTAGTAAAGATAAGCAAAAAAGAGGAAGAGAGAATATACAAAACAGTCAGAAAACAATTAACAAAATGACAGAGTAAGTCCTCACCAATGAAAAACAACCTTGAAATTCCCCAATTAAATAATATAGACTGGCTGAAGAAGTTTTTTAAAAAGACTCAATTATTTGCTGCCTACAAGAAACTCACTTTACTGTAAAGACACACATAGACAGAAAGTAAAGAGATGGGGGAAACTATTCTAGACAAAGAGAAGCCAAAAGTGTGCAGGGGTAGCTATACTTCAGACCAAATGGACTTTAAGTGAAAAAAACATAAAAAGAGACAGGAAGGTCATTATATAATGATAAAGGGATCAAGTCAGCAAGAGCCTATAACAATTCTAAATATATTTCCCCTAAACATTGGAGCATCCATATATATAAAACAATACTATTAGAGCTAAAGTAAGAGATAGACCAATTACAATAATAGTTGAGGAATTCAACACCCTACTTCCAGCATTGAACAGATCATCAAAGCAGAAAATCAACAAAGAAACATTGGACTTAATCTGTACTATAGATCAAACAGACCTAATAGAAATTTACAGAACATTTTATTCAACAGCTACAGAATACACATTCCTCTCATCAGTACACAAAACAGTCCCCAAGATAGACTATATGTTAAGACACAAAACAAGTCTCTTTTTAAACATTGAAATCAGGCCCAGTGTGGTGGTTCACGCCTGTAATCCCAGCACTTTGGGAGGCCAAGGAGGGCAGATTGCTTGAGCTCAGAAGTTCAAGATAAGCCTGAGTAACATGGCAAAACCCTGTCTATACACACAAAAAAATTTTAATTAGCTAGGTGTGGTGGCATGCACCTGTACCCCCAGCTACTCAGAAGGCTGAGGTGGGAGGATCTTCTGATCCTGGGAGGCCAAGGCTGCAGTGAGTCATGATTGTGCCACTGCACTCCAGCCTGGGCAACAGAGTGACGTTCTGTCTCAAAAAAAAAAAAAAAAAAAAAAACATTATATCAAGTATCCCTTCAGACCTCAATGGAATAACACTAGTAATCAATAACAAGTATACTCCTTGAACCCTTTGGAGTTCCTTTCCTGACAGTAGCCAAGGCACACATTTCAATTCTCGGAATACTTAATGCTGGGCTCTTTTTTATTGTTTTTATTTTTCTAATTTTTTTATCATACTTTAAGTTCTAGGGTACATGTGCACAACATGCAGGTTTGTTACATATGTACACATGTGCCATGTTGGTGTGCTGCACCCATTAACTCATCATTTACATTAGGTATATCTCCTAATGCTATCCCTCCCCCCTCCCGCAACCCCATGACAGGCCCCAATGTGTGAGGTTCCCCTTCCTGTGTCCAAGTGTTCTCATTGTTCAATTCCCACCTATGAGTGAGAACATGTGGTGTTTGGTTTTCTGACCTTGCAATAGTTTGCTGAGTGTGATGGTTTCCAGCTTCATCCATGTCCCTACAAAGGACATGAACTCTTCCTTTTTTATGGCTGCATAGTATTCCATGCTGTATATGTGCCACATTTTCTTAATCCAGTCTATCACTGATGGACATTTGGGTTAGTTCCAAGTCTTTGCTATTGTGAATAGTGCCACAGTAAACATACGTGTGCATGTGTCTTTATAGCAGCATGATTTATAATCCTTTGGGTATATACCCAGTAATGGGATGGCTGGGTCAAATGGCATTTCTAGTTCTAGATCCTTGAGGAATCGCCACACTGTCTTCCACAATGGTTGAACTAGTTTACAGACCCACCAACAGTGCAAAGGTGTTCCTATTTCTCCACATCCTCTCCAGCACCTGTTGTTTCCTGAATTTTTAATGATTGCAATTCTACCTGGTGTGAGATAGTATCTCATTGTAGTTTTGATTTGCATTTCTCTGATGGCCAGTGATGATGAGCATTTTTTCATGTGTCTGTGGCCTGCATAAATGTCTTCTTTTGAGAAGTTTCTGTTCATATCCTTTGCCCACTTTTTAACGGGGTCATTTGTTTTTTTCTTGTAAATTTGTTTGAGTTCTTTGTAGATTCTGGATATTACCCTTTGTCAGATGAGTAGATGGCAAAAATTTTCTCCCATTCTCTAGGTTGCCTGTTCACTCTGATAGTAGTTTCTTTTGCTGTGCAGAAGTGCTTTAGTTTAATTAGATCCCATTTGTCAATTTTGCCTTTTGTTGTCATTGCTTTGGTGTTTTAGACATGAAGTCCTTGCCCATGCCTATGTCCTGAATGATATTGCCTAGGTTTTCTTCTAGGGTTTTTATGGTTTTAGGTCTAACATTTAAGTCTTTAATCCATCTTGAATTAATTTTTGAATAAGGTGTAATGAAGGGATCCAGTTTCAGCTTTCTACATATGGCTAGCCAGTTTTCCCAGCACCATTTATTAAATAGGGAATCCTTTCCCCATTGCTTGTTTTTGTCAGGTTTCTCAAAGATCAGATGGTTGTAGATGTGTGGTATAATTTCTGAGGGCTCTGTTCCGTTCCATTGTCTATATTTCTGTTTTGGTACCAGTACCATGCTGTTTTGGTTACTGTAGCCTTGTAGTATAGTTTGAAGTCAGGTAGCGTGATGCCTCCAGCTTTGTTCTTTTGGCTTAGGATTGACTTGGCAATGTGGGCTCTTTTTTGCTTCCATATGAACTTTAAAGTAGTTTTTTCCAATTCTGTGAAGAAAGTCATTGGTAGCTTGATGGGGATGGCATTAAATCTATAAATTACCTCGGGCAGAATGGCCATTTTCACAATATTGATTCTTCCTATCCATGAGTATGGAATGTTCTTCCATTTGTTTGTGCCCTCTTTTATTTCATTGAGCAGTGGTTTGTAGTTCTCCTTGAAGAGGTCCTTCGCATCTCTTGTAAGTTGGATTCCCAAGTATTTTATTCTCTTTGAAGCAATTGTGAATGGAATTTCACTCATGATTTGGCTCTCTGTTTGTCTGTTATTGGTGTATAAGAATGCTTGTGATTTTTGCGCATTGATTTTGTATCCTGAGACTTTGCTGAAGTTGCCTATCAGCTTAAGGAGATTTTGGGCTGAGACAATGGTTTTTCTAGATATACAATCATGTCATCCGCAAACAGGGAGAATTTGACTTCCTCTTTTCCTAATTGAATACCCTTTATTTCTTTCTCCTGCGTGATTGCCCTGACCAGAACTTCCAACACTATGTTGAATAGGAGTGGTGAGAGAGGGCATCCCTGTCTTGTGCCAGTTTTCAAAGGGAATGCTTCCAGTTTTTGCCCATTCAGTATGATATTGGCTGTGGGTTTGTCATAGATAGCTCTTATTATTTTGAGATATGTCCCATCAATACCTAATTTTTTGAGAGTTTTTAGCATGAAGCATTGTTGAATTTTGTCAAAGGCTCTTTCTGCATCTATTGAGATAATCATGTGGTTTTTGTCTTTGGTTCTGTTTATATGCTGGATTACGTTTATTGATTTGTGTATGTTGAACCAGCCTTGCATCCCAGGGATGAAGCTCACTTGATCATGGTGGATAAGCTTTTTGATGTGCTGCTGGATTCGGTTTGCCAGTATTTTATTGAGGATTTTTGCGTCGATGTTCATCAGGGATATTGGTCTAAAATTCTCTTTTTTTGTTGTGTCTCTGCCAGACTTTGGTATCAGGATGATGCTGGCCTCATAAAATGAGTTAGGGAGGATTCCCTCTTTTTCTATTGATTAGAATCATTTCAGAAGGAATAGTACCAGCTCCACCTTGTACCTCTGGTAGAATTTGGCTGTGAACCCATCTGGTCCTGGACCTTTTTTTGGTTGGTAGGCTATTAATTATTGGCTCAATTTCAGAGCCTGTTATTGATCTATTCAGGGATTCTTCCTGGTTTAGTCTTGGAAGGGTGTATGTGTCCAGGAATTTATCCATTTCTTCTAGAATTTCTAGTTTATTTGTGTCAAGGTGTTTCTAGTATTCTCTGATGGTAGTTTGTATTTCTGTGGGATCGGTGGTGATATCCCCTTTATCATTTTTTATTGTGTCTATTTGATTCTTCTCTCTTTTCTTCTTTATTAGTCTTGCTAGCAGTCTATCAATTTTGTTGATCCTTTCAAAAAACCAGCTCCTGGATTCATTGATTTTTTGAAGGGTTTTTTGTGTCTCTATTTCCTTCAGTTCTGCTCTGATTTTAGTTATTTCTTGCCTTCTGCTAGCTTTTGAATGTGTTTGCTCTTGCTTTTCTAGTTCTTTTAATTGTGATGTTAGGGTGTCAGTTTTGGATCTTTCCTGCTTTCTCTTGTAGGCATTTAGTGCTATAAATTTCCCTCTACACACTGCTTTGAATGCGTCCCAGAGATTCTGGTATGTGGTGTCTTTGTTCTCGTTGGTTTCAAAGAACATCTTTATTTCTGCCTTCATTTCGTTATGTACCCAGTAGTCATTCAGGAGCAGGTTGTTCAGTTTTCACGTAGTTGAGCGGTTTTGAGTGAGTTTCTTAATCCTAAGTTCTAGTTTGATTGCACTGTGGTCTGAGAGACAGTTTGTGATAATTTCTGTTCTTTTACTTTTGCTGAGGAGTGCTTTACTTCCAACTATGTGGTCAGTTTTGGAATAAGTGTGGTGTGGTGCTGAGAAGAATGTATATTGTGTTGATTTGGGTTGGAGAGTTCTGTAGATGTCCAGTAGGTCTGCTTGGTGCAGAGGTGAGTTCAATTCCTGGACATCCTTGTTAACTTTCTGTCTCGTTGATCTGTCTAATGTTGACAGTGGGGTGTTAAAGTCTCCCATTATTATTGTGTGGGAGTCTAAGTCTCTTTGTAAGTCTTTAAGGACTTGCTTTGTGAATCTGGGTGCTCCTGTATTGGGTGCATATATATTTAGGATAGTTAGCTCTTCTTGTTGCATTGATCCCTTTACCATTATGTAATGGCCTTCTTTGTCTCTTTTGATCTTTGCTGGTTTAAAGTCTATTTTTTCAGAGACTAGGATTGCAACCCCTGCCTTTTTTTGTTTTCCATTTGCTTGGTAGATCTTCCTCCATCCCTTTATTTTGAGCCTCTGTGTGTCTCTGCACATGAGATGGGTCTCCTGAATACAGCACACTGATGGGTCTTGACTCTTTATCCAATTTGCCAGTCTGTGTCTTTTAATTGGAGCATTTAGCCCATTTGCATTTAAGGTTAATATTATGTGTGAATTTGATCCTGTCATTATGATGTTAGCTGGTTATTTTGCTCATTAGTTAATGCAATTTCTTCCTAGTTTCGATGGCCTTTACAATTTGGTAAGTTTTTGCAGTGGCTGGTAACGGTTGTTCCTTTCCATGCTTAGTGCTTCCTTCAGGAGCTCTTGTAAGGCAAGCCTGGTGATGACAAAATCCCTCAGCATTTGCTTGTCTGTAAAGGATTTTATTTCTCCTTCACTTATGAAGCTTAGTTTGGCTGGATATGAAATTCTGGGTTGAAAATTCTTTTCTTTAAGAATGTTGAATTTTGGCCCCCACTCTCTTCTGGCTTGCAGAGTTTCTGCCGAGAGATCCGCTGTTAGTCTGATGGGCTTCCCCTTGTGGGTAACCCAACCTTTCTCTCTGGCTGCTGTTAACATTTTTTCCTTGATTTCAACTTCAGTGAATCTGACAATTATGTGTCTTGGAGTTGCTCTTCTCGAGGAGTATCTTTGTGGTGTTCTCTGTATTTCCTGAATTTGAATGTTGGCCTGCCTTGCTAGGTAGGGGAAGTTCTCCTGCGTAATATCCTGCAGAGTGTTTTCCAACTTGATTTCATTCTCCCTGTCACTTGCAGGTACACCAATCAGGCATAGATTTGGTCTTTTCCCATAGTCCCATATTTCTTGGAGGCTTTGTTCATTTCTTTTTACTCTTCTTTCTCTAAACTTCTCTTCTCACTTCATTTCATTCATTTGATCTCCAATCACTGATACCCTTTCTTCTAGTTGGTTGAATTGGCTACTGAAGCTTGTGCATTCATCACGTAGTTCTTATGCCATGGCTTTCAGCTTCTTTTAAGGACTTCTCTACACTGGTTATTCTAGTTAGCCATTCGTCTAATCTTTTTTCAAGGTTTTTGTCTTCTTTGCAATGGTTTCGATCTTCCTCCTTTAGCTCGGAGAAGCTTGATCATCTGAAGCCTTCTTCTCTCAATTCATCAAAGCCATTCTCCATCCAGCTTTGTTCTGTTGCTGGTGAGGAGCTGCACTCCTTTTGAAGGGGAGGGGCGCTCTGATTTTTAGAATTTTCAGCTTTTCTGCTCTGCTTTTTCCCCATCTTTGTGGTTTTATCTACCTTTGGTCTTTGATGATGGTGATGTACAGATGTGGTTTTGGTGTGGATGTCCTGTTTGTTAGTTTTCCTTCTAACAGTCAGGACCCTTAGCTGCAGGTCTGTTGGAGTTTGCTGGAGGTCCACTCCAGACCCTGTTTGCCTGTTTATCAGCAGTGGAGGCTGCAGAACAGTGAATATTGCTGAACAGCAAATGTTGCTGCCTGATCGTTCCTCTGGAATCTTCATCTCAGAGGGGTACCCGGCCGTGTGAGGTGTCAGCCTGCCCCTACTGGGGGGTGCCTCCCAGTTAGGCTACTTGGGGGTCAAGGACCCACTTGTGGAGGCAGTCTGTCCATTCTCAGTTCTCAGATTCCATGCTGGGAGAACCACTACTCTCTTCAAAGCTTTCAGACAGGGACATTTAAGCCTGCAGAGGTTTCTGCTGCCTTTTGTTGGGCTATGCCCTGCCCCCAGAGGTGGAGTCTACAGAGGCAGGCAGGCCTCCTTGAGCTGTGGTGGGCTCCACCCAGTTAGAGCTACCCAGCCACTTTGTTTTCCTACTCAAGCCTCAGCAATAAAGAGCACCCCTCCCCCAGCCTTGCTGCAGACTTGCAGTTCGATCTCAGACTGCTCTGTGAACAATGAGTGAGGTTCTGTGGGCATGGGACCCTCTGATCCAGGTGCAGGATATAATCTCCTGGTATGCCCTTTGCTAAGACCACTGGAAAAGTGCAGTATTAGGGTGGGAGTGACCCAATTTTCCAGGTGCGGTCTGTCACAGCTTCCCTTGGCTAGGAAAGGGAATTCCCTGACCCCTTGTGCTTCCTGGGTGAGGCAATGCCTCAGCCTGCTTCAGCTCATGGTCGGTGGGCTGCACCCACTGTTCTGCACCCATTGTCCAACAAGCTCCAGTGAGATGAACCCAGTACCTCAGCTGGAAATGCAGAAATCACCCATCTTCTGCATCACTCACACTGGGAGCTGTAGACTGGAGCTGTTCCTATTTAGCCATCTTGGAACTGCCCCAGGCTCTTTTTCATAAAGGCATCAGTAGAATTTTCATGTCCCTGATAGATACCAGACAGCTGGTTTAATTGATAGACATAACAGTCTCCTCAAACAATCCTTTTTCAAATTTCTTCCCATAAAATGGACCGTGGAATGTGTCTCTATATTGCCCCAGGCCTTAATCTCCCTTAAATCAAGGACGTTTCAGTGACTCACGTCTCACACCAATTTTTTAAAAACTTTCCCATTGCCCTTTCCTACATTTAAAGGGGGGATATATCTCCCCTTCACATATATAAATATTCATTACACGTGAGACTCCTAAATATATCTTCCTCATACTTATAAATGTTTAATCTTGCCTCTATCCCATAAATGCTGGAGGCCAATTCAAAGGTGTGTAGTCTTCCCAGGACCTATTTGAGTCTAAATTCTCACCACCTCTACCACAAAAAAAAAAAAAGAAAGAAAAAGAAAAAACACTGTCAAGTGCAGCTGTACACCATTTTGTTAACTGTGGGTATCACTACTATTGGTCTGGGTGCTTTCATTGGTCTGCAATCCAGACCTTCCAAGTAATTGCTCAATCAATTATGGGAAATGCTGAGGCCCACATGCCATCAAGTTTAGTTAATACAAGCCCTCCAACCCAAACCTTGTAAGCTTGCTCATCACCAACCAAACCAACAATTGAGGCAAAGAGCCCACAGTCATTTAACAAATTAGAGGTCTGCCCATAGGATAATGCTGGAGCTCCAATCTCAGCCATAGATATTTTAATTGGCAAACAGCCTGACATCCTATTAATAACTTATACCTAAACCGAGCCATATGATTTAAAACTCATTTGCAACAGAACCCTTCTTATCACCCATCTGGGCAAAACCTCTAATTGTTGGAAATTGTGAGATTCAGCCACTCTTAATTGGGGTTTTAACTGTCCCAATTAAGTTCTAGAATTTCAGCTTTGCTAGGTGTGCACCCACAAGGCCCTACATGTAAGAAATATTTACAAGTCAAACTTCCAGTTCCAATGTTGTCTTCAAATTATGCAAACAGCTCAGACTTGTTATTATACCATAAAAGACACAAACACAATACCCACATCAACCTGAGCAGGTCTCTACTTGGAATGTATTCCCCATTCCCACATTCCAGATGGCATCACCTCAGCCCAGGAGCTCACTTCTGTAAGTGACACCACCTCAGATGACATCATCCCAGAGCAAGACTTCATCTTTGGAAATTACTTTGCACCCTGTGCTGGAGATGTATTTACCCCAGACATTAAAACCTCTATTCCAGTAATGTCCATGGACTGCTTCTCCTAAGGTGCTAAAAAATTGTACACAGAACATTTATTGCTCTTCTTTTTTTGATATTAGGGATTCTATTTGTTTTCTGAGCTCACAGACTGTTTAGCACATGATGTTGGTAAACTCCTTGCTCTCTACCAAAACATGCACTCCTACACACCCATGCACAGAGGGAAATCTGGGTGAGGTTACTACTATCTGTTCCATTCTAAAAAGTCAGTAGATATGATTGCCTTCCCCAGGAGGCAACCACCTCATATAAGTAAGTCCCCCCGGAGAAAAAACTCCCAGTACTTCCCACTTCTAGCTTTCTACCAAGGCCTCCATATGATGTCAAAATATCACAGGGGCAATTGTATTAACCATGTTCTTTATTTTCTGTATTCTGATACTTTGATATCTGGGACTTTGCTGACTTCAGAGGGACTGCCCCTCCTAGGTTAGCCAATTCCTAGAAATAGTAAACTACTTGACTAAGAGTACACCTTTCAAATATAAACCAACCATTCCAGAACCCACACAGTCCTAACTACCACCTTCACCAGGCTCTCGTGCTCTGGACCACTATCCACTTGCTCTACTTAGCCCAGGGCCAACTACTAGATGATTAGGGATTGCCCCTAGGCTCCAGAGTGTGCTGAAATTATTCAAACTAGCCAATCCTAGGCCTGCTTACCCTGCCTTAATCATTCCTTCCTTCCACAGAAACTACAAAAAGGCTGTTGCCCAGTTTCCTCCTCTCCCTCTCTGCCTCCTGACCAACCTGTGCTTCTCCATGTGGCCCCTCATGGTGTTGCAATGGCAATTGTCTCCTGATCTGTTGGTCTGATTATATCTCAAATTTTCTGTTAATGCACTGTAGTTTAGAGCACTTTCTGAGTTCAGAAGGGTATTCACTAAATGAGGAGCTAACATACACCTTTTTTATTTTTCCTCTTCAAATCCATAAAATTTTCTGTAACAAAGTAGCCCACACTTGGATTTCTTTTATTTTGCAGTAAAAGAAGACCCATTTTCCAAACTATACTGCCAGTCCATTGGCTACTACCAAAAAAATCAAAAACCAAAAAAATCCATACCATATCACTATTGTTATCTAGTTCCTCTGATGCCATGAGGATGCTCCTCTTAATTCTATCCATTGAGCACATTTGTCTCTTCCCTCCTCAATTAAAATGAAGCCATCAAGTAGTCACAGTGCTGGTGCTTTCTAAATTGAGTTTTACCCTTCTGTCCTCAAGCTATCATCTATAAATCATGCTACTTGTTTGGCACTCTCTGATAATTGGTCAGGGAGAATGGGGTATGCATTTAGCTATGGGATTAGGTAACTTATCAGGGGATCTAATGTAGGGAGCAAAGACAGAGACACCACCTGTTCATGTATATGGATCAGTAGCCCCAGTGGTACCCAGTGTCATATGTTCTTGAATATGTTGTTTCCATTTAATGAGGGAGTGCCTCTGTGCCTCATCCCTATTGGAATGATATCCTATGACATGATGTACATTTTCACTCTCAAAATAATTTTATGTCCATCAGTTTGGACATAAATTTGATTGAAGCATGTTCAACCAGAGCCCAATAATAGGCTAGTAATTACCTTTCAAATGGAGTGTACCTTGAAGCTGCTAGTCCAAAGTTTCTAGTCTAAAAATACCAGTAATTGCCACTAGGTAGCAATAATAGGCATTTGCCAAAGGCTCCAGTTGAGTGACAATGAGTGCTAAAACTTCCAAAATCATTTCAGCACAAGAGTCATAAGATCTTAAAGATCTAGGTATTACTAGAACTCATTGAAGCCAGGTGCAGTGGCACATGCCAGTAGCTCTCGCTACTTGGGAGGCTGAGGCAAGAAGATCACTTGAGCCCAGGAATTCAAGGCTGCAGTAACCTATGATCACACCACTGCACTCCAACTTGGGGGTCAGAGAAAACTCTGTCTCTGAAATAAATAAATAAACCATTTTGAGACTATACAGTTTAGTATTTAATTGTTCATTCAACCAATAGTTTTTGAGGCAACCAAAGCAAAAACAGACAAATGGGATTACATTAAGTTAAAGAGTTTCTGCATAGAAAGGAAACAATTCAACAAAGTGAAGAGACAACACACAGAAAGTGAGAAAATATTTGCAAACTACCTGTCTGACAAGAGATTAATAATCAGAATTTATAAGGAGTTTAAACAACTCTATAGGAAAAAATCTAATAATCCAATTTGAAAATCTGCAAAAAGATATGAACAAATATTCCTTAAAAGGAGACATACAAATAGCAAACAGGTATATGAAAAACGGCTTAATATCATTGATCATCAGAGAAATGCAAATCAAAACTACAATGAGATATCATCTCACCCCAGTTAAAACGGTTTATATCCAAAAGACAGGCAATAAGAAATGCTGGCAAGGATATGGAGAAATTGGAACTTGCATACACTGTTGGTGGGAATGTAAATTAGTACAACCACTATGGTGAACAGTTTGCAGTTTCTTCAGAAAACTAAAAGTAGAGCTAACATACAATCCAGCAATCTTACTCCTAGGTACATATACACAATGGAGTACTATTCAGCCACAAAAAAGAATGAGATCCTATCATTTGCAGCAACATGGACGGAACTGGAGTCACTTCGTTAGTGAAATAAGCCAGGCACAGAAAGACAAACATTGCATGTTTTGACTTATCTGTGGGGTCTAAAAATAAAGACAATTGAACTTACGTAGGTAAAGAGTAGAAGGATGTTTATGGCTGGGAAGGGTAGTGGGGGGCTGGTGGGGAGGTGGGGATGGTTAATGGGTACAAAAAGTAGAATGAATAAGACCTACTATTTTATAGCACAACAGGATGACTATAGTCAATAACTTAATTTTACATTTAAAAATAACTAAAAGAGTATAATTGGATTGTTTGAAACACAAGGGACAAATGCTTGAGGTGATGGATACTCTGTTTACCCTGATGTGATTATTACACTTGTATCAAAATATCTCATGTAATCCGCAAATATATACACTTACTAGGTACTTACAAAAACCAAACAAATAAAGACTAAACATGAAGCTGCAGTACAGTCAAACAATGGAACATTATATAGCACTAAAAATAAAGAAGTTATCAAGCCATGAATAGATATAGAGGATCCTTAAATGCATATTACCAAGTGAAAGAAGCCAATCTGAAAAGCCTATGTGCTATAGGAGTCCAACTATATCACATTCTGGAAAAGGTCAAACTATGGAGACAGTCAAAAGAGAAATGCCAGGGGATGGAGGAATGAATAGGCAGAGCACAGAGGATTTTGAAGGCAGTGAAACTACTCTGTATAACCCTGTAATGATAGATGCGTGTTATTATAAATTTGTCAAAACCCAAAGAATGTACAACATCAAGAGTTAACCTTAATGTAAACTACGGACAGTGGGTGATAATGATGTGTCAATGTGGGTTCATCAATTATAACAAATGCACCACTCTAGTGGGGCATGCATGTGAGGGGGCAGGTGATATTTGAAAAATATTTGTACCTTCCATTCAATTTTGCTGTGAATCCAAAACAACTCTTAAAAATAAAGTCTAATTTTTAAAGCCATATAATGGGGGAAATATTGTCGGCTAACATTACAAAACGAGACTTTCATATAAAATATGCAAATAATTCCTACAAATCAATAAGAAAATAATATGAACAACCACATAGAAAAAAATTTAAGACATTTAAACAGGCACATCACACACATACACACACACACACGCACACACACACACACACCCCATCCAAATGGCCTACAAACATTTGCAAAGGTGCTCAACCTCATTCGTAATCAGGAAAATTGCTTTCCCAGAATAATGACACAAGTGAGTGGACCAAGCCTTAAAAACAAGAATTCACCCAGTTTTGACCAGAAAGACTCATGTAGTATGAATACCAGGGTCCTGTGAAGAAGGCAAGAGAGAAAACAAAGGAGAGAAGCAGAAGCAGGAAGAATCAAATTCCAGACCTCCATGCAAAACACATTTAAAATAAACCTAAAGATGACTCCATAGGAAAAAGAAATACTTTGCAAATGAATTTCTTCCAGAAATGGACAACGTGGCTTCACAGATATTCCCTGACATAAATAGATGAAAATAGTGTAAAATTGAAGGCTTTATTACTCTATCCTATAACGTTCTTTAAATTTGTTATTTTACCTTCCCTATAATAGAAAAGTTATTTTAAAGAATGAAGATGTAAAATAATAAAAAGATAGAGATGAAGAAAAAACTAGTAGTCACCAGGAGTCAGGGATGGTAGGAGAAGGGGGATGGATGTGGCCACAGAGGGGTAGAGGGATATCTTTCTAATTATGAAAACATTCTGGATCTTTATTGTGATGGTGGTTACATGAATCTATATGTGTCATAAAATATCACAGAACTGGCAGGGCACGGTGGCTCACACCTACAGTCCCAGCACTTTGGGAGTCTGAAGCAGGCGGATCACCTGAGATCGGGAGGTTGAGACCAGCCTGGCCAACATGGTGAAATCCCATCTCTACTGAAAGTAGAAACATTAGCTGGGTGTGGCGGTGCGCTGTAGTCCCAGCAACTAGGGAGGTTGAGATGGGAGAATCGCTTGAACCTGGAATGAGGAGATCGGGCCATTACACTCCAGCCTGGGTGACAGAGTGAGACTCCATCTAAAAAAAAAAAAAAAAAAAAAAAATTTATAGAACTACACCCGTTACATTGATGTTAATTTCCTAGCTTTGATATTGTCCTACAATTCTTTCAGATGTAACCATTAAAAGAAATTGGATGAAGGGTAGATGGGATCTCTCTGTACTATCTTTGCAAGTTCGTGTGAGTCTATATAAATTTCAAAAAAGTTTTAATATATTTTTTTAAAGGAAAATGTAAGTTACATGATACGCCACTGGATTCCAGGAATGGTAAACCTAGCATGAGCCTCCAGAAAGGCAGGAAGTTAGAGCGCCTATTGTGTCACAAACCCAGAAAGGCCAAACAAATGTAGTCAAATCTGAAACGAGCCCTGAGGGCACACAGAGTAACAGGGACAATTATTACTCTCCTTGTCCTTCCCTTCCTCAACCTGACCTTGTGCATCAGTTACCACATGTCCATATTTCACTTGGCCTGATGTGCACCTCACTCACAAGCTGTCAAGAATGTTCACAATAGCAAAGACTTGGAACCAACCCAAATGTCCAAAAATG
Source organism: Homo sapiens (assembly GCF_000001405.40). Classification (NCBI taxonomy): domain Eukaryota; kingdom Metazoa; phylum Chordata; class Mammalia; order Primates; family Hominidae; genus Homo; species Homo sapiens. The sequence continues at coordinate 54,770,240 of NC_000012.12, read as the reverse complement.
ATAGACTGGATTAAGAAAATGTGGTACGAAATGAAGGCAGAAATAAAGATGTTCTTTGAAACCAACGAAAGCAAAGACACAACACACCAGAATCTCTGGGACACATTCAAAGCAGTGTGTAGAGGGAAATTTATAGCACTAAATGCCCACAAGAGAAAGCAGGAAAGATCCAAAATTGACACCCTAACATCACAATTAAAAGAACTAGAAAAGCAAGAGCAAACACATTCAAAAGCTAGCAGAAGGCAAGAAATAACTAAAATCAGCGCAGAACTGAAGGAAACAGAGACACAAAAAACCCTTCAAAAAATTAATGAATCCAGGAGCTGGTTTTTTGAAAAGATCAACAAAATTGATAGACTGCTAGCAAGACTAATAAAGAATAAAACAGAGAAGAATCAAATAGATGCAATAAAAAATGATAAAAGGGGATATCACCACCAATCCCACAGAAATACAAACTACCATCAGAGAATACTATAAACACCTCTATGCAAATAAACTAGAAAATCTAGAAGAAATGGATAAATTCCTGGACACATACACCCTCCCAAGACTAAACCAGGAAGAAGTGGAATCTCTGAATAGACCAATAACAGACTCTGAAATTGTGGCAATAATCAATAGCTTACCAAACAAAAAGAGTCCAGGACCAGATGGATTCACAGCCGAATTCTACCAGAGGTACAAAGAGGAGCTGGTACCATACCTTCTGAAACTATTCCAATCAATAGAAAAAGACGGAATCCTCTCTAACTCATTTTATGAGGCCAGCATCATCCTGATACCAAAGCCTGGCAGAGACACAACCAAAAAAGAGAATTTTAGACCAATATCCTTGATGAACATTGATGCAAAAATCCTCGATAAAATACTGGCAAACCGAATCCAGCAGCACATCAAAAAGCTTATCCACCATGATCAAGTGGGCTTTGCCACTGGGATGCAAGGCTGGTTCAACATATGCAAATCAATAAATGTAATCCAGCATATAAACAGAACCAAAGACAAAAACCACATGATTATCTCAATAGATGCAGAAAAGGCCTTTGACAAAATTCAACAACCCTTCGTGCTAAAAACTCTCAATAAATTAGGTATTGATGGGATGTATCTCAAAATAATAAGGGCTATCTACGACAAACCCACAGCCAATATCATACTGAATGGGCAAAAACTGGAAGCATTCCCTTTGAAAACTGGCACAAGACAGGGATGCCCTCTCTCACCACTCCTATTCAACATAGTGTTGGAAGTTCTGGCCAGGGCAATTAGGCAGGAGAAGGAAATAAAGGGTATTCAATTAGGAAAAGAGGAAGTCAAATTCTCCCTGTTTGCAGATGACATGATTGTATATCTAGAAAACCCCATTGTCTCAGCCCAAAACCTCCTTAAGCTGATAAGCAACTTCAGCAAAGTCTCAGGAATCAATGTACAAAATCAATGTACAAAAATCACAAGCATTCTTATATACCAATAACAGACAAACAGAGAGCCAAATCATGAGTGAACTCCCATTCACAATTGCTTCAAAGAGAATAAAATACCTAGGAATCCAACTTACAAGGGATGTGAAGGACCTCTTCAAGGAGAACTACAAATCACTGCTCAATGAAATAAAAGAGGATACAAACAAATGGAAGAACATTCCATGCTCATGGGTTGGAAGAATCAATATCGTGAAAATGGCCATACTGCCCAAGGTAATTTATAGATTTAATGCCATCCCCATCAAGCTACCAATGACTTTCTTCACAGAATTGGAAAAAACTACTTTAAAGTTCATATGGAAGCAAAAAAGAGCCCACATTGCCAAGTCAATCCTAAGCCAAAAGAACAAAGCTGGAGGCATCATGCTACCTGACTTCAAACTATACTACAAGGCTTCAGTAACCAAAACAGCATGGTACTGGTACCAAAACAGAAATATAGACAATGGAACAGAACAGAGCCCTCAGAAATAATGCCGCATATCTACAACTATCCGATCTTTGAGAAACCTGACAAAAACAAGCAATGGGGAAAGGATTCCCTATTTAATAAATGGTGCTGGGAAAACTGGCTAGCCATATGTAGAAAGCTGAGACTGGATCCCTTCCTTACACCTTATACAAAAATTAATTCAAGATGGATTAAAGACTTACATGTCAGGCCTAAAACCATAAAAACCCTATAAGAAAACCTAGGCATTACCATTCAGGACATAGGCATGGGCAAGGACTTCATGTCTAAAACACCAAAAGCAATGGCAACAAAAGCCAAAATTGACAAATGGGATCTAATTAAACTAAAGAGCTTCTGCCCAGCAAAAGAAACTACCATCAGAGTGAACAGGCAACCTACAAAATGGGAGAAAATTTTCGCAACCTACTCATCTGACAAAGGGCTAATATCCAGAATCTACAAAGAACTCAAACAAATTTACAAGAAAAAATCAAACAACCCCATCAAAAAGTGGGCAAAGGATATGAACAGACACTTCTCAAAAGAAGACATTTATGCAGCCAAAAAACACATGAAAAAATGTTCATCATCACTGGCCATCAGAGAAATACAAATGAAAACCACAATGAGATACCATCTCACACCAGTTAGAATGGCGATCATTAAAAAGTCAGGAAACAACAGGTGCTGGAGAGGATGTGGAGAAATAGGAACACTTTTACACTGTTGGTAGGACTGTAAACTAGTTCAACCATCGTGGAAGTCAGTGTGGTAATTCCTCAGGGATCTAGAACTAGAAATACCACTTGACCCAGCCATCCCATTACTGGGTATATACCCAAAGAACTATAAATCATGCTGCTTTAAAGACATATGCACACGTATGTTTATAGCAGCACTATTCACAATAGCAAAGACTTGGAACCAACCCAAATGTCCAAAAACGATAGACTGGATTAAGAAAATGTGGCACATATACACCATGGAATACTATGCAGCCATAAAAAGTGATGAGTTCATGTCCTTTGTATGGACATGGATGAAACTGGAAATCATCATTCTTAACTATCGCAAGGACAAAAAACCAAACACCGCATGTTCTCACTCATAGGTGGGAATTGAACAAAGAGAACACATGGACACAGGAAGGGGAACATCACACTCCGGGGACTGTTGTGGGGTGGGGGGAGAGGGGAGGGATAGCATTAGATATACCTAATGTAAATGACGAGTTAATCGGTGCAGCACACCAACATGGCACATGTATACACATGTAACAAACCTGCACGTTGTGCACATGTACCCCAGAACTTAAAGTATAATTAAAAAAAGAATTCTAAGTATTGGAAGTACCACAGTACCTATTACTGAAAACAATAAACAATATATGTGTATAAAAAAAAGATTCAGAATATCTCAAAGGTGCTGGTAATATTCTATTTTTATTCTGGGTAGTGAGTATAAAAAATCCATATATTATTTAAATTGCATGGCTATGTGTGTATGTGTATATGTATTCTTCTGTATGTATGTCATATTTCACAATAAAAGTTTTTGTCAGAAAAAAAAAGAATATGCCAAGACCCACTGGCACTTTCTCTTTAATCACGATACCCAGCTTTTGTGGGGATGGGGAGCAGTGAGATTCCAGTCTCAGCTCTCTTGGGCAGGATAATTCTTGTTGTCAAGGAAGCCCTGGGCATTATGGCAGCCTCCTTGGCCTCTGCCCACTACATGCCAGTAGCACTGCCCCGCCACCAAGTTACAACAATAAGAAATGTCTCCAGATATTACCAGATGTTCCTGGGAAAGCAAGATTCCACCCAGTTGAGAACCATTGGTCTAGGTATTTCACTGGGCCAATCATAAAAAAATGATAAACCAACTGTAAAAAAAATGAAATAAAAGTTTCCAAAATCATACTCTTAAAAATATTTTCCTTTTTGGCTTGGTGCAGTGGCTCATGCCTGTAATCCCAGTGCTTTGAGAGGCCAAGGAGGGAGGATCACTTGAGGCCAGAAGTGCAAGACCAGCCTGAGTAACACAGCAAGACCTTGTCTCTACAGAAATTTAAAAATTAAAACATGAGCCAAGCATGGTGGCATGCGCCTATAGTCCTAGCTACGTGAAAGGCTGAGGCAGGAGGATTGCTTGAGCCCAGGTGTTTGAGGCTGCAGTGAGCTATGATCAAACCACTGCATTCTAGCCTGGTTGATAGAGTAAGACCCTGTCCCTTACAAAAAAAAATCCCGTTTTGAAATTTATTATATTTCTATCAGGAACTCCAGACCCTGTTTCTTAAAAAAAAAAAAAAAATCCCTTTCTGAAATTTATTGTGCTATTTCTATCAGGAACTCCTAATAAATCATTTTTGTAACTCTATAAATCTTGTTCACTCTTCAAACTGTAAATATTTACCCATGCCCCAAGTAGGTCATAGTCCTTCATACATACCTCAATAAACATAGGAGAGGAAGAAGGAGAAATTGAAACTGAAATAAGATAGAAAAGAGAGAGGCAGACAAGTAGGAAGGAAGAAGACAAAAAGAATTATCAGTTCATACAAACACTGCAGTTTCAGATAAGCAACTGATATCTACAGAAAATGCCATATGATTAATTCCTTATCTCATTAGGTCAACACACACACACACACACACACACACACACACACTTCAGAGAATTACAATCTCTCCCTCAAATACAGCCATTTCCAGTCCTAAAAACACAAAGCCCTGAATCTATATGAAAAAAAAAAGTGTTGCTAAAATTGATTTATTTCATTGCATAGCCATTTTGAATTCTATAGTCAAATATTCTATAAATATAGTTATGAAATTTCTAGCTATCAAAACTGACCATGTTTTTGAACTGCACACAAACATAAATGCTCATATTTGTAAAGAAACACACAAGGATGCTCACACTAATGCATGTAAGCAGATAGTGCAAATTCCACCCTTGCTTCTCTGATTGTTCACAAGTGGCCAAATTTAGTGGTGGAAGGATGGGGATAGATATGTGTACATCTTCCACACACACAAAAAAAATAGGATAAGAAAGGTAAAGAATATGTTATTAAGGTAATTAGGCTTTTTAAGTCTAAGAGACAGAATTTATACCAATTTTTTCAGATCAGAAATTATGATATAACTTTTCATTAATAAGAAACAAAAACAAATGAACTGCTATTTAAATACAAGGTTCTATTAACACATCTTTCAAATGACAGTTCACTCAGAGAAATGATATTATGAGAAACTACAGAGGTAAGGTGTAGGATTTCACACTGTTAACTAGGTTGAAGTATCTGAAATCTCTGTCATCAGCCCTCTAAACCTTAAAAACAGAGGCATGAAACTTTAAAGGACACCCTACAGAATACACATTGTTCTTGCTTAGAAGCAAAACTAAAATTAGGTCCTCCATTTTGGTAAAGCAAAAGAGGATAAGATTAAAGCAAAATGAAAATCATGCGAGGATGAATAAGGCAAACAATATTGATTTTATAACTCTATAAGCTACAGTCAGATAATGTTACAAGACTGAAACGACACATTTCATCCAAAAGTCTATTCATCTCTTAGCTTTTCGATAGCAGGGACCATGCCTTATTTCTCTTTATAGCTACAGCGTTTAGCACAATGTCTGACATGTAGTACAGTTTTGAAAATATTTGATGAATGAAAAAGCAAATTAGATAAATGAAGGAATAAACAAGTGAGTAAGTGAGTGAAATCCTCATTTAGTTCAGACATAAACCCGCCTAATGTTACACAGAACTCATTCTGACAATAGAAGGATGTGCCTGTAAAGTGCCGAGTGGGATGAACAGTATAACAGTGTGTAACAGGTAAGATGTAAAAGTAAGATTATTATTGGCCAGGCGCGGTGGCTCACTCCTATAATCCCAACACTTTGGGAGGGCGAGGCGGGAGGATCATGAGGTCAGGAGATCGAGACCATCCTGGCTAACACGGTGAAACCCCATCTCTACTAAAAATACAAAAATTTAGCCAGGTGTGGTGGCGGGCACCTCTAGTCCCAACAACTCAGGAGGCTGAGGCAGGAGAATAGAGTGAACCCGGGAGGTGGAGGCTGCAGTGAGCCGAGATCGTGCCACTGCACTCCAGCCTGGGCAACAGAGCCAGACTACATCAAAAAAAAAAAAAAAGTAAGATTATTATCAATTTAACTAGGATTATCTTGACACATTTGAAGATATACCTCCACAGAAACATCAAAATGGAAACTGTATCTAAATGACTCATCTATTTAGCAGGACTTTCATGACACAGTTATCTGAAATTATCCCCTTTGTTTCTTGTCTCATGGAAGGTAAATTCCATGAGAGTAAGAACTTTTTTTCACCTTGTCTTGCTCACAGCTATAGCCCCATAGCTTAGAACAGTGTTCAGAATCAAGTAGGTGCTTGATGGAAATTAAAGGCATCAGAAATAGACTACTGGCATCACGGAGTTCTCATGTCAGCTCTCCTACCAACAGGGTAAAAACTGGGCACATCATGAAAAAATCTGAAGCTCAGTTTATCAACTGAAAGAATTTAATGAAACCTGCCCTGTCAAACACAGAATTTTTTCGGATACACAAGGCAATGGGTATAAAAATTCTCTGAAAATATGTTACATTCCAGGGTTTCAAAAGTTATGTTGAGAAACGTGAGGCAATATTTGGAAATCAACGGAGCAGTAGGTACAAAATGCACACCACGGGAATCATCCTAAGAATGGATTCAAAGAAGGGGAAAAAGTTAAATGCATAAAAGTGATTATTGCTACATTGGTTAAAATAGCCATAACCTGGAAATAACCTAAGTGTCCTGCAGCAAAATGGATCTAACACAATGTTCAATTATCTTATAATCATTAAAATAAAAAACAGTGAAAAGCAAATAATGTAGAACGAATACTCATGGTAAATTAATTGGTAAGAAATATAAATTCTGACTTCCACAATGGTTGAACTAGTTTACAGTCCCACCAACAGTGTAAAAGTGTTCCTATTTCTCCACATCCTCTCCAGCACCTGTTGTTTCCTGCCTTTTTAATGATTGCCATTCTAACTGGTGTGAGATGGTATCTCATTGTGGTTTTGATTTGCATTTCTCTGATGGCCAGTGATGATGAGCATTTTTTCATGTGTTTTTTGGCTGCATAAATGTCTTGGGAGGGGGGGAGGGATAGCATTAGGAGATATACCTAATGCTAAATGACGAGTTAATGGGTGCAGTACACCAACATGGCACGTGTATACATATGTAACAAACCTGCACATTGTGCACATGTACCCTAAAATTTAAAGTATAATAATAATAAAATAAAATAAAATATTAAAAAGAAATATAAATTCTATATTGTCTACACACAACTAATTCAACCTTGTAAAATAAGCATGCATGATAAAGATTTTTAAAAGTGAAAGTAATTGTGTATTAGTCAAGGTAGTTATTGCAAACTATCCTAGTCCAAGCCTAACTTAAACAGAAAAGTAATTTAATAAAGACTATCAGTTCCTGAAATTATTAGAAAAGCTGGAGAAAAAGATGTCCAAGCTTCTGGTAAAAATGCTAACAACTTTGCCACAGGACTGGTTTGATGAGAAAACCTCCTGCATGGCCATGGGTGCTGCCAAGTACTAAATGCCAAGAATTTGATTAAAACAACAGTAAAACGTATTTCCCTATCAGAAATCAGTCCTGCAATCATTGCTGTCCTTTCAACCTGTATGTTTTGGCAGGCAATATATGCCAGCAAAATGAAGGCTGTTTTCACACACTGCTCATCTCCAGGCTAAGGTCTTGTGAAAGTTCCTAAAATTAGAAGAGCTAGTTCACAAGCCTGCATTCTGGTTGCAAGAGAAGCTGAGAAACTGCAGTATAATTTCAATGTCGTAGGACTATACACAGCATTTTATTTAATTCTTTTAAACAGAATGGACATTATTATCTATATTTTATAAATGAAGATATTGAAGTATATTAATTTTGATAAATTATAGGTTATTTTGATTTTTGATTTTATATAGATAATCAGGCCATCCACAAATAACGACATTTTTTTCTTTCTTCCTTTCCAACTATTTGACCCTTTATTTCCTTTTCTGATTTTAATAATCAGGCTAGAAACTCTAGTATAATGAGAATAAATGTAGTAATAGCAGCACTCTCTGAATTATTTCTGATTTTTTTTCATGTTCCAAAGCTTTCTTTTTTACTATTCTTATTATACTTTAAGTTCTAGGGTACATGTGCACAACGTGCAGGTTTGTTACATAGGTATACATGTGCCATGTTGATGTGCTGCACCCGTTAACTCGTCATTTACATTAGGTATATCTTCTAATGCTACCCCTCCCCTCTCCCCCAACCCCATGACAGGCCCTGGTGTGTGATGTTCCCCATCCTGTGTCCAAATGTTCTCATTGTTCAATTCCCACCTATGAGTGAGAACATGCGGTGTTTGTTTTTCTGTCCTTGCAATAGTTTGCTCAGAATGATGGTTTCCAGCTTCATCCATGTCCCTACAAAGGAGATGAACTCATCCTTTTTTATGGCTGCATAGTATTCCATGGTGTATATGTGCCACATTTTCTTAATCCAGTCTATCATTGATGGACATTTGGGTTAGTTCCAAGTCTTTGCTATTGTGAATTTTTTTTTTTTTTTGAAACGGTGTTTTGCTTTTGTTGCCCAGGCTGGAGTGTAATGTCATGAACTCGGCTCACTGCAAACTCCACCTCCTGGGTTCAAGCAATTCTTCTGCTTCAGCCTCCTGAGTAGCTGGGATTACAGGCACGCACCACCACTCCCGGCTAATTTTGTATTTTTAGTAAAGATGGGGTTTCTGCATGTTGGTCAGGCTGGTCTCGAACTCCCAACCTCAGGTGATCTGCCTGCCTCAGCCACAGAAGAGCTCGGATTACAGGCATGAGCCACCGCACCCGGCCTATTTCTGATTGTAAGATAAGTGCATTCAGTAATTTACAATTGAATACGATGTTTCCTGTAAATTATTTGTAAATAACCTTAATTTTTCATGTTAAGAAAGTTTCCTCTATTCCTTGTTTTCTAAGACTTTTAACAATGAATGGATGTTGAATGCTACCAATGCTATTTCTACATTTAATTAGATAATCATATATGTTTTATTTTAATATCTAAATATGATGAGTAATAATAACACACTTCTTTTTAAAAAATTCTTTTCAGAAAGAAGTCCAGTTTTCCTGAAGTAGTGTCTTGTCTTTAAGATAGTTAGGCTCACTTTGCTGCTAATTTGATCATATTTTTGCATCTTTATATAAACAAGATTAGCCTGTGATACATTATTCTTATATTTTCCTTAAAAGATTTTAGTATCAAAGGATGTCATCAAAATGGTATAGCAGAAACAATCTGACTTTGCTCTCCCCAGCAGAAAACCAAGAACAAATATCCAGCATCAAGATTATCACCAGGGGCCAGGTACAGTGGTTCATACCTGTAATCCCAGAATTTTTGGAGGCTGAGGTGGGCAGATTGCTTGAGTCCAGGAGTGCGAGACAAACCTGGACAATGTGGCAAAACCCTGCTTCCACAAAAACACAAAAAATTAGCCAGGTGTGGTGGTGCACACCTGTAGTCCCAGCTACTTGGGGGGATGAGGTGGGAGGATCACTTGAGCCCAGGAAGTTAAGGCTGCAGTGAGCCATATTGGAGCCACTCCACTCCACTCCACTCCCGCCTGGGTGACAAAGCAAGACCCGGTCCCCGCCTCCAAAAAAAAAAAAAATATATATATATATATAGTAACCAGCAAAATCCTAAAACTCAAATCTGAGGCTGGGGCAATCCCTACAGCCACAGAGAAGTGAGAAACTCCGAGCTTCGGGTAAGAGAAACAAACCTGTCTATCTTTGATACCGATCCTCAATCTGCCAGGCACCATTTGTGGAAAATTCCCCCAGACTCATGGTTTCTAGATCGGAAAAAGTGAGATTGAGGTAGATAGCCAGCTTCTCCACCATCGTGGATTCCCTTGTAGGAAAAGCATTCCTGCCTCAACTCATGGGAAATACCTGTAGGAAGGAAAACCCCAAGGGCAGCTGGAGATAAAGAGGGAAAGTGGGACTAGAAACCCCAGCCTGTGAAACCCTGGTCTTTAAGGCAAAGGAGATGCCAAATCAGAGTGTCTGTTCAGCAGTACGACATTGTATGAGGCACATTCTACCAGTCTTTTGAGCACAAATCCCTAGCCAGATTTCCCTCATGGGTATGGTAACTTCTTTGGGACTTCCTCTCTCTCCTCAGTCAGGGATGGGCAACACTCTGAGCAGTTGCAAGAAGCCCAAGCCAAATCTGGGCTTAAGGCACCATCTAGTGTTGAAAAGGAGGCAACAATGTAGGATAAGGAGACCAACAGGCAGCTAAATATTACCCCATAGCAAACATACCCTAGGAAGACCAAAACAAGCCAGACAGCAAAAACTGTAAATAATCCTCCAATGCAAAGCCATAGATGTATATCCATAAGAAACAACAGCAAACAGGGAACTCTGACCTCCACAAATGAGCAAAGCAATGAGCCAAAGACTGATCCTAATGAGGCAGTGATATATAAGCTCTGTTAAAGAATCCAAAGTAGCAGTTCAAAGGAAACTCAGTGAACTCCAAGATAACACAGAAAAGCAATTCAGAAATTTACTAGAGATATTTAACAAAGATATTCAAATAATTTAAAAATTTAAACAGAAATCCTGGAACTGAGAAATATGTTTGCTAAACTGAAAAATACATTATAGGCTCTCAACAGCACAATGGATCAACAGTGGGAAAACTCAGTTAGTTCAAAGACAGGCTATCGGAAAATACACAGTCAAAGGAGAAGAAAGAAAAAAGAATGGAAAGAAATGAAGAACACTTGCAAAATATAGAGAATACCTTTAAGAGAGCAAATCTAAGTGTCATTGCCATTAAAGACGAAATTGGGAAAGAGAAAGTGTTAGAAAGCTTATTTAAACAAATAATAACAGAAAAGTTTCCAAACCTAGAGAAAGGTATAATCTAGCTACAGGAAGGCTAGAGATCACCAAATGACTTCAATCCAAATAATACCACCCGAAGGCATATAAGACTTTGAGAGTTTACCCTCAAAGGTCAAGGACAAAGAAACGATCATAAAAACAGCAAGAGAAAAGAGGCAAATAACATATAAAAGGGCTCTGATTCATCTGGCAATAGACTTCTCAGGAGAAAACATAAAGGCCAAAAGGAAGTAGAATGACATATTCAATGTGCTAATGGGAAAAAAAAAAACTTTCAACCAAGAATACTGTACCCAGAAAAAGCTTTCCCTCAAACATGAAGGGGAGATAAAGTCTTTCCCAAACAAACAAAAGCTGACAGAAGGAATTCATCACCACTAGACCCATCTTACAAGAAATGCTAAAAGTACTTCAGTCTGAAAGAAAATGATGCTATCATACAAAAGCAAAACATTTGAAGATATGAAACTCACTGGTTGAGTGCAGTGGTTCACACCTGTAATACCAGCACTTGGGAGGCCAAGGGGGGAGGATCACCTGAGGTCAGGAGTTCAAGACAAGCCTGGCCAACATGGCGAAACACCATCTCTACTAAAAATACAAAAATTATCTGGGTGTGGTGGTGGGTGCCTATAATCCCAGCTACTTGGGAAGCTGAGGCAGGAGAATCACTTGAACCCAGGAGGCAGATGTTGCAGTGAGCCGAGATCATACCACTGCACTCCAGCCTGGGTGACAGAGTGAGACTCCGTCTCAAAAAAAAGAAAAAGGAAAGAAAGAAAGAAACTCACTGGTAAAAGAAAGTACACAGACAAACAGACAAATTAACAATATTCTAATATTGTCATTGTGTAATCTACTCAAAAATCTAGAATGAAGACCAAAAGAAAAATCTATAAAAAATAGCTACTGCAGCCTTTTAAGAGATAGGCAATATGAAAAGATGTAAATTGAAAAAACAAGAAGTCAGAATGGGGGGTGGAATTAAAGTATAGAGTTTTTTAGTTTTTCCTTCCTTTCTGTTCTGTGATAAAAGTTAAGTTGTCATCTGTTTAAAATAACTTATTATATTTATAAGATAATTTTGTAAGCCTCATGGCAACCGCAAAGCAAAAACCTATATTAAATACACCAAAAATAAAGCTCAGTGTATTAAAATGTATTACCAGAAAACTTTACCTAACCACAAAGGAAGACACTCAGAAAGAAAGGAAGAGAGGAGTTAAAAAAACAACCAGAAAACAAGTAACAAAATGACAGTAAGTCCTTACCTATCAATTATTATACTGAATGTTAATGGACTAAATACTCCAATTAAAATACATGAATGGGCTGGGCATAGTGGCTCACACCTGTAATTCCAGCACTTTGGGAGGGCGAGACGGGGGATCAGAAACCCTGCCTCTACTAAAAATACAAAAATTAGCCAGTGGCGGTCACCTCTAGTCCCAGCTACTCGGGAGGCTGAGGCAGGAGAATCACTTCAACCAAGGAGGCAGAGGTTGCAGTGAGCCACCACTGCACTCCAGCATGGGCAACAGAGTGAGACTCCATCGCAAAATCAATTAATTAATTAATTAATTAATTTTAAAAATAAGATACATGAATGAATCGATTTAAAAACAGGGTTCAGGCTGGGCATGGTGGCTCATGCCTATAATCCTAGCACTTTGGGAGGCCGAGGCAGGCAGATCACAAGGTCAAGAGATTGAGACCATCCTGGCCAACATAGTGAAACCTCATCTCTACTAAAAATACAAAAATTAGCCGGGCAAGGGGTCGCACGCCTGTAGTCCCAGCTACTCGGGAGGCTGAGGCAGGAGAATCACTTGAACCCGGGAGGTGGAGGTTGCCGTGAGCCGAGATTGTGCCACTGCACTCCAGCCTGGCGACAGAGCAAGACTCTGTCTCAAAATACAAAAAAAAAAAAAAAAAAAAAAAAAAACAGGGTTCAAATATATGCTGCCTAAAGAAACTCACCTTACCTATAAAGACACACATAGTCTGAAATGAAGAGATACAAAAAAAATTCCATACAAATGGACACCAAAATCTTCAAGTCAAAGATTATCAAAAGAGAAAAGAATGTCACTATGTGATAATAAAAGGGCCAATTCAGCAAGTCTATAACAATTGTAAATATATATGCACTCAACACCAGAGCACCCAAATATGTAAAGCAAACATTAATAAATATGAAGTCAGAGATAGACTTCAATACAGTAATGTTAGGGGACTTTAAACCCTTCTCTCAGTAAAGAACAAATTATCCAGACAGAAATCAATTTTTTAAAATCCAGGTTAAACTTCACACTAGACCCAATGGACCTAACTAATATTTACAGAACATTTCATCCAAGTGATATGGAATATGCATTGTTATCATCAGCACATGGAACATTTTCTAGGATAGATCATATTTTAAGTCACAAAACAAGTCTCAACAGATTCAAAAAAGCCAAAATTATATCGAATATCTTTTCTGACCACAATAGAATACAACTAGAAATTATTAACAAGAGGATCTGAAGAAATTATACAAACACATGGAAATTAAACATGTTCCTGAATGATCAATGGGCCCATGAAGGAATTAAGAAGGAAATTTTTTAATATTTTGAAACAAAAGAAATGGAAACACAATAATAAAATCTATGGGCTATGGTGTAAGCAGTACTAAGAGGGATGTTTATAGCAATAAATGTTCCAAAAAACAGAAAGAGTTCAAATAAACAACCTAATGGTGCACCTCAAGAAACTACAAAAGCAAGAGCGAATGAAACCCAAAACTAATAGAAAGAAAATAATAATAAAGACGAGAGCCAGATGAAATGAACAGAGACTAAAAAACAATACCAAGTACAGACAAAACAAAAAGTTGATTTTTGAAAAGATGAAATTGGCAAACCTTCAGTAAGAACAATTAAGAAAAAATAGAGAAAGCTCAAAATGAAATTTGAAGAAGGAAACATAACAACTGATACCACAGAAATACAAGGGATCATTAGAGACTATTATGAACAAGTATATGCCAACAAAATGGAAAGCCTAGAAGAAATGTATAAATTCCCAGACACACACAATCTGCCTAAATTGCATTGAAAAGAAATAGAAAACCTGAACATACCAATAACAAATTGAAGCAGTAGTATGTCTCCTATCAAAGAAAAGCCCAGGACCAGATGAATTTACTGTTGAATTTTACCAAACATTTAAATTGCCAATTCTACTCAAACTATTCCAAAAAATTGAAGAGGGAATATTTCCAAACTTATTATATGAGTCCAGCATTACCCTGATATCAAAACCAGACAAGGATACATCAAAAAAGAAAACTACAGGACAATATCCCTGAAGAACATGGACACAAAAATTCTCAAATAAACACTAGCAAACTGAATCCAGCAACAAATTAAAAAGATCATTCACTATGACCAAATGGGATTAATTCCAGCAATACAAGAATGATTCAACATACATGAATCAATAAGTGTAATAAGTCACATCAACAGAGTCTAGGAAAAAAACATATGATCATTTCAAAAGATGCTGAAAAAGCATTCAACAAAATTCAACATCCTTTTATGATAAAAACTCTCTATAAACTGTTAGAAGGAACATACCTCAAAATAATAAAGGTTACATCTAACAAACTTACAGCTAACATCATACCGAACTGAAAAAAAAATTGAAAGGCTTTCCTCTAAGATCTAGAACAAGAAAAGGAAGACCCCTTTCACAAGTTTTATTTAACACAGCACTGGAAGTCCTCGCAAGAACAATTAGGCAGAAGAAAGAAATAAGGGCATCCAAATTGGTAAGGAAAAAGTCAAATTAGCCTTGTTCACAGATAACATAGCATATTTAGAAAAACCTAAAGACTACCAAAAAACTGTTAAAACTAATAAACAAATTCAGAAAAGTTGCAAGATATAAAATCAACATAAAAAATTAATAGCATTTATAAATGCCAACAGTGAACAATCTGAAAAAGAAATGAAGAAAACAATCCCATTTAGAAAGCTAAACAAAATATAAAATATCTAGGAATAAATTTAACCAAAGAAGTAAAAAAAATTCTACAATGAAAACTATTTAAAAACTGATGAAAGAAACTGAAAAGAACACAAAAATGAAAAGATTTCCAATGCTCATGGGTTGGAAGAATTAATATGGTTAAAATGTCAATATTACCCAAAGCAATCTACAAATTTAATGCAATCCCTATCAAAGTACTAATGACATTCTTCACAGAAATAGAAAAACAATTCTAAAATTCATATGAATCACAAAAGACCCCAAATAGACTAAGCAATCCTGAGCAAAAAGAATAAAGCTGAGGGTATCACACTACCTGACTTCAAAATATCTTATAAAGCCATAGTAACCAAAACAGCCTGGCACTGGCATAAAAACAAACAGATAGGCCAATGGAACAGAATACATATTAATATCTGCATTTATATCCAATTTATTTTCAACAAAAGTGCCAATAATATTATTCGGGGAAAGGACAGTCCCTTCAATAAATAGTGCTGGGAAAACTGGGTAACCATATGGAGAAAAATGAAGCTAGATGCCTATCACTCACCATATACAAAAATCAAATCAAAATACAGACTTCAGTTTAAGACCTGAAACTGAAAATACTAGAAAACAAGAAAACACTGGGGAAATGCTTCAGGACATTGGTCTGGGCAAAGACTTTCTGGGTAACAGCTCAAAAGCATTGGAAACAAAAGCAAAACTAGACAAATGGGATTACATCGAGCTAAAAAGTGTCTTCACTGCAAAGGAAACAATCAACAAAGTGAAGAAACAACCTACAGAATAGAAGAAAATATTTGCAAACTATCAATTTGACAAGGGATAAATTACCAAAATATATAAAGAACTCAATAGCAAAAAAAGCAACTAATCCAATTTAAAAATGGGCAAAAATCTGAGTAAACATTCCTCAAAAGAAGACATACAGATGGCCAACAGGTATTTGAAAGAATGTTCAACATCACTAATCATCAGGGAAATGCAAATCAAAACCACAGTAAGATGTCATCTGATCCCAGTTAAGATGGGTTTTAACAAAAAGACAACAAAAAAAATGCAGAGAAAGGGGAACACTTATATACTGTTGGTGGGAATGGAAATTAGTATAGCCACTATGGAAAACAGTATGACGATTCCTCAGAAAACTAAAAATGGAACTACCATGTGATCTAGCAATCCCACTATTGGGTATATGTCCAAAAGAAAGGAAATCAGTATATCAAGGAGAGATCTATATTCCCATGTTTATTGTAGCATTGTTCATAATAGCCAAGATATAGAATCAAGCTAAATGTTCATCAACAGACAAATACATGAAGAATATGTGGTACATATAGACAATAAAATATTATTCAGCCATTTAAAAAAGAATGAAACCCTGTCACTTGCAGTAAAATGACTGTAACTGGAGGTCATTATATTCAGTGAAATAAACCAGGCACAGAAAGACAAATACTTCATATTCTCACTTGTACATGGTGATCTCATGAAGGTAGAGGGTTGACTGCTGGTTGCCAGAGGCTAGGAAGGAAGGATGAGGAGAGATTGGCTAATGGGTACAAAAATACAGTTAAAAGGGATAAGAGGCACTGTTTGATAGTACAATATGGTGACTATAGTTAACTATAATATATTGCACATTTCAAAATAGCTAGGAGAGAAGAATTGGAATGTTCCCAACATAGAGAAGAGATCAATGTTTAAGGTGATGGATATCTCAATTACCCTGATTTGATCATTAAACATTGCATGCATGTATCAAAACATTACACGTACTTCAAAAAATGTATGACTATTACATACCAGTAAAAAAAAAATTCAAAAAAAAGATTTTAGTGTCAAAGTTATGCTATTTTTATAAAATAAGTAGATAGTATTCCCTCTTATATTGTCAAAAAGAGTTGTATATGTTTGGAATTATTTATTCTTGAAATTATTGGTATGACTTATGTGTAAAACCTCCTACTGTAATCTGTTTGCTTGTTTGCTTGCTTTTTATGGAAAGATGTTTAACTACAGATTCCATTTGTTTGTCATAACACCATTGAGGTTTTCTATTTTTGAGTTGGTTTCATTAATTTACATTTTATGAAACTTTGCACATTTCATGTTTTCAAATTCATTACCATGAAATTATTCATGACATCTTCATTGTATTTTTAGTCTCTGCAGCATTTGTGATTATCTCCCCTTCTCCCACTACTAATATAGTTCATCTGTTCATAAGCGATGTCCATCTTTAGTCAGAAGGAATTTCACTGCTGATTCCTTCTCGTTCTCCTAAATCCACAGCACAACAGAGAAAGCCCAGAGCCAGGGAACACACTATAATCTTTGACTTTACAGATACCTAAGCAGCCTTAAGTATTCATTTATTCCTTATTAACCAAACTGTAATGCCTATGAGCCACTTGGACAATCACCCAATTTTAAAGCATCCAATATAAAATATTAGAAAATTTAACAAATTAATCACCAAAATAATCAAGAATAAACAGGACAAATTTTGACAAATCTCCCACATTCTTAGGCAGGGAAACATACATAAAAAGAAAATAATAATGTAACAATTGTAGAATTTTATAGTAGTTTCGTGGCAAATGTTCAAATTGTGAACCTGGATTTGGCATGCCACAACTCAATACATAACATAGTATAATGTACACATTATAATGCATGTATAACCCATAATAGTCACTAAGCATATCTAAACATATCTACCATTCAAATTAAAATAGTTTTCATAAGATATCCCCCCAAAAAGGAATGTATTTCACTAAAATTATATAAGCATGTCCAAATTTGTTATTCACAGGTTCACTGATTTTATTCCTCAGATTCATAGTATCATTTGCTGGTCTCTGATTGCTGTACAAACTCCTTCCTCACTGTTTCTATTGACAACTGATACCTGACTTATTCTCTAGGAGTGCTGCTCTGAATGATCAAAGCTCAGAACAAGTATGAAGACATGTTTTCAGTGGGTAGAGGCAATGGGGAAATTCTCACTTTGGCTCTTTCTCCTCTAACATTTATAGATTTAAACTGTCATTGTACTAATGTAGTAACTTCTAAAATTCAATCTTGAGCAAGAGCAGAAGGGGGCCATTTAGGCCTGGAGTCAAAGGAGATACTCTGTGGCCCAGCCCAGTGATTCCTAAACATTTACTCACAAGCACCCTAAAAAGATGTGGAAAAACTATATCTCCTCTCGTACATTTTGTAATTGGCATTTAAGATTTTTAAAGAAACTATTTAAGCTTAAATAGTTGCAAGTGATATAACTTCTCGCACATTATAATACTGACATTTTAAATAAAACTGCTACTTCACTCTTTTAAATGTATCCAGCGGAATCTAAATGCCATAGCAATTTGACACCCACCATCAAACATTTTTAAAAGACAAGGTACTTTTAAAGCTAAAAATTTCAGAAGATTCTTTTTTCTTCTTGAACTTGTATTTATATTCTATCCTCCCACAGAATTTTATCCTAATATATATTTGTACTTGAAAGTGTTATTGATTACCTCATCATATTCTTCTGCAATGAACATATGTATATTATTTAAATTTTTCTGTTGCCATAAGTTTCCAAATGCTAAAAATTTACTTCTGATACAATTTTTATTTATTCACTGTTGATCAAAATAGTACATGTAACTTATAAATCCTGACAAATATCAAACATAACATTGGAAATGTATCTCATAGATGGGACTTTCTCCAATTAGTTCATGAAGCTAAGAATGAATGTTACTTAATTATACAGAGTTCAGCATCAAAGCTACTTGTATTTCCTACTTTTATTTGTAAGCACTGACAATATCATTTCAAATAAATCAGTTGACAAAAATAGATAAACGTTTTCAACAATGTAACTCAATTCTTTGAACCCTTTTTAAGTTATATGTTTGAAACATCACATAGACATCTATTACCAAAAAAGTAAAAGTCTATTAGTTGACAAAAAGTTAGACACCACTTGATTTGGAAAATGACTGGTTATTCAGTCGTTAAAGTCATTCACTTTCTTAACACTGGCACCATATTTCAAATATCCCTCTGATGTCTTAGAGATTTTTTTGCATCAGTGTAATGCATCTACACCGTTCTGCATAGGTGAGAAACTTGCTTTTCTTTTTCAAATAGAAGGATAATTGGAAAAGCGAGAAGGGAAAGACACATCAGCAGGATTTCTTGGTTACAGGCTGGTTCTCAGGCAAACAAATTTTAGAAAAGAGTATGTGGAAACTGAGTATCTGGAAATGTATTCCCTTTAAGCTACCAGTAGCAGTATATAGCCAAGGTGTGCATAAGGATTACTGGTATCACAGTTTCCTAGACATCTCTACTTTAGGAACCACGTGCAAGATAATAAGCAGTTCAATCAATCTAATCCAATAACTATTTAATAGCTGGCTACAGGTTGTGAAATAACAGGTTGTAAAAATGTAAAACAAAGAATAAGAAGAACATGATTTGGGCCCTCCCAGAAAGAGGTAGTCGAAAAGCTCTGGAAAGACAAATAGGAGTAGGGACACTAGATGATGAGGATGCGAGGGCTTAAAATACAGCAGATGATGGAGCAAGTACTGGAGGCGTCCACGTGTGCCAGGAAAGTCTGAAAGTGAGGAAGGTGGAAGCTGGTATAGGTGGAAAAAAAAAGATCCTTTGTTTGAATGTGAAATGTGGGATCAGGAGCAGTCTCCCATTAAGAGGTTTTAAAAATATGAGCATCTACAAGAGAGAGACAGACCTCAGTCAAGGAAAGAAAGTAGGGAGGTTGTGCCATTGCACTCTAGCCTAGGCAACAAGAGCAAAACTCCATCTCGGAAAAAAAAAAAAAAAGAAGAAGAAGAAGAAAGTAGGGAGGAAGCAGTTGTTAAAAGGAGTTTGTTAACCACAAACCAAAAAACCTTGCTGCTTTGCTTTTCTTGACTCTTTTGCACATTTATCTTTCTAAGGAGCACTTGCTTAGAAGAAAAATGGCTTGGCCAAGGCAGAATATTCTTTGATTTTTCTGGCATAAAAACCTTCTTGGGAGCTATGGCAGTAATTGTAAATGACATGATGCTGGAAATATCCTTGAGTTCCTTCAAGAGAGAAACAGAATGAGCAGAACAGGTGAGTAAGGCTGTAGGAATGTGATACCATGGTAGTGCCCATAGGTAGCACCAACACTAATGTAGCATCAAGATGCCAGGATTCCCGGAACCACAGGAAGGGAGAAAGTCAGAATTTTAAGCTTCATCTATAGACCCAAAGGGAGAACAAGGAGGCTTCAGTAAATCCCTGGGGTGGGGTAACGATATTAGTGCTTTTGATGCAATTATTTGAAAAATGAAACACTTTATTTCCATCGATAGTTGGATGTGTTTCACCAATAAGCTTTTTTTAATCGACAAATAATGATTGTATATATCTATGGGGTACAGTGTGCTGTTTTGATATATGTATAGATTGTAGAAAGATTAACTCAAGCTGATTAATATATCCATCACCTTCCCTAAATAAGCTTTTGACGTAGGTGCTGAAACTGAAAATGTAACCAGTGCCCAGGGTCTGAGGCAGCTGCAGAGGAAGCCACCCAGATTCCACCCACACCCACCCTCCCCAGAAAGGATTCATGTGGCTGTAATTGGGGAAAAAAAGAAATATTCTTAAAAGCTAATTTCTCTGTAGGATCAGGGTGCAGAATATGCAATTTAGAGACATAACTTTTGTATGGAGATATGAAAATGGGAGGAAAACAAAACCATTCAATAGAGGGCATTTTCTATTACTGGCATTGCATTAAATTGGGCTATACTGCCATCTGCAGGTCACTGTAAAACTGTGCAGTAACGAAACTTAAGACGCTGTATCCAAAAGTAAAATCAGGAAGAATGAACAAGCAGCAGAGATAAACTCCATTGCACTGTGTTCGAATTAACTGATTTCAGTTCTACATGGATATATTAAGTAAGCATCTCTGGAAACATCAAAGAACATGTATAATCAATTGTTTGGTCTCAAGTGAATGTATGTGTAATATTTTTTCACAGCATCAGCTACTTTACCATCTTTGCCATCAGAATAATGGTAGAGTGCAGGCTCTAAGCCAGGCTGCCTGAGTTTGAATCCCAACTTGACAACTAGAAGATCTTGGACAAGTTATGAAACTTTCTCTTGGCCCCATTTTCCTCATCTAAAAAATAAAGGTAATAATAATGCTTAATTCAAAAGATGAGTTTGAGAATCAAGCTAAATTGTACATGTAAATTGTTTAGAATAGTGCCTGGCATATTGTAAGTGATCAATAAATTTTAACTATTATTCTTCCAAGAAGCTGACCATAAGTTTGTTAAACACATGGGATAACAGGAGAAAAAATAAAGGTTAAGAGTCCCAATCCCCCTCACCATCACTCTTGCCCAGAAAAGAGGAATATGCTACGAGTTTATGATTGGTCAGATCCCAGGATGCTATATAGAAAATTGGGATATTAACAGGCCTCTACTTGTGAGTAACACTAATTTAGTTTCTTTTTTTAATTATTATTTCAACAGTTTGGGGAACAGGTGGTGTTTGGTTACATGGATAAGTTCTTTAGTGGTGAGATTTTGGTGCACCTGTCACCCGAGCAGTGTACACTACACCCAATGTGTAGACTTTTATCTCTCACGCCCCCCCACCCTTCCCCCAAGTCCCCAGAGTCCATTATATTATTTTTATGCCTTTGCGTCCTCATAGCTTAGCTCCCACATATCAGTGAGAACACACAATGTTTGGTTTTCCATTTCTGAGTTACTTCACTTAGAATAATGGTCTCCAACTCCAGCCAGGTTGCTGTGAATGCCATTATTTCATTCCTTTTAATGGCTGAGTAGAATTCATATATGTATTCCATGGAATTATATATATTATATAATATATATATAAAATATCACATTTTCTTCATCCACTCGTTCATTGGTGGGCATTTAGGCTGGTTTCATATTTTTGCAATTGCAAATCGTACTGCTATAAACATGCATGTGCAAGTATCTTTTTCATATAATGGCTTATTTCCTCTGGGCAGATACCCAGCAGTGGGATTGCCGGATCAAATGGTAGTTCTACTTTTAGTTCTTTAAGGAATCTCCATACTCTTTTCCACAGTGGTTGTACTATTTTGCATTCCCAGCAGCAGTGAAAAAGTACTCCTTTTTCACCACATCCACGCCTATAATTTTTTTTATTTTTCAGTTATGGCCATTCTTACAAGACTGTAGTATCACACTGTGGTTTTAATTTGAATTTCCCTGATCATTAGTGATGTTGGGCATTTTTTTATATGTTTCTTGGCCATTTGCATATCTTCTTTTGAGAATTGTCTGTTCATGTCCTGAGCCTACTTTTTGATGGGATTATTTGTTTTTTTCATTCTGACTTTGAGTTACTTGCAGATTCTGGATATTAGTTCTTTGTTGGATGCATAGTTTGCGAATATTTTCTCCCACTCTGTGGGTTGTCTGTTTGCTGATTATTTGTTTTGCTGTGCAGAAGTTTTTTGTTTTAATTAAGTCCCATCTCTTTATCTTTGTTTTTGTTGCATTTGCTTTTGGGTTGTTGGTCATGAACTCTTTGCCTAAGCCAATGTCTAGAAGACCTTTTCCTACATTATCTTCTAGAATTTTTATGGTATCAGGTCTTAGATTCAAGTCTTTGATCCATCTTGAGTTGATTTTTGTACAAGGTGAGAGATGAGGATCATTCTACATGTGGTTTGCTAATTATCCCAGCACCATTTATTGAATTGAGTGTCCTTTCCCCACTTTATGCTTTTGTTTGCTTTGTCAAAGATCAGTTGGCTGTAAGTATTTGGCTTTATTTCTGTGTTCTCTATTCTGTTCGCATGGCCTATGGGCCTGTTTTTTACCAATACCATGCTGTTTTTGTTTTTTGTTGTTGTTGTTTGTTTGTTTGTTTGTTTGTTTTGAGTCAAGGTCTCACTCTGTCCCCCAGGCTGGGATGCAGTGGCACAATCTTGGCTCACTGCAACTTCTGCCCCCTGGGTTCAAGCAATTCTTCCACCTCAACCTCCCAAGTAGCTAGGATTACAGGCACGTGCCACCATGCCCAGCTAATTTTTGTATTTTTAGTAGAGACTGGGTTTCACTATGTTGGCCAGGCTGGTCTTGAACTCCTGACCTCAAGTGATCTGCCCACCTCAGCTTCCCAAAGTGCTGGGACTATAGGCGTGAGCCACTGTACACTGCCTACCAAGCTGTTTTGGTAACTATAGCCTTGTAGTAGAGTTTGAAGTCAGGTAATGTGATGCCTCCAGATTTGTTCTTTTTGCTTAGTCTTGATTTGGCTACATGGGCTCTTTTTTGGTTCCATATGAATTCTAGGATTGTCTTTTCTAGTTCTGTGAAGAATGATAGCGGCATTTTGATGGGAATTGCATTGAACTTACAGATTGCTTTTGGCAGTATGGCCATTTTCACGATATTGATTTTACCCATCCATGAGCATGGGATGTGTTACCATTTGTTTGTGTGGTCTATGATTTCTTTCAGCAGTGTTTTGCAGTTTTACTTGCAGAAATCTTTCCTTGGATAGGTGTATTCCTAGATACTTTATGTTTTTGAAGCTGTTTTAAAAGGGATTGAGTTCAGCCAGGCATGGTGGCTCACACTTGTAATCCCAGCACTTTGGGAGGCTGAGGCAGGCAGATCACAAGGTCAGGAGTTCAAGACCAGCCTGGCCAATATGGTGAAACCCCGTCTCTACTAAAAATACAAAAAAAAAATAGCTGGGCATGGTGGTGGGTGCCTGTAGTCTAGCTACTCAGGAGGCTGAGGCAGGAGAATAGCTTGAACTCGGGAGGCAAAGGTTGCAGTGAGCCAAGATCACGCCACTGCACTCCAGCCTGGGTGACAGAGTGAGACTCTGTTTCAAAAAAAAAAAAGGCAGGGGTTGAGTTCTTGATTTGATTCCCAGCTAGGTTGCTGTTGGTGTGTAGCAGTGCTACTGATTTGTGTACATTGATTTTGTAACCTGGGACTTTATTGAATTCATTTATCAAATCTAGGAGTCTAGGTGGTTTTAGTGCCAAATTCTACCAAATCTTTAAAGAGAAACTAACACCAATTCTCCTCAAATTATTTCAAAAAATTCAAGAGGAAAGAATTCTCCCTAGCTCATTCTGTGAGGCCAGCATTACCTGATACCAAAACTAGACAAGGACACAACAAAAAAGAAACTACAGGCCAATATTTCCGATGAATATAGATGCAAAAATTCTCAACAAAATATTAGCAAACTGAATCCTACAGAACATCAAAAGATCATACACCATGATCAGGTAAGATTCATCCCAGGGATCTAAGAATGCTTCAACATATGCAAATCATTAAACATGATACATCACATCAACAAAATGAAGGACAAAAACCATATGATCATCTCAAATACGCAGAAAAATAATTTGATAAAATTCAACATCCCTTCATGATAAAAACTCTCAACAAACCAGGCATAGAAGGAACGTACCTCAAAACAATAAAGGCCATATGTGACAAATCCATGCTAATATCATATTGAATGGTAGAAAGCTGAAAGCCTTTCCTCTAAGAACTGGGACAAGATAAGTATGCCCACTTTCACCAAGTGGCTTCAAATATCACATGTTCTCACTCATATGTGAGTGCTAAATACTTGATCTTGAGAAGGTAGAAAGTAGAAGATAGATACCAGAGGCTGGGAACAGAATGTGGGTGGAAGAAGTGATGAAGAGAGGTTGGTTAATGGCTACAAAAATACAGTCAGATAGAAGATATAAGTCCTAATGTTCAATAGCAGAGTAGGGTGACTATAGTTGCAACATATACTTCAAAGTAGCTAGAAGAGAGTACTTGAATTGTTCCCAATGCAGAGATAATACTGAAGGTGATACATAACCCAAATACCCTGACTTTATCATTATGCATTCTATGCATACAACAAAATATCATATTTATGCCATAAATATGTAAAGTATTATATATCAATAAAAATAAATAATTTTTAAATGCATTTTTATAAAAAAAATCTCTTTTGTCTTTGAATCTGCTCTTCAACTTTGACTTCAACTTCTGCCTTTATCTGAATACCTACTTCCACATCCATTTCTGGCATTACTGAACACCTGCATGACCAATGATCATATTATCTTAAAGATTCCTTGATAGCCAATAACCTAACAACATCAATAATACAAACGTGTGCCATTCAGATGCATTGCTAACCCTCATAGCATTCTGTGTGAAGAGTAAATTCTGCAAGTGCAGTAAATTCTGCAAATACAGTAAAAGGTTATCTCAGCTAGGCCTGGTGTGTTCAAACCCTGCACATTCCAAACAAAGGACTGGCCTTTGATCAGCTCCTGGGAGATAACCTCTGAGCCTTTTGGAATAGCCTTCTTAATGAATGTCTTTGTAAACCCAAGACCTTGAGCCACACCAGATAATTTATGCGAACAATGTGATTTATGTTGAATTCATGTTTCTGTTTATCTGTTTCTGGGCCACAATGCATCAGTTTGACCTCTGGGGGAGCTGGCAACTGAGTAGCTTAGGTCAGTCAAGTGGATGTTCCATGCCCATGCAACTGACCCCCAATAAAAACTCTGGACAACAAGGCTCCAATGAGCCAAGCTGTTTGGCAGTACTTCAAAAATGATGTCACACATTAGACTTAAAAGATCATCATGGTGGATGGGAGGCAGGACTAGCTTGCTGCATGCGGAAGCTTGCATTGTGAATTTTAGCTCCAGAATGACTGCAGGAATAAATCAGGAAACCTGTGAGGATCTACAGATCATCCAAAGGAAGCAGACTGTTCCTGCAGGACCTGGGAGACATCCCAAATACTGTGACTGCCCAAACTGCAGAAGTGAGAAAGGGAGATCCTCCATCCCAGAACACACACCCCTACTGGGGAAACTGAAGGTCTAGTTTGCAGAAGATTCTGACCTTACCTGTAGCTGAGTCAATTTAGAGAGCTGAGCGAAACACAAGGGTAGAAGAAGCACCAGGAAAGGCCCTGGAAGTTGACTGGGTCCTGAAGCAGGCTATTCCTGCCTGGCATCACAGGGATCCTTTGGGAGGGAAGCCAGAGGTGTGGGGAAAATGCCACAGGGAGAAGGAAACCTCCAGCTGAACTTTGTAACAATTTGAAACACTCCAGAAGCCTCCTGGCCAGAACTCAGGGGAAGGCATGAATCTGGCCTGCAGACTCCACAGGCAGAGGAAGAACTAAAGCCCTATTCTTTTGTAGCTGGGAGGTAGGTAGTCTGGGGTAGGTCCTCAGCCCTGCTTGCCCACTGCCTGGAAACAGAGGCGGTGCTTTTAGGTGGGGCACGGTGGGAGTGAGACCAGCCCTACAGATTGCATGGGAGCTGGGTGAGGTCTGTGACTGCCAGCTTTCCCCAACTTCCCTGACAACCTGCATGACTCAGCAGAGGCAGCCATAATCCTCCTAGGTACATAACTCCATTCAACTGGTAACCTCGCCCCCATCCCCCACAGCAGCCACAACTGACCTGCCCAAGGAGTCTGAGCTCAGACACACCTAGCCCTGCCCCCACCTGATGGTCCTTCCCTATCCACCCAGGTATCTGAACACAAAGGGCATGTACTTTTGGGAGTTCTAGGGCCCTGCCCACCACTGGTTCCTCTTCATACTACCACAGCTGATGCTCTCTGGAAAGCACCACCTCCTGGCAGGAGGCCAACCAGCACCAAAATAGAGCGTTAAACCAAGAAATCTAAGAACCCTCACAGAGTCCATTTCACCTACCTGCCACCTCCACCAGAAAAGGTGCTTGTATCCATGGGATGTGACCCATAGACAGGTCACATCACAGGACTCTGTGCAAACAACCCCCAGCACCAGCCTGGAGCCTGATAGATTTGCTGGGTGGCTAGACCCAGAAGAGAGATAACAATCACTACAGCTCACCTCTCAGGAAGCCACATCCATAGGAAAAGGGGAGAGTACTACATCAAGGGAACACCCCATGGGACAAAAGAATCTGAACAACAGCCTTCAGCCCTAGACCTTCCCTCTGACAGAGCCTACCCCAATGAGAAGGAATTAGAAAACCAATTCTGGTAGTATGACAAAACAAGGCTCTTTTGCACCCCCAGAAAATCACACTACCTCACCAGTAATGGATCCAAACCAAGAAGAAATCCCCAATTTACCTGAAAAAGAATTCAAGAGGTTAGTTATTAAGCTAATCAGGGAGGCAACAGAGAAAGGCAAAAACCCAATGCAAGGAAATAAAAAGAAAAAAATACAAGAAGTGAAGGGAGAAATATTCAAGGAAATAAATAGCATAAATAAAAAAACAATTAAAACTGCAGGAAACGCTGGACACATAGAATTGCAAAATGCTCTGGAAAGTCTCAGCAATAGATTGAACAAGTAGAAGAAAGAAATTCAGAGCTGAAGGCAAAGTCTTTGAATTAACTCAATCCAACAAAGACAAAGAAAAAAGAATAAGAAAACATAAACAAAGCCTCCAAGAAGTCTGGAATTATGTTAAATGACTGAACCTAAGAATAATTGGCATCGCTGAGGAAGAAGAGAAATCTAAAGTTTGGAAAACATACTTGGAGTAATAATCAAGGAAAACTTCCCCAGCCTTGCCAGAGGCCTAGACATCCAAATACAAGAAGTACAAAGAACACCTAGGACATTCATCACAAAAAGATCTTCACCTAGGCACATTGTCGTCAGGTTATCCAAAGTTAAGACAAAGGAAAGAATCTTAAGGGCTGTGAGACAAAAGCACCAGGTAACCTATAAAGGAAAACCTATCAGATCAACAGCAGATTCCTCAGCAGAAACCCTACATGCTAGAAGGGATTGGGGCCCTGTTTTCAGCCTCTTCAAACAAAACAATTATCAGCCAAGAATTTTTTATCCAGTAAAACTAAACATTATATGTAAAGGAAGATACAGTCTTTTCCAGAAAAACAAATGCTGAGCGAATTCGCCACTACCAAGCCACCACTACAAGAACTGCTAAAAGGAGCTCTAAATCTTGAGACAAATCCTGGAAATACACCAAAACAGAGCATCTTTAAAGTATACATCTCACAGGACCTATAAAACAAAAACACAAGTTAAAAAGCAAAAAAAAAAAACCAAGGTACACAGTCAAGAAATAGCAAGATGAATGGAATGGTACCTCACATCTCAATACTAACATTGAATGTAAATGGCCTAAATGCCCCACTTAAAAGATACAGAACTGCAGAATGAATAAGAATTCACCAACCAACTATCTGCTGCCTTGAAGAGACTCATCTAACACACAAGGATTCATATAAACTTAAAGGGGTGGAAAAGGGCATTTCATGTGAATGGACACCAAAAGCAAGCAGGAGTAGCTATTATTATGTCAGACAAAACAAACTTTAAAGCAAGAGCAGTTAAAAAAAACAAAGGGGACATTATGTAATGGTAAAAGGTCTTGTCCAACAGGAAAATATCACAATCCTAAACATATAAGCACCTAACATTGCAGCTCATAAATTTATAAAACAATTACTAATAGACCTAAGAAATGAAAAAGACAGCAACACAATAATAGTGGGGGACTTCATCAATACTCCACTGACAGCACTGGACAGGTCATCAAGACAGAAAGTCAACAAAGAAATAATGGATTTAAACTATACCTTGAAACAAATAAACTTAATAGATATATACAGAACATTCCATCCAACAACTGCAGAATACACATTCTATTCAACAGTGCATGTAACTTTCTCCAAGATAGACCATAAGATAGGCCACGAAATGAGCCTCAATAAATTTAAGAAAATTTAAATTATATCGAGCACTTTCTTAGACCACAGTGAAATAAAACTGGAAATCACCTCCCAAAGGAACCTTTGAAACTATGCAAATACATGGAAACTAAATAACCTGCTCCTGAATGATCATCAGGTCAAAAACAAAATCAAGATGTAAATTTAAAAATTATTCGAACTGAATGACAATAGTGACATAACCTATCAATCCTCTGCAATACAACAAAGACAGTGCTAAGAAGAAAGTACATAGCCCTAAATACCTACATTAAAAAGACTGAAAAAGTGCAAAATGACACTCTGAGGTTATACCTCAAGGAACAAGAGAAACAAGAACAAACCAAACCCAAACCCAGCAGAAGAAAGGAAATAACCAAGATAAGAGCAAAACTAAATGAAATTGAAACCAAAAAAATACAAAAGATAAATAAAACAAAAAGCTGGTTCTTTGAAAAGACAAATAAAATTGATAGACCAATAGCAAGATTAATAAAGAAAAGAAGAGAGAAATCCAAATAGCATCAATAAGAAACAAAACAGCAGATGTTACAACTGACACCACAGAAATACAAAAGGTTATTTAAGGCTACTATGAACACCTTTATGCACATAAACTAGAAAACCTAGAAGATATGGATAAATTTCTGAAAAAATACAACCCTCCTAGCTTAAATCAGGAAGAATTAGATACCCTGGACAGACCAAGAATAAGCAGCAAGATTGAAATGGTAATTTAAAATCACCAACAGAGAAAAGTCCAGGACCAGACAGATTCATAACAGAATTCTACCAGATATTCAAAGACCAATTGGTACCAATTCTTTTGACACTATTCCACAAGTTAGAAAAAGAGGGAACCTGCCTTAATTCATTCTATGAAGCTAGCATCAACCTAATACCAAAACCAGGAAATGACATAACCAAAAAAGAAAACTACAGACCGATATCCTTGATGAACATAAATGTTAAAATCCTTAACAAAATATTAGCTAATAGAATCCAACAACATATCAAAAAGATAATCCGCCATGATCAAGTGGCTTCATACCAGGGATGCAGGGATGATTTAACATATGCAAGTCAATAAATGTGATATACCACATAAGTAGAATTAAAAACAAAAATCACATGATCATCTCAATAGATGCAGAAAAGGCATTTGACAAAATCCAGCATCCCTTTTAATTAAAACTCTGAGCAAAATCAGCATACAAGGGGCATACCTCAATGTAATAAAAGCCATCTATGACAAACCCACAGCCAACATAATAGTGAATGGGAAAAGTTGAAAGCATTCCCTCTGAGAACTGGAACAAGACAAGGATGCCCACTCTCACTATTCCTCTTCACCATAGTACTGTAAGTCCTAGCCAGAGCAATCAGACAACAGAAAGAAATAAAGGGCATCCAATTAGTAAAGAGGAATTCAAACTGTCACTGTTCGCTGATGATATGATTGTTTACCTCGAAAACCCTAAAGACTCCTCCAGAAGGCTCCAAGAACTGATACAATAATTCAGCAAAATTTCTGGATACAAGATTAATGTACACTAATCAGTAGCTCTTCTATACACCAACAACGACCAAGCAGAGAATCAAATCAAGAACTCAACCCCTTTTACAATAGCTGCAAAAAAAATTAAAACAAATACTTAGTAATATACCTAACCGAGGAGTTGAAAGACCTCTACGAGGAAAACTACAAAACACTGCCGAAAGAAATCATAGATGACACAAACAAATGGAAACACAAACCATGCTCATGGATGGGTAGAATCAGTATTGTGAAAATGACCATACTACCAAAAGCAATCTACAAATTCAATGCAATCCCCATCAAAATGCCACCATCATTCTTCACAGAATTAGAAAAAAAAATTCTAAAATTCATATGAAACCAAAAAAGAGCCCACATAGCCAAAGCAAGACTAAGCAAAAAGAACAAATCTGGAGGCATCACACTGCCTGATTGCAAATTATATTATAAGGCCATAGTCACAAAAACAGCATGGTATTGGTATAAAAATAGGCACATAGAAAAATGGAACAGAATAGAGAATTCAGAAATAAACCCAAATACAGCTAACTGATCTTCAACAAAGCAAACAAAAACATAACGTGGGGAAAGGACACCCTTTTCAACAAATGGTGATGGGAAAATTGGCTAGCCACATGTAAGAGAATGAAACTGGATCCTCATCTCTCTCCTTATACAATAATCACCTCAAGATGGATTAAGGACTTAAATCTAAGACCCAAAACTATAAAAATTCTAGAAGATAACCTTGGTAAAACCCTTCTAGACATTGGCTTAGGCAAGGATTTCATGACCAAGAACCCAAAAGCAAATGCAATAAAAACAAAGATAAATAGCTGGGACTTAATTAAACCAAAGAGATTTTGCATGGCAAAAGGAACAGTCAGCAGAGTAAACAGACAACCCACAGAGTGGGAGAAAATCTTTACAATCTATACATCTGACAAAGGACTAATAACCAGAATCTACAATGAACTCAAACAAATCAGAAAGAAAAAAACAAACAATCCCATCAAAAAGTGGGCTAACGACATGAATAGACAGTTCTCAAAAAAAGATATACAAGTGGCCAACAAACATATTAAAAAAAGCTCAACATCACTAATGATCAGGGAAATGCAAATCAAAACCACAATGTGATACCACCTTACTCCTGCAAGACTGGCCATAATCAAAAAATCAAAAAACAGTAGATGTTGGAGTGGATGAGGTGATCAGGGAACACTTCTACACTGCTGGTGGGAATGTAAAATAGCACAACCACTATGGAAAACAGTGTGGAGATTCCTTAAAGAACTAAAAGTAGAACTACCATTTGATCCAGCAATCCCACTACTGGGTATCTAGCTAGAGGAAAAGAAGCCATTATACGGAAAAGATACTTGCACTTGCTTGTTTATAGTAGCACAATTCACAGTTGAGGAAATATGGAACCAGCCTAAATTCCCACCAGTCAATGAGTGGATAAAGAAACTGTGATAGATGATAGAT
Organism: Homo sapiens; assembly: GCF_000001405.40. Taxonomy (NCBI): domain Eukaryota; kingdom Metazoa; phylum Chordata; class Mammalia; order Primates; family Hominidae; genus Homo; species Homo sapiens. The sequence continues at coordinate 54,738,344 of NC_000012.12, read as the reverse complement.
AGATAGATAGATAGATAGATAGATAGATAGATAGATAGATAGATAGATAGATAGATAGATAGAATACTACTCAGCCATAAAAGGAATGAATTAATTGCATTCACAGTGACCTGGATGAGATTGGAGAGTATTATTCTAAGTGAAGTAACTCGGGAATGGAAAACCAAACATTGTATGTTCTCACTGTTATGTGGCAGATAAGCTATGAGGATGCAAAGGCATAAGAATGATACACTGGACTTTGGGGACTTGGGGGGAAGAGTAGGAGGAGAGTGAGGGATAAAAGACTACAAATAGGGTGCCATTCACTGCTTGGGTGATGGATGCATCAAAATCTCACAAATCACCACTAAAGAAATTACTCATATCACCAAACACCACCTGTACCCCAATAACCTATGGAAAAATAAAATTTTTAAAAAAAGAAAAAGAAAAAAATGATATCACACATTACTGCTGGGAGAATTAAGCACTATCCATTCAACTCCACCAGCAGAAGACAACTGAAAGCTCATTCTTGGTTTATCCTGGATTCTGCCTACGCACCTTTTCGTTTGCTGGTTTTAATCTGTTTTCTTTTCCTGTAATAAACTATAACTGTGTAACTATAACAGCCTTTCTGAATTCCGTGGGTCCTTCCAGAGAATCATCAAATCTAATGGTAGTCTTCGGGACCCCTGACACAGCAAGGATTAATGATGATTACAAAATCCACTCATTTATGTATAAAAATAGTTCTTAAGAACTTTTAAATCATTCAATAAATTGATTGTTGGTTAATACAAATATGAAAAGAGTACATTGGCTACTTGAATTTAGAAAGAATATTATATCCTTTTGAGCAAAAAGATAATATATTTTAAATAATAAAATTAAGAGGAAGACTAATCAAAATTAATATTTGTAGAATTGTTTAGTATACCAGCATGTTTGACATTAAGCAAAATAGTTTTTAATAATCATATTTTATTTTTATTTTATTATTTTAATTGCATCTAGGCCATGAGTCTTACATGAAAACAATCTTATTTGGAAATTCTTCACATCATATTATGTTGAATTAAAAGCAAAATGTCAACTTTCCCACCTTAATATTTCATGAAAAAGAAAAACAGCAAAATCATGTAAGTCACATTTCAAGTACTTGTCAGACACATCCACACTCATACACAAACAAGGTTTGTTTTTTCTAGTACCAATCCAGCCATAATAAAGAACACAAGCAGTAAGAATAAAACAGGAATGTGAACAAGGGACACTATATGAAGCATTGGAAAAACACATTGTGTTCTCATTAATCAAACTTCAAACCCACAGATTTTACAAGAATAATTTAAGAAGATGCTGCCTCAGTTCTCAGGCTATCAAAAACTTCAAACTAAAAGACTTTTTAAAATTATTACTAAGGGCTGGGCATGGTGGCTCATGCCTGTAATCCCAACACTGGGAGATCAAAGCAAGTGGATCACTGGAGCCTAGAAGTTCAAGACCAGCCTGGGCAACATGGCAAAAAAACATCTCTACCAAGAAATAGCTGGGTGTGGTGGTGCACATCTGTGGTCCCAGCTACTCAGGAAGCTGAGGTGGGAGGATCACTAGAGCCCAGGGAGGTTGAGGCTGCAGTGAACCATGATCACACCCCTGTACTCCAGCCAGCACAACAGAGTGAAACCCTGTCTCAAAAAAATAAAATAATATTATTACTGTTACACACGTCTGTGTGAAGAGACGGCCAAACAGGCTTTGTGTGAGCAATAAAGCTTTTTGATTCCCTGGGTGCAGGCAGACTGAGTCTGAAAAAGGAGTCAGCAAAGGGAGATGGGGTGGGCCAGTTTTATAGGATTTGGGTAGGTAGTGGAAAATTACAGTTAAAGGGGTTTTCTCTTGAGGGTAGGGGTGGGGGTCACAAGGTGCTCGGTGGGGAGCTCCTGAGACTCATTGTCCAGGAGAAGGAATGTCACAAGCTCAATTGATCAGTTAGGGTGGGACAGGAACAAATCACAGTGGTAGAATGTCATCAGTTAAGGCAGGAATTGACTATTTCACTTCTTTTGTGGTTCTTCAGTTGCTTCAGGTCATCTGGATGTATCCGTGCAGGTCACAGGGGTTATGATGGCTTAGCTTAGGCTCAGAGGCCTGACAATTACTATAGACTGAAAAACACTTTCAGATGTTGAAGAAAAGTTTGTAAGATTTTTCCAAGCCTATCAATCCTAGATACAAAGTTCTTTTTAGAAAATTTGTCACTGAGTTATATTTTATTGGTGCTAACAAGTATTTCACTTCAGTCTTTTGTACATCAGACACTTGTATAGCAAGGCAGGTTTGTGATAAATTCTTCTTGATCTTCTTCACTTGTGTATGGGCATTGGAGGAGCTTTCCCCTTGCCCTCAGAGGGTTTGCTGAAAAAAATCAATTTACAGTAAGGCAGATTAATAGGACAAAAAGCATACAAATTTATTTAACCATGTGCTCGAGAAGAATCATAGAGTGATTACCCAATTTCCCAACAGGGCCCAGACACTTCTATAACCTCTTTCAGAGGGGAGGGGGAAGATGGGGAATATAGAGGTAATTCTGGTTGAGGGGCATTAAATAATTACTAAGGAAAAATGAATAGGTACTTAGGAGAATGAATGGAAGGTGAGAACAGAAATTGACTTGTAAATGGTTTTCTTTGGAAGTTAAAAGAACCTGAGAGACAGGTATTATTTTGTAAAATGGTTGGTTCTGGTATGGTTATATTCTTCCTCTTCTTTCCTGAAATAGTGAGATAACAGGGAAGGGAAGAAAAGGCAATTGTTCTTGATGGGCCTATCTGATCTTTTTGAAGTTAGGGGATAAGTTTCTTCTGAGGCCTGTTGATTTATAAAGTCTTTTAATTCAAAATATACATTATACCAAGGAGCTTATTCATTCTCCCTGTCTGGAACTCCCCTAGAAGTTTCACACATAAAAAGCTGAGTTAGGCCGGGCGCGGTGGCTCATGCCTATAATCCCAGCACTTTGGGAGGCCAAGGTAGGTGGATCATGAGGTCAGGAGTTCAAGACCAGCCTGGCCAAGATGGTGAAACCCCGTCTCTACTAAAAATACAAAAATTAGCTGGGTATGGATTATAGGCGGGCACCTGTAATTCCAGCTACTTGGAAGGCTGAGGCAGAGAATTGCTTGAACCTGGGAGGCGGAAGTTGCAGTGAGCCAAGATCACACCACTGCACTCCAGCCTGGGTGACAGAGTGAGACTCTGTCTCAAAAAAAAAAAAAAAATCCTAAGTTAGTGGCTCTGGAGAGAGAAGTTGGTTTAGTAGCTGGGTAGTAAGAGATCTGAAAAGGAAGAAAAGAACATAGATTAAAATGAGAAAAGAACATATCTAAGCACACTTCCCCACACCCCATTAAACCAGTCTCCCATTCCCAGGAATAGGTCAGACCAATAGAACAGTTTAGCCTTGTTTACCTGATGGATAATATTTTACCTTGACCTTCAAGAGGTGCAGATCAGTCTCTACTTGCCCTGAGCGGTTTATGTAGAAACAGCATTTGTCACCAATAGCTGCACAAGCTCCTCCCTGTTGGGCTGTCAGCACATTCAGGCTGCAGCAGTTCTAAAGTACAGCAGAAGCTGGACTGTTGACTTCTGACTGGAGTGCTCCCAAGGCTTGGGTAGTGATACTGAAGTCTTGTTCTATTGCCATGGAAAGATTTTAAACTGCCCTTTCATTTTCTTAAGTTCCAAATGCCAGGGGAAAAGTTCTGAGGACTGAAAAGAACATAGATTTGTGATATATAGGTGGGTTTTTTACAAAGTCACATTCATTACCTCTGTGTGGCACCACTTTATGAACAAAAAGGCCCATTTGTAATTTGGCTGCCATTTAAAGTGGAGTACCTAGTAACAGAGGATGTCAGATAACTGAGTCCACAGCACCCTGAGTATCTAGGTGGGAACCACTTGTATATCTTGTTACCACGCAATATTAAAAGGCCGCTGTTATTTACAGATAGGGTCAGGGTGAAGCCTGTGGCGCCTCAGCCTGAAGTTTGCTGTGCCTTGTCTTCTTTGTTATTGGCATTTCCACATCTGCAGCTATCATGTCTCCCTGTCAATCTGTGGGAGCAAAACAGGTTGTGAAATATTTTATATAAAAGACCTTTAGTTTTGGCTGTTATAGGGCTTGGTTTTGTCACCTAGCCAAATCAGTCCAGACTTTGGGTCTATCCATATGTAATCTTTAGTATCTGACAGGTAAGCTACCCCAAGTTGCACACCAGGGCTGGCTTGTGAGCCATCCATAACATCTGGTGATTTGATAAATATTGATTTCATGAGTCAGCATCAGGACCACCTATGGTCTGTGTAAGAAGTGCAAGAATGCCATCTGTGGAATCAAACTATAAGGTCTGATTGCAATATTGCCTAGTATGTCACCTAGCAAGGGTCCAGCATCATTCCTGTTTTCAATGCAGAAGGAAAATTTTCTTTCTAGTAATTTTATCTAAGCAAAAGACAGTTTTGAGCTTCCATGGTGGCTTTTCTGTGTCCAGTTGACTTACCATAAGAGAGGCAATGTGACTTTGTTTCTCTGGTTCTGGATGCCATATCTTGTCATACATCCATCTTCTAGACTGAATCCACCAGGTGCTCATACTGGCAGAAACAAAAATAATTTCAGGTTCTTTTGCATCATCTAGATATTGGCATAACCAAAATTAGACTGACTAATGTTGTCAGGATTTAAAAGACTGGTGCAAAGGGTTTGTGCCCGACCGTCTAGAAAAATAGCAAGAATTAGTAAAAGCAAAGCACAGTTCAAAAGAAGAGTCACAGCGAAAGATCAAAGGGAGTATGAGAGAGATAAGTTCAGGCAATCTTTAATCACCTTTCAATTAAAAAGTCAAGAAACAATAGATGCTGGTGAGGCTGTGGAGAAATAGGAACGCTTTTACACTGTTGGTGGGAGTGTAAATTAGTTCAACCATTGTGGAAGACGGTGTGGCCATTCCTCAAGGATCTAGAACGAGAAATATCATTTGACCCAGCAATCCTATTATTGGGTATACACCCAAAGAAATATAAATCATTCTACTATAAAGAGACATGCACACGTATGTTTATTGTGGCACTATTTATAATAGTAAAGACACAGAACCCACCCAAATGCCGATTGATGATAGACTGGATAAAGAAAATGTGGCACATATACATCACGGAATACTATGCATCCATAAAAAGGAATGAGATCATGTCCTTTGCAGGGACATGGGTGGAGCTGGAAGCCATCATCCTCAGCAAACTAATACAGGAACAGAAAATCAAATACCACATGTTCTCACTCATAAATGGGAGTTGAAAGATGAGATCACATGGACACAGGGAGGGGAAAAACACATGCCGGGTCCTGTCGGGGGGTGGGGGACAAGGGGAGGGAGAGCATTAGGACAAATACCTAATGCATGCAGGGTTTAAAACCTAGATGATGGGTTGATAGGCGCAGCAAACCACCATGGCACATGTATACCTATGTAACAAACCTGCACGTTCTGCACATGTATCCCAGAACGTAAAGTAAAATTTTTAATAAAAATCCCCATGGTGTTCATTCAGCCCAAGAAGAGAAGGTTTAGAGGTGTCAGTAGGTAAGGAGTGACTGAACACTATTTTAAAAGGGGCTAATCCCTGTCTCCTATTTGAAGTGTTAGAGATTTTTATAAGGGCCAGAGATAATGCTTCTGGCCATTTAAGTCCACTATCTTGACAAAATTTTCCCAAAATTCTTTTTCTGTCTAAATTTTTAGGTTCCACTTGCCCTGAGGATTGGGGATGATGTGGGGTATAAAATTTTAATGAGTACCCCAGAGCCTCTGCAAGCAAGTGGTTTATTTCTGCTGTGAAATAAGTCCATGGGTCTGACCCAATCCATAAGGGAATAGCAAAATGAGGAATAATCTGCTACTTATTTATTTACCACAGCTGTAACATCAGCACACCTAGTTGGATAACATCAGTCCACCCACTGAACATGCAGAAAAATAATGGAGCAGTGAGAAAAGCACAAAGCTGGAGGTAAATCCATAAAGTCTATTTGGAGCGCGGCAAGGGGCAACATGGGCCTTTGGGGGCTTCCTGAGGAATATTGGTTTCCTCTAGAGATTTGGTGATATTTATAAATAGTGCACTGGGAAATAATTTGGCCATAAATTTTATAGTTCCCAGGGCAGTACCAACTATCTTTTAATTTATTAATTATTCCCCATTTGCATATACATCCCATCTGATGGGAGATAAGTGCAAGGCAAAGAGTTAAAAGGAAAGGGGCTATGGGGGTCTATTTGGCCCAGTATACAACCCATCTGATAATTGTTTGGCACCCTTTAATATCCATTTATCCTTTTTCACATTGTGAGGCACTAGCCTGATAATCAATAATGTTAGACAGGGATAAGGGCAGATTAATAAATTGAGTATAAAAAGGATAGGGAGGGCCATTTGGCCACAGATTTAGCAGCCCTGTCTGTTCAATCATTTCCTTGGGGTACAGTATCCATATCCTTGGTATAAGCTGGGTAATGAACAACAGCAATCTTAGTGGGAAGGTGGATAGCCTATAATAGGCCAGCAGTTATAGGCCCATTGGCAATAGAAGTGCCAGCAGAGGTTAAGAAACTACAGGATTTCCAAATTGTACCAAGTGTACGACAGTTTCCAAAGGCATATTTGGAGTCTGCATAAATAGTGGCAGTTTTTTGGTTTTGGTTTTTGTTTGTTTGTTTGTTTCTTGCCAATGTGCAAGCTCTAGTAAGGGCGACAAGTTCAGCAACTTCAGCTGACTTTATGGTAGGCAGATGGTCTGCCTACCAGAGAGGGTTTCATGTGAGGAAACTATAGCGTAGCCAGTTATATTCCCTTTGAAATCTCATTTACAAGAGCCATCACAAAAAAATAAGTAAATCTTGGTTGTCTAAAGAAATGTCTGAGGGACCCTCTTGTGACTTTCAAACCATACCAACAGCTGCAAGGTAATCATGTGAAATGGAGTGAGGGTCTCCATCCTCAGGGAGAGGCAGGAGGGTAGCTGGATTTATAGGGTTGCAATGATATAAAATAATGGAGGGATTGGTCAATGGGGGTTGCTCATAGGTGGCCTGTCATCAGGTAGAGAGGTGCTGTGTTTTATGAACTTGTAAGACAGCAGACACAGTATGAGGAACATAAGAGTGAATAGGGAAACCTAATGTGACAGTGCTGACTTTATCAATTAAAGTGGCAGCTCCTGCTACTGCACATAGGCCTGGCGGCACACCTGCTGCCACAGGGTCCTGCTGGCGTGAAAAATATGCTATAAGGGACCGGGTGCAGTGGCTTATGCCTGTAATCCCAGCACTTTGGGAGGCCAAGGTGGGTGGATCACGAGGTCAAGAGATCGAGACCATCCTGGCCAACATGGTGAAACCCCGTCTCTACTAAAAATACAAAAATTAGCTGGGCGTGGTGGCGTGCACTCAGCTACTTGGGAGGCTGAGGCAGGAGAATTACTTGAACCTGTGAGGCAGTGGTTGCAGTGAGCTGAGATCATGCCACTGCACTCCAGCCTGGCAACAAAGCGAAACTGTCTCAACAGAAAAAAAAAGAAAGAAAAGAAAAAAGAGAAGGGAAGGGAAGGGGAAGGGGAAGAGAAAGGGAAAGGGGAAGGGGAGGAAAGAAAAATATGCTATAGGATGGATCTGGGAGGAAGAGGGCTGTCCTAAAATACCAGCAGCAGTCCCATTATTTTCATGGCAATGTAAGTGGAAGGGTTTATCAAAATTAGGTGAGATAAGAGGTCAGCTGAGAGCAGGGGATATGAATAATGCTGATTTCTGGAATGGAATCCGGGAGGAGGGCATATAAAAATTTTGCAAGAGCACCAAAATTGGGAATTCACTGGCGGCAATAGCCAGCTGCTGCTAGAAATTAATAGGTGTTTCATAGTTTGGGGAACAGAAATAGACAAAATAGACTCATGGCATCTTCGGAGTGAGCTTTTTGAGTGCCTTGAAATATCTCATGTCCTAAGTAAATAACAGTTGTCTGCGCCCATTGAAGTTTAGACTTAGAGGCTTTGTGGCTTCATTCAGCTAAAGCCTTTAAGAGTGTGAGGGACTCTAGAAGGGCAGCCTACTTGGTCAGGTTACAGAGCAAAAGACTGTCAACATACTGAACAACAATGGAACCTTAGGTAAAGGTTGCAGAGTCTACATCAGCTTGGAGGATTTGAGCGAATATTGAAGGAGACTCATATCCCTGAGGTATTCGAGTCCGTGTTAACTGTCTCCCTCTGAAGTTAAAGGCAAAGAGAAATTTTGAGTCAGGGTGCAACAAAATTGAAAAGAATGCTGGGCAAAGGTCAATTTCTATAAACCAGACTGCATCAGTGGGAACTGAGGTCAGGATAGCAGCAGGATTAGGCACAATAGGGTGGCAACGAATTACAAAGTTACAGCTCTTAGATCCTGAACAAATGGATAGATTTGATTTCCATCTGAATCAAACTTTCCTTCCTTTTTTACTGGTAAAATTGGGGTGTTACAGGATGAAGTAGTAAAAACAAGTGAAAGAGTGTTGGAAAGATTTGTTCTTTTTTTTTTTTTTTTTTTTTTTTTTTGAGACAAGATGTCACTTTGTCACCCAGGCTAGAGTGCAGTGATGTGATCTGGGCTCACTGTAGCCTCAACTCCTGGGCTCAAGCAATCCTCCTGCCTCAGCCCTCCACATAGCTGGGACTACAGGCACACCACCAAGCCAGGTTAATTTTTTGGTTTTTTTGTAAAGATGGAGTTTCACTATGTTGCCCAGTTTGGTCTTAAACTCCTGAGCTCAAGCAATCTGTCTGCCTCCCCTCCCAGGTTCTAGGATTATAGACCCACTGCACCTGGCTGATTTGTTCCTTTTTCAGGAAGTGTACATAGACTCTACACTCAACAGCAATTTGACTTCATTTGCATGCGAGTACTGGAAACTAGATGGAGCATTCTTTAAGATTTTATCTTCAGAGGAATTTAAATCAGAGTGGGTCTCCATTAGGGAGAGTAGAAAGTTTGGAGTTTTGTCTGAGGGCAGAGAAAAGTCATGGTGTGTGTTCAGAGGGCCTAGGAATATCGGGATGATCTGAGAGATAAATAATGAAATGAAATAGGTTGCCCAGAGACTTGAATAGAATTAGAGGTGAGAGGTAGAGGTAATTCTTCTGGTCAAATGGTAGAGAACATCACCCCCAGTATCAATTTTAAAATCCAGTTCTTGATCCTCTATCTTTTTTTATTTTTTTTTTTTTCTAAGATGGAGTTTCAGTCATCCAGGTTGAAATGCAGTGGTGTAATCTTGGCTCATTGCAACCTCTGTCTCTTGGTTTCAAGCGATTCTCTTGCCTCAGCCTCTCATGTAGCTGGGATTACAGGTGCCTACCACCACGCCTGGCTAATTTTTGTATTTTTAGTAGAAGCGGGGTTTCACCACGTTAGCCAGGCTGATCTCGAACTCACTCCTGACTTCAGGTGATCCACCTGCCTCAGCCTCCCAAAGTGCTGGGATTACAGGCATGAGCCACCATGCCCAGCCTGATGCTCTATCTTAACTTTAATGGTAAGTTCTGGAGTGCAGCTGAAGATTGGCTGACCCTGCCAACAAGATATTGTCCCACAGAAGGAGAGAAATAAACTTATTGAGTCAGATGGAGGAATTTTTTAAGTTTTCTTTTACTTTAAGGGCTAGACAATTGTTTTTCAAATGTCCAGAATTCCTACAGCATCTGCAGACATCTGGAGGAATGTTCTGTGACTGATGAGAGAATTTTGATCTGCTCTCAGGGGTCTGATTTTACTTTTGCAGTGACTCAACCTGCAAACCAAGGGCTGCATATTTCAAATCTTTCTCTTTTGTTGTTGTTCTGTGAGTTGTTTTCAAAGAACTGTGTAGCTGCTTCCATAATAATGCTTAGAGGCTGAGATGGTTTGGCTCTGTGTCCCCACCCAAATCTCATGTTGAATTTAATTCCTAATGTTAGGGCCAGGACCTGGTGGGAGGTGATCGGATCATGGGGGCTAATTTCCTCCTTGCTCTCATGACAGTCAGTGAATTCTCACAAGATCGAATGGTTTAAAATTGTGTGACACTTCCCTCTTTTCTCTCTCTCCTGCCGCCTCGTGAAGGTGCTCACTTTCCCTTCACCTTCTGCCATGATTGTAAGTTTCCTGATACCTCCAGGTCATGCTTCCTGTACAGCCTGTGGAACTGTGAGTCAATTAAACCTCTTTTCTTCGTAAATTACCTGGTCTCAGGTAGGTCTTTATAGTGGTGTCAGAGCAGAGAAATACAGAAAATTGGTACCTGAAGAGTGGGGCATTGCTATTAAGATACCTGAAAATGTAGAAGTAACTTTGGAACTGGGTAACAGGAGGAGGTTGGAACCACTTGGAGTGCTCAAAAGAGACAGTAAGATGAGGGAAGGTTTGGAAGTTCCTAGAGACTTGTCAACTGCTTGTGACCAAGATGCTGATAGTGATATGGACAATGAAGTCCAGGCTGAGGTGATCTCAGATGGAAATAAGGCACTTATTGGGAACTTGAGTAAAGATCACTCTTACTATGTTTTAGCAAAGAGACTGGTGGCATTTTGCACCCCCTAGAGATCTGTGGAACTTTGAATTTGAGAAAGATGATTTAGGGTTTCTGGCAGAAGAAATGTCTAAGCAGCAAAGCATTCAAAATTGACCTGACTGTTTCTAAAAGTATATGCTCAAATACATGAACAAAGAGATAATCTGAAATTGGGATTTATATTTTAAGAAGAAGCAGAGCATAAAAGTTTGAAAAATTTGTAGCCCAGCCACATAGTAGAAAATAACACCCATTTTCTGGGGAGAAATTCAAGCCTGCTGCAGAAATTTGCAATAGTAAAGAGGATCCTAATGTTAATAGCTAAGGCAACAGGGAAAATGTCCTCAGGGCATGTCAGAGACCTTCACAGCAGCCCCTCCCATCACAGGCCAGAAGGCCTAGAAGAAAAAAATGGTTTTGTTGGCCAGGCCCAGGGCCTTGCTGCTCTCTGCAGCCTCAAGACATGGCACCCTGTGTCCCAGCTGCTCTAGCTCCAGCTATGGCTAAAACAGGCCAAGGTACAGCTTGGGTCATTGCTTCAGAGGGTGCAAGTCACAAACCTTGGCAGTTTCCATATGGTGTTGGGCCTATGGATACACAGAAGGCAGGAGTTGAGGTTTGGGAATCCCCACCTAGATTTCAGAGGATGTATGGAAATGCCTGGATGTCCAAGTAGAAGTCTACTGCAGGGGCAGACCTCTCATGGAGAATCTCTACTAGTGGAGGGGAAATGTGGAGTTGGAGCCCCACACAAATTCCCCACTGGGGCACTGCCTAGTGGAGCTGTGAAAAAAGGGCTACCGTCTTCCAGACCCCAGAATGGTAGATCTACCAACAACTTGCACCACGTACCTGGAAAAGCTGCAGGCACTCAATGCTAGCCCATGAAAGCAGCCAAGGGGGCTGTACCCTGCAAAACTACAGGGGTGTAGCTGCCCAAGGCCTTGGGAGCCCATGCTTTGCATCAGTGGGCCGTGAATGTGAGACATGGAGTCAAAGGAGATTATTTTGGAGCCTTAAGATTTAATACTGCCCTGCTGAGTTTTAGACTTGCGTGGGGCCCGTAGCCCCTTTCATTTGGCCGATTTCTCCCTTTTGGAATGGGAGCATTTACCCAATGCCTGTCCCTGCATTGTATCTTGGAAGTAACTAACTTGTTTTAGATTTTACAAGCCCATAGGTGGAAAGGACTTGCCTTGTCTCAGATGAGACTTTGGACTTGGACTTTTGAGTTAATGCTAGAATGAGTTAAGACTTTGGGGGAATGTTGGGAAAGCATGATTATGTTTTGAAATGTGAGAAGGACATGAGATTTGAGAGGGCTCTGGATTGCAATTATATGATTTGGCTCTATGTCGCCACCCAAATTTCATGTTGATTTGTAATTCCCAATGTTGGGGAAGGGACTTGGTGGGAGGTGATTGGATCATGGGGTGGATTTCCTCCTGGTTGTTCTCATAATAGTGAGTGAATTATCATGAGATCTGATGGTTTAAAAGTGTATGGCACCCCCTCCTTTTCTGTCTCTCTCTCCTGCCGCAATGTGAAGAAAGTGCTTGCCTCCCCTTCACCTTCTGCCATGATTGTAGGTTTCTTAAAGCCTCCCAGTCATGCTTCCTATTACGCCTATGCAACTGTGCATGAATTAAACCTCTTTTCTTCATAAATTACCCAGTCTCAGGTAGTTCTTTATAGCAGTGTGAGAACAGACTAATAGAGAGGCTGACTAGCCCAACCAACTATACTGTTCTAGATGTGTGTGTGTGTGTGTGTGTGTGTGTGTGTGTGTGTGTGATTATGGAAGTAGATTTTCAACAAGGGCAGAAATTTAAAGATTTCTGTGTTCTGGTGCATCGGGTTTTAATCCAGTATTCCCCTGAAAAGTTTGCATAAACCCCTCAATAAAAGCCTTAGGGTGTTCTCCCTCTTTCTGGTTACATAATTGGAACTTAGACCAATTAACCTTAGGAGGGAAAGCCTCTAATATCACCACCTCAGACCCTGAATATTAGCCTCTAGCTGAGCCATTTCCTGGTCATCCACAGGGAGGCCAGGGAGAGGATCTGGCCACCTGTTCCCCCTGTGTTTAGGGTTTTCCCCTGCAGGCCTTCTGGCCTGTCTATGGACTACAGGATAATCATGGGTGGGATGGGTGGGAAGTACACCCCTTAGTAGCCGGTCAAGGTCCCTGTGAGTGAGACTGTAAATGGCTACTAGCCTCTCTGATTCCGTAGGATCTTCTGAAAGTAGGAGCAAATGGGTTTCGTAATTCAGAAGATTTGCTGCCATCTAGGGGACATAAATTCTTTGTCATGGAGGCCGTGGATATATTCTCAGGGGGCACTGCCTAGGAAAGCCTGGAGCTGTTGGAGTTACTTATATAGCCTGGAAAGGAAGAAGCATCATATGGCACAGGAAGTCAAGCACTGCCTGGTTTATCTAACGGGTTTCTCTTGCTTGTCAGCTCTTATACAATTGACCTGTATGCATCCGGACTTTAAATTAGGTCCAAGTGTTTTCTGCAAATCCTGCAGAGACACAGAAGTCAGATTAGGCAGTTGGTTAGCTAAAGGATTTTCTGGAGACATTAGGGGTGTAATTGTTTTAGGGGTTATTACAGAAGTTTGCTGTGGGGTTAAGACTGGATTTTGAGGAGGGGGATTTTGACCAGGGGCCCAGATGATCAAAGAATCTTCTCGGGGGGTCTGGGACATGTAGTTGAGGATAAAGAAGAGTATAAGTTGTAGGGAAATTTAAATTGGGGGCAGATTTTAACTTTTGTTCTAGATTAGATTTCTGTTTTTTAATCTTGTCAGGAGAGTTCTTAAAGCAAGCCACAACACTAGTGCATGTCTTTCTTTCAATTTGATCTTCTCATAAATACAAATAAGGCAAATGCTTAGAATGAGAGCTCTTTAAAATTTTCCTTAAATTTAAGCCTTTCTCATTCAAAAGATCCTCTGCTGGCCACTTATAATTAGAATTTTCAATGGTTTATTTATTCCAATAATGACTTAATCCAATAAGCCTCTTCATAGTAAGCCAAGGTGGTAATTTCCCAGGTTGAGAATAGGTTGTCACTGTATAAGCAAGATGTGTTTCTGGAGAGGGCACAGAAGAGGCAGTCCCCATAATGCCCAAAAATTCACTCTCAGAAATAGGCTGAAAGTAACAAAAGACAACAAAAGTCCCATAAAAATGGGACCTTTTATGGCAAATCTCCCCTAAAAGCTTGGCACATTTGGTATAAATAATGTGCTGCTTAAAATCGTACATGTCTCAGACTCCCAGTCTTTTCAGATTGGTCACCTAACATGAACCCAAAAATTCATACCCTCCTGATGGCAGAGACTAAGAGAGTACCCACACTTAGTCACAAAGACAAGCTCCCAAGGTTATAAACCAAAAAAAAAAAAATCCAGTTTTTGTTTCAGGGACTAAAAGCAGTTTATCTTTACAGATGCTCATCTAGTCAGCTCAGCAAAAAACTAACCAGTCTGCAGGGCCAGCCTGAACAGTGGGCTTATAGGGGATCTAGGCTCATGTTCTACCCTGTGGTACCCCTCTTTATAAAAGAATAACACAGAAAGACAAAGGAAAATGGAACAACAACAACAAAAGGCTATTTCTGAGAGAAAAAGAGTGCAAACTGTCAAAGGCATTTGAACCACAGTGCCTCCATCTTGAATAGGGACGGGGTAAAATAAGGCTGAGACATACTGGGCTGCATTGCCAGGAGGTTAAGGCATTCTTAGTCACAGGATGAGATGGGAGGTCGGCACATGATACAGGTCATAAAGACCTTGCTGATACAACAGGTTGCAGTAAAGAAGCCAGCCAAAACCTCCCAAAACCAAGATGGCAATGACAGTGACCTCTGCTGGTCCTCATTGCTCATTACACACTAATTATAATGCATTAGCATGCTAAGGCACACTCCCAACAGCACTGTGACAGTTTACAAATGTCATGGCAATGTCAGGAAGTTACCCTAAATGTTCTAAAAAAAAAAAAAAAAAAAAAAGGGAGGAACCCTCAGTTCTAGGAATTGCCCACCCCTCTCCCGGAAAACTCATGAATAATCCATACCTTCTTTAGCATATAATCAAGAAATAACCATAAAAATGGGCTGCTCTGCATATAGAGTAGCCATTCTCTTATTCCTTTACTTTCTTAGTAAACTTGCTTTCGTTTACGCTATGGACTTGCCCCAGATTCTTTCTTGCACAAGATCCAAGAACCCTCTTTTGGGGTCTGGATTGGGACCCCTTTCCAGTAATAAAACAATATAAATATTCACACCCCAAATTAAATACACCAGAGTTGCTAAAACCCAACTAGTCCCATATAAAACGTTTTCTCTCACTAATCTTAAATTTGGAAAGGAAAAGAGAGAGAGTGATTTTTTTTTTTTTTTTTTTACCATTCACTCGACCAGAGAGTTCATGGAAAGAAAGAAACTGGGAGGCTGACCAGTAAGGAATTCTTACCATTTCTTTGCCAACTTTGTTGGGTCCTGGATTCCCTTCACTATGGTCTCCAGAAGTGCACAATGGCTTTGATGATTCTGCCAACTATGCCAAAACCGTAGGGGCCATGGGGAAGCTTCCCCCTTGCCCTAGAAATGTTCACAGAAAAAAAAATCAGCAAACCCTTTTCAGTGAAAAAATCAGTGAACCATTATTGACTATGCCAAAACTGTAGAGGCCATGGAGAAGCTTCCCCCTTGCCCTAGAAAGGTTCACTGAAAAAAAAAAAATCAGCAAATTCTTTTCAATGAAAAAATTAGCGAACCATTATTGCCTCACAATAAGGCTGACTAATAAGAGAAAAGGCGTACAAATTTATTTAACCGTGTGCATGGGGAGAATCACAGAGATTACCCAATTTCCCAGTGGGGCCCAAACACTTATATAATCTTCTTTCAGAGGGGAGGGGGAAGATAGGGAATATAGTAACTGTGGAGAGACAGTAAATGATTACCAAAGGAAAAAGAATGGGTACTTGGGAGAATGAATGAAAGGGGGAACAGAGATGGACTTTCAAATGGTTCTCTTTGGAAGTTGAACGAACTGAGAGACAGGAATTATTTTGCAAAATGGTTGGGCCAGGTCTGGTTACATTCTTTCCTTTCCTGAAATATTAATAGATAATGAGATAACAATGAAGGAAAGGAAAAGCAATTGTTCTTGATGGATCCATCTGATCTTTATGGAGATAGGAGAAAAGTCTCTTCTAGGGCCCATTGATTCCTAAAGGTTTTTAATTCAAAATATGCATTATACTGGGGTGCTCCTTCATTTGATTTCAGAGCGATTTCAGGGTTTCACACAGCTATAGCAAAGTTGGCTATAGAAATATTTATAAACTGTAAAGGTATTAAGCAAACTCACACAATTGTAACATCATGTTTGGTTCATGCTCTTCAGTTGTTTATTCAGAAAGTAGTAAAGCATAGTGTAATTAACAAAATTACTGTCTGGAAACAGAAAAATAATGAGCCACTGTCACCACATTTTCTGTCTGTCACAAGAATTATTTTGGAAGCTCTCTGTCATGTAATAATGTTCAAACAAAATGGAATCACAGCTATTATTTTTTAAAAGAGCAAGGACTGACTCTGAGGAGGGAGATGGAAATGGTAAAAGGCAGAGGAAGAGTGAATGACGAGCAGAATATTGGATATGTGTATTATGAAATGCCTTACAAATGTAGGGCCAAAAACATGGTAAAGACCTAGATAAATTTATGTGAACCTCAAGAACTCCACTTACTGGTTGTGGCTGTTTTATGAGCAACAAATGGCATGCCTGCTCACCCTTCCACAGGGCAGTCTGTCAACTAACAGCAGAAACTAGCCTTACCAAGCTGTCAGAGCACCCCTATCAGATGAATGGACTACACTAAATCCTGAGGCAGGACTCCAGAATCAGGCAGGTCTGACTGTCCTCACCTCTCACACCAGATTGGGTTGGATGGTAGAGCTGTCATCCCAATGAAGACAGCTGGATAGAGCAAGAGGTGTTAGAGCTCTGGAGATGCCTTCTCACCATTGTATCTCAGAGCACAGAACAGGGCTCTGTCAGTTTCAGAAAGGATTATAAGATGAAGGAGAAGGAGGAGGAGGAGGAGGAGAAGAAGAAGAGGAAGAAGAGGAGGAGGAAAGGAGGAGTGGGAGAAGGAGAGGGAGGGGAAGGAGAGAAGAAGAAGGAGGAGGCGGCGGAGGAGGAGGAAGAGAAGAAGAAGGCAGCGACTGAGGAGGAGGAGGGGAGGAGGAGTGTGAGAAGGAGGGGGAGGGGAAGAGGGGGAGGAGAGAAGAAGAAGAAGGAGGCAGCAGCTGAGGAGGAGGAGGGGAGGAGGAGTGGCAGAAGGAGGGGGAGGGGAGGAAGGGGAGGAGAGAAGAAGAAGAAGAGGGAGGAGAAGAAAAAGAAGAGAGGAGAAGGAGGGGGAGAGGAGGAGAAGAAGAAGAAATTTTAAAATAAAAAGAAAGAATTAAGAAAAATTATTTAAAACTTGGAAATAAGACAGGAAGACTACTGTGCACCCTTTCAAAGTCGTACTAGTGTTAGAGTAGGTAGCTAGACAGTAATTAGCAGAGTGGAGAGCCCCCCTACCAAGAAATGTCAGGCGACCATCAGGTGATGGTCAGGTAGTTGTTAAACTGTCTCTCTAAAATAATTGTTGGTCACAGCTGGCACCAGGAAAAGACAGCCTCCCAATAGATAGAAAACACCTGAAGCTAGTGATCAGCAGCTGTGGGCTCAAGTATGCTCACTGAGAAGCAAAATGGCAGCGTTTAACTGGTATCTGACCTTCCTTGAGGAACGCTTGTTAAGGAAAAAATGCTTCAAGTGAGCATGTGCATAACTTCAGTAGACACACTGGGCATGTGGCCTCTCCCAAGTGCTGGCAGGCCACCATGCATGCGAACAGCCCGCTCCAAGGGAAGAATCAAGGGAGAAGAAACGCAAACCCCAGAACCATGCCAATGTATAAAACCCCAAGTCAAGGGCCAGACTGGGCACTTGGATCTCTCAAGTTGCCTGCGTGGCCCTCTTCCAAGTGTACTTTACTTCCTTTCATTCCTGCTCTAAAATGTTTGATAAATAAACTCTGACTCCTGCTCTAAAACTTGCCTCCGTTTCTCCTTTTGCCTTAAAACTACTTCTGCTCCTTGGCCAAATTCTTTCCTCCAGGGAGGCAAGAATTGAGTAGGCTGCGGACTAACATAAATTTGCTGCTGGTAACACTAGGACATTGTCTAACAAGCTCAATCAATGGTCATCTGATTCTAGGGAATATGGTATTGTTTGGCTTACTATTTATTATTCTGTAAAGTTAGATGTTAATTTGGGGGAGACTGGTAAGTCACAAATGAGTTTCTGTCCAGCAGAAAAAATTACTCCAAAGTTAATATCCTGTAGGATATTAACCAATTTTGTATCTAATTTTGCAACCTTATTCCAGCATTTTTCTTTAATTTAACAAGTATATCAATCCCTCCTATACTGCTGGTTTCCTCCTTAATGACTTAAGTAAGTCTTTTACATAGTCTCATATTATATCGTGAGTCTTTTTTTAATTTCTTGAAAAGTATAGTTTGATGGAAGTTAGAAAGGAAAGAAGGAAGAAAGAAACTCTTATCAGATTACTCTAAATAAGGAGTAAAACTGACACTTCCCTTCCCCTTCATCACCTCTCGTTTCCCTTCTCTGTCCCTCTCGCACCTGCAGGCTCTCTCTAGCATACCCAGCAAACAAATCAGAGTCATACAGAAGGCACTTCCTGACAGAAGTCCTACCCTGGGCCATAACACTACAGAGCTCCTGAGACAGACCAATCACAGTGAGGATTCTGAGTGCGCATGACATAACCACCCAATGGGTTCTTCCTGCCCACTGCACAAACAAAGCCAATTCACAGTGTTGCAATAAAGAGTTTAGTTGACACAAGGCTGGCCATGTCACACGGGAGATGGAGTTATTCCTCAAATCAGTCTCATCGAAGGCTCAGAGGTTAGGGATTTTTCAAAAGTGTTTTGGGGGAAGGGGTGGGAGTAGCTAGGCAATAGGTGCTTGCTACTGATTGGTTGGGTAGGAGATGAAATTATAAGGAGTTGAAGCTATCTCTTTCACTGAGTTGCTTCTGGGTAGGGTCACAGGAGTAGTTGGAGGGTCCAGATGGAGCCAGGTGTCAGACACGCAAAAAACCTGAAAAGATATCACAAAAGGAGATTCTAGAATAGTGATGTTATTTCCAGGAGTAATCAGGGAAGTTGCATGTATTGTGACCTCCAGAATAATGGCTGGCAATTGTTTATGTCTACACCTCAGGAGAATTCAGGCTTCTCTCCTCCTCCAAACCTGATGGCCTTTTGTTAGCTTTACAAAGATTATTGAGTTTTGGGGAAGGCCTGTTATCAATTAAACTATAAACTAAATGTCTCTCAAAGCTATACCAAGAATAATTAAAGGCAGCTTGGAGGCTAAAGGCAAAAGGGTGCTTGGCTAGATCAGATCTCTCCCACTGCCATAATTTTCTCACTGATATAATTTTGCAAAAGCAGTTTCAATGATATGACCCCAAAAGCGTAACTTTGCCTCCTATGTTAAATGACAGCATAGAACTAGAGAGATTTTTACCTAATTTTACCCCCACAGGCCCTGGGCATTTCCCTGAGACCTCTGAGCAGCCCAAGCCAGGATTAGGGAGAGGGCTATGTGAACAGGGCTCTGTACCATGTATCCATCAGAGATTGTATCAGAGGAACTCAACTCTCAACTTCGTTAAGTACCACACTTCAGAGTAAGATTTTATTAGAAACAAAGGATATTATGGTTTCTTTATTTCATATATTTTGAAATGTTTATGACCTTTAAATGCTTCAAATATACTTTTTAGCATTAAATTTTTCACTGTGGTATAATAATTCCATTTGACTAATGTATTATATAAAGAGTATTTCTAACATACATAGAATATAGACACATTTATTGTTAAAGTAGCCAGTATCACATACTCTATTGTTATATGGTATCATAACTGGGCTGATAACTGCAACTTGTTTAAAATACTTTGCCTTTATGTGGCATTTAGGTAGCATTTACATTATTTGTATGTAGTCCTCTTAACATTGAACCAAGCTATTTTGCCCCTTTATAAATTTAATTTATGCCTGATGTTGAAGAAAAGAAAAATTTGCTTATGAAAAATATCACTAGAGAAACTGTTCAAGGACTGTACCTCACTGGGAAGGATCAAGCCAATCTCAGGGACACGGGCCTGCTTCAAAATTGCCATCAAGTTGCAAAGCAGCTCCACCCCTAAATCCCAAGCAACACATCAGGTGCTTTTACTCAATGAAGTGGTCTCTGAGAGAAAAGAAAATACAACTTGTTTGTTATGTCTTTTTAGAGTCAAATTGAATATAAAACATTATTCAAATCCATATCTTCACCATATTGCCTCCACTTCCAGTGGGTTCTCTTAAGTTTGGTTGTTTTTTGTTGTTTGTTTTTTTGATCATTAAAAATGCTGCAATGGGCTGGGTGTGGTGGCTCATGCCTATAATCCCAGCACTTTGGGAGGCCAAGGCTGGTGGATTGCTTGAGAACAGAAGTTCAAGACCAGCCTGGCCAACATGATGAAACCCCATCTCTATTAAAAATACAAAAATTAGCCGGGCGAGGTGGCGCACACCTGTAATCCCAGCTACTCATGAGGCGGAGGCAGGAGAATCACTTGAACTCAGGAGGCAGAGGTTGAAGTGAGCCAAGATCACACCACTGCACTCCAGCCTGGGTGACAGTGTGAGGCTCCATCTCAAAAAAAAAAAAAAAAAAAGCTGCTCTGGTTTTTTTACCTAATTATATAAATCTAAGGTAAAATGTGTATTCATTAGAATTTGATCCAAAAATACATTTTTATTTCACATAAGTACAGGCAACCTACAACTATTCTGGGGAGCTCCATTGTCAACAATCCAGCTTTCTTCTATCTTATACCACCATCTTCATCATGTGGACTCCACATTACCTCCTGGTTGACAATATCCCTTCCACTTCCAGCAAACTCATTCTGGCCAGCAGGAAAGATTTTTTGTTGTTGTTTTAAAGGATTCTCCCATTCTTCCCTCTAATGACACCTCTCAGCGGATGCACCAAGCACAGTCATTTGTACACTCTTGGCCAAAACTTAGTCTTGTGTCCATAGGACTAGCAATGACAGCTGAAAAATAATCTTTAGGTCCAGCAGCCAAGCTTCCATCTAACATTTGAGGATTCTTACTAAGGAAGAAGGGACGAATGAATATTTGGAACTCTTATTGCAGTCTCCAATACAGTCAGTCCCTTTGGTCACCCAACCACCTGTGCACAACCTTCCTCTCCATAAAGGACCTGTTCATACCCTCCTCAAAAGACACAACAGCAAAGCCCCAACCAGGCACAGCTTCCAGATCAAAGTCCAGGACCTCTGGGAGATAACTCTCAGTCAAGTCTAGATATGGATCTTTGTGATCTGGTGACCTCATCTGCCTCAAAAACACCAAAGATGCAATGGAGGAGCAAGAAGCAGATTAACTGCATGCAATTAAATCTACGATTTGGTAATGGGGAGCAGAGAAAATACACAGCAGTCACTAGTCCATTATAATTAATAAATTCCATTGTTCTTTGGTAGTAGAGTGCTTATTTTGACCATCTGACATCCTGGATTCTGGTCTTGGAGAGTAATTCCCTTGTCCACTGTCCTGTCTAATCTGTTCTCTCTTGTCCATTATCTTCCATGAACAAATTGAAATAGACATTTTATATGGTTTGACTCTGTATCCTCACCCAAATTTCATGTTGAAATGTAATCCCCAGTGCTGGAGAGGGGGGCTGGCGGGGGGTGATTTGGATCATGAGGGCAGTTTCTAATGGTTCAGCACCGGCCCCCAGTGCTGTTCTCATGATAGAGTTCTCATAAGATCTGGTCATTTAAAAGTGTGTGGCACCTCCCCTCGCCTTCTGCTCCAGCCACGTGCAGATTGTACGTTTCCTGAGACCTCCCCAGAAGCCAAGACAATGCCAGCATCATGCTTCCTGCACAGCTTACAGAACCATGAGCCAATTAAACCTCTTTTCTTTAAAAATTACCCAGTCTCAGATATTTCTTTATAGCCGTGTGAGAACTGACTAATACAACATTGGAAAGTATTACCTACTTGGGTGTTGCACAACTTCCCACTCTCTGTTTTGGAGGCCTGGGCTTTAGGGGTGGAACAGTCACAGGCTTTTACAGCCAGGCTTGTGATTCCTCTGTCAGTATAATTCCTTCAAAACCTTAGTAGAGTTATGATCTGTTTGCCTGTGGTTAGTTCCAGACATCCCACATGCAAATATTCCACAACCAAATGCATCTGCACATCGTTTTTAAATCTGAAGACTCTGGTCTGTGCTTACTGGCTTCTCTCCTCTATCCATGCCTCTTAAGCCATAAAGTTAATGGCAGCAGTCTAGAAGCCCTCAGAAAGAAAAAAAAAAAAAAACCCTTGTTTTAGCATAAAAACAAGATTCTTAATCTGATCTTTGCTGTTGCACTGAGCTCTCATTGTCTGGCAGAAAACTCTTAATAAAAGGTACTGAAAAAGGTTTAGGACCACAGTTTTATCTCCTGCTTAGGCTGTCTTTTCACAGCCACAGCATATAACTGCTTCCCTTTGAGGTATGCTCCTGATTTTCTTTACCAAACTGCAAGGCTCCAATTCCAGACCTTCAGTCAATTTAAATTAGAGGCCTCAGGCACGGAGCACCTGCAAGAGAGCTATACCTCCAACAGTCTGTATCTCTGTTAACAGACTGGTGAGCTCTAGCCTGAATTTATCTCTTTTCTAGAACTTGGATGAAAGCAGTAAGAAGCAGCCAACCAACCCCAATACTCTGCCTTTTTGCCATCCTTTTCACTGACACCACACCAGGTGGCAGACAGTTAAGTTTTCCAACTGTTGCAGTTTCTTTTATCCAAATGTGTTGCCCCTGCATAACGAGAGTCACCAGACTTTCAGCCTCCAAAATCTGAGTCTTTGCTGCCTACTAGATATTGTTATAGAACCAAACTAGGTTCCATTTGCCCAGTGCAGTTAAGTCCAGATATCCACAAAAAGGTTATTGCAGCAGTAGAAAGGGAGCCATTTATTTGCAAGACACCAAGCAAGGAGAATCAGAACAGCTCATGCTGCTTAAAACCCAAACTCCCTGATGGCACACAGGTAAGGGTTTTTAAAGGCAAGAGTTGTGTCTCTGCCAGGTTTTGGTATCAGGATGATGCTGGCCTCATAAAATGAGTTAGAGAGGAGTCCTGCTTTTTCTATTGTTTGGAATAGTTTCAGAAGGAGTGGTACCAGCTCCTCTTTGTACCTCTTGTAGAATTCGGCTGTGAATCCATCTACTCCCAGGTTGGTTTGTTTCTTTGTTTTTTGTTTGTTTGTTTTGAGACAGAGGCTCGCTGTGTCACCCAGGCTGAAGTGCAGTGGTGCAATCTCGGCTCACTGCAACTTCCACTTCCCGGGTTCAAGCGATTCTCCTGCCTTAGCCTCCTGAGTAGCTGGGATTGCAGGTGCCCACCACCACGTCCAGATAATTTTTGTATTTTTAGTAGAAACAGGGCTTCACCATGTTGGTCAGGCTGGTCGCGAACTCCTGACCTCATAATCCCCCCACCTCAACCTCCCAGAGTGCTGGGATTACAGGCATGAGCCACCGCGCCCAGCCAGTAGGCTATTAATTACTCCCTCAATTTCAGAACTTGTTATT
Organism: Homo sapiens; assembly: GCF_000001405.40. Taxonomy (NCBI): domain Eukaryota; kingdom Metazoa; phylum Chordata; class Mammalia; order Primates; family Hominidae; genus Homo; species Homo sapiens. Next base: position 54,714,915 of record NC_000012.12, on the reverse strand, counting down.
TGTCTATTTAGGGATTCAACTTCTTCTTGGTTTAGTCTTGGGAGGGTGTTTATGTCCAAGTATTTATCCATTTCTTCTAGATTCTCTAGTTTATTTGCATAGAGGTGTTTACAGTATTCTCTGATGGTAGTTTGTATTTCTGTGGGATCAGTACTGATATCCCCTTTATCATTATTTATTGAACTAAAGAGCTTCTGCACAGCAAAAGAAACTATCATCACAGTGAACAGGCAACCTACAGGATGGGAGAAAATTTTTGCAATCTATCCATCTGACAAAGGGCTAATATCCAGAATCTACAAAGAACTTAAACAAATTTACAAGAAAAAAACAAACAATCCCATCAAAAAGTGGGTCAAGGATATGAACAGACACTTCTCAAGAAGATATTTATGCAGCCAACAAACATATGAAAAAAAGCTCATCATCACTGATCATCAGAGAAATGCAAATCAAAACCACAATGAGATAGCATCTCATGCCAGTTAAAATGGAGTTCATTAAAAAGTTAGGAAACAACAGATGCTGGTGAGGCTGTGGAGAAATAGGAAAGCTTTTACATTTTAGGTGGAAGTATAAATTAATTCAACCATTGTGGAATACACTGTGGCCATTCCTCAAGAATCTAGAACCAGAAATGCCATCTGACCTAGCAACCCCATTACTGAGAATATACCCAGAGGATTATAAATCATTCTACTGTAAAGACACATGCACACATATGTTTATTGCAGCACTGTTCACAATAGCAAAGACTTGGAACTAACCCAAATGCCCATTAATGATAGACTGGATAAAGAAAATGTAGCACATATACACCATGGAATACTATGCAGGCATAAAAAAGAATGAGTTCATGTCCTTTGCAGGATCATGGTTGAAACTGAAAACCATCATTCTCAGCAAATTAGCACAGGAACAAAAAACCAAACACCGCATGTTCTCACTCATAAGTAGGAGTTGAACAATGAGAACACATGGACACAGGGAGGGGAACAACACCCACCAGGGCCCGTCAGGGGATGCGGGGCTAGGGAAGGCAGAGCATTAGGAGAAATACCTAATGTAGATGACGGGTTGATGGGTACAGCAAACCACCATGACATGTGTATACTTATGTAACAAACCTGCACGTTCTGCACAGGTATCCCAGAACTTAAAGTATAATAAATAAATTTTTTTAAAGAAATAATAACAATAAATTAGGACTAAAGGAAGAAAAAATATGTCTACACCATTTCTTCCTTCTTCTTTAGCGAAAAACTCATTAAAAGAGTTATTTGCCCTCGACACAGGTTAAGCAAAAAGCCAAGTTCCATTATGCATATTGAGCTGCCTACTTGACACCTAATAAAGATCTTTAATTAAACTATTAAATATTAAACTTCTAATAGACATTTCTAATTAATTATCCAAAACTAATTTTTTGATCTTCTGCAAACCCACAGCTTTTCTCATCTCAGTTGCTTGTGTCCATCCTTTCAGTTGCTTACATCAAAAACCTTGGGTGTCTGTGTCCCCTCAGGTTCATTTATGCAGAGTGGAAAAAATTAATCCTCAGGGTAGAAAACGTAAAATACCAAAGAACCACTGCCAGTTACCCTCATTGTCTGACACTTTCACTTGGCAATTAGGGATTCACCTTTAGACTCTTAGGATGAGGTGATATTAGAAGGTGGAAGTGTCCTTAGGTTGTCCGAGAAGGAGCTGACCCTGTGTTGTTAAAGTATGATTCCATAAATTTAAGAAATAAACAAACAAATCAACTCTCAGAGAGTAAAAATGGGAATGAAAAAGCTATATAACAAAAAATCAACCAAAATCATCACAATAATGGAGAACTGTTAAAAGCATTTTACATAAGATTGGGAGCGAGAAAATGATTCCCAGAATCACCTTTATGATCTAATATAGTTCTACAATTCCTGGGCAACACTGTAGTGTAAGTTTTTTAAAACAGTAATGTGTAATGAACATAATGCAATATAGCTAACAACTGCCATTACTTCCTCATTCCACAAAATGTACTAAGCATATACTATATTAACAGAGTATCCTAGGCACTGGGGATGCAGCAGAACAAAGTCTTTGGTCTCATGCAGATAATATACTAAGAGGGCAGGCAAGTAATAAAGAAGAAATTAAATGCAAATAACAAGCAAAATAAAGAAATATATTTTTCAGATAATATTATCAGCAACACAAGAAAACATAAAAAACAGATAAACTATAAGAAATCACAAAGGAATTTAGAAAAGTTCACAAATAAAAAATTTACAAGGCTCAAGTGTGTTTCTCTATAATGTCGATAACCAACCAGGAAAAAAAGGACATCATTCACAATAGCAACAAAATTTATAAAATATTGAAGAATTGACCTATTAAAGAAAGACAAGACCATTTTGGTTCAAAAAAAGATATTAAAAGGTATAAAAGAAAGTTTAAAATGGAAGTGTACCATGGTTATGATATAATGATTCAACATAGTAAAGATAGCAGTTTTCTCTAAATTAATCTATAAATATGATATTTTCTTGATAGAATCTAGCTGGATAAGTTTAGGAACTTGATACAGTTACTCTAAAATTTATATGGAAGAATAAAGGTTTATAGACAGCTAACAACATTTTGGAAAACAAAACATAGGAGTGGACGTTCAGTTTTTCAGAGATTAAGACATGCCACAGAGCCACATAAACTAAACAGCATGGTATCAGCATAGAAAATAATAAACCAATGCAAGCGACTAAAAAGTTAAGAAATAGATCCAAATTTAATATTCTACAAATAAAAGGAGAAAGCATAGATTTGTAGAGAGTATAACAAAAACTGTCTCACTGTGTGGAGATAACTGATAAATTACTCTGTATATACATGATGCAAGTGGACTCCAGAAAAATTAAGTTCTAAATGTGAAAGCCAAAACTACAAAGCCAATAGAATCATTTATATGTGGGATTGAAAAGGTCAAATTCATGGAAGTATAGAGTAGAATGGTGGTTACGGGGGGAGGGAGGAGAGGATGGGGAAAGGGGAGATATTGACCAACATTGTACAAAATTTCAGTCAGACAGGAGGAATGTTTTTGATATTGTACAACTATGGTGACTATAGTTAACAATAATGTATTGCATATTTCAAATTTTCTAAGAAAGTAGATTTCAAATGTTTCAGCACAAAAAAAAAGATAAGTAAGAGATATGGTGGATGTTAACTAGCTTGATTTAACCATTCTGCATTGTGTACATACATCAAAACATCACATTGTACCCAATAAATCTACAGAATTATTATTTGTCAATTAAAATTTTTGGAAGAACTAAACAAAAAATAAAGCCAATAAAAGAGAATCATAGGTGAGAATATCTTTTTTACTAGAAGTCGGAAAGAACATCTTATAAACGACCCAATAAGTACAAAAGTTAAGGCAAAAAAGAATGAGTTTGGTTTATAGAAATTAAGGGTTTGTATTCAGAAAAGGATGTCAGACAAATGACTGACTCAAAAATACATCTACAATATATAAAAATGAGAGATTAATATGTAATATATAAAAGAGCACTTGTATAACCCCAGTTCCAAAACTTACTAGCCGTTTAATTTAGAACACCTTGTTTTACCTTTCTGGTCACATTTTCTTCACCAATAATATGAAGATAGCAATAATAATACCTATCTCATAAGGTTATTGTGAGTACAAAATTACTTAGAGGAGTGTTGCTCTAGCACATAGAAAATATTCAATAAATCTTAGCTGATTTTTATTATATCAACAAAACAAGATATAATAAAGGATATGAAATTCCATAAATGATATGGGCAAAGGATATGTAATTCACAGAAAGAGGAACACAAATGACTAATAAGTATAAATAGATATTCTAAACTTTTTAGTAACAGAAATGCAATGAGATACCATCTTACCATCATTAATTTCGCAAAAAAAAAATAGAAAAGTAGATAAAACCAAATGTTTGTATATTCTGTATTGATGAGGATATGTGGAGAAAGAGAATTCTCATCAGCTGTTGCTAGGGGGCATAAACTGGTTCTACTATTTTGGAAGAAGTCTGGCAATCTGAGGTGATATTAAATATGCATACATCCTAAAACTGACTAATCCCAATCCAAAAAGTTGGAATCAAACCTGGTAACCATCACTTGAGAAATGGATAAATAAATTATCCCATTATGGAAAATTCCACAATGGATAGAAGCAACAAAATTGTATCTTGCCCAACTACATAGATAGATAGATAGATAGATAGATAGATAGATAGATAGATAGATAGATAGACAGATTAGATAGATAGATAGATATAGATATAGATAGATATAGATAGATAGATGATAGATAGATAGATGATAGATAGATAGATAGATAGATAGATAGATAGATAGATAGATAGATAGATGTATAATGTTAATATTGAGTGTCAACTTTATTGGATTGAAGAATGGCAAAGTATTGTTTCTGGGTGTGTCTGTGTGGGTGTTACCAAAGGAGATTAACATTTCAGTCAGTGGACTGGGAAAGGCAGATCCACCCTCAATTTGACTGGGCACAATCTAATCAGCTGCCAGCATGGCCAGAATAAAAGCAGGAGGAAGGACATGAGAAGACTAGACTGGTTTAGTCCTCTGGCCTACATCTTTCTCTCATGCTGGGTGCTTTCTGCTCCCAAACGTTGGACTCCAAGTTCTTCAGCTTTGGGACTCAGACTGACTTCCTTGCTCCTTGGCTGGCAGATGGCTTACTGTAGGGCCTCACCTCGTGATTGTGCACGTCAATACTCCTTAATAAACTCCCCTTTATATATACATCTAGCCTATTAGTTCTGTCCCTCTAGAGAACCCTGACTAATACAATATACTATACATGCATATATATGTCTTTTTAACAATTTTAAGGTACACCAACACATTTACAATCATTTAACATGGTGTGTGTGTTCCCAATTTCTCCAGAATCCCACCAAATTTTATTTTTTTCCACCTTCACCAACAGGCAAAAATAATAGACAAAGGTAGTATTTAGGCAAAGGTAATAATAGGTAATGGTAATATTCCATTTTTTAAATTTGCATTTCTTTACTCCCTAGCAAAGCTGAACTTTTTCAGTTATTTGGCCATTTGGATTCTCTTATGAATTATTTGATCATATCCTTAGCACAATTTTCTGTTAGATTCATCAACTTCTTCTCACTGACTTATGTGGTGGATGCTCAGCGGGATATCCAACTGCTAGCCCATGTCTTCTTCACCCACCATGCTCCTCTTCCTCCCAGAAGCTCACTTGCCCTATCAAGGATCCAAAGGCAGATGATGGCCACTTTCTTACCTCCCTTTCCTTCTTTCTTTCTTTCTGTTTTTTTTTTTTTTTTTATTTTGAGATGAAGTTTCACTCTTGTTTCCCAGGCTGGAGTGCAATGGCATGATCTCGGCTCACCGCAACCTCTGCCTCCTGGGTTCAAGCGATTCTCCTGCCTCAGTCTCTGGAGCAGCTGGAATTACAAGCATGCACCACCACGCCCAGCTAATTTTGCATCTTTAGTAGAGATGGGGTTCCTCCATGTCGGTCAGCCTGGTCTCAAACTCCCGACCTCAGGTGATCCTCCCAAAGTGCTGGGATAACAGGCGTGAGCTGCCGCGCCCGGCCTCTTACCTCCCTTTCAATTAGGGGAAGGTGGCCAATGGGAGCTGAAAAAAAGGCTTGGATGGGGCTTTTGGAAAAGATATCTCCCACCCCTTAATGAAAATAAATGATTAGGGGAAGACGCTCATATTCTTCACCATTGTCATGTCTACGTGGGACATGTAGGAAGTACTGGAGCCTTCTTGCCACCATGAGGAACAACGTTGCCTATATGTTGAGGATGCAGAACCACAGAGCCAAAAGGAAACTGGATCCCTGACAACACCATTGAGCAACTAAATTAATCCTGGAAGTGAAACTATCCTATCTCTGTAATGTTTATAGAAATAATATACATCATTTTGCTTAAGCTACTATTAGTTTGGGTATTACATAACTTGAAGAAAAATGTATATTAACTGGTACAATTTATGAGCACTTTATCGTTTAAAAATAGGTGCCCATAGTTTCAGCCACTCAGGAGGCTGGGGCAGGTGGATCACTTGAGCCTGAGTGGTTGAGGCTGCAGTGAGCCAAGATCGTGCCACTGCATTCCAACCTGGGTGACAAAGCAAGACTCAATTTCAAAAAAAAAAAAGTTAACACATTTTAATTTACGTTATTGAATATGACAGTTTGATTCTGTTTCAAGCATACAAAAAGTTTTTAACAGAAATGAATTTTTAATTTAAATTTTTATTTTATTTTACAAATGTCAATTATAGATCTATCACAATGATCATATGACATTTCTCCATTTGCTTTGTGATGTGTTAAATTTAATGTTAAAAATTATAATCTTAACCCGTTGCTATACTTCTTTTAAAAAGCATCTTTGAACGAACTTGGAGGACATTACGCTAAGTGAAATAAGCCAGACAGAGAAAGACAAATACTATATGATCTCACTTATATGCGTAATCTTAAAAAGTCAAATTCATAGAAGCAGACAATAGAACGGTGGTTGCCAAGGGCTAGGGGTGGGAGAAATGGGGAGATGTTGGTCAAAGGGCACAAACTTTGAGTTATAAAATGAATAATTCTAGGGACTCTAATGTACAGCATGGTGACTATGGTTAATTATACTGTATTGTATACTTGAAATTTGCTAAGAGAGTAGATCTGAAGTGTTCTCACCATAAAAAAAAAAATGGTAACTGTGTGAGGTGATGAATGTGTCAATTTATTGCAGTAATCACTTTACAATGCATACATATATCAAATCATCATGTTGTATACCTTAAATATATACATTTTTATTTGTCAATTATACCTCAGTGAAGCTGGATGGGGGAAGCATCCTTGGTGGTCATAAATCATGTGTTGTCCTCATAATTTGTTTCTAAATTAGATTTGACATTACCGTGTATGGTAATTAGAATTTTGTATTGTTCTTCATAAGTAGGATTGATCTTAATGTTTGTATTTTTACTTAAGTTTCAGTACAATAGTTACATTAGCTTCACAAAAAAGAAATTTGGAATTTTTCATCTTTTCAATGTTCTGAAATCATTTAAATACCAGAAGTATACTCTCATTCTTAGACGGTTAATTGAACTAGACAGTAAAACCATGCAGATCTGATGCTTTGGATGATGAAGGAGTTTGGGAATGATGATGACAATTTTTTTTTTTTTTTTTTTGAGACGGAGTCTTGCTCTGTCTCCCAGGCTGGATGGAGTGCAGTGGCGCAATCTCAGCTCACTGCAAGCTCCGCCTCCCGGGTTCACGCCATTCTCCTGCCTCAGCCTCCCGAGTAGCTGGGACTACAGGCACCCGCCACCACACCCGGCTAATTCTATTTTTTTTTTTTTTTTGTATTTTTTAGTAGAGACGGGGTTTCACCGTGTTAGCCACGAGGGTCTCGATCTCCTGACCTCATGATGCGCCCGCCTCAGCCTCCCAAAGTGCTGGGATTACAGGCGTGAGCCACCGCGCCCAGCCGATGATGACAAATTTTAAAACATTTTCTATAATTATTTGTCTATTTGTATTCTTAATTATTCAGAGCAAATGTTAAGTATTCATATTTTCATAGAAAGTAGTATTTATTATTTTGAGATTTTAAGATATATTAGCCAAGAGTAATCTTATTTCAAGTTCTGTATCTATGGTTATATTTGTATCTAATTTTCATTAATAGGTGTTTGGTCTTTTGCCATTTCTATCGATTAATTTTATTGGTCTTTTTAAAATATTTGAATTTATTTATTATTTCTCCTCTTTATCTGTATTCTGATCTATTAATCTATCATTTATCTTCTTCTATTCTACATTCCTTAAGTTTATTTTGTTATTCTTTCTCTAAACTAGATCTTTTCTTTTTATTGTTTTTTATTTAATAGCTAATGCATTTCAAAGCCTTCTCTGGTCAGACACCACTTCAGCCATAAGTTTTGACAGATAATGTTCTCACTGCCATTCATTTCTTCTCTTTTAATATACAGGTGACATAAATATATTCTCATTATGTGAGATTCAAATAATACACTTGGAAATTTATACTCTGCTAAATAAAAAGTCTGGATGGTAATTACACAGTATATGTAAATATAAGGCAATAAATGAGTAAACAAAGATGGCAAATTAAGCACAAGCATCACTCTCCTTCCCACCCCAGCCTCGGAGAAATAACATAAAGGACAAAAGAAACCAGAATATCTTCATAATAATTTGGGGACCAGAATAAGCACTGCCAGTATTTTTAAGGAATCTTAAAAAATAGAAAGCAGAGAGGATCGGGAAAATCGAGGAACAAAATGAGACAAAACTATGCCTGAAGCAGGGCAAGGAGAAGCAATGAGGAAGGAGCAAAGATAGCGATGAGGAAGGAGCAGTTTGAGGAGACTAAGTCCAAAGTCAATGGATATATGGAATGTGAGCTTCAAGAGCATTCATTAGCATGATCAGTGAGAAACTACATTCAGGTCATTTAAACAGCTGATCTCCCTTCTATTTCTCCAGTGCACTGGGCAGTGATGTGTGTGGACAATGGGCTTAGGGGCATTGCCTTTCACAGGAAGGATGAGGAGCTCCCACAGTGAGAAATTATCCACCATCACTAGAGGTAGACGACAGTAACAGAATAAGCAAGCTCAGATTTTCAAATTCAGATATGCAACAACTGAAAACTAACCAAACATTTGGGAGAAACCAACATTAGGAGAGATACTAAGCATTAAAAAAGAAAACTAACCACTGAGAACACAAAATAAACAGAGCAATATTCAAGCCTCAGCAATATTCAAGAGTTTATTAGGCTCATTGAAAAGACGCCAGTCACAATGGCTATTATATTAAAGTCAAAAAATAACAGATGCTGGCAAGGTTGTGGAGGAAAGGGAACACTTATGCATTCCTGGTGGGAGTGTAAATTAATTCAGCCATTGTGGAAAGCAGTGTGGCAATTCCACAAAAACTTAAAACAGAATTACCACTTGACCCAACAATCCCATTATTGGGTATATACCCAATAATGAATTGTTCTACCATAAAGACACATGCATGCGTACGTTCAAAGTAACACTATTCACAATAAAAAAAGACATGGAATCAACCTAAATGCCCATCAATGGTAGATTGGATAAAGAAAACGTGGTACATACACATCATGGAATATTACACAGTCATAGAAAAGAAGAAGATCTTACCATTTGCAGCAAAATGGATACAGCTGGAGGCCATTATCCTAAGCAAACAAACACAGGAACAGAAAATCAAATACCACATGTTTTCACTCATAAGTGGGAGCTAAACAACCAGAACATCTGGCTCTTAGAAGAGGAACATCAGACACTGCGGCCTACTTGAGAGTGAAGGGTGGGAGGAAGAAGAGGTTCAGAAATACCTACCAGGTACTATGCTTATTACCTGGGTAATAAATGATCTGTACACCAAACCCACATTACACACAGTTTACCTGTATATCAAACCTGCACCTGTACCCTTAAACCTAAAATAAAAGTTAAAAAAAAAAGAAAAGAAAAGAAGATGGTCTGAATGGCAAAATGGATAAAATTAAAATCAAAACTAGTGAACTGAAATAGCAAGGTGAGAAGTTCTTCTGAAATGCAGTATAAAAGATAAAAAGAAATACAAAGAAAAAGTCATGAAGGACAGATCCAGTGGACGAAACATGATTTGGCACAAACAGATTTAGCGTCTTTTGGGTAAGGTATTTTTTCCTCGTAAGGAACACCCCACATTATCTTAATAGTCCCTTGTATCTAATATTCCATTTGCCTGATATTAACATAGCTACAGATTTCCTTGGGATATTAATTCCTTCTCTTTACTTTCAGCATTCTGTGTCACTATGCTTTCAGTTGTGTTTCTTTTTAATGATATGAAAAATTTTGGTTTTATAACCAATATGAGACTCCCTAGCATTTTAACTGTTCAGTTTAATTTTTGCATGTTCGTGACTACCATATTTGGATTTATTTCTTCCATCTAAGTTTGCCTTTTATTTGTAATGTTTTCTCTTTGCTTTCTTGTTGTCCTTTCCTTCCTTCTATGGGACTGAACATATTTCTGAAAAATAAATGGACGGGAAAAGATAGACTCTAGTACTGGTGTAGGGATTGATAATTAGCCTAATGCAATTTTCAGCTAAGGGAAATGTCTGGAGACATTTTTGATAGTCACAACTGAGATACTGCTGGCATCTAGTGAGGAGAAGCCAGGGACGCTGCTAAACATTCTGCAGTACTGAGGACAGTGTCCCATAAGAAAGAATCATCCAGTCCCAGATGTCAATATTACCAAGGTTGAAAAACTCTGGTCTAATAGAATAGAATAGAGATCCCAGAAACATATTTTTGCATATAAGGAAACTTGAGATACGCCGAAGATGACATCGCAGATTACTGAGGAAAGAGGAACTATTTCATAAGTGGCTTCAGAGCAACTGATTGTCCACGTGTAAATAAACCACTCACGTTCTCACTCATAAGCGGGAGGTGAACAATGAGAACACATGGACACAGGGAGGGGAACATCACACACCAGGGCCTGTTGGGGATGGGGGGTCAAGGGGAGGGACAGCATTAGGACAAATACCTAATGCATGCGGGGCTTAAAACCCAGATGAAGGGTTGATAGGTGCAGCAAACCACCATGGCACATGTATACCTATGTTACAAACCTGTACGTTCTGCACATGTACCCCAGAACTTAAAGTAAAATTTTAAAAAATAAAATAAAATAAAACTATATGCCTACTTTAATCCAGGTAGATTAAAGCCTTAAATGTGAAAAATAAAATGTTTAAACCTTTAGAAATATATACAATAATATTTCTATAACATATAGGGGTAGAGAAGCCCTAAACAAGGCTCAAAAAGCCCAAATTATACAGATACATTCTGATGAATATGACTGCGTTAAAACTTAAAACTAACCAAAACTGTCACCATAAATAAATCTAAGAGACAAGAAACAGACATAGAAGATACTTTCAACTCATATACCTAAGGAATAGTAGTCAGAATATTATAGAAAACTTTAATAACCTAATAAATTAAAGCAAAGTCAAGTGAGAATAGAAAAATGAGCAAAAAAGAGTAAAATGAAATTCAAAGAATAAATGCTAATGACAATAGGCCTATGAAAAGAAGCTCAATCTCACTGAAAATTAGAGGAATGCAAGTTAAAACATGGAGAAACCATTTTCATATTTATTGTATTTGCAAAATTTTTGTCTGATTATAGCAAGTGTTGGAGCAAATGGGAAAAATCAAATACATTTTGTACACCACCGCTGCTGAGCATTTGGCCCAATCATTTGGAGAACAACTTGGCAATGTGTACTAAAGTTGAAGATGTTCATATCACACAGTCCCACAACTCTATCTTATGTACACAACAGGTAAGAACAAAAACATTCTTGCTGGTTTTTTTGGTTTTTTTTTTTTTTTGAGACAGGGTCTCTCTCTGTTGCCCAGGCTGGAGTGCAGTGGCACAAACACAGTTCACTGTAACCTTGACTTCCTGGGCTTAAGCGAACCTCCCACCTCAGTCTCCCAAGTAGCTGGGACCACAGGCATGCACCACCACTCCCAGCTATTTTTTTTTATTATTATTTTTAGTAAAGATGGGGGTCTCACTATGTTGTCCAGGCTGGACTAGAACTCCAGGCCTCAAGCGATACCCTCCCAAAGTGCTGGGATTACAAACGTGAGGCACTGTGCCCAGCCTGTATTTTTAATAAGAGAAAGAAATAGAAAACCAAAAATTTGTCAACTGAGGAATAGATAAGTCAGCTATGTTCATACAACAGAATATTGCACAGAAGTTTAAATAAATGAACTAGAGATACACTTAGCACCAAAAATAAAGCTCAGAAGTATACTGTAGAGTAGCGGGGAGGGAAACAAGTTTCAGAAGAAAATGAAAGTGTGAGACCATTTATATAAAATTTTAAATCTGCAAAGCAATCCCGTATAATATATATGGGATTATATATTATATATATATAGTATATATATATAACTATTATATATATAGTTATAATGGATACTATAATGTATCCATTATAACTAATGGATACATGGTTACGTAACAAAAACTAAAAGCATGAAAGGCGAGATTAAACACTAATGAAAGTGGGTAGTTCTGAGTGGAAAGAGAGGATTCTAGGGTAAATTAATACTGTGCTGTTTCTTTTTTAAAAATGTTAAATACACAATTAAAATTTGATCTAGTAGTAGGTTCGTCACATGGGTATTCAATATATTATTATATTCTTGTGTATTTATTTGAATTATTTCACAAACTAGATTAATTGTAATCAGTTTTAAATACCTGTCACAGAATCATCAAAAATGAAATTCACACAGGCATTCAGCTAACATCTCAAAATTTAGTTGTCCAACAGCACCCTCTGCTGTTCTGTATAAGCTAGGACCAATTATTTACAGCAAAAATCAACACTGAAAAAGCTGGAGAGGTCTCTCCATATAGTACTTCCCCTCTTCCACCCCAGCAGCAAGCAGCCTCTGCATCAGAAGTACCATCTTTTGGAATCTGGGGAATATGGTAAAAACACATAGTTTGTGACAATTATTCTGTACAAAGATTTTCTCCCAGGATAATGAGGAGCCAGGGGTTTGAGGAAAGGTGTCTGTGCAGGGCACACACCCCAGAGAGAAGTCTCTGGGCCCCATGGCATCAGTATGTCATAGGCAAGATAATAAAAGGGTGGGTGGGGTAAAGGCGACACTGAGTGAGTGAAGGGCAAAGCTAGGGTCTGAGCTGCCAGTGGCCTGAGAAAAATCTGATTCAGCCCCTTTATTTACAAATGAGGACTTTGAGGTTCAAAAAGATCTCTTCCTGGATCACCCAGTGACTCCAAGTCACACCAAGAAATGCACCCAGGGAAAGGGAATTAGATACATGGTAGCACTCTGTCCTCATGTATGAGTCTTCATCAAGTCCTAAGCACTTACGTAGATGCTGCACTCTATTCCTGTTAATATGCTCTCCTTTCCCACCGTCTTTACCATGAGCCAGCCGGGCACATGAGGGGCTGTCACAGAATTGCCCTCCCATATTAGCTCAAAACTTAGAGCTGCTTAGGGCTTTGCCCTGGGAGGAGAATCTCACTGAGGGAGATGCTGCTGGACAAAATAGCCTGCCAAAAAGATCTGCCTCCCTGTACATTTCCTATTGCTGCTTAGCAAATTACCGCTAACTTAGCAGCTTAATAAAACAACACAGACCTCCCCATTCTAAAGATCAGATGTCTGAAATGGGTCTCACAGAGCTAAAATCAAGGCATCAGCAGAGCTGTATTCCTTCTCCAGGCTCTGGAGGAGAATCCATTTCCTTGCCTTTTCCTTAGCTCATGGCCCCGCTTCCTTCTTCAAAGCTGGCAATCACATCACATCACTCTAGACTATGCTTCCCATCTCCTTCTCTGACTCTGACCCTCTGCCTCCCTCTCTTACTCAGAAGGACCTTTGTGATTACCCACATAATCCTGGATAATCCCCTATCTCAATGTCAGTTAGATTAGCAAACTGAATCCCATGTGCAACTTTAATTCCCCCTTGCTATGTAACATAACATAATCACAGGTTCTCGGGATTAGGATGTGGACATCTTGGAGTGGGGGGAGCATTTTTCTGCCTACCACATTAGTCATAGCCAGTATTGGCTTGAAGAAAGGCTACATACTTCAACTCATGGTCTTCCCCTATCCTTTCCTGATAGTCTTCTCTCTGTGTGTGTGTGTGTTTCTCTCTCTCTCTCTCATTTGCAGACATACATATGCACATACACACACACACACACACACACAGGCCTTATCTCAATTACCAGCCTAAAAGTGCGCAAATAACCTCAAGAACAAGAATTGTATCATTTAACTTTCAATAATTTCACATATACAAGATGTCCCTCCCTCTCTGCATTACCACCAATGAGCTCTTCTATTCCTCCAACATCAACCGGCCCTTCTGAGATTCCTCTACAGCTCCAAGCCCCTCTACTTCCTGCATATTTCTATATCCCCTCAGGACATCGTTGAGCAAAAATTATTTTCATTTCAAGACATATTTGTTCAACACCTACTACATGCCAGAATTGTACACAAATATTCTTGCCCTCAAGGAGCACAGTGTCTACAACACAGGTCAACACACATGCAAACACACACACATACACACACACAAGCCAATTGCAGAGCTCAGTGCTGCACTGAAGAGTGCATGAGTGTCAAAAGGAAATAATTAACTCAAGCCTAGGAGGCGTGGAGAATCCACACAGGAGATGTCTTTTATGCAAGGCCTTAAGAACAGATAGCATTTTGACAAGAGAAAGGAAAGGAAATAATTAACTCAGGCCTGGGAGGCGTGGAGAATCCACACAGGAGATGTCTTCTATGCAAGGCCTTAAGAACAGAGAGCCTTTTGACAAGAGAGAAGGGTGGGAAGAGCATTCCAGACACAGGGAGTAGGATAAATAAAGGCAAGGAGATGGGAACATCTTGGAATGTTCAGGAACAGTTGGATGTGCCTTGAATGAAAGCAGTGGATGGAGGGAATAGGGTTGGGAAATGAGGCTAAAAGAAGTTTTAATCAGGTGAGAAAAGGCCTCAATGTCACTCTGAGTGGGTGTCCTGATTCTAGCGTTTCCGTGTTTCCTCACTGCTCTCTCCCACCATGGAGCCTGGCACAGAGAGTTACCAAGACAGGCAGAGGATTGACTGACCAGTTGACTGACCAGAGTTTCAGGGAGGGCTTCTTCCTCTGTCCTTTGTAGACAGGGCCCCAGCCCCCAGGATTCCCAGAAAACTCAAGGACAGCAGTGACATCCTTGGTCTCTTCCTACCTAAGAAGGAAAAGGGTGGGATAACTTCTCTGAGCCCTTTTCCCTCTAATTGTACCTGTATCTTTTGTGGACCTGGAACAGGAATTAAAAGAAATTAATGAATGTGTAAGCAAAAACTCAGTTGTATGTAAGAAAACCCAATTCCCCCTGAGAAAGAGAAAGAGGTGGAGTCCTTTAAAAATTAACTCCCTGTTTTTCTGCCTGTGGCTATTGAGCCTTATCTCTCCCTTTCCCAGGCATTGTGAAGACCCTGTTTCTCTAGCTGTGCAGCTGCAAGGTCACTAGACAGATAAACCCAAGTCATAAAACATGTTTTTCCTTGAAAAATAAGAAATAATGTAACGCATGTCTCAATTAAATAACTGCCTTTGTTTCTTGATTCTGCAATATGCTTCCCCCTGCACAGATCTCCCCCGACCCCACAAAATGCTTAAAAGGTAACCTGACTCTTTGTTCAGGGCTCAGTCCTTTGTATGGTAATCCGACTGGATGGGTGCACCTAAATAATAATAAATCCTCCTCAACCCCTCAGTCTCTCTGATTCCTAAATTATCCCACTGCAGAGCTTGTCCCTTTCTCTGTGAGTTACTCTTTCAGAATTCGAGGGAGGCGTAACTGACTGGAAAAGGCCAGAAGACAGGAGGGATCCAAGGTATGTGGCAAGGCTGGAGGATTTCTGGATTCATTCACCACCTGGAGTTCCTGGAATCATAAATAAGATCAGAAGAGGTGGACTCGGCCAGGCGCAGTGGCTCACATGGTAATCCCAGCACACTTTAGACGGCCGAGGCAGGCAGATCATGAGGTCAGATCGAGACCATCCTGGCTAACATAATGAAACCCCATCTCTACTAAAAATACAAAAAATCAGCCGTGTGTGGTGGCATGCGCCTGTAATCCCAGCTACTCGGGAGGCTGAGGCAGGAGAATCACTTGAACCCGGCAGGTGGAGATTGCAGTAAGCCGAGATCACACCACTGCACTCCAGCCTGGGCAACAGAGCGAGACTCCGTGGAGGAGGAGGAGCGGGGGTGGGGAAGGGGGAGGGGGAGGGGAAGCCTCACCCATACTGTATTCCCAGCACTAACTTCTTCCATCCATTCTGATGGGACCTCCATGATATTTTGGCCCCTTCACAAATTATATCACCCTTTGAATCCTCAGGGCTCCCAGAGGCGTTCCCACCCCACTCTACGTCCCCTTTCCCTGCTGACAAGCCCCGGATCAGCCACCCCTCAGGCCTCTCCCTCCATGAAGCTTTCCCAGATTATCCTCACACTCCTCAAAGCTGATGACTCCTCAGGGCTCCTGATGATTCATTAGGAATTAATAATTTAATTTGCAATAAATCAGCTAGTGATCTTGATGGCAGGTGAGGAAAACTGATTAGTCACTTTCCACACATAAACCAGAACTTCTACATTTCGTGCATTGAGTGTATTGAATCAGGAAATCTAACCCAGAAAGGGAAGGTGGTCAAGACAGGGATGGAGAAGCCAAGGCACCGAAGGTGAGAGAAAAGGCATCAATGAATTATCTATGGCAGAGAGTCAGGAATAGGTGGCAGGAAGAGTCAGGGGCAGGGTGATATTGAAATGAAGAATTTCATTAATGGAGCAAATTTAGGTAGCGAATTAGGCCTGTGTGTTGCCAATGCAGTTGAGATGAAACTTACTGGAAAAGAGGAGGTAAAAGAACTGGAAAGCTGTAGAAAACAAAATTATCTGGAATGTTGGCAGGATGTGGGATGGGTGATCCAAGAGTCAGTCTAAATGAAGGAAGGGGAGTAACTGGGAGATGAAAGGAAGATGTAATAAGAAGGGGTATCCAGAGGACAGGAGCCTCAGGGGAGCAGAGTAAGCTGTGTGGTCTGGAAACTGCAATACAGACCAAGGTGCTCAATGTGACTGTGAACTCCCCCTCCCAGCCTGAGGAGCACAGGCTGCAGAGCACATGAGGCTGCACTTCAGGAGCCTCTGAGGGAAACAGGTGTTCCTGAGAACCGTGTTTCACTCTGTTTGCAGTGTTCTATTTAAATGATTTCTGCTTTTATGTCTATTCATTCCTTCCTAGTTTCTTTTAGTTTATTTGGCTTTATATTCTAGTTCCTTAAACTAAATATTTGGTTTATTTGCTTTTGATACATCTCATTTTGCAATAAAGAAATCACTAAAAGTGAAGAATTCTCCGAGAACCACATTGATTGCAACCACATGTTAAGATGTGAAGTGTCCATGTTGTCAATTCCCAAATAGCCAGTAACTGAATGTTCACTTTTCCCTTTGACAGGAAGATATTCAGAAAACTGCTCTTTTTTGTTCTTTTATTTATTTATTTATTTTAGTGTTTCCAAGTGGTTTGAAATGTTTTACTTCGAATTTTGTCTTTAATTCTACTTCTGTGGCATTGTATTAGAAAATGTGACCTGTACATTTTCAAACTTAGTTGTTTATCGAGATTTTCTTTAGTGCCTAGTATTGATCCATGTCCCATTTTTAATGCCCCATGGGAATTAAAATTCTTTGTTCATTGTGCACAAAGTCATAATAAAGCTTCTTCATCATAGTACTCAAATCTTCTCTTTTGTGTTTGTTTGTTTTCTTTTGGTTTTTTAAATAGAGATATTTTAAATGTCCCCTGTTATGATTATTGGGTTTTTTTCTTATATTTTTAACAGATTTTGTTTTGTATGTGTCAGTGCAAAGTAGTTTGGGTACAAAAAAGTTCGTGACTGTTCTAGCTTCTTGGCAAATCACACCTTTTTTTCTAAATAAAACAGTATTATTTGTACCACTTAAAGATCTTGGACTTGATTCTGCTTTGATCCTTCCATGGTATCAAACCTTGTTTTCTTTTGGTTAGCATTTACCTCACATATATATTTGTCCATCCATTTATTTTTCAACCTTGCTGTGTTCATTTATTTTTGGTGCATCTCTTGTAAAAAACATACTTCTGGATTTTACTTTTTGACTCTACCGTCTATTATTTTCATAGCTTTTTTCCTTCATTTTTGTATTTTTTATTCTTCCCTTACAGACCTTTGCAAGATCCATTGGGTTTTAGGTTGTTGCTTCTATTTCTCTTCTAGTGGTTTCAAGGATCTATATATCAGTCAGTACTTGATTCCACTGAGTAAAGAAACCCAAAAGAAGAGTCGCTGAAGACATACATTCTTACATGTAAAACAAGTCTAGAAGAAGACAGTCCAGGGCTGAGACGGAGGCACCACTGCCCTCAGGAACCCAGGCTCCACTCTCTTTCTGCTTCACCATTCTTGGAGAGTAATTTTTTTTTCAAAGTCACAAGGTGGCTGCTAGGGCTCCCACCTTCATGCCCAAGTTCCACGCAACAAGGAGAAGAAAGAGGGAAGGGCGCAAAAGGGCATGTTCAACTGCATCAGCTCCACTGCAGGAGCCCTCTCTGAAGTCTCACACAGCACTTCTACTTACATAGAATTAGCCAGAACATAATCACATGGATGTGGCTATAGATATGTAGTATATACCAATCTGCAAGTGTGGCTGGAAAATAAGAAAACATGGTATTTTAGTTGAGCATAGCACCACTTCCTTCTCTTTGTAAGGAAGAAGAGGAGAAAGGATACTAGATAGGCAACTGAAATCTCTGCCAAAATATACATACTATAGCCATTCTACCAGCTATTACATTTAATTTTTTAATAACGCTATTTAAAGAGACATTTCCCTGTAAGTATCAACCATTAATCATTGTGATTGCCCCTCAAAATAAGATATGTATCATTTTTAATTTCTGTCTTTCCCAATCATGCCTCCCAAATGTTAGTATGATTTTACTTCCAAGTTATCAGTTTTGTACTATACACTATTTTATCATAGGAATCACTATTAGTAATTGTATGAAATATATTATTAATAATAATTGTTATTAAATGTAACTGTGAGGCATAAAAGTTTTCTTGCTCACCAACTATGATTGTAATCTCCATCATTTATTTCTTGAATTTTTCATCTAATAGTAATTTCTCCAGAAATGGTATGGCACATTTGCAAAACCCTATTTTTGCCAAATTTTATATGACATTTTCTAATTACAGAATTTCAATTTCTCAATTCTTTTTCCTCAGAACCAAGTAGCCTCTGCTCCCTTGTCCACTGACATTTAATCTTAAACTAGTCTTTAGCCCTTCCAACTGGCTTTTCCTTGCGTGTAATTTATTTTCTGAAAACTCGTAAGTTATTATCCTTAGCCCTAAAATTCAGAATCTGGAAATTTCACCTAGCTATTCCCTTCTACCCTCAGGATGTACTTTTGATCAGAAGTATGAAATATATCTTCACTTTTTAAATTTTTCTCCTCCTCCTCCTGCTCCTTCCTAATTCCTGTTATTCTTCTAACATATATATGTGTGTGTATATATATATACCCATATATATGCATATATATATGGGTATATATATACATATATGCGTATATATATATGGGTGTATATATATATGGGTGTATATATACATATATGTATATATGGGTGTATATATACATATATATGTATATATGTGGGTGTATATATACATATATATGTATATATGTGGGTGTATATATACATATATATGTGTATATATATTTGATCTCTTATCTTTATCCTCATAATTTCCATTTCCTTGTCTTTTTGGTCTATGTTATGGGATCATACCTTGATTTCCAACTCAGCGATTAATTTTAAAATCATGTCTTCTAATTATTTGGAACTTTCTTTTGATAAGCAATATTTTAATTTGTAAGAATTTTTTTGTGTATGATTAGCCCTTGAATTATGAATATCACATCCTCTCAACATGTTCTGAAGATACTAAATATCATTTCTGAAGGTTTTTTTCATCTTTCTCTGTTTCTTTTTTTATACATATTAAGTTCTGGGATGCATGTGCAGAACGTGCAGGTTTGTTAGATAGGTATACATCTGCCATGCTAGTTTGCTGCACCCAACAACCCATCATCTAGGTTTTAAGCCCTGTATGCATTAAGTATTAGTCCTAATGCTATCCCTCCCCTTGTCCCCTACCCCCCAACAGTCCCCAGTGTGTGATGTTCCCCTCCCTGTGTGCAAGTGTTCTCATTGTTCAACTCCCACCTATGAGTGAGAACATGCGGTGTTTGGTTTTCTGTTCCTGTGTTAGTTTGCTGAGAATGATGGTTTCCAGGTTCATCCATGTCCCTGCAAAAGACATGAACTCATTCTTTTTTATGGCTACATCATATTCCATGGTGTATATATGCAACATTTTCTTTATCCAGTCTATCATTGGTGGGCATTTAGGTGGGTTCCAAGCCTTTGCTATTGTAAATAGTGCTGCAATAAACATATGTGTGCATGTGTCTTTATAGTAGAATGATTTATAATCCTTTGGGTATATACCCAGTAATGGGTATTTCTGGTTCTAGATCCTTGAGGAATGGCCACACTGTCTTCCACAATGGTTGAACTAATTTACACTCCCACCAATGGTGTAAAAGCGTTCCTATTTCTCCACATCCTCTCCAGCACCTGTTGTTTCCTGACTTTTTAATAATTGCCGTTCTAACTGGCATGAGATAGTATCTCGTTGTGGTTTTGATTTGCATTTCTCTAATGACCAGTAATGATGAGCTTTTTTTCATGTGTTTGTGGCTGAATAAATGTCTTCTTTTGAGAAGTGTCTGTTCATATTCTTTGCCCACTCTTTGATGAGGCTGTTTGTTTTTTCTTGTAAATTTGTTTAAGTTCCTTGTAGATTCTGGATATTAGAGCTTTGTCAGATGGATAGATTTTCTCTCATTCTGTAGGTTGCCTGTTCACTGTGATGATAGTTTCTTTTGCTGTGCAGAAGCTCTTTAGTTTAATTAGATCGCATTTGTCAATTTTGGCTTTTGTTGCAATTGCTTTTGGTGTTTTAGTCATGAAGTCTTTGACCAATTCTATGTCCTGAATGGTATTGCCTAGGTTTTCTTCTAGGGTATCTTTCTCTGTTTCTTCCTTAGCTAGTCATCCTGTTTAATCTTCTTCACACTTCTTTTTCATGATGCTAATTTTCCTCAAATATTTGCTAATTCTTTGCTTTAAATGAAGTACTAAGTTGAATATCATCAACACCAGGCATTGGCTCCTTCAGCATTTGTATAGGGGGACTGTCTCTCCCTGGAGCTGGCCAACTGCAGGCTCATGATAAATGGGATGAGGAGGTTGCCAACCAATTCCCTTGTGGTGTGTGAATGGGGAGCTAGCAGGCAATCTGGGAATGAATTTGCTATAAATGACTGGCTTTAGTATGGTTCTCTGTAACAGCCCGTTGTTTTTTGTTTTTTCTGAGACTACTTTGAAAACCCAGAATTACATCAGATCCTGCCCTGTCTCTTTCTGACCTCTCATACCAGCTGAGCCCTTCACATTCACCTGGAAGCAAACACTGAAACCAGCCACTCCTGAAAACAAGTGGAGAAGAGGACCCTCGTTTTTCCTGGGAGAGTTGCTTGCTTAATCCCCTTTACATTCACCCTGTGGCTAGCTCCTCCTCCATATACTTTTTGACTCCTGACTTAAAAGTTCCCAGGTTACTCTAGGAAGAGAGCTTTCATTTCTGCAGTAGCCCTCTCCACATCTCTTCTTGGTTACTCTACTCTAAATTCTCCATTGTCTTATCCCATTTTTTTTTTAAATTAAAGAAATAACAAATGATTATTTATTCCATACTTTTTTTTTCTTCTTTGAGACAGAGTCTTGCTCTGTCGCCCAGGCTGGAGTGCAATGGCACAGTTTCGGCTCACTGCAACCTCTGTCGCCTGGGTCCAAGTGATTCTCCTGCCTCAGCCTCCCTTGTAGCTGGTATTACAGGCGTGCACCACCAAAACCATCTAATTTTTGTATTTTTTAGTAGAGACATGGTTTCACCATGTTGGCCAGGCTGGTCAACTCTTGACCTCAAGTGAGCCGCCTGCCTTGGCCTCCCAGAGTTCTGGGCTTGCAGGTGTGAGCCACCATGTCTGGCCAATAAATCTTACTGAATGGATCCAAGCTGCCTGTTATGTTTTAGATACCAAAGAGGCAGCAATGAACAAGATACAAATCCCTGTCCTTACAAAGCTCTTTTCTTACACTAAATAGCACAGAGATAGAGAAAGGTCATGACCCCTTCCTGTCCCACATTCTCCAATCCCAGTTCCTGAGGTAATATGTGAATAGTTTTGTATATAGTCTTCCACACCTCTCTCTAAGATCCTATAAACAATATCTGTGCTGTTTTGTTTTGTTTCACATAAGGAATCTCACTGTGTGCTCTTACAACTCATTTTTTTAACTTAATGATTTGGTAGAAACATTCTTCCGGTTCCACTATACAGATCCAATTCACTCTCTTAACAGCTGGACAGTATTGAGATTGTACCACAATCTACGCAAGTAACCCCTTATAGACAGACACACATGTATTTTTTTCTATGTGGTTTTAGTTTTGGTTCTCATTTTTTTAGCTGAATGTATGTATGTATTTATCTGTTTGGTTTTTGCTGCTACAAGTCTGTGATAAACATCTTTGTCCATACATCCCTATGTATGTGTGCTTCTGTATACTCTATAGTATACAGTCCCATAATTGGGAACGTTAGGACAAATGATTTATATATTTTTATTTTAATAGATATTGTCAGATTATTTTCCAGAAAGATTGTGGCAAGCCATGTTCTCACTGACAGCCCATGAATTTCCCCATATACTTGGTACTGCTCAATCTTATCAATTTTCCAATTTTTCCTCATATGATAGCTGAAAAAAATTCCTTAATTGGTGTTTTAATTTTCACTTCCCTAATGATCAGAAAGATTTCCATATTTTTATTGGCAATATGTATTTTCTTTCAATAGATTTCCTCTTTATAATTATGGCTAGTTTGGTGATTGTTATTTTTCTCTTCTTGTCATTTTATAGACATTCCCTCCATAAGAAAAATAGTAGCCCTCTGAATATCATATGTATAGCTAAAAATATATATCCTACTCTATTTTATCTTTTAACATTTATAGTATCTTTTGACATGGACAACATTTAAATTTGTAGGTTCTCATAAATGTTTATTTTCTTTTTCAGTTTCTCTTCTCCCTTGCTTAAAAAGATCTTTTTGATTTACATGGATTTACATATTCTCCTGAATGTTCATCTAAGTTTAGAGATGGAGGGGTTAAAAATTGTTTAGGCCATCTGGAATATGTTTTATACATTAGGTAAAGTAAGGAACTGTTTTCTTCTAGTTGAAAGCTGATTATTCTTACATCTTTTATTAAGTGACAAATCAGCCACTGAATTCCAATTAGACTTAAGTCATGTAGATTCTCCACTCAGTCTTACTGAGTATGTCTCTCTCTATTCTTCTGTCAAAGCCATACTATAACTTCTATTCTGACTTAAACTCTGTTCTATTCTTGTGTCAAAGCCACACTACAACTTCCATAGGACAAGGACTTTGTTTTTTATATTCTCTTTGCTATCTCTCCAGTGCCCCAAAGATGCCTCAATGCCTAGAAAAGTGCCTTCCCCATTGTAGGTGCTCAAAAAGTCAATGAACCAATGAATGAATTATAGTAGTTTAAGAATGAGTTTTAATATCTGGAGTGCCAGTGCTCTCATTGTTCTTCTTTCCAAATGTACTAGCAGTTCCCACTCATTTCCTCAACATTGAAGAAGGAATATATTTTTACATTTCTAATTCTAACTGGGGTTTTTTCTGGGTTAGAAAAAAGCTACTGGCTTTTCTTGCATTTGTCTTACATCCAAACATATTCCCAAGTTCTTTTATAGGTTTTTGTTAGCAGACTACCTGAGATTTTCTAGAAATGTATCATTTAATCAGCTAATCATCTGTAAATGAAAATACAGTTTCTCTTTTTTACCATATTAATTCTGATTATTTCCTTTTTTATTAAATATATGAGATAAAACCTTCAAAATAATATTGAGTAATAATGGAGATAGTGAGCACCCCATATTTTCCTCATATAAGTGGCAATTGCTTTCATATTTTGTCATTTGTAAAATGTTTGTTACTGATTTTTAATATATAGTCTCTATAGTTTCCTGGCTTCTTTTTTTATCTAGAGTTTAATTCAGAATGGCTGATGAGTATAATAATGACCTTTAGAGAATCTACTAAGTTGGAAATAATCTATTAATAATTTTTCTCTTTTTATGTGTTGATGTGATAAAATATATTAAAATATTTCTTAATAAGATTTTCTATAATGAATCATCCTTACGCTTATTTATATACTCTTCTTGATTATAGTACACTATTCTTTTAATATAATGCCAACTTCATTTGCTAATATGTTTTAGAATTTTTGCCTCTATGTTAACCGGTAAAATTCTTTATAGTTTTATTTTTATATTCCTTTTTATTAGATTTTGATATTAGCATATTCAGGCCTCATAAAATGAATTGGGAAGCTCGTCATCTTTTTCTATGGACTGCAATAATTCAAATAACATCAAATTATATGGTCTTTAAAGCATCCCTACTTCAAGTGTGGCCCTCAAACCAGTGCCAGTCTGCCAAATGTACATTCCCAATCCACAACAAGGTAAGCACAGTGTTTTAATTTCCTTTTGATGCAGTAACAAATTGCCACAAACTTACTGGCATGAATGGTACAGTTCTGGAGGTCAGAATTCTCAAGGAGCTAAAAGTCAAGGCATCAGCAGGGCTGTGCTCCCTCTGGAGGCTCTAGGGGAGAAGCTCTTCTCTGCCTGTTCAAGTCTTCTAGAGGCTGCTCACATTCCTCAGCTCATCTCACTCCCACCTTTGCTTCACTCCTCAAGTCTCCTTCCCTTATAAGGACCTTCATGATGACATTGGGCTCACCTGGATAATACAGGATAATCTTTCCGTCTCAAAGTCCTTAACTTAGTCCCCTCTGCAACGTCCTTTTGCCCTGTAAGGTACCATATTCATAGGTTCCAGAGATTAGGATGTGGACATCTTTTGGGGGCATTATTCTGCCTACCACACACAAGAATTGCGAGTGTTTAGAAACTTCTATTGCAGTTCCACAGAGTAATTTTATGTCTGCTGAATCTACTAATAGAAAATTGGGGTTTGTGTTTTGCATGTCTTTTTGTTTTATTTTTATTAGCAGATATCAGTCTACAATGTTCTGAAAATTTTTAAAGTTGATTCTTCACCTGGGAAATTTTGAGGAACGCTACCTTAAAACTTAGATATAATTCAGCTCTAAAGTCAGCTGATCCCTGTGCCTTTTTAGTACTATGTAGGTTTTAGTCATCTTTTAAAATTCTGCTGTGATTCGACTGTCCATTTTTCAAAATATTCTTGAATTAATTTTGATAATTTATATGCTACTAGAAAAACCGCTACCAGGTCAGCAGCACCCTGTACTACTCCAGTCTTTTGGCTGTTATAGACTCAGTGGGCAGAGGAAGAGGTAGAAAGAAGGGGAGACTATCCTGTCAGCATGCCATCATCCACACTATCACCATGTCAGGAAAATTGTGTGGTGTTCCTGATACATCTTCCACATTCTGTTAATATTCATCACTCTCCTGAGGTTTCGTGCAACAAGTCTGGCCAAGGTCATTCGCATCTGATGATTTTCTCAACAGTTGGCATAATAGCCTTCCTTGCCATGGGGAACTGAGACACTAGTAATCCATGTTTTGAGCTTGCTGCATCGTATTACTCCCGTTGTCTCTAGTGGTAACACCGGAAGAAGTGCAGGTCGAGAGAAAGAAAGGCACCAGGAGATGGACTGGCTTCAGCACTTAGTTGCTATGACAACAATGGTGCGCTGTAAAAATCGTAGTCACCTGGCTTCTTCTTACAGGGCTAGAGTGTATAATTAGGAGAACGAGTGAGAGAGAGAAAGAACTATTAATATACAATCAGGAACATGTAGAGAACAGGAGGCCTTCGTAGCAGCTTTGGAGGATTCTCCCATTTCCTGTAGTCACAGGGAACATAGGGCTGAGGACCATGGCTGGTCTGATTGGAAGAGTTTCAGAGTTGCAACACCAGTTAAAGGTTCAGCTGCTCCAGGTCTCTTATGCCAAAGTTTGCGCACCGGTGGGAAAGGAGAGTGACCTTGGAAGGAGGGTGTTTGATCAAATGTGGTTGAGGCTAAGAACTTTGAACCCTGATGCCCCTGAATCTCTGTGCCCAGCAGAAGCAGCTTACTGCTGTGAATTCACTCCTTAGCAGCAAATTGGAATTCACCCTCTCTCAGCTCACGGTTTGAGGATTTGTGCTTCCTGGGAAGTTCCCTGACTTCTTGCCAGCCCGATAATGCAAGGAAAGATATGTTCTATGCAGGTTCCAGTTGCTTTGTAGTGGAAGAAAAATTTCAGAATATCTAGTTCATCATATTGACCCCAGTCTTTCTTGAACTCACTCCAAGCAGGTTTCAGTTCCCCATGAGTAGAGTCTCAAGATTATCAATCACCTTTTGATTGATTAAACCCCACTTTGTCTTCCTTGACCTTCAGCAGCATATGACATAGTTAATCTTGGCCTCCTTGACCCACTATATCCTACAGGCTTCCAAGACATGCCCCACTCTGTTCCCTTGCTCCCTCACTGGACACTGCTGCCCAGTCTCCTTTGCTGGCCCCTCCCATCTTCCTGACCTCATCCTCTTCTCCATCTGTACCATGCCCAAGGTAGTCCCATGCAATCTTTTGGCTGTAAACATCATCCAGCCCAGAAACACCCCCAGAACTTTAGCCTTATGTATCAAACTGCCTGCTTTAAAGCTCCACCAAGATGTCTATTAAGCCTCTCAAACTTCACACAGCCAAGACAACACTCCCTCACCAACGGGGCTCCTTCAAGAGCCTTTCTCAGTTCAGTCCATAGCAACCCCATTCTTGTAGCTGCTCGGGCCAAAAACCTGGCATCATCCTCCCTTTGATCTTAGTCAAAGCTTATCAGCTTGGGCTGATATAACAAATTACGGTAGACTGAGTGGCTTAAACAACAAACGTTTATTTCTCGCCATTGTAGAAGCAGGAAAATCCAAGATCAAAGTGCCAGCAGATTCAGTGTCTGGTGAGGGACTGCTTCCTGGTTTGCAGACAACAGCCTCCTTTTTTGTTGTATCTTCACATGGCAGAGAAACAGTCATCTCTTTGAGGTCTCTTCTCATAATGGGCACTAATCCCATGCATGGGGGCTCCACTCTCATGACCTAATCAGTTCCCAAAGGCCCCACCTCCAAATACCATCACATTGGGGATTAGAACTTCAAAATATGAATTTTAGGGGGGCACAAACATTTATTCCATAGCAGAAATTCCTCTCTCTCTCTCTCTGTCTCTCTCTCACACACACACAATTTTTCAGCAAATGCTGTCAGATTTACCTTCAAAATATTATAGATTCTGACCACCTGCACCATCTGTTCCACTACCAACTGGTAAAAGCCAACATTACCTCTCCCTGGGATTATTACAAGAGCCTTCCAACTGGGTGGTAGAGGATGCTAACTGCCATCCAAAATCCATCCTCCCCTTCTTCCTCAGGGACAAAAACCTGGACAATATGTGTAACAGATAAGCTATATTTCCTGGCTTCTCTTGCAGCTAGGTGTGGCCATGTGTCTCCCATGTGGTGGTTGGGATGGAATCAGAAATGCTGAATGAGACTGATGAGAAGACTTGTTAAAGGGGGGCAGACCAGCTCCTTCTGCTCCCTTCAGAGTGGGTCCAGGGTCCATAGTTTCAGCACTCACTAGAGACCATGAAGTATCCAGGAGGGTGAAAGCCAAAACTCAGGATGGTGAAACAGCAATACAGAAGCCTGCATCCTTGATGACTTTGGGAAGCTACCTTTCCAGCTCTCAACCGTGACCTCTGGATTTTTTTAAGATGAAAAAAAAAAAATCTTAGATTTTCTGTTACATGTAGCAAGCTGGGTAGATAAACTGGTCTCTCTGCTTCTTCAGTCTATTCTCCACTCAGCAGCTAAAATGATCTAATTTTTTTTTTTTTTTGAGACAGCCTTGCTTTGTCGCCCAGGCTGGAGTGCAGTGGCATGATCTTAGCTCACTGCAACCTCTGCCTCCTAGGTTCAAGCCGTCCTCCCACCTCAGCCTCCCAAGTAGCTGGGACTACAGGTGCACACCACTACATCTGGCTAATTTTAAGTGGTCCTTCTTAAATATAAGTCAGATCACATCCCTTCTCTACCCAGAATCCTCCAGTGGTTTTGCTTCTCACTCAGGGTAAAAGCCAAAGTGCTCACAGTGGTCTGCAGTATCCTGAATGGTCTGCCCCCCACTGCTTCTTCCACTGCATTTCCTACCACCACCCCTCCCACTCACTCCACTCTGCCATGCAGTATTCTCACTGCTTCCAGCGTGCCAGGATGCTGCCCCTTGGGACTTTTGCCAGGCAGACTCTTCTCTCAGATACCAGCCGCACTCACTTCCTCACCTTCTGCAGCCCAGATGCCACTTCATCAAAAGGGTCTTCCCTTCCCCCCATCCCCAGCATGGGATTCTCCATCACCTATCTCCGTCATCACCTCCTGGCATATTATAGTTATTTTCTGTGTCCTCCCCACAACCCCAAGCAAAGATATAAGTTCCATGACTACGGGCACCTAGTCCGTTCTGATCACTACTCTATCCCAGCCAGGGCCCAACTTGGAAAACAGAAATCAAACTCACTATTTAAAACAGAATGAATTTAAAGCAGGCAATAGTTGCACAGGGGAGAAAAAGACTGAGAAACTACATGTGGCACAATGAAAGGGAAAGAAAAAGGTGAAAAGACAGGTGAGTGTGAGCAAGTCTGCCCCTTGAGCTAAGCTGTGGCTCACAGGGAGAGACAGGTATGAGGAACTAGACAGAAAACACTTGCAGGAGCTAACCTCCCTCAGGTTTCCCAGTAGAATGTAGTGGAGTTGTTTATATTCTTCCAAGTGTCTGTCTCTCCCAAAGCTGGGTGAGGCTTGCTGAATGTACCACACTCAAAGTTACAGTTGTGGATCACAGAGACAGGCACAGGTGTGCACAGACACAGAGACATCTTACAGGCATAGGTGTTCACTGGTCATTGCTAGATGTCCCTTGTCAACCCTAAGAGAAGAGGACACTACCCGGGACTCCATTTCAACCCTCCACCCCAGCCAGGGAGAATGATTTCATGACCTCCCTCACTCACTGGGTCCCTTCTCATCTAAGGAGGGAGGTGTCTCCAAGAAACCAAGCCATTCCCTCCTGCAGATAGAGAAATAGGGCCACAGCAGGAACATGTAGTGGAAGTTTCCAAATGTTCCCCCAGAAATCTGAGAGTTGTACGCTCATCCTTAAACCCCAGAGGGAACCATCCTCAGTAGCCCACACAAGGCTCAGGCTACCTTGCCAAAAGAATCGTCCTTCAGCTCCCATTCTCCCTCTATCCTTCATCTGTCCCCAAATCCATTGATCCACCTTTCCCTGCCTGGGGGCATTATTATACTTTGCTCTTTGGCAAGTGTTTTTCCAGGGTTCAGTGCCAGCACCGGCGTGGTATTTATTTTGGCATCACTGTCGCCCGGAAGTACACTCTCCCAAGGTCATAGAAAAAGTGGGCTGGGGAAGGTGAGGGGGCAGTGGTTGCAGGGACATGGACCTTGCAAGGGAAGATTCTTTTTCAAGTCACCCGAGTGCCTACCTCTCCTGGATAGATGACCCACATGGCTCCAAGCCCTAAGCCCAGAATGTCACTCAGGAGACTTGAGAAGGCAACAGAGGCACAGAAAACCACACTGTGGGCATCCTTCCAATTCAGTCTCGCACACTCTCTGCAGGCTCCTGTGGGCTGGAAGCCTCACCTGTTCACATTCCTGCTGCTTGGGACACTTCTCCCAAAGCTAGCCCTGGAAAATTAAAATTAAAGTGAATCATACATACAACATGTGCACACACAGGCAAAATAGATACACAACATACATATACCAAACACACAGACCCAACACATACACACATGTGTACACATCCTCGGACACAGCACATGCACACACCTCACACCCCTCATACACTCTTACACTGAAACCCTCAGGCTGCCAGCCCCTCTCCCTCTCCCTGCCTCCCAGGCAGATGCCACATCCTGTCCTGGCTGACACTGCAGTGTTTACATCTAATGCCTCCCCTCCTCTCCATACCCATTGTCCCTGAACAATATCAGACCCTTAATCTCTCTCAATCTCCTCCTTCTATTCTTCCCCCTTATGATACAAGCTAATTAACCTCCAATTCTTTTACTTAACTTTAATCGGAACTAGACGGTAGGAACCCTGCCACGCCCATCTCTCAGACACAAGCGCCCAGGAAATCCTAAAGGTCACTTGGGAAATTAGGGGCAGGGCTGGAATTCAAACCTGGGGACCCTAACCCTAGAGCCTGTTATGTTGCCTCTCCCATAGGGTCCTAGCCTAACCATGCTGAGCTCACAGCCACAGCTCCATTCTACTTCCTGCCTCCCAAAATCGCTGTTCCCAAGCTCCCCTGAAAGGATGGGCAGAAACCTCCCTGACTTCGCTTTGCTCCCTACCTGGGAGCTCCCGTTCACCACCCAGGAGCTTGTCAATGCACAGTCTACTCCCCTGTGACAGTTAATAGACCACCTTACCACCCCCCATAAGATCAGCTGTGCAGCACTGGACCCACAGCACCGGTCCTGGGCAGGCAGTCAGCCAGAGGGCTAAGAGCACACCAGGGGCTGGGGAGAGATGAGGACGGGAGCCTACGGTCAGTTTCAGATCTTGCTATGAACAAATGCTATCGACCACTACCAGGGAATCACCTCACCCTTCAGTGGGACCCTGCCTATTCTCCCAGTCCTTACACACACACACACACACACACACACTCTCTCTCTCTCTCTCACTACCCCTAGTACCTCCATCTTAATTATAGACTCTAGAGACTTTAAAAAACCATGACAAAAATAACTGACTACAGACCTCCTGTCATGTAGGAGATTGACAGCTTTCATCCAGGGACAGATGTTTTTCATTATTTTGTTTTTTGGGGGGCTTTGTCTTTGTTTTTCTTTCTTTCTGTCTTTTTTTTTTCTTACAAATACATCCTGAGCACCTCTGAATGGTCTTTGCTGGAGAGGACTAAGGTTCTCCTAGGCAACAGGAGACAGGAAAACTAAACTAACTGGTGTGCAGACCAGTGCCTGGCAGGTGGTAAGCACTCAATAAATACTTGTTTTGTAAATGAATGAGTGTCCTCAAAAAGTGAAAGAAATTACAAAAGGGGCCAGAGGTGAGAGACAATAGCCAGGAGACAGTCCAGGGAGAGAAGCCTCGTGGGAGGACGAGGCCTGAGAGGAGGTTGGATAGTGAGAAATTCTGTCAGCCATGGCCAATAAACTTAGGCTGTGAGTGATTAATAGTCAATACAAAACTGTTTGTCATGCTGTGATGTCAACCCAAGCCTTCAGCAAGAACTTGTCTCCCACAACAGGGGGGACTCAGAGAAAGGAGACTAAGTCTGGTATGGGGGCAGTGGGGATTCAAAGCTGACAGAATAGCTGCAGAGAACAAGGTACCAATGAGAATAGCAGTGGTGCAGGAAGAGGAAATCATAGGGAGAGATGATCATTCAAAAGCCCCCCAGGGATCTGCAGATATTTGGGAAGAGTGGGCTGGTCTTCTCCTGTATGTGATTTTTCATGTATTAAAAAGAGAGATTAAAGAAGATTAGAGGACAAGGAGACTCCCAGACTTGAGATAGATACATTATAAATATACAGCCATAGCATACACCTTTACAGAAAAGCTACGCACTTACAGCAAGACGTAAAGCCAGAGTAAAGAACTCACCCAGCTCCACTGTGCACAACACACTCTGCTACACAGCAGACAGGCACATTCCTTCCCTCCTCTGGGCTGTCTAATAGGTGTGGATGGAATGATATCCACCTAAGCCCCCACCCCTCTATCTCTGAATCATGAATGAAGCTGAATCCCTCCATACATCCAGCTGGCCCATTCCTTGTGACTCCCTCAGGAGAGGAAGAGTGGGAGGGAATGGAATCCAACTCAAGAGAAAACCAGAGGGAACCCAGCAGGGATTGTGGCCATTTAGGACATTTCAGGACACAATGACCTCCTGAGTTCCTGGAATCTCAGCAGGGAATAGGAACTCTTGTGTCCTTCATACCCCACTGGGCAATTCTTTTTTCCCCAACCCCAGCTCACAAGTGAACTAACAGGAACATAAAAATTGTACCTGTCCAAGTCATTTCCATAACGGAATTGGCAACTCCTGTATCTGGGCTTGAATCCCTGGTGCCCCCAGGTATTAAGGGGTGGGTCAGGAGGACGGGAGGTTGGCAAGGACCCAGACCTAACTCAGGCCCATCAGTTCTTTGGAACTGTCTCCAATTGCCAAAAGTAGATAAAGACAGAGCAAACAGGTGACTCTTTTCTCCTGTTTAGGACTCTGTCTTATAACAGCCTCCCATAAAATAAACCATCCCACTCTTTAGACGACTCCTTCCACCTCACATCTATGTTGTTCTTCACTTAAAATCAATACCACTAAGCCTATTTATCCTGGCTTTGCCCTTCCCCTTCTACATCCAAGACTCACAATGAGCAGTGTTTTCCAGAGGCCCGCACTTCTACCTGCCCTCATATCCATTGCTGCCACACAGGTTTCTTCTTTCAGGAAGCCCCCTAAAATTCATTGCCTCCCTCAGAATTTCCCAGGATCTAATGATGCCTCAGCTCCCCATCCCTCTGGGACAAGGAAGTTTAGCTTTCACTAAATATGTCAGTGGCTTTGCTAAAGCCAAGTCCAAGACATGAGATGGCAAGGTGAGAAGCACAGCTTTGTCACAAATAAACCAGAACTCCTAAGTGGCCATTATCCTCCTCAAACTAGTCACTCTAAGAGGTAAAGCACTTGTTCCAAAAAAGCAGCCATTGCTCCAAAAATATTTGTAGGACCTCCCTTTTATAATAACTTTTAGAACCTTTTTAGCAGGCCATGCAAACCAGAAAGGCTTGCATGGTGTAGCCAAGCCCTGTTTTCAATTTAAATCTCTCTCCTCTTATTCCTTACCATTAAATGGCAATGCCATTTGACTGTTTCCAAACATCAACTCAGACTTTATAGGTCCATAATGTGTTACTCCAAGACAATTGAAAGCCTAAGACATTTATCTAAGGTGTTTTTCTGGTAAGTGCATATAAAATTCAGCCTCTTTGCCTTCTGGTCATACCCAGTGACCTTGACCAAGGTGACTGGTTGGCTTGCATCCAATCAGGGAAACAGCCTCCACTGCAGTGCCTACAGGTGCTTGATAGAAAGACCGTGAAGTCAAAGTGCTGGGTATGAGATGGCTCGTGTAATAACAATTAATATCTGTGTCTTGGATATGCAAAGTGTCTCCTCCATCAGATGAGGAGCTTCTAGAAGGATCTAGGTCATTCTCTCCTACAGGATTCCACATTCTCTACCCTCTGCTGTCCAGGACAAGTCCTTGCATGCAGTAAAAGGACTAGAGAAAGGATATGCAGGACACAGGGGCAGTGAGGCATGTAACCATCGGATCTTCCACCAGTCCTCCTCTGAGGGCAGCCTCCCAGCCCCGTTACTCACAAAGGGGCATGTTTTTGTTGTTGTTCTTTTGTGTGTGTGTGTGTGTGTGTGTGTGTGTGTGTGTGTGTTTGGTTTTTTGTTTGGTTGGTTGGTTTTTGGTTTTTGGTTTTGTTTTGTTTTGTTTTTGAGAAGGAGTCTCATTCTGTCACCCAGACTGGAGTGCAGTGGTGTGGTCTCAGCTCACTGCAACCTCCGCCTCCCAGAATCAAGCAATTCTCCTGCCTCAGCCTCCCAAATAGCTGGGATTATAGGCACATGCCACCATGCCTGGCTAAATTTTTGTATTTTTGGTAGAGACAGGGTTCCAGCACTTTGAGAGGCTGAGGCGGGCGGATCACCTGAGATCAGGAGTTCAAGACCAGCCTGGCCAACAAAAGGGTATGTTTTTAACCATTTCATCCTATGCCTGTACCTCTTACCCCATTTGGGACTGATATTGAACTTGGGCCACCTTTTTTAAATTAATGAAAAAGTCTTGACCAAACAGCCCCCTGCCCCTTCCCCTTCATTCCTGTTAAGCTCATTCCCCTTCAATTCCTCGGCTTTAGGAGGAGAGAAAGGCAAGCAGGGCTGGAGCTGGAGAGGTAATTTCTTGCTGCAAGTTCTGAGTTGGGAACTCTGAGGGCTAATTTCCATCTGAGAAAAGGCTCATGCTCAGTAGGACTTGCCCTATTGTGTTTTCAGGGATCTAACAAGACTGACTTTGGAGACTGAGAATGCAGTACCCACCTCTGCCTGTAGTGGTGCACTCACCAGTGCATGCACACACCCCACCTCCACTACACCTCGGATTCCTCCATTCCTGCCAAGATCATGCTACCCTGCTAGCCACTCACACTGAATCCCGTGGGCATGCCACCCTCTCCCTCACCCATAATCCCCACGTTCAGCCAGGAGCCAGATCTTGTCCTTACAGTTGAATAGCTGATCTTGTCCTTACAGTTGAATAAACTGCTGTGTTTATTCAACACATACCCTTTTCTCTAGCCCCACATTCCTAAACTACTGTCCCTCTCTTCTAGGGGCTTCTTAGCACAGGTTACATTGATCTCAAATTCTTACATTAAGTTCAGTTTCATTCCTAGGCTGTAAAGTTTTTGAGGCAGGGAATCTTACTAAACTAATTTCTCTGACTCCAGTGCCCAACAGCTGGAGGGGGAGCTACAGGAAACAGCGTTAGGTAGAGTTGAACAGAAAATGTAGCTGGGACTTCATTTGTCTAGCAGATACTAGGTATCCGAGAACCAGACCACACACCTGCCACTTGTCTAGCCTGTGTTGGGAGGAGGAAAGAAGATGAGGTTTATAATGAGCTTGATAGTAAAGTTTCAAGAATAGACCTTAATAACCAAATGACTAGAAAGTCATGGGATCTTCCCAGTGTGCCATTAAAAAACAGGAAAGGAAGATTTGACAGAGCATACCTGGAGGCAATGATTGCAGGAAAAATAAAACAATGATATATTTACCACACCAAGTTCAAACTGCTCCACAAACTAGTTACAGCTGTTTACAAAAATCAAGTCAACCCACAAAAGACCAAGATTTGCCCATGTTGACTCTTGAAGGATCTTCTGAGGCATCTAGTAAAAATTCAGCTCCATTGCCTTCCAGTTACCTATCCCCTACGAGGCCAAGTTGAGGAGCCAAGGGTGTCAGGGGAGTGAAGCAGCTTGGCAGAGACCAGTCACATCAATCACAGCAGTCATGCTAAGATGGCCCTCATAGACACAACCTGTCTACATCTGGACCTCAATGAGTCGGAGTCATTTTCTCCTTTTTGGAGTCTCTTACTCCTCCCACTCCCAGGCAAGGTCTGCATGGGAGAAGGCAGAAGAATGGGTAAAGTTGTTCAGGAAAGTCTAACGGGTTGAGGATATCCAACTTTGCAAATAGATGGCTATTTATCAGCTCTAAGATGGCTTAGTGGAGAAGAGGCTTTCAACAGGCCACACGAGAGGGGAGGAGTCTTCTTTCTGACAGGCTCCAAAGAGTATCCACCTAACAGGCACATTCAATTTCTTCCTTTCCCTTACATTTTAAAATGACATTGCATCTGAGACCTAATGTATATAATGGGGGAAAATGCCACAGAATACATGCCCCTATGTCTCAAATCTCCATTTCTGTAAATGGTTTACCATTAACTCTTGAAGTCAGGAATGAGGCAACAAGAGGACTGGGCAAATGATAAGTAATGATGTTTAGAAAGACCCTGCTTTGTGGCAGTTTTGGTGTTACTGTCAGATATCTGATTTCCTCTTAGAAAAGACACGCAGTTCCAAAGTTTGCAATGGTTTGTTCTAAGGCTCTGCTGCTGGAGATTATTGGGGTCCTGGGTTCAGAGCTTTTCTCTTTGCCCACCCATCCATACACATACACACACAGACACACACATTCACACATACGAACACACACACACTCACACACACCAGTGTTTCCCAGACTCAAGCCCTCAGACATGCAGGACCTACCCATTTCCCCTACTTCTCTCATGTAAGTAACTCCAAAGTCCACGGCACCTCTGAATATTTATCCAGCACATGCCCTTTACACACTGACCCTAAAGTACATCAGACCCTCATTCTCTCTCTTTTGGGAGATCCCCCATTAAGAATCCAGAGCAATCACAAATTCTTTATATCAATTTTAATGCTGACTATGAATCCTTTAAGAATAGGAATCTACACATTTCCCCCTCCATAATCAGTGCCTGAAAACAAAAATTACCTAATGGATAAATGGGGCCCAAGTCTAGAAATCCTGTCCCATCTCCTGCTATCTCCTCCACCCCATTCTACCCCAACACTGCCAGGAATCTCCTCCTGAACATTCTTAATTAGAGGACCGGCTGACTCCTAGGCCCTGCAATTCCCGATCACTTTATTTCCACTTCGTGTTGAGTTCAGTGTCTCCTGCAAACCTACTGGAACTTCCTCCCTATCTCCCAACCCCTACAAGAAGCAGCCTTTGAGATAGGGCAGGCCTGCTCACCAACAAGCCAGGCAAGGTGTCTTAACCCTGCTTCTGACACTTCCCATGAGGCCTGTCCTAGAGAACCTCACACAGCACCTCCACAGCGTGCCAGGGAAGCCCACAGCCAATACTGTTTGCCCACGCTGGAAAGGATTGGGGGAATTCAGAGAACTTCAGAAAAAGCTGTAGGTAGAAAGAGATTCCCAATTTGAGGCATAAACGATGAGTAGATTTAGACACACTGCGAAAATAAGACAAAGGTTCTCAGAGCAGCAACACGGGAAAAGTTATTAACTAATGAAAAACTTGATCCACTGAGAAATTTTCAAAAAAATTCTTGTATCAAAGGCATGAAGTCCAAATGAGGGATTGAGGAGAGGAAAAAAAACTAAAACCTAGGTGGGGCTAAATCAGGAAAGGTCATGTTTGCTCTGCTAAATATCAGAGTTTTATCCCTAAGAGCAATTAGGAGGCTTTGGAAGGTTTTAAGCAAGGAGTGACAGGATCATATTTGCATTTTAAAAACCATTCTGGCAGGCATCCTAACAGGTGTGAGGTGATAGCTCATTGTGGTTCTGACTTTCATTTCCCTGATAATTAGAGCACCTTTTCATACAACTCTTGACCGTTTGTATGTCTTCTTTGAAGATATGTCTATTCAAGTCTTTTGCCCATTTTTTAATAGGGCTTTGTTTTCCTGCTATTGAGGTGTAGGAGTTCCTTATATATTTTGGATGTTAACCTCTTACTAGGTATATGGTTTGCAAATATTCTCTTCCATACCATAGGTTGCTGTTTTACTCTGTTGGTTGTTTACTTTGCTGTGCAGCAGCTTTTTAGTTTGATATAGCCCCACTTGTCTATTTTTTACTTTTGCTGACTGCACTTTTGGTGTCAAATCCAATAAACCATTGCCAAGACTAATACCAAGAAGCTTTTTCCCTGTGTTGTCTTCTAGGAGCCTTATAGTTTTGGGGTCTTACATTTAAATCTTTAATCCAGTCTAGGAGATTTTTGTGAATGATGTAAAATAAGGATCCAATATCATTCTTTTGCACTTATTTATCCAGTTTTTCACACCGTTTGTTGGAGAGACTTTCCTTTATATTATTTTATTGTTTTAGGCAATATCATAAATGAGATTGATTTCTTAATTTCCTTTTTTGATAGTTCATTGTTAGTGTATAGAAAGGAAACTGATTTTGGTGTGGTCATTTTTGTATCCTGCAACTTTACTAAATTTGTTTATTAGTTCTAACAGGTTTTTTTTTTTTTAGATGGAGTCTTGCTCTGTCACCAGCGTGGAGTACAGTGGCGTGATCTCAGCTCACTGCAACCTCTGACTCCCTGATTCAAGAGATTCTCCTGCCTCAGCCTTCTGAGTAGCCAGGATTATAAGCAGGCACCACCATGCCCAGCTGATTTTTGCATTCTTAGTAGACACGGAGTTTCACCACGCTGGCCAGGATGGTCTCAATCTCCTGACCTCATGATCCAATTGCCTCGGCATCCCAGCGTGCTGAGATTACAGGCATAAGCCACCATGCCCAGCCTCTAACAGGTTTTTGTTTTTGTTTTTGTTTTTTTTTGGTGGACCTTTCAGGTTTCTCATCCATCCGCCGAGTAGAGAGACATGTTGACTAGAGAAGTGTTGTAGAACTGATAGGCAATGATAAGTGCCCAGTGTAGATTTGTAGTAATCAATTTAAACTAAGACCAACTAGCATATTATTTTCTCCAACAATGGCCAGTTGAAGAAGTACAGACACCAAGAAGGCAGGAGTGGGACAGTTATGTATGTGCTTAAGGACTCTGTGACAGACTTCTTTTCATTTAAACTAATATATGACCAATTTTACACAAACTGCATTTTTAAAAAATATCCATGACAACAACACTGGACCATCTCCCATACCCTGAGTGTCCATGAACCATCCTTTGTATGCTTCCCAGATTATTGCAGACCCACTCTCTAGGGAGGTCTCAGCCTTGCCGAAGGTCTTCATATGATACTTTAACAATTTGGGTTTTGTTTGTTTGGTTGATTGGTTTTGTTTTGTTGTTGTTGTTTTTCAAGATGGAGTCTTGCACTGTTGCCAAGGCAGGAGTGCAGTGGCATGATCTTGGTTCACAGCAACCTCCACCTCCCGGTTCAAGCAGTTCGCATGCCTTAGCCTCCCAAGTAGCTGGGACTACAGGCACCCACCACCACACCTGGCTAATTTTTTTTTTTTTTTTTTTTGAAACAGAGTCTCGCTCTGTCGCCCAGGCTGGTGTGCAGTGGCACAATCTCTGCTCACTGCAAGCTCCACCTCCCGGGTTCCCACCATTCTCCTGCCTCAGCCTCCCAAGTAGCTAGGTCTACAGGTGCCAGCCACCACTCCTGGCTAATTTTTTTGTATTTTTAGTAGGGGTTTCACCCTGTTTAGCCAGGATGGTCTCGATCTCCTGACCTTGTGATCTGCCTGCCTCAGCCTCCCAAAGTGCTGGGATTACAGGTGTGAGCCACGGTGCCTGGCCATACCTGGCTAATTTTTTGTATTTTTAGTAGAGACGAGGTTTCACCATGTTGGCCAGGGTGGTCTCAAACCCCTGACCTCAGGTGATCCACCCGCCTCTGCCTCCCAAAGTGCTGGGATTACAGGTACTTTAACAATGTGTATGACAGCCAAATCATTCTTAAAAAATAAGTCAAATGTTTTAAATATTTGAGTCCACTGAAAGATTAGTGTATGCTTCAAACTATGATCCAAAAACTCAGAAAGTCAGGAAAGGTTGGGATTATTGCTTGATGCTTTGTGAAATAGAGCAATGAAGCTTTGTTTCTGAATTCTCCATCCCTTTTGATTTCTATAAAGCATAGATTCTGGCAACAGAAGTTCCAAAAATCCTGCTTCTCCCTCTTTAGAGGGGTAAGACCTGACTACAAAGGGATATTTTTGTCACTGGAAGTTTCACTGATGTTTTCCTCCTTTTCTAAACAGTAAGATTCAGACAATACACCCTGGAGCCACAAGGCCAGCACCAAGTGCTGTAGTTTTAGGGACCTGAGTGGACTATCTCTGACAAAGAATCATTTCAAGGGATTAAACATTCTGATGTATTGATTCTGATGACTGGATAATATCTTAGAGATCCCAGAAATTGTCAGGCAATGTGACTAAACATCTCTCACCTAAAGAGTCCTAGGTGGACTATTTCTAGAAGACCATTAATTCCAAACACTTTTAGAGAGAGAACACAGAAAATAACAGAATAATTATCACTTAATATATTTGTGTAAATTTTAGTACAATTCAAGTACAATTGTTGAAATTTCTAGAATGTAATGTAATAGACACAGCATGCTTCAAAACCATACATTAGAAAATAACATCGGTAGAATAATTACTCTGGGTATATACTCACAGATTTTAATCCGTTTCTCAGTCATGTCTGTCTCTAACACCAAGTCACCAGTTTTATTCTGAAGAACATTCTTTTCAATATGATCTTGGGTTTTCTTTCTTCTTTTTTTTTTTTTAAGAAACCACCGGGCGCGGTGGCTCACACCTGTAATCCCAGCACTTTGGGAGGCCAAGGCGGGGGGATCACAAGGTCAGGAATTAGAGACCAGCCTGACCAACATGATGAAACCCCGTCTCTACTAAAAATACAAAAAATTAGCTGGGCATGGTGGTGGGTGCCTGTAATCCCAGCTACACAGGAGGCTGAGGCAGAAGAATCACTTGAACCTGGGAGGCGGAGGTTGCAGTGAGCTGATATCGTGCCATTGCACTCCAGCCCAGGTAACAGGACAAGACTCCATCTCAAAAAAAAGAAAAAAGAAGAAAAAAAAAAAGAAACAGAGTCTTGCTCTGTCACCCAGGCTGCAGTGCAGTGGCACAATCTTAGCTCACAGTCCCACCTCAAATTCCTGATCTCAAGGGATCTTCCCGCCAAGTAGCTAGGACTACAGGTAACACACCCCCACACCAGGAAATTTTTTTAATTTTTTGTAGAGACAGGGATCTTGCCATCTTGCCAAGGCTGGTCTCGAACTTCTGGCCTCAATGATCCTTCTGCCTCGGCTTCCCAAAATGCTGGGATTACAGGCGTGAGCCACTGCACCTGGTCTTATATTTTATTAAAATTGCCAATAAACTTTGCCAAAGTTGTGTTTTATGATTTAAAAATTTAAACGTGTCGACATCATCAATTAACTCTTTTCTCCAGATCAGAATATTTTAGGTGATAAAATACTCTGTACACAGTTGCTGAAGTACATGGTAAACAAAAAATTCTGCCAGGAAGAATATTCTAGTCTAAGTTTTTCTCATTGAAATGTGTAAAGATTTTAGCCCAGATATTTTCACAGATACTGTCTTTCTATCCTGTTCAGAGTAGCATTGCTTAACAAATATTTTTAAAAGACAAGATGAATTGGTAAGTTATCTTTGATTATGGTTCTTTGAATGTTTCACCAGATTTAGATGCTGAAAAATCACAGGCCTCAATTTCACCCAGTTCCAGAATACAGTATCAATATATTAATTTAAATATAGAAGCTCTATCAAAAGATTCTTCCCACAAGGTTGAGATAGTCTAAAATCTCAAGATTAAACCTTGTAAACTATTTGAGTACTCATCATTTAATTTGTTCAGTTGTTCACTTGCTTTTGTGCAGACAAATTTCACCGTCCTTTTGTTTGCAAGCTTTGTTTTCAATCATTGAAATTTACTGAAAGATTCCAGTGGTGAAGTTTTCAGCACTGCACTGGAATATTTTGATGAAAGATTTACAATGATTCTTAAACAAAATACACTCAACAATTCACAGATTAACGTCCATGAATATATAACAATAATTATTCTGCTAATTTTTTTTAACTCTAGTATCATTGTAAAACACTTAGGTTGACTGATAGCTTCCTCACAAATTACATATATATACACACATACACATATACAAAACATATAAAATAGACACACTTTACATATATGTATATATAATACATGCATACATATTATACACATATATATTTATAAATTTTGATAATTATCCCTCTACATTTGGATCGGTAGAATATTGTCATTTACGTGGCCTCAATTCTAAATTGCGTGTGTACCACAAGTACACAGCACAGGTACTTTCTACTCCATTGATTTTTTTATTTTAAAATATTTACCACACATTATGTTATACCAAAAACCTTGTTCATATTATCACCACAAAAACAAATAATTTTGTCTTCAAAATTAAACCTTTTAACTAACTTTAAAATAGCATTAACAACAATGTCAAATAAACTTCCAAAAGCTTTACTTTGATTCCAGGACTTGGCTGCAAAAAAAAAAAAAAAATAGAATCATTACTAGAATTAACTGATTTTCTACTTAAAACACTTGAGGACACTGATATAAAATCGTCATTTTTTAACTATTTGCAAAGTTCATTTATTAATGGAGCTAATAAATTAACAGCTATAAGTTCACATTTCATACATGCTCAAGAAAACTCAGAAATTCAAAATTGTAAAAATTATTTAGAATATCCATCTGATCTAAGCAAAAAGTTGTGCTTCTGTGGAGTAATACAAAAATGTGGCTTCAGCAGCTGCAGGTATTAAATCGTTGTCTTCTCAAATAACTACTAACTGCGAGTTGATACTAAATACTTCCTTAGCAAACTTGTGCTTTCTGGCTTTCATGTGGTCAGTGATAGCACTATGATCTCCAAAGTGGATGGTAAATATCAACATTTTGTAGAAGTTTTATATGCATCAACAGCTTTCTCTAAAAAATGAATACTGGTACTTAATTTTTGTTTTTTTGTTTTAGTTCATTGCTGCCAAAAGTGTTCACAATTTAAAAAGCAATACCAAACAATAAAATAAATAAGTAAGTGAAATTTGTACCATATCATAGATGACAAAACTACTGTAGCAAGGACAAGCAGGCTATTTTCTGTAGGTCTATCGTGTAACTGATCAGCCTGTTTTTTACACGTATCTCGCACAATTTCCCAAGTTTCCCGCTGGCTCTATCAACCTATGCCCTGATATACTGAACATTTCCCCGCTCATTTCAACAGGCTATTGAACAACTGGAAGGCACACCAAGTGGCTGACAGGGGAGCAATATCAAATACTTCTCCCACCACCTCCAAGACCTGAAAGTGAACACTGTCTCTTACTGTCCCAATATATATACTATTTTTATCAGGGAGTGCCCTGCATGCTGTTCTTGAAAGGGGGGTGTTAGTCAAGTTGCACCTAGAAAAGACAAGAAGAAGAAAGAAAAGTTAAGTCTAGTTGTATTCCAAATGTGTGAAAGTAGTTCTCACTACAAGACCAGACTATGGCAGAAATTCAAAGGGAAAGTCTACCAAAATGTGTCAGTTTATTTTTATGTAGCCATTAATAATAATAATACTTCATTAAAATATAAAAATCCAGGTCACATGCTTACCCAGACCAGACACTTGGGGAGCAGGGGGAACAGCCCTAAACTGGGACTGTCCCAGACAAAACAGGACATATGGCCACCCTACCCTACTCAATATCCATGTTAAGTATTTTATACTGCCTGCTTTCACCACGTGAAATATAAAATTTTACAAGTTCCCCAACTCATAAACATACTATTCAAGTAGGGAGTATTTGTT
Organism: Homo sapiens; assembly: GCF_000001405.40. Classification (NCBI taxonomy): domain Eukaryota; kingdom Metazoa; phylum Chordata; class Mammalia; order Primates; family Hominidae; genus Homo; species Homo sapiens. The sequence goes on along the minus strand of NC_000012.12, from coordinate 54,671,704 downwards.
AAGAATATATCCAAAGTGAGTAAGCTGCCCAAGCAGGATTGCATTAGCAGAGCTCAAATATTAGTCCTCCGTTTCACTGATTAACCTTCTCCACTGAGTTATACTATTATACTGGTCTCTAGGGGAAGAAGCTCCCTCTTCACTCATTTTGAAGGAGGGGAAATGCTTGGTTGATTGGTCAGATTCTAGACCATCATTAGGCCATGTTTTCTAGTTGAGGACCAGGGCAGAATAAATGTGCCTGTGTACATGAAAACCTCTCTATGACTCATTTTCCTTTGACACCGATGGTGTGAATTTCATCTTTCTTGAGTGGCAAGTTCCAAGATTTAATCTTAACAAATGGCACAATTTAGGACTCTAAACCACACAAAATGTATTTCCCATGCAGTCCAATTAAGCTTCCTAAAGTTCTATACTATGCTTTAGGACCAAAGATTCAGACAAAGATTTTAATCAATCCAACAAAAAAACATATTTAATGCTTCTTATGCCGGACATGTTCCAGATGCTAGGAAATCAACACTGAACAAGACAATCTTGGTCTTGTTGGAGGAAACAAGAGTGAGAAAGGTCAGAAAAATAAATTTCTTAGTACATCTTAGAATAATAAGTTCTACAATAGTCTATTAGAGGGTGCAATGAAGCTATTAGAACTAAGCCTAATCAAAACTTTCAGGATAGAAGATTCCCAGAGAAAGTGATATAAAATGAAAAATTACTCAAATATGAGTATTGGAGGAGAAAGGGAAGATAATGTTTCAGAAAGAAGGATCAGCAGGTGCAAAATCCCAGAGATAAGTGCAAACAACGTGTGCTCAAGGAACTCAAAGAAAAATGCATAGCTAGGACATAAACTAAGAGGTGAAATGTGGAAGAGATGGTAGGAAGAGGCCAGATCATGAAAGACCTCAAAAGCCTTGTTTAACTGATATTTTTTAAAGGTCCAGGAGAAATTAAAGTGCAAGGAAGAGTAGCGATAATCAACAGAGCAATATTCCTGAGAAGGCAGGAGGAGACAGGAGTCAGATCTTAGATGAAGGGTTAAGTTTTAGGCAAGAGAAAGAAAAACTCTCACATAGTTACTGTAAAAAAGAAAGAAAAGGTGGACACAAGTACATGTAAGGTTACAAATATATTGGTAGGAAATAAAGGGAATTTGTACCAAAACACTTGTATTTTCTCTGTGAAGCTGATGAAGTCACTAGGTGTGTGTGAAGGATGTAGTGGGATCCTAGTTGAGGTTACAAACCAGAAGTTTATAATGTATAATCTTTATGGTTTTATATCCTTTTTTTCCTACAAGTGCTCAATAGCCCTGGAATAGGACAGAGAGAGTAGAGAGCTAGATTTATCAAGACTCAGAATTTGCCAAACTTTGTAAAAATGAGGTCAGGAAGTGACACAGATTGGCAAAAAACTTCTCTAAGTGGAAGACCATGTAATTTAACCTGGAAAGGAAAGAACGTGAAGACTGGAGTAGGCATACAGAAAAAGAGAAAATAAAATGGTCAGGGAACTGAAGTTTGAAAAATAAATATAGAAGAAGTATCAGAATGAAAGAGTTGGAAGGATAGGTGATATGTGGTGAGGATGTGGGTGTTTTCAGAATTGGAGTAACTCTAAGAAATGACCACGGCCACAGATTGACCATGGGAGTTGGGGTGAAAGTTATGATAAGGTCAATTTCTACTTTCACCCGAACTTCCATGGTTCCCTAGAACCCAGACTTCTGGGTAAGTCATGGTCATGATCCATGAAGTTGTCCAGCAGCTTAAAACAAAAAAGAAGACCACCACTCAGGAGTAAGTCTTCCATGAAGGAAAGGAGTCGCTGGGAGCCCAGCAGGTGAAACAATGAGGAGGGGTAGACAGATGACCCAAGACTCCTCCGAGGAGGAGGTATTAGTGATATGACTCAATGGACTCTGCAGTGGAGTCTAGGATGATCCACATGTCTGTGAATTCCACTGCCCAACCTAAGAAGCATGGCTGTGGGAATGAGTGGACTGCACTTCAGAAGAGACTCAGGGAGAACCATGTTTTCCTATTGGGATTGCATAATTTAATTTAGTTAATTTCTGCTTTTACATCTATTAATGCCCTCTTCTATTTTTCACATTGTTTGATTAGACATTTTCTAGTTTCTAAACTTGAATTTACTTTTGCTACATGTTCATTTCTCATAAAATACTAAACACCAGGGATCCTCTAAGAACAGTTGGCTGCAAAGTAAAGGTGCGCAGCGTTCACATATCCATTTCCAAAACAATCATCACTTAAGGCTCTGTTTTCTTTTTTTTATTATTATTATTATACTTTAAGTTTCAGGGTACATGTGCACAATGTGCAGGTTAGTTACGTATGTATACATGTGCCATGCTGGTGTGCTGCACCCATTAACTCGTCATTTAGCATTAGGTATATCTCCTAATGCTATCCCTTTCCCCTCCCCCCACCCCACAACTGTTTTCCTTTTAACCTAAGAAAGATTGTTGTTTTTCCCCAGGGACTCTTTTTTTAATTATTATGATTTGCCTTTCATTTTTAATTTCTAACTTGTATTATATGGTGGTAAGAAAAAGTGGCCTTTACAATTTCTTCTTTGGAGAATGGATTGAGGTATTCTTTGATACCTAGTATTTAATCGATTTTGTAAAACCACACAGGTATTGAAAAAATGTTTATTCTTTTCATTGGCTATAACATTCAAGCAAGTTTGTCAATTGTGTTATTCAAATGTTCTGTATACAAAATTATATTCTGTCCACATAAACTGTCACCTTCCGAGACTTAACAGATCGATGTCTCCTACAGAGAGTGTGGCTCTGTCAGGTAGTCCTCATAGTCATCACAGTTTTTGCTTTGTTTCAATGCAAGTGTGATGCATAAAAGTTTGTAACTATTACATCTTCTCAGTGAATTTTACCTTTTTTAAACCTATGCGATTTAAAACAGCACTTCATGTTCTCTTTAATTATTTTGGCCTTGCGTTCTATTTTGCCAGATAATGTTGCTATTCCATTTACCTAACATTTCTCTCTCCATCTCTTTATATTCAACATTTGTGTGTCACTTTATTTCTGGTGTGTCTATTATAAAAGAAATCTATGACTGCAGTTCACCTTCTAACCCTGCCATTTATTTATTCTTTTCTTGTTCTTTCTTTCCTTCTGAATCTTTGCTGGATTGATCAAGTTCTTTGTTGTTGTTGCTCTTTTCTACTCTGCCACGTTAAAAGATTTATAAATCAGTTAGAATTCAGTTCAGCTGCATGGAATAGAAACTCCAAAATAAGCAGCGTAAAGACATAAGCTTCTCCCCAGCCCCTAAGTAAAAGAAGACTAGAGAAAGGCAGCCTAGGACTCCTGGTAGGAGGCCCCGCTGTCCTCAGGAATCCAGCCACCTCTTTTCTTTCTGCCCTATCATTCTCAAGGACCTAAGGACACAACTTCTAGTCTCAAGGCCATATGGCAGTTGTGGTGGCTCCAGCCAACCTGTCCAATTTCCAAACAGCGGGAAGAAAGAAGGGAAATGGGCACAAAAACACGTGTCTGCTGAGTCAGCTCCTTTTAAGAAATCTTTGCTCATATTTCACACAGTATTTCCATTTACATTCAATCAAGTGGCCACTACTAACCGCAAATGTGGCTAGGAATGTTATCTTTTAACTAGACACATTACCCCGATAACTAAAATTAGAATTCTATTACTTAGAAAGAAAGCAAGTATGGATACTGAGTAGGCCAGTATCATCACCACCACCATCTACATACCATACCCATTCTATATTATTTTTAAGTTTCTAACAAACCTATTTAAATCAATGCTTGTATCAGTATCAGCAACTAATAACCAGACTTTACCTTCCTCAGAAAATGAGACCTGTATCATGTATAATTTATCCCTCTTTCCCTATCTTGTAAGACTTTAACAGTATCTATAATTTTATTTCAGATATGGTTAATTTTTGTTATTAATATAACATATAACTGTATTATTTTATATATTATTTTATTTATAATCATATATATAATTATACAAATAATATAATTATTTTATTATATAATAGATGTATTTCTATTTTAGGATTTCTTAGCAATGGTATTAAACACAATGATAATAACAAGAATTTGTTAGACTTAACTATATATTCTGTTAGTTTCTCTGTTTACCACTCTTTCTTGTATATCCTATTCGCCTTCCTTGAAATTGTATTGTCTGTAGACTAGATTTTCCAAAAAGGAGCATGAGTGATATATTTTCATAGTTCTTTATTTTGGCCTCATATTTGACTGGCTATGTAACTCTAGCTCTAACTTGGCAGGCCCTGATCCATTGTCCATTAATTTTCTGGAGCAGACCAGAAGCCTGGTGCTAATCTTATTTGCGTTCCTTTGCAAGTTACCTTTTTTCTCTGAAAATTAGTAAGCCTTTTTAAACCTCTGAAATCCAGAAATTTCACCCGCATGAATTTAGGTGTGGGTGCCTTTCAGTAGTCCTACCTAGCACTTAGTGTATGCTTTAGATCTAAAGTCTGGAGGATATCTTGCTATCAGGGAAACTTCTTCTATTATTTCTTCGACCCTGTCTCTCCCATCTGTTTTATTCTCTTTTACTTCTCTTAAGTGAGTATTTGGTCCCCTGGGCATATCCTCCATATCTTTTAATGTCAGTCCCATAATTTCTATTGTCTTTCTGCCTTCACATTACAAAAAAAAAAACACCTTAATTTCTAAATCACTAATTTATTCTGCGACCACATACTTTCAGTTACTCAGCCCTTCTATTAATTGCTTTCTTCTTATAATCATCTTTTAAAATCATAAGTCTTTCTTCTTTAGTGATTGGCTTTTCTTCATGGAACTCTACCTTAGCTTTATTGATTTAATATCCACTTAATTTTTTTAAGCAATTAGCATTTTATCTGAAATGAAAAGTTTTGTTTCATTGTTGATCAGTTATTGTGTTTATTCATCTTGGTTCTTCTTTTCTTTTTCTTTTTTTATTTTTATTTTTCCTAACCACTAGGCTACAAGGGAGGTTCTTCTTTTTCAATATCATTCATTTTCCTTCAATATTTAGTAATTCTTTGTTTTAAATGCAGTACCTTTGGTTCTTCCTCTCTTGGCACTTTGCAATGCTATAGGCATCTGGCATAGGTTTCTATATGTCTGTTTCCATGATGAGTCTCTCTCTTTCTCTCTTTCTCTCCCTTTTTCTCTCATCTTCTCTCATGGAAGGTGCAAGGGGTGAATACGATGAGGATGCTGACAGAAAGGTTTCCCAATAAGGTTGGATGGTGGATGGTGAATGTATGGAAGTGGAGCCAATAGGCAATCCGGTGTCCCGTTGTAAAGAACATTCCTCCTTTCTTTTCCTTTCTTCCTCTGTGACCATCTGAAGGCCCAGAGTTACCTCAGGTCCTGCTCGACTCCTTCCTCCATTTGCTCACTCCAGGGCACATCCTTCAACCAGTCACTCTGTAAACACAAAAAGGGGAGGGAGGGAGACTGGCAAATGACTGGAGACTGGCAAATAAGCAAATGACAGAATGGAATGGAACAGAAATGGCTGTTCCAGGAAAAGTCATTTGCTTATTTACCTTTATGATTATTATCCCCTGGGCCAGTTTCACCTTGGCCTTATTGATCCCTGGCTTCAACTTTCTCCAGGGTTCCTTGGGGAAGAGCAGGTCTCATCTCTGCAGTAGTTCTCTCCTGCTTTTCTTTTGCTTAAGTTTCTCCATCATCTGATTCCAGAAGCTTTGTTTCTCTTTTAGCTTTTTAATTAGAAAAATGATCACTGTTCATTTATTCACCAAATATTTATTGAGGGTCATATCTATAGAAGTGAAACTTTCTTTTAAACACAGTTACCAAAAGATAGTTCTGGGCCACCATAGGCCTCCTCCCACGGGAGGCTCCTAGCATGGAGGCAAACAGCAGAACACGTGCTCCCCCAGACAGCCTGGGTCCCAAAGGAAGGAAGAGAATAAGGCTCTCTGCTGGCCACATCTGCCTCGTCTTTTCTTCCAAACTCCACAATTATTTTAAGTCACTCTTAACTAGAGGTAAAGAGAGACCTCAACTGTTGTGCCTCAAGTTTCCTCAACATGGGAACATTTGGAATGAAGGAAAGCTGTTCCCTCTTCTAACAATATGCAACAAACAAAAGGTTAGCAATCAAAGTACTTAAGGAGCTACGTCAGAGAGAGAAAGTTTTTTCTAAATAGCAAAAAAAGCCAAAGGACATAAATGATTCACAGGAGAGAAAATACAAAAGACTACTAATCCTGTCAAAATCACCGGTAAGCAGAGAAATGCAAATTAAAGTATTAACCACAAAATATTATCTTTTGCCCAACAAGTTGTCCAAAATTTAAAATATTGACAGTATCTAGTGGTGATCAGCATATGGGAAACAGGCACTTTCACACACTATTGGTTAAGATATAACTGGAACAACTTCAAGGAAGACAGTGTCTGTTGTTGCCTGACTTTTTAATGACTGCCATTCTAACTGGTGTGAGATGGTATCTCATTGTGGTTTTGATTTGCATTTCTCTGATGGCCAGTGATGATGAGCATTTTTTCATGTGTTTTTTGGCTGCATAAATGTCTTCTTTTGAGAAGTGTCTGTTCATATCCTTCGACCACTTTTTGATGGGGTTGTTTGTTTTTTTCTTGTAAATTTGTTTGAGTTCATTGTAGATCCTGGATATTACCCCTTTGTCAGATGAGTAGGTTGCAAAAATTTTCTCCCATTCTGTAGGTTGCCTGTTCACTCTGATGGTAGTTTCTTTTGCTGTGCAGAAGCTCTTTAGTTTAATTAGATCCCATTTGTCAATTTTGGCTTTTGTTGCCATTGCTTTGGGGATCTAGAACTAGAAATACCATTTGACCCAGCCATCCCATTACTGGGTATATACCCAAAGGATTATAAATCATGCTGCTATAAAGACACATGCACACGTATGTTTATAGCGGCACTATTCACGACAGCAAAGACTTGGAACCAACCTAAATGTCCAACAACAATAGACTGGATTAAGAAAATGTGGCACATATACACCATGGAATACTACGCAGCCATAAAAAATGATGAGTTCATGTCCTTTGTAGGGACATGGATGAAACTGGAAACCATCATTCTCAGCAAACTATCGCAAGGACAAAAAACCAAACATGTTCTCACTCATAGGTGGGAATTGAACAATGAGAACATATGGACACAGGAAGGGGAACAACACACACCGGGGACTGTTGTGGGGTAGGGTGAGGCGGGAGGGATAGCATTAGGAGGTATACCTAATGCTAAATGACGAGTTAATGGGTGCAGCACACCAACATGGCACATGTATACATATGTAACAAACCTGCACGTTGTGCACATGTACCCTAAAACTTAAAGTATAATAATAATAAAATTTAAAAAAAAAGAAGACAGTGTCAAATATCTATCAATATTTTAAATAAACATATTCTTTGAGCCAGCAACTCAACCCCTAAGAGTCCATCCTTCAAAATTATTCATACATGTACAAAAATAGCATTATTCCATTTCAGCATTATTTATAATAGGGGAACATTGGAGACAACCTAACAAATCCGTCAACAGGGAAGTGTCTAAATAAAATGAGTATATTCATCGTTTGAAATATTAGGCTATAGTTTTAAAAGAATGAGATACAGCTATAGGTACTAATAAAATAAGAAAGATATACAAGAGAGAAAGTCAAACTATTAAGACATAGAGCTTTAGATAAAAATAGAATCCTGTTTTTAATTATAAAATTATAATTAAATTATAATATATCAGCATTTTTATAATGCTAAATATATTAGCATTATAATTACATAATTATAATCCTGTTTTGAATTTTTAAATCAATTTTAAATAAACATATGTATATATGTTTATAAATTGGTGGGAAAATATTTGGAAGAGTACATAGAAAATTAAAGGTGCTGCTTATAGAGAAGAGCCAGTATTCAAATCTTTGTGATAGCCAGACTCCATCGCCTTACCGCCAGTCTCTCAAACAGTATTATAATCGTGGGTTTTCTTATCTCCACCACTACACTATGACTCTTGAAGTCAAGAAGTGAATCCCTAGGGTCAAGACACTTCTTGGTAGAAGCTCAACAATTCAAAAGGAAGGAAGGAATCTCCAACTATCTGCCTCTTGGTCTCAAGTGGACCTTTTATAATCCCTACTACCTTGACCATGTGGATAATTTCCTTCTCAATAAGCCCTCTGGTATGTGTGGACATGCACAATTAGGACATTTCTCCCTGTTCTAGAAGCCTAACCTGAATCCTGGAAAATCTCAGGCCTTGGGATTGAAGTCTGATTGAAGTCCAGACTTTATGGTCAGTCTTTTGTTCTGGGATCATACAGTGCCATTATTTTCCTCACCAATATTTATAATTATGCATCTACTTTCAGACTCACGATATTAAGAATAGCCTAAGGTGAAACCAGTATAATGAGGATGAACTCAATGTCCATTCTCTGTTTTTTGAGAGTGCTTAAGGACCTCACCTTTAATCATACACATGTTTGTAAATTGGTGGGAAAAGTTTGGAAGGATACATAGAAAATTAAACCAGCAATTTAACCTCTAAGAGTCTATCTTCAAAAATATTCATACATGTACAGAATGTTGTTTTGTTCTCAGAGATACTTTAAATAATCTAATGTATGTGAAAGCATGTTGACTTTGAAATTCTAAATTACTTTGGAAATATTAGTTATTATTTTCCCCATGAACTTCCTGCAACACAAACATATATGTTCATGCTGAATTGTATACTACACACACACACACACACATACACACACTCGCTCTCTCTCTGGCTAGTGTATCCAGTAAGAAAGCCTCAGCAGAGCCTATGACAGACACGAGCAAACAAGCAGAGCAGGGCATGCATGTTTTCAGGCCCAGCGGAGCATCCTTTTAGGAAGTCCTGAGCTGGAATATATTCTATGTCTGTATAATATGAAACAAAGTTTTCCTGTCATATTAAACAAAACTACCAGATCTCTACTGGTCCATGAAGATGATAGTGTGGGTCTTCTATTTGCCATCTTTCAACAATTCTAATAGTACACATGTAACTAATAAGGATGCACAGAAAACAAAATATCTCTCCTTTTATTTTAAATTACATGAAATCAATGTGCCAACCTTAATTAGCTCATGCTAAACAAGTTATGTGTCTTAACTAATACAAATATAAAATGTATTATTATTTATAAAATGGGATGCTTTGTAATATAGAACTTAAGATTTCATCAGCCTCTATTATGTCTATAGAGAAGAGAGTCACCTCCGAGCAGATTTTTATTATCATTGTTATGGTAGGAATCACTGAATAATTCTTTTAATTATGCAGTTTCAAGGTGGGTAAGTACTCACTCTGCTGAGGAAATTGTGTCATCAGACCGTTTATATGTGGCTGGACAGGCGAGTTGATTTATGACCCTCACTAACTGCAACAGATCCCTGGAGAAAGTGGGCAAATATGCACAGAAGCCAACAAGGCATCTGTGAGGAAAGGAATCAAGACACTGACCCCTTCTCTCCTGGAATTCAATAGTAGTGCACACCCTTCTCCTTGACTGAGGGTATTCCAATGGGGTCTTTGATAGAAAAGGGTACCAGAGGTCTCCAAAAAGGATTTCCCTACACAGGGCCCAGGTTAGGATGTTGGGGGAGCTGATTCCAACCCAACGTGTGGCTCTGATCAAAAAGCCAGCAACCCCAGCCTGGTATTGGGTTTTGGGAACAAAGACAGGGCATGAGATCAATGAAAGAACCTTGACCATATTTTTGAAAAATGCTAAGAGAGTGCATGTCAAGTGTGTTCACCACAAAAATAACTATGTGAGGCAATGCACATGTTACTTAGCTAGATTTAGTCATTCCACCATGTAAATTTACTTCAAATCATCATTTTGTACTTGATAAATGCACACTATTTTAACTGTTAATTTGTTAAAAAGGAAAAAGAAAAGAGCCATGACGTTGATCCTTGGCACTACCCAGTGCTGGCTCTTCCTCGTCACCACATTGGCTGCCTTTCTGATGCAAGAACTTACAGCCACACACTCACCTCCTCTTGGATTCATCAGCCTTCCCAACTGCTAAATGTGTGGCCTAACGACTAAAACAGAGGCCAAAATACATACGATGTGTCCTTGCTGAAGTTAAGACTAAGCAGATTAAAGAGGAACGTGAGTAGTGCCAAAGACTATAAACTCACAGGGAAATTAGTACAGGGAACAGCCTTAAGTTCCAACGCCACAGGCCCTGAAAGAAGACGGGGGTCTCCAAGAACTAAGCAGGCAATGAGAGGCCCTCTGGTCTCCCTCAGCATGTAGCAAGCCTGGGTGACTTACACCTGAGAGATGGTAACAGCTAGATGATGGCAGATTTCCAAATTGGTTTGAATTATGAAAGAGGAACTGGGTACTATACAGTTATAGTATAGTACTATCCCTATGCAGGGATATGTTCCAAGGCCCCCAGTGGATGCCTGAAACTGCAGATAGTACCCTCTACACACTATGTTTTTTTCCTATACATACATACATATGACAAAGTTAATTTATAAATAAAACACAGTAAGAAGTTAACAACAATAACTCATAATAAAATAGAACAATGTAACAATATCTTGTTCACTATTTTCTAGATAGAAGATTCATTCCTATCATAGACCTTAGCAACCTCAGCATATGATTTTTCTTTTCTTATTAAGTCAAGAACTTTAATCTTTTCACTTAAAGGAAGCACTTTATAGCTCTCTTTGACATATTCGAATTACCAGCATCACTACTCTCGTGCTTGGGACCATTATTAAGTAAAATAAGGGTTACGTGAACAGAAGCACTGCAGTAGTGCAACAGTCATCTGATAACCAAGGAGGCTACCAAGGGACAACAGGCAGGGGGCATAGACACCATGGATATGCTGGACGAAGGGACGATTCACATCCCGGGTGGGATGGAGCAGGAAAGCATGAAATTTCACACTACTCACACACAAATTGTTTATTTCTGGAATTTTCCATTTAATATTTTCAGACCGTGGCTGACCACAGGTAACTGAAACCAGGGAAACAAAACCTGGCAAGAGCCAAGACTAGGAGTACAGCCAGCCAGGGCTACAGTGCCAACCTTGGGAGGGTTATGCCAGGCAAAAGGAGCAACCGTGCATAGACATGGGGTTGAGGACAGAGCGCTGGCCTGTCTTTCACAAAAATAACTATGTGAGGAGCCATTAGTGCTCAGAGTGGAAATCAAAGAGGTGCAGCTACTCGGGAGGCTGAGGCAGGAGAATCACTTGAACCCAGGAGGTGGAGGTTGCAGTGAGCCGAGATCACGCCATTGCACTCCAGCCTGGGCAACAAGAGCGAAAACGTGTCTAAAAAAAAAAAAAAAAAAAAAAAAAAGAATACCTGAGTATTCTGGGTAGTATTCCAGGTAATTCATAAAGAAAAGAGGCTTCTTTGGCTCATGGTTCTGCAGGATGTACAAGAAGCATGGCACCAACATCTGCATCTGCCGAGGCCCTCAGGCTGCTTCCACTCACCGCAGAAGGCAAAGGGGAGAGTGTGTGGAGATCACATGGTAAGATAGGAAGCAAAAAGGTGGGAAGGTGCCAGTCTTCTTTTAACAACCAGCTCTCCTAGGAACTAATAGAACAAGGACTCATTACAGTCAGGATGGAACCCTCCAGACTCTTCTCCAACGGTTCTCAAGAACATCCCTTCTGTAGACTGGGACAACAACTCACCACCACCACCACCACCAGTCCCACTAATCCCCACTCTCAGCTCCCAATCTCAGGAATTCCCTGCCTTCTCCTCCTTGAGTTAGCTATATCCTCCAAGAAGCCTCTTCACTCCTGCTGATCTCCTTCCTTTCTCGCCCGTGGAGTCTATACTCAATAGATCTCAATCACTTCTGAGGCGTCTTCCATTTCCTCTCTCCACCTGCTAAACTCTAAGCTCCCTGAAAGCCTACAACAACAGTCCATGGCGTGTTGCCTGGCACAGTGCAGGTGCTCAAAGAAAATAACAACCCAAGGCCCCAGCAGCCTGTGTTCTTCCCTGAGAAACCAGCCTGCCGCAATCAAGCCAGAACCCCACGCACCTTCGCCTCAGGCCTCACCACAATGCTGAGCACCAGAACCACCTCTACAGGAGGAAGAGGTGGCATGCTGCCCACGTCCATGTCTTTCAGGGCCTTGGTTTCTTGATTATTCCCACCATGAGACTCCCATCAGGCAGGAGGCTGCAGGGGGGCAGTCCCCACCTTCCTTCCAGGGAATGGACATAGACCGATGCTCTTTGACTCTCTGTCTCTCTCTCTCAGGAATATTTTTGAAGTTGGATGGAGCTCCCTGAGATTTAGTCAAATAATGAACAGAGCCTACACATAACCAAAGACCCAAGACTGCTGCTCAGGACTCAACACTGCCTGCTTCTGTAGTCTCTAGCCACTTGGAAGCAACACCCTTAGAGTAAGGCCTCAGTGAGCCAGCAAGGCTAGGGAGGTGCAGGGGAGCGGCTGAGATAAGGGCATCTCTCCTTTGTCTTAGAAGGTAGAAACTGAGAAGAGACTTGTTTCTTTCAGCTAGTCCTTCCTGTGAGAAATATGCGCCAAGTATGTTTCTACGCAGTGTATCTTCTGTGTGTGTACATTGCGCCCTGGGAATTACAACACTGTAAAAGATAAGGGCTGGCCTGGGCTGTGTAAAGGAGAGTGGCTTAAGGCGAGGGTTGCAGAAGATGCTTTCTGGAGGCATGGAGGCCCTCAGAGCTTCAGGCTGTTTCCGTAGTGCCCTCTGCTGGCCCAGATTTGCTATAGCTGTTAGGACAGAGCTCCTGATGCTGGAGACCTAGGGGAAGAGCCTGGGAGGCGGCTCCCCTCAAGCACTTTAAACCTCATTCACGCAGCGGCAGCCTCCACATATTGAGAACGGATCTTGGGACTGGGGAGAAGCAGAAAACCTACAAGGCTGGAAAAATTGTTAAGCCAGTGTTTTTCCAAAGCAGAAGAGTGTTGGGGTTGGGGGGAAAAGGGTGAGGAGAGAGGAGGGTGAAGACCGTCAGTCCAGGGCATGTACTCAGAACGCTCTCTGGAAAGGTGAACTGCCCGCCCACGCAGGGCTCCAGCCCCTGAGTCTCAGGCAGTCCCGTGTCAGCCCAAGGGCACTGGGAGACCTGGGAGGGCCCAGCCCACACACAGGGACTGTCAGAACTGGCGGGGGACTGAGAGAGATCTAGGGAAGCCCACTTGTTTTTCACAGGAGGAAACGGGACAAGGGAGGGGTAGTAGCTTTCCAGGAACACCTAGCGAGCTAGTGGCAGAGCCGTGAAAAGAATCCAGGTTCTCTCAGCCACTCAGCGTTGTTCCCTGGAAATGGCATTCACAGACCGAAGGTGAACCAGATGCGTGGTAGGACGCTTCCTGTGGATGGGATGTCAGCCGTGGCCAGAGATGCACAGCTTCTAAGCATTATCTACAGCAAAACTGAAAACCGTTCTACGATCAAGGAGGGAAGGTAGTTCCAGGTGCCTCTGCTTAAGTATAAGGAAACCCAGGGTGGCTGTGTTATCCCTACAGCAGCTCCAACCCGGACCCAGAATAGGTCCAGAGTTGTGACGGAAACCATCTTGCCGTGGGGGCCCTTCATCACTCCTCTCACTTAGATGCTCTCCTCAGACGAGGCTCGTTTTCACACCATTCCCCATGCCCCTGATCCTCTTGGAAAACTCATAAATGGGACCTGGAAACAGAGATGCTAAGAGTTTTGTGCTGGAAGAAACAGGGGAGACCGCCAGGCCAGGGAGCCAGAATCGTCCCCGTGAATCGTTCTGGAGAATGTCACTGCCGTGCTACCACATTCTAGCCCCTGAAATCCTCCCCAGCTCCGTGTATGGAAAAATACCTTTAGATTAACACACTTAACCCAGCAGAAGTGGTCTGGAATGTTTAGCATGACTTTATTTAAGGAGAATAAAGATGGAATTTAAAAAACAAAAACCAGATTCACACAGCCTGGCTAACAGAATTCTAACCCTACCCGGGAGCGCTCCCTGTAGGGCTCACGGGCAGTCCCGTCTCCCTAGTATCAGCCAGCCAGTTCTGTTTTCTTTATGGCAGTCAGCCACAAGGCTGAGGAGTGTATGCAAAGCTGGAGGATAGGAGTTTCGGTGTACAGAGGAAAGGTAGACAGTATGCCAGAAACTAAGGCTCAGTGTGTCAGAACCAGCAAGGGCCTGAGGTCAACCATAGCCCAGGGAATTACCTCATCCTTCAGGTGGGACTCTCCTTTTCTGCCCAGGCCCTCCTCATGTCTACAAACCAATTGCATCATTCTTGTTATTGAATAATTTATAACAAAAATAACTGTGGACCTCCTGGTGAGACACTCCTCATTGTTCCCAGGCCCTCCTCATACATACAAACCAAATTGCATCATTCTTATTACAGAAAAATTTATTTTAAAAAATAACTGGCTGCAGATCTCCTGCCCTCCAAAAATGATGGCATAATCTGTCCAGATGTACGTGGTTCTGTGCATAAGAAAATGTTTCAGTGAGCTTCGGGTAACATCAAAAGAAACGACCTTTGGGTGATACTAAAAGAAAGCCAGAAAGAGGCAAATTTGAACATTTAAAATATTTTTATTTTCAGTGTTTGCAAAGAATTCCTTTAGAGCTGGGCTCCCTGAGTAAGATAACCAGAAGGTAAAGGAAAACAGCGAAGTAGCAGTTGGTCACTTTCTTATTTCACTGTTATAAAAACGGCAGTTCCTCACATGATTACCATATCTGCAAGAGCTATTATGTCATCTGCAGACATCAATATTGTAAAAGTCAGAGATAAGTTTCACCTCACTAGGGAGTCAGCAACTCATGGAATAAAGGTCCAAGGCTTTATTTGTTTGGAGGACTAATGCTTGACAGAGTTTGTTTTAGTTTACCACAGGATGAAAAGTTTTGTCTCTGAGGCATGTGAAGTATGTGATATACACAATTAGTCAAAATGGGGGCATACCCAGTGTCCATTTTGCATTCTCAGTGAAGAAAGATGAATTTCCCCTGGACGGTAGGAGACAAAGACAACTAAACTACTTAAATGTATCAGTGACTAACGCAGTATTTGGCATATGGTAGGCAATCAATAAACATGTATTGAGTGAACAAATGAAGAATGAAGTTAAGTAAATGGGTATGGAGTGCTAGGAAAAAGAGAACAACCAGGAGAGACTTAAGGTCTAAGGAGAGATGGTGTGAGGCTCCCCATAGCAGGGAACTTCAATGGCTCAGGTTCCCTAGGGCCAATTAAATTTGGGCATGGATGATTCATGTGCATCGTTAAAGTGTTTTTGTGTTGGAATTTTCAGCAAAGACAAAAGTCTTATATTGGTGGTGCCCAGAGAAATGCAGAGAAAGGAGCTGTGTCCATATTTGGAGGGATTCAGGGAACAGGGAATAACTGAAGGAATCAAGACACAAATGATAATTCATTAGAGAAAATCACAGGGCACAGTGATTTTAAGAGTTGAAGCTCCTGAGAATCTACACAGATGTTGACAAGGGAGTTGAATATCTCCCAGTGGGAAGGAGGGTTAAGTCTATTCAACATGTATTAAAAATAAGTATTAGAGGGCCTGGCTTAGTAGCTCATGCCTATAATCCCAACACTTTGAGAGGCCAAAGAGGAAGGATTGTTGGAGGCCAGGAGTTCAAGACCAGCCTAGGCAACATAGTGAGACCCCCATCTCTACAAAAAACATTTTTTTCAATTAGCTGGGCATGGTGGCATACGCTGGCAGTCCCAGCTACTCAGAGGCTAGTCAGAGAATTAGGCTTATCCTCTGAGCTAATTGATTGTTTTCAGCCCAGGAGTTTGAGTTTGAGGTTAGTGAGCTATGACCACACCACTGCACTCCTGGGTGACAGAGCAAGACTCTGTCTCTAAAAATAAATAAATATATAAAAAATAAAAGTATTAGATAAAGCAGATAGATCTAGAGGCTTTCTCCACTGACCCCACATTGAGAAAGCTGGACTATGAATGCATAAAACAGGGAAAACATGATATAGCAAGAATTATACAGAGTAAATGGCAGAGCCAAAGACAAGGAATTTGTCTCTCACAGTCTCTTTTATACCTTCAATCTAGACCAGTTGCTTCCCTTCTCTCTGCCAGTCTGAAAGGGATGGAATGACTTCTCGCTCAATCCTCCCCCTTGAAGAGTCTCTAAGTCTCTCAAGAGGTTATATGTTCCCACCTACCCAGCAGCTTCTTTCCTGGTCATTAGCTCAGAACAGGAAGAAGGGAAGTGGTCAGAATTCTACCCAGAAGAGAGCCAGAGGGGCAAAGGGAGCCAGGGCTTGTGGCCAGTTAGGGGCATTTCAGGAAAGCAACCTCCTGGAGTTCCTTGAATCTCAGCAGAGAACAAAGCCGGTTGCTTCCTGCAAACCTCACTGGCAACCTTTTTCCTCAGCTCCATTCCCACAATGCCCCAGGCTCACACACGAATTAACAAGAACATAAAAGTCCTATTTGTCTAAGTCATCTCCCTGAGGCAATTGGCTCTCCATGCAGCTGGGCCTGACCCCCTGCCACCTCTAGGGATTAAGGGAGTGCATCACAAAACTGGGGAGTACCAGACCCTACTCAGGCCCTATTAGTACTTTAGAATTGGCTCCAGTTATTCAGAGGCAGGAATGGCAGACAACCAAGATGATTTTCCTCTCCTCCTGTTTAAAACTCCATTCTAACAATTTATCTTAGCCTTCTACCAGCTGCTGCCCTCAGCTCTGTTGTGCGCTTATTTTAAGGGTTCCCCAAGTCAATTCTGCTCAGTTCATATGCCCAAATTCTGCATCCAAGGATAGCGCTGTTGTCCTTATGCTAACCAACCCCCAGTATTGAAGGCTGTCACTTCCATCTCTCTCCACAGTCTTCTTGGTCCAGGAAGCCTCTCCAGATTAATTCCCAGTAACTTCCTAAGGTCTGATGACTCCTCAATTCTCCAGACCCTTGGGATAGAGAAATTTAGAATGTCCTAAGTGTACCAAAGACCTTGCTAAGGCCAATTTCAAACTTGATAATAAGGAGAAGAGAATTGATTTGTCACAAATAAGCCAGAACTTCTACATCTAAATGAGCACCACATTCTTCAAACTAGTCACCTTGGGAAGCCATACTCACCCCAAATGGGCTTTCATTGCTCCAAAATTATCTGCCCTTTTGAATCGATTTTCAGAACCTGTTTAGAAGCCAGACGAGAATGGGAACCTTATGATGAAATAACCGAGTAGAGTTTTCAACCCAAATGCCTCTCCACTTTATTCCTCAATCTTGGTTCTTAATGACCATTTCCAAATATTAATTTGATTTTTAGAGGTACATGATGTGTCACCTGGAAATTATTCAAAGCCAGGGACATTGATTCTGAGGATGCTTTTTCTGGCAATTGCCTATAAAATTCAGGCAGTTAACCTTTTGACATTTGACCAAGATGACTGGTTAGCTTCCACCAGCTCAGAGAAACAAGGCATTACTGTAGTGCCAATGGGTGCGTAACAGAAACAGCAGTGAAGTCAGTTAGGATCAGCGTGAGATGGCCAGGTAAAGGCCCTTATGTCCGCCCAGATACAGGAATCAACCTTCCATCCTCGTAAATGCAGGGTCACCTCCTCCCTCTGTGTTCCACATTCCCCACCCCACTGTCTAGGATAGGACACTGTACCCAGATAGGGAAGAATGAAGAACAGGGGAAGAACATGCAGAACAGGAGAAGGGGCAGATTAGCACCCCAGCAAGCACCAGGGTCTACAACCAGGTGTCCACGGACAATTGCCCCCTCAAGGAAGCCAGAGAACTGGAGTGTTTTTCTTTAACCACATCCAGGAGAAAAGGAATTGCAGTCTTCTGGGTACCATCCCTGCCCCCATTCCCATCCCATGCCTCCCTCTCCATAATGAGTAACAGGCTAAGCTTGGTAATGAATATTACAGACTTGTTTTAAATTCATGAAAAGCATCTTTTTTAAGTGTTGGGGGAAAAAAGGTATTTACCTTACAGGCCTCTGCTCCCTCCCCACAATTCCTGGGAGTACCTCCTCCTTTCTTTCCTGAGGCCCAGGTAGGGAAGGGAGGCAAGGAGGAGTACCGAGAAACTGCTCCTTGGCAGTGCTGATTGCAGAACCCTGAGGTTCCTCCTCCTGGAATCTCCTCCTGGAAAATACTTGTGCAAATAGCAAGAACTGTTCCTGAGGGCTGTGTAATGATCTGTCCGAGATGACGTTCCTACTGAGAAGGGAGCATCGCCCTCTGCCTTCATGTACCTCCCACTCAAATGTGCGTGCGCACACACACACACACACGCACACACATGCACACACATGTGCCCTCCCCATACTCAAGCCTCTCCATCTCCGGCCCTATCACTCACTTGATTTCAGATCTTCAGGAATGGAGCACTTCCTCTCCCTCACTTTCCTGACCATAATGCCCCTGAGTGCTTCCTCTAACGTTTCCCCTCTTCTCAACATCCCTGAACTGCTTCAGACCTTCATTTTTCCCTTCTAGGTACTCCTTTATGGGTCATATTAATATCGAATTATTTAGCATAACTTTATTTCCAAGCCGAGACTATGAGCTCCATGAGGGTGGATACCAACTCATACTTATCCCTCAGATGCCAGTACCCAGTACCTGCAAAATGAATGAAGCCCCTGCCTACCTTTCTCTGAATTCTCCTTGCCCTGCACAGATCTCCACTGCCCACCTTTGATATTAGACTTAATTCACCTCCTGACTCCCAACTCTTAACCACATTATTCCCACACTGGACTTCTGAACCTACCTGACCTTTTCTTTCTGAGGAACCAGCTGGAAGACATCAGTTAAACAGAAACGGATTCTGTCCAAAGGCAAGTATTCCCCATATCTTAATCTTTCTTCTGGGCCCTTCCTGGGGAATCACTCGATGAAGTGCATGAAAATTGAAGGCCCAGTGCTGACTCTTTTCACCACGGAACACCAAAGAGACTCTCCACACCTTTGAAAACATGCAAGCTCTCTTTCCTGACCCAAGGATGCTTCTATGGCCTGAATTGTCAGGTTTCTACAGGCATAAGCCCACATTACAAGACAGAGAAAGAAAGCTATCAAGCTAGGGTTGAATAAACCCCACAGATATTCCAGCAATGAGTGCATTAAATTGAGAAACTGAAGCGAGAGGATCGCTTGAGCCCAGAAGTTTGAGGGTGCAGTGAGCTATGATGGCATCTCTACACTCCAGCCTGGATCACAGAGCAAGATCCTGTCTCTTAAAATAAAAAAAGAGTGTATTTAAAAAGCAGTTCAGCTTGCCTCTAGGAGCTGGGGCAGGTATCACCTGGGAAAAGGCAGGAGGAAATTTTCTGGGTTACTGGTAATGCTTCATATCTTGATTGGAGTCTGGGTTACATCAGTAGATGCATTTGACAAGACGAAAAAATACAGTTAATATGTATGTTTCATTGTATAGTTTCATTGTATGTAAGTTTTACCTCAAAGAAAAAAACTACAAACAAATATTAAATAGTTTCTTAAAAAGCAGCTTGGCATATCTCTTTCCAACAGATTAATGTTATTAGTCTAATCTAAGCTTTATCCACCAGTCCACATCTCTTGCCCAAATTCTGAAGGTTTCTAGCCCCACTCACTTGTAGGTTTCTAGCTGCACTTCACCAAAAGTTACTGCATTCTAACTGTGTGTCTGGCATCCTCACTGGGGCTGGGGTGCACAGACAAATTAAACATGGTCCTGCACTGCACAGCTGAAGTCTAGTGTGGAAAACCAAGCACTAAACAGACAATCCCAATACCATCGAGGTGATGCACAGATAAAGAGAAGAGCAAGGGGCTGGTGGAAGTGCATAGCCCAGAACTCTGACTTCACTTTGGTGGGGAGAGGAAGGAAGACAAGAAGAATGCCCAGAAAATCTTCCAGGGGCTGGGCCCACTGGCTCAAGCCTGTAACTGCAGCACTTTGGGAGCCGAGGTGAGCGGATCACGAGGTCAAGACATCGAGACCATCAAGACCATCCTGGCCAACATGGTGAAACCCCATCTCTACTAAAACTACAAAAATTAGCCAGGGGTGGTGGTGGGTGCCTGTAGTCCCAGCTACTTGAGAGGCTGAGGCAGGAGAATCGCTTGAACCTGGGAGGCGGAGGTTGCAATGAGCTGAGATTGCACCACTGCACTCCAGCCTGGTGACAGAGCGTGACTCCGTCTCAAGAAAAAAGAAAAGAAAAAAAGAAAATCTTCCAGGAAGAAGGTATTTCTGATCTGAATCTTAAAGGATGAGTAGGAAAAAGCTCTGTCATCTAATCGTAGGAGGGCATTAAAGACAATACACGGAGGAAAATACGTGAAGAGGCAGAAGCAAGAAAAAATTAAATCTATGCAAGAAACTGAAAGAAATTTAATGTGACTGAGGCAGAGTCTTGATGAGGGAATGAGAAGGGTTGAAACTGAAGGGACGGACAGAAGCCAGCTCATGAAAGATGGTGTGTGCTCTGCACATAGTTTGTCTACTATAAATCACTTAGACAGCTGGGAGTTTGAACTTGAGACTGTCAGAGGGAAAACCATTTGTGAAGCTGTTTCTTCAGTGAACATAAAAAATGGCAAGGCCCCCAGGCAGAGGCTTCTGAGCCAGAGCCCTGGGATTGACAAAGAGGCAGAACTTCATAGACCCCGGTGTCCTTGTACATAGGGGGCCAAGAGGAGGAAAAATGTAAAATTACTCTCAGATCTCTATTTAGATAACTGGGTGAATGTCAATACTGTTAATCAGAATGGAAAATGGTGCAGGAGGAGGAGCAGGTGATGGGGAAGATGTGGGGAACGTAGGTGAGGCCAGTTGCAACCCCTAGGGTTCATCAGTGCATTACTGCCCATCCATTAGTGGATATTAGTGTTCAGGAGAGAGGTCTGGGCCGGAATGAAGATGTGGGAGCCAGGAAGTGTGACTCCAAGAATGAGTCACACAGGAGAGTTTGTAAGAGGAGAGAAGAAAAAGGCTAAGAATAGAACACTGGAGAATATCAAAGGGGCAGGCAAGGTGAGTCAAAGTGGGACTGAAGGGTGGCCCAAAAAAGGAGAGAAAGAAAGAAAACCCCAGCACCTCAAAAGATGAGTGGCTCTAACAGTGTCAGAGCCCACCGAGATCAGATAAGATAAAGGCTGAAAAGTGGCGACTGTATCCGAGTACCTTGGCAAGGATGTATCTCGGTTCCAGGGATGGTGGTGCAAACATTACAGGGTGATAAGAACATAAAGCAAAACACGGATGTTGAGGCCAAAAAAAAAATGGAGTTGTTTTCAAAAAGCTTGGTTGCAGAAGGATTGGAAAGAAGCTAGATAGGGAGAGTATAAAGGGAACATTTTGCTTATTTTTAAGATGTCTGTATGTTGAAGGAAAAAAGCCAAGAAAGTCTCACAATGAACCACACAACAGGAGAGATGGTGAGAGCTCAGATGGACTGAGTTCCCATGGAGGTGAGAGGTAGACATCCAGAGAACAGGGAAGAGCCCCAGAAAGTTGACCCAGAAAGTGGATCTGAGCTATTCCTGTTCGAATTTCACAAGTACCCTGGGTCACACTGTGGAGATGAGAGTCAGAGAGATTATGTGACATGCCAAAATCATTCAGCCTCTAAGTGGTGGAGCACAACTTTGCTTCAATCCCATAGGCTAGGAAGAGCATGCTTTGTCTACCAGGACAGAGTCCCCTGCTACCATCAATTGTCCCTTCATCTGTCTGAGATCCTTGCCTACTGTGTATCCCCTCAAGGCAAGACCACAGTCTACTCATCTTTATCTGTCTGGGTCCAACACGGTGTCTGGCACAGACAGAGCACCTCAGGAAACAAATCTCAGTCCATTTTCACCAAGGTCCCAGGAACAGGGCAAGGGCAGGCTCCACTCCGTGGAGAGAAGACATCTCAAGGAAGTAACTGGCTTTGTGAGGAGCAGAAACTAAGGTTCCAAGTTATCCTCAGCTCCCCAGCTTGGGTCTGGAATAGATGGAGGAGGGAGCTGACCAGTTTTGACACATGTATTCCTCACACGAAACCTGTAGGATTAAAATGATCATTTCTCACCATCAAATGCAAAACAGCTGAAGTGGAACACAAGAGCTGGAGTCAATAATACTGTATTGAATTTGGGATTTTTGCTGGAAGAGCAGATTTTGGGTGCTCTTACACATACACACACACACACACACACACATACAGAGAGACACACACACAAAAGGCTAATTATGTAAAATCATGGATGTGTTCATTTGCTTGATTATAGTAACCATTTCACTAAATACATGTATATCAAAACTTCATGTTACACCTTAAATATTACCATAAAATAAAAGAAGAAAGAAAAACAATTGAAGTGGGGCAGGTAAATTGCCTCTCTGAAGGCCACACAGCTAGTAAACAACAAAATCGAGTCATAAACCCACATCTCCAGGACTTTCTGCCATTTCGAAGAAAACACAAGTCCGCAGGAAGGGATTCTGAGGCAGAGAGAAGCACCTTTGGATTCTCCACTTCTCTGGATTATCCACACCACTGGCCTCCCTCCCCTATATGAAGGGCAAACTGGGAACTGACTTCATATTCTGGTTAACTTACCAGGAGAATTTTCTGGGGTAGAGGATCATTAGCTGGGACTGAAGACACCCTGGTCAGGGCCTACTGAGGCTGGGAAGCTCTGGTTACCACATGGAGACCCCTAGAGAGGACATCAGCCTCTCTGGACCTTAGTCAGGTGGGATCCCCAAATGCTGTGAGGGCAGCCCCCTAGGGTGGGCTTAACCCACTCAAGGGAAGCCTCAGCCACCCCCACTCTCTCCTAAGGAGGCTGGATCTGACATCTTGGGCCCCCCTTCTGTTTCCAGGTGGAAGGAGAGCCTTCTGGGCACAGCCCTCCTGCCAGGGCCCTCTCCAGAAACCTCTCACAGTCTTCCCCAGGACCCCAGATGCAATCAGAGATGGGAGCCCAGGGACAAGCGAGATGGGAAGGGGAGAGGCAGGAAAAGGATGCCAGTCAGGACAGTGCCAACTCCAGAGCTGCTGTCCAGGACCTACCTGCAGGGAAGGCGGGCACCAGCCAGCCCCAGCCAGCCTTTGTTGACTTAACAGGTGGCTCTGAGGTGGGAGAAGAGGAGGAGGAGAACACACCACTGGAAGACTGGTTCCCATTGGTCCCTGTCATGCTTAAAAAAAGGCCCAGAGAGGCAGTCTTGACACCCTAGATCCCAAGATCTCCAAGGATTTGGTGGCATACCCACTCCAGCACACAGAAGCATGAGGTTCATGACTCTCCTCTTCCTGACAGCTCTGGCAGGAGCCCTGGTCTGTGCCTGTGAGTATGGCTCTTCCCCGACACCCAACCATATAGTCCCCTGAAGACTGGGCCCTGCCTTCATTTCCCCTTCCCCTCCTCGCCAGAGGCAGTTCACCCAAGTCTGTCTCTGTAGCCCACTCCTGCCTCCCACTAGGTTCTCCACACAGGGACTCTATGGTCAGAGGAAGCCAGGAGCCCTGTGGCCCCAGCCTGGCTCTCCATTGCCTCTCCTCTCAGTCTGTGATTGGCCCACTCTGCTCCAACCACTCTGGCATTCTTTTTCCCCTCAATGAACCAAGCCATTTCCCACTGCCAAGACTTTTGCACATCCTCTTGTCTTTTCCCCTGCCCATTATTTCACCCACCCACGTCAACCTCCTTCCTACTCAATTTCCAAGTGTCCGCCCTGCTAGCTCTCTGTGTCCATGTATTTCCTCACAGCAGGCTTGCTGAAGCCCCAGAATCATTTTGGCCCCTATTTTGCATTTTCTTGCCTCCTGTATTTTTCCTTCCTAGCACTATCACAAATGTAATTAAATAATTGTTTATGTAATTATGTTAATTCCTCCAAATCCCCCATTGACTGTCAGCTTCCCCGAGCAATTACACTGTCTGTCTTCCTCACAGCTGTATCTCTAGCCTCTAACACCATGTCTGGTGCATAATGCGTGCTTCATTCATGCTTTTGGAAGAATAAAGAAATGGAGGGAAGGTCCTTCTGAGGTCATTCTATCAGGTGACAATCAGAACAACTCCTGCCCTGTCACTAGAGCAGGTGCTGTGGTCATGCCCTCGTGGTCATGCCCCTTCAACTTTCATTATGAAACTTGGACATCTAAGACATAGAAGAGAGTCAGAGAATGATTCCATTTCCATAGGGATGTTCTGAGTAGCCTAGGTCTAGGGAGGATAACAGAGAGAGGGATTTGGTTGAGATACCAAAAAGCATTTCTAGTGGGCCCCTTGTGAAGCAGAGATTTCTCTCCTGTCTGTCCACTGCCACACTCCTGAGATTAGAGGCCTGGGAATTCTAGGCAGCCCTGGCTGGATACAGCTCATGCAACTGTGCCCTACTTGACATGGTCACTGTTCCCTCCTTTGCAGATGATCCAGAGGCCGCCTCTGCCCCAGGATCGGGGAACCGTGAGTCCTTTCTCTTCCTCCTGCCCCAGTCCTGGGTGGGAGGGTTAATGACTTGGGATATGAGTGGAGGAAGTCAGAGAAGCAGAAGGGGGGTCCGGGGAAGGAGAGTTGGGAGGCCGACTTTTAGGAGACATGGAGAAGGGAGACTTCCTGAGAGACTCATGCACTGGAGAAGGACAGAGCATGGGGGAAAGGGTGGCCCTGTCTGGAAGTAGAAGTGGAGTAAGAAAAATGGGAAAGAAAAGAATACTTTTCTTGAGCAAGAGGAGGAACTTCACATTAGATGGGTTCAGAGGTTTTCATCTGCCCCACCTTCACCAACAATTTCAATTCAAAAACCTTTCACGTGGTTTCCCATTTCTCATCACGAAACTCTCACCTCCTAGCCTGACATTCAGGGTATCCATGATCTAGATCCAGGGTACTTTTCAAATATAATTTCCCTAGACTCCACTGCTTGCATTCTCCACATCAAACGTTATACATTTGTTTCATCAGACAGCATGAGTAACTTTCTACTACCCAACGTTCCTCTTCCTGGGTACCTTTTCAACCCCTACCTGTCCGTGCTCTAACAAGCTTCAAGTCCCAGCTGCTCTCTGAAGCCCTCCCTGCCTGGTGTGTATGGTGCCTCTGTCCCAGTCTCTCCTTTCATCCCTCCCTCTTCTGGGCTTCCCATATATAGCAGTTTTGTCTCTTTTCCTAGACTGTAAGCCCCTGAGAGAGAGATCTAATTCTCATTCATTTCTACTTCCCCAGCCATGTACACACTCTGGATAATTAACGGCAGAAAGATAAACTGTATTTCTGCACATCTTCACTGCACTGCGAGCCCCAACCACAGCACACACCTGCACCCTCCCTGCCTTCTCACATAAAGCCCAGAGGGAACACCGGGCACCTTGGTGTCTTCTCAGATGCCCCTGGAGCGTTTCACACCAATGCAATAACAGAAGTTTTGATTTTCCAGATAAACAAATGGATTGTTTACAGCTACAGAAGCCCCCTTCAGAGACTGCCAAATTTCTGTCCTCATCCACCAACCTGCCTAGAAGAGAGAAGCTAGTGCCCTCTGCAAAACCTCCCCACACTAGGGGGCTGGTATAAGGGATGAAAACTAGGGGGAGTCTCTTTAAGGTGATCTTTCTGCCAAAATGACTTTACTTTTCCCTGAACCATAATCTACTCTAGAAAAGGGCCCTGGAGGAGCAGGAAAAGTCTTGGAGGCAGCAGGAAAAAGCTTGAGGGATGCTAAAGAACCTAACACATCATGAAAGTCAAGCTCTAGAGGAATTGGGAGAGAGGGAGCTATCCTCAAGCCAGACCTTGAGGGGGTAAAAGCACCACCTGCTCCCCGACCAGGGTGGAAAGAGTGAAATAGCTATTATTCCTCTCACTCCCTTACCCTTGCAGCTTGCCATGAAGCATCAGCAGCTCAAAAGGAAAATGCAGGTGAAGACCCAGGGTTAGCCAGACAGGCACCAAAGCCAAGGAAGCAGAGATCCAGCCTTCTGGGTAAGCCTCTTTCCCAATGCCTGGTATAGAATTCTGATGCATGAAACAGCAAGATATCTGGGGGCCAGTCTGCCCTCACAGGCACAAGCACAGGGACACAGCTACACCCATATTCCTAGGGAGGGCTTGGGGTGCACACCTGCTTCTACATACAGGGTTTCTGGGCCATAGGTTTTGCAGCTAATACTGGCCTACCAACCTTCCCATGACAGAGAAGTTGGTTCCTTCAGCAAAACCACTTCACCTTAGGGGTGCCCATGGTGCCTAGGAAGCGGGGGAGCTCTCCTACAAAGGAAGTAGTTTTTCTGCTTCTATGACCTCTTCTTTTCTGAATCCACCCTAGAAAAAGGCCTAGACGGAGCAAAAAAAGCTGTGGGGGGACTCGGAAAACTAGGAAAAGATGCAGTCGAAGATCTAGAAAGCGTGGGTAAAGGTGAGTATATGTCCCCACTCCTCCCTCAGGACCAGCCTCAGTCTCCACCCCTTGCATGAGATCTGAAACTGCCACAGCCCCCCCATTGAAGACCCCTCACTTTGTGCTTTCAAATGTCTCCAATTCCTCATCCAGATTTAAATTGCCATTCTTGTCTGATATTGATACTTCCTGGGGTCTAACTTGCTTTTTTTTTTATTGCTCTTGCCCCCTGCCCCTGCCAAGGTGGGGAAGAGAGGTTGGTCTTTGGGGCTCCTGTGAATCTAACCTCCATCCCTCTGACTTCTGTGTAAGCACCTCCAGGCCTCCCTTCCCCTTCCCCTTCCCCTACCTCTCCTTCCCCAATTCCCTGGCTCTCTTTCCCTTCCTTTTTTCTTCCTACCCCTTTACCCCATTTTTTTCTGTGGCTGTCCTAGGAGCCGTCCATGACGTTAAAGACGTCCTTGACTCAGTACTATAGCTGTAAGGAGAAGCTGAGAAATGATACCCAGGAGCAGCAGGCTTTACGTCTTCAGCCTAAAACCTAAAAAAAAAAAAAAAAAAAAAAATTTAAAACAGCTATTAAACTGAAAGCATCTGTAATACTTGGAGTATGTGTGTGTTTTCCTTAAGAAGAGATGGGGTATGAAACCTGGCCAGGAGCCCAAAAGGTTGGAAGAGCACTCCATGAGGCTTCAATTGGCACCCTGGCCCTTCCTCCCGAAACACAGCTTCCAGACCCAGCCTTCCCAGAGAGCACAGCTCCAGCAAGTTCTTTGATTCATGCCCAGCCCCTCACCCATATCTGCAGGGTCTAAGCCTCAAGTCCCAAACTGGTTGCCTCCTTATCCCTCATTCTGCCTGCCCAATGCCATTTTACTATGCATCAGTGTTGAGTGGGACTTTTCTCATTGCCCTGGATTTGGCTCTAGGACCCACAGCTAGAATCATAGACCCCCCAAATACCCCACATTCCATGGAGAACTTCTGACATCTGGAGCCTGCCCACCACCCTGGGACTTCCTTAGAGCTAGAAAAGCCAGCCCAATCCCAATCAATCACAGAACTATCATTCGCTACCCCGTGGAGAAGGAGAAAAGTGGAATCATCAGGGTCACTGGCTCTGATGAGCACTGGGGAAAGCAGTGCACATAGCAAAGAGATTTTTCTTGAAGATCTCCATGGAAGAAGGGAGGGAGATGCTTCTTCTACCCTTCAAGTCAAGTGAAGGGCTGTGGAAATCACTCCTAGATTGAAGGTTCCAGTCCAGGAGGAGACAGGCATCTCCCCCACCAACCTCCCATCCCCAGCTGAATGCACCCTCTAGACTGACCTGAAGCTGCCCAGACTGGAGCACAGTAGGACAGCTCTTGAGAAAGCCGTGTCCCTAGGCATCAAGATTATATTAATTAGGGAAGGCTAATCTACTATAAACAATAATCCAAGATATAATTGCACAAACATGTACAAGTCAAGATGGTTTGCTCCAGATTTGGGGGAAAGAGGCAATAGTCTGTCTTCTCCACAGAGTCGTTTAAGGATTCCAGGATGCCAACAGCCCTGCCACCTTCAATATCTAGCTTCAAGATCATTCTGTCATCTTATCACCATTCCAACTACAGAAAGGGGGAAGGAGCATGGAACAGATTGCTTGGAGGTTTGTATGAGCTATACTAACAAGTTATATAAGAACCCACTCCCAGTGACCACACCTAACTGCAAGGACTGGAAATGCCTAGCAGTAGGATGGTCAAAATGAATGTTTGTCTCCCTGTAGCAACTTCTGCCACAGGGCAAAGTGAACAAAAAGGTGGGTACCTGTTTATCGTCTGACATTTCTAGAAGCAAGAAGTTTTTCATGGTAGCCTGTGGAAGAGATGCAAGAAGACACTCTCATCCAAGCTCCTGAGGCCACTAAAGAGCAAGGAAGAGAACTTAGGATTCCCATTGCTCTCATGAGTGCATTTAGAAGAGGGATCGAAAGCCAAGAAGCTGCACTGGGGGCTTCCAAGCTGGATGGGAGGAGGCAGAACCTGGTGAGAGGGTTGAGACTGTGGGCCACTGGCCCAAAGGAACTGCCACTCTTTGAGGGTTTCCACAGCAATGGCAGGGCTGAGGTGAAGCTAATCACCAACTATCTGGTGACCACCACACCCTGCATCAGTGGAGGCATCCAGAGGAGCAGAAGAATGGAGACCAAGCCAGGAGGAGATCAGGATTTCTCCCTCATTGACTGTGATCAGTGACCTTAGAAGATCTCTGTCCGCCCCATCCCACCTTGCCTGAGATCCAGAACCAGACCCCACCCCTTTTCATGTCTCTCCAGTAAAGTATATGCTGGGGAAAGGAAAGGGAGGTAAGATTTTATACTGGATGGACTCTCAACAACCACAAAGAACTAGAATAAATGGAATCCTCTAAATTTGTCATCAATAAATGGGAAAGGGAGATTTAACAACACATACAAGATGCCTCTCAATTTAGGATGAGGTTACAGCCTGATAAACCCATCATAAGTTGAAAATATAAGTTAAAAGTACATGTAACATACCTAACCTACTGAACATCATAGCTTAGTCTTGCCTACCTTACACGTGCTCAGAACACTTACATTCACCCAAAACTGGGCAAAATCATCTAACACAAAGCCTATTTTCTAATAGTGTTGAATAGCTCATGTAATTTATTGAAAACCATAATGACAGTAGAAAACAGTGTGCTTTTATGGGTACTAGAAGTATGGATTCTACTGAATGTGTATTGTTTTCTCACCGACGTAAAGTCAAAACATTGTAAGTCGGGGACTATCCGTATTTGGGAGCACTGTTTGAAGAAAAACAAACTCCACCAAGTCCTGCCTATTCAAGAAAATATTGTTTCTAAAAATAAACCCACAAGCATCAGGATTTGTCATCATAATGATGATCAAGGGGCTGGGCACAGTGGCTCACGCCTGTAATCCCAGCACTCTAGGAGGCCGAGGCAGGTTGATTGCCTGAGCTCAGGAGTTCGAGACCAGCCCAGTCAACATGATGAAACCCCATCTCTACTAAAAATCCAAAAAAATTAGCTGGGCGTGGTGGCGTGTGCCTGTAATTCCAGCTACTCAGGAGGCTGAGGCAGGAGAATCACTTGAACCTGGGAGGCAGAGGTTGCAGCAGTGAGCCGAGGTTGCTCCTTTGCACTCCAGCCTGGGTGACAGAGCAAGACTCCATCTCAAAAAAAAAAGAAAAAAAAGAATCAAGGACAGCCATTTCTAAAGGGGTCTTCGGTTATGTATATTAAAAATTCAAATCTAATTCTCAAAATGTTAAGGAAAAAGCAAAGAGATGGAAACAAAGGAAGAGCATGATAAAGCAAGCACAATTAAATGTTGACATTTGGGAGCTCAAGTCCCCATTGGATCTAGAAAGAGGATGTGAAAATTCTTTGTACTATTTTTACAAATCCTCTGTAAGTCTGAAGTTATTTCAAAACAAAAAGTAGGTAATGCATATGTTAATTAGCTTGATTTAGCTGTTCCACATGCAACCATATTTAGAAACATCACATTGTATGTGATAAATATATACAATTTTCATTTGTCAATTTTTAAATTAATTAGCTTTAAAATAATACAAAGTAAAAATATTAAATGAAGTGTTCTGAAATAATAAGAAAATTAGGAGTTTTACAAGAAAATCCAGATTTCCAATTTTCCTTGAAGAATTAGAATGTCTGGCAGCCATCCGCTCAAGGCAGAGACAGCTGACCACTTTACAAAGGGCAGGCACACTCCAATTTGCTCCAACTCTACCACTTCCTCCTGATTTCCTGCACCTGAAAGGGAAGGACAATTACTACTTATCATCGCACCTATGCTGCCGTTTGCCTTGTACCTGGACTGCCTGGCTCATTAATGGTACCTGCTTGACTCCTGTAGGCATTGAAATTTGCAACCCTTAGCCCTGACCTTTGACCCCAAGTCCCTTTCTGGACATTGCCAGATGAGGTAGCTAGACCCCATGGGAGCCATGAGAATCCTTTTTGCTTAGACCACAGGCAGGAAGAGGGCCCGCTTATTGGTCTTCTTTGTGGACTGTTTCACAGCTTCCTGGAGCTTACCCCTTCACTTGTGAAACTAGAGATAGAAAAAAAAAAATCCTTCCCCTTAAGGTCTGGAAAAAGCTTTCCGAAGATGCCCATAACATGCCCTTTTTTTCCTCTGGGCCCAGTTGGTGTCCACTAAACCTTCCAAAATCAAAATGCTGAAGGGTACTGTCCTAGTTAATTTTATATGTCAACTTTGCTGGGCAACAATGCCCAAATATGTGGTGAAACATTATTCTGATGTTTTTGTGAGGGTTTTCTTGGATGAGATTAACATTTAAATTGGTAGACCTTGAGTAAGGCAGATTGCCCTTGAGTAAGGCAGATTGAAGGTGGGCCTCATCCAGTCAGTTGAGGCCCAAATAGAACAAAAGACAGACCTCCCCTGAGCAAGAAAAACTTCTGCCAGAAGGTGACCTTCAGACTTGAACCACAACATCAGCTATTTCCTGGGTCTTCAGCCTAACACCCTTCAGACCTGAACTACAGCTTTTGGACATGCTAGCCTCCATAATCACATGAACCAATTTTTTAACATAAATCAACCTCTCTCTGTTTCTCTCTCTCTCTGTCTCAATCTCTCTCTCGATATATATATATATATGTGTGTGTGTGTGTGTGTGTGTGTGTCTGTCTATAAATATTCATACTATATATAAATACATATACATACAAATACACACATATCCAATTAGTACTATTTCCCTGGAGAACCCTAATGAATACAGGTACCAATTAGTTAAACTAGAGAAATGTAATGTTACAGAGTCCTCATATTTATTTTAAAATGGAATTTAACATTCCAGCAAGGAGTTGTGGTTGACAGCACAGACTCTGAAACTAGGAAGCCCACATTGAAATCCAGCTCTGCCACTCACTAGCTGTGTTATCATGGGCCAGCATCTTAAACTGCCTTTGCCTTAGTCTGCTTATCTAGAAAGTAAGAGTATTAATAGTACTTTATCTCATTGGGTTGTTAGGAGGATTAAGTGAGATTAAAATGGATAAAGCTCTGAGAATAGTGCTTGGCACATACTACATGCTGTATGTATGTTAAAGAAACAGAATTCACATTTTTAAAATTTTTTCACTCATTGCTTTGTCTTTACACCTCCCCGATGGCCAAGGTGGAAGATCGGAGGCATCACAGGAGTGTGGCAGAGCTTGTGCAGGCCACAGGGCTTGGCAGAGAAGACAAGCCATGTCGAGCACAGCAGCCAGGGTAGAATGGCCCTCGGAGATCAACGTGTGCCTGTGTCTCCAATGCAGGAGCAGTCTACCCTAAATAGTCCATGTCAATTCCTCCCTTTGGAGTCTCTGCTTCCCCACCAGCCCCCAGAACATGGCCTAACACACAGGGAGGGGAATGAGGAAAAGACATTCATCACAGTTCAGACAGGAAGTGGTGTATCAGTGGAGAGGTCCAAGTAGAAAACAAATGGCACACTCAGGAGGGCTTATATATATATATAAATACTTTAAGTTCTAGTGTACATGTGCACAATGTGCAGGTTTGTTACATATGTATACATGTGCCGTGTTGGTTTGCTGCACCCATTAACTCATCATTTACCTTAGGTATTTCTCCTAATGCTATCCCTCCCCCATCCCCCCACCCCACAACAGGCCTCGGTGTGTGATGTTCCCCACCCTGTGTCCAAGTGTTGTCATTGTTCAATTCCCACCTATGAGTGAGAACATGTGGTGTTTGGTTTTCTGTCCTTGCGATAGTTTGCTCAGAATGATGGTTTCCAGCTTTATCCATGTCCCTACAAAGGACATGAACTCAACCTTGTTTATGGCTGCATAGTATTCCATGGTGTATATGTGCCACATTTTCTTAACCCAGTCTATCATTGATGGACATTTGGGTTGGTTCCAAGTCTTTACTATTGTGAATAGTGCCACAATAAACATACATGTGCATGCATCTTTATAGTAGCATGATTTATAATCCTTTGGGTATATACCTAGTAATGGGATCTTTGGGTTAAATGGTATTTCTAGTTCTAGATCCTTGAGGAATCGCCACACTGTCTTCCACAATGGTTGAGCTAGTTTACACTCCCACCGATGGTGTAAAAGCATTCCTATTTCTCCACATCCTCTCCAGCACCTGTTGTTTCCTGACTTTTTAATTATTGCCATTCTAACTACTGTGAGATGATATCTCATTGTGGTTTTGATTTGCATTTCTCTGATGGCCAGTGATGATGAGCATTTTTTCATGTGTCTGCTGGCTGCATAAATCTCTTCTTTTCAAAAGTGTCTGTCCATATCCTTTGCCCACTTTTTGATGGGGTTGTTTGATTTTTTCTTGTAAATTTGTTTAAGTTCTTTGTAGATTCTGGATATTAGCCCTTTGTCAGATGGGTAGATTGCAAAAATTTTCTCCCATTCTGTAGGCTGCCTGTTCACTCTGATGGTAGTTTCTTTTGCTGTGCAGAAGCTCTTTAGTTTAATTAGATCCCATTTGTCTATTTTGGCTTTTGTTGCCATTGCTTTTGGTGTTTTAGTCATGAAGTACTTGCCCATGCCTATGTCCTGAATGGTATTGCCCAGGTTTTCTTCTAGGGTTTTTATGGTTTTAGGTCTAACATTTAAGTCTTTAATCTATCTTGAATTAATTTTTGTATAAGGTGTAAGGAAGGGATCCAGTTTCAGCTTTCTACATATGGCTAGCCAGTTTTCCCAGCACCATTTATTAAATAAGGAATCCTTTCCCCATTTCTTGTTTTTGTCAGGTTTGTCAAAGATCAGATGGTTGTAGATGTGTGGTGTTATTTCTGAGGCCTCTGTTCTGTTCCATTGGTCTATATCTGTTTTGGCACCAGTACCATGCTGTTTTGGTTACTGTAAGCTTGTAGTATAGTTTGAAGTCAGGTAATGTGATGCCTCCAGCTTTGTTCTTTTTGCTTAGGATTGTCTTGGCAATGCAGGCCCTTTTTTGGTTCCATATGAACTTTAAAGTAGTTTTTTCCACTTCTGTGAAGAAAGTCATTGGTAGCTTGATGGGGATGGCATTGAATCTCTAAATTACCTTGGGCAGTATGGCCATTTTCACGATATTGATTCTTCCTATCCAAGAGCATGGAATGTTCTTCCATTTGTTTGTGTCCTCTTATTTCATTGAGCAGTGGTTTGTGGTTCTCAGGAGGGCTTTTTTTAAAAAAGGTTCTTTAAGGAAAAATGTATCTATTATTTACAGAGATTCAAGTATGGACTAGCAACAGCAGGAAGTCTGAAGCAGCGTGTTGGGGGGTGGGGGTGAATAATGTCACCTGACAACAAGAGATGGCGCTCTGAAACAGGGACCAGACAGAAGCTGCAGTCAGAGAGAAACAGCCATTGCCACACCATGCTGCATTAAGTATCCGTGGCTGTAAAAATTATTCAAACATTTGGTGGCTTCACACATGATTTCTTATCCACAGTTGTTATGGATCAGCAGTCCAGGTACAGATGCGCCCTCAGACACAGAGTCTCTAATGAGGCTGCAGTCAAGGTATCATCGAGGCTGCGGTCACCTCAAAACTCAGCTGAGGAAAGACCCACTTCCAAGCTCAGTCACGTGGTAGCTGGCAGGGTTGAGTTCCTCACAGATAGCTGGACTAAGGGCCTCGGCTCCTTACTGGCTACAGGCTGGAGGCTGTCCTCGGTTTCTTGCCACGTAGGTCTCTCCACAGGACAGCCTCACACATGGCCACTCACTTCATCAGAGCAAGCTGAGAAGATCCAGAGACAGAGTGTGTGTAAACAAGACTAAAGTCATAGTCTCAGAACTGACTACCTCATCACTTTGCCATCTTCTATTTGTTAGGAGTGAATCTCGAGACCCAGCCCAGTTAAGCAGAGGAAATTACAGCAGGGCACCAATGCCAAGACGTAGGCATCACCAGGAGCTATCTCTGAAGTCGTCCTACCACACATGCCAAAGCAAGAGAGGGAGCAGGAGGAACAAATGCCTTAATCTCTCCCTTTTCCCACCCTCCCATCTCCCACCTGTGTCTCCCATTGGCCAAACTCAACTCGAAGCTAGAGGGCATGGGAGCCCAGGTGATACAGCCCATAGAGGCATCCTTCCAGACCAGTGCAGAGATGAGAGAGAATAAACCTGAGGCAGAGGGGAGAGAGGTACAACGAGCAGCCCATGAGACAAGACACAGATCAGCGAACTGACAGTCATCATGGAGGTCAGATAACCTAGAAAACAAGACATCACACAGAGCAGCCCCTCACCCATATCCATGAGGTCCGTCAAGACATTGCACAGAGCAGCCTCTCACCCATATCCATGAGGTCTGCCTCTTTAATCTATGCACCCAATTCTTTCCCAGGCTCTATAATTTGGGGTAACATTTCTCTGGGCCCTGTTATAGAATAATGAAAATTTTCTATAAAACAAATGTCCTTACTTTCACCTCATCCCTATTTATGTAAATGCTTGCCTCTTTAATTACTGAGGCCAGGAGGAAGATTTGGGAGAGGAAAGGGCTATGCGGTGACATTTGGAAAGACCCTGCTCTGTGACAGTTCTAGTGTTGACGCCAAAGTTCTCATTTCCTCTTAGAAAAGTCTTGTGCAAATAGCATAATTTGCTCCTGTTGACTTTTTTAATGTGCTCATGGAGACTGCTCGGGATCTAGATCTGTTTGGGATCTGCAGGACTTCTCCTTCTGCAGTGTACACACACGTGCACACACGTATGTGCACATACCCAGGGCACTGGTGCCATCAAAACTTTCTCTTGTTCTTCAGCCTTCCCCATTCCAGGTAAGGCCACCACCACCTTCAAGGCTCCCAGGCCCAGACCCTCAGGCAGGTAGCAATTGCCAAGGCTTTAATGTCCCACCCCATTAATTTTATCTTCCTTTATCTCCTGAAAAGATTAATGTTCTAAACCCTGGCACCCAAAACACCCTCATGTTGAAAACTCTTCAATACCCCCTTCTCACACTCATCTTCAGAGCTACCATGAGGCAGAGAAGCCTCCGGAATCAGCCCACATGGGGCTGGGTGAATGCCAACACCAAGCAAGGGGAAAGTCACAAATTGACATCCAGCACCTTATTCTCCACCCTTCAGCCCCTCAACTGACTCCTGCTCCACGGCCCGTTCTATTAATATCTAGCATTTAGCACCAGCCTGGACAAAAACCTACTTGGAAAGATGGTACAAGAACCCCACACAACTCCATAGAACTTCGCTGTCTAAAAAAATGCTTTGCCGTATATTATCCCACTTAATCTCCACCACTATGCTGTACATAGGAGCCACAACTCCTAGACAACAAATAAAAATCCTATCACTTTTCAAATCCTAACATTTTCATATGACAAAGCCAGAACTCAAAATCCAGACCTCTAGAGTCCCAGATCAGGAAAGGAAGAAACGCCAAGTCAAAGAGAAGCTTCTTTAGAATAATCTGCTTTTCTGGATTATTCACACCATGGGTCAGCTCCCCACTTGAAGTCAGAACCAAGCTCCAATTTCAGTGAACCACCATCATGCTTTGACCAGGAGATTCTCTCAGAAATGTGGGGTCCCATTGAGTAGGCCTGAAGACAGAGATTGACAGGCCTATGTGAGCCTGGAGGAGTTCTTTTTAGGGGCTGGATAATGTCAAGAACAGAGAACAACTCCAGAGAAGGCACACACGCCTTCAAACCCATCCCCTCATGGGGAGAAAGCAGCCAGGAACTCAGGCCTCAAGTGTTCTAGGTGTGGTCTCCCAAGGAAACGGGCTCACTTAGTTTGGGGAAACCTTCAAACCCTGCACTGAGTCCTATGTAGACTGGGACAGAAGGTGGACAATGTAATCCCCTGAGCCCTCAACCTCCTCCTGGAGAGATGACAAGATTAAGATTTCTCTACCAGAACCCTCAACAGACACATCCCAGAATCTCCCCAAGTGAAATGTGCTCTACCTACCGTCCCTGAGAGCCCAGGGGTGTGAACCCAGAGGGCAGGTGTGGTGGGGAAGGGAGGAGGGAGAAAGAAAAGGGATGGCTGGGAGTTAGAGAAAGGCTCCTATCCAGGACCTGCCTGCAAGGATCCCAGGTATCAGCCAGCCCAACCTAGCCCTTGTTGACTTAGCAGGTGACAGTTTGGGGAAGAAGGGGAGGAGGATGCGGAAGTCACACCTCTCCAGGCTTGGTTCCCATTGGCCCTTGATATCCTTAAAAGGGCCCAGCAATTTCAGCATCCTTATTCCCCAGACCTTCTGCAGATTCTGTGGTTATACTCACTCCTCATCCCAAAGAATGAAATTTACCACTCTCCTCTTCTTGGCAGCTGTAGCAGGGGCCCTGGTCTATGCTGGTGAGTATGGCCTTTCCTCTGCGCCCCACAAGAGTCCTCCCAGTCCAAGGAGCCCCTCACTCCTGCCTTCACCCCTCTCCTCCTCTCTCAGTGCTATTCTGGTTTCCCTGCCTCTGCAAGTGACTCCTCTCCCAGTTCTCCACACGTGGCCTCTGCACCCCACTGGCCAGAGGAACCCAGAACTCTCTGGCCTCTGCCTGCCCTCCCAGCTCATCTCCTCACACACCATTGTTTACCCACTATGCCTCAGCTACACTGGCTTCTCTGGTGTCCCCTGCATGTAGTTGAGCAGGGTGTCCCCTACACGAGGGTGCCCAGGCAAGGAGTGGTAGAAGCTAAAATCTGGCCGACACTCTACTTGCCAAGCAGTGAGCCTGGCCCCTGGCTGTGTCTCTTAGGAGGAAGGGATGCCTTTTTTTTTTTTTTTTTTTTGAGACCGAGTCTCCCTCTGTTGCCCAGGCTGGAGTGCAGTGGCACGATCTCTGCTCACTGCAACATCCACCTCCTGGGTTCCAGCGATTATCTTGCCTCAGCCTCCTGGGTAGCTGGGACTACAGGCTCATGCCACCTTGCCCAGCTAATTTTGTATTTTTAGTAGAGACGGTGTTTCACCATGTTGGCCAGGTTGGTCTCGAACTCCTGACCTCAGGTGATCCGACTGCCTTGGCCTCCCAAAGTGTTGGAATTACAGGCGTGAGCCACCGTGCCCTGCTGGGATGCCTTTTTTGATCCACAGAAGCACTATTTGGGCCATGATGATCCTGCTGTTCCTTGAACATCAGGATCTTCCTTCTTGTCCTTTCCTCGTCTAGAATGCTTTCCCTCTCCCTGGCCCCTTCCCCCAACCAACTCTAATGTCACCTGGCCAATGATTTTTCATCTAGAAAATCTCAGTTTACATATAATTCCCCAAAAAGGCCTTCCATGCACATGCGGAACAAATCAGATCCATGTGCCCTTCTCGCACCAGGCTGCACGTTCCCTTCCAGCACTGTCACACCAGCCATTAAATAATTTCGTAAAAGGACAGATGTAAGCTCTGTCAGGGCAGGGGTCTTGTCTGCCCTCTTCAGCACTGCACCTCCATCTCTTGGCACAGAGCTTTGCATAAATGTTGTGTTGAAAGAATAAAGGGAATCAAGGCTGGGGTCTCAATCCTGCAAATCGCTCAAATATGGCCCCATAACCCCCACATACTGTCCTCCTCCACCACAGAGGAGGTTGAGCCCCTCTGACCATGGCCAGCTCCATGACAGACACCTCAGGGAAGCCTACCAAGCCAGGGGCCAGTCAGGAGGAAGGCACTGTTCCAAGAGACATTACACTTCTCAGAGGGGAAGTTATTTCAAAAGCCACAGGAGTTAAACATCAGAGAGTGCCCCAGTAGACCCGCTGATATGGTGGAAGGGCATGTCCAACCCAAAGGGAAATTGATCCCCTTCTATCCATGAGCATTCCCAGGAGATAAGCTTTGGGAATGGGAGGGGAGGGTGGCTCGAGTAGGTCCGGTTCGGTCCTTGCTCTCATCTGGCATGTTTCCCCCATTGCAGAAGATGCCTCCTCTGACTCGACGGGTGCTGATCCTGCCCAGGAAGCTGGGACCTGTGAGTCCTCCTCTCCCTGCTGCCCTAGCCCTCGTTGGGAAGGTTTAACAGTTAGGGATGTGAGTGGTGGCTGGGAGAAGAAGCCAGTGGGAGGAGATCTGGATTCTGTGCTTGGTGGTAATGGGGAGGGGCAGGTAATATAATAAAGAAGGTGGCATGGGTTGAAATGGTACAAGGCTAAGGACAAAAGAGGATGACCCAGAGAGGCAAGGACAATAGGGAGCATGGGGAAAAGGTTATTGTGAATAAAAGGGAGAGAAACATGAGGTTAAGTGGTAAGGGCAATGTCTCACATGGCATTAATACCTTCACCTGCAAACACCTCCCATTACTCCCAATTCCTTAGCAAGATAACCATTATCTGGCCTCTAACCTCATTTTCCAACCCCATTTTCCATGACTCTCTTTTATGTCGCACCCACATCAGCTAAATTGAACTTGTTTCCATTCCCCACACATGCCTTCGCCTGACCTCTTACTCACTGCCTGCCCCCAGGGAAGCCCCTTTGGTACATCCTCTCCTGCTAACATCCTGCCTTCAAGATCCAGCTTCTCTATGAAGTGCTCCCCGATTCTCACCATCCCCTAGTCCAAATCCTTCCCCAACCCTGCCCGCTGCATTCCAAGAGACACACAGCATGCAGAAATGCTATCTCCCTTAAGGGGGCAGCGTTTAAGCCATATCACTTCTGTATCCTGGCACCCAGCACACATTAGGTATCCTGGGGCCCTGCAACCCATTCCAAAAGAAACAAACACTTTCACTTTGCTAAAATCCATCAATTTGTGCATTCACAGCTAAGCCTAATGAAGAGATCTCAGGTCCAGCAGAACCAGCTTCACCCCCAGAGACAACCACAACAGCCCAGGAGACTTCGGCGGCAGCAGTTCAGGGGACAGCCAAGGTCACCTCAAGCAGGCAGGAACTAAACCCCCTGAGTAAGTCTCTGTCTCTATGCCAGATCAACAACCTAGAAAAGTCTCTGGCTGCAGGCCCACATCACACCTCCACGCACAGAGATAAGCCTGGTGAGAAGCAGGTAGACTCAAACAGCTGAACACAAAGGCACAAATGGGATTGTGCATTGCACCCACACACAACGTTTTCACAATAGTAGATGTTGCAGCCTGCACAATACATGGTTTCTGTCCTGGCTCACACAACTTCCTATGAGAGAAGTGCTGGAGCCCTCAGCAAAACTTCTGCACTTTAGGACTTTCTGTAGGGATGATGTCCTGGGTGGAGTGGGGGTGGGGGGCGGGTGCAGGTGGGGCAATGCAGAGTTCTCTTTAAATGAGGTGATTTTTCTGCTGATGTGATTGTTCTGCTCCAAAATTAGAATCCATAGTGGAGAAAAGTATCTTACTAACAGAACAAGCCCTTGCAAAAGCAGGAAAAGGAATGCACGGAGGCGTGCCAGGTGGAAAACAATTCATCGAAAGTGAGTGCATCCCAAGGCAAGGCTTTGTGGGAATGAGAATACTCACCACCCACCATCCGGGGGTGGGATATGGGACAGAACTTGCCCCCATTTCCACCTCACATATGAGACTTGGAATTGCCACAGCCCCTGCTGTTGAAGACCCCTCACTTTGTGCTTTCATATGTTTCCAATTTCTCATCCAGATTCAAATTGCCAGCTGGGCACGGTGGTTCACGCCTGTAATCCCAGCACTTTGGGAGGCCAAGGCAGGTGGATCGCTTGAGCCCAGGAGTTCAAGACTAGCCTGGGCAACATGGCGATACCCCATCTCTACAAAAAAATACAAAAATTAGCCAGGCGTGGTGGCACATGCCTGTAGTCCCAGCTACTTGGGAGGCTAAGGTGGGAGGATCACCTGAGCCCGTGAGGCAGAGATTGCAGTGGGCCGAGATTGTGCCACTGCACTCCATCCTGGGTGACAGAGAAAGACCCTGTCTCAAAAAAAAAGAACAGATTCAATGTGCCATGTTGTCTGATATTGATTCACCTGGGGTCTAACCCCCTACCTTCCCGCAGCAGAGCCTGCTTGTTTCTATTCTTGTCCCCTGCCCCTGCCAAGGTGGGGAAGAGGGTAGGTCCTTCAGGCTCTGGTGAATCTAATCTCAATCCCTCCAACTTCTGTGTAAGCCTCTCCAGAGTCTCAGTAAGTCTGGAAAGCAGAGATGGAATTGAGGAGAAATGGAAGGGGTGGAGCTGGTGCCTGGGGTCCTAAAAGCCTCATTTGTCTCATCTTTCCTTCTAGATGGAAGTGAATTTGCACAAAAATTACTGAAGAAATTCAGTCTATTAAAACCATGGGCATGAGAAGCTGAAAAGAATGGGATCATTGGACTTAAAGCCTTAAATACCCTTGTAGCCCAGAGCTATTAAAACGAAAGCATCCAACTTGCTGTGTGCCTGTGCTCTATGGGATGGGCCCTGGAGGAAGTGCAGGGAGAAAAGCCCTCCCTGGACCAACACAAGGCATAGGATGTCCTGACCCAGGCCCTTGGCCAGTCACAGGCTGCCTGGAAGGCAGAGCCTCTAACAAGCCCTTTTATTCACTTGGAGCCACATCCACATTGCTGAGCCTCCTTTGAGTCCAAATGCCACTCCAGTTTTCGTCCCCCTCTTACTCTTCACACATTACTCCTAGTGACATTTGAGCATTTCCAAAAATTAAATCAAATTCCAAAGAACCAGGATTTATCATCCTGAAAATAATCAAAGCCTGAGCCATTTATACTAAAGCCACTTTCTGGTACCTTTATCAGAAATTCATCTCTCCTGCCCTCTATTCGTACATTCTACACTGGGCCAAAGTGGCTGGCAATGGCTAATTAGGTCAGACAGTAAAGTAATGAGCTACTACAGTGACAACTGGCACTTGGCTAAGAAGACCAATTGAATCCATTAAGGTTATTCTTGTGATGTGGTGCAGAGAAACCACTTTTGACTGTGCTCTAGATGTGCAAATTATCTTCCCCAAAGGACTAAAGTCTCTCAAAGGGGTCTTGGTCACCTCTTTCTCCTCCTGCAACTTTGTTTTCCTCCCCTACAGCTCATGGCTGTGTCTTGCACACACATGAACCAGGGAAGATCACTCATGACTTCAGGGGGCAAAGAAAGCAGTCAGATCTTCTGCCAGACCCCTCCCCAGGCCAGGCACAGGGTCTTCTGCTCTTTAACATGCCCGGAGCCATTGATTCTAGACTGTTCTTCCCACCCCATCTTAGTTTATTTTCTGTTGCTCATAACAGAATATCTAAAACTGGATAATTTATAAGACGCAAAATGTACTTCTTACAGTTCTAGAGCTAGGAAGTCCAAGGTCAAGGGGGCATGTCTGGCAAGAGCTTTCTTGCTGGCAGGGAATCTCTGCAGGATCCCAAGCTGGAATAGAGAATCACATAGTGAGGTGGCTGTCCACGCTAGCTCAGCTCTCTTCCTCTTCTTAGAAAGCCTCCAGTCTCACTCCTGTGGCAAACCATTAATCCATTAACCCATTAATTCATTAATCCATAGATGGATTAATCTATTCACAAGGGCAAAGACCTCATGACCCAATCATTTCTTTTTCTTTTTGTTTTTTAAGACAGAGTCCTGTTCTGTCGCCCACACTGGAGTTCAACGGCTCAATCTCGGCTCACTGCAACCTCTGCCTCCCGGGTTCAAGCAATTCTCCTGCCTCAGCCTCCCAAGCAGCTAGGATTACAGGTGCCCACCGCCACACCTGGCTAATTTGTTGTATTTTTAGTAGAGACGGGGTTTCACCATGTTGGCCAGGATGGTCTCAAACTCCTGACCTCATATGATCCACCTGCCTAGGCCTCCCAAAGTGCTGAGATTACAGACATGAGCCACTGCGCCCAGCATGAACCAATCATTTCTTAATAACCCTGCCTTTCAATATTGTTACTTTAGGGATTAAGTTTCAATGTAAGTTTTGGAGGGGACAAACACTCAAACTATACCATTCTACTCCTGGCCCTCTGAAACTCATGTCCTTCTCAAATATAAATATATTCATTCCAACTCCATAGCCCCAAAATCTTAGCTCATTCCAGCACCAACTCAAAAGTCCAAAGTCCAGAGTATCATCTGTGAGCCTGTGAAATACAAACGAGTTATCTACTTTTAAGATACAGTTGTGGTAAAAGCATAAAACAGACATTCCCATTCCAAAATGGAGGAATAGACAAAAAGAAACGAGTAACAGGTCTCAAGCAAATCTGAAACCCAGCAGGGCAGACATTAAATCTTAAAGCTGAAGAATAATTTCTTTTGACTCTGTGTGTGGCCTCCCATCCACAACGGGGTATGGGTTAGGCCCCCAAGACTTCAGGCAGCCTCACCCTTATGGCTTTGCTCAGTGCAGCCCATGTGACTGCTCCTAGGTATTGGAGTCTGGTGCCTGAAGCTTTCCCAGGTGGGTGTTGCATACTGCCAGTGACTGCACACTTCTGGGTTCCCAGTAGTGGTCCCACTCCCACAGCTCTACTAGGCATTACCCTAATGGAGACTCTCTACGGTGGCACCACTTCCATGGCTCTGCTAGATGGGGACTCTTTGCAGTGGCTCTGCCCCTGTGACAAATCTTTGCCTGGGCTCCTAGGCTTTTGATGATATCCTTTGAAATCTTGGTGGAGGCTGCCAAGCTGCCACAGCTTTTGCTGTCTGCAAGCCTGCAGAGTCAGCACCACCTGGACACTGCCAAGGTTTATGGCTTCTACCTTCCAAAACTGCAGCACAAGCTACAATTGGGGTCACTTGAGCCTTGGCTAGGGCAGCCATGAAGCTCTGCACTGGGGTTTCAGGGCAGAGTCCCAAGGCACCATTCTGCCCTTCTAGACCTCTGGGCCTATAACAGGAGGGGCACCCTCAAAGATCTCTGAAATGCATTTCAGGTCTTTCTTCATCGTCTTGAGAAATAGCATCCGGCTCCCTTCTATCTGTGCTAATCTTTTTAGCTGCACCCTTGATCTCCTCTTCTGAATGTGCTTTTTCACTCTTCATGTGGCCAGGCTGACAGTTTTCCAACTCTTTCCACTCTGCTTCCAGTTTAATGTAAATTTTCTTTATCTTTATAATTGTCTTTGAATTATTCCTTTGCTCCCAAATCTCAGCATAAGTGGCCAAAAGTAACCATGCACCTCCTTCTATATTTTGCTTAGAAATTTCTTCTGCAGATACTCTAGTTCGTCACTCTCAAGTTTGGCCTTCCACAAAGCCCTTAAATGTAGACACAGTTCAGTCAAGTTCTCTGTCAATTTATAACAAGGATGGTCTTTACTCCAGTTTCCAATACCTTATTCCTCAGTTCCATCTGAAATCTCATCAGAATGGCCTTACTGTTCATATTTCAACTAGCATTCTGGTCACAATCACTTAACAAATCTCTAAGAAGTTCCAAACTTTCCAAAGAACTGAGGTGCTCCATGAGTTCTCCACCCCTGCAGCAAACTTCTGCCTGGACATCTAGGTGTTTTCATACATCCTCTGAAATCTAGGTGGAGGTTCCCAAACCCCAATTCTTGAATTCTGCGCACTCACAGGCTCAGCACCACATAAAAGCTGCCAAGGCTTGGGGCTTGCACCCTCTGGAGCCACAGCCCAAGCTCTATGTTGGCCCCTTTCAGCCATGGCTAGAGTAGCTCAAACACAAGACACCAAGTCTCTAGGCTGCACAGAGCACAGGTACCCTGGGCCTGGCCCATATAACCACTTTTTCCTCCTAGGCCTCCAGGCCTGTGATGGGAGGGGCTGCTGTGAAAACCTCTGACATGTCCTAGAGACATTTTCCCCATCATCTTGTGGATTAACATTCGGCTCCTCATTACTTGTGCAAATTTCTGCAGCCGGCTTGAATTTCTCTTCAGAAAATGGGATTTTATCTTCTATCACATTGTCAGGCTGCAAATTTTCTGAACATTTATGCTCTGCTTCCCTTATAAAACGGAATGCCTTTAACAGCACCCAAGTCACATCTTGAATGCTTTGCTGCCTAGAAACCTCTTCCACCAAAAACCCTAAATCATCTCTCTCAAGTTCAAAGTTCCACAAATCTCTAGGGCAGAAGCAAAATGCTGCCAGTCTCTTTGCTAACACATAACAAGAGTCACCTTTGCTCCAGTTCCCAAAACAAGTTCCTCATTTCCATCAGAGACCACCTCAGCCTGGACTTTATTGTCCATGTTGCTATCAGCATTTTGGGCAAAGCCA
Organism: Homo sapiens; assembly: GCF_000001405.40. Lineage (NCBI taxonomy): Eukaryota > Metazoa > Chordata > Mammalia > Primates > Hominidae > Homo > Homo sapiens. The sequence continues at coordinate 54,626,994 of NC_000012.12, read as the reverse complement.
TTCAACAAGTCTCTAGGAAGTTCCAGAATTTCCCACATTTCCCTGTCTTCTTCTGAGCCCTCCAAACTGTTCCAGCCTCTGCCTGCTACCCAGTTCCAAAGTTGCTTTCACATTTTCAGGTATCTTTTCAGCAACATCCCACTCTACTGTATTAATCAGTGCTAATACAGTACCAGTTTAGTGTATTAGTCAGTTTTCATGCTGCTGATAAAGACATAGTGGAGACTGGGCAATTTACGAAAGAAAGAGGTTTATTGGACTTAGAGTTCCACGTGGCTGTGGAGGCCTCACAATCATGGTGGAAGGTGAAAGGCACATCTCACATGGCAGCAGACAAGAGAAGAGAGCTTGTGCAGGGAAAATCCCCTTTATAAAACCATCAGATCTCATGAGACTTATTCACTATCACCAGAGCAGCACAGGAAAGGCCTGCCCCCATGATTCAATTACCTCCCACCAGGTCCCTCCCACAACACATGGGAATTCAAGATGAAATTTAGATGGGGACACAGCGAAGCCATATCAGCAGGGATTTCTGTCTGCTCTTTTACTTCTATATCCCCAGTGCCTAGAATAGTGCCTGGAACACAGAAAGCACCCAAGAAACATTGGTTCAATGTTGAATGAATTCACCCACTTCCACCCACCTCCTCATTTATATCCTGTGAGATGAATGTCTCCATCCTCTCTGTTCTTAGAATATGCATTTGCATGTCTGCTATAATACCTCTTCACCAGAGAGGCAACACTTCAGAAGCAGGTCCAGGCGGAATTCATCTCAGAATGCCTAACACTCGGCAGGAAACAGGTGGTTAACCAGTTGTCTGTGTACTGAACGAAGGAGAAGCAAGCTCTAGGATTACCTGCCTACAGCACCCCCAAAATTCCCCAGGTTCATCCTCCTCAAAGGAGAGACAACTTCAACCATTTCACATTCACAAATTGGTGACTTTGGACACACAGTGATTATGACAAAGCTTGATGAAGGAGCAAGAGCTAACCCCAGATACTGTTTCAGAGAAAACCCCAATCCTGATGAAATCCCTACCAACCCCAGAGACAATGGCAGCAATCCAAAGGGTCTATGAGAAACAAGGAGCAGATAGTTCCCCCTTGTGGCACAGGCCTGTGGACTATGTGACTTTATTGTGAGGACAGGGTGGACCCATGTTCAAACTACTCAAGGCATACACAAACACATCTGTACCAGATGGAAGGCTGAGCATAGCCTTCTACCTCCCTTTCCACTGAATATTTCATGAAATGACTGAAAATGCTGATTTAATGAAAAACAGCCTACTTCTGGGTTGACAGTCATTTTCCTGCTTTCTGAGGTTATGGAAGTTTTAACATTCAGATATGGATGACATTCTAAATAAATTATATACAAATTAATGGGGAAAACATTCAATAACATAATTCTAAATGTAAGGAAAAGAAATAAAGATATATCTACTAATTTCTTACCTCTGAAACCAACTGAATTTTACAACAAGGAAAATAAATGCAGATATGTAAATTCCATCTTAGATGAAAATAGAAAGCCCTTACAACCCCAAATAACACTTTCTTTGAAGAAATTCTGCCAATTCCAGTGAAACTGGAACCAAATGGAGGGAGGATGCTGACACAGTGTCCCATAATAACAGATCATGGGCAGAGCTGGCAATACGCAGACTTCTCTAAGTACATGACAAACCCAGAAGAGCAAAAGCAAGGTCACCTTGTTTGTAACCAGAGCAACCATATGTATAATGAGTGCTCCTGAAAAAGAGAACTGAACACGTGGAATAGGAAACATAAGTGAAAAAAGATTTCTTAAAAATAAAATTCTAGCCAGAAGCAGTGGTGCACGCCTGTAATCCCAGTGACTCTGAAGACTGAGGCAGGAGGATTGCTTCAGCCCAGGAGTTCAATACCAGCCTGCACATAGTGTGACTGTCTCTCAATAGACAGAAAGAGAAAGAGAGGAAGGAAGGAAGGAAGGAAGGAAGGAAGGAAGGAAGGAAGGAAGGAAGGAAGGAAAGAAGGACGGAGGGAGGGAGGGAAGGAAGGAAGGAAGGAAGGAAGGAAGGAAGGAAGGAAGGACAGAAGGAGAAGGGGAAGAGGAAGGGAAGGAGGGAAGGGAGGGAAGACAACTTGAATCTAGCAGAGGGCAGGGGGAAATAAGGAGTTGTTTAATAAATATAGTTTCAGTTTTTCAAGATGCAAAAGTTCTGGAGATTGGTTATATAACAATGTGAATATACTTAACACCATTGAACTGTACACTTAATGGCTAAGCTGGTAGATTTTATGTTTTGTGTATTTTACCACAATTAAAAATTTTAATTTTAAAAAAACTTGAATCTACAGATTGAAAGAAAAAAACTGATTCAAAAAGACCAATTTTAAGAACTGGCCTAATAGAGTTTCTTATCTTCAAAGATAAAGAAAGAATCATCTGGGCATCCAGCCAAAACTATCAACACACGGACTGAAGGGAAAAGAAATAGATCGGGCTAGCTCCTGATTTCAACATCAAAAGACCATGGAGAAATTCCTACACAGTCCTCTGGGAGAAGAAAGGTGATATCCAAGCATTCTGTCTTTAGTCAAGCTATTTTACCAGGCTAAGGCAATAGGCAAATACTTTCAATATGCAACAATTGAAGGAATTCCATTCTATTAACTCTTTTAAAAAACCATTAGAAGATAAACTTCAGCCAGCCAAGAGATAAATGGAGAATATGAGGTAAAAGGAGTAGCTATGAGTGCTAAATCCATTTTAATGCAGGACAAAGCTAAAAGTGCTGTGGAAATTATGGTTACAGAGTAGGGGGTAAATGTTATAAACTTTGAGAATGTAACAAAAAATCAGCATACGGATGGAAGAGAAAGAGGGAATTCATATAAGTAGGTGGACTTTACAACTTTTATAGTTGAAGGATCAAAAAATATTTTTAACATGCTAAATCAAATAATCAAGGTTTAAAGTAAATCACTAGAAGAATTCATAATAATATAATCCATGAAAACCAGATGATAAAAAGGAAGGGAAAAGGAGAAAGTAGAAGTATACTGTTTTAATAGTTGATAGTAGAGGGAGTAAACTCTGAATAAAGATTTGAGTACATCATTTGAAGTTGATTAAAAAGATAAGCAATAGGACTATAAACAAACTATAAATCTTTTATATTAGCAGAACTATACATAAAAAGGAAAAAACAGATCATATAGCAAAATATACATTTTAAATTGTTAAAATAAAAGGATGGCATTAAGAAGATATAACTAGTACAAACATGCCTTTCATGTGAACAAACAAAAATAAAACAAATTCATGTCATAAAAAGCAAGAGTCTCAGATCAGGACATAAAGCAAAACCAAACTATAAACAATGGATTCATAAATATTATACATCAAGAACAATGGAACTGCTTTACTTTGCCTCCCTTCCTGTCTGCCTATATTCCTGCCTTACTTTCTGAATTTCAGTACAAAAGCCAGTGGGTAGAGCAGAGCAAGGCAGGCATCTGCATGAACAGGGAGTGGGGGATTACGAGAAAGCCAGAGAAAGGTGTTGGAACAGAAGATGAGGAGGGCATCTACCAGGAGCACAGTGGGTGAAGGGGAGCAGTGACCTGGCATGGGGCATCAGGGCCCGAGTAGGATGAGAAGGGCACCCATCCGGCCTGATGTGGGGGGTTGCAGCTCAAACAGAGTGAGGGGGTCTAGGTGGTGCAGGGTGACTGAGCCTGAACAATGTGGTGTTAGACTGGAATTGGAGGTAATGGTGAGAACTTATGGTCTTTGATATATAATTCGATGTAGAAATACATGTAGGTGTAAATATGCATATATAATTTATTCATAGGAATGCACATATATAATTTATTCATAGGAATGCACATACATATATAAATACATAGATACATTTCCTAGCTTGACCACTAGGAGACCTAGAAGCAGTAACATCCTAAGAACAGTGAGCATATATAGAGCCTATATCTTCTTTTCCAAATACAATTAAGAGAACAGGGATCCTTGGAGAAATGGCTAATACCAGGGGTAGGACAGAGAAAGTACATGATAAGGCTGGAATGACTTGTTGTACCAGAAAGTAAGAAAATGCTCAAAAAATGATGGAGACATATCAAAAGAATACAAAATCTAATGAGAAGGTTAGCTTAATCCCAATAATATTGAATTATCTCAGACTAACAAAATTCAGCAGAAAGGAAAAGTATTATAAAAGATTATAATAGAAAGAAAGAAAGGAAGGAAGGAGAAAGAAAGAAAATGAATGAAAGAAAGAAAGAGAGAGAGAAAGAAAAAAGAAAAGAAAGAAGGAAGGAAGGAAAAAGAAGAGAAAAAATGAAGGAAGGAAAAGAAAGGAAGACTATAAATCATTGAATAAATAGAAAGGAAAGGAAAAGAAAAGAAGAGAAAAAAGGAAGAAAGGAAAAGAAATGAAGATTATAAATCATTGAATAAATAGGAAGCCATGAGTCCATATTGATTAAATAAATGAATGGATAAGTAAATGGGGATATGAGAAAGGTTTTTCTTACAGTAGAATGGTAGCTAATAAATTCAGAAGGAATGATTGAAGTAGAAAATCACTATTCAGCAACCATCAGGGTGATAATTCAACCAGGAAACATCAATGAGCACTAAAACTAATTGGTAAAAGTTTGATAAGGAAAAGGATACTTACATAGTTTCAAAGTACCTTTCCACAAAATATTTATTAATTTCACTAGAAGAAAAAGAGTCACTTCACAGTGGAGACAGCTGGCAGACATCACCTTAATCAGTACCATCACAGAAATCGGATAAATCAAAATCATGTGCCGGCTGATAGAATGCAATGCAGAGAATTCAGTATGACTGACTGATATTCCTGCCAAAAGTGAAAAGCCTGAAATTTAATCATGAAGAACATAAGATGAACCCAAACTGGGGACACTCTGCACAATAACTGGTCTATAATCTTCAAAAGTGGCAATGTCATGAAAGTCATGGAAAGATCGAAGAACTGTGACAACTAAATGCTATGCATAATCTTGGACTGGATCCTTCTGTCATAGGATCATTATTGAAACAATGGGAAATATCTAAATGGGGTGTGTGGTTGATATGGTTATAATGTATCAGTAGTGTATCAAATATTAATTTCCTAAGTTTAATGGTTGCATTGAGGTTATGATGAAATGTCCTGGTTTGTAAGAATTACCAAAAAATTCAATAGAAAAAGAATATTTAAGTAACTCAGAAAGTGTAAAAGTCAAAAGATGAGCAAAAACCCACCAAGCAAATGAAAAAAAACAGAATCTTGATCTTAATATCAAGTCAATATTTATTTCAGAGTAAACATATTAAATGAGAGAAGGAGAAGTATTTATAAGGATAAAGGCTGCGGCTGGGCGCGGTGGCTCACACCCATAATCCCAGCACTTGGGAGGCCGAGGTGGGCAGATCACCTGAGGTCAGGAGTTCGAGACCAGCCTGGCCAACATGGTGAAACCCCGCTTCTACTAAAAATACCAAAAATTAGCCGGGCATAGTGGTGGGCACCTGTAATCCCAGCTACAAGGAGGCTGAGATAGGAGAATCGCTTGAACCCAGGAAGCAGAAGTTGCAGTGAGCCGAGATCGTGCCATTGCACTCCAGCCTGGGCAACAAGAGCGAAACTCCGTCTCAGAAAAAAAAAAAAAAAAGAATAAAGGTTGCACTCCACACTCCACAATAAAAACAGACACAAAGATTTCTGCACCTTCTAAGGAGCACCAAAACTTCAGGAAATGCAAAGAGATTCATAGTTGGACAGGCTCAAATTCACCTGTCTCAAGCCATAAAGGTCAAATAAACAAGAAAAGTTTGACTACAGAGTATCTAAGTAACCTAAACAGGAAAATAGAGTTAATGTAATACTCCTGAAAAACCAGAATATCCTTTCATTTCAGAAACTTTTGAAAAACGCATCAAAAAGTATATGATAAACAACTATATGAATACTAATGGTTAACATATCTATGAAACTTTAAAATGTACCAGGTACTATTCATAAGTACTTTGTAGATCTTAATTATTTTAATCCCCATAACAACCCCATGATAAAACTTGAGACACAGAGAGGTTAAACAACACGCCTGAGGTCATGCAGCTGATACATGGGAAAACCAGGACTTGAACCCACGCAGTGTGGATCCAGAGTCTACACTCCTAACCAATACTTGAATAAACTCTAAAGTGCAGAAATGATGCAAATGAACATTCCCCAATAATAACACAATAAAACTAGAAATTAAGAACAGAACTAAGTAATCTTTAAAATCTTATCCATATGAGATTTATCACCCTCTTAAACAACTCTTGATTCAAAGAAGAAAACAAAACCAAAATTGCTATCTAAAATAAAACAATAATGAAAATACTATATATTATATATTATAGTATATATACTATATATTAAAATCTATGAGATACAGCTAAAACTGTGTGCATAGGAAATTTCAAAGTCTTAAATATTAATATTAATCAAAAAAATGTTTAAAAATTAATTAAACACCCACCTCAAAAGAATGAACTAAATTTAATGAAAACATAAAGAATAAATTAGTAAAAGCAGAAGTTAATTGAATAGACAACAGAAAATTATAGAATCTAAATTTAAAATATCCAGAGCTAATTATTAATGGAAAATATAAACTATTATCTAACTTTAAAAAAGGGAGAGGTAAAGAGGGCAGGCATGAGAGAAACCAGAATAAGAAATGAGAATGGGGACATTACAAAGGTAAAAAGGAAATTCAAATAATGAAAAGATTATTTTGCTTAAACCTGAGTAAATCGATTTTTACATGTGTGTAATGAATTATTTTCTAGAAAAAATATCTAAGACCGCTGGGTGCGGTGGCTCACGCCTGTAATCCCAGCACTTTGGGAGACCAAGGAGGGTGGATCACCTGAGGTCAGGAGTTCAAGACCAGCCTGACCAACATGGTGAAACCCCAACTCCACTAAAAATACAAAATTAGCAGGGTGTGGTGGTGCATGCCTGTAATCCCAGCTACCAGGCAGGCTGAGGCAGGAGAATCGCTTGAACCCAGGAGGCAGAGGTTGCAGTGAGCCGAGATCGCGCCATTGCACTCCAGCCTGGGCAACAAGAGCAAAACTCCATCTCAAAAAAACAAAAAAAGAAAAGAAAAGAAAAAAGAAAAAATATCCAAGAAAACTGACCCTGGATGAGGTGAACTACAAACAGATAAGTTACGATACAGGACATAGAAAATATCAGAGCTATCACACCAAAAAGCACCACACCCAGAGAATTTTACAAGTGAATTCTCTATCCCTTTAAGGAACCAAATTTCACTAAACTGTTCCAGAACACAGGGAGGAGGAACGCTTCCAAATACATATCAAAGTCAGCAGATTATTTATTTAAAAACCCAAAAGACTGCCCACCAAAAAAGAAAATATAGATCCATCTTTCTTACTTGCAAACATTAGGGCAAAGTTCTAAATGAGATACTATCAATAAAATCTAGCAGCAAGTAGGGTCCATGCCAGGAGTGAAAGAATGGTTTGATATTAGGAAATGTATGAATATAATTATATATTATATATATGGTTAATAAATATATAATACATATGTGTGTGCATATATATATATATAAATTGTTAACAAATAAAAAGCATATGTTTATATCCTCACGATGCTCCAAAGGACTTTGACAACAATTTAACATTCATATTTTTTAAAGGTGATATTATCATTTAAGTGGTAGTGGTAATAAAACCATACTCAAAAGGTTTGCCACAAAAAGTTCTACTTAGAAAACAATCATAGAAGCATTCAGATAAATCAGTCTAGGAACATGCCCCAAGAGATATGGGAAATGATAATAATTATTATCTAAAGAAATGAAAGAAAGGAAGAAGAGAACGTCATAGAACTAAATCTATAACATCACAAAACTAAAATTCTAGAAAATATTAACATGACAGGATGTGGGGGAAGAAGACCAAAGGGACATAGCAACATGAAGTACTTTTTAGAGAAGAAATATAGATATGGGGTATCCTATTCCTTCCCACCAATATTTCAGCAATTTTTTCCACTTTATTTCTTTGCTGGGGTTGAAGGGAGAGGTCTAGGCTGGAAGATACACATTTAGGACCAATTAATACATAGATCAGATATAGATAGGATTTAAAGTTATGAAATTGAATGAAATGGCCAAAGAACTATAAATAGAGAAAAATGTCTCCTCCAATACTTAGAGGTTGGGGAAAGTTAGCAAAAAAGAAACAGCAAAGAAGCAGCAGCCAGTGAGGTAGGAAGAAAGCCAGAAAAACGTGGTGTCCTTGAAGCCAAAAGAAAAAATATATTTCCAAGAAGACGAGGTGATCAACTGTGTCAAACGCTCCTGATAGGTAAAGTAAGAGATCTAAGGACTGACTATTAGAATTAGCAATATTGCTATCTTGACAAGAACAATTTCAGTGGGATGGTTTGGGTGAAAGCCTGATTTAGAATGAGTGTGGTAGGAATTGGCCAAAACAAATACAACCAATCCTTTAAATAGGCTTGGTTGTAAAGTGAAGTAAATCCCCTCAAAGGCATTCTGTTCAATGTCCACCCTAGAGATAATGGCCTTCAAGGACAATAGACAGTAGATTCTCCCAGAAAACAGACCTGAGGGCTGCCAAATTGGCCAACAAAGGTTACTAATTCAGCGCTAGGAAGGGCACCCTTGCTATTTCTGCCCAGCAGAATATTTACTGTGAATCACTGGTTACTGGAGAAATTTCCCATCACTCCTTTTTTGATGGAACTTTTCATTATGTTACAGTCTTCCTTCTCCACTATTGTATACTGGATGTTTCGATGATATATAACATCTTTTAAACATAGGTCATAGGACATCAAGGAATTGCAGCTAGGCTTGAGATCTGGATCTGCAATTAGGTACAGCAAACAGATGAGAAGCTTTCGAGTATCTTCTTTTAGAGATGCAGGCATTGTGTTTCATCTAGCACAAAAAATTTTAAGTGTGTATATGTGATGAACGGTGTTTATAAACGATGGACAGCCAAAAGTGGAACTGTAGCAGACACCTAAAATAAGATGCTGAATAAAGCCAGGCACACGTGTCACACTTCTAATCCCAATGTTTTGGGAGGCCAAGGTGGGAGGATCGCTGGAGGCCAGGAGTTCAAGACCAGTCTGGGAAACATAGAGAAACCTGTCTCTATCCCCCCAACCAGAATTTTTTAAATTAGTCAGGCATGGTGGTATGCACCTTTAGTCCCAGCTATTTGAAAGGCTAGGGTGGGGGGATGATTTGGAAAGATGCCAAATAAAATCTCTATTGTAACTATAGCTACAAGTTGAAAACAATAAAGTGCTGAGTACTCTACAACCTAAAGAGAGCCAACAAGGAGGTACCAGACACAACCCTCAGGACTGATGATTCAGAAGTCAGAATTTGTCCTGTCACCATCACCCTACTCCCCAGTATGTGTTAAGAACAGGGTGAGAAGGAAAACTGGAGATTTTTCAGGGTCATGAGTTGTCATCCCTTCCCTCCACCCTCAAGCCAAGCAGCAAGGGCTTGGTGCCTGCCAAAAGGAAGAATGAAATCTCATTCCAAATTCAACACCTGCTTGCACAGTGGACTTGCTGATCTGCCCTCTGTGCCTGCTCAAACAGAGGAAAAAATAGAAGACTAGAAGGAAGTGAGGAGTGAGATGACCAGTCTTTTATACTGATTGGTACGGAAAGAGGGCAAGAGTTTCCTGTGGATTAAACAGATCTTGTGGCTTGAGCCATCTTGTTGGCATCCCACTCAAAAGGGGAAGTCGCTTGACAAGCAGACCTCCGATGTGAGAATATATAGGGTGGACTGCCGAATGGCTTCTTAGGGTGGTTGAAAGAGAAAACTGTACAGTAGGGAGCCCGCAGGTGCCCCAAAGACTCACATGTGCACCCCTTCCTTAAGATAGCCATCATTTGGTCTCTTGCCACAAACAGGACATGATCAGCCAGTCTTGGCCCGAGAAGCAGCACTAGCCAAGAGAAGAGAGAGTCTGACAGCAATCAGATAAGGGATGTTTATTTCTTTTCATTGATTCTCTCCTTGCTTAAACATGCTGGGAGGAGCAGAGAACAAACTAGATGGAAGAAAAAGGAGGTGGAGAAAGTGAGTGTTGAATTGGATGTGAAACTGAAACATTAAATTGGACCTACCTATAGAATATACCAGAGATATTATTAAAGGATTAGAAATGGAGGTTCCCCGGAGCATTTTTAAGGCAGCAATTAAAGGAAAATAAAACAATTACATATTTGAACCCTGGGTTCAGACTGTTGAATATGCCCATTAAATGCTATTGGTTGCCTTTTTAACAGCTGCACCTCCCTTTCTCCTTGTGGACAGATTGATTTTATTCCCTATGCCCCTTTCTCATGGCCGTGTGTTTCTGGGGAGGCAGGCCCCATCAGGAGATGAATCAGTCAGCCAGAGCCGATCAAAGTGGTCCCATTGCCTTTGCCAAAGCCTGGTTGACATGTCGTGATGCCATTCTGGCTAGCGAGACATGAGAGAGAGTACGCTATCAAGACTCCCAAGAAAGGATTCTCTTGAGCATAAAAGGTAACACAGGAAGAGAAGGTCATTTTTCTGCCTCTGGACATTGTGAGGATGTGATACCTGGTATGGCAGCAGCCAGCTGAAGCTACCTGGTATGGCAGCAGCCAGCTACCTGAAGAGAGGTAACCAGAAGACCAGGCTCTTGGACAGAGAAGAATAGGATAGAGAAATGGAAAGAATCTAAGTCCTTCGTGAATTCATTAAGCTGCTGAATTTACCAAACCTACCTCTAGTGTTCTTGCATCACGAGATATGCCTTTTTCATTGTCTGAGCCAACTGATTTGGACTGCCCATTATTCCCCACTAAGAGCATCCTACCTCAGACTATGTAGGAAATTGGGTGCTCTGGGTTGCAACTGAAGTCTATGTTATGAAGCCTGTACATCCCTAAACAAGGGCCCCAGTGTTAAACCCTCCTCCCCACACCCGGGAGGGAATTAGTGGGAATTCAAGTCTCCCTAACACATAGATGTGACCGTGATGGGTCACAGCCACAACGTGTTCTGGTTTTCCCTTACTTAGAGTCCTCTCTGTGGATTCACAAGTCACACGATTCCTTCCAGATTCAGAATTCCAAAATTTTTTGATCTTCAGTCTTCCCCAAGAACAACTTCCATCCTCTGACTGTGGACTCTGCCATTTGCATTTCCTCTCCTGATGTGCAAGTGGGAAGGACAGGTGCCCTGGCCTTCAGGGTGTCTACCCTCCAACCATCCTGATTTGCTATGGCCCCTTCTCACAGCTTGCAGTCCTCACACTGGAATATAACCCCGCTTACCAGAGCTATTGACACGAAGCATCCAATTTGGGAATTGCTTATGTAGTTTGATGGATGGCTCCTAAGGACTTGAAGAGGAAAGGAAAAAGCCTACCCATGGATGGGTGAGTGATCACGAGGCATGCCAGGAACTGCAGCTTTCTGTGTAGCTGGCCCATCCAGCTCCACACCCACAGCCACTCACCCACTCCCAACCCAGCTCATGGGGCTGTATGTGGGACACTGAGCCACTAGCCCATGTGGGTAACATTCCCAAGGCCCCATCTTCCAGATGGAGAGAGAGTGTGTTTTCACAGACTGCCCAGGCTGAGCCAAGTCTGGCTCAGAGCTTCTTGTGGAGAAACTGGATATAGCTGGAATGGACATGACAGCAATGGACCCTGAAGAAGAGAATAGAGTCTCACTCAGAAAGAACTGCTAGATCCAGACTGGGAACAAGACAGAAGCTGCTCGCCTTCCCACCTACACCAGGGTCCCACAGCAGTGGAACCTCTCTGCAGTTATCTCCCCTGTGCTGGTTCTCTCCTGACTCCTTTCTCTAACGACTCTCCCATCTCTAATGTGGACCTGCTCCCTCTGGCTGTGTTACCTACTAAGCTCCTCTGTCGAAGGCTTTTTTTCCTCCCTATTCTAGTAATAGGGGATAAGGTGAAGTTTGGGAAGTGTTTGGAGGCAGAAACATTGATTTCCTAGAATAGTCAATGGATATGTGGGAAACAGCACAGAATGTGTGAAATGGAGTTCCACCGGGAAGCCAAGGATTTATGGCTGCTGTGACATTGACTCTAGTGATGCTTGGTGTGGGTGGGACATTATGGGAAGAGCACGGGAATCAGAGCCAAGCAGTTCCAGGTTCAAATCCCAGCCATGCCAGTTGCCGTCATGTCACTTTGGTAAATTTACTTAACCTCTCTGAGCCTCAGTTTTCCCAATCTGTCAGAGACTATCAATACTACCCTGTAGATTATTATGAGAATTAAATAATCCTGCACCTGGCTCAAGGTCAGACATCACAGAATGTTGGTCTCCTTTTCCCCCTTCTCTTCTCCAGCCCCACTGCCCCAGGGCAGCAACCCCCATGGTGATGTCCCCCCTTACCTCTCTCTCTCTCTCTGACACTCACACACACACATACACACTCATACTCTCACACTCACACACTCACACAACAAAAACAACAGACTCTCTACCTCCCAAAATCCTTACCAGAAAAGAAGTTTGAGCTTTTGTGTAGAAGCCATTGTGTCTGCCTAGGGTAGTCCTGTTCTCAGCATCAGAACTGCCCTGGATGCTGCTCTTTAAATGTGGGTTCCTGGGCTGCATCCCAGGCCTACCAAATGGAGAGGAAAGGGGATTCAAATGCACTCCCCAGCTGGTTGTGAAGTTTGAGAACAACCAGCCTGATGCTGTTCTTGAAATAAAAATCTCCCAAGAAGTTTTCCACCCCTGTTCCAAGAGGGTGTCAGGTCTTGGAACGGGAGTCCTAGAGATCCTTGGAGATCCATCTGGACTCTCCCTCTCCTTGCTGAGGAAAAGGATGAGGTCCAGAGAGGTGGCGGTGGGGCGGGGGTTGGGGGGTGCAGCTGCTGGTCGAGGACTGCAGAGTGAGTCCGTGGCAGAGCTGAATCTTGGACCCAGGTGTCCTCACTAAAAACTAATGATGCTTGAGGTGGGGTGGGTGGAGCTTTAAAAATAGGCTTTTTCAAGTTTACAAGACTCACTCAGATTCCATTAAGTGACAGAAGGAAGGAAGGAAGATCAGGAAGCCATCTCAGCAGGCTTCACAGAGTACCAAGCAGAGACCAGCTGGGCTGTGAGCCCCTCCAGCCACTCTGTGGACAGTCACTTTGTCATAGCTTGAGGCCCAGAGGCTCCCCTAGACAAGAGTCTTCACCTCACCCTCCATCCTGGCCTGTCTCTTCTTCTATTGTTTTTACATCTCTGAGTTTTCTTTCTCTCTGTCTCTCTGACTCATACTTCACTGAGAGTGACCCCATCCACTTGGTTAGGAACTATCCAGTAGAAAGCCCCGGAAATGGACAGGTCTCCTGAGAGGCCATGGCCTCCCTTGTGTCCAGCCTGTTGATTGTTACCTCTGAATAAGCCCAGGCTTCCTCACAAATAGGAGTGGTTAGGGTAACAGAGATATCTGACCCAAAGTCTGGCATCTTGTGTGCTAAGAACCAAGTGACCTCGTTTCTCAGAAGGGAGTTATAGGTGTGGCAGACACGTGGTCACCCCTCCAGGACATCTTTCCCGTAACTGAGTACCCAGGATGAGACTGGGCTCTGAGGAGGACAGATCAGGAAGGATGGACACGGAAAGTCTTGCCTGCTTCTAATCCAAGTCTGAGGCTGGTCTGGAACCTTCGGAGCCAAATTTAGCAAATAAACACAGAACACCCAGTTAAATGCAATTTCAGATATATCTGAGACATACTTAGGTACTGCACAATATTTGAGGCATATTGACAACATTTTCATTGTTTCTGTGAAATTCACATTTATCTGGGTGACTTACATTTTATCTGGCACCCTTACCTGGGAGAGGAGGGACCTGGTCTGTTTTGCTCAGCATTGGAGCTTAAGCGCCCACACCATACCTGGTGTAGGGCAGACATTCTTGTTGAACTCTGTGCGGGAGAAGGTCTCTCAGAAGTCCCCTGCCACACACACTAAAGAGATACTTTGTTGAACAAACATATCCCCCAGGAGCCATCTTTGAAAAGGCACATTGACTCATTTGACAAAACCAGACTGGAAACTTAGCAAGAGTTAAGATCTGCGCTAAATAAATTGGGATTCAGAGACAAGTAAGCTATGGCTTCTGTCCTCAACATGGTAACTGACCAGTAACAGCAACAGATTTCAAAACAGATCATTACAATAGAGTGTGGTAAGTGCTAGACAATAAAGGCCTAAGGCCAGGGTCCAGGTGATTTTGTTCACCATTATATCTCCAAATCTTGCTGCATGGCAGGCACTTAATAAATAATAGTGGAATGTAATAATGAAAAGATAAAGATATCAACAATGCATCATGGAACCACAGAGGTGAGTGACTAACCAAGGGAGGAGGGATGGTGAGAAGGTTGTGTTCACTCCAGGGAGGAGATGACATCTGATCTGGATCATGCTGTGGGAACATAGCAGACAGATGGAGAGGAAAGAGATTCCTGACAGAGCAACGGCATGAACCCAAGTATAACACTCCAGGAGTAGGGAATAATTCACAGGGGTAGGAAATGAGGCTGTGAAGGTGGAAGACCAAGGAGTTTGGACTTTGATCACATGGTGATGGATAGTGGTTAAAGACTTTTGAGTACAGAAGTGGCATGAACTTTGTGGGATCCCTCCAGCATTAGCATGAAGAATGGACTGTAGTGGAGACAGACTGGAAGCCAGAAGAGCAGTGAAAAACTAAAATAGCCTAGTCTGGAGATGATGAGAGCCTCAACATGTGAATTATGTATATTAGGAAATAAGCTTGCAGTGCTGAAACCCTACCCTCATAGACTTGCTGTGAATGCCCTCATCTGCCCCCGTCCTGTTCCCAAGTGCCCTGGGCTATGGGAGGAGAGGTTGCTGGTGAGAGGGGGAGTCAGGGAGGAAGGGGTGCTTGGAGGCAGCCCAAGACAAACTTCCTTCACTGCACCACCTTGCCTAAGGAGAGAGCTTTGCTGGAACAATTGGAGGACAACTGCCAGCCCCTTAGGGCTCTCCCGGGCAAAGGCCTCACACTGGCTAGCACAGCCAACTGTGGTCTCTAGGCGTTACCTTACCTACTCACATGCCCAGCAAGCCATGCCCCCTGCTGAGGATAAGAGACTCAGTGTTAGGGTACAGCAGCCTTCTCCTTCTTGGAGAGGTTTCAGAGAGAATATCAAACTTCCAGCTGGAGGAGGAAACAAGATCAACTAGATCAGTTCCTAGGCCCACGACCAAGACCCAGGCCCTACGCACAACCCTCATCTGCTCTCCAGATGCCTCTCTGGGCATCCCGCTGCTCCATCTTGTCCAATTTTAGAGCCACTAGACCCCAGATGTAGAGTTAGACTGACCTGGGTTCAAATCCACCCATATATGTGGCCTTATGCAAGTAATCTCACCTCTATGAACATCAGTTTTTTTTTCCTTGGTAAATAACACATACCTCCCAAACCATCACGAATTAAATGAGATATCCCATAGGAACAAACTCAGGACACTACCTGGCATATAGTCAGAATTTCTGTAACTGCCTCACTCCTTCATTCCTGAACTGATGGGGAGTTTTATCTGCACCCTAGAGCAGGGGTTCCCAACCCCCAGGTCACGGACTGGTACTAGTCTGTGGCCTCTTAGGAACCGGGCCACACAGCAGGAGGTGAGCAACAGCCAAGTGAGCATTACCACCATGATGTGCCTCCTGTCAGCTCAGTAGCAGCATTAGATTCTCACAGGAGTGCGAACCCTATTGTGAACTGCACATGCAAGGGATCTAGGTTGCACGCTAATCTAACTAGTGCCTGATGATCTGAGGTGAAACAGTTTCATCCTGAAACTATCCCCATCCTCCCCCTGGCTGTGGAAAAATTGTCTTCCATGAAACTGGTCCCTGGTGCTAAAAAGGATGGGGACCGCTGCCCTAGAGGACAGCCTGACCGTTCCTTGATTCATTCACTCCACTAATATTTCCTAGAACTCTACTATGTGCCACATACCTGCTAGGTACTGGAAAAACAATGGCAAGCAAAACAGATATAATCCCAGCCATTTTGGAAGTTTCATTCTTCTGGAGGAGATAGATGTTAATTAAATGATCATACTAATGAAAGTAAAATTACACAGTAATGAGTACCATGAAAGAGGGAAACTCACACCCATGTCCTTATTCCATGGACTTCTGGGGGTAAAAGCTGGAGCCGACACACCTTCAGCATGGTCCGAGCCAGGGGGAAGGCTGGGGGCCTTACTTTCCAGTTAACCGGTTTCCCAGAAACTCCAGTTCCCAAAAACAAACCTATTCAGAATGGGAAACTCAGGAGGGGAAACCTAGTATGTTCCCAGGTCCAGTTTCCCCAGAGTCCATCCCTACCCCAAAATAAATAAAGCCCCTGCCAGGCTGCCTCTTCAGCAACTCTAAGCAGCCTCCCCCAGGAAAAACTGATCCTGCTACAGCTCCACCATGAAGTTCTTCATGGTCCTGCTGCCAGCCAGCCTAGCCGCCACCTCTCTCGCCATCCTTGATGTTGAATCTGGCCTCCTTCCACAACTCTCAGTCCCCTAAGGGTTATTGAGCTGTCAGCTGGAGAGACCTCAGCACTAGAAAGGGCCTTCCTTAATCCTTGTAATATGCTGTGTGGAGAGGTGGAAAGCTGCAGAACCAAAAGTTCACACCTGGGATGACCTAGGTATGGAGGTGAGGGACTAGGGCATATGATCCCGGGAATTCTGCAACCTAGAAAGCCTGGAGCAGGAGCCAGAGGGGCCAAATCAGGATGCACTCTGGGTCAATGGAGGTTCAGATCAGATTCCAGCCTCTGGTGATGCTGGATAATCCAGGCAGAGTCACTACCTTTCTCTGGACTTCCGTGCCTCCCTCTGTACAATATGTACACACATATTCATTCCATAGCTACTTACTGAGCACTAACTCTGTGCCAGACACGTAGTTCTAAGCACTTGGATACACTAATAGAATAGAAACTCAGTCATCATTGAAATTACATTCTAAGATAAAGTAACAAACAATGAACATATTAAGTAAATTACAAAGTATGTTTGAAATGCTAAGGAGGATGTAAAGCAAGGTAAGGAAGATTGAAAATGCTGGGGCAGGAGGGGTTACAGAGGGAAAAACTCATATATTAACTGTCTTGAGACCTCTGAAGACTTTAACCTCTTCTTTTTCAGAGCCAGAAGGTGAAATTCACTCGGAGACTCAGCCTGCAGATGCCTGTAAGTCTCATGCTGGCATCCTTTAGAGTAAGTCACTGGTGGTAAAAGATTGTCCAGTAAATGATGAATTCTCCCTTTGGGAAAGAAGTGGAGCAAAGATAAGCCCTCCTAGTATTGAACCTTAATCCTTCCTGCTGCACTTATTGACCAAGATGTGAGGGCCAGGAATCATTTGAATAGCCCTTTCTGCTGGCTAGTCATTGGAGATAGGAATGGGGACTACACCTCACACCCAAGTGCTAGCAGGTAAAAGGTTTCAGCTCATGGAGGTGAGGATGTTGGAGTGGCTCATCCGTTCCAGGCTCCCCACTGCCACAGCCCAGAAACCATGAACATTTCAGGATTCTGCTTTGTGTATTATCCATAGACATGGTTTAATCTCAGGCTAGCTTCCCCCAATCTACCTTGGAGAAGCCAGAGAAGGCAGATTCAAGCAATACCCAGAATTCAGAAGAAAAAAAAAGAAAAACAATATTTACTGAACTCCTCCAATGGGCCAGACAATGGGACCTATGTTTGCAAAGTTAATCCCTTCTCATTGGGAAGGTAAATTTGCTGGGGAAAGTGGAATTCCTAATCAATGGCATTCAAAATCAGAGATGTGCCTTTCAGGTGCTCATAGATTTGGATTCTGATACGGGACCTCAGTCCTACTTGTATGTTAATTAGGCAATGACTCAACCCTGATAGACTCCACATGTTAAGGGACATGACATGGGATGGCTGACTGCTTCTCACCATGTGCTCTCACTCTGCCCCCCATTCCCTTTATCTTCCTGGTTCCAGCTGCCCAGGTCACCCCTAGCAGCCACCCCAAGAAGGACCATGTTTCCAATGAAGCCTCTCTAGGAGCGCTTCATCTCCAAAGAAGAGCTGGTTTCCAAAAAGAATGCTGTCAAAAGAGCACACACCCCAAGAGGACAATTTCAAAAATGTTAAGCTCCAATTAGAAGAGACTACAGAACTGGCTCCCAGGGCTGGTATGAGCCAGGGAAGGGGCAAGCCCCCGGGCAGGTATTGAGCAGGAAAAGGAAGGGGCTGGGAGCTACTTGGGTGGAAATAGGTGGGGTTAGAAAAAGAAAGGAGGCTGTGGAGGAACAAGAACTAAATGTGAGTGTGAGTCAAATGAAGCATCGATTGCCAGCCCTGTGAAAGGCTGTTGCTGGGGTGGAGGGGAGAGGGGGGAAGGGAACCAGCCTTAACTTGGCATTTCCCTCTCAGTACTCCTCAGCAACCGCCTCAGAGGGAAAACTTGCCAAACTGGCCCATAAAATCGGGAAGAATCTGGACAAAGCATTGAAAGGAATCATAAACTATCTGAAAAACCTAATCCCTAGCGCCAATGATGTCATGAGGCCCTAATGATGAGGGTGCCTGAATTCCAGGCTAGGCTGTGGGAGACGCCACATCCAAAAGCCATCTTTCGGCTCCTCAAATTCATGTATTAAAGCATTGTGTCCCAAGTCTGACTCTGTGGTGGCTTTGCTGGGCTCAGGAAGAGAGGCAGGATGCCCCCACTCTACTGGGTTTCTTTCTTAGTTACCCTATCCCTTTGAATTTAAACCTCTCATCCCTCTAAGCTTACAAACCTGCTCATGTCTCCACATCCCAAAACATCTTCTGCAAAGTCCTGACCCTCCTCGCCACTGCCCCCACCTCACCAATGCACTGCCCCATGGCCCTCAGCTCCTGTGCACGCCTTATGCCCCTACAGTCTACCATCTGCATCCATCCAGCCTCCACAACTGCTCTCCAAAGAGTCACAAGCATCAACAAATCCTGTGACAGCATCTGTAGAACTGGACACAATTACCCCTTCTAGAAATTTCTCCTCACTAACTTTCCAGGACACTGCCCTCTCCTAGCTCTCCAAGCTCCCTGTTCCTTTCCCAGCACATTTTTGGACTACACTCTGTGCTCCCAGCATCTCATCCTGTAACCTCTTGTCTTCTCTCCACCCTCTTCCTCTACACCCTCATCTGCCAAGACTTCTGCTTCACCACAGAGTGGATGACTCCCATTCCCACACTCGACAAACACCCCCCACATGCTTACTATGTGCCAGGCGCATCTACCTAATATGTGCCAATCTCCTCCCAACCCTGGCCAGTTCTCACTGTAACAGCATATGAGATTCAATGGGTAAAGAAGAGCATGGGAAAATGAAGGTTTCTGTCTTACAGATGAAGGGAAGCTGTCACTCAAGGGCAGGTAGGATGGCAGGAAGGGAAATATCTCTGATCTCTAGTGTCCTACCTCCAGGACACATGAAAAGATGTGCTTAGAAGATCAACATAGCAACTGACCTATTGCAATGCAGAGCTGGTCTGTCCTGGCCCAGGAGAATCTGGAAATACATTCAGACCTGGAGGCAGATAAAATAGTCTACTTCCTCCCTTTGCTTTCTCCTAGTATAGAAAGTTGCCACATGTCCACTTTCCCTCGTTTACCCACCTTCCTCCCAGTGGAAGAACACACAACTCCACCAAAAACATCTCCCAAGCTAGATCGAAAGTTCTATTATGGGTCTTTCTCAAGATATAGCTTAAGATAAGGAAAAATTATTTTCAAAATGACAGAGGAAGGAAGGTAGGAGCCTGTGGAATTCAGGAAAAAAAACTAGAGGGAAGTTTCCTGAGTGGGTGATATTAGGAACATGGAAGTGTCTTGCAGATTAAGAAGCCCCAGATTCATCCTTTTGGTCCTCCAGTTCAGGCCAATACAGAAAAGGATATGAGAGTTGTTACCCAGTGAGGATCAAAGCATCCATCTTATTAATGGCTGGACAGCTGTGCCACAGCCCAGAGCGCAGGGCTGTCTGTGGAAACTGGATGGGAGACCTCAGGCTAAAGGGCCCCTGCCCACATTCCCAACCCCGACTGACTCACTGAATGAACAGAAACAGGGCTGGAGAAGCCACTATCAGGCTCTTATCTGTAAGATCAACTACTCTTCCCCCGGGAGGAGGAGGGAAGGAATGGAAAGGTAGACTGGGAAATATTCCCTCCAACCTGCTCTTCTTGTTGGGAGGGGATAGGAAAGAACGCCCCCAACACAGAGTCACATAAGAGAGACAGCCTTCTCTCTTCTGAAGCCTTTGGGCTTAACAGGTGAGCCTGAGATCTGCGATCAGCCACAGCTGTGATTGGAGGGGTGAGGGAGAGAAGATCAGCAGCACATCAGAGTGGTCTTCTACCCTGCAGCTATTTGGCCATTTGTGGCCTTAAAAAGTGGCCTTACCATATGCCCACTGATTTAATATACAGTAGCTCCCACTATGTGGTAGGCCCTAGTTGCAAATGCTTTATACATATTTACCAATTTAGCCCTTGCAAAAGACTTAAAAAGTTTGTTATCTCCATTTTAAGATGAAAAAAATTAAAGTACAGCTCCTCACCACAGTTCTTTCCTCCTGAAATTGGTGGCTTGACAAGTTTACTGTTGATACCCAAGCCTCTGATTTGAGTTCAAATAGAACACAAATTAACTCCAAGACTGTACTGTTCCCTAGACTCTATTTCCTCTCTCCAATCTGCTCAGTCATGTTGCTCAGTAGAGCTCACTTGAGGGTTACAAATAAGTACTATGTAGCAGCATAAAAGATCAAATAATTCAACACCAGCAAAAAAAAAAAAAAAAAAAAAAAAGTCCTAAATTTGAACATAAAACCTCTTCTAATTTTTCTTTCTTTCTTTCTTTTTTTTTTTTTTTTTTTTTAAGGCAGGGTCTCATTCTGTCATTCTGTCACCCAAGCTGGAATGCAGTGGCACAATCTCTGCTCACTGCAACCTCTGCCTCATGGGCTCAAGCAATCCTCCTAATTTCAAAAGGCACAAAGAACAAAATTGAAATACACTCTTTCAGTGCAAGAAAAGTAAAGTCCAAAATTCCTCCCCTCCCAATGTTTTCCTCATCCTTAGCCCAGAGTCTCATTCAAAAGGCATCTAGGTATGTCCATTTGTCTAGACATCTCCATTCTTAAAGAAAATTCATTTCCCAGCCAGGCATGGTGGCTCTCGCCTGTAATACCAACACTTTAGGAGGCCAAAGTGGCAGGATCACTTGAGGTCAGGAGTTTGAGAGCAGCCTGAGCAACATAGCAAGACCCCCATCCTTATTTAAAAAAAAAAAAATATATATATATATATATATATAAAATTAGCTGGGCATGGTGGTGCACACATATAGTCCCAGCTACTTGGGTGGCTGACACAAAAGGGTCGCCTGAGCCCAGGAGTTCAACGCTGCAGTGAGCTATGATTGCGCCACTACCCTCCAGCCCAGGGTGACAGAGCAAGGCTATGTCTCTGAATAAATAAATAGAAAATCCATTCCCAAAAACTCATTCTCTGTCTCCCCCAACCAGCTGCCAGGCTCTGGCTGGGCCTTCAAACATGAAAAACTTTGTGACCTGTTGGGATGAGGTGGAGAGAGTGGTTTTTTTTTCTTTTTTTTTTTTTTCCTTCTCTTTTTTTTAGACGGAGTCTCGCTCTGTCAGCAGGCTGGAGTGCAATGGTGCGATCTCAGCTCACTGCAACCTCCACCTCCTGGGTTCAAGCAATTCTCCTGCCTCAGCCTCCCAAGTAGTTAGGACTACAGGCACGGGCCACCATGCCTAGCTAATTTTTGTATTTTTAGTAGAGATGGGGTTTTACCATGTTGGCCAGGATGGTCTCAATCTCTTGACCTTGTGATCCGCACGCCTGGGCCTCCCAAAGTGCCGGGATTACAGGCGTGAGCCACCACACCCAGCCTGGGAGTGGTTTTTGTCATTTTTGTTGCTCCAGCTGTTTGGTAGAATAAGATCTGGAAGAGAAAGGGGGGGGTACACACACTCTCCCTATCACTTTAGCTTCCCAATGTGGAGATAGGGTTAGGTACCTGCGTCTCCATCCTCTCTCTGGCCCGGGGTGAGCCACCGCCTAGGTCTCTAAGGTGTGACTACAAGAAGGATCATGGTGAAGCCTCACAAATCTGTAGAGGATGAGGAGGACACAGAGCCACCAGCATGGGGCATGTTCCCTGGGAGTCAGGGGAAAGGCTGCTATGCCTGGAGGCAGGGGACTGGCTCCCTCCTGGTCTTTTTCCCCCTGAAATGTGAGTAGTTCCTCTGGCATCTACAAGGTTGACTTAATCCAACCCCAAGGAGCTCATGGGTCCCTCCTTTTCAAAGTTAGAGTAACTAGGATACACGAAATACCATGCACCAGCTCTGCACCAACCAAACTCAGAAACACAAGCACATTCTCAGGCCCCAGAGCAATTATGTGCCCAGGCCCTAGTGCATGGTTTTTTGTGGGGCTTTTAAGGGTTGTTTTGTTTGTTTGTTTGTTTGTTTGTTTGTTTTGCAGGGGTAGAAGGTGGAAGAAAAAAACCTTCTACACAGGTTCAAGGTGCAGAGAGAGATGTCATGGAGGGCCAGCGCTCAGCCGCAGTGCCTCAGGTATACCTGGCTCCATGCAGGTTCTCCAGCCACACTTCTGCTGCTGCTTGTGGGCCTCATCTCATCTGTGTTCCTCCTACATGTCATTATCAGTGAGCAGCTCACGGCAGCATAGCGGGAGGAATTTGTCTTGCTTAACCAGGGAAGGTTCAGTTGCGTTGGAAGAGGGGATGGCAAGGCATCTCCATGTCAGTCTCCTCCTCAAGGCTCAAAAGACACATGGGGCACTTGAGCTGTGCAGGAATCCCATGGCTAATGCCAGCATCATACTGTGGCAGAAACTAAGTGGTATCTGCAAGAAGAGAGAAAGCCTTGACTTCACAAGTGGGAGAAATCTCTCGTGGAGTGACTAATGTTGGCATTAAGTTTGCCTTCAGAGGGTGGGGTCATGTATACAGCCTCTTCTTTCAAAGTGGGGGCTTAGGATATTTCTATCATCTTATGATATTTAGAAGTTTAAGCTTGATTCAATCATACCACAATGTATACATATATCGAAACATCACATTGTACCCCTTAAATGTATACAACTATGATTTGTCAATTAAAAAATTAAAAATTTTTAGAAAACATAGAATCTCAGACGTGACTAGATCTATTTATTTCACGCATGAATTCCCTTTAGAGTGTATTTCATCTTCTCAGTAATTCTGTGGCATGCTTCCTCAGGACATGGGCAATAACAGCCCCCAAACCCCCATTAAAAAAAAAAAAAACCTGCATTCCTTTGAAACTTACCTAATAATGTTTCACCACTAAACTTCCTGTTCGTCTTCCCTCACTCTGTGCAAGTGACTGGGTCAACGCTCCCTCTAGCGGCCTCAAACTGTTTTGCATCGTTGTTAAATCTCTCCAGGCCCCATTCACCCTCCGTGATCTAGAAATAAATAAATATTCTGCTCTCTTCTAGTTCCATCCTTAAAACTATCTAGGCATAGAGCCATTTCCCTTCTCTTTTAATGTATCTCAAGCATGGGCTCTATGAACTCAAACTTTCTCCTGAGAAAATCTCATCTTTTCTCCCAACTCAATCAACAGAACTGCCCTCTTTTTTCTTTTCCCTTTCTGTCTGACTTGTCTCACTATAAGACCAAGACTTGTACCTTATATGAACCCCACGTTTCCCTGATTCTTAGGAAAATATGATTTCTAAAGAGTTTTCCAGGTACAGGACTTGTTCATTTCTCCCATACTCTTCAAGTTTATAGTAATTCCATGGAGTTTTTCTTCACTTTCACCCAGTGACATTTCCTCCACATAAAGGATCCCATTATTTTTATCTGTATGAAGTCGACCACACCTCTGTGGTTAATCCCACAGTGGGACTCTGAAATCTGAAACCCTGGCTGGAGCTTCATAAATGTACAACCCCAAGCCACTTTGAGACTACGTGGTAGGAAATAATCCCAGGAGCCTGTGATCAGGCCATAAACAAAATCCCTCCTGAGTCTTCCTGCCACCCTAAATGCAGTTCAAAACAAAGCACACATTGGGACCTGCATCTGTGGGTGAGAAAAAAGAACAAGAGAAACGTGTTAAATGAAAACTAGGAAAAAAGTGAACAACAACATAAAAGAAACCAAACTAGACAATCAGTTGGACAGCCAACCTAGCATCACCTACTAAATATTAACACACATCATCTGAAGCCAAAATTTCACAGCCTTATGCTCTGTACCCAAGTGGAATTGGGATAATTTCATTCCAGCCTCAGCTGCACCCACGCAGCTGCAGGTCAGAGTTACCTTTAGAGTGTTTGCTGTTAAAATCCACTGTATTTGGGTCCCCCAAGGCCAGTCTTTGACTTCACCATCACAGCTCCAGGGAGGGCCACCAGCACGTCATCCCTCTGCCCCTCTGAGTCTGGCCAATGGAGAAGGTGTCCAGAGAACAAGGAGCAAAAAGGAAACCAAAACATCGATTGTATTAACAGCCAGACAAGTGCCGGGGAACCCACAGCACTCTGACCTCTCTGGCAAGGCTGAGCTGGAGAATGCTATCGAGACACAAGCCCAAAAGGGGCCTTCTCTCTGTCCTGCCTGAGCCACTAAACGGTGAGAGAAACAGCATGCATCCCCCAGGGAAGAGGTGGGAAGGTGAAGTCCTGTCCAAGTGTGCACCCTCATGAGAGAGGGCAGGAGGGAAAGAGGCAAAGCTGTTGAGGAACATTCCTGTTGATGCATTAACTCCGCCCCCTGGTGAAACGTGGTGTAATAAATGTTCTGTCTCACCAGCTGTCATAGCATCTCACCCTGTGGGAAGGAGCAGTCACCCAGAAGAGAGCCTTTCATCTTGTATTAGTTTTCTAATTACAAATTACCACAAATTTACCAGCTTAAAACAACACAAATTAATTATTTTACAGTTCTGTAGTTCAGGAGTTCCAGATGGGTCTCACTGGGCTAAAATCAAGGCATGTCAGCAGGCAGGGCTGCGTTCCTTTCTGGAGTCTCTAGGGGAGAATTCATTTCCTTGCCCTTTCCAGCTTCTAAAGGCTGTCCACAGTCTTTGGCCCATGGCCCCATTCCTCCATTTTCAAAGCCAGCCCCATCCGGCCAAGGCTTCTCACCCTGCCATCAGTCTAGTTATCTCTTTGGAATCCTTTGTCCACATTTAGGGATGCTTGAGATTATACCAGGCCCACCCAGATAATCTAGGAGAATTTCCCTATTTTAAGACCAGCTGATTAGCAACCTCAGTTCAATCTGCAACCTTAATTCTCTGTTGCCAGTGTAACCCAACACACTTACAGGTTCTGTGATTTCCGACGTGGACCTCTTTGTGGGGCCATTAGTTATTCTGCTCCCACACATCTCCCATGGGATTAGCCACCACTCACATCCCCCCTTAAGCCATAGGAATCAGTCACCAAAGGCCTTGAAACCATTCAGGTAGGCACCAAGGTCTATTCCTTGTCCTGATTCCTCTTGTAGAAAGGTGGGCAACCAAGATCCTTGGGTTCTGTCTCTCTGTTGACCACAGTCACTTCCAGGACCAAGCCAAAGCTTTCAGATATATTTGTCATCCAGAACCCCTACCCTGTTTGGCTCTGTCAGCCCCAAATCTAGCCCAATTCTCTCTGCCCAGTCTCTCTCTGCCAAACCCTTTTACTATGCCCTCTAGAACTCCTGATCAGTGGTCAGTAAATTCCTTGGTATTCCCAATGTCTTGTTTTGAATTTTCTCTCTATTGCTTAATCTCCCTTTTTTTTCTTTCTTCTCCCAACTTTCAACTGATACCCGTTTTTTCTTCTTTCTTCTCCCATCTTTCAACTGATATTGCCTAATCTAAAATAACATTTTAAGGCCAGGTGTGGTGGCTCATGCCTGTAATTCTAGAGCTTTGGGAGGCCAAGGTGGGAGGAACGCTTGAGGCTAGGTTTTCAAGACCAGACTAGGCAACATAGCAAGACCCTGTCTCTAAAATAAAAACAATTAGCTGGGCATGGTGGCACGTGCCTGTAGCCCCAGCTACTTCAGAGGCTGAGGTGGGAGGATCACTTAAGCCCAGGAGTTCAAGGCTGCAGTGAGCTACAATCATGCCACTGTACTCCAGCCTGGGTGAGAGAGTAAGAACCTGTCCTTTAAAAAATAATAATAATAATAATTTCAGATTTTCTGAGACTCTGACAACCTCTATTTCACTCTCAAGTGGAAACTGCTTTCTCCTTTAGCCACCAACCGCCTCAGAATCCGAAGGTGGGAAGAAGGATTTTCCTCCTTGTTCTCCACTGCCACTTCTAAACCATTCCTCTTCCGTTCTACTCCAAAATCTCCCCTTCTTTGAAGCTCAGAATACATGCTGCGCCCTCCTACCAACCCCTCTCCCTTACAGGGAGCCCCTAACCTCAGCACCTGGTCTTCCTCTTCCCACTTGCTCCTGTCCTTTTTTGAGGACTGTCAGTGTTCATGCCGATGACCCCCCAACACTCTGACTTCTCAGTTCTTAACCTTTGTACCTCAGCCTACGCGCCACCACAGCCACTTCCAAAATCCTAAATTCAAGAATCCCACGTCTGGCCACAATTTCCTGCCCTTCCATCTCCATTACAGTAGAAGTCCAGTTGTAACAATTCTTTGACCTGATCCAGACCTCCGATTCACTGACCCTGCCATTTTTTCCATGTAGCTAATAACTTCATTTCCCAAGCTTCCTTACAGACAGATGTGGCCAAGTGACTAGGTTTTGGACAGGAGGATATGAACAAATACAATAAGGGCAAATGACAGGTGGTGCCCTTGACAGAAAGAGTGTGTCCTCCCTTTCTCCTTTCTAAATCCTTCACGCTGACTGGAATGAGATAAAGGCATGGGAGCTAGAGCAGCCCTCTTAGGCCACTAAATGGAAGCTACATATTGAAAAGAAAGGGTAACGAGATAGAATGTCCAGAATATTGTGGAGCCACCATATTATCTCTGTTTAACTTCTGTTCTGTTGAAGCCATGCCATTACAATCTTGTTACTACCCCTGGACTAATGCCTTAATAGACCTCTTCATCTCATCTTCCTGTCTCGTTAAGTATCACCCCCATATACTCAATTAGTCAAACCAAAAACCTAAGAGTCAATCTTGATTTCTGCCTTTCCCTCAATCCCCACAATTAATTCACCAACAAGCCTACAGATTCTATCTCTGAAATATATCCTGACTTCACCCCTCTCTCCCCATCTCTCTGCCACCACCCTGTTTCCACTTCCACTGTTGACCACCTGAACCTCTGCAATGGCTTTCTGAGTAAGCTCTCTGCCTCCACTCTAAGCCCATACAATCCAGGCTCCGTCAGTAACTAGACAAGTGGTCTTTTCAAAGTATATATCAGATCAGGTCTGCTCCTTAAAATTATCAGGTGGTTCCCATTACACTTCAAATAAAATCCAAACTCTCTAGCAGGGTCTACAAGGCCCTGTGTGGTCTGGCTTCCAAATATCCCCCCAACCTCATCTCATTCCGCTCTCCTGCCCAATACAGCGTGACCATGCTGGCGCCCTTCACGGTCCTTGGACACACCAGCCTCTTTCCCAGTTTCATCCTTGTTCACTCTGCTTAGAATCCTCTTCCTCTTGCTGTCTGCATAGCTGACTCCCTCTCACCCTTCAGGTCTTGGTTCAAATGTCATCTTATCAGAGAGCTTCCCTGGCCACTCCCACCCATCCTCCCCCCAGTTACTTCTGTCACCTCGCCTTGTTTATTCCCCTCATTGCATTTCCTATGCTCTGAAATGTTCCTACTTTTACATTTATTCACTTGTTTATATACTTTTTTACCTCACAAAAATGTAAGCTCCATGAAACCTGGGAACGTATCAATCATTATTATTCACTATTTTCTCTCCAGTACCTTGAACAGTAATTACTGGGCAAAGAGTTGAAGTTCGATGAATGAATTTGAATTGAATTCATGAGTGAATTGAATAAACAAATGAATGAATGATCAGTAAAATTAGCTACTTTTTTTTTCCTAGAAAAGAGCAAGTAAGGAACAGCGAGAGGCTAGAAGGGTTCACTCTGACACCCACCCCCGTGTGAGGTAGGGAGCAAAGTCCTCCCCTCTAATGGAAATGGGCACAGGGATGGGGCAGCCGATAAGGGTCACCTTTTCCCAGAGTGGTTAGAAGAAAAGGATGCTGGGAGGGGCTGAGAAGCCTTCTTGCTCAAAAGCCCAGTGCTCTCCCCGCTCACCTCTACAGGATTCCTGAAGAAGTGAGGAGAAGATCACCTGCCCACAGAACCTAACCCAGCATCAGAGGAAGCCTGAAGTGAGGAAGCCTGAAGTGAAGAAGCCTGAAGTAAAGAAGCCTGAAGCTATAGCGCAGAAAGGCCTTCTCAACACATGTTCAGGTAGGGGGACTCCAAAATGGGGACTTTCTTTTATAGGGGGTGGGAAAGGGTCTTATCAAAAAAACAATGTCCCCCTTCACTCCCAAACTTCCTACACAGAATATGGAGTTCCTTCACAGGGGGGTAGGAAGAGGGTCAGGACAGCCTCCATAGAGCCCTCCGCAAGTCCTCCCTTACCCAAGGAGACAGAACAGTTGAGGCCTCAGATTATAAGGCTCTAGATTAGCAAAGCACTTATTCTTTCTCCTGTTAGCTCCTTCTCTCCTGTCCCAGGGGCCCTTTTCCTTCAAGTGGAATCACAGAATCTTTCACTTATAGACTGATGCATAATTTCAGAACAACCCAGGATTCTGAAGCATTGATTTGGAAAGAGCCCCCAGACAGTTTTTGCCTGGATCCCTCCATCAGCAGAGAACTCCTTCTGCATAAGGTAGCTTCCTCCAGGCCCTGGTGGCTTAGATGGGGCCTTCTGCCTCCCTGCCAGTCAAACTTGTCTCCCTCTAACTTGTTCAGCCTGGTGGAGCAGCACAGGTACGTGGGTTCTTATTTCCACATGACAACCCTTAAAACATCTAAAGACAATCATTTTAATAATAAATAATACCATTTAATGAGAACTAACAAGGAAGTGTGCTAAGAGTTTTGTGTATATTATCCCATTCAATACTTGAAACATCTCTAAGATGTAGGAATTATTATTATTCCTATTTCTTCGATAAGGAAATAAGATCAGAGAAGTAAAGCAACCAGCCCAAGGTCACTGGAGTATTGGAAGAATCAGGATTTGTTCCAAGGCCGGACTGACTCCATCCAAAGCCCATGCTCTCACTCCCTCTATTATGCCAAGCTCACCCACCCGGCTACACAACATCGAATCTTCTTTTCTCCCAGCTAAACAACATCGAATCCTTCAAGTGTTGCTTCTCTGAAGAGTTCAAGACTCCCATCCCCCTCCATTTCTTCCAATAACCTCTAAGTTCAATAGAATCCTTGCAGCCCCAGAGCCTCAGACCCTCTTTCTGGAAACTGGGAGAGGAAAAGGAAGCTCTTCTTCTGCTAAGGTGTCTCCCCAAGGGTCCCCCAAGACCCCAGTCTCCCCTTAGTCTCCAAACACTGCCGTAGCCACCACTCTTTGCTACCCTCTCTCCGCCTCCCTTGCTAATTTCACCTCCCTTGTCCACCAGAATTCTGTCAATCTGCTTCCCCCTTATTCTCACATTATTCTTCCTGTAAGTCCTACTCAACTTTAAATTAAAAAAAAAAAAAGCCTAACTCCAATTCGCCCTCCTCTGCAAGCCTTCTCTGGTTCCTTCAGGCTGCCCCTTCCTCAATGCTCCCAAAGTCCTTATTTCTGCCTCTACAACAGCAGTTACTATTTTGCAGCTCTCAGTGTCTGTTCACAAGTCTCCCTCACCAGCTTGGCTTCTCCAGGGCAGAGAGTATGGCTTTGATCTCTGCACTCATTGCAACACAGGTGCTTAGTACACGGCTGTTAGCATCCAATGCAGACTGATTCATTTTTGATACTTCAAAAAGGAAGAATGGTGGTTAGACTGCAGAGAGCCAGGAAGTGGGGCTAATGCCAGGGAACTGATTGAGATGCCATGAGAGCTGAGCCCCAGCACCTGGGGGACATGTGGCGTCTGGAGATTGAATGAAATAATCTAGCACCAATGAGTCCAAGGAGGGAAGCAGGGTTTTAAGCAGGATCTGCTGCCCTCTGCTGGCCATTCCACCTCTGGGATGGAATGTTTGTTTTGTGTCCAGCTTTCCCTGACAAAGAGAAGCGAAGTTGCTAGTATAGACTTAGAGCCTGACACCCCTCCCTCCTGGCACAGTCTTAAACCCAGTTCCTTTTGTAAAAGGATATAAAAGTATAATTTCCAGGCACCAAGATACAACAAAGGAAATTTCAAACCGAGGCACCAAATCATCATGTGAAAAATTTTAAAAACTAGTTTCTGACCCCCTCAGCCAGATCAAGAATATAAAAGAGGGTCATAGTATGGAGGAGAGGGAGGATTCTGCGAGGAAGAAATGTATGGAGAAAACTGCTGTTAGCCCCATCCCCTCCCTCCCAAGGAAGGAGAGAGGCGCCTACTCCCTTACAGCAAACCCAGTGAGATGCCTGCACGGGTTACCCGAAGAGCTGAGAATGTGGCCCCCAGCATTGGGAACAGAGTGTTCTGGAGTCTGGGTACTTCCCAGAAGTTTAGAAGGAGAGAGAGGACTGGGGACATGTGAGCATTCCAGCAGAGCTGCTACTGAGACACCCTGCACCACAGGGTTTGCCTAATCAGGGCAGAACCAGCTACGGGCCCCTGAGAAGGAGACAGGTGCATTCCCCTGGGTCCATCTTGGATCCTGTGCAATAGGGCTACCTCAATGAACAAAAGGACCCCAGCAGCTGAGGAAGGAGTCTCAACTCCTGGGACACAGGTGAGGTGAACCCTGAAGACCCAGGAAAACGCCTGTCAGAGAATAATCACCAGAGAACACAGAGAAAGAGCCTGAGGGTGGTATCAGCTGATGGAGGAGGCTGAGTACCAACTGATGGAGGAGGCTGAGTACCAACTGATCTCAAAACTGATCTACCCCTGCCAGTCGGCTCTGCACCACCCCACCCCTCACCAACACACCTCACTCTGAAACAGCTTCTAGTGAGGGCGGGGGAAAGGCCGGGCTAGGGGCAGAGCAGGAGGGAGAGCAGGACAGAGAAGTGGAGCAGAGCCAGCCACTCACTCCCTGCTTTCCCACACAAGCTTCTGACTGAAGCAGGGCCCAGCAGCCTGGAGAAGTGACACTAAATGGTTTCAGGTTTTGATTCATATATTAGCCTGGTTGTTCTAATTTCTGAATAGAGACTATCCCTCACCTGAGAGTGAGCAGCAAGGTTCAGAGGCTTTCCTGGGTTTTCGCCCAGAAGCAAGGAAAACTTTACCCCTATCCACCCCGCAATAAAGTATAAAGGAATGCTGGGAAACAACAAGTATCATGAAACTAAAATGCATCTTGGACTATGTAAGCAAAATGCAACTTCATTTTTTCATCATACGACAAGTTGTGATTGTTCATCACACACGTTACAGTCTCCCCTTCCACTGGGACTAAGTTACAGGGACCCAAAGTTTTCCCTTCCAAGTCCTCCTCTCAGCCTTCTTTTTTCCAGTCTAGACCACCGGTCCTCCCATCTCTTCCCCGTCTTCACCACCAGTAGCCTCCTCTTTAAGGCCTCTTGAGACCAGCCCAACCCCAACCAGGGATTCTGAACACATCCTCGTCTTCTTGGGGAGGGGAGAGAGACAGAAGGCTACTGGCCTCCTATGCCTGCTCTGGCAGGACCCCCTATCCTAATCTTAGAGCACTCACCATCTCCCTGCCCTGTCAGGCACTCTCACCATCTGTAGTAGGTTGATTAGTGTCTCCCAAAAGTTCATGTCCACCCAAAATCTCAGAATACAGAAATAAGGTCTTTGCTAATGTAATTAATTACAATTTCAAGATGAAATAATACTGGATTTGGGGTGGGCCCTAAATTCAATGACTGGTGTCCTTGTTAGAAGAGGAGAGAACACAGACACACAAGAGGGAAGAAGGACCAGGCACAGTGGCTCACACCTGTAATCCCAACACTTTAGGAGGCCAAGGTGGGTGGATCACCTGAGGTCAGGAGTTCGAGACCAGCCTGACAAACATGGTGAAAACCTGTCTCTACTAAAAATACAAAATATAGCCAGGCGTGGTGGAGCACGCCTGTGGTCTCAGCTCCTCGGGAGGCAGAGATTGCCGCGAGGTGAGATCACACCACTGCACTCACTCCAGCCTGGGCCACAGAGCAAGAACTTGTCTCAAAAAAAAAAAAAAAAAAAAAAAAAAAAAAGAGGGAAGAAGGCTGTGTGAAGATAGAGGCAGAAATCAGAGTTATGCTGCCATAAGCCAAGGAACACCAGAGCCACTAAAAGCTGAAAGAGGCACACAGAATTCTTCCCTAAAGGTCTATGGCACTGCTGACACCTTGAATTCAGACTCCTAGCCTCCGGAATTGTGAGAGAATTAATTTCTGTTGTTTAAGCCACCCAGTTAGTGGCACTTTGTTACAGCAGTCCTAGGGACTTCTCACTTCTCACCCCTTCTCCAGCCACAGCAACAAGCAATGGCTAACCCTTGGCAAGAGGGATGCAAGGTTTGGGCTGGGGCTGGGGCCCAGTACCCTCTGCCAAGCCTGGGAGGACGGGGGAAGGAGGACTGGGCTATAACTTTCAAATGACTCCCCTATACACACTCCCCTGCTGAGCAGCCCCAAGAGAAAAGCAGGCATCTGCTCCCCAGTCACCTAGAGGAACATGTCCAGAGCCCAAGGGGCCCTTGCCCTCCCATTCCTGGAAACCTACCCTCATCCCGTCCTGTGGCTGGGGAATTTTCCATCCTCCCACACGCAAGTCAAAGTCATTAGATTTAATCATTAACAGGGCGGGTGTTAATTAGCAAAACAGGATGATTGTCCATGCTGATGAGGACACAGCTGGACATCAAGAATAGCTGATCCAACAAGGCTGGGGAGAAGCAGGACCTGGCTGAAAAGACGCAGGAACTGTGCTTCTGTAGACAACTTCCCCCTAAATTCTGAAAGCACTGAAATCCCCATTCTTCAGCCCTTTTTTTTTTTCAAGAATCAAAGGAGAAAATAGTCGCAAGTGTTTAAGGGGCGCTAAGCACATTATGGACATTATCTCTTCCTACCTCTCACTATATATTATTATAATAGGGATACCTATTGCTAATCCAGTTTTAAGGGTGAGAACATTGAGGCCCAGAGAGGTTAAGCGCCTTGCCCAAAGTTACAAATCTGCTAAGTGGCAGAGCTAGGATTTGGCCTTAGGCAGACTTCTCCAGAGGCTGGGTGTTTAACCACAACGCTGACAGGAGCTAGTGTGGAGGGGCAGAAGAGGGTCTCTGCGGTCAGAGGTCACGCTGACCTCCTTCCTGATGCCCCTGATTCTGTAGCATATTGTGCTTCCACTTTTGTAACTCATGGTTGATCATGACTCACCCACCACTGCCCTGGCTCCTGCTAGGCCATAAGCTGTGTGTCAATGGACAGACTGTATCTCTTTTATGCTCCACTGTTTCCCCAGCACTTAGCATAATATCTGACACATAGGAATATTCAATAAATATTTGTTAAAAGAATAAATTTAACCTTTTAGAGGGTTTGGGATAGAAGGGGCTAGCTAGAGGCTAGCTATTAGCTAGGAATGGGGTCTTCTGGACTGCTGATGATCATAGTGTTAAAATGCATCTCCGAGACCTTCCTGGCCAATATGGGAAAACCCCGTCTCTACTAAAAATACAAAAATTAGCTGGACGTGGTGGCATGTGCCTGCAATCCCAGCTACTCGGGAGGCTGAAGCAGGAGAATCGCTTGAACCAGAGAGTCGGAGGTTGCAGTGAGCTGAGATCGTGCCACTGCACTCCAGCCTGGTGACAGAGCGAGACTCTGTCTCAAAAAAAAAAAAAATGCATCTCAAGAGGTCATCTAGTCCATGACCCTGCTTTAGGTTCAGCCATTACCCTGCCATGGCCACCAAATCTGGTTTACTGGGGAAAGTGCTGGCCTGGCTTCTGGACCTTGGAAGAGCTGTTCCTCCCCATTGCCTTGATTTCTCCTCTCTAGCCTGAAGGGTTCAACTGGCTGTTCTTGAAGTCTCTTTCACCCTACCAGTGGATTTGGGGATTCATGAAGAGGCAAAGCACTTTGAAAATGAGCATCCCCTCTGTTTGAATCACCAGCTCTGGCCCCATTCCCAAGACTGCCAGCTGCAGGGAGGGTGTGCACTCAAGCCTGACAGAACTGCAACTCTGGGCTTTTCTCACAGGCAAACCAGGACTTGCACAGTCAGAGGAGGCTGGACTTCCAAGTCATCCCCTAGGAGGCCACCCATCTCCTCCAATGCTGCTTCTGGGGCTCACGAGAAGCTCTGGAAACTTCTTGCAGGGAAGTCTTCTAGATGGGCTCAAAACCCCGCAGGACAAACAGTCTCACTGCCGGGCACCTACATCTCTTTTCCAGATGAAGGCTTACTCCCCACCTGGCCTCCCTCTGTCTTCACAAGGGTTGGCTCCTAAAGGCTATTGGTCATTTCCAAAGGAGCAAAGCCACCCTAAAAGACAATGATTCACCCCCCATGGGGATTTTCAGAGCATATGCCTCAAGCTCTGAGATGATTCCAAGAGTTTCCAGAAATGTTTGAGAAACTGCAGCACGTTGGCATGAGCATATGGCTTCCTGGGGGACCACTTGGATGGGGTCGCTGCTCCTTTGGGTGCATAACAGCAGTCTCTGCCCTTATCTCCTCAGAGCTGTGTGTATAAAAAGTGTGTGTGCATCATGTTGTCAACAAGCCGGAGTGTGCCTCTGCCACACTGCCCAGGCAGGGAGAAAGGCAAAGATACAGATAAGGTCCTGGGGCTCCTGGGTTCTAACCCTGTTTCTGAGACATGCTGGCTGTGTGACAGGAGCACCCTCAACTCAGAATAACAGAATATTAGAGCAGAAGAAACCTGCAAAGTCACCCGGTCCCCTTCATTTTGAAGATTAGGAAACTGAGTCCGGTTGGGGGTTGGGGGAGCAACCCCAGAGTCACCCAGAGAGTTGATAGCAGATGGAGGAATTGAACCCTGACCTTTCATATCCTGGCCCAGGTGGCCCATCTTAGCAACACCTCTCTACACTACCCTCCCCTCGAGAAGCAAAATAAACACCCTAATACCTGTCCTCCCTCCTGGGTGGTTGTGAGGGTTAGTAGGGGTGAGAAGGGTGGATAGATAAAAACAGAAAGTGCTGACAGCGACAAAGAGCAGCCCCATTAACCCAGAGTCCAGTGCCGAAAATAGGGGAGGGTGAGAGTCATTAAGTGACTGCATCACCCAGTCACATCCCTGTAACTTTAAATATTTCATGGAGCCAGCAGTGCACCACATACAGCTGCTGCTCCTCCAGCCCAGGCTGTGACTGCAGCAGGGCTGTGAACACAGGCGCCTAACATAGAAACATGCAAGCTGAGGGAAGGAGTTGGGATGAGGCAGGCTCTAACTCTTACTCACTCTAGGAAAGGTTCCAAGAGCAGGCATCAGGCCCTTTGCAGTGCCCCAGGCCTGTGTGTGAGCAACCCATACCTTCATACACCCACCGGCCCAACAGGCACTCACATAGCTATGGACATAAATAAAAGTCAAAATGACAATAAACACACACCTTCACAGACAGACCCATTCCAGCTTACCCGGCACCAAAGGCTGCACCCAGCCACACTCCACCTCCCTGCTAACCATAAACGCTTCGCCCACTTTCCCCAGTCTCCTCCTCCCAAAGCCAGTACTGGGAGCCATCCCTCTTCCCTCTCCCTCCTCTCTCCTCCGCTGCCTCTACCCCAGCACCAGCTGCTGCCGGGACCCCTCTTCCCACGCAGCCCCTCATCAGCCATCTCTCCAGAGCTCAAGCTCTCTTGGTCTCTCTCCTTACCCGTGGCTTTCAGGACAAAGGACTCTGAGAATCCGGGACTTGAGAAGGCAACATAGGGTGGGTGAGAGACTTGGGGAGGAATTTCCATGACCAGACCAAAGTTTGAGGGAGAGCACGGAATACGAAAGAGGACTAGGCAGCCTGGATGTCTGGGGTGGGGGTGGAGAGGTAACCACTCTGAGAGGTGACCACCCCTCAACTCTGCCGTCCTGCCAGGAAATAACAATAAAACCAGCAGCTACAATTAACCGTGACCTTCTATGCACCAGGTACTCTACCCAAGATGATACTCAACCCTAGGAGGTGGGATCCTCTGTCTGTTTTACAAATGAGATGGAGGCTCATGAGAGAAGCCTGAGTCCCCAGACATAGGGATGTGGGAATCCTGGCTTCACATCCCATGGTCCTGGTAGAATGGGATGGGGAATAGACAAGTCACCTATTTAGAGGATATTTGGGATCCTGCTCTGTGGATGTGTGGTTAGGAGGTGGGGTGAGTAGGAAGGAGGCCAGAGCAAGCAACTGGGCCCTAATGAGCCAGGTATCTCCCTAGCCCCCAACCGTTATCCTCTCTGCTTCAGGGCCTTCACGATCTCTTTCTCCACTGTCACTTCTTGTGGGGGGATCTGCGCAAAGGTTGGGAATGGAGACGGGGAAGCCCAACCAGCTGTTTTCCACCTGGCCCTGCCACACCAGAGAGCAAAGGGGCCCTGCAAGTGCAGGCTGGGTGTCAGGAGTCAATCCTGGAGTCCAGGTGACAGCAAAACAGGGGCCAGTTAACCTGCAGACAGAGGTCCAGCTGGCCCACTGGGTCCCCATAACCCCAGCCTTACCCTGAGAAAACTGAGCCCGACATGTGTAAAAAGATATGGCTGGGGGGAAGGCAGGACAAGTTATTTTGTGAGGTTAGAGGGGAAGGGGCCTTGTGAAATCAAGGTCTGGAAAGGGCTGCCCAGGAGAGGAGGCAACTGAGAGTTGAGGCTGACACCTTAGAGGAGAAGATGACCATATGGTTCTCCAAGAACCAGGCATGAATCTGTATGGCACTTGCCAGTTGCTTGGTTTAAGGCTAAAGAGACAGACCCCTTCCCCTCTTCCAGGACTCCCTGTGCCCTCCTCCCCATCCCCAGTTCTTCTCTCCACCTTCTCCTCCCGAAAAGATGCATCCAGCCCTACCCCTCCCCAGTGCCCAGCACATCCCCTCCCCCATCTAGTGATCCCCAGTCCTTAGACCGAGCACACCAGCTCCTGTGAATATCCTGTCTCCCTCACTGGCTCGTATTGACTGGCATCTTAGTCTTCCACCAAACTAGTCAGTTCTTCCCATAGTCTAACCTCCATTCCTTCAGTTACAGCAGCTCGTTTTCAGTATCCTGCCAATAGTGAAATTAGAAACCAACCCTATCTGTAAACAAGCCACCCCACCAAAGGAGTTTCTCTCTCCCTCCCCAGGCATTTTCCCCTTGCAGGCCTTTCACCTACTTTACCATCCCCTAATTTAGCAAGCAGAAAGAGAACTCGATTTCACAAGCAGGATTGGCTCCCCACCATCGTTATTCCTTTTGTCGAGTCCCAGATGGTCCTCTCTCCCCAAGCCCTCCACCCACTC
This sequence comes from Homo sapiens, assembly GCF_000001405.40. Lineage (NCBI taxonomy): Eukaryota > Metazoa > Chordata > Mammalia > Primates > Hominidae > Homo > Homo sapiens. The sequence continues at coordinate 54,589,220 of NC_000012.12, read as the reverse complement.
CCACAGGCACTTCGAGAGAAACGCGCCCTCCGGAGACCCTCTGAAGTCTTCAGTTTCCTCTCCCTGGCACTGAGGGAACACAGGACGGGTGTGCAGACTTCGTATTTCCCTCCAAGTTTTTACCTCCGCCTAGTGTTTTCCTTGCAAAGGAAAGTCCCTCTCGAAGTCTAACCTTAATCCCTCCTGCTGCATGCCTAAATCCCCTTTCCATCTTTTCTCTATAATACAACCCCCTTTAAAATCATAAATGCAATCTTCCTCTCGCGTTTAGTCTCCTCTCCTGCAGCGCCCCTCTACTTTCCTAGCCCCAACAACCTGCTCCGGCTAGGAGAAGTTCTTCCTAGCCACTCCCCACCCCAACGCCCTGCCCAAAACTCCGAGGACACTGAGGTATCTGCCTGAGCTGTCCACTACGACGGCTCCCGGGCCACGCCCGGACTCGGCGGCCCGCGGGGCGGTGACCCCCGCAGCCGCCGGTGCAGCCACGACGGGGTTAAGGTTCCGGGCTGGGGGAGGGGGAGGGGGCCGGGAGGGGCGGGTGCGGAGCCAATCGGCGGCGGCAGAGTCCCCGGAGCCGCGAGCTGGGAGCGCTGTGCCGGGAGCCGGGAGCCGAGCGCGCCGGGCTGGGGCCGGGGCCGGAGCGGAGCGGAGAGGGAGCGCGCCCGCCCCAGCCCCGAGTCCCGCCGCCTTCCCTCCCGCCGCAGCGCGGGCCCACCGGCCGCCGCCCCAGCCATGGAGCAAGACAACAGCCCCCGAAAGATCCAGTTCACGGTCCCGCTGCTGGAGCCGCACCTTGACCCCGAGGCGGCGGAGCAGGTGCGGAGCAGGGCGGGGCGGCAGGGCACTCGCCCAGCCAAGGACGAGGGACCCCTGGACTGGTGGGACCCAGGATCCCTGCCTAGTCCTCCCTTAGCAGTGCGCCCTTTTGAGGACGAACGCTCAGTTTGCGGGGGGCGGGGGGGGGTCTTCTGTCCCCTCCCCCACCGTCGGAGCCACATCTCGAATCTGTGCTTCTTTGAGACTGACCGAAGGAAGAGCGCCTCCACTCGATGCCTGGCCCCGCGAGAGTCGCTCTCTTCCTCCCCAGTCCTGGGGGAGGGGGCCTGCTTGAGGACACGACCCCTCCCTCCTTAAACAACCCTGCATCCCCCACCCAGTCAACCCCCACTAGAGTTTCTGAGCTTGGTGGTGGCGCTGAAGGGAATCAGCAGCAGTGCGGGAGGGGCCTGGGGAGGGGTCGGTAATGGAGAGGGAGCCTGGAAGGGTGGGAGTTGGAAGAGGAGAAACAGCTCTCCCTGTCCCCTCCTAACTGGGGGCCACCTTGCTGGGCTCCGAAAGTGATAACAGGAAGGGACTGAGGACCACTGAGAGGGCTGGGGCTCCAGGGAGAGGGGAGAGGGGTGGTCGAGTTGTAGGCTGAGGCTCCCTTCTTCAAGTCTCCGCACATGGCCCTTATTCCCAACTCCTGCCCTTTGGAGTGGGGAGTCCAGGTGGGACTGAGCCAGCAGCACTGGGAGGCCAGAGGTGGAGTCTTTCCAGGGGCTGGGGTCCAAGCTGAACAATATGCAAGGGAGAAGCACTGTGACAGCCTTGGCTCAAGGGGTGGGAGTCCAGGGCCCTGGCCCAGCCTCCTAGCCTGGTCTATTTTTAGCTCAGAGCAGCCTGGCAGAGGGGGCAGTGTATGAGAGTGTGTGAGCAAGTGTATGCCTCGGTGAGAGTGAGCGTATGTGTGGAGAGGGTGGCCACCCGTGGTCCTTACTACTCCTTGTTTGCCAAATATTTGCTTATTTGCCTATTGCTCCATCTCTTTGTAATCTCTGTCCATTTGCCTAGACATTCCCATTCCTAAAGAATATCAATTTCCCACAAGGTCAGTTCTCTGTTTCTCTCAACAAGCTGCCAGGCTCTGGCTGGCCACCCCCAACCTGAAAAAAACTTTGTGACCTCTTGGGATGAGGTGGAGAGAGTGTTTTTTGTCATTTTTGTTGCTCCAGCTGTTTGGTAGAATAAGGTCTGATGTGAAGGGAAGCGGGCAGGGGTACACACTCTCCCTACCACTTCAGCTTCCCAATGTGGAGATAGGGTTAGGTACCTGCGTCTCCGTCCTCTCTCTGGCCTGGGGTGAGCCACCACCTCAGAGCTCTAAGGTGTGACTACGGGAAGGCTCTTGGTGAAGCCTCACAAATCTGTAGAGGATGAGGAGGATGGAGAGCCATCAGCATGGGTTGTGTTCCCTGGGAGTCAGGGGAAAGGCTGCTATGCCTGGAGGCAGGGCATCAGCCAGGATAACCTCAGACCCAGGAAAAAGGGCTCAAGAGTCTGGACTGTGGAGGTTGGGGATGCAGTTCCAAGGAGAACTGCCTCCCACTGGCACAGACAGGGCCCGACACCTGTATCTGTTGGGTGTTGGAGGAGGCAGGTGTAGTAGGTGGGTAGGGAGGAGGAGGAGGAAGGCCAGCTGGTTCAGGGATCTAGGAGACAAGGGAGGGGCACAAGGCAATCCTGAGGAGTCAGAGGGAAAAAAGAGAGCCGGGACTTGGGCCTACTTTCACTAATCTTCAGAATTTGTGTCTCTTAGGCCTGAAATTCTTCCTGTGGCCTAACCTCAGCCCCTCCTGCTGTGTTAGGCAAAAAGCTCCAGGCTTGGCAGGTGCTCCTAACCCAGACCAACATGGGAGGGCAAAAGGAGTTGGAAGCTCTGAGTTATAGAGCACAGAGTGGCAGGCGGTGGAGGGGTGCCCACAGCTTCCAGATCCTTGGCATGACTGCTTTGGAAAGAAATCCGAGGCGAAGTTATCACATGCTCCTGAGAGCTAGGATTTGGGATAGGTATGAGAAAAGGAAAAGAGACCATCTACTTATTTCCCACTAGTTCAGGTGCCTGGGAGGTACCTCAGGAAGTCTGACTTTCCTCCTTCCTGCTGTAAGGGTATCACGATTCCCAAGGACTCTGAATGCTTAGAAACCTTGTCCAAAGCAAAGGAATAGGTCAAGGAAGTGATGTGTCCAAGACCAGACAGCCCTGCTGCCCTCTGTCATACTTGCAGTCTCTTTCTTGGGCTCCCCACTCTGATGTTATCTCAACCCACTGATCGCCACTCCACCCTCCTTGTCTCTTTCCTACTACCACCACCACACCCTGCCCCTCCAGGATGGAAAGAAGTAGAGGAGTCTTCTAGTTGAAGGATGGCCCCCACCCCATATACATGAAGCAGATGGTCCCCAGCCCATGTGTATCAGGAATGACCAGAGACGACTCACAGTTAATGTCTGTGCGGCTCATCCATGTGCACACTTACACACATACACAAAGGACTGGTACTGCGGGGACCTTGCAATGTCACCAAAAACAGATGCCACTGAATTCTCCTGGGAAAATGATGCCCTACCCCCACATACCCCCATTCTTTGCATCCTGTTTCTTCTTTGGAAAGAGTTCCCCCCTCAGGCTTAAACAGCCCATCTTACCATAGCCAGTACCCCCCACTTTTCTGGGCATAGAGAGGGGCAGTGTTCACCTCTGTCATCCCCCCACGGCCAGTGGTGATGATTCTAAATAATGGACATGCAAAGATAAGGGTTTGATCATTCAGTGTCCTCATCCTACTCCTCTCAGCCCAGGATAATTCTAGCCCTTTTCCCAGCCCCATTTGCCTTCCCTCCCCACTGCTAACCTAGAGGGTCATCCTCTAACCCCCATCCTTCCACTTGCTTCCAAGCCTCTAAAGCCTCCAGAGAAAGGGGGAAAACTACACCTCCCAGGAGTCCTTGAACTGACTTCAACAACAATCAACTTTATTGGCAGCGTGACAAAAGAACAACAGTGGGGGGAAAGGGGGCTCAGAGGCAGGGCAGTCAGTCAGCTTTATATGTTAATTTCTTAGACTAGGACCTGGAGCCTAGGATAAGATTTTTCAGCTACGCTTTGGGCCCTGACCAGGGTCCTGCCTAGGGCTCCTCCTTGTATTGATATTATATCTACCATGACAAGGATTCCCCCAACCCCATTTCTTGACAAATCAGAAAGGCAATGTATCCAAGGACAGAGAGGACATTAGGGAGTGAGGGGCACAGGCCAGAGGAGATGCACGTTCAGATCCTCCTCTGTGCTGTCCTCCCAGGCTGGGGGGCGCTTGAAAAGGATGCTCTCTCCAGGCGCTGTCACACAAAATGTTAACATCTTGCTTGGGGAGTGGGTTAGAACACTGAGAGAAAGCCCTGTGCCCTCTTAAGTTATTTCTGACCATTGATCCAGGATGGACGGAAGGACAGCAAGCCAGAGATCAATGCATTAGAGCAGATATGCTTAGATGGAGAGCTGGGGCCAGGACCAGGGGGAGGTGGAGAGACAGAACAGGGGAATGGGGGCATGCAGGGAGGCGAGGTGGTCTTCTGGATCCTTAGGATTAGCTCTCCCCAGGGGAGGGGGAGGAGCCCAGGGATGTTCACCCTGGTTCACCAATGTAACATGGCATTTTTTTTTCAACTTTTATTTTAGATTCAGGGGGGTACATGTGCAGGTTTGTTACAAAGGTTTATTACATGGTGCTGAAGTCTGGGATATGATTGACCCAGAGAGTGAACATAGTACCCAATAGGTAGTTTTTCAGCCCTTGCCCTCCTCCCTCCCTCTCTTTTATTCCCCAGTGTCTATTGTTCCTATCTTTATGTCCATGAGTACTCAATGTTTAGCTCCCACTTATAAGTGAGAACACGCAGTATTTGGTTTTCTGTTTCTGCATAAGTTTGCTTAGGATAATGGCCTCCAGCTGCATTAACATGGCATTTTTTGAGGTGTGTTAAGTAGGCTAGCCTGGATTATGTTACTGAGTGGTTTTGGGTGGGGCTTTGATGCTTCCACGTGTACTTGACCTCTTCCCCATTTCCCACCTTCCCTCAGATTCGGAGGCGCCGCCCCACCCCTGCCACCCTCGTGCTGACCAGTGACCAGTCATCCCCAGGTAAGCCAAGGGATAGGTTGCTGAAGGGCGTGGGGGCCACTATGGCAGCAGGTCCCAATGAGAAGATGGGCGCTAGATGGAAGAAGAACAGCTCTGAGAAGGCGGGGATGTCCTCAGTACTGAAGGCAGGAAGGTGGTGGCTAGATTGCAGAATATTCTTTGCTTTTGGAAAGATGGAGCAGTTCTAGGAAAGGGAGGGAGACCACCTGGCTCCTAAGCCCCCCAGGAATTGGGGTGGTCAACTGAGTGCTGGTTGCTGCGACAACAGCCTTCCAGATTTCTCCAGCAACTGAGATGCTGCCACCCCCACCCCCAGAGGCAGTGTCAGCTGTGAGGGGGAGGGACCGCCTCCACCAGCTCTTCACAGCCCCCAGAGGGGGAGGGGAAGGTTAGAAGCAGCTCAGGGAGCAGCTGAGATTCTGGTCACCAGCATCCCCATCGAGGTCTGGGGAGAAAACAAGTTCTCAGAGAATGGTAGAGAGCTTGACAGGAGTATGGAAGCGAGGGGGACAGGCTAAGAAGCTAGGCTGGGGTTCAGGATGCCGGGGTCTCCAGCTTGCCTCCAGCTATACCTTCCAGACCCTGCACAGAATAAATTGACTGTCCTCTATCACTGTTCCCTCCTATGCAGGGCTTAGTTCTGGCTGACCCTGGGGTGGGGGAATGATTGGAAAGAGAAAGAGACATGGATACTTCAGAGGAGGAAAAAAAGCAAAAAGACTACAGATCCTGCCTTTGGGGATCTCCAGGTCTGAGGCAAAGATGCAGACGCAAATTGACCACAGAGCCAAGGACGGGACTAGATGCAGAGGGATGGAGGCAGCGGAAGCACAGGAGAGGAGCTTCGGGGAGGAGGTCTGGGGCAGCCATGAGGGCCAAGAGCCTGGGGGCAGATGTGAGGGACAGATCAGGAGGAGCATGGCTGCAGAATCCCCTCCCCTGAGAAGTCAGCTCTATGGGGATCCCTGGTTTCCTGTCCTTATCACCCTCTCCTTTCCCTGTTCCCTTCAGAGATAGATGAAGACCGGATCCCCAACCCACATCTCAAGGTGAGCTGGCCCATCCCACTAAGCCCAGCCCAAAAAACCCCCACATTCATTAGGGGATTATTCCTTAAAACCCTGCCGCCCATCTCTAGGATCTTTTTGACTCCCGCTTCCCTGTACCTCTACCCCCCAAATGTGCATGAGTGAACATATACACATGCACCCCACACACACACACTCACATACACACACACACTCACAGTCTCCTTGCTCACCATTGTCGAGGTGGTTGGGGAAGCAGGCGTTTTCTTACCCCACTTTTTGAAGCTCACACCTACCCCAGGCTCCAATCCAAAAGCCTGGCAAGGCAGAGGAGGAAGGCAAGGGGGGCTGGAGGGCATGGGGGGCTAGAGGGCAAGGGAGGGGTCTGGAGAGCAAGGGGGGGCTGGCGCCCATCTGTGCTCTGTGCCCTTCACAGTCCACTTTGGCAATGTCTCCACGGCAACGGAAGAAGATGACAAGGATCACACCCACAATGAAAGGTTTGCAAGACCCCTCCCATCCCTTTTTCTCCTCTGTGCCTGAAGCTGAAGAGGAGACCGAATGCCCTTTGGAAGGGAGGTCGTTAAATCTGCCTTTATTATGGTAGAACTGTTGCTAGACGAACTGAGGCTGAAATCCCAGTTTTGCCACTGACTAGCTGGGTGATCTGGGAGAAACTGCTTAACTTACTGAGCCTTGAATACTACCTCATTATGGCAGATAAAATAATATATGTGAACTCACCGGCACAGTGCACAACATGTACAAGATACTCAAATTTTTCTTGAATCTAAATTGAGCCTTTCCACCTTCCCCCAGGGAAGACCATGTATCCCAGCAAGTGAGGAGTATCCCTTGTTCTTAAAGCCTCTTCTCCTATGCCTCCCTTATCTGTGAAGAAGAGTACTTTTTATGGTCTAGTTTTCATTCCTCCTTATTGCCAGCTAATGTCCCCTCCTTGTTCAGATCTCAGTGGATGGGAAAGTCAAACACCCAGCAATGTGTGCTGAGCCTTTAGTGGGGCTGTTGAATCCGGAGGCCCACAGGGGAGACGCTAGGCAGTCATATCCAGTGTTCCCTCCCTTTCTCTGTGTCCCCAGAGCTCCAGATGATGGTTGAACATCACCTGGGGCAACAGCAGCAAGGAGAGGAACCTGAGGGGGCCGCTGAGAGCACAGGAACCCAGGAGTCCCGCCCACCTGGGATCCCAGACACAGAAGTGGAGTCAAGGCTGGGCACCTCTGGGACAGCAAAAAGTATGTTCAGGCTGGGGAGGGCCCCAGGCATCCTATTTCCCAGCCCAGCAGGAGGCAAGCCTTACCCACTGCGGGGAGGGGAAAGAGTTGGAGCCTGGGAGAGGCCTAGTAGTAGGCAAAAACTGTCTCAAGGATATGGATCTGTTGGCATGTTCGGCATATATTTGAATCTTCACTTTTCCTTACTGAGTGACACCAAGCCCTCCCAACTTGAACCTCAGAGCCCCACTGTGGCTACATGGGGGAAACCCACCTTCATGGGAACAGCAATCACAGGCTAGAATCCTGGCTCGGCCACTTGCTACCTTACCAGCTGAGAGGCCTTGAACGACTTAACCTCAGGGTATAAAATGATAATGAGGGTGCCTGTTGCAGTGGGTTGTGTGTGACTATTAAATGAGACTGGCTGTTGACACAGCACCCGACACACACAGAGCATGCAATAAGTGGAAGCTGGTAGCAGTGCGCTATGTCCCTTATCCTAGATATATTCCAGAATTCAGAATGCTTCCAATTTTATGAAGATATAGTACATAAACTGTGTATCGCATAGTATTCCCGGCAGAGAACCCTACAATCAAACACATAATATTTCTGCAATCCAGTGAATGGTCTCACTAAGCAGAATAAAGACTAAAAACAGCCTCCTATGAGTTCATGTCAGGTTTAGACACATATTGAGTTTTGTTTTTTAAACTGTAGAGGGTTTATTCTTTCCAATTTGATTGAAGATTTTTTAAAAGTGAACATATAGTAGTAATTGTGATCAAAGAAAACCCTGTTGGTCTTGCCTGATTGCACCCAACTTGGTCCTGGGGCCCTCTCAGGGGCCACTGGGGTATGGGTGCAGTGAGGAGAAGCAGTTCCCTCCCCAACACCTTTATGAATGCCACCTCTTCCTCCCACCCCTATGTTCCCTCCCCAGAAACTGCAGAATGCATCCCTAAAACTCACGAGAGAGGCAGTAAGGAACCCAGCACAAAAGAACCCTCAACCCATATACCACCACTGGATTCCAAGGGAGCCAACTCGGTAAGACCCCAGGGCTGGGCTGCCAGGTCATAGGAGAGGAGGCTAATATTGTGGACAAAAGCAAGGGGCTAATATTTGGAGTCTAGGAAAAGGAAAACAAAGAACCAGCTTCAGTCCCTAAAAAGTTATTCTTTATGGTAAAAGGACTTGTATCTCCTCTGACAGACAAAAAGAAATGGATAGCTGCAGCAAGAAGGATTGAGATTAGACTTTGTGTAGGACTTCTGGCTCCTGGAATGGGTGAGAGCAGTAGGCCATGGATTTTTTGATAAAGGGGATTTGGAACCCGAAGGGAGATCCTCACCTGCCCAGCTGAAGTGGGCAGTGGCTCTCCCTGCCTGGAGGATGCATTGATGAGATAACTTCCTGAGCTTTGATTTCATAATCCGCAGCCCCCTGCATAGACTGGACACAGGAAGGACTGCTCTCAGACATCAGAACAAGCTTTCTGAGACATTAGATGTTGACAAATGGGATGGCCAGAAGGGGAAGGGACAAAATGACCCTCTGGCCTCTCACCTTCTCTTTCTGTCCCCTTTCCCCCATAACAGGTCTGAGAGAGGAGGAGGTATCTTGGGATCAAGACTGCAGTTTGGGAATGCATGGACACCGGATTTGTTTCTTATTCCTTCACTTTTGGGGAAAATCTCTTGTTTTTAAAAAGTGATAAATTTGGTGTTAGGTCCTTGGCACTTTCCTTCTTTTCCAACTGGGAGAATCCTTTCTCCCTGCCTTCTTGCCCTGCCCTCTCTGTAGCCCCCACCCTCCTGCCAAGCTGCCTCTGGGAAGGAAGAAACAGGAGCTAGGCAGAAGCCTTGAGCAGGGAAGAGTTCTTCCCTTAGCCCTGACTTTACTTGCTGTGGGAAGAGAGATGAGGGTCAGATAGGTGGGAGGACTAACTTCCAGGGTGCCAAGAAGGAAGAAAAGCCCCAGGTTCTCTTTTCTTATTGAGGAACGATCCGACCACCTCACAGGCCTGCCCTGCAGCTGGAAGACTCGGCGCTCTAAGGCCTGTGCCGTGTCCAGCTGTGACTGTGCGGTGGGCTCCATCTGCTGGACAAAAGGGGAACTGCACCATGGCACTTGGCCCATGGGAAAGAGGGTATGGTGGTGTGCCGATACCTCCTCGCCTGCCCTCCAAGCCCCAGCTGCCTTCCTTTTGGATTCCCAAGCTTCAGGATGTGTTCCCTCTTCCAGCTGTGGGACCGCTGTCCCTTATTTCAACCCGTTAGCAACAATGGATAGAGAACACAGTGGCTATTAATGAAGAGGCCCATGCTGGAGACTGGAAGGGTTCCCTTGTCCTAGACATTGAGGGGCCCAGATAAGACCAAAACCAAGCATAAGAGAAGAAACTGTCTCAGATCTCACGGCCAGGCCTCTCTCCTGCTGCTGTTTTTGATTTTCCCAGGTAGTGGGAGAGAGGAAAGGAGGGAAGGCAAGATTCTTTCCCCCTCCCTGCTGAAGCATGTGGTACAGAGGCAAGAGCAGAGCCTGAGAAGCGTCAGGTCCCACTTCTGCCATGCAGCTACTATGAGCCCTCGGGGCCTCCTCCTGGGCCTCAGCTTGCCCAGATACATACCTAAATATATATATATATATATATGAGGGAGAACGCCTCACCCAGATTTTATCATGCTGGAAAGAGTGTATGTATGTGAAGATGCTTGGTCAACTTGTACCCAGTGAACACACACAGTCAGGCCTGGTCTCCCTTCTTTATTGTTCTCTGGCTATAGCAGGGGTCTGGGAAACCAAGGGCAGGGGTGAGTCACATGCGTCTCTGCCCTTCTCGGGGTGGGGTAGGGTGGAAGTACCAGGGTAGCAGGTCTAGGAGACCATGGATGTGGATTTCGCATGAACAGGGCCCACTGTACAAATGCATGGTTGGTATTTACAAGAAAGAAGGAGGGCAGTCACCTGGACTTTGGCCTTTCCTGGGGCAAGGTGGGGGCAAGGAGGAGCCTGAGGAGAGGAAGGGGCACCGCGCCTGGCTGGGTTCTCTCCAGAGGACAGGAAGGCAGCAGCCCTGAGCCCCTTGTCCATCTGCCTTTCACCGACTACCCCTCACTTGTCTCAGGGGAGGAGCTTCTTAGTGCCTGCAGCTGGGCCAGTTCTGGGACGTGGAGAGGAGGGGACAGACCCTCTCTTTTAGCAATGCAGGATTACTCACCCTCCCCAGGCACCCTTGACCCTAACCCAGCTGGTGTCGATACATTCTGAAGGTGCTTTGCTGGGGAGATCCTCAAAGCACTTTACAGACATTGGTCGGATGGAGCCTCCCAGCCCCAGGGGAGAGGAAGGAGGCAAAGGGCTCCGGACTCAGGGCAGGCGACAAGCCCCAGGGGCCCAGACCAGTCCCAAGGAAGGTCCCAGGAAAGGCCTCCCGCAGCCCCTGGTCACAATGGCTCCTTTTGCCCCAGTCACTGTATCAGAAAGGGAGGGAAGGAAGATTCAGAGGATCAGGCTGGAGATGGGGCTGAAGCAGCGCAATTCTGGGGTGAAGAGGATGTCCTCTCCACCCCATTCCCAGGTCCTAGAAAGGTACCATGCCCTGAAGGAATCCACTCCCCTCCCCACACATAGGGCTCTGAAAACCCCCAGCTTTCTATCCTATTCCAGCCCTTCCCAGGGGAGGAAAAGGGGCACCCAGACCTGCCAGCTAAGATCTGGGGTGGGGGGCTGAGGGAACCCCCAAAATGTATTGCTTAGAAACTTGGAGGCAAAAAGGATGGGGGAGGTCCCAGGGGGCTGGCATCTCTGACCCTTCCCCAAGGCCCTGGGAAGCCTCCAGGAAGCTCCCCGCTCCCTGGCAGCCACCTGGCCATGAAGAGAATCCAGAGGCTGAGGGATGGGCACAGTGACCACTGGGAGCCTGAAGTTCCCCAGTCTTGCTGCCGGAACATTAAAGTGCACCCCAGTGGGTGTCAGGTGGGGAGGGGCCCTTTCCCCAACCCCAAATCTCTGGCATTTGGCCTTCAGGTGGGTTGTTTCTTCCACGACCACGCTCCCTTGGAGCAGATGGGGGAGCCAGTCCTGATGGATGGTGCTGATGACATCAAACACTTTGGACTCAATGAAGACCTGGGGAAAGAGGGAGAAACTTCAGTGCCCTGAGCTTTGCCTTCACCTCCAACCTGACCTTCCTTCTCCAAGTCCTGATCCCCACTCAGTCCCGAGTAGAGCTGTGCAAAAAATGCCCTTCAGAAGGGTGCCCAGCCAAGGGGGTGAATAGGGGCTGAAGTCGAAGTCACGTTCAGCTGCCCTCACTGAGCTGTGTGCCCTGGCTGGGCTCCTTTTCCCTAACCCTCCCTAAGGTGCGGTGCAGGTTAGCTGTCACCTGGCATGGGCCCACCCTGTTCTGCTGCTGTTCTGAGAAGGTACCTCCTTTGTTCCTGCAGGGACTGGGGGACAGAAGAGCGTGGGAGGATTTCCCTGCTCCACCCACACTTTGGCTCCATTCTATGTCTTCACTCGCTCCATTTTACTGCTCAAAAGGGGAGAGAGAATGTCGCATCCACTGGAGCCCAGAGACGACCCAACAAAGATGCCATGATAGACACCAGCTCTCCTACACCCTCCACCACAACAGGCTCACCTGGGCCAGCCCCAGGGCTAATCCAGATTCCCATTCTGGTTGTGTTCATCTTCGGCAGGGGATGGGGGGGCCTCTTCTTCACAGGGGGACAGCTCGTCAATGGACATCTGGTTGGTGATGCCTGTAGAGGAGCATAAAGGAGGCTGAGCTTAGGCCAAGAAGTATTCTTCCCCAGAACCCAAGGAGTATGTGGAGACATGTAAGGGATTCTCATCCATCAACCTGCCTTCAAGCTGAACTACATTCAACCCATCCCCACTTGGGAAGAGCCTCTCCAGCCTTGCTAAAACTCAGAACCCTCAACACCACCCTACCACCCCCTCACACAGGAAGAGATTTCCCAGCCAGGGCCACCAAATTAGCCAAATCTACAGGGGCACCATTTACAGGGACCACAGTGTGCACAGGGACCCTTGGGTTGTGGAATATCTGACTGTCTCTATCATCTCTACGGCCCCCATTCTTAGAACATTCCAGGCCACTCAGCCAGTCTTTCCTGTGATCTAACTGGTCTGATCAGCTCCACTCCCAAATCAAGGAGTCCGGCAAAGGGTTTCCCCAGGGGCTTAAGAAAAATGGACCTCCTAGTGCTCCATGATCCACCCACACAAGTTCTCACCCCTGCCCTCTGCCATGGTACCCACCACTTGCTGCCCGTTCCTTCCATTTCTGCTTATTCTCCTGAATGCGCTTGACCCAGGTGGAACGAAAGCTGACCACATCAGGGTTGGGGTCTCCCACTTCCACATCCAGAGAGGGCTGGCGCCACTGAAAGCTAGAAGCAGAACCCCCAAAAGCCGCAAGAGGTAAGCCCCAGCCCACTCCAGAACCACCTTAGCCCTGGGAGTGCAGGACATGGAAGACCAGGAGAAGGTTCAGGGAACTTCATCTTCCTCTTTTCCTCTACTAGATATTCCCCAAGTCCCTGTCCCTCTCCCCCTCATTTCACCCCTCCCTCTCCACATCTTCCCTCCTGGTAGAAGGAAAATTAAAACAAGATTAGCCAGAAGGCAGAAAGACAGCTAATGGAAGAAACAAAAATATGGTGAAGGGGAGCATAGGTACAGGTCACACCCTTCTGATCCCATCCTTCTGTCCCTGACGGCAGAGGGACTCCCAAGCTTGAAGCAGTCTGCCTCCCCACCACCCCACCATGGCTGTGAGTCGGTCCTCTCTGTGAGTCCAAATCCCTCCCTACCACTGCCTTCCTGAACCAAGATATCTGGCTACCCCAGCCACCCTCACCTGGGCTGGTTTTTAGACTTGGAGTCCTCATCCGCCAGGGGCTGAACACTCTTCTCTGCCACGTCAGTCAGCACAGAGAATGTGGGCTCCACAATGAAGTCGATGAACCCTGCAGTGGAGGAGCAATGCCGTAGAGATGTCTTACTATTATCTGGAGGGCTAGGCAGAGCATGCAGCTGGCATGGCCAGGACCCCTGGCTGCTTATGAAAGAGGATGGAGAGGTAACCTGGGGCTGAAAACTTCCCAATGCAGGGCAGGCTTTGGGATGATGTCTTGGTGCCCCAGAGAGCTCCTTCCTGCCATTGCAGCCCCCTGGCCTCCTAACCCAGGACCCCATGCTCTAGCACAGTAGGCTTTCCTCTACAGGAAGAATGGTTTGGGGGGATTGAGGACTTGGAGCAATCCTGACCCAGGCAGCATCTTTTCCCCCTCCCAGTCCTCCCCTTCCTGCAGGAGAGGACACTCACCTATCTGAGACTGTGCCACTAGAGTGGAAGTGCGGTCACAGAGTGGAGAAAAGGGCAGGCCCAACTCTGCCTCCTTGTCACCCTAGAGGAGGGAACAGGGTAGGAAAGCTGGAGAGGATACCTCAGACCTACCAGATCTGGGGTACAGGTGGCAAGTGGTGGGGGTGGGGGGTTGTTGTGTGAAATTTCTGCACTGTTGACCTGGAAATTAGTAATATGCAAATGAAATATATGCAAATGAAATGCAACTATTGTTAGGCTTTTAGGATAATGGGGTTTTACCCCAAGGATTTGGGATCAGGTCAGAGACTACAGGTAGCAAAAGGAGGATGTGGAACAGGATTGGGGAACTTGGAGGGCAAAAGGGGAGAGAAGGCCCCCATAGGCACAGGGAAGGCAAAGATGCCACGCTACCTGACGGAAGAATTCCTCCATGAGGGCCTTGGTCCAACGGCTGTGGACCAACCACTGCTTGGTTGGGTGGCTGATGTCAGCAGCATGGAGCAGTAGAGACAGGGCCTTGGGCTTGTCAATCCTGGTTGGGGCAGATGGCAAGGGAAGGGAGACTGATCTTTTAGGAAAAGGAAGTTAGGACCATTCCCTAACTTCCCACGCACACCCTATCACATAACTTCTTCCTTTTTTTTTTTTTTTTTTTGAGACAGGGTCTCACTCTGTTGCCCGGGCTGGAGTGCAGTGGCACAATCTCAGCTCACTGCAACCTCTGTCACCTGGGTTCAAGTGATTCTCCCACCTCAGCCTCCCGAATAGCTGGGACTACAGGCGTGCATGCCACCACACCCAGCTAATTTTTGTATTTTTTTGGTAGAGACAGTGTTTCACCGTGTTGGCCAGGCTGGTCTCAAATTCCTGACCTCAAGCTATCCACCTGCCTCGGCCTCCCAAAGTGCTGGAATTATAGGCATGAGCCACCACGCCCGGCCTCACATAACTTCAAACACCCTCCAAAGCTACACACACACCCCACACACAGACACACACACACTTATATATGTTTAGGTAGCAGCACGGGTTAGTAGCTGAGAGCCCAGGCTCTTAGAATCAAAGGGCCTGGGTTCACGTCTATACCTACCACATGTTAGCCGCGTGACACTGAGCAAGTTACTTAAAATTTCCATATTTCATTTTCTTCAACTCTAAAATGGAAATAACAACCCTACCACATATCGAGTGGTTCTGAGAATTAAGTGACAAACAACAAATAAGTATTCAGGAGAGTGTCTAGCACATAATAAGTGCTCAGTAGATATTATCTAGAATAGTAATAATTATTATTATACCCTCAACAATGACCCGCTGTGACACTGCATCCCACACATAAACACCTTACACAGAGATTAACACACACCTTCAGGACACACACACACACAGTCCACTCTCACACACATTTATACATTCCCACTCACTTCTAAGCAACATTAGATGTAATTATGGCATTTGTTCTATGCATTTTTTTAAACCTCGTATGACTCTCCCAATAGCCCTATGAGACTAGGAACTAGGGGCAAGCTGTTGTGGGGGGAGGCGTATCATTTTCACCATTTCAGAGGTAATAAAACTGGGGCAGAAGGGTTGAATGAATTTTCCAACATTCCAGAGTAAGCCTGTCCCAGAGCTACGATGAGAACCCCCATCTTAGATTCCCAGCCCAAAGCACTCTCCAGTGGATCAGCTGCCAAGGCTGTGAGTAAACGTAAGGACACACACACACACACACACACACACACACACACACACACACTCTCTCTCTCTCTCACATAGAGATGCAGTCTGATACCTGAAGCCAGTGGAGTCTCTACAGCGAGGTAAAGACCTGGCACACCAACTACCCTTGTGTATACCCCCCCAGTTCACACACCCCTCCCTCTGGCCTGGCCCCAGCCACACCCCACCAGATGCCACCTCTCCAGCTGTTGCAAGGCTGTCTTCATGGTCTTCACTTGCTGGAAATGGCAGGACATGTCTGTGGCCAACACCATCTCAATGACCAGGGCTCGGAGTTCTCTGAGCGGACATAAAAAGAGAAGCAATCAGTCCCCTCAGCGCTGCTGGGCAGGAGGTCCAGGAAGTGGAAAATGGAGTTTGTGGTAAGGGAGTCTCTTAGGGATGCCAAGTACTGGCTTCTGCTCACACAAACTCATCCTTGGTGAGGTTGATGAAAATGTTCATCTCATCATCCTGCATCAATCGGAAAACAGAGCTGATGTGGTGATTCTCCAGCACTGAACGATCATTGTACACGATGGCACATTCTGACCTACAAAGCCAAAGGTCATCATGACCACCCCCTGTAAGGAGGGACTCCGGCAACCTCCCCACCTCCTCTTGGCCCCTCCTGCCCCTGCCACATCCCCACCCCTCACTTGGTCTGGATGTGGAAGCTGTTGGTAGTGCCCGTGTGCTCATAATCATGGATAGCTGCAGCAAAGATGATGGCCAGGAGCTCAATCTCCGACAGGCAGTGCTACAGGAGGAAAGAGAAAGAATGAGAGAGGGGTGACGCCTGCTGGTCACTTCCCAGGAACCTCCACACACAGGCTAGATCACTCATCCCATCCCTTCCATGCTTCCAGGCCAGCTCTTGGTTAATGCAGCCAGGTTTCTCAGCTCCTGAAATGGCCAAGGACCTTCCTCCATCCGAACCTGCAACACTCCCACTGCATCCCAGCACATGTCCCTAGCACTGTCCAACGAGTTTTAGTCTACCTGGGAATTCTCTAGAGTGAGTTAATCCAGTTTGGCTCTGTCAAGGCTTTGGAGTGCCCAAGAAGAACCAACGAGGAGAAATGGAAATGGGAGTACAGTCTAGACCTCCCAGTTCTGTAGCCATAGGCCCTGAATCACAGAAGAATCATCTCCAGGGCACCTACCACCATCCCTGTGCGGAGCAAGAAGCAATGGACTGTCTGGGTAACATCGGCTGCGTGGATCTGGTTGTGGTAAGGATTCTTGTACTTCCCATAGCCTGTCTCCAAGGCATCCAGGAAACTCATCAAAAACACAGTGGGAATCTGCGGGGAGTTAGGGGAAATGGAGATATATCAAGGATCCACAGGAATGGTGGTGATTACGGACCGAGATCAACAACTTTCTTTAGAAGGCAGTGTGGCATAGGGAGAGAGCACAGAACCTAGTTAGGTGAACCTGGCTCATATCCTGCCTCTACCACCTGCTGGCTGTGCAACCTTGGGTAAGTCACATGCCTCTCTGTGCCTCAGATACTTAATTGCAGAATGAAAGATAATACCACCTACCTGGAAATTAATGAGATAAGTACAAGGCATTTAGTAAATGCTCTCTAAAGAATAGCTATAATTATTATTATTTCCCTGGAGATTTCAAAGAAAATGAAAGAAAGCTTCCCTCCTACCTTCCAAACATCCCACTCCATCCCCACATCCAAAACCATGAAGAAGGGCTCGGAAGTAAGGGAATGAAGAAGATGACCTAGAGAGGACTCTTCCAGCCAGATGTGGGTTGCCCTCCCTGACCACTTACCCTCTACATGCACCAGTACCCGCGCCCTCAGTCCCACAGAACACACACAAAAGCACCAGCAGCCAGAGCTCTGTCCAGCTACTCTGAATCCGGGCCCTGTCTCTGTGTACGCCCTTAGGGTATGTCTGCCTCCTTCAAAAGGCTCAAGGCTCCCAGAGGACAGGACTGGTGATCTGTCCCTGAATCTCTTGAGGCTAGGAGGGGACGAAGGTTCAGGACTCGGGAGGTTTCTGTAGAGATGAGCAATATAGTGACAGAGACACAGAAGAAGCACCACTAGTCAGTCAGACCCTAACATCCCCCACCCGCACCCCTGGAGGGCTGTGCCCCAAATTCAGGAAATTTTAAAGGACTGTTTCCATGACAACTGCCCTTGCTTTTGCGTTG
Source organism: Homo sapiens (assembly GCF_000001405.40). NCBI lineage: Eukaryota > Metazoa > Chordata > Mammalia > Primates > Hominidae > Homo > Homo sapiens. The sequence continues at coordinate 54,571,726 of NC_000012.12, read as the reverse complement.
CCATGGCGTCCCTGGAGGGAAGGGAAGAAAAAGGGAGGAGTAGGGGAGGGGCTAGGTGCCCAGGAAAAGAATGTGGAGTTTGAGAAGGGCAGCTGCTGCTGGCCCTATCATCAGAGAAAACTAAAACAAGAAGCACCCCCTCCTTCCTCTAACTGCCTTGGAGCAAAGCAGACTGGGACTGGGCCAAACCTAACCCAAAACAGCTACTCTTGAGGTCCCCCAGACCCAGTCCTTCCAGGTAAGGAGGCAGAGTTTAGGAGAATCTAGTGACTGAAGTCTGAGAGCCAGTTTGGGGAAACATGAGCTGGGAAAAGTCTTAGGAAAAAGAGAGCCCTACTATTCTCTGTCCTGGAGAGGGCAGGATTGGAAAGAAGAAAGTAAAATTGCAGAACAGGCTTCCGGAAGGCACTTAAGAAAATTTCAGCTGAGCATCTCAGGAAAGTTTTGGAAACTCCCTAGGGAGTTGTTGTAAAAGGAGGAGTCAAGGGTGAAGGAAGGGCTTACATGCACAGATAATTTGTTCTAGTGAAGTGGAGGCAGAGGATGGATGGAATGACCTCCCGAAGCCGGCCTGGGAGGGGACCCTCCACCTGGACTCCTTTGACCGCCCCTCTCTATGGCCCTTCAGATCATCCACGTTTCCCTTCACCTTTAACATCTACTGCTCCCCAAAGTGCTGACCCAATATCCCCATTACGGCTCTTCAACCTCCCTCACCCTCTACTTCCAAATGTGATTTGTCCATGTGAAAGTGTTTTGTTTTTTTCCTGGCACTTTTTCCCTCCCAAAAGATGCTCCCTCCTGGTACAGGATCTAGGAAGGACTTAATCTCATATAATTCTTCCCATCCAGACAAGCTGAAGAGCAAATGAAGTTCACACACCGTCCCCCTGTCATACAAGCCCCCGCCCCGAGCCCTGTCAAGAGCTGACCTTCTCTATATAATTCCTTGCACAGAGACCAGAACTGGGGGACGGGGGAGGGAGTGGCCAATTTTATCCAGGAAACATGGTTTCTAGTCCCAAAGGGCACTGGCTGACAGCATCTGAACTCCAGGCCTCCAGTGTCCACACTGCAAGTCAGCCTAGAGAGGACAAGTTGGGGGAAAAAAGCAAAGCGGGAGAGAGCAGAATCCCAGGCTAGATGGTTGCAGACCGAGAATCTCCCCCTAGAAATCAATTAATGAAGTCTGGAACTAAGACTGCAGCAAGTGAAAGAAAGGCTAGGCTGGGCGTGGGCATGGGGAGACTTCCCTGATGTTGAGACTGAGTGAGGGGATCTATGGAATCTGTTTGTTGGGAGGCTTTTAGAACAGGCATGAGAGGAGTGGAGAATCCTGCCTGGAGGTAGAGGTAGGATGCTGCCCAACCTTGAAGCGGCTGATGAGGTTATGCCGAGTCAGCAACTCAAAAACAATGGTCCTCAGGGCATGGTCATCTGCTGCCTGGTTCAAGGAAAAGACATCAAAGCACCAGAGATCCAGGTTCTATGGAGAAACAATAGATTATGTGGCTTTCCAGCAGCAGCAAGGGTTGAAGTTAGACTTCAAGAAGGACTTCCCATGAGTACAAAGTCTTGGTAAATAGGAAAGCAAAGAAATGGTAAAGTGTGCCTCTTTCTTCCCATATATCTCTCAGTATGGGAGAGACAGGAAGGCAGGAGTTTGCTCCTATACTGGGCAAAAGCAGTTTTGATAAATGTGGGAACAACAGTTAAAAGGGAAGGCAGGCCGGGCGCAGTGGCTCACGTCTGTAATCCCAATACTTTGGGAGACCGAGGTGGGCAGAACACTTGAGGTCAAGAGTTCGAGACCAGCCTGGCCAACATGGTGAAACCCCATCTCTACTAAAACTACAAAAATTAGCTGGGCATGGTGGTGGGCACCTGTAATCCCAGCTACTCAGGAGGCTGAGGCAGGAGAATCGCTTGCAGGGAGGCAGAGGTTGCAGTGAGACGAGATCACGCCACTGCACTCCAGCCTGAGTGACAAGAGCGAGACTCCATTTCAAAAAAAAAAAAGGAAGGCAAAAATAATGCCATAAACAGGGTCTAGAAGTCCCAGTGGCTATTCCATCCCCTAACTTTCTCCTCTTTCCCAAAAACCCAGAGATTACCTTGAGACAGTTGAGAACCGCAGTAGAGTAAGTGGGGCCCACAGAGGTGTATGTTCTCCGGAACATCCTGAGAGAGAACAATGAGAAGAAGCCCACATATGAAGGTCTGGGAGTGGAGGTGTGGCCAGCTGGGGATGTGGGGATGAGCCATGGGATCATATGGCTGGTGGTCATGGAAGACCAGGGTGGCTGGGAAAGAGGGGCACAGCTAAAGGCAGAGGGAGGCTGAGTGTGGGCGAGCCTCACCGTTCCACGAAGATCCCAGCCTGCACAGCGTGCACAATGCTTCGGAACTTGGGCTTCTCCTCTGCTCGGCGGCCTTTGGCCCGGGCCTGCTGGGTGAAGGTGGAGGCCAGCCAGTCCCGCACCTCCGAAGGCACGGCATCTGACCGCAGCTCCTGCAGCTCGTCCTCCGTGTCCAAGATTTGCCTGAGACCCCAGAAGGGGAGTCACAGAGGAAAGACAGCAGGTGCTTCCACAGCCTAGAGACCCTGTACCCAGCCATACCCCACATTTAGTAACTCTCATGCCAGCTCTCTGTCTTCAACCCTGTTTCCTTTCTTTCTCTATATCTTTTTATTTCTTTATCTAACATCTCCAATAATGAAACAGGTCTCCATGTGAGGTAGTGAGCATCCCAACTATGGAAGTGTTTAAGCAGGAAATGGAACGCATCTTTCAGGGATGCTATAGAGCAGCACCATCCAATAGAAATAAAATGCAAGCCGCATATATGAAATTTTAAATTGTCTAGTAGGCCACGTTAAAAAGGAAAAGAGAAATAGGTGAAATTGACTTTAATGATAATTTTTTTTTTGAGATGGAGTCTCACTCCGTTGCCCAGGCTGGAGTGCAATGGCGCGATCTTGGCTCACTGCAACCTCCGCCTCCCGGGTTCGAGCGATTCTCCTGCCTCAGCCTCCTGAGTAGCTGGGATTACAGGTGCCTACCACCACGCCAGGCTGGTCTTGAATTCCTGACCTCAGTTGATCCATCCGCCTCAGCCTCCCAAAGTGCTGGGATTATAGGCGTGAGCCACCGTGCCCGGCAATAAATTTTATTTTACCTAATACCTCCAAAATATCATTTCAACATGAAACCGTGTGTGTGTGTGTGTGTGTGTGTGTGTGTGTGTGTGTGTGTGTATTTTTAGACAGGGTCTCACTTTATCGCCCAGACTGGAGTGCAGTGGTGTGATCACAGCTCACTGCAACCTCAACCTCCCCAGATTCAGGTGATCCTCCCCCCTCAGCCTCCCAAGTAGCTGGGACTACAGATGCACATCACCATGCCCAGCTAATTCTTATTTTTTGTAGAGACAGGGTTTCATCATGTTGCCCAGGCTGGTCTCGAATTCCTGGGCTCAAGCAATCAGGCTGCCTCAACTTCCCAAAGTGCTGGGATTACAGGCATGAACCATCACGCCCAGCCTTATAAAATATATTAATGAGATATCGGCTGGGCGCGGTAGCTCACGCCTGTAATCCCCAGGACTTTGGGAGGCCAAGGCAGGCAGATCACCTGAGGTCAGGAGTTCGAGACCAGCCTGACCAACATGGAGAAACCCCATCTCTACTAAAAATACAAAAATTAGCTGGGCGTAGTGGCACATGCCTGTAATCCAGCTACTCAGGAGGCTGAGGCAGAAGAATTGCTTGAACCCCAGAGGCAGAGGTTGCAGTGAGCCAAGATCACACCATTGCCCTTCAGCCTGGGCAACAAGAGTAAACTCTGTCTCAAAACAAAAAAATATATATATATATATATGAATATCTTACATTCTTTTTTCTAAGTCTTTGAAATCCATCATGTATTTTATGTACACATCTCAGTTCATACTTGCCACATTTGAGGTGCTCAATAGCCACCCAGAATGGTGGCTCCCATGTTGGGCAGCACACATCTAGAGGTATTCCACAGTGGAATAGATGAGCTTTAAGGTCCCTTCCAACTCTGAAGCAGTCTTCTGTCCTTCTTGATATCTGTGTTTGTCTCTATCTCTGCATCTCTATGTCTGCCTCTGCTTCTTTATCTCTTACCACTATTTCTCCCTGGATACCTGGAGCTCTTTTTTTATTTTTTTTATTTATTTATTTATTTATTTATTTTGAGACAGGGTCTTGCTCTGTCACACCAGGCTGGAGTGCAGCAGCGCAATCTCAGCTCACTGCAACCTCTGCCTCCTGGGCTCAAGCCATCCTTCCACCTCAGCCTCCCGAGTAGCTAGAACTACAGGAGCATGCCACCATGCCTGGCTAATTTTTTTTTTTTTGTAGAGACAGGGTCTTGCCATGTTGCCCAGGCTGGTCTCAAACTCCTGGGTTCAAAGAATCCACCCATCTTGGCCTCCAAAGTGCTAGGATTACAGGTGTGAGCCACTACCTAGAGCTCTTTATATCTGGTCCACCCTCTCTCTTTCTTCCGGTCTCTGTCCATGCCACATGTGTCTATCTTTGTCTTAACCCCTCTCTCTGGAACACTATGTCTGACATCTTTCTCCTTCTCTGTCTGTCGGTCTCTCTCACCGTGTCTCATCTATGTAGACGGCTTCCAGCAGAGAAGCTGTGTACTCCAGATTTTTCTTCAGCTCCTCAATGTTTATCTCCCCATTCTCCAACTGCTTCACCATGTAGCGCAGCCTGCAGGGAGCAGATACAGAGAGGCTGCTTAGGCACAGCTACCTTATCATGAGAACAGCATACTCCCTAATAAGGTACATTTTACAGAAACATCCTCAGTCTTTTGTAAATAGTTAATCATTCTAACATTAATAATAATAGCAGCTAATGTTTCTTTTTTAATCTCAGGCTATTGCCACTGCCTGTATTAAGTTTATCTACACCCAAAGTTTAATGCCAGGTTTTCCTGACTCCACCATCCCCACCACCATCTGACTTCTCGAAACCCGCTCTTTAGTCAGTGCTTAGTCTTGTTTAAAATGCCAGGGCCCAGCAGAATTAGGCAGGTACAAGCCCCTGGAGTGATGTTTTTAGGATGATCTGTTTCATAGCCTGAATAACCAAGAGCTGAAACTGCTTATTTCCCCCATGGGAGAGGGCTTTGGGATCAATAGCAATCAAGATAGCCCCCAAGAGTATTTCATTGTCTCTTGGTCATGGTGTGGGGGGTGGGGGTTACGTGTCCACAGCCCCTCTGTGCCTGGCAGGCATGGCAAAAGCACAGAACAAAGACAAATCTGAATGCTTTCGCCTGGCCTCTCTCCATGCAGGCAAAGCTAATGGATTATGATTCCAGAATCCATCAACCAGGACAAAGCCGGGTTAACCCCTGCCTTTCCAGTCTTACACCAGAGAGAACCTCTGACAGAGTTACTGTACCCATCCCCTGCCTCTGTCCCCACTGAAGCTTCTTCCAGGATAAAAGTGGTGGGGTGGGCCCAGGGATCTCATTCACTGGATGTTTTGCCTGAAGGAACAATCACCTCATGTTTTACACTTATGAATTCTGGGGTTTGTTGATTAACTGGGAGACTTCTTAGAAGCCTGGTGAGTTCAGCCCAGGCAGTCACAAAGCAAACAAAGCTCTTCAGATGGTGATTTTAATGAAAGCAGTTAAATATTCCTTTCTCTCCTTTCCCTCACCCTGCCCCACCCACCTAAAACCAATCTGGGGCTGAAATGGTGGCCATCATAATTCCCCACTGAGAGGGGCTTCAAAAACCCAAGGTCACCCTATGAGTCAGGGAGGAGAAGAGAATGAGTCAGGGATCAGAGGCTGAAATTAGCATCAATTCCCAGGGATGCCGGGGGAGGGAGAACAATGGCGTTCCTGAACAGAAGTAGCTCTAGAATCCCGGGGTCTCGGCAGCTTTGGAATGGGGTGCCCAAAATAGCCAGCCCCAGGAAGCATCACAGGCCAGTTCTCACCTCAGGGCCTAGCAATCCTGGATGACACGTCTGAGAGCAAATGGGACAGAAGGGAAAGTGGCAAAGAAGTTGGAGGACGGCACTGCAGCCTCCTTGGTTGGCTATCCTCAAATCTCACTTTCAGCCTTCCTGCTGCACCATCTCCATGTGGAAACAGCAGGTTGTTTAACAAGTAAGAGGATGATTTTAGTAAAGCTCAGCCCCAGCTCCAGCTTCATTAGGGAGGAGGAATAGAGGCGAGATATATCATAAAAGGCTTTCCCAGCTAAATGAGCTGGAAAGGGGCTATGAGCCAGTGTCTCCCAGAGTACCCCGCCCAGAGATCACAGAACAAAGAGGTACGCTTTGCCTTTGGTGCCCAGGCACAAGCTGGGGCTTCCCTCTGCCGATCAGTCCCCATAGCCAGGGACCCTCAAATCTGGTGACATAAAACCCAAAAAGGAAAGAAGGCCTCTTCTTCTGCCTATAGTTCTCTCTCTCCCCCAGATTCCCACCCCAGCCTTCTGCTTCATTCGGCCCTTTTTACAAAACTTTCCCCAGGGATCAATGCCCATCATCAAAGTTCTTCCAGTTCCCTTCTCGACCCACCTTTTGAAACCCACATCCCAGCACTGGCTCCCAAAGTGAGCAGCCACACCCACGGCACTCATTTGCATGTATTTGCATAATCGCTAACAATGCTGCCAGTTCTACATTTTTAAAAGTGCTTTCTCCTACATTATCTCATTTTATCCTCACAATGGGCCTATGAAGAAGGGAGGCGGGGAAGGAATTGCCATTTCCATTTACAATGCAGAAACCAAGGCTCAGGAGGCAGCTTTGGTGAGATGTATCCAGCAGCAGCACCAGTCTGGGAGGCAGGAATCCTGGATTCAAAGCTAGTACTTCCTGCTGTGAGCCTTTGAGCAAGTCACTAACTCTTAATCGGTGCTTTTTAAAATGTGGTCTGTAGCCCACCAGCATCAGAATCACCTTGGATCCATGTAAAAAATATAGATTCTAGGTCTCATTCCACAGCTGCTGAATCAGTATTTCTGTCCAGGGATCTGCTGGACAGGGATCTGCTTTTTTGTTTTTTTTTGTTTGTTTGTTTTGTTTTTACTTTGAGACAGGATCTCACTTTGTCACCCAGGCTGGAGTGCATTGGCACAACTGCCTCCACCTGCTGGGCTTAATCAGTCCTCCTGCCTCAGCCTCCTGAGTAGCTAGGACTACAGGCATGTGCTACCATGCCCGGCTAATTTTTTTTTATTTTTTGTAGAGATGAGGTCCTGCTATGTTGCCCAGGTTGTTCTCAAACTTCTGGCCTCAAGTGATCCTCCCACCTCATCCTCCCAAAGTGCTGGGATTACAGACACGAGCCACTGCACCCGGCCTGCTTTTTTTTTTTTTTTTAAGAGACAAGGTCACCCAGATCATAGCTCTGGACTTCCTGCAGAAGAACAGTGAGGTGAGGACTTTGAGTGGGTCTGGGGAGGTCTTAACTCCAAAAGACTTTACAATAAGAGAAGGTCCTGCCAGGCCAGAAAGTATGGGTGTGGGGGGTGTTATTTGACTTCAGGAGGGTACAGTTCAGCACCTGGATCCTTTCAGCCACTTTAGTCCAGATCCTCTTCTTAGACTTCTCATTTGTCATATTTATTCTTTAATCTTCCTTTCCCTCCCTCCCCACCTCCTTCTGGTGTCTGGATCATGTTTGGTTCAACAGATTTCAACAGAAGCTATACAAGAGCTCCTGGACAAGATCTAGAAGTGGCATGATCATAGCTCACTGTAACCTCAAGCTCCTGGGCTTAAGCAATCCTCAGCTTGAGGCCTCCCAAAGTGTTAGCATTACAGGTGTGAGCCACAGTTCGCAACCCAATCTGCATTTTTAAAAAACACCCCAGATTATTCTAATATACACTAAACTTTGAGAATGTTTATCTTAGAGCCTCAACTTGTTCATCTATAAAGTGGTAAGGATGATAATAAACATTTCACAGGGCTATTAATAAGAGGATTAAGTGATATAATACATTAAAAGGCCTGGCACATACAAAAGGTCTCCAAAAATGTAATTTGAATAGGAATTGACTGATCAACATCAAATCATGGTGGTCCTAACCCAGCTCACACCACACTCCCTTCAAATACAAGTACCTTCTCTCTCCCAAGTCCAGATGGAGAAGACTGAGTTGGTTTGGATTGAGGCTGGTAATTAGGAAGCTCCCTAACAGAGGAAATGGGAGAAAGATAATAGCCATGATCTTTCCTTTACAATTACAAACTTCATTTAATCTTCACAAACTCCTTATCAGGGAGGTTAAGTGACTTGTCTAAGGTCACACAACTCATCCATCTCAGTCAGGTTGTCAAGGCCTACAACTCAAGCTAATGGAACCTAACCGTGTCCCCAAACAATGAAGCTGTTAAGGCAGAACAAACCTAATCATGCAGTTAGCTTAGAGAGAGGCTGGAACCCATTCCACCATAGCTTCTGCAGTCTCAGCCGGTCCAACCTTAATTAATTCTGTCGGTTGGCCCATAGGAGACTGTGAGTGTCTTGATGACGCTGACAGTGGCTTGTTTATCTTGGCCTCCATCCTCAGAGCACACAGAACATGCTCAGTAAAAGTTCATTAAATAAATAAAACGGAAAGGGGAAAATTAATCAGGTGTGAGGCTATCTCCCAGAGCTCACAATGGAGATTTCTGAGCCAGGGTTTCTAAAAATAACAGTGAGCCTGAGAAGAGTAAGGTTGTAGGTTGACTTCAAGCACAGGTTTCCCTCCGAGTTTCTCCTTCTGTCACTTACAGATCTTGTCCAGGAGCTCTTGTATAGCTTCTGTTGAAATCTGAACCAAACACAATCCAGACACCAGAAGGAGGCAGGGAGGGAGGGGAAAAAAGATTAAAGAATAAATTTGACAAATGGGAAGTCTAAGAAGAGGACCTGGACTCAAGCAGCTGAAAGCACCCTCTTGAAGGTGCTGAACTGCAACCTCCTGAAGTCAAATAACCCACTCCACACACACACCCCATACTTTCTGGCCTGCCAGGGCCCTCTCTTATTCTAAAGTCCTTTAGAGTTAGGATCTCCCCAGACCACTCAAAGTCCTCACCTCACTGTTCTTCTGCAGGAAGTCCTTCTATCCCACCAACATCAGTTTTAATCCAAACCCTCTGTTTCAGCCATCAAGGAATCTGGCACAGTAAAGGTACCTTTCCCTGTAGAACAGGATGCTCAACCCCGTCCAGTCCACATCTGGCCCCAAGGAAAACTGGCAGCTTCCCCCAACTTTCCTTCGAACTCCATCCCTGCCCGTTTCACCACCACCACTTCTTTCTGCTTTACCTTCAGTCCCTGCACGATTGGAAAAGCCTCAGATCCCAACTTCTGGAAGTCCACAGTCTCTCCTAGCTCTAGGCAGCCATTGGGAGGAAAAGACTCTGGCAGTTATAACCCCAACACCTCAGAAGAGCTCAGCTTCTCCAGCTTCTACAGTTCATTTCTTTGGCTCACCATGGCTGGTGTTCTGGGGATTTCCAAAGTCCCCTGCCTCCGCTTCCAGCACCCACATTCCCAAAAAGATCACCATAAGTAGGGGGCTTAGGACAGGGAAGCCAGAGAAGGACTTCCTGCAGAAGAACAGTGATGTGAAGATTTTGAGTGCGTCTGGGGAGATTCTAACTCTGAAGGACTTTAGAATAAGATAGGGGATGGGAGTCAAGAGAAGAATTCTATTTCCAGTTTGGGTTCTTAAGACAAGATGAAATTTCGAAGGAATGTGAGGTCCTAAGGATGTTGGCAGTCAGGAAGGAGAGAAAAGGAAGAAACAATGATAAGTCACCTACCATAGTCAAGAAGAAGCAATTTTTACAAAGGTGGGGGGGGATGGAAATGGGAGGAGAATAAGGTAAAGGGCAAGATGGACAGAGTAAAAGGTGAAGTTGGCACGCGCACACACACACACACACACACGCACAAAACATATGGGGGACTGCCAGGTCTTGATCTCTCCACTTCACTAAACTACAACTGGTGGATCCATGAGCAACCTGTCCTTTCCCTCCTCCCCCTTCCTCTTCTCATCCCTGGCACCTACCTGAGAATGGGGCCCTGGAGGTGGCTCCTCTGAACAGGAACAGGGTTTGCCATGGGAATCAAAGTTTCCTGCTTCAGAGTATCAAAATCCTGACCCCAGGAGCCCCAGGGCCCCCAAGAGGGGACAACTTCCTCTTTGGCCCCTGCCTTCCTCCTCCAGGTCCCAGTAGAACTGAGCAACTGACCAGAGAGAACTTTGGGGAGGGGCCTGGCTGCAGGAAGAAGAGAGTGGGGAGGCAGAGACCCAGCCTACCGGAACTGGGTGAGAGGGGAGGCTGCGGGAAAAGTTTCACATCTGAATCAGACGGAAAACAAGAATCTGTTCTCAGAAGAAGCCCAGAAAGGACAGAAATAGCACAGGCCAGCCCCTTGCTCTGAGGAGGTGGGGCTCCTCTTTTGGGAAAAAGGGGGTTAGCAAGAGGCTTAAGAGTGCAGGGACAGGGAACCATCCTGAATCTGTCACAGAGAGGAGGTCTGTAGCGGGAGGGGAAGGGGCCCTGCAAGAACCCCCAAAAGGAGCTAAGCAGATTCAGCTCCCTTTCAGGGTCTTTTTCTGGGGCCATTCTTCAAAACGAGCTTTAACCCACCTCACAGAATGGAAGCAAGACAGGGGGATGAACTTCCCACAGAGGATAAAAAACTGTAGGGAGGGGCTTCCTGAAGCTAGGTGTCAGGGGATCCTTATCCAGAGACCGGGCTCAACAGGGAGGGAAGGGCCCTCCACCCGCAAGCAGAGAAGGAAAGTCAAGAGAACTCGCTCATAGAAACCAAGGGATTGGGCAAATTAACACCCCCAGCCCCAGTTTTCTCATTTGTAAAATGGAAATTGGGGAATAACCATGAATTAACCAGAGAGAGGTCAATCGGCTCAGAGGTAAGGAGAAGCGATGAGATGGCCCAGGAGGGGCCAAAAGAGGCACCCAGAAGGGGTCTGAGGACCAGGAACCCCTCTCCCGCCTTCAGACTTTGCTTTCGCCAAGGTTGGGGAGGGAAGAACCCAGCCTCTGCAGCTCCAAGTGGACGTGCGCACACAGTCCCAGCCCGCCTCCTGATTGGCTGGGAGATGTCGCCACCAATACATGTACGCTGGGGCCGTGATTGGCCAGCTGAGGAGTTGGGCGGGGCTAAGGAGAAGAGCTGGCGGGTGAAGCCCAACGCATTGGGGAAAAGAGTTCAGGGATCTGCAATCTCTTAGATGTAGGTCTATGGCTGCGGGTGATGTGGTAAAGAGGAAAAGGAACTAATGGGGTTGAGTATGTCAGCAGAAAGGGAAAAGAGAAGACACAGGCCAAGAGCTAGGATTTTATAACAGGAAGTTTTCCCTTTACCCCAACCCGTCAAAAGCAGGAAGAAATGAAAATACCTTGTCATTATGCCAAAGCCTTGAAGAATCAGAAATAAATGAAGTTTGGGAACCTGCTGTTTCTCAGTTCCACTGAGTACTGGGACAAGTGGAAGTGGGCTTCGATCTCAACAAGAGGAGTGGAAGTCAAATATCTTAAGGCTGTTCTCTAGTGAACACCTGGTAGCCGTGAAGCAGGGCTGCTGCAGATCTTGGGAGGGAAGAAACCCACTCTCTCTGTATCCATCTCTTTCTGTGTCCCACCACCACCCTCCCCACAATGACCACAAGCTGATGAGTGTTTTTAGAGAGAAAGGACTAGACCCAGTGTCAGAGACCCTGAATGCCACCCAGGAGATGAGGACAGGTCATTTGGCATGTTCTGTGGACATGCTTGCGTTGCAGGATGGGGCTGAGAGTGGGGGCAGATGGCAGCACACAGCCTGAAACACTAATAACCTCCAACCCAGGCCAACTTCCCTGCCTCGTCTTGTACCCTCACTCCAGACCCTGCCACTCTAGCCAAGTAAGTGCTAACCTCAACTCTCCTAATGAAAAGTAAAGATTTCTTAGACTAGAAAAGCCTCGAAGAGGATATCTTGTCCATTCCTCTCCTCTCTTACCCATTAGAACCAAAGCTGGTTGGACGAATGGCTGCTCACCACTTCAGCCCAGGTATGCATGCTGCATACTTTGCCCTAGCCTGTTATTATTATTTACTCTTCCTAATAAGGAGGGATAATGATCAACCATCATCCCTTCCTGAGGAAAAATTTCACACATAGACACTTACACACACATATACACACACCCCACACTCTACCTCTAAGGAGACTGTCACCTGGCTGGCAGGCAGGACATAAATGTGATGACCTCAACAAAGGGTCCAGTATGGATTTTCCTTTAGCCCTTAAATGTAGTTTAAAAATAGAAAGGAACCCAACTCTAATGCCTGCCCAGCCTGCAGTGAAGAATAAGGTCGAGGTAGGAAACAAAGGATGGGAGACTCTGCCTCTGGTAAGAGAAAAGGGGTGGGGGTGGGTGGGGGTAAAGGGGTGGGGGTGGGTGGGGGTAAAGGGGTGGGTGCTCGGGAAGGGATTCACTGGCTGACTTCAAATCTCCAAAATCTCAGAAATTGAAAGAACCAAGGAAATCATCTAATTCCAATAGAAAGAGGGCGTAAGTTTATAAAATCAGGAGACTTTTCTGGCTAGCTCAGTTGAAAAGAAAAAACTAAATTTAAAAAGAAATCACAAACTTTTGCCTAGATTTTATTACTATGTGTGACCTTGGGAAAGTCACTCTGAGCTTCAGTTTCCTGGTCTGTAAAATGGGTAAATAATACATGCTTCACAGAATTTTCACAAGGACCTAATGAGATATGGTATGAGAACACCTTGGGAACCCTAAAGTGATACATGAATATGAAGGATAATTATTTAGTCCAAATCTTTAGTTAGTTCAGCAAATATTCATTGAGTCATTCATAAACAAAGTCCCATATGCCCACTCTTACAGCCAGGACCCCTGACTTTCCATCCAGGCCTCAGATGGCACCTGGATATTGGTGGGAAAGCTCTAGTCTCCCTGACGCCACCACTCTGGACGTTTAGGGCTTCTCTCTGGCTTCTTATTCCAGAGGCCCTGGGGAGGCAGTGGAGGCAGAGGCTGCAGAGTATGTAGAGCATGTAGCTCCAGAAACCAAGAACAACCAGCTCTCCACCTCACCCGAGCATTCCCACTCCCCCACTCCCCTGGCTTCTGGCTTCCATTGCTATACAGAAAGCCCCAGTTCTGGCAGCTGGCTGGGCATTGTGGCGGGGGTGGCTCCACAGATAAAAATAGCCCCCCAGTGGCAAAGCTGGGTTGCCATCCTGGGAGGCACTGTTGACATGGCAGCAGTGGTGAGAGAGCCCTCAGCACTGGACAGAGGAGCTACGGGTGGGGGTGGGATGAGGAAAGGGAATGGGGCAGGCCCTAGGGAAGATTGGAAGATAGTGGGGGAAGGACAGAAACCAGGAGGGTGAAGGGAGATGAGGAAAAGGGGTAGGAGGTATTAAGGGGGCAGGGAGGAAAGGAAAGGAGATTTGAAAGGTGCTGCATTCGAGAAGCTGGGAACACACTGAAGAAGTGGGAGAGACTGCTTTCAGACTCCTCCTGTGCCTGTGCCTTCTGACCAGAAGCCGTTTCTAACAGGTGTTCCTAGCAACAGCCCAGCACAACTCAGATCACACGAGAAAGGGAATAATCTAAGCAGCTTGAGCCTCAGCCCAGACCAATAAGAACCCAGGTGTCCCAGCTCCCAGCCAAGAACACAAATGAGTCACCTTTCCATCAGACTTCAGCCCTTGAGAGAGAGAGGAATTGGGAGGGGTGGGTGAGAAGGTCAGAGGAAGGCAAACTAAAGAGGAGGCTCCCAGTACCCAGTCCAGAAGAACTCTTTCTCTGGTTCATTTCTCCACCCCTCTTCTCCCTCCCTACACCATTTGATTTTGCTCATTAACCACCTCCACATGGACCACCCCACCAGCCCTCCAAACTACATCCTAACAGCTGTTCCCAGCAGATGCCCTGCTTCCATGGGGCCTAACAGATGTTGAAGGTAGTCTGGGATGGGAAAGTAAATTAAAAGCTTAGCAAGAGTCTGACTGCAAGTGTGATGAGGGCAGCATCAGATTATGGATCAGCAGGATTTGGGTCTGGTCCCAGCACTGCCCCGATTTTACTAACTATCTCTGGGGATCTGTTCCTCCTCTGTAGCCTTTATGGTTCTCAGATTCAGGGACTGGGTTGGAGACACTGGGGAAGTAGGATGCTTGGGCCTCAATTTCCCAGTTCCAGAGTTCATCCTTTCTGACTGGCTCACTGCTTCCCCAAATCAGCTCTAACCCAGTGCTTAGAGGAGAAGGGTAGATTTTTTCTTTATCAGAGAAAGGCCACAGTCTAACCTCCAGGAACTTTCCAGGAAGTTCTCCTGCATATCTGTCTTCAATTTATTTCACTGCAATTTAAAAAACAACAGCAAATTTTCTTGGCATTTCAAAGAAGAGCAGAAGGGGAGAGAATAGGAGGGACCAAGAAGTCTTTGAGGTGTCTAGTGCAATTTGATTTATTATACATCTTCCAGATTGGAATTTCTAAAGCAATTGCTTGGAAGAGAGATGCTCATGGTTTAGGAAGTTTGGCAATTCCGTTGGCCTGTGTGTTCACTCAGTCCAGGCCACAAGAAGTTTCCAAACAAGGTGGGCACAGAGAAGAGAACTAGGGACATGGTGCCAAGCAGATATGCAGGAGTTGATAAACAGGGGAGCAGGGAAGCCAACAAATAGGAATAAAAGGAAAAACTTTCCCCAGGTCCTGCCTGCCAGAGAATCACTCAGCCTCTCCCTACAACCAGCCCCCAGCCCCCAGCCCCCAGCCCTCAACCCCCCACCAGCCAAGTTCCCTTCCCAACCTAAATGGTGCCAACACCAGCTGGCAGCCTAATCACCCCACTGTAGCCACCATAATTATTTGCAAATCTGACTTCTCACTGCAGCTGTGGAATCAACTGACCTGGAAGTCTGGCTCTTTCCAACAGCACCACCTGAAGCACCCCCTTTCTAGCTCTTCTCCATGCCCTATGCCCCCAGGCCTTACCCCAAAAACAACCTGACCCTTTTCCCACCAAGCCTTCCTCTCTACCAAAACCCCAACACATCTCCCTCAGTGCACCTTTGCCAGGTCTGAGTGCTGAAGTGGAATCTGGACCTGGTGTTTTCTTCTCAGACAGCGATAAGCTCCATAGATGCAACCCCAGCTGAGGGAAAAGGAGCAGTTGCAGGACTGGGGGATACTAGGGCACAGGGGCAAGGGCAGGGGCACTAAGGACCTCCCTGCATTGTATGGATAATAAGTTGATTTTATCCTTTTCCCTTCTCAGTCACTCTTTTTTCCCTGCTCAATTCCCATCTATGCCCCTTCCCAAAGGAACGGAGGAATGGTCCCACAGTTCTCTCAGACCATGTAGTCTTGCTGCCTTAGGGGACAATTTCATTATCTAACAACTTCCAGTCTCCCCAGTTGTCTCACTTCCACCCCACCTGCTGTCCTGGTTTTGTCCCTCTTTCTCTGCTGCTATCCTGAAGAGAGTTGGAAAATAGCTACTCAACTTCCGTACCTGAGAAAAATCAGCCCCTTGAGATTCAAAGGCAATTACTTGGCTTCCTCCCCAGAGGGACTAGGAGGATGAGGTCACTGAGAAGGCAAAAGACACGCCTTGCAGAAGACAGGAGTCGGGGCTGGACTCCTAAGGCCCCAGAGGGCACCTATAGCAAGCTTATCCTGTACCATCACCACAGCAACCCCTCAGTGAGGGGAGGGAGCCACGGGGATTTTCTGACTCCTAGCCAAGATGAGGGAGGAGAAGTACTGATGGCAAGAGCGAAAGGGTAAGTCAAAAGGAATGGGACAGAGAGAGGAAGTGGGACAAGGGAGAAGAGCAAAAGGGAGCCTCATAGCGAAAGAGAACCCAGAGAAAGATGAGGCAAAGGAGAAGATGGAAGAATCAAAGAAGAGAAAATGAGAGAGAGCAGAGGAGTTGGACACAAATTCTCAAGGATTCCTTTAAAGACTCAAAAAGAGAGGGAAGACCTGTTTTCAAGGTTTTCTGCTCCTCCATCCCAGTCTGAAGGTGGCAGAAAGATTTAAAGGTTGGGGGAATCTGGGAGATAGGGAAGCTACCATTCCTTTGATTTCAGGAACTCCCTGGCAGGGTGTAGTTATATAGATGTGCAGGCTTCTTTCCTACTGAGCATCTCACCTGGCCTTCTAGTCCCATGCATCCCCAACCTCTTTCGCCTTCCTCTGGGCAAAGGTGGCAAATGCAACCTCAAATGTGGAATCCTCTGTCTTTTTTCAAACCACCTCCTGAGGCTCCTGGACAAGCAGAGTGATATTTGGATTCTAAGAGACTTCAGTGATTTTCTAAAATAGGATGTGGTATAACTGATGATACCCTCAGGCCTAGGGACTTGGGATAAATGTCCGAAGGGAATTCCCCAATGTTCATAGAACCCACCTATGGCAGCCCCTGGGCTTCCCACACTCACCATGTCTCAGAACTGCAATTGCTCCATCCACTTCCAGTTTGACCATTGGGAAAAAATGATAAGGAGGAAGTTCCTCTCCTTTCTTTTGACCTCAGTGGCCCACATCCTTCATAATATTGCCCTCCTCTAGTCCCACCTATCCTTCTGGTCTCTAAGTTCAGACACATGCCTTCACTCCTTCCAGATAACCATCAACAAGACTCCTTCAATCACGGCTCAAACCTATTAGGTAATTCATATTCCTACCTCTTGAATCTTTGTCTCCCTCATCCCAGCCAATAGTTGCCCATCCATTCCCATTCCCCTGCCTCTTCACAAAGCAAGCTCTCCCATGATGAAAAAGACCTTCAGGCTTTATCATTTCAAAGTTACTTTTACATGATGATATTAAATGAAGAACTGAGACTCAGAGAGACTATGTGACTTAAAGATTACACCGTTGTAATTGTTAGGGCAGAATGTGAACTCGAACTCAAGTCTCCCAAAATTCCCCATGCCCTTCCACTACCACCACTCTGCCTCCCTGCTTCCCTCCCTCCAGCCACCTATCCTGACCAGAGGTTTGTGAAGTTCTTCCTTGGGGCTGAATTTGATCCCCTACCTCTGCACCTTCCCTTCAACTTAAGGCAGGAATTTTCTACCCTCTACCTTCCCAGAGATACCACACAGTCCTCATTCAAGACAAAGCTGATGGAGGAAATAGAGACAGGAGACATTTGATGGAAAAGTGGGGTATGAAACCGAGGGAGAAGAGATTCCCTTTGCTATGGCTGGAAGCAGAGGAAGAAGGACTAATCTGCTGAGGATAGCACTAAAAAACTGTCCCCACCAAGGCATGAGAAAAATGACACTCCTTTTTCTCCAGAGGTCCAGGGAACCATAGTTTATGCTGCAATCTTCACAGCAGCTCCACATCCATAGACAGAAAAAGGAGAATGGCAGCATGATTTTCAAAACTGGTAAGAACCATAGAAGATCACTCCATGGGGCCTATACAAAAAGAGGGCAAAAGCCAGGGTTAAACCAATGAGGCACCCAGTCTCAGCTTCTTCCTCCCATCCACTGGATCTCCCCAGGAATGTCAAAAAATCTCAGTGTCACAAATACATACACAAGATCACACATAGGTATTATCCCATTACCTACATACACACATACATCATCTCATAACTAGGACAATTTCAGGTATTCAGGTAAGTGCACACCTTCCCAATATATTTATTATTACACATGCCACTTATAAAAACAGACACATCTTCATGGAGCTCTGTCCCCAGCATACATATCAACCTTTACCCAAACACATGTATACGTGTCAGGCAGGCATTCACAATTTCATCCTAACATATCTCATTCACACAATCCAAACGCCACAGTTTCTGGATCCTCTCTGTAACTCCTTCAGTTCCAGGCTCTGTCCTGAGGTCCCTAAACCCCATATCTTTTAAGCATCACCCTCTCAAAAAAACAGCATCATCATCATCTCCCTTTCCTCCACCTCCATTTCCTACTCCTCCCCCCGCCACTCAACAAACACGGAGGTATACACGCACCACAGAACCAGAGACAGAACTGGACCTCGTAACATATGTACATATATTCACTATTTCATTTGTTCATTCCTTTATTTAACAGCATTTATTGAGTGCCTGTTATGTTCAAGGTATCACACTAGACTCTGATGAAACAAAGATAAGCAAAAATAATCCCCAGTGGGGTCCCTGCTCCAGCTCATCTATAATGACCTTGAACCACAGCATAGAACATTGAGCCTAGACTTTGAGGGTCCCGAGTGCGTACCATGTGGGGAAAGAAAAAGAGAAAGGGACTATGTCTATACTGTCCCAAAGGAAGGGGGAAGTTCCATCTGTAAAATGTAAAATTCCAAGAGAAACTGGAGCAGAGAAAAGAGAGTGGTGTTTGTACCATCCTGGGAAAAAGAGAACTCATATTTATGCTTTTCCTATGTATATAACCCCCCTAAAGAAAAAATGAGGCAGAAACCCAGAGTGGTAGAATTTCATCACTTGGGTGGGTGTAGCAAAACAGGGAATACAGAGCCCCCTGCCTCTCTACACCACTTGATGGAGTTGAAGCAGGTTACAAGCTCTGTAGGAAGAGGGACTATGTCTGTTTTGTCCACCACCGACTGTATTCTCAGCATCCAGCATGCCACCTGGTCCATAGAAGGCACTCAAGAAATAGTTGTTGGATAAATAAATGAGCTGAGGATGGCAAACCAATGTCTGCTCATCGTTTTTCTTGAATCACAAAAGACACAGAAAATCATTTCTATCTCTTCTGGTCTTCTTCCCATTCCCTAAAGCCCTCTGATCTCAGAGAAGGGTGGACAGCCAAGTCAAATACTTCCTCTTAGGGTTACAGATGCTGAAAATCATCCTGGCCAACTCATCATCTCCAGATGGCCTCTTTCACCCTCTCTCATGCCTCAGTTTATGAGTTTGCTTAATTAGAGAAATTGTTCTGAAAATAGGGGTAAAATCACACAGTTAAGAGATTCTCTTCAGCTCATATGATACAGATTAGATTCTGAATTTATTTTTGACAGGGTCTTAGTGTGGGAAACAGAATTCTTGGATGCTCTTCCCAACAAAAAATTGCCCTGCACTATTATATTAGTGTGGGCTTTTTATCCAGAGTCAAAAACACCAGGCCTAGTCTCCCTGAAGAAAGTCTGGATGTCCTGATTAGAAATTAAAAGGGTAGAAGGGGGGGAATAGGATGTGTTGAGTAGAAGAATCTAGATAGATAGTTAGATAAATACATACAAGTATATATGCCATGTTTCCATTTCCAAGCAGTACCCAGTCCTAAGATAATCATGTCTATTTCCTATTTCCAGACTTAGCAACCCCTTCCCACCTTGACCAAAGGGGCAGGGGGATCTTTATTTCCACTTAAAAGGGGGAACATCTCCTTTCTCACCTATTCAGAAACCATCCCATTGAGAGGGTTGGGAAACTCCCACCTCTTACCCAGCAAAGCCCTAAATCCTTTTATTTCCCTTCATCTGATAGTCAAAGCCTCCCCAATATTCAAAAAGGCAAAATCCAGTAGGCCATCAACATAGATCAAGTTGGGATCTACCTTGATTTCAAGGTCTTTCTCTGCTTTAAGGACGTAAGACTGGGAATCTATTCCTGCCAATTAATAATCCGGAGATTGTACTTTTTTGGGTAAGTTATATTACATGTAGCTAGCTTTATTTTTTACTTGTAAATTTATTGTACAAAGCTAGCATTCTTAAGGACCAGACTGCTGAAGTGAGTGAAGACCAGAATGATCTAATCAATAAGAATAGGGATCCTTGTCCACCCTAATCTCATGTAAGGACATCTCAGCTAAGGCACTCTGGAGAGACAGATGCCTCTACTCCCTTCTCTTCCCAGGTTTCATGCCTCCTTCTGGGAATCCTCTTCTCTCACCACTGAGCACTTCTCACACTAAAGGAAGAAACAACAATTCATTTTCAGGAAAGGCTTTTGGTTAGAAATGTGTGGGAGATAGTGAAACTAGTAATACCCACTCTTTCGCAGGGCCCTGTTACCTGGAATACAGGCAAGGTAAGTATGATGAGCCACTAGTGTTAGGGGAGCCATCCTGAATTCTCCCATTTATGGACCTGGGGCCCTTCTTTACCTTTCAACTACTTCCTTATCTGCCCCTTTCCCCAGCTCATTTACCATTAACGCAGCGTCATTTTCTATCAAGAATCACACAGTGCTCCTCCCAACAAAAATCAGTTCAATCTGGTTTTCCATTTCTTCATCCCAGAACTCATTCCAAGGCTGTGCTTCATAGAGCCCAGCAAATTGGATTGGCCAGAGGCAGCCAAGGAGGAGGACTGAGAAGTACATTTGGATTCCAAGCCTTGTTGCCCACTATGCCTCAGTTCTCCCTAACGCCTCTCCAAGTAGCTAGTGTATAAATCAGACCCATCTGCCATAAAAAGGTGTCATCTTATCACCATAGGTGAAGTATTTAAAGAACAATACAACATAAGCATCTATCCATCCCCTACCCCCATCTCTCCCTCTCCCAGAACCCAGAAATAGAAAGCTTCGGTGCTCACTATGGAGAACATTGAGGAGGAACTGGGTTCAGGGCTATGTTTACTGTGTTTCCTCTCTAAACATCCATAGTCTCCTATCTGTTTCCTCTTTCCTGGGGCCATGGATTCATCTCGGAGAGAGGGACATCTTCTCTTGTTCCCTGATTAAGAATCAACAGACTGCGGAGATTTCCCAATGGCAGCAGCTGACTGGGAGATAAACATGGTGCATGGCTTGTCTTTGACCCAATCCTCTTTTTTTTCTAAGGAGCAGGGGAAAAGTTCCTTTCCTCCCCTGGGACTGGAGTATCAGATACCTGAGTTCTTCCTTCCCCCATTTATTCCTCCCCACATGCCCTGGTACTGCAACAATAGGAAAAGATGCCCAAATGTGCTTGGAGATCCTGGAAGACCCTATATAAACAAAAAGCCTCTGATTAAGCCAGTTACCTTGCCTTTGTCAATCAATATTTCTTCACCATCATCACCTCCTTCAGCTTCCAGGTGGGGGCTCCAACCCCCCCTCCAGATTCCACGTGGGTCCCCTCATCATTAATACATAGAGTGAGTTTCCAGGCCCCAAGAGATGAGCAGCTCAGGCATGGGGTAACCCCCACCCCACTTCCTGTGCATGAGGCAGAAACTACCAATCCCAACTGAGATACATATGACCCACAGGTTGGCACAAGTATTCCCATGCAGTAGATCTACAGCTGTGTGCAATCACTCCACATACCTCTGTGACCCACGCTCACTCATGCACACACATGTCATGTGGCTCACATCTGCACAACTCTGCACATGGATATGTGTGAGTCAGCCTGGCACCTCTACTGCCCTCCTGCAGCCCTGCCACACTGCATATACTGTGCTGCCTCTAGGCGCTGCGTGTGTCAGCCTGGGGTCCACAGGCACAGGCACATCGTTACCTTTGCAACTCCTAAGCCCGCTCCAACTGGCCAGCTTGCTCCGCACATGCCTTGCACATGTGGCCTGGCCACGCGTGTCAGGGCCGTGCTTCCTCGCACCTGCCAACATCTGTGCCAAAGAGAATCTACCAGCCCACAGCCCTGCTCCAGTTATCCCCCCTCCTCCTCCCGCTCAGGCTCCCTAAGGTCCCTTCCCCCCATTCCCGGGCCGGGGACTTACAGAGACCGAAGCTTAATCCACATCTTCTTGCTGGGGGCTGACTTCAGCTCCAGGGGTGACGGGCAATCCGACTCCTCCAGCATCTCCGGAGGACTGCGGGGGGACAGCTCCATGCTCAGCCACGGTCTACGGAACAGAAGGAGGAGACAGCACCTCGGCTCAGCTTCAGCCCCAGCCGAGAGACCCTCACCCCCCATCCCAGGCCCTTCCCACCTGCGGCTGGCGTGGACCAGCCAGGCCGGTGTCTCTAGGCTCGGCCCAAGCTGGCAGAGCTGCAGCTCCTGCGGCTCCTCCTCTCCCGCTGCCCAGCCGAGCTTTGGGCTCCCAGTCCAAGCTCTCCGCACCGCCGCTGCTGCTGCCGCTACCGCCGCCGCCGCCGCGCGCTGCCAGAGCCGCCTCCTCGCCTCTCTCCTCCTCCCCCGGCCGGGTTCCCCCCTCCCTCTGCTCTCCCTCCCTTCTCCTCAGCCTGCCCGCCAGTCTCTCACTCCTCACAGCCACTCCTCCCCCTCCCAAAGGAACGATTGGAAGCCGGGGGCACACACAGACAGAAGCGCCCAAGGGCGAGCGCACGCACACAGGCGCCGGGGACGAGTGGCTGCGTGTGCCCTGTACTGGCGGATGTGAGTGCGTGTTTACAGAGTGCAGCGGAGGCGGCGGGCTGGACTTCGGTGTGGGTGGTTGTGTGGGTTCTCTCCGTGTGTTTTGAGTTTCTGTGTATGTGGTTGTGGTTCCATGTATCCACGTGTGCCTAGCTGCCTGCGTGTCCCATGTCTGAGTGCGGGGTAGGGGATGAGCACACATCTTTCCCTGCTAGATCTGGACTCGGAACCCAGTCGGACCAGACCCCACCTGTGCTCCTGTCTTGGAAAAGTTCAGGGTGTGCCCTGAGCTGTGATGGCATCCCACACTTGGCCTCGGGTCCCTCAGCTTGATCTTCCCCACCTGTCTCCAAGACTGTGGCCTTCTCCATGGTACTTCTGCCTGCCCGCCTAGCAGATAGGAATTTCTTCCAAGTTCAAAGCTCTCCAGAGCAGGCATCTTTTTTTTTTTTTTTTTTTTTTTTTTTTTTTTTGAGAAGGAGTCTGTGTCGCCCAGGCTGCAGTGCAGTGGCGCGATCTCGGCTCACTGCAACCTCTGCCTCCCCAGTTCCAGCGATTCTCCTGCCTCAGCCTCCTGGAGTAGCTGGGACTACAGGCGCGGGCCACCACGCCGGCTAATTTTTGTATTTTTTAGTAGAGATGGGGTTTCACTATATTGGCCAGGCTGGTCTCCAACTCCTGACCTCGTGATCCGCCCACGTCGGCCTCCCAAAGTGGTGGGATTACAGGTGTGAGCCACCGCACCCAGCTTAACATCTTCTTCTTTGACTAGGTAATAACTCTACACAGCCAGGAAAGCATTCCTGATATCAAAACCCCTCCTGAAGCACTTCCAGCTCATTTTTTCTGTTCTGTCTTCAGAGAAAGAAATCTAGGAGCTAAAGGCCCAGCACAAAACAGCCTAGCTGGTTAATAAACATTTGTGGAAGGAGTGAACTGGAATTTGAACTCAAGACCTTGTAAAAGGGCAAAGCCTCCTCCATCCAACCGAGTCCTACCTAGGACTCTTGCAGGAACCACCTCTCTTGCTCCATATTGTTCTCTCCCTTAATGACCACCTGCTTTGGCATTGGGGAAACTCCTATGTCAACAGAAAGTGGAGATATATTCACTAACTACTGAATCCAAAACAGGCCACTAATCCAGGATCCCAGAATGTGAATTTTAATTTCAAAAAATTCTGGAGGTTGGAAGGAGGAGTGATCAGGAGAAGGTATTTACTCTGTTCTAAATACTGAGTGGAGGCTCCTCCTCTCCCAGTCAGAGAAGGAGAAAAGAAGTGAAATGGAAGGGCGAAGAAGCGGATGAACTGTCACAGCTAAGACTCCTAACATAAAAGAATTGCCAAGTTAGGTCAGCATTTAGATTCAGCAGAAGTATCAGCAGAACCAGCTCCCAGAAAGTACAGAGGCAGAAAGAGATGGCAGAGTCAGAGATGGAGAAAAAAGTGGAAATAATAAGGGACTTCCCACCCTCTGTCCATCTACCTTTAGCACACATCCCTTGGCTTTTCCCCAGACCCAGCCAAGAAATGGCTGCATCTGAGACCCTAGTCACACTCCTACACAGTCCATTTCTGAAAATTTGGGAGCAATCTCCTCCTTATCAACTGAAAATGAAATGGGCTGGAAACTACAAAAGAATTGCAAATTAGGATGGTGCTAAAGAGCTCTAATTAGTAAATTAGGATTAGAGCTAAGGAGTTTCCAAATTTAGGCAGGTCTTTAAACTAGAATAGGTGGGAAAGAGGCAAGACATACATCCAGAGGGCTCTCTCAACATTTCTTGTTAACACAGTGTCACATCCTGCTCTCCCAAGACCCCCTGCTCCTGATTCATTTTAAGGCTAATTCACACACACACACACACACACACACACACACGCACACACACACAAAGTTATTCGTGAAAGAGACATTAGAGTTCATCCACTCTAATTCCCTTCATTTAATAAATGGGAAAACTTCATAGACAACACAGTTTGATGGAAAAAGTAAAAATAAAAATAAATGAGAACTAAACTAACCCAGAAAAATTATAGGGTCTCACAGAGAGTAAGTGATAAAACCAGAGCCAAGTCTATCAGCCTTTTTCACTCTGTGGCTCCTTTCACTTTCTTTAGTCACCAGTCCTGGTGTTTAGTCTCAACCTCATTCCTCTTGTTGCAATACAATCCCATTTCTACCTTGCTGCGTCTCTAAACAGATAAGAATTGGGTATACTTGTTCCACTCTGAGGCTCAAAAGACAACTATTCTCTCCCTGTCTTTTCCTCTTGTCCTCATCCCCCACCTTTCCCAGGCTCCTTCTCATTCCTCTCCTTTTCAGCTTCTAAACTGCCCCCTACCCCTAGGAGGCTCTGCCTCCTCACTCCCCTAACCCCACAATCCTTTCCAACAAGCTTTGAGTTTGATAGAAACCAAAAATGATGCTTTGGCAGTAGGTGACGGATGGATGTGATCTGCCTCCTACGGGAATGCTATTTAAAGGGGCAGCCTCACAATCCTCTCCTTCCAAAGTGACAAGAGAAAAGTCTGCTCCTCAATCTCTCCAGAGCTGCAAACTCAGCTCAAGTTAACTTCTGACTTCCTCAACCTGCAACCTGGCCTGCTGCTCCTGCTTCCTATTCAAGTGGGAGGGAGAGTACTTGACAACTCATTGAGGTGTGGGGGCTGAAGGGGGATTCATCTTCATCTCCTTTGATGACAGGTACTTAGGAGAAGCAGGAGGCCCTGTGGGGAGGAGGACTGGAAGAACACTCTTCCCCCAACCGCGTGAGTGCATTTCAGCCATGTGCCAGCTTCTTCTCAAAGTCAAACTTTGTTGGAGAAGAACTAATATAAGCATGAGGACCTAAGGTTAAGGAAGCCTTGTCCCTAGCTGGGGGACACAGATATACCCTCCCTCCCTCCTGGATCCTGGTATTCACAGCACAGTTGTTCCCTTCCTGCAAAGCAAAGTGCTACAGGGCATCATCCCCTTGGCCAGGCCCTGGACCTTCTGCATTTTTTTTTTTTTTTTTTTTTGTGAGACAGGATCTTGCTCTGTCACCCAGACTGGAGTGCAATGGCATCATCTTCGCTCACTGCAACCTCTGCCTCCCGGACTCAAGCGATCCTCCCCACCTCAGCCTTCCAAGTAGCTAGGACTACAGGCAGGAACTACTACGCCCAGCTAATTTTCGTATTTTTTTGTAGAGACGGAGTTCGCCATGTTGACCAGGCTGGTCTTAACCTCCTTAGCTCAAGAGATCCACTGGCCTCAGCCTCCCAAAGTGTTGGGATTACAGACAACAGCCACCATGCCCAGCTAATTTTTTGTATTTTTGGAGAGACAGGGTTTCACTGTGTTGCCCAGAGTGGTCTCAAACTCCTGAGTTCAAGCGATCCGCCTGCCTCCCAAAGTGCTGGGATTACAGGGGTGAGCCACCACACCCAGTTCCTTCTGCACTTTGAAGCTGGCCCACCTGCCAACTGGATTGAACACCATGGCAGGGGAGGCAGTGTTTCTACTGTCCAAACAAAAGGGGGCACCTATGCAAGTATCTTGCCCCAGGCCTTGTGGGAGGCATAATTCCATCTCATTGCTGCAAGCAAGTTAATGGAGATGTTAATAAAAACACTACATTAATGAAAATGCTGAGGCTAGAACCTATTCTGTGCCTGTAAGACAAAACAATTGGGGTGAGATTTCTGATATCCATTCTTTAGTTCCTTTGGGCCTAAGTAAAGCAAACTTACAACCTGGGACACAACTTATTTTTTCCCAGGTTGTAAGAGGACAGAGACCCTCCTGGTAAAGGAAGCAAATTGCCTGAAATGCTGATGGGTCCTGTTACTTCTCTGTCCCTTCACCTCTGGACATTCACTTTTTGCTTCCGGTAGTAAAGGCCATCATGTCCTCACCTTCTCCAATTTGCTCCTTCTAAGGTCTCTGGATTCTAAAACCCAAGTCTTCCCTTGTGAAGAGGCAGACCGGGCAAGTAGAAAAGGTCTAGGACTGAACATCAGACTTGGGTCCCAGTTCTAGTTCTACTGCTAAACATGTGACCTTCATTAAGTCATTTAATATTTCTAAATCTGTTTTCTGACCTGAAATAGGAAAGCCTTCCCTGGCTACCTTGCAGAATTGCTATAAGGATGTGAAAGCACTTTGAAAAAGTATAAGTGGTAGAGAAATATGTGTGTATAATTATATGTTTACAAAAAGATATATCAAATGACAAAATTTTAGAAATAGAGAATATATCTGTGTTACCAGGAGCTAGAGATGGGGAAGGGGGTTGTGGGAGGAGAAAATTGCTATAAAATTGCTATAAAAGAGCAATGCGAGGGATCCTTGTGGTGATGGAACTGTTCTGTATCTTTTTTTAAATTATTATTTATTTTTTGAGACAGAGTCTCGCTCTGTCACTCAGCCTGGAATGCTGTGGCAGGATCTTAGCTTACTGCAACCTCCGCCTCCCGGGATCAAGTTATTCTGCTGCCTCAGCCTCCTGAGTAGTGGGACTACAGGCATGCACCACCACGCCCGGCTAGTTTTGGTATTTTTAGTAGAGACGGTGTTTCACTATATTGGCCAGGCTGCTCTCAAACCCCTGACCTCAGGTGATCCACCTGCCTTGGCCTCCCAAAGTGCTGGGATTACAGGCGTGAGCCACTGCGCCCGGCCTGTTCTGTATGTTGACTGCAGTGGCAGATACACAAACCTACACATGATAAAGCTGTATAGAAATAGATAACACACACACGTGCACACACAGAGAGAAATGAACATAAGCAAAACTGGGGAAGGAAATCTGAACAAGATCAGTAGATTATATCAATGTCAGTTATCCTGGTTGTGGCAGTGTACTACAGTTTTGCTAGATGTTAGCATTCAGGGAAACTGTGTAAAGGAAAATAGAATTTCTCTGTATGATTTCTTACAAGTGCAGGTGGATTAAGTATCTCAATAAAATTTTCAGTTTTAAAAAAAGGCATTCTGTCTACCCTCCATCCCCCTGCAGCAACTTGTCTTGCTGTCCTCTTAAGCAGTTCTATATGCAGATGCAGATGGAGGAGGGATCTCTATCCCCTCAAGCAGAAAAATATAAACATATAGAGTAGTTGTTCAGATACTTCTGAGCCTCCTCTTCCTCATCAACTTTACTCTCAGTCTCATAAGCCTGACACTGAATCACCCTTTAGAACATAAGCCCTTCCCATAGCAAGGAAGGAGGATTTGCTGATGCACGAAGCAGGATTCTCTATCGCTTCCACCCTAAAGAGCAGACAACTGTTGCTAAGAAAAATCTGTATGTTGATTATGGGTGCCAAGTTAAGAAAGTATTGACTAAGCCTGGGTCTCAAGAAATAAAAAGCAAACACATGTACAAAACCCCAAAACAGCTATCAAATAGGCTTCAGGAAGGCTGAATCGTTTTTGCTGAAAACCGACAACTGCTTCCCTTTCATCATGAAAGTATGGACATGACCCTAATTAACCAACTAGCTAATTATATTTGTCAATTCCAACCACTCTAGACCTGTGACATATATGATCTGTTTCTCCACTTCTCCCTGGCAGTGGATTCACAGAAGTGATGCATGGGGGCCACTATTTCCTGCCAAGGAGTTAAGTAAACCTAGTTTAGTGCTATCTTGAAAGCCCCCAGGCTCTGTGACGCTTGAAATTCTAATTAGCGCAGAAAAGGGCTAAGTTGAAACAGCTTGTACTCCCTCAAGGATACCCACTCTCAGGGCCATACAACCTAATGAGGTCTGTGAAATTTAAGATCCAGAAGAGAAATCCCTTCCTGGAGCAACAGCTATACCCAGGCTGACAAAAGGATTTGGGGTTAAATTAGTCCCTCCCAATAAAAGGCAGAGTACCCCCAAATGGTACAGGAGGGAAAACCCACCTAAGTCTGGGCCAATCAGTTGTCATGTAACCTAGAATTGACGGAGACTAACTGACCCTCTGCTCTGGGTTGTGGAGATATCAAAGCAGGAGGGGTTAAAGCAAGAGAGAACTTGTAACAAACAATGTAGTAGAGTAGGTGGGCAGTGAACATCTCTGAAGGGCACTTCCTCCTTGCCCCAGTAGGAAACGCAGTCAAGCTGGGGGCAAAGGAAGAGACCCAATGACCCCTCGAAGAGCCCCACAAAGGAAAAGAGGGGCTCCTTTGCTGCTACTCTGCAGTAGGAGCAGGTTGAATGTTTGCTGAACACATTTGAAAAAGGAAGAGAGAAGATAATGGTCCTAATGAATGTGCAGGAGACAATAGCAGCTCCAGTGGGAGGATTATAAGCTCATTATGATTTAATATGATGATTGATCATCTCTGCCCGCCAGCATTATCCTAAGAATAGTGATGAAGGTCGGAGAGGCCCATGCCTGTCAGAGCTCAAGCTCAAGTCACCAGAAGATAGAAAATATACTTGTACGTTACTCCTTTTTTCATTGTAAAATTCACACATGTGGCCCCACGCCCTAACTTTTTCCATAAGCTGTCCTCCATGCTCCCAGCCTGCCTCACTGCTCTACGATTTCTCAGCCCTGGATTGTTCTTCCACAGATCTGCTCATCAACTCTGGCTCCTGACCCTCTCTCCTTAGTGACCCCACCCCATTCCCACCCCCTGCGAAAGTGACCACAGCTTCCACTATGGCAAGGGTTTAGGAAGGTCCAAAGGGCTCTTCAGTGGGTACTGGCAGGCATTCAGTTTAGGTGGAAGGCCCGAGACACCTCCCGATAGGCATTTCGAAGCAGGACATAAGGGAAACAGGACTCCAGCATGTCCAGGGTCAGGAAGGATGACTCCTCCACCACCTGAAAGAGATGGGGCCAAGAGATGAGAACCTCAGGTAGGGCATTTGTCTGTGATACCCTGTTCCTTTTGCATAGTTCCCAGGCCCTCTGAGGCCCTGAGAGTTACAAGTGAACAGGGTTCCAAATCACACCCCCCTCTTCCCTCACTTGGTTTGGCTGCAGGAAGGCAATGTGGCATCTTCAGCTCCATTATCATTGACCCTGACCCCCTCATCAGGACTATGTGAAGGGCACAGAAGCAGACAGCAGGAGAGAACCACTTTCCCAGTGCAGCAAAACCCATTCTCTCCCATTCTGGATGCTAAATCACATGTGGGTGGGCAGCACACAGATGCAGGTAAAGATGTATAAAAGTGCTAATTACAAAGCTTTGCAGCAAGAGAAACAAACACCACTGCAGGCCACGGAAGGGGGCCTGGAATCCACATGGGTCCTCTTGTGTTGGGCCTCAGTCTCCTCCCTCTCTCAGTACAGTGCTTGGGGAACAGTAAGGATGCCGCATAAAGGAGCAGGCATGATTAATTAGTTTAATTAGAAGCCTGTGTGCTGCGGTAATCCCAGCAGCCCCCACAGCCAAGCAGGAAGATAGATCAAGATGCCCGGAGAAGAATGAGAGTGGGGGTGAGGGTGAAGAGGGGGAGGTGGGTGGACAGGGCATGTTCATGAAGAGCAGCATAGCCTAGCGGTGGACTGGAGGGTCCCCATCCCTGAGGAAGGAGCAGGGTGTATTTCCTTCAGTGCCTTCCTTATCCAAGAGGTAATGAGACTAAAAAACACACTCTGGAGAGGTGTCCCATATCCTCTGGCAATTCACACAGATGGGTTCTCCACAATATATCTGGTACTCCAAGTCCTGAAAATTCACTAAGGAAAGAGAATCTACCATATCTACTCTAACGTGTTTCTCTCTCTGAAGTCCTTTCAAGTTTTAAAATGTGTAAGATTTTCCTATTCTCAAACACATGCACACACAACAGCTGCAAAAGAGCAGAAACTGCAGGCTGAAGGAAGGGAAATCTGCTGGTAAAACTGCAGCCCTGATGATAGGTTAAATATCAAAGAATTTCTTGCTAGGCAAGACTTTCAAGCCCTCAGCTGGGAAAGAGATGAGCTGTCTTCTCCAAGGTGCTATCCTCAGGTACAGGGAAATGAATAATGACTTCAAGCAAATCCACTGGCCCAAGACTTTCTATTCTCCATAAAGCACAAGAAAATAACAGGGCTCCCAAGTGGCAGAAGTTTACGGGAGTGGAAACAGCCCTAGAGTGATGGCCAAGAAACTTGGGTTCTAGTCCCAAATCTGCCATATATTTTAGGGGAGACCTTGATTGTCATCTTTCCCTCCCTATTCTTCAGTTTCCTCATCTTTATGACTTGTAAGTACTGGACTAATTGCCAGGATCTGGTCTGGTTCTGGCATCTAGGATTCCATGATTCTATAAGAGCCATGTCTTTCCCCAGGAAACCTGTGCCAGGAACAGACTGGCAACACTGAGGTGCAGGCATGGCCCAGGCTTGACAGCCAAAACAGAAAGACTCTGGGGACAGAAGTGCTGGTCAGAATTTGAGGCTACATGAGTAGCCTCTTAACTCAGAATACAGCTCCTTCACCTTCGGTCATTTCCAATTTCTCTGTGGAAACATTTGCATTTAAATTGCTTCACAGCAACTAGTCCCTCTAGTTTCTCCCTCCAACAAAAAGTACCTGATCCTAGCTCTGTTCCCGTCACTCTGTTGGCTTCATTGGAAGGCCACAGGGGCAAACACTTTCCACATTTTGGGGTGTTGGAAGGGGTCTAAGCAGAAGGAGGTAAGAATACAGGTGGGTAATACAGAATCACCTCCAACCTGACAGGGGTGAAAACTACCTGAGGAAGTGAAGAGTCATGCCAAAGTAATCCAGAACCTAAAATGAGCTGCAGACAGCAGGAACTAACATTTGCTGAGCATCTACTATGTACTAGGCACTTTCACGCATAATACCTTACGGATTCTAACCACTCTATCATAAGGATTATTACCCACTTTTATGGATAGAGAGCCGAAGTCTCAGAAGAGTTCATTGCCTTGCCAAGGCCATGCTGCTGCTCTATGTATTGTGCCCCCACATAGCCCACCACCATGGGCACTGCCCTCACTCTCCCCTCATCTACCTCCTCTGCCCTCTTGCCTCACCAAACACATCCCACACAAATACATCCACCCCCAAGTCCATTCTCCTCTCTCTCATAATCCTTAACCAGCCCAGCCTAGGCCTTTTTCTAGTTGGAGAAACTAAGGCATAAATATCACTCAGTGCCTGTGTATTTCAAGAAGGAGACCTGGAGGGAATCCCAGGAATCCCTGGCCCCTAGCATTTCTGGGCCTCGGACAAGAATACAGATGGAGGTCCACATACCACATGACTAATTAAATCAAGCTAACAAACTAGTATATTCTAGCTTTCAACCTTCACAATGTACATTTGTAGTCTTATGGAAGCCCAGGTTTGAATTAAGAATTTTTGGGCTCCTCCAAGTTCTGCACCAGAACAGGGTGAAGGGAAGAAACAAGCTTCCAGCCCAGTCCCCCTTCTCCTCCCACCCTCAGTTAGAGGGATTTTGTGTGCACTTGTAGACTTCCTTATCTGCATATCTAAACTCCAGCCACACGTCCCTTGGGCACTAGAGGTATATCCACCAGTAGGACGGTCCGCCTCAGTAGGAAGAAGTTTAACACAGGCCCTACAAGTGGGCTGAAGCTACTTAGCAAAATATTCTGGGGCCCCAGATATCTCTCGTATGGGCCTCAAGGTGGGGTACAGGCTCTACCTCTTCCCATTGGCCAGAGGAGGGCCCCAGAACACTCTACTAGAGGAAGGCTCAAGGAGGGCCTTTTAAACACTGGGCCCAGGGCAAAAGCCCTTCCTGTCCATACCTAAGTGCATTACTAACATGGAGAATCAGAGCAAAAGAGTGAGTAAGAGTGTTGAAGAGGGAAACAGGGCCATGAGGAAAAAAACTTTTAAAGTTAACTGAGTCAGAGTTCCCAAAACTTTCTGCCAGAGTAGAGAGAAGCCCACAGCTTGGGAAGCAAGGAGAAGAGACAGCAGGAGCTGCCTGATTCATGGCCCACCAGGCTCCCTGCCTTAGAGCTTTTTAGCTAAAATCCTTTCCCTCCTCTGAGCCCCCACCCCTCAACCTCTGAGTTCAGCTCTGTGTTATCCAGCACTCTTTTCATAGTACTCTTAAAAACAAGAAATGCAGTGGTAGAAAATTGTCAAGTGAAACCAAACATGTACTGGACAGGTAATTACCAATAACGGGCACAGCTGCCCTATCAGATCAGACTCGGGAACATTGCAGGACATGGGCCCAGCCAGCTTAGGGGCCAGGAAGGCCCTGTCTTGCAGAAGTCCTTGAAGACTCTACTCTGGGATTATAGGACAAGTTTAGAATGTTAATCAGAATGTGAGGACTACATTCAGAGGGTTATGCAGAGTTAAGTCCTTAGTTAATGCTTTTGGGTGACAAGAATGGCAAGGATGCAAAGACCCTAAACAGAAGTCTCCCTCTGGCCCTTCCATTCCCTATTCTCACACCAATTTAAATAAGGTACTTACCAAGCGCATGAGCAGAGAAATGGATTCTCGATTTCTGGTTTTAAGCTTGTCAGTCTCCTGGCCCAGCTGCAAGAGGCTGACAGAGGCCACCTGTAAGGGAAGAATTTGTAAAGCAGATTTTTATACAGGTCAGTATCAAATGGCCTCAGGCTGCAGGAAGTTAAGAAAAGATCAAGGAGAGAGTTAAGAAGTGCTAGAATGTTCCTGAAGACTCAGGGTGGGAAAGTGGCAAATCTCCTAGGTTTCAGAGATACATGTTGCCTATAAGCCAGCCTGGATCTCACTGACCTCCCAGTGCAGACAACAGGTTGCCAGGAGTGCTAGGGGAGAGATTGCAAGGGGCAGGGAAACGACCTAGAGCAAAGGCAGGTGATGTATGCCAGGAGATTAACCTCTCTTTTCCTAGGCAGCCTCCAGACACCACTGTCATCAGGCTGTTTATGGCTGACTCCCTATCTGACTAGAGGCAGTGAGCCTCTGATTCAGACACAGCTCTTGCTCGTGGTATTCTCCAGTCAATTCCCAAATGGCTGTCATCTCCATCATCCCCAAACCCCCAAAGGATCAAAGAAGAAACATGATTCATTGTATCCCAGGCCCAGGTGACCTGCATTTAGCAAACAGAGGATAAAAGGGAAGGCAAGGGTGGGGGATTCCCTTCTCACCCCTTCTCAGAGATCTGGTGTGAATCCTCTTTGCATTTAAGATGCTGAGAGCCAGGTCTATCTGGTTGGGTGCCTCAGCTTAAATAGAGACACACCAACCAATCTTATGATCCCTGACATGTACTTCTCAGAATGAGGGTATAATTCCTGAGAGAACAATATGATCCGCTGTGTTTCCTCCTGGAAGGAGACAGATGAGGCCCTGGTTCTTATATCGGGACCATACTTTGCAAAGAAATAAGCTCTTTGTTACTGAGAATGCTCAAGCAGGCAGAGGGGAATGGACCATGTATCAGAAGTATATGAACAAAATTCCTCCATGGAGGATTTAGAATGGAAAATTCTAGGGCCTATTGTATTTGTTCTGAGTTTTCCCAGAGGCAAAATTAAGATCCATGGTGAGAGTTACAGGAAGTCAAATTTTGGCTAAAATTTTTAACATTTTTTTTAAGAAATTGGATATGACCTACAGTGGAATCCGCTGCCTAGTTTTAAGTTCCAGTCCCTAGAAATCTAGACCATTGGTTCTAGTGAGATTCCCAGACAAGCAGCATCAAGATTACCTGGGAACAGAAATGCACATTATTCAGCCCCACCCTAATCTACTAAGGTAGAAACTCTCCAGGTGATTCTGATTTACATTAAAGTTTGAGAAGTAGTCATTGATCATTTGTCCATACAGAGTTAGAAAGGGCCTTAGAGATGATAAAACTCAGTGTCTCTACAACTTGAATGTGCATCTGATCTCCCAGAGGCCTTATTAAAAACACAGAGGCCTAGATTTACCCTACAATATTCTAACTCAGTAGGTCTGGTGTAAAGATCAGGAATCTGTATTTTAACAAGCTCCCCAAGATATTCTGATGCATACCAAGGTTCATGGATTCGGTTTAATCTGAATTCATGGGTTCAGTTTAATCTCACTGTTTTATATATGAAAATACCGTGGCCCCAAAATCTTGGCACTTCAGAGGTCACACAACTACTTAATGGCAGATCAAAAATCAGAACTCAGATTTTCTGACTCTTTGTCCAATGATCTTTCCAAATATTCAAGCAGAGGCTGAAACACCAGCTGTTAGGAAATTTAGAAGAAACTCTTGCCTTTCACATAGTAGCTTCTCACTCTTTACTGAATGAATTAGGTGGGAAGTTAGACTCAAAAGCCTGTTCAACGATAATTGTCTACAGATTTAAGTCAAACCAATTCCAGCCCTTTGCAATCTTCCATTCTTTATAACCTAGACCCACTCACCACCAGAAATTCCTTGAGGTGAGTTTCAATGTTCTTGTTGTAGAGCGTGAAGAGGGCAGCAGACACCTGGATGATGGCTTTGGTCAAGCAATGAATATTGTTGTTGTAACCTAGGTTATTATTGATATAGATGGAGAGAAAAAAGAGGAAATGACAAAGTAAGCCACTCCAGGATGACCCAAACTAGTAATTTCTCATGTTTTCAGGCTGAGCCACCAGTATTTGACACCAAAAGGATGAGAAGGCATTTTGAGATTAGAGGCAGGATATTCCTATGAAATCTTATTGAAATCGAATTATGCATAGTTCATTCTCTCATTCTGGTTTTTTTTTTTTTCAGGGTAGGGGGTGTTTTGGTGTTTTGTTCCTTTTCTTTTCTTTTTTTTTTCTTTTTTTAAAGACAGGGTCTTGCTCTGTCACTATGCTGGAGTGCAGTGGCGCAATCATGGCTCACTACAACCTTGACCCCTTGGGCTCAAGCCATCCTCCTACCTCAGCCTCCCAGGTAGCTGGGACTACAGGCCACCCTGCCCAGCTAGTTTATTTATTTTTGTAGAAACAGGGTTTCACCACGTTGCCTAGGCTGGTCTGGAACTCATGGGCTCAAGTGATCTACCCACCTCACCTTGGCCTCCCAAAGTGCTAGGATTACAGGCATGAGCCACGGTGTCCAGCCTTCAAGTGCTTTTTGAAACAGAACTTTACACCCAAGTCAGAAGTCTATATTTTCCAGTATCTCTGTCTCCTCTCTCTACCCCAGGACACTAACTTGAATAGCACTGGTGTCTCAAACCTACCCCTTACTTACCATCCTTCTCAATGCTATAAAAGGAAGAAGGGTCAGTGGCAAGGAGTGGGAGGGAAACTGCCAGAAAGATCAAGAGCAGGCAGGCCACCTTATATTCCTCCTCAGGAGATGAAGTATCTGGTGAGAGGGAAAAAGGAAAAGAGGAAAAGTGAATAAAGTCAGCAAACAGAAGTTATCTGTTACAGGGGTCCTACTTCACAGAATTGCTGTGAGGATCGCAGGAGAAAATATCCATGAAAACACTTTATAAAGCCTATGGGCAAGTTATTACTTAATTTTCCTGAAGAAACAGGACTAGCATCCACCTATAGTGAAGGGCCTGAGTCCTGGAGGCCTCCCTGGCAACAGGGCAGAACTTTCAGCCAAGGGCTCTGCTGATGTACAATGCAACCCTAGGATGCCTGTCCACTGCCTGATAGGATGGAGAGGCAGAAAGAAGACAAAAGGTTCTCACCCACCATGAGAGAAGAAGAAGGGTAAGTCTGGCCATTTTGAAAGGCCTTAATCCTAGCCCCTTGGTTCATCCTGTTCTGAGTGTGTATAGGTATGACTGAAATCAGAGGAAATGTGTAATGGAAAATAAAAGTGTTAAGTGTGAGATGGGAAGAAATAAACAGTGTCAAGGTGATTATGTGGAGGGAGAAAGCACAAAATCACTATGGGGAGTTTGGGTGCTATACCACACAACCCACTATTTTGTATTGTTCTCTCATTGTTTCATTTGCATTAATTTATTTTCCCAACCAGATTGTAAATGGCTTTGAGCACTTGCAGAGCACCAAACAGACTCTCACTTAGTACTTTTTAGCTGACCGGTAGATCAACTAGTTGGAACCTGAGGATGTAGATCAACTAGTTGAAACCTGAGGATAAATCTAAATCGCCTATGTAAGTATTTTCTGAAGGTTAGGGTCCTTCCTTCACTCCCAGCTTATATCCTCTGAATATATAATCTCAAATAAAGGCTTCTTTGACATTGACATTTTTTCACCCAAAATAAGGCCCAAGCCCTCCTTTCCCAAATCTCGCCCCCTTTCCCCAATCTTACCAGCTTTCAGATTAGCAATGGCAGCCACCAAGGCTGGGTCAATGTCACAGCCCACACCTGCAGCAGATGCCAGCTCAAAGATACTCAAGGTCACCTGGAGAGAAGAAAATAACATTCTAGAGAGGATTCGCAGGACACAATGGCTTGACAGAAGGAATGCATAGCCAGGACTTTTGGATCACAGGTTTAATTTTTTTTTTAAAGATGCTTTTATATATATGTAGAGAAAGAGAGAGTCTCGCTATTTTGTCCAGGCTGGTTTCAAACTCCTGGGCTCAAGAAATCCTCCTACCTCAGCCTCCCAAAGTGCTGGGATTACAGGCATGAGCCACAGTGTCCAGCTAATCGTAGATTTTAAACTTCTGGTTTATTGTCATCTTCTCTATATATTCCCTTCATAGCTCTCCCTATCCTACAGGGAAAATAACCCTTTGGGACACTCCATCGTACAAATTTACTTTTTCAACTTCATTTTCCTAAATACTTCCTTTATTCGGTGCTGCCAGGATAATTTATTCACTGTCCCCAAACTACAACTTCCTCTCTCATACTCTGGTTCAGGTGCTTCCCTCTTTTGAGGGTCCTTTTCTCTCCTCTATTTATATCTGTTACGTCCATCCCTTAGATCTCATCTTCTCTGTAAAGCGCTACCTGATTACTTCAGCCCAAAGCCAGCTCTTCCCTCCTTACGTTGGTACCACTGACTTAGCATTGATCACACACAGCATCTGGTGTTAGTTATCTTTTTAGATGGAATGCAAGACTCATCTCCTTATCTTGCCAAATAGATAGCTTTTTAAAACCTCATGGCATAGTGAAGGGAGCAAAAAGCTTTGGAGTGAGACAGATCTGGGTTCAAGTCCTAGCAACACCACTTATTAAGTGTGTGACCTTGACTAAAAGTTACTTAACCTCTTTGATCCCTCATTTTCCCACCTATAAAACTGGCATAATAACATTTACCTCACATAGTTGTTGTGAAGATTAAATTAGACCACACATCGACCCTAGTGACTAACAGAGAAAATGTGATGCCTTTACATCCTCTTCCTTTATCTTAAAGTCAGGAGTTTTGCATTTCTCTTTACCTTCTCTAGTGTTTAACATAATGCTGAGCACATAGAAGGCATTCAATAAATATTGATTGATTGATACCTGAATGTCTCATTGTACTTACAATCAGGTTCCCAGGACACAGCCCCAAGCCCCTACTCCCATACTAAGTACCTAGACCCCTTTTTAGATTTAAAAAAATGTTTTTTGAAAGAACAAGGATAATTGTTTTAATACTGGACAACTAAGTATCTTATGCAAGTAATCCCACAGACTGGCCAGAGCAATGGCTCATGCCTGTAATCCCAGCACTTTGGGAGGCCAAGGTGGGCGGATCACTTGAGTCCAGGAGTTGGAGACAAGCCTGGCCAACCTGGTGAAACCCTGTCTTTACTAAAAATACAAAAATTAGCCAGGTGTGGTGGCATGAACCTGAAGTTCCAGGAGGAACTCGGGGGGCTGATGCATGAGAATTGCCTGAATCCAGGAGGTAGAGGTTGCAGTGAGCTGAGATCGCACTCCAGCACTGGGCAACACAGCGAGACTCTGTCTCAAGAAAAAAAAAAAGAATCCCACAGACATACCAACATACACACACTTTGCTGTGGTACTGATACAGAAGCCAAATCTTTGCCACCTTCTGTTCTGCCCTTATTTAAATCCCCTACTACCTAAATGACCGTTTGTGGAACCACGGCCTCAGAGATAAGGAACCTGGTTCATGAGGTTTTCTGGAGGAAGAAAGGGATGGTTGAAGGGATTTTATCTTTTCTTCTTCTAATCTTCTTGCTCCTCTGAGGCAGTAACAGCATCTCTGATGGACAGGCCATCCTCCCTCTCTGCCCCTACCTGCTTATTTTCACAGGCAGGCAGAGCCTAAAGATTGGAGCTACCCAGGAGATATCAGCTAGACAAGCTCCTGACAGCCTAGAGCATTTGGACCAACATCAGCAGGTGCCAGAAACCCAGGCTCAGCTTAAAATCAAAGATCTTTCAAGAGGGGCAGCTATCCTAGTGAAACACTGCCCCCTCACTGCCCCCACAGTCACTTGCCCCTCATGATTTTAGGCAGATAGAGGTGGAAATTTCACAACTCTTTTGATCTCAAAGTAATGAAGATTTTCTTAACACATAACTTTAATTCTTCCTGCTAACTAGTTTCCTCTTAACACAGACCACTCTCCATTAAAGGAATCAATTATAAGAGAAGGAGCCTGCCCTATGCATTTGAAGGATTCTATTCCTAGGCTCTAGCTGTATTTCCTGCCATAGCATACTTCTTAGTTCCAGATGATTCAAAAGACAAGATGACTCAAAGGTGGGAGATGGGTGGGAAATGGATGCTTAACTTATATTGTCTGTGGAAGCCCTTCTTCCTCTCACCATCTCCTGTAGTAAATGGGGGTCTGAGGCAGGTGAAACAGACATAGAGGAACCAGAAAGCTTAAGGATGGGAGGAAGAAAAGGCCAGGAAAAGAAAAGACTGAGGGCAGGCAGGGTGGGTGGGAATGAAAGGAACAAATCTTCCTATAAACAGTACCTAACCTCAAGACTAAAGAGCGGACTTGTTTGCACATAGTTTATCTAATTTGCACAGTGCTCATATCAGGTGAAAACCTACAGATACTATCCTAGGTCTTACCCCTCCCCCTCCAGTAATGTCTCCCCAACCCTCATAGTGTCTCCCAGCCTCCCACTTCTCTCCATCCCCCTACATCTTGCCAGCTCTGCTCTTTCTCTCCAAGAATATTCATCTGACCAGTTTTCCTATTCAAACCCTCGCCCTTATCCCTATGGTGTTCTTCAGAACCCGCTCTCCCTTACAAGATCCTAGCTACCTCCTTTTCAACAACAAAAGTCTCCTAATTAGATTCTACTTTGCACTCCTCCATACCTTGATGTCTGTGTCTGGAGTGACAAACTCCTTCAAGCACTCAATGGGACCCATAAGAAATGGGCAGTGGGAGGAGAAAACCTGGAGGAAAGAGAAGATAAATGAGTCCACAAGACCATGACCAATGCCTTCAAAAATAGGTAGAAATAAAAAAAAAAAAAAAGGAGGGGCACTCAATTTAGATAAGAACCTAGCCAGCTTTCCAAGCCATCCCTCTCCTTATGCCTCTAGGTTTCCTAAGCTCATTTATTCCTAGGGATCTTCTAGGATCTCTGCCAAATTACTCTCCCTCTTCTCAATGCTCACCAACCCCTTCTGAAGCAGAAGTTAAAACTGATTCCCGCAATACTTCCACAAATTATCATACAAACCCTACCCACAGAGGTATCTGTGACTCTGTGACAGACCCCTCCCCACCAACTCACCTCCCGAAGTCCCTCTTGGGCCATGGCCCTGAAACTGAGGATAACCCCAATGATGGTCATGCGCTTTAGCACATTTTCAGCCCCTGAGGAGAAAGAAGCGTGTTAGAAAAGATAATTTAGAGAGGGATTGGTGATGATTTTGATTCTACAGACCCCGCCTAGCCTCCAGATTCCTGAAAACCCTGTCATCTGCAATGTGATTCCACAGCTCCTTCTCACTATAGGGGAAGAGGATGCTTACCTGTCAGCTGGGGCAGCAGGGAAGCCATCAAGTCCGGCTTGCTAAAGTTGGATCTGATCTGAACAAGTATGTCCATGTTTTCCACCACCAGCTTCTGTAGTCCAGGAACACAGAGACATTAAGCAGGAAAAGAAGAGACCAATGTTACATCTTCCCCCCCAGTCTCCTATACCCACCCTCTTTCCTCAAGGTAGGATCTTTTCCCCAAGGGATTGTTTCCATAGTACCTTCAGCTCCACAATCTGAGAGGTCACATGCCACATCAGGTTTTCACTCAGGAACTTCATGCCATAGGGGCCCAGGAGTTCTGCCAAGGCCCGCATCTCTGGAACAGAGTTACAGAGGCCCCAGATGGGACTCAGAAGGCACTGGAGTATTTGTACAACAGCTATAGGGTAATTTGAATATTTAAAATGTTTTCCAGCAAGAAAAGAAAATGAGAAGTCAAGGAGCAAAAATAGCCTAAAATCCTACATTCAAGTGACAAGTCTGGCAAGTCCATGGGACATTTACCCTCTCTCCACTGGTACTCACACCAAGACTTACCACAAATGATAACTAATTACTTTACTTTCCTATAAGAATCTATACTTTCCCGTGTTCCTTTATATGACACTTGGGTTTGACTCTTGCTGTACTAGCTATACTAGTTTTATTAGACGTAAGACCTTAAGTCATTGAACCTCTCTGAGCCTGGTTTACTTCTCTGTAAAATGAGGATATGAATATCTGCCATGAAC
The DNA here is from genome assembly GCF_000001405.40 of Homo sapiens. Lineage (NCBI taxonomy): Eukaryota > Metazoa > Chordata > Mammalia > Primates > Hominidae > Homo > Homo sapiens. Next base: position 54,530,844 of record NC_000012.12, on the reverse strand, counting down.
AACCCACAGAATTGATGTGAGAGTAAATAAGATACATTATAAAAACTTTGGAAAATATATGGATAAAGGAGTATTATGATGATGTTATGAGTCCTCTGAATTATGTGGCATAGGAAGGATCATCGTGGTTTTACAGGCAAGGGGGTTAAGTGCTTGTCCGGAGCCACTTAACCACAGCAGGGGCTGGTACTGGAAGCCTAGTGCAATGTCTTACTGCCCCTTACTGCATCCCAGCAGATACAACTATTTCCTCATCTAAGATCTGATGTTTATTGTATGTTTTTCCCTTTACTTCCCTTACTTAGTGTCCCACTGTCCAAATTTTCCTCTCCTTGAGCTACCTTTTCTTTTTTCATAATCAACACACATCCCGCAGAGTCTCAGTTCTTTATTCCTCTAAATCCTTCTTTTCTCTAGTAGTCCCAGTGCTTTATCCCTTGCCACCCAGCCTGCTCTGGCCCTTTGTGAATTAAATAAAGCCTGCCTGGGGAAATCCCATGTCAGAAACACTAGTGACAAATCCAGATAGGAAGGAGCTCTAGCTATGATCTCTGGCTGTGGGCCATCCCAGCAGGGAAAACCATGAAAGACCAGAAGTAACAACAACAAGAGACCAGTAGAAGAAAGGCAAGTTTAATATCGCTAATAAGAGTTCAGAGAGAAATGGAAGTCAAGGCTCCACACTCAAGTCTTTCAAAGCAGGACCAGTGATCTCCACCTTCATCAGTGACAGAGGAAATGGAACTGGTCACAGCCACTGACACAGAGTCTTGTCCACAGTAGATGTTAGACATTTTTAGAGTCAACCTGTTTTAATAGGAAGAACTGAGCTCAGAACTATGAAAGGATTTCCTGACCGATCAACTTGGATAATGCCGCAATGGCTGACAGAGAGGAAGAAGAGCTGAATCGCCCTCTGTAGCTGACAGAAAGGAGACACACTGATCTACCAGTTTGGATCTGCCAAAGCTCCTTACTCCAGTCTTCTCTACCCCCAGCTAGCAACCCTAGGGCATCCTTCTCTTTCCATCTATCTATTTTTGCAGTAGCATTGCCCCATCACTATGGCAACCAAGGGAAATTGGGGTGGGGGTGGTAGAAGGGGGAATCAGCATTACCTCCTGCTGCTTGTCATTTGTCAGCAAGACCTAAAGCTGATTTTAGAGGCTGCCTACAGTTTGTGGGTAGAGTTGATGAGAAGGGGACATCTGAAACCTGCAGCAGGTAAAGCGTAGGGTCAGCTTACTGATGGAGGCGGGATGATGGGAAGGAGGCAGAACTGGAAAACAGAACTGTGTACTTTGGCTTTCTTAGCACCCCCCAAAGAAGAAGACTGGAGAGGACAGCGTCACTGGAACATCTTCACCCTGTCCCAGATACTATGCAGCGTCCCTGATTTATATGGAGGTGAGAGGAAGGAGAAAGAAGTAGGATAGTTCATGAATTAGTTGGTAAAAACAAACCTATTAAAAAGGATCTTGTAGTTTCAAACCCTCTTGAGAAAGGGAAAGGCTTCCCATCTCATTCACTACACACTCCTTACCTGTCTCCCCCTGAGACACAAAAGCACTTCTAGACACTGGAAGGCAGCGCTGTACAGTGCTTAAGCCCCCAGTTCCTGGAGTTTGACTGCCTGGAGTCGAACTCCAAGTCCTACTATTTATGAATGTGTGGACTTAGGCAAGTTCCTTAAACTCTCTGTGTCCCAGTGTCCTCATCTGAAAAACGGGAATAAGTGTATCTATTATACCCCAAGGCTGTTATGAGGATTAAGTGAGTTAATATGTATAAACACTTAGAACTTAGCCCACAATAAATGTCATGTATCATCTCATCATCGTTATTATTAAACATCAGCAATCCAAACACTGGCTAAGACTCTAAAATGTATCCCTAAAGCATAAGACGCTGGCTGGGGGTGGTGGCTCATGCCTGTAATCCCAGCGCTTTGGAAGGCTGAGGCGGGCAGATCACAAGGTCAGGAGATCGAGACCATCCTGGCTAACATGGTGAAACCCCATCTCTACTAAAAATATATATATATATAAAAAATTAGTCCAGCATGGTGGCATTTGCCTGTAGTCCCAGCTATTCGGGAGGCTGAGGCAGGAGAATTGCTTGAACCCGGGAGGCGCAGGTTGCGGTGAGCCAAGATAGTGCCGCTGCACTCCACCCTGGGCAACAGAGCGAGACTCCATCTCAAAAAAAAAAAAGAAGAAGAAGAAGAAGAAGATGCCATGACAGCAGACCACTATTTAATAATTCCAAACAGGAGAATGTCCTCCTTATACTTTATCCCTTACCCTTCACTATTAGGTTGGTGCAAAAGTAACTGTGGTTTTTGCAATGAAAAGTAATTGCAAAAATTACTTTTGCACCAACCTAAATACATGTCCTAGTCTTTTATTCTCTGTGCATTGAAGGAAGGGCTCAGCTCCTTGACAAGAAGACCAGGCCCTGAGCTCACCAGAGATGTCAGAGAACTCCTCTGCACTGAAGTTCTGCTCCCCTTCTCTGGGCAGGCTGACGAAGGCCTGCATGGCTGGGGAGAGGATGATGGTCCCACTGCTTGCCTGTCTAAGCAGACTTTCCAGGTACCTACAGGGTTGGCCAAGAAAACATAGATTAGGATCCAATCCCTTCTCCCTACCAGCATTCCCTACTACTACCACTGAGCTCAGAAAGAAAAACTCTGCAAAAGACTGGGGTAGGGAGAAGAAACTCAAAGAAGATGGCACAATGTTCTAATTAACACCCCAAGCTGATGGATCAAAAACAACTGGCAGTACTGGAATTCCACTTTGCCTCTAACCTGGAGGGTATTTTGCTATACCGTCAAATGCAATAGCATGCACTCCCCTCCCTCAACCACTGCTCTTTTCCAACAGCTGTATTCCCCTCACCCTTACCCTCTGTCAGGTAAGACAGGCTCAACCTGGCAAGAAAAAAGTCACTACTTAATTAGACTCCTTTGAAATATACTCTCAAACCTCCTGGGCAAAGAGGTACCTGTGAGCACAGGTCATCAGTCTCCAAATATTTCCTCCTGACCTCTGGGCAAACTTAAAGGAGCTGGGCTACAGCCAATGTGGGTAGAGGAGGGCTTGACCAACCCGCCTCTCCCAGGCACTTGCTCTGGGTCTGTATCTAATAGACATCACAAGCTAACTGTCAGTGGGCCAAACCCAGTCAAACTTTTTTTTTCCTTTGAATTTACGCTGAAACGGCTGACAGGGGAAGAGGGGCTGAATCACCTTCTCTGGCACCTATGGAAAATTCTTTGTCAAAATTTTGAAACAGATTTTTACATAAAATATAAGGATTTAGTAGGGCAGCAATCAGGTGGAGCTAAGCGGTGGCTGTTCCCTTTAGAGGGGTATTCTCTCACCACCTCCTCAAAGTCTCTGCCTGGCCCATGTGGCACATCCATTTACCTTTCCTGCCTGGCCCCAACTGGCATTTGCATTTGCAAACTTTGTTTCCCCTTGTTCTGGGGGGTTCTTCTTTGCAGCCTGTCGCCTACTGAGCTGATTTTGGGTTAAGAGCGCCACCCAGTGGCTTGGGGAGGTAGAAATCCAGCTCCTTTCCATTCCTTAACATGTCAAAGGAAACAGTGCTGATTCCCACCTTCTCCAGTTGCAGGGAGGAGGCTCCCTTCTCTATTAAGAACAATAGTCACATCTGGGGACAAGGAGACGTTCCAGAGAGATGGTAGTAGGCAGATGGTTTTCAGAAGGAGAAGTAAGGGCAAAAAGAGAAATAAGAGAACTTTGGAAAGAGGAAGAGAGATCATTTGAAATTGAAACAGTAAGAATCCAAAAAAGAAAGGTTAAGAACTAGATATTAGAGAGAAAAGGTCAAATAACTGCAGGGTAGGCTGAAGGATGTTCCAGTGAGGGTGAGAAGGAAACTTCGTGGTGGACAGAAGGGGATCTGGGCTTGTCTCAGGTTATTGCTCCATTCCTCAAGGAGAAGCAACCCTCCATTTTGGAGTCTATGACCCTGGGAGCTAAAATGCTCGGGCCCTGAGGTCCTACCGTGTAAAGGAAAAAGTGCCAACACAAAGTAAGGCAGTGGAAAAGCCTAAGCAACACTGACCAGTTTGTGTAGAGTGTGGTGATTGTCTGTTCCCCACAGGAATCCAGTGGTTGTGTCTGCTGCAGGAGGGCGTTGCGGATGACTCTGGAAGCATCTGCACCCAAAAACTGGGCCAGTGACTGTATGAAACCAATGTATGCTTTGACTCCTGCCAACAGCTCAGAAGGCCGTACGATCTCCTGGGTCGTGGCATTGTAGCCAGCCAGCCACACAATGGCTCTAGGTGATTTAAAAAAAAAAAATTAGAATTACAATCATAATGGCAAATACAGTAACAATTGTTGAGTGTATATTGTGTTCCAGGTGCTGTGCTAGGATTTTACTACACATATTATCTCATGTAAACCTCATAGTAACCTAATAAGCTAGAGACAGTTATTATCCTCATTTTTATAGATGAGGAAACTGAGACACAGAGATAATAAATCATTGCTGACGACCACACAGCTGGCAGTGGCAGAGCTGGGACTTGATTCCAGTAACATTTGATCCCTAATTACTGTGCTTTTCTTCCTCCTCTGGAGAAATAGCTCAGGTAGTAGAAGACCTGGGCTCTCTAATTCCATCTAACTCTACCTGACAGTTCACACCCTCTGCATTCCCAGTGAAAGTATTTATCTTTTCCCCTTGAAAAGAATTAGTTCCGATCACTGCCAGAAATGGAAAACCATGCTTAGAAATCCTTGGAAGTATATTATAATCCTGAGTAGCCATGGCACGCCAGGGCTGAATAGAGATCATGCGTGGCTGGCATGCAGCTATAGGCAACATTAGAGAGGGGAGAATAACTATCCACACTATATTATTGTAGGGGCACACCAGCAAGACCCCTCACCACTGGACCCCCAACTCCTTTCAAAATACCTCCCCCAAGTATCTGAGATTTCACAATTAGAGTCAGTCCTCTGACTAAGGACTTTTTTCCTTGTTAAAATGTAAACCACAGAGGAAAGAGGTAGTTTTTTGTTTGTTTTGTGTTTTTTGGCAAAATGCTTATGGCAGGGGAGGGGATGGGAAAGGTGGGGCTGGTCTGCTCCACAAATGAAAGGGAAAAGGTTCTCAAGTACCACTTAAGGGAAGATAATACAGAAGGGACAGACTAAGGGCAAGACTGATCTAATTTAGAGTTAACACTGAGGCCAAACCTCTAGGCCAACCTTAGGGCTTTGGGAACAATGATGTCAGTGAAGCAAGTATCAGAGATTATTCGGGTAAAACTTGAATGTCACACTCATGCTGCTCCAGGGCCTGGAAACCACCACCAGCATCTGAAGGCTTGCACATGGGCCATTATCAAACTGTCATCTTCCTGACATTGTGTATGCAACTGAGACACTTTCTTCCTTATAGTTAACGTGTATGTAATGAAAACAAACTAATTTAACTTCACCCAAGCAAAAACCTCAATTGAAAAATAAATTTGCTTCTCTGACAATCAAAACATAGATTCATAACTGGTTTCCCTGCTTCTGTCCTTGCCCCCGCTAATGTAGCCAGAGTAAAATATTGAGTCAAGTCTAATCATTGCAGCTTTGCACAAAACCTGCCAAGGCTCCCCATCTCCCATCTCACTCAGAATAAAAGCCGAAGTCCTTACAATGACATATAAGCGCATACACAATCTGCCACTTTTCTGACCTCCCTCACCTTACATCCTACCAGTCTCTCCCAGGCTCATAGTGCTGCAGACACACTGTCTTTCTCCATGTCCCTTGAACCTAGAAGGCATGTTCGAACCTCAGAGCCTTTGCACTTGCTGTTTCCTCTACCTAGAATGCTCTTTCCCCAGTAGTTACATGCGTGGCTTTCTCAGTGTCCTCACAGGTTTACTCAATTGTTACTTTCTCAAAGAGGCCTTTCCTGGACACTCCATCTAAAACTGCAACACCTACTTCTGCCACCACCAGCACCACCAGCACCGCACATCCTCCTATCTCCCTTTCCCACTTTATTTTTCTGCTTGGTCCTTATCACTATCTAATCTACTACGTATTCTGCTTTCTTATTTTGTTTATCTATCTTCCCCACTAGAAGTAAGCATGGAGGCAGAGGTTTTTATTTGTTTCGTATATTGCTGTATAAACAGCTTTTAGAATACTCCTGACACACAGCAGGTGTTCAATAAACATTTGTTGAATGAATGAATAAGCTACATACTCCAAAAGAAAACACAGAAGTGCTGAGACTTATTCATAATAATTCTTCCTCCCATTCACCCACTTGCAGACTGTAGTGCCCAATTCCAATGTGCATCTTACTTTATGGGGCAATGGAGTGAAGCGCAAAGTGGAAGCTAGGGATGTATTTTATTAAAGCCTAACATATGTCAGGAGCTTTGCACTCATTACTAACTTTAATTCTCTACCAACTCTCAATTATGGGTAATTCTCAATTATCCATAAATAAGGTAAATACCATTATCCTTACTTTACAAGGAAAGAAACTGGTTCAAATAAGTTGGACGATCTGCTCCAATGTCTTAGCTAATGACCAGGTTGTCAACACAGGTCTGCTCACTGCAAAGGCCTTGCTCATTCTACTAAACCAGTGGTTTCAATTTAGGGTGTTCATCAAAACCACCTATAGAGGTTTGGGGTTCCTTTTGTTTGCTTTTAATAGAGATGCTTGGGACCTATGCTAGACTGACTGCAACAGAATCTCCACCGTGTGGCATGACCACCAGGATGAATGTAATGGGACCCAACTTTGAGGACCACCATACTACACATAGAGGTATATGGTAGGGTATGAAGACTACTGTCCAAACAGAGGACAAGGAAAGAGTGATACCTGTTGAGTCTGGCCTCCAGGTGGCTGCTGAGGTACTCAGAAGGGAAGATAGTATGTTCAAACACGGAGAAACTGTATACATGATTCATTGTCAGTGCCAGTTCTGTCAAGTTTAGGTGTAGCTTGTCCATGCTAGAAAGGAAAATGAGCCTGGATTACAGGTCTGGCACTGCCTGCTAATGTCTAGGAAGGACGTGTTGGGCCCATGACCCAGTTTCTAGGGATACTCAGCCTAGAAGAGTACACATTGATGTAGACTTCAAAGGCAAAGTAGGAAATTCGCATTTAAGTGCTTTTCCATGCCCCTCATTCCCCACCATGACTTGCGCTCTTTTCTTTCTGTGTCACCTTCCCTCTTTCCTTTCCTGCCTTCTTTGATGCAGTACCCAGCTGGCCATCTAGGGCCCAGGTCCTCACTTGGTGACAATGCTGCGGTTCTTCCGGTGACTCTCAGCTCCTGGCTTGTCCCTCTCGGGCTCTCCTTTTCTGGGAGTCTGCCTCTGCTTCCTGGTTTTCTTGTTCTTGGCTTTGCTGATTGTAGTGGCACAGTGCTTAGGTAGAAGCTTCAGAAACAAACACAGGTAAATGGAGAAAGGGGATTTGTTGCTAAAACGGCACCTGACAGTTATAAAAAGGTTGTTGTCCATTGTTGTCTGTTATTTTATCTTTCTGCCTTCCTCTCTCTTTCCTTCCACACACCTCTTTCTTTAATGGGGGCCTATTCAGAATGTGCTCACCTCTTTCAGTTTTCATAAATATCTCTGTGTGTACAGGCTCTAAGTCTCAAGATGGCAGTGTCTTTCTGGGATCAGAGCCTCACTCCCACACCCACATCCTGAGAGAACCTTTCTTAATGGAAAAACTCAAGTATAAAGAACAAGATCTAAAAGTCCCACTCAGTTGTGCTTTGCAGGGTCTTCCAATGTAGGAAAACAGTTATTTTTTGCTAGATGGGACAATCATCTCACATACTACATCCCTTCCTATTCTATCTCATGAGACAGTTACCCACATCACCACAGCCCTCCAAAGATTTGGAGTTCACAATGTGGCCAGCATTGTCTTTCCACTTTTTTTTTAAGTAGCATATTTCTTGCTAATTAGCTTAAACATCAACCTGGCATCTCTTGTCTTCACTCAGACATCCTAGTCAGACATCTCCTTCAGGGTGACTGGAATTCTCTCCATTTACTCCAGAGCTGCTGAGCATGAGCAGGGCATGTCTGGAAGCTCCTCAGTTGAAATCACTCTGAGAGCAGCATAAGACCCACACAAGGAAACCAGTTTTGTTACTTTTAGTCGTGCCTTCTTTTTTTAAATCCAAACTCTTGGCTGTTTCAAAAAAATCAAGTCCACCTTGATGGAAAAAGATGTGTCAACCCTGAGATTGTGCAAAAGATTATGTGTCTGTAGCAGATTCTGAAAGCAGTTCCAAAATATGTAATTCCACTAGTAATGGCAATGCCAGTAATTATTTACTCAGAATGTTAACTTTAGAAAGCCTATACTCATTTGGTTGCGAAAGTTCTGTATGTGTGAAAATTATTCGCATCATGTTTTAGTCATCCCTGAGACGACAGCACAGAGCAAATCTCTTTACCAGTGTTCTTGCAAGTAGTAGTTATTCATATTGACTGATGATCTCTTCTTGGCTTTCTCAGCCTTTTGGCTGAGATTAAGCATATTGAGTAATGAATATACCTGCAATTGTACTCATTTGCATATCTTCTTGCATTAATTATTTAAATTTCTTTCAAACATGTATTTATACTCCCTTTTCTCTTAAACTGGGACATTCCCCAAGGGCAGGAATTGTGTACCTTCCTTCTGGGTCCCCAAAAACCCAGCACAGGGCTTTGTGCCCGGTAAGTACCAACTAATATAGCAGGTAACATTTATTGAGTGCTTTATGTCAAATATTAAATATACCCTATTTAATCCTTAAGACACTTCTGTAAAGAAACTATTTTTATCCCCATTGTATGTAATTTGCATATGAAAAATAAAAAGGTTAAGTAATAATGTAACTGTGCATCTGTATACACACACACACACACACACACACACACATACACACACTCCCCTTTACCAAGCCTGACTCAAACCCAGGAAAGGTGGGTAGTCTGGAAAACCCAGAAGACTCCAGGGCAACAGCAAAACAAGTTTCTCATTTTCAAATTTTCTGAAATTTAGGTTGAACTAATTATGACGAGGTGCTAAGAGTCAGTCAAGGGAGGAGAGGGGAAAAATAAGAAGAAAAAGGCAAGAAAGCAGCCTTGAGGATAAACACAGAAGAGGTGCTTCAAAATGTCCAGAGAGCCACAGATTAAGATGCAGATAGACAGAAAGATGAGATAAGACAGGTGACCTGGGGGCCACTGTCCTTAGTATGTGTACGCAGGGCAAAGAGAGGAGGGGTAAATTAGAAAGTTAACTCATCTCTCAGAACTCTTCAAGTGAGAGCACAGATTTTGTTGGAGTGCAGCTGTTCAAATAAGAGTATTTTTAGACACTTCTATCCAGTCCTAAGGGAGGAAAGACTGAAGGGACTACACTAAGAAAAGAATTCTGCCATAAACTCAAGTACAGAAAGGCCCTAGCCCTACTTCAGAGAAAGAGTTACTGAGCTTGGCATCTGAGAGGGAAACAAAGTTAGATAGAGGGGAAGGCACTGAGCGCTGGCAGAGGGGAGAGTGAAACAGAGAGGGCTGAGTCTACCTGCTCGCTCAGGTTTCGCTGCTCAGCACAGATCTCCAGGACGCAATTGCTGGTCTGCTTGGCCAACTCTTCCAGGAAGGAGTTGCAGTGGTGAAGACCATGGTTCTTGAGGTGGGGGTACTATGGGAAAGAGGGACCAAAGAAGAGACTGTCATCACCAGCACGGCCACTTCTTCCTCACAATACTGCTCTCATCCCTTGCCTGAATCTTACAGAAGATTCCTACCCATTCCTACAGAAGAAGAAACTGAGGCCCAGAGACAGGATACATCAAGCTGAGATATTTAGGGACTCATATCATACATCTATGTTTATACCCTTTCTGGGACCAAAATCAACCCTTGGAATTGTGTTTTGGGTGATAAGGATGATGACTAGAAAGATGACAGGGTCTGGAGATCAGGATACCTACCTCCTCTGGGCACATCTCATGAGTGCAGTGGACAAAGTGAGCACAAATCAGGGGGAAAGCAATGGCATAACGCAACATGGCAGATTCCTCCAAGGTCATGGCAAACATCTTCTCAAAGATACGAAGATGAAAGCTGCAGAGAAACGGGAAGACTTTAAATCAAGATTTAGTCCTTATTAGTAAAGTGGTGAGTGAAAAATAAAGGAAAAGAAAAATAGAGTTTAAGAGCTAGTCCCTTTGAGGCGGAGAGGATATTCATTCTTTCAAAAAACATTTACCGATATTTACCACTCTCTCCTTAATTTCTGTAACCCTTAAGATAGAACGGAACCCAAGAAACTTAATCCTTCCAGACTTTTATAAAGGACCCCAGGCAAGTTTAATGATAATCTTCTTCCCTTTCCTTGCACAAAATTTGCTATTCTTCCCTTAGAACCTTGGCATGATTTGGGCCATTCCCCCTAATTTAGAAGTCCTTCAGTAGTGTTAATTCACATTCTTCTCAAAATTTAACACTCAGGCTCCAGAAAATCTTCTCAAATTAATCCCATGAGACTGATCTTTCCTCAACCCATGTCCTCTCAACTTCATGTACTCTTTTACACTTTCTTACATTTGCAAGTACTATGTTGATGTCCTTTTCACATATAGGTATTATATCTCCCCAACTACATTGCTTACAGAAGGCAGAGACAACACATTGTGTTTTGTTGAATGAATGAGTAAGCTACATACTCCTTGTTTGATCCTTCAAAGGGTGGAATTATGTACAACAGTGGTCACCTAAAAACGTCAAGTGCTATCTAAGAAAGACAAACTCATTCAGCTCATTCTCCAAAGTCCCTATTCTCTAGGCCTCTCACTTATTTTCACTCCTGTCCACTAAAACTCAAAGTTTTTCCTGTTTCTTTTAAATCACAATGTTCCTAGAGTAAAAAAAAAAAAAAAAAATCTGAAGACGTTTCCAAAGAGAGGAGATTGAAACTAGACATATGGGCTAACTACCCCAGAGAAGCGAAGACTATGTAAAATCCAAATGGCTTTCCACAAAAGAACAAAAGAGAATACAGAACAAAAGGAATCAACTTCAAATTCCTATCACTTAAGATTATTGGTAAAAAGCTGACACAAGTGAGCTGCGGAGTTTGAGCACCTTAAGGAGATCTCAAAAACAGCAACACTTTCCAATTGTCTAGGGGAATGACAGTCCTCCGCAGAGGCCAGGCAAGAGAGCAAATGAATTGATGAAGAGCTCTGGTTCAGAGCTTGGTGGCTCTCGCCTGTAATCCCAGCTACTTAGGAGGCTGAGGTAGGGGGATTGCTTGAGGCCAGGAGTTCAAGACCAGCCTGGGCAACATAGTGAGATCTGTCTCTTTAAAAAAAAAAAAAAAAAAAAATTAAACAAAATTCTTTGAAGTAAGTGGCATAATGGAGAAAAAAATGAAAAAAGGAAACAATAAAACTTTTTAAAGAGAGCTCTGAACCAAGACATACCAGAAAGTAGACAGATCAGAAGTTTCCACCAGCAATTTTTCTACGGAGTCCAGCATTCGGGAGTGGAAGACAATGAGGTTCATCACCTTGGCTAAGTCAGGGTTCTCATGCAGGTGCAGAGGGGCCTTAGCCACGCTAGTGTATGCCTGCGGTTGGAGTTGGGAAAGTGTGGAGAAAAATAAGATGAATGAAAAAGGCCCCCAGCCTTGGAATTACAGTTTGGCCTGAGTATGTCTTGTCCAATTAGCAGTTTTCAAAGTTGACTCACTCCATAAAGCAAATTTAGGAGATAAAAAGAGAAGGGATTGTGGGGGAGGAAGAATCTGAGGATGAGAATCTTTAACAGGAACAGATCATTACCTGTAGGCGGAACCAGTCCAGCCTCAATCCTGAGAATTCAAATTTTTCTCCATTATCAACTGCAAGAAAAACGGAAGTATAAAAGGAAACAATAAACAGCACACCAATATCCAACTACATAGAATGGTAGATCCTCTTCAAAAACATCTTGTCCTACTTCCTGGCTCAAAGATCAATATTTCCGGATAAAAGATGTTCATCCTCACATATGTCCTGCCTCCCCCACCTCCCTCCAGTTACCTTGTTTGAGATTCAGAGAGGAGAGGATACTGACGAATGAGGACATGATGATGGACTCCTCCTCTGGACACACAGACAAGTTCTAAAAAAGGAGCTGCAGTTACTGTCAAGTGGGCACAGGTTCCCTAGGACAGAAACTAGGACCATGAGGCTCAGTCAGCGTATGAAGGTAGAAAGAATTGCTAAGTGTTAAAAACAGAGAGAAAAAGCCAAGCAAGAGATGAAGGAAACTTTCCGGGTTCCCTGCCATTCTAACATCCAGTTTCTCTTTATTTTTCTCTCCTATTTCTATGTAATTTCACTTAGTGGGGAAAAAAAGACGGCTGAGATTATTAGTCCTTTCTTTTTCTTTTAACAAATATGAAGGGGCAGATTGGACCTTTTTTTTTTTGAGACAGAGTCTCGCTCTGTCGCCCAAGCTGGAGTGCAGTGGCGCGATCTCGGCTCACTGCAAGCTCTGCCTCTCGGGTTCACGCCGTTCTCCTGCCTCAGCCTCCTGAGTAGCTGGGACTACAGGTGCCCACCACCATGCCCGGCTAATTTTTTTTGCATTTTTAGTAGAGACGGGGTTTCACCATGTTAGCCAGGATGGTCTCGATCTCCTGACCTCGTGATCTGCCCGCCTAGGCCTCCCAAAGTGCTTGGATTACAGACGTGAGCCACCGCGCCCAGCCTAGATTGGACCTTTTGACACCCAACTTACAGAGCATGAGATTCAGCCAGAGTGGTTTCAATAGGAAAATCACTAGGGATCATCCTGAAATTTCCAAAGTATAATCAATTAAATATCATACCTGAATGATGTCACTGAGCACAAGAGCATCAAATCTTGCCAAGTACTGAAGGTGGTATTGCTGTATCACTTTGATGTGTCTTCGGACCAGAGACCTAATCCCCTCCAACAAGAAAAGTAGCTCTGCAATGCTCCTATAAAGTTTAGGATGAGAACAGAGATGAATAAGACTAGAAATATGAACTGAGACAAACACAGTGATATCAGGGCAGAAATTGAGACCTCCTAAGGTCATCTGATGCCTCCCTGTCCCCAGTCCATCTAAGGACAAGGTTCTTAGCCATGTCAAGTACTAACGAGTCAGCATAGTCCTCAGGTGTCTTTGTCTTGGTGACATTCTCTGTGTGGCGAACCAGCCAGGTGACCTCATCACGAATGAAGGACAGGGCCATGAAAGCAAAAAGAGCCTATGGAGGGGGTAGAGACTATTAGAATTTTCAACTTTAAAAATGGATTTCAAAGCACAGAGTAAACTACCATGATAATATAGGTATGGATGTAATTGTGTAGCCACAACAGTGTGAATAATAAACATTCAGACTCACCAAAAAACCTCAACTACAGAACACACAATCAGGCAGGTACACATGTTGACACTGGCTCACAATTAGTACCCTTCTCTCCCTATCAAATAAAGTTTTAGAAATATTTACTGGGCATTTATGTGGTTTGAAACAAAAAAACAAGCTCTGTCTCCAATTCATTCACACTCAAATAGAGGATAAGACATGTATAAAAGTAATCTTAATACACCACATACTACGTATAGTGCCAAAAAAAGAGATACAAAAGGTTTTGGGATACTCCAAGAATGTTCAAGGGAATCGCATATATACATACAAATGAATGACAAAAGACTCAGAAAGGCAAAATCTCGTGAGTGCCACGTAGCTACACAGTCTCTTATCACTGGCCATCATTCCCCTCCCAACATTTCTTCCTCTTGCCTTAGGACCCAGTAGTCCCGGTTCATCAGCCAACACAGTCTCCAGCTCCTTCACTGCCATCCGCAGAAATTGCCGCCGTTGACAATGAAACTGGCCACTAAGGAAGAAAAGGGGAACATGACTATCACCTCTCCCACCCTTAAAAACCCTCCACAGGCAGCACAGAAGAAAGCTATATTTAGGAAGGGATATCAGGCAGAAGGAAGGTTCAATGCTCAAGTTAGACTTGGTTTAAAAAAGAAAAAAGGGCCAGGAGTGGTGGCTCTTGCCTGTAATTCCAGCACGTTGGGAGGCCGAGGTGGGCAGATCACCTGAGGTCAGGAGTTCAAGACCAGCATGGCCAACATGGCAAAACCCTGTCTCTACTAAAAATACAAAAATTAGCTGGGCGTGGTGGTGGGTGCCTGTAATCCCAGCTACTCAGAAGGCTGAGGCAGGAGAATCACTTGAACCCAGGAGATGGAGGTTGCAGTGAGCCGAGATCATGCCATTGCACCCAGCGTGGGCAACAGAGCGAGACTCTGTCTCAAAAAAAAAAAAAAGAAAAGAAAAGAAAAAAGAATTTATGGGGTAGCAGCAAGTTCTTGGGTTGAGGCAATAAAGCTGTACAGAAACTAAGGATGGCTTAGGTGAGAACAAAAGTGAGAAGAGATTCCTATTCCATCCCCTCTCAGAGAGTGCATTCACCACCCTTTACCTGTTTGCAATTACATGTTCCTTGCTCTCCTTTATGTCTGCCACTCTCTTGCCATACCTGAGGATTGACACAAGCACAATGGGGTTGACCATGCTACCCATTAGGGCCCTTGCCTCACCTTCCCAGTCCTCAGAGAGTCCAGCCTATACCCTGGTGGGAGCATGGGCAGCCCTCACAGGCAGGATCTTTCCAAACCCTACTTCTCACCCTAGCCTATTAATAAAAGACTCACAGCTTAGAGATCATTCAACTCTACCTCATAATTTTACAGATACAGAAAATAATACCTAGGGAAGGGAAATGACTTGTCAAGGTCACATAGGGCTTTAATGGCAAAGGTGGGGCTAGACTTCTCTTCCTGTGCTCCTGCCTTGACTCCTTCAAATCAAGGTACTCTTCCAGGTTTGAGGGGGTTAAAGGGAGCAGTGTATAAATACAACACAGGCCCTGCTCTCAAGTAAAAGTAGTTACTCAATCTCTACCTTGGGTCCCATTCCCACCAACTTCCTTTTAGAATTTCACTGTATCAGTTATCTATTTAATACTTTAATCTCTCCTTCTCCACTGGCTTATTCTCTTCTCCCAACAAATAAGTTCAAAGCCTCCCGTATTCTAAGAAGATCCTTGCTTGACCCTGACAATCCACCGAATTCTGCTTATTTTCCCACACCACCAAACTTCTCTAAAGAGACACCTATACTCTCTCTACTTCCTCACCTCTCACTGACCCTTGAATCCCACAAAGCCTTCAGCACTAAGCAACTGCTCTCTCTAAAGTCAATGTGAACTTTTGAATCACCAAATTAGAAGGCCTTTTCATTGTTTTTAATTTTCTGCAATATTTGATTCTCCTAACCACATCTCTTTTTTTCTACTAGTGACCCATGCTCAGAATCCCAGCATTATCTTAGACTCTTTGCTCTCTATGTTCCTTACATTTGTTTTCTCTTGTCCTGTATCACTATTGCCACCACATTATTGGGACTTCATCACCTCTCCTTTCCCTTCTCCAAACCACTACTTTATTGAACTAGCACAAAATCAAAGAAGTTTGGTGTTGGAAAGTATCTTAATTAAATCAACATTCAACTTCACAGCAATCTATTGGATAATTATTTTAATCTCTGCATAGCACAATGGAAAGAGAAAAGATTCAGAGTCCAGAAACCTGGAATTGTGTCCTAATTTCACCTCTTATTGAGTGACACTGAGACTGAGCCTCCATTTTCTCATTTATAAAAAAAGATATTAATACTTATTCTTGAATTTTCATGAAGATAAATTAGATCATTTATGTCAAAGAACTCCCTAAACTATAAATCACACAAGTTAGTTGCTGCTCTTAGTGATGGAGAACTGAACACCCTTCGAACATCTCTTCCATTCCTTAGAAGCAGTAATCATCAGAAAGTTTTTTCATGCATATGCCCAAATCCACCTCCTGTAACTTCTAATTATTAATCTCAGATTTACTCTTTCTAACTCTGGCAATGGTTTTTAATGACAATACTTAGTTGTTGAGAGTGTGAGAAATCAGTATTCTTATAGGCTCTTGATAATAACTGGTTAGAGCACAATTTGGTAAGAGCTATTAAAATTTGAAATGTACATACCCTTTACTTCAGCAATTCCACTTCTAAGAATTTAGCCTATAGAAATATTCACAGATTCAAGGCCAGGCGCGGTGGCTCACGCCTGTAATCCCAGCACTTTGGGAGGCCGAGGTGGGTGGATCACCTGAGATCAGGAGTTTGCGACCAGCCTGGCCAACATGGTAAAACCCCGTCTCTACTAAAAATACAAAAAATTAGCTGGGGGTGGTTGTACATGCCTGTAATCCCAGCTACTTGGGAGGCTGAAACAGGAGAAGCGCTTGAACCCGGCAGGTGGAGGTTACAGTGAACCAAGATGGCACCATTGCACTCCAGCCTGGGCAACAAGGGCAAAACTCAAGTCTCAAAAAAAAAAAGAAAATAAAAAAATATTCACAGATTCACAAAGATATATGCCTAAGAATGTTCATTACAGCATTGTTTACAATGATTTTTTAAAATGGAAACAGCTTAAATATCCATCAATAGAGGATTTTGTAAATAAACTATGTTACAACCACATAATGTAATATTATTCAACTGTTAAAAATAATAAGTCTCTATAGACTGATATTCAAAGATATCCAAAACATAGTAAGTTTTTTTAAGCAAACCATAGAACATAATATAGAGTGTGGCTCCATTGCTTTTTAAAAATTACTTTCATAAGGTTGAAAATACATGCCATCTTTATGTGTTTATACACACACACACACACACACACACACACACACATCTGAAGGATGCACATCAAACTATTCTGGGAGGTGATAGTGTAGTCAACTTCCACTTTGCACTTTTTACATTTCTGGATGTTTTATTTGCAACCAGAAAAAAAATTGGTATTTTGACCCTTTCCTTAAACCCACTCCTCCTTCTCATTTTACCTCTCTCTATTCTTCCCTTTACAGTCAAACTTTGAAAGAGCTGTTTATTAAATTCCATATCTCTCACTTGCTCCTAAACTCACTGCAGCCCAGGTTTCAACTTCACCACTCAAATTGTTCACAAGAAGGGCACTAAAACCATCTTTAGAGCCAAATCCAATGAACATTTTTTCAATTCTTATTTTATTTGATCTCCCAACATCGTCTAACAGATCACTGGTCCTTCCTTCTAGGAATGCTTTCTTTGTTGGCTTCTCTTTTCCCTCTTCTTTTCAGTATCTCCCACTGATTTCTCTGGCCCTTAAATATCAACATACACAGAGGATTTTCCCATTCTGTTCTCACTCCACATGTGCTCCTGAGTAATCTCAACTACTCTTCTGGCTTTAACTACCAACTCAGCAATCTTTATCTGAATCCAGACCTCACTCCCAAGTTCCAGAACCATAAAATAGAAGGCCTAACACATCTGTCTTCAGTGTCCCACAGACATTTCAAAGTCAACCTGTTTAAAACTAACCACGCAATCTTTCTCCCACAAACTTACTTTTATCACATGCTCTCTTATCTTAAGGAATACCAGATATCCACGCCAGAAACCTCGACATCATCCTCAATTCCTTCTAATTTACTTAATTAATCTCTGCCTCTAGTTTTGCCCATCTAATTTCTTTTCTTCCATGCAGCCAGAATGATCTTTTCTAAAATGCAAATATGATCATGTCACTCCCCTGTCTGAAATCACTCAATAGTTCCCCATCCTCTTTGGGATGGATTCAAACTCCATAGCAAAGCATACAACATCCTAATTTACCTCTCCAAATTCATCCTCAACATCTTCATTTTTATAACCCAGATGCCCATGCACTGAACTACATGAACTTCTCAGAACTTGCCATGCTCTTTGTTGCCTCAAAAATCTTGATAGTTTCTCTGCCTAGAATATCTTTCTTTGCCTCAAGCAACTCCCCTACCTTTCTACCCAATGCACAGGCACACACACACACACACAATTACTCACACATACACACACACACACACACACACACACATACACACACTCTTCAACTGTTTAGCCTTTCAGATCTACCTGTCTCCAGGTTTTTCTAGATCCTGAGAGGCCAGTTTAAGTGTCCTTCTAAATGCTTCCACAGTACTTTGTGTTTACACATTATAATCTCTTACTCTATCAAACAATTTGTTTATTTTCTACCAGTTCATAGATTCCTCGAGAGCAGTAACTGTCTTTTTTTTTTCTTTAACAAGCACATAGCACTTACAATGTACCAGGAACTTTTCTACCTGCTTTACAAATAATAACACTTTTATTCTTCACAACAACCCTATGAGGTAGGCCATAGGGAGGTACTACTATTATCCACATTTTATAGATGAGGAAATTGAGGTAATGGCATGGGAAATTTGAGCAACTTGCCCAAGGCCACACAACTAGTGGTAGAGCCTGAATTCAAACCCAAGCAATCTAGTTTCAGAGTCTGTGCTCTTAACCTCCATGTTGTCTTATTCATTATTGTGTCCCTAAAACCCAGTGAAGCACTTAGCTAATAGTAGGTATTTAATGTATATTTCTTCAATAGTTAGAATTAATCGTTACCACCTATATCTGGGAACACTTGTGGAGACTGAAAAAGGATATTGGAGGGGCTAAAAACTATTCAAGGAAGATCAGTTTGGCTCTCGTGTCTCTCACCCTTTCAAACTGCTAAACAGGTCCTCGGTGACTTTGTGCACCTGCAGCACATCCTCACGGATAAGGGTGATGTAGAGGGAGCCCTGCAGACACAGCTTCCACAGCTTCTGGCACTGGCTATTGGAGTTGAGGCACCCATGACAAAGAAGAAACCCAACTGTAGGTGGGAAAACAGTGCAGAGGAAGACTTTTAGAACTTGTTCTTCATATAACATACTGCTTCATCCACTCCCATCTAATCCCACTAAACTTACTGATAATCCAGCGCTCCATTACTTCCACAGACAGATACTCACAGGCCATCTGTGAGAAGAGAAGCAAAGATGATCAGTTATTTAACTTGGCCTTCCTCTAAAGGAGAAAGGACAAACTAGGATCTGAGTATCAAAACTAACTTTTGGCAAGGGGTGGTGGCTAACGCCTTTAATCCCAACACTTTAGGAGGCAGGGGCAGGAGGATAGCTTGAGGCCAGGAGTTCAAGACCAGCCTGGGCAACACAGTGTGACCTTGTCTCTACAAAAAATTTAAAAATTAGCCAGACATGGCGGTGTGCACCTGTAGTCCTAGGTACTCAGGAGGAGGAGATAGGAGGATCTTTTGAACCCAAGAGGTCAAGGCTGCAGTGAGCTGTGATTGTACCACTGCACTCCAGCCTAGGCAACAGAGCAAAACCCTGTCTCTAAATTTTTTTAAAAAACTAACTTTTATTTTACCAGACTAGTTTAGGGCACATTGATAAACCAACAGCAGGGAAGCCTGCCAATAATGGAGGTGATGAGGCACTGGAAGTGGAGTAAGGGAAAAACAATACAGTTGAGAAAATAAAGAGGAACTTGGACTAGAAGTCAGAACAAGCAAAAGGTTTCACATAACTTCTCTTCAACAGTTCAGATATTTTTAATAACAATAAAATGAAGAGAGCAAGACTCAGAAATCTTCTCATGATTTCTCCCTGTGATGGTTAATCCTTTGGATTATTTTACTGCTTAAAATGTAAATCACTCATTTGGCACTTATCACTAATCATGTACCATCAGTTGTATTTTTGTGACTACATGGCATATGTTCCCTACCAGACTATAAGTTCTTTGAGGGAAGGACTTTGAGCCCACAGTCATCAAACAAAAACATTTATTAATTAATTGATTCCTGGCCAGGCACAGTGGCTCACACATGTAATCCCAGCACTTTGGGAGGCCAAGACAGGAGGATCACTTGAGCCCAGGAGTTCAAGACCAGCCTGGGCAACATAGTGATACCTCGTCTCTACAAAAAAATAAACAGGCTGGGCGCGGTGGCTCACGCCTGTAATCCCAGCACTTTGGGAGGCCAAGGCACACAGATCACTTGAGGTCAGGAGTTCAAGACCAGCCTGGCCAACATGGTGAAACCCTGTCTCTACTAAAGATACAAAAAAAAAAAAAAAAATTACCCAGGTGTGGCGGCACATGCCTGTAGTCGCAGCTACCTGGGAGGCTGAGGCAGAAGAATTGCTTGAACCAAGATGGGGAGGTTGCAGTGAGCCAAGATCACGCCACTGCCCTCCAGCCTGGGCGACAGAGTGAGACTCTGTCTCAAAAATAAAAATTAAAATTAAATAAAATAAACAAAATTAGTCAACCATGGTGGCACACACACCTGTAGTCCCAGCTACTCGGGAGGCTGAAGTGGGAGGATCACTTGAGCCCAGGAGGTGGAGGCTGCAGTAAGCAGTGATCATGCCAGTGTACTCCAGCCTGGGTGACAGAGTAAGACACTGTCTCAAAAAAATAAAAATAAGTTAATTGATTCCTAAAATCAAGTTGCTGCTAGGCTTAATAGGTGCCTAATGACTCTGTTTCATCCATTCATTCATTCTATGAATATTTACTAAATTCCTTCTATGGACAGGCTAACTGCTTATAGATCACTTTTGTTAAACCACTAACCCTGATCCAAACAAAAGCCCCAAACCAACCATGATTTTTTAGCTACAAGAAGTGCTCAACTTAGAGACATACCCTAGAAGAAGACTAAAGCATTCTTTAGTACTGATATTTCCTGAAAGAAGCACCCTCTACAGAGATGATGGCCTTGGCAAAGAGAATGCTTCCACTAACAAAAGGAAAAGGGCACTCACTGTATCTGAATTAGCAGGGTTAATCATGGCTGGGGGGTTGCTGATGAGGCTTAGAAGTTGGGCACTGCGCCACTGCTCAGCCCCCTGGTTTCTTCGGACAAAGAGGAAATGCAAAGAGAGGAGGGCTCCACTCACAGCCTGTGGGGAAAAGCAAATGAAACCTTAGCGGCAATCATGAGGACAATATACTTTTGCCTGAGGAATTCTCCATTGTCAGGGAACTTGCCTTTGTGTGAGGCCCAAACTCTTCTGTCAGCTTCTTCAGAGGGTGGTCATACTCCAAGACCATCTGACCCAGACGGGCAAAACTGGGGTCACTAGAAGAAAGCAGAGGAGAGGGGTTACAGCCCTCCCTTACCCATGACTTGAACTCTTATGTTTGCATATAGGATAAAGATATGTGCATAGGCTGGCACTCCCCACCACCTCCAAAGATATACATACTACACTGTAAATTACATATAAAGATACCCCACTCCAGGATCAGGTTACTAAGCTATGGCTAAATAGAACCATTTCATTTTGGGCAGGTCCATGAAATTTTCTTCCTTATAAGCACAAAAATAGGGTTGGACACATGATAGGTACTCTATAAATCTGTTAATTAGTTCAAAATCCAGTAATATGCCTAGATTCAAATCGTTATACAACCCAAAAGGATATATAAATATTCAAAGCTAACAGGTAAGGCATGTGTCTAGGTATCCACGTAGGCATGTGGGAATACACATCATCATAGAATGATGTGCCACAACCCACTCTGATCCCTCTAGTCTTCATTTTTTCAGCCCTTAAATACTTACATTTGCACTAATGGAGGGGGACAGAACTGCAGACAATTCAAAATCCATTTATATTTGGCTTCAAATGTATTATCACGCATTAGTTACCTCTAATGGATTTACCTTACTAATATTATTCCTACCAACACTAAAAAGAATTTTCTTTGCCTTTTGTAATAACCTGAAAATCAGAGTAGAAGCCAGTCCAGGATTAAAAATTGTTCAGAGATGATGCAAATTGAATAATCCACTAGCAGATATTCAAGAGTTAGCCACAGTTGTCTCTCATTATAGCAGGGAGATTGGTTCCAAGACTCCCACGTATGCCAATATCCCGTGCATACTGAAGTCCCACAGTCAGTGCTGCGGAACCCACACCATTTAAAAAGTCAGCCCTCTGTTAAGGGTGGATTTCACATCCCATGAACACTACATTTTCAATCCATGTTTGGTTGAAAAAAATCCATGTATAAAGTGGACCTGCGTAGTTCAAACCCGTGTTGTTTCAGAGTCAACTGAATATGTAAAAGTGTACCTTATTTTGCCTGGGTCAATGTAGATTATAGGTTCTCATATAAGAAATCATGGCATCAATTTCCTTTGCATGAGGGACTCTCTACATCATAGCACCATGTATGAGACTCTTCATATAATACTCTCGCCTTAACTCACCCATGCCCATGCAGCATCTCATGGGCACAATTGTACATGCCAATGAGTATCCGCCGATCTTCAATCCGTGACAGAAGTAAAATGACTGAGGTGTAAGTTACAATCAAGTCCAGGTAACTCCGAGTGAAATCAAAGTTGAGATTCTACAAGGAAAATACATAGGAACCCAAGGACAGCATGGCCAATTAACCTGGATCTCCTTCTTTCCCCAACCACTCTGGACAGTGCTCAATATATTCCGAGTGAATCTATTTAGAAGTAGGAACTGACAGGATTGAAAAGAAGAATAAGAAAATTGGAACAAAAGTCAGGGGCTAAAAGTGAGCTCAATATACAAGGAGGCCAGGAAATAAGGTAGCTTTTAGGAGATGGAAAAGGTGAAGAAGATTTTTATGTAATTTTTTAATTAATTAAATCACATTGCTGATCTGCTTAACATGTAAATATATTTTCACTTCAGCACTTTTTACAAAACAATTATAGTAGTCCTGAGAAGGAATAAACAAAATAGCCATCCTTCCAGTCCCTTCCCACCCCATCCTGTGAGTAGACCTAGACCTCCCAACCTAGACCTGGCCTTTTCTTTGACTCTACGATAGAAGAGAATTGCAAAGGTTCTTACGATATCAAAATGGCACTGGCAGGCATCAATGGTGTTGAGAAGTTCATATACATGATCCTGGGGGTGGAAGTGAAGACAAGAATTAATAAAAAATCAAAGAGAAGGTGACGTACTACCAGAACTTGAGGGAAAGGGACCTCTCCCTTAGAGGTCCTAGAAAGCCACCAAGTAACAGAGAAAAGTCACTGTGAAAAAGAGGGAGGAAGTTCCTCCTCAGTAAGCCACCAGTGGGCCCCTATGACCTACACTGCCAAATGCCTACATTTCCACAGGCACAAGTCTCTATTACATTACACACACTTTTCCTGAGCTTATCATCCCTATGCCCCATTCCTCCAAATTAAAAAAGGTTGTAAAATGTAGATTATCTAATAGGTAGCTTCAAAAATGCCAAAAATCAAACGATTCGTATTGACAAACCACGAAGTAAGTCTGTTCCTGGATTCTATCTCCTGTTCTCAGGAGTTAATTATTAACAAACGGGAATACTGTCTAATTTTCCATGAGTTTCTATTTACTGACAATTCACTATGTGTGAGGTACTTACCAAGTAATTTGCATATACTTCATTTAACTCTCATTCTAGTATGATAGGGATTCTTCTCCTTTTCACACATAATTTTACCTAAATTAATATGCACTTTTATTGCAGACACTTCTTTCCCCCAACATCAGCACCCACACTCCATCCTGCAGAACGCCCAGGTAAACCACTTTAGCAACCTGATATTATTTTTCTTATAATATTTTCTTATTTTTCTCCCTATTTATATAATACTATTAGATTATAAAAGGAAAAGAGAGAGAGAGAAACAGGTTTTTTGGTCATTATTTGTGTTACAAAATTGAGGTAATATTCCCTGCTTGTAATTTTGCTTTGCTCATTCACTCCTACTTGCCAAAAGTTCTCAGAGTTATCTCCTAGAGCATGAATGCATCCTTTTTCATAGCTGCATAATAGCCCATGGTATACCACAATTCATTCAGCCTTTCTTCCACTGATTCGTTTTGTTCCTAGTTCCTAGCCTTCTCCACTGAATATTGGTACTTTCATTTCTAAAAAAGTAAAATTGATAGATTAAGGAATATATATATATATATATATATATATATTTTTTTTTTTTAATATGTTGCCAAAAGATTTGAACAGGCACTTAATACCATAAAAAAAATATGATGCCAAGCATGGCGGTTCACACCTGTAATCCCAGCATTTTGGAAGGCTGAGGTGGGAGGTTCACTTGAGGCCAGGAGTTCAAGAGAGCCTGGCCAACATGACAAAACCCCATCTCTACTAAAAATAAAAATAAAAAAAATTAGCTGGGTGTGGTGGCACATGCCTGTAATCACAGCCACTCAAGAGGCTGAGGCACGAGAATTGTTTGAGCCTGGGAGGCAGAGGTTGCAGTAAGCTGAGAGGCGGAGGTTGCAGTGAGCTGAGATCATGCCACTGCACTCCAGCCTGGGTGACAGAGCAAGACTCTGTCTCAAAATATATATATATATTTATAATAAGCACATGAAAAGATGTTCAATGATATTAGCCATCAGGGAAATGCAAATTTAAACCACAATAAGATACCATGACACACCCACTGGAATAACTAAAATGTAAGTCTAATAATAGCAAGTGCTGATGAGAATATAGAGAAACTGAAGCTCTCATACATTACTGGTGGGAAGATAAAATGGAACAACTCTGAAAAAAGGTTTGGCGGTTTCTTATAAAATTAAATATACTCTTACCATATGATTCAGCAATTCAACTTCTAGATTTACCCAAGTGAAATGAAAAATATGTCCCCACAAAGATTTGTACTTGAAAGTTTGTAGCAACTTACGCATAATGGCCTAAAACTAGAAACAACTCAAATGTCTATCAACAGGTAAATGGATAAATAAATTGTACCCATGCAATGGAATAGTTCTCAGCAAAAAGGGGGACTGAGGCCGGGTGCCGTGGCTCCCGCCTGTAATCCCAGCACTTTGGGAGGCCAAGGTGGGCAGATCACCTGAGGTCGGGAGTTCGAGACCAGCCTGACCAACATGGAGAAACCCCGTCTCTACTAAAAATACAAAATTAGCCAGGTGTGGTGGCGCATTCCTGTAATCCCAGCTACTTGGGAGGCTGAGGCAGGGGACTCCCTTCAACCCAGGAGGCAGATGTTGCAGTGAGCCAAGATCACACCATTGCACTCCAGCCTGGGCAACAAGAGTGAAACTCCATCTCAAAAAAAAAAAAGGGAGGACGGGGTACTGAATCACTGATACATGCAACAACATAGATCAATCTCAGAAACATGATGCTGAGTGAGAGGAGCCAGACACAAAAGAATACATGCTGTATAGTTTCCCTTTATTTGAACTGCTAGAAAAGAAAAATCTATTCTAGAAAGTAGATCAGTGGTTGCCTGGGGCCAGAAGTGAAGGGTAGGGATTGGCTGAAGCTAAAAAAAAAAAAAAAAGGCACAAGGAACCCTTGGGGTGATGGAAATATTCAATACTTTGTAGTGGTGGTTACACAGGCATATACACTTGTCAAAATTTATTAAAATGTGTAGGAAAAGTGCTTCTTACTTATCTTCCAAAAAAAGGCTGTGTCTAAATTAACAGATAAGGAAACCAAGGCCAAGAGCCATTAAGAAACTTGCCTAACACACCAGACAGGGTAGCTGTCCCCCAAAATGTGCCCTGTGCAGGCAGTGCCCCGTCTCCATGCTTGTTTCCGCAATGTGGCGGGGAGCCGGGTGACATCATAAATACTTGCTGAATGAATGCAGAAAAATAAAGAAACTGGCCTAAGATCATAGAGCTAGTAAGGAATGGTACTAGAACTTGAATCCAGAGCTTTTGATTTTCCCTGTATGCTACATGACCTCTGTCTAGGTCTATACTTCCTCATTTGCTAGGAATGCCTTTCTACAACTCCAGCCTACACCCAAATTCCAGTGGAATATAGCTGAAATTCACTTTCAGCCACTCACACAACCAATGTCACTACGCAGGTCTTATTCTCTACAGACAAGAATCAGAAGGGAACGGAAATAACATGTGTTGGTCTATTGCCTTACTATATGCTAAACACCAAGCTAGATGTTGTCCATGCATTATCTCATTTAATTCTCACAGACGCCTCACACAGTAAATCTTATTTCCTCATTTTATAGATAAGGAAACTGGAATTTAAAGAGTTTCTTATCTAAAGTCATACAGTTTGTAAGTGGTAAAGCTGAGATTTGAAACCAAGTCTGTCTAATTCAGGGCCTACTTAACAGTGCATCATACTTCAATGTCCCTATTTCCCCTCCTTTCCTAAACAAGCCGTACCAAACACCTTGGGCTCAGAACTTTATTTACCACTGCAGCAACCAGAAGGTGTTCTAAAATCTCCTTTGCCCTTCAACTTTTCTCAGTAAGAGACTTTTTTTATGTGCTTCCAGCATTCTTCCCACTGCCTCCACCAGCACCTACCCTCTTGCTAACCACTACTCTCAATTCCACAATGAATACTCTCTGACCTGACCCTCGTTCATACATTACAGTCCTTCTTGTCCTCACTTCTCTCTTCACTATGTGATCTACTGAATATCCTGGATTTGCTTCCTAGGGTAGGCACAGAACACATTATTCTTGTATCATCTGAAAAAATACTATAACACCACCACAAGCTTGGGTTGCTCAGAGGGCTAAAATTTGCATTATTTCTTGAATACATAAATAATACATGTTTATTGTAGAAAAAACTAGAAAATACCGACAAGTTTAATTTTAACTAGCTTTTTTAAACTATAATCCCACCGATCAGAAATTCCAATCTTCTTTATATGCATATTTACCTATGTAAATATACATTTTAGGGACATCTTACATCTTACATCTGTCTTAAACTGTCTTACTGCAATTTGCTTTTACATTAAACAACATATGATGAACATTTTCTATACCAATTAATATAAAAAATATATTATTGGCTGGGTGCAGTGACTCATGCCTGTAATCCCAGCACTTTGGGAGGCCGAGGCAGGTGGATCATTTGAGGTCAGGAGTTCGAGGCCAGCTTGGCCAACATGGTGAGATCCCCCATCTCTACTAAAAATACAAAAATTAACGAGGCGTGGTGGCACGTGCCTGTAATCCCAGCTACTCAGGAGGCTGAGGCAGGAGACTCGCTTTAACCCAAAGGCGGAGGCAGCAGTGAGCCGAGATCACGCCACTGTATTCCAGCCTGGGCAACACAGTAAGACTCCGCCTCAAAAAAAAAAAAAAGAAAAGAAAAAATATATATGTGTGTGTATATATATATATGTGTGTATACTTTAACAGCTACAGAATATTCATTTGTGGGCACATACTCTGAACTTTTAACCAAACCTTTATTTATTGGATATATCAATTATCACATTGTAACTATCATAAATAATGCAATGGAGTATATTCTTATACATATGTCTTTGCATTTGTTTCCTTTTTTTATTTCCCCATGAAACAATTCTGTTTCCTTATGACAAATTTCTAAATGTAAAATTACGACATTAATTTTTAAAATTTTAATAATACCTTATCAATTTTTCTTTCAAAAACATCATATTAATTTTTATTTTTTATGTTTATAAAAATAATACATGCTCATTATTTAAAATTCAAATAAAATATCATCCATGTAGTATTGCTCCCAAAAACTATCAACAATAAGACAATTTCAAATTGAAGGATTTCTCAAAAATAACTAGCCCAGACTCTTCAAAAATGTCAGTGTCATACAAGACAAAGGCTGGAAATCATTCTAGATTAAAGATGAAGGAGACATAACTAAATCCAATGTATTATCCTTGAGACAACTGGAGAAATGTGAATATGGGCTGTATATTAGTTTGGGTGGGGTTTTGTTTCTTTTTTTTTTTTTTTGAGACAAAGTCTCACTGTGTCACCCAGGCTGGAGTACAGTGGCCAGTGGCATAATCATGGCTAACTACAGCCTTGACTTCCCAGGTTCAAGTGATCCTCCTGCCTCAGCCTCCTAAGCAGCTGGGACTACAGGCACTCACTACCATGCCCAGCTAATTTTTTTTTTTTTTTTTTTTTTTTTGTGTAGATGGGGTTTCACCATGTTGCCCAGGCTGGTCTCAAACTCCTGGGCTCAAGCGATTCATCCCCGTCAGCCTCCCAAAGTGTTGGGATTACAGGCGTGAGCCACAGCACCCAGCCATAATGTTATATTTCCTGTGTATGATATATTTCCTGTGTATGTTATATTTCCTGTGTATGATTTCCTGAGTATGATAATTATATTAGGGTTGGGTAAGAAAATATTCTTGCTCTTAGCAAATGTATGCTTAAGTATTTGGGAAAGGAAATGTCATGATGTATGAGGCTAACTCAAATAGTTCATTAAAAAATAGAGAAGGATAAGAAAATGTGGCAAAATACTAACAATTAGGAGATCCAGGAGAAGAGTATAACAATATTCATTGTACTATACTAGAAATTTTACAGTAGGTTTGTATAAAATATTGTGGAAAAATACTTGAAATTTTTAAAGCTCAAATAATGCAAAGATATATAGTTTATACAGGTTGAGCTTCCCTAACCCGAAAATCCAAAATGCTCCAAAATCTGAAACCTGTTGAGCACCAACAAGACACTCAAAGGAAATGCTCATTGAAACATTTCAAATTTCAGACTTTCATATTAGGGATGCTCAACTGCCTAATGCAAATATTCTGAAATCTGCAAACATATGAAATTCAAAACACTCTGGTCTCAAGAATTTTCCATAAGGAATACTCAACCTGTATAGAGAACTCCTAAGTCTCAACACACACAAAAAATCCAATTCAAAAATGGTCAAAGAATGAAACAGACATTTCTTCAAAGAAGATATATAAATGGCCAATAAGCCTATGAAAAATGCTCATTATCACTAATCATTAGCAAAAATTCAAATAAAAACTTAGATGAGATAATACCTCACACCCACTGGGATGGCTACTGTCAAAAAAACGAAATAACAATTGTTGGCGAGGATGTGGAGGAATTATAGCCCTTATGCACCGTTGGTGAGAATGTAAAAGAGTACAGCCACTGTGGAAAACAGTATAGCAGTTCCTCAAAAAGTTAAAAATAGGCCGGCACAGTCCAGCCTTTGGGAGGCCGAGGTGGGTGGATAGCTTGAGCCCAGGAGTTTGAGACCACCCTGGCCAACATGGGGATACCCCATCTCTACAAAAAATATAAAAACTTAGCCAGGTGTGGTGGCATGTGCCTTTAGCCCCAGCTATTCAAGAGGCTGAGGTGGGAGGATCACCTGAGCCTAGGAGGTCGAGGCAGCAGTGAGCTGTGATTGCACCACTACACTCCAGCCTGGGCAACAGAGTGAGACCCTAACTCAAAAAAAAAAAAGTTAATAATAGAATTATCATATGATCCAGCATTTCCACTTTCATGTTTATAATCAAAAGAATTGAAAGTAGGGTTTTGAAGATATATTTGTACACCCACGTTCATAGCAGCATCATTTACAATAGCTAAAACTTGGAAGCAACCTAAGTGTCCATCAACATACGATCGGATAAGCAAAATGTAGTATAATCATACAATGGAATATTATTTAGCTTAAAAAGGAAATTCTACAATATGCTACAACAGGGATGAACCTTAAGGACATTAGGCTGATGAAATAAGCCAGCCACAAAAAGACAAATGCTTTATGATTCTACTTATATAAGGTACTTAGAATAGTCAAAATCACAAAAACAAAGTAGAATTGTGATGGCAAGGGGCTGGAAAGAAAGGGAAATGGGGAATTATTGCATAAAGGGTAGAGAGTTTCAGGTTTACAAGGTGAAAAGATGGTTGCATTATTAATATACTTAGTACCACTGAACTGTATACTTAAAAATGGTTAAGACAGTAAATTTTATGTTATGTGTATTTTACCATAATTTTTAAAATAGAAAAAACATGCATAGCCTACTAAATTGAAGCCAGTCATAATCAGTCCCCAAAGGTAGTTATTTTTAACAGTTTAATGTAAAATAGTCCAGATCTTTCCTAGATATTTACTAAATACATATACATACATACTCTTTTAAAATAGAAATGTGATGTATCATATACTATTTTGAAATTTGCTTTCATTTAACAATACAACTTAGATATCCTTCCATATTAGTACATCTCTCTCATTTTTTCAAGAACTTGTTTTAAGCAAATACATGAACATCTAAAGAAAGAATAGCCTCTGAAAGACCTTGCCTACATTGGAAACGGCTCAAGAGAGCTCACCCGAAATTCCATGACATCCACAAATGACTGGTAGTAGTTGGTGAGGAATCTAATTATCTCGGCTTTTTCACGATGTACTGGTCCTAAATGTTGCTGAGAGAAACACAAAACAAAACAATAAAAAAGTGCAAAATAAGACAATTGATCCAAATAACTCAAGAAGAACAGTGGTTATACCTAAAACATTCTTAAAGAGGGTTGAGGCCGGGCGCAGTGGCTCACACCTGTAATCCCAGCACTTTGGGAGGCCGAGGCAGGCGGATCACCTGAGGTCAGGGGTTCAAGACCAGCCTGGCCAACCTGGTGAAACCCCGTCTCTATTAAAAATACAAAAATTAGCTGGGCGTGGTGGCGGGCGCCTGTAATGCCAGCTACTCGAGAGGCTGAGTCAGAAGAATCACTTGAACCTGGGAAGCAGAGGTTGCAGTGAGCCAAGATTGTGCTACTGCACTCCAGCCTGGGTGACAGAGCAAGACTCCATCTCAAAAAAAAAAAAAAAGAAAAGAAAAGAAAAAGAAAGAGAGTTGAAATATACTGACAGAGGAAGTTAGAAACGCTTCAGTGCTCTGAAGGTCTTTAAACAAAGGAGATTGTCTATCTAGGTAGAATGGTTGCATGTGATCCTGACTAGATACAGAGGGCTAAATGAGAGGAAATTTTAAGCACCCTTTCAGATGAACAGATATACTATTTATATCAAAGTCAAAAGAAACAGAATTCAAAGATGCTACAAAGATGGGTGAAAAATCTAGGGTTAACATTTAATAAGGGAAAAGTAGAGATATCCCATTAGATGCAGAAATCTAAGACAAACAGCAAGGAAACAGTGAGTGGGAAACAGAAACAATAAAATACATGTACCCTGCTGGGTTGATAGAGCTGTCTTGTACAAAAACAATGTTTTCCCATGAATCTTGCAATGGAAAAGGGGTGATGATTCGCTCCAGCTTATGCTGGAAGAATCCCATCTTATCTCAAAATGCTCAAGACTTAAAGCTCTACAACAACCTGAAGCCCTGTGGTTGAGCCTTGGAAAACTATTAATAAAAAAAGACTACTCCATCCCCTGCCAAGTTTGAAGAGAGGCATCAAAAGAGGAGAATTTCAGCCATTCAAGCAGAGAATTATTCAGAGAAAGGAGAGAAGGACCAAGTTCTCACCGTGCTGTTTCGGACATCTATGTTGGGAAATTTCTTGTTGATATACTTGAGAGATGGTTCCATGGACTTTTCCAGTAAGAAAGGTGGCTTAGATTTGGGGTCTGAACAAGTCTGCAGAGAGAAACCATATATATTTCAACCCTTTCTCCTCCTCCTCAGAAACATACCTCTTCTTGCAACATTCATTCTCATAATCTGTCTTAGGAAAAGGCAACCTGGGAACTAATTTAAAAAGCATGAGAGGCTGGGCGCAGCGGCTCACACCTGTAATCCCAGCACTTCGGGAGGCCGAGGCAGGCAGATCACAAGGTCAGAAGTTCGAGACCAGCCTGGCCAACATGGTGAAACCCCGTCTCTACTAAAAATACAAAAATTAGCTGGGCATGGTGGTGCACAACTGTAGTCCCAGGTACTTGGGAGGCTGAGGCAGGAGAATCGCTTGAACCCGGGAGGCGGAGGTTGCAGTGAGCCAAGATCGTGCCACTGCACTCCAGCCTGGGCGACAGAGCGAGACTCCGAAAATAAATAAATAAATAAATAAATAAATAAATATAAAAATAAAAAGCATAAGAGTAGGTCAAGAAAAAATTCCAAGACATTAAGCCAAGTATCTAAGAGCGAAATAACAACCTAGGCATTTTGTCTTGATGGGTAGAGTTTAATGCCTGCTTGGCCCCAGCACAAAGAGGAAGCTGTTTCCCCGCCCCTCAACTGAAGCCGGAAGGAACAAGAAAAGCAGCTGCTCAGGAGTTAGACTTTGTACAAGATTCAGTGTCACAATTTTGTTCACTATGTAAGTATCTTATCCCAAAGGGCATTTACAGGATTCATGGTGACAGAGAAACCGTGTTCCTGGTGATTTGTTTTATTACAAAAAACACAAAAGCTCCCTCCCCCAAAGTCCCCTATTTTCTATGCCAGGAACTCCCCATAAACACCCCTGTCTTTATCTCTTTACTTCCTATGGTTTGCCCAGCCCCTAGCCCACCTCTTGTCACTAGCTTCTTTCAATTCCTCAGTTCCTATTCTAAACACACACACACACACACACACACACACACACACAACCACCACAGCATGAACTACCCCAGGAGCAGCTCAGAAGACACCTACCCTTTTTAATCTAAATACCTAATTATCTATTTTTTTTCCTTTTAGGGAAGCACTTCCACAGAAAAGTTTTTGCCAGAGACCCAGCTTCAGATCTCTTCAGAGTGTAGAGGATCAACAATAAATAATAAAACCCAGAAGGTTGGACCCCAGACCTTTATCCAAGTCACTTGGAATACCACTGTTGTTTCCCCATCCCCACCCTCACCCCCATCCCCAGAGGAAAGCAGATGCCATCGTTGGGGCAAGAATCATATCTAGAAAGGGGAAGCCTTGAAAAGAAGCCTCCACTTCTGCCTTCCTGAACTGGCTGGCCTGTATAATCTGAGTGATTATGTAGATTATAGTCAGTGGAAAAGCAGTGGAAAAAAAGGTGGGAGTCTAACTGCTGCACCTGCCGCCTCAGGGTTCCCTGCCCTATTATTGTTGGAATAATCAGTACTAGTCCCATTGTTCATGCTTACCTTCTTGATGTTATACATACGGATGAGAACCCCCTGACCGCGATCATTCAGGATAGTGAGCTTCTCTGCTAATTTATGCTGGTAAGCAGATGTCAAAGACATGATGGCCACTGAGAGAGGAGCACCAGACAGCAATGTCTGATCTCCCCAAACACTTTCAGCTTAGATGGTGACACCCTCTGGCGGAGGGACCCAGCCTGGTTGGTGCACTGGTCTTCTGTTGCCTCTGCAATTGGCTCATGGGTGAAATCAGTCATTATGGCTCACAGGCCCTCAGAGCCTTCTTGTGCTTCCTCTTGCACACTCAGCAGGGGAGACTTCCTCTTTCTGGCTGTGCAGCACTTTTGGTAAGGCTATGAAGTGGGTGGAGCTGAGGAGAAGGACAGGCTTTCAAGGCTCTTCACAGACTGCACCAACCTTTTTGGTCTTATGCCCCCATAAGTGTCCTAGACAAAGCTGGGCGTGGTGGCTCACACCTGTAATCCCAGCACTTTGGGAGGAAAAGGTGGGAAGATCCATTGAGCTCAGGAGTTCCAGACCAGCCTGGGCAACATAGCAAGACCCCATCTCTATAAAAAATAAAAATTAAAAGCTGTAAGCTAGATAAACAAGTATCTACCACCCCACCCCTGTACACCTCTATATTTTCCTTCTTTTATATCCAAGAATGCCTATGAACCTTTGGCCTCATCATGTTTTAGTACCCAGATCAAATCCCATCTTCTCCTAAAGACCCCATCAATGTCAAATATTATATTGTATTATATTTTATATTGTCAAATACATATATTCCTTGTTATATGTTTATAGTGTACGTTGTATCTCCCCCAACTACAGCATAAGCTCCTTAATGACAGGAATTGTACCTAATACTTTTTTTTCTTTTTTTTTTTTTTTTTGAAACAGAGTTCCACTCTTGTTGCCCAGGCTGGAGTGCAATGGCATGATCTCTGCTCACTACAACCTCCACCTCCTGGGCTCAAGCAATTCTCCAGCCTCAGCCTCTGGAGTAGCTGTGGTTACAGGTGCCCACCACCACGCCTTGCTAATTTTTGTATTTTTAGTAGACATGGGGTTTCACCGTGTTGGCCAGGCTGCTCTCGAACTCCTGACCTCAGGTGATTTACCCGCCACAGCCTCCCAAAGTACTGGAATTACAGGCATGAGCCACCACACCCGGCCTCTAATACTTTTTTATATTTCTCACAATGCTCTACTACAGTGCATTGTACTTCTACAGTACATAATAATTCTCAAAGTAGTTCTCAAGAAGTACATAGTAATTCTCAAAATGTGATCCAGCAGCATCAGCATCACCTGGAAACTTGTTAGAGATGCAAATTCTTAGGACCCGCCCCAGACCACTGAATCCAAAATTCTGGGGTGGGTCCAGGCACTCTGTGTTTTAACAAACCCTCCAGGTGATTCCAATGCACACTCAAGTTTGAGAACCAGTGCTCTAGTACCATGGTATTTATGGATGCTTGAGAAACAGATCAATCCCTGTCCTCTGAGATTAGCATTGGTAGGTAGGCGAGTCTGTTGTGGGGCCTAGAAGTCTGTACTTATATAAGCACTGTTGTAGGAGGTTTTGGTACAAATATTCCATTCTGAAAAACACTGATCTAGAACAATACCTCTTGGACACAGTAGTCACTCAATAAATATGCTGGTTTATTTGTTGAATTATTAAGACTAAATTAGGAAATAGGCCCCATGAAGAAGAACCAAATTAATCAAGATTAAAAAGAGGAAATTAGTAATCACCCTTAAATCTTAGAGACTTGAATGAATTTTAGCATTAAAATATTCTTGCCATTCCAATGAGGCCTTAACTCCGTAACTCAAGAAAATTTTCAACTCTATTTCAACTTTCTTTCAAGACACAAAGCAAAAGGTCCTAGGAAAAATTATAAATCAAAAAGAGTTCTCTTCATTTCCACCACCTTGCCAATTCCTTTTCTCAGGTTTTTAATCATTCCCATTTTCCGTATCCAGAGTTCCCATTGTCCCAATAAATTCTAGGGAGTGGGAGAAGAGAGACAAGGCTGATCAGCATTATTACTTAAGAAGTTGGGGCCAGGTGAAGTGGCTCATGCTTATAATCCCAGCACTTTGGGAGGCAAAGGTAGAAGGATTGCTTGAAGCCAGGAGTTCAAGACCAGCCTAGGCAACATTGTGAGACCTTCCCCCACCCCTCTACAGATAAAATAAAATAAATTAGCCTGGTGTGGTGGTACATGGCTGTAGGCCCAGCTCCTCAGGAGGCTGAGGTGGGATGGTCGCTTGAGCCCAGGAGTTCAACACCGCACTCCAGCCTGGTCGATAGAGCAAGACTATGTCTCTAAATAAATAAATAAATAAATAAATAAATAAATAAAGGCAAGAAAGAAAAAAAAACTTGAGTACTGTGTTCACTATTTGGGCATGGGTGATGGGTTCATTAGAAGCCCAAATCTCAGCATCACACAATATACCCATGTAACAAACCTGCATGTGTATCCCCTGAATCTAAATGTTTTTTAATTTTAAAAAGAAACTTAACATCCATGCTCCAAAGAGAATGTATTTTTAAAAGAAGCAGCAAGATGGCAACACTTAACGCATGAAATTTCAAATATCTCTAAGGTAGAATTTGCATTTTAGGAATATAGAATCTGCCTTCCATTTTATTTACTAGACTGGGTCCCTAGAAAGCTATGGGCTCGAGGTAATGTGATATTGGTCATGAAGATTTGAATTACCTGCTGTTATCAAAGAAACCCAGGTTTTACTAAAGCAATTTGTAGGATTTCTACTGGTCTTTTACCTTTACCAAGGAGAATATGGAGCAGACAGTAAGAGGCCAACATCCAGGAAGCTTAGCAGCAGCATAGCACCGGTCTTCGTGGGGTTAGTGTAATTCTAGCGGCTCTTTCTTGCATTCCTTTTTTTTTTTTTTTTTTTTTTCCTGAGACAAGCTCTCGCTCTGTTGCCCAGGCTTGAGTGCAGTAGTGCTATCATGGCTCACTGCAACCTTGACCTCCCAGGCTCAAGAGATCCTCTCACTTCAGCCTCCTGAGTAGCTGGGACTTCAGGTGCAGGCCACCACGTCTGGCTAATTTTTGTATTTTTTGTGAGCCACCTCACTTGAATTTCTTGTCTTTATCCTGAAAGTGTGGTTGAAGACTCTGCATCCCAAGCTAATCTTGTTTCCTGCTCCTTAATGGATACTCCCCAACTTGGTGGGGACCATCTTCTCAGCCTGCTGTGAATGTGCTATGTTCATGTCTGCCTCTCTGACTTCACTTACGCATGCTTTCCTTCTTGCTTACCCAAATCCTAGTCAATCTTCAGGATCTAGCTCAATAGTCCCAAGTCTAGGTTTTGCCGAACTCCCACAACACTTGGTCTATACCACATACTTTACATCTAAATCAGGTTCTGTCCTTAACTGCCCATTTCATATAATACTGCCTAGCCAGCTGAACCAAAAGATTGTTGAAACCTGGAAACACTTATTCCCCTGTACTTGGTATATGCGAAAAGCCTACCTGCTGTTATCAGACAGAATTTGGCTCAAGTGTAGTTGAGTACAGTGGGCTGAGCCTTATGATTTAGTGACCGAGAGCCCAGGTTCTGGAACCAGATATCTTGAGTTCACATCCTATTTATCCTGTCTGTAAAATAAAGATGATATTGATAATACTTCCTATTTCACGGAGCTATTGTGCATATTTTAAAAGTTATAGCCTAGTTACTTACTCTGTACATGTAAAGCATTTGAAGTACTATAAGCACTCAAGCTTACATGTATTACCTCAATTAATATTAATAATGCTAAACACTTACTAGCTTTGTAACTTTAGCTATCTATCACCATTGAGTTGTTTCCTAATCTATAAAATGGTGGTAATCCCTCATACGACTGTGGAACTGATGAAATAATATGGCATATGTAAACATTTGGTTCAAGACCTGCTACATTGGATTAGGAATGTCAACAGTAAAGTAAAATTTTGATCTTTGAGTGTGTAGTGAGCTTGTTATGTCACTTTCTGTGGATTCTATTTGACACTCATAAAGAAAAACTCTAGGTTTAAAAATGGAACTAGGCCAGACGCAGTGGCTCACATCTATAACCCCAGCACTTTGGGAGGCTGAGGCAGGCAGATGGCTTGAGCCCAGGAGTTCAAGACCAACCTGGGAAACATGGTGAATCTCCATCCCTACAAAAAATACAAAAATTAGCCGGGAGTGGTGGCACACACCTGTAGTCCCAGCTATTCAGGAGGCTGTGGCAGGAGGATTGTTTGAGCCCAGAAGGTTGAGGCTACAGTGAGCTGTGATTGCACCATTGCACTCCAGCCTGAGAGACAAAGCAAAACCCTGTCTCAAAAAAAATTTTCTGGGCTGAGTGTGGTGGCTCACACCTGTAATCCCAGCACTTTGGGAGGCCAAGGCAGGCAGATCACCTGAGGTCAGGAGTTTGAGACCAGCCTGGCCAAAATGGAGAAACCCCATCTCTACTAAAAATACAAAATTAGCCGGGCGTGGTGTCGGGCACCTGTAATCCCAGCTACTCAGGAGGCTGAGGCAGGAGAATCACTTGAACCCAGGAGATGGAGGTTGCAGTGAGCCGAGATCAAGCCATTGCCACTCCAGGCTGGGTGACAAGGGCAAGACTCCGTCTCAAAAAAAAAAAAAAATTTTGCCAGGCACGGTGGCTCACGCCTATAATCCCAGCACTTTGGGAGGCCAAGGTGGGCGGATTACCTGAGGTCAGGAGTTCAAGACCAGCTGGCTAACATGGAGAAACCCCATTTCTACTAAAAATACAAAAAAATAGCCAGGCTTGGTGGTGCACGCCTGTAATCCCAGCTACTCGGGAGGCTGAGGCAGGAGAATCGCTTGAACCCGGGAGGCAGAGGTTGCAGTGAGCCGAAATCATGCCATTGCACCCCAGCTTGGGCAACAAGAGCAAAACTCCATCTCAAAAAAATTAATGTAACTAACTATGCCAACTGGTAGTTTTTAGAGAAACTTATTGGAAAGATCATTCAGCAGTTTCTCCCATAAACTGGAGGAACCCTTCTAAAGGTATTTAATTACTCCCAAAGTATGGCCTGGTAGACCTAGAATCCCCTGTAGAAGTCTTTCTTTTTTTTTTTTTTTAATAGAGACAGGGTCTTGCTCTGATGCTCAGGATGGAGTACAACTGTGTGTCATGATAGCTCACTGCAGCTTTGAACTCCTGGGCTCAAGTGATCCTCCTGCCTCAGCCTCCCATGTAGCTTGGACTACAGGCACACGCCACCACACCAGGATAATTTTTTAAATTTTTTTATAGAGATGGGGGTCTTACTATGTTACCCAGGCTGGTCTTAAAATTCTGGCCTCAAGCAATCTGTCTGCCTCAGCCTCCCAAAGTGCTAGAATTATAGGTGTGAGCCACTGTGCCAGACCTGTGGAACTCTTTTAAAGCCACAATTAGCCAGAGCCCATTCTTGAAGATTCTGATCCAGTAGTTTTGGAGTGGGACCAAAGGACCTGTCACTTTAAAACTACTCAGTGATTCTCATGAACAATCAGGATTGAGAGCCAGTTCTCTAAGACTTAACTATGACATCAAAAATTTCCGAACCTCTGAGAAATCATAGAACATATGGTGGGAAAAGAGGAATTGAGTAGCTTGAATGGAAAGTTGATTCACATCACCAGACTAAAAGGTACTGTGCTTTCCCTCTCCTCAAACTTCAGCTATTTGTCTTATTTTTGTCTTACCAAAGGATCGTCTTCGCCTTCAAGTCACACTTGCCTTCAGATTCTTGACAGACACTCCTTCAAGAATAAGGTAGGTCTCAAGATCCTTTAGGCTAGGTTTAAGTGTCAAGGTGGCATCAAGGTTGGGAATGCTTTGGCCATGTCTAACATATATCAAAGGAAATGGTCTTAGCCTCCATTCAGCTATCCATAATCAGGTGAATAACCCAGCGTCACCAATTCTCGCCACCTATTCTAAAGCAGTCTTCATTTATTAAGACCAGGCTTATCAGTCTGGTCAAACTTCATACTTTTCTAGGCTGCTGGCCAAAATGAGGGTTTGGGGTTGTCTGAAGACTACATTTGGGTTATTGAAGATCTTTTTCCATTATCTTTAAAAATCTAAAGATAACAGTATACAACATTGAATTATGCTGCAGCCTTTATTTTCCAGAGAGCCAATTCACTTTATAATAAGGGTTCATGGCTCTAATATAATCATTAATATGCAGTGAAAGCTTTAAACAACTACCCTGACTTGTATTCCTGAAAGGTACCTGAGTCTAAATCCCTGGATTTAGTCACCAAAATGCCCTCAGGAAAATCTGACATTTAATAGTCTAGCTCTGTGCCCTTTATCTATGCCCTAGGCATGATGCAAAGCAGAATTGAAATGGACTATTCTAAGGCACTTTTCTATCCCTACTGCTTATTCCAGTCTGCCTTGATCTTATTTTTCCTCCATCAAACTATACTGTCCATGCTTTGCAGAAATCTCGGTGTAGCTGTTGCCTGGAAACTTGAGAGTCCTTAATATGAACGTCTGCTAGGATAGCTAAAGACAGCTAGCCATGGAAGAAAGTAGGCCTTATATTGGCAGTAAAATGTAGCAGATCTGAGATGGTATATTCTTGAATCACTTCTAGGAGTCTTCATATGTTAATACCTACAACTTTAGAAATTTGAGACTGACATTCTCAGGTAACTATAAAGTAGCCCAAGATTGGCATGTTGGCATGTACCTGTAGTCCCAGCCACTCAGGAGGCTGAGGTAGAAGGATTGCTTGAGCCCAGAAGTTTGAGGCTGTCATGTGCTATGATCACACCTGTGAAGAGCCACTGCACTCCAGCCTCGGCAACATCAAGGCCCCATCTCTAAAAAATAATTATTATAATTATAAAGTAGCCTGAACTTAAGCATTGTACTGTTCATACTTCAGATTCCTTTTCTCCAACAGTGGCTATGCTGACCTATCTGACAATTAGCATCTTTCCCTGGCAAAGAGCTTAATTTAGGTAAGTTGGAAAAGGGATGGAGGGACCAATGCTGAATAGTAAAGGAACCAGCTGTCCCAGCCTTTCTTTCTCCAGCACTCAAGCTTACAGTATGAAATTTCACTGGCTGGGCGCTGTGGCTCATGCCTGTAATCCCAACACTTTGGGAGGCCAAGGCAGGCAGATCACCTGAGGTCGGGAGTTCAAGACCAGCGTGACTAATATGGAGAAACTCCGTCTCTAATAAAAATTTAAAATTAGCCAGGCTTGGCACATGCCTGTAATCCCAGCTACTCGGGAGGCTGAGGTAGGAGAATAGCTTCAACCCGGGAGGCAGAGGTTGTGGTGAGCCGAGATCACGCCATTGCACTCCAGCCTGGCCAACAAGAGTGAAACTGTCTTAAAAAAAAAAATTCATCTTACTCCAGACTGAGTTTTCCAAGGACCTTTGCCTGTTTAATACTTTATTTGAGAGACAAGCACTCTATCTAACACAACTTATAAGACTAAAAATATATACAAACGTTAATTTTTTGCATGGAAGCAGTGAATTTCCCCTACTGTCTAACTGGCTAGGCTATTGCTTTGGTTACTCGAAACTTTCATAGGTAAGACTTGAGATACTCCTATCTTTCATATTACTTTTGTTTTGACAATATAAAATAGGTCTATGCCAAGACTACCTGATCTTAAATGTCATTCTTTTTATTTGACAACCTGTGGTTCCTACCATTTAGTCCTCATGGAGCCAGAAGCCTTAGAAATGTGTCCTTATGACCCAAACCACAGGAGGCCAGCCAGCAGATTACAGTACCACCTGTCATGCAGAAGAGTAAGTTTTCCTGATAAGAACTGTAAGCCACTAGAGGGAGAAAATAACCTCAGAAATAAAAAGTTAACGTTTTTAAAAAAAAAAATTAGGCTGTGTGCAGTGGGTCACACTGTAATCCAAGCACCTTGGAAGGCCAAGGTGGGAGGATTGCTTGAGACCAGGAGTTTAAGACCAGCCTGGACAACATGGCAAGACCTCATCTCTAAAAATAAAAAATAAAAATAGGCCAGGTGCTGTGGCTCATGCCTGTAATTCCAGCACTTTGGGAGGCCGAGGTGGGCGGATCACGAGGTCAGGAGATCGAGACCATCCTGGCTAACATGGTGAAACCTTGTCTCTACTAAAAAAAAAAAAAATACAAAAAATTACCCGGGCGTGGTGGCGGACGCCTGTAGTCCCAGCTGCTGGGGAGGCTGAGGCAGGAGAATGGCGTGAACCCGGGAGGCAGAGCTTGCAGTGAGCCGAGATTGCGCCACTGCTCTCCAGCCTGGGTGACAGAGCGAGACTCCATCTCAAATAAATAAATAAATAAATAAATAAATAAATAAATAAATAAATAAATAAATAAAAATGAAAATAAACAAGCTTCTGACCATATGTAGCACCTGGCAGTTCTTAATGTTGGAACATGGTATCTGTCTTCAGCATTTCCAGAAAGGGGTGGAGGATGGAATACAGGGAAAACCTAGAACTTTTTCCTTCTAGAAAAATCAAAGATTCTCTCCCTCTCCCTCTCCCTCTCCCTCTCCCTCTCCCCACGGTCTCCCTCTCCCTCTCCCTCTCCCCACGGTCTCCCTCTCCCTCTCTTTCCACGGTCTCCCTCTGATGCCGAGCAGAAGCTGGACTGTACTGCTGCCATCTCGGCTCACTGCAACCTCCCTGCCTGATTCTCCTGCCTCAGCCTGCCGAGTGCCTGCAATTGCGGGCGCGCGCCGCCACGCCTGACTGGTTTTCGTATTTTTTTGGTGGAGACGGGGTTTCGCTGTGTTGGCCGGGCTGGTCTCCAGCTCCTAACCGCGAGTGATCCGCCAGCCTCGGCCTCTCGAGGTGC
The DNA here is from genome assembly GCF_000001405.40 of Homo sapiens. Classification (NCBI taxonomy): domain Eukaryota; kingdom Metazoa; phylum Chordata; class Mammalia; order Primates; family Hominidae; genus Homo; species Homo sapiens. The sequence continues at coordinate 54,488,991 of NC_000012.12, read as the reverse complement.
CGGGATTGCAGACCGAGTCTCGTTCACTCAGTGCTCAATGGTGCCCAGGCTGGAGTGCAGTGGCGTGATCTCGGCTAGCTACAACCTCCACCTCCCAGCCGCCTGCCTTGGCCTCCCAAAGTGCTGAGATTGCAGCCTCTGCCGGGCCGCCACCCCGTCTGGGAAGTGAGGAGCGTCTCTGCCTGGCCGCCCATCGTCTGGGATGTGAGGAGCCCCTCTGCCTGGCTGCCCAGTCTGGAAAGTGAGGAGCCTCTCTGCCCGGCCGCCATCCCATCTAGGAAGTGAGGAGCGTCTCTGCCCGGCCGCCCATCGTCTGAGATGTGGGCAGCGCCTCTGCCCCACCGCCCCGTCTGGGATGTGAGGAGCGCCTCTGCCCGGCCGCGACCCCGTCAGGGAGGTGAGGAGCGTCTCTGCCCGGCCGCCCCATCTGAGAAGTGAGGAGACCTTCTGCCTGGCAACCGCCCCGTCTGAGAAGTGAGGGGCCCCTCTGCCCGGCAGCCGCCCCGTCTGAGAAGTGAGGAGTCCCTCCGCCCCGCAGCCACCCCGTTGGGAAGTGAGGAGCGTCTCCGCCCGGCAGCCACCCGTCCGGGAGGGAGGTGGGGGTCAACCCCCGCCAGGCCAGCCGCCCCGTCCGGGAGGGAGGTGGGGGGGTCAGCCCCCGGCCCGGCCAGCCGCCCCGTCCGGGAGGTGAGGGGCGCCTCTGCCCGGCCGCCCCTACTGGGAAGTGAGGAGCCCGTCTGCGCGGCCAGCCGCCCCGTCCGGGAGGGAGGTGGGGGGCTCAGCCCCCTGCCCGGCCAGCCGCCCCATCCGGGAGGGAGGTGGGGGGGTCAGCGCCCCGCCCGGCCAGCCGCCCTGTCCGAGAGGGAGGTGGGGGGGGTCAGCCCCCCGCCCGGCCAGCCGCCCCGTCCGGGAGGTGAGGGGCGCCTCTGCCCGGCCGCCCCTACTGGCAAGTGAGGAGCCCCTCTGCCCGGCCACCACCCCATCTGGGAGGTGTACCCAACAGCTCATTGAGAACGGGCCAGGATGACAATGGCCGTTTTGTGGAATAGAAAGGGGGGAAAGGTGGGGAAAAGATTGAGAAATCGGATGGTTGCCATGTCTGTATAGAAAGAAGTAGACATGGGAGACTTTTCATTTTGTTCTGTACTAAGAAAAATTCTTCTGCCTTGGCATCCTGTTGATCTGTGACCTTACCCCCAACACCGTGCTCTCTGAAACATGTGCTGTGTCCACTCAGGGTTAAATGGATTAAGGGCAGTGCAAGATGTGCTTTGTTAAACAGATGCTTGAAGGCAGCATGCTCGTTAAGAGTCATCACCACTCCCTAATCTCAAGTACCCAGGGACACAAACACTGCGGAAGGCCGCAGGGTCCTCTGCCTAGGAAAACCAGAGACCTTTGTTCACTTGTTTATCTGCTGACCTTCCCTCCACTATTGTCCTATGACCCTGCCAAATCCCCCTCTGTGAGAAACACCCAAGAATGATCAATAAAAAAAAAAAAAAAAGAAAAATCCAAAGATAGTTAAAATGATGGCTAACTGAAAAAATAATGCTAGTCATGTGGTCCCAATAAAAAGGCTCAAGGAGGCCGGGCGCGGTGGCTCACGCCTGTAATCCCAGCACTTTGGGAGGCCGAGACGGGTGGATCACGAGGTCAGGAGATCGAGACCATCCTGGATAACACAGTGAAACCCTGTCTCTACTAAAAAATACAAAAAATTAGCCGGGCATGGTGGTGGATGCCTGTAGTCCCAGCTACTTGGGAGGCTGAGCCAGGAGAATGGCATGAACCCGGGAGGCAGAGCTTGCAGTGAGCCGACATTGCACCACTGCACTCCAGCCTGGGCGACAGAGCAAGACTCCATGTCGAAAGAAAAAAGAAAAAAAAAGGCTCAAGGAACATGAGGCTGTGTCAACAGAACTGCTCTAGATGATGGTAAGTTTTTCATTTTGGGAGCAGATAAGTGGCATAAAATTCTGTCGCTTCCTTTCCCACTCCAATATCGCATAGCTATGGAAGCCTTACAAACAAGAGGAAGAAAAAACAAAAATAAGTTCCTACTCTAATTCTATAACTTGTGGTCTGCTTTATTTCAGAGCCATTTAATCTTCCAAAGGTTATTTCTCCAAGTTTAGGACTAAATTAAAAACTTTCTAATGCTGACAGATTCCTGACCCTGATGTCTGGAATATAGGTGAACAAAGGTGAAACAGTGAATATACTCATGAATTAAGGCCTGGACCCTAAGCCCTTCATAGTAATAAGTACTAAAGCCCTGAAGACTTAAGTCTTAATAATCTAACCACAAAATCCTTCACAAGAACAATCAACATAGTCAATCTAAGAATATCACCTGTCTCTGGAGAGGCAACCCAGTAAAAAGGAATCTAAAATCTAAAATCATTTAAAACACTTAAAAGATTTTTCTTATCCTACCAATATCTGGTCACTTTCCTATCCATAAAAAATCATTACTGGTATAAACTGAAACTTGTAATCCGAAAGGGTGGGATTTGTCTTATCTCCAGTGATCTCTTTCTCTAAGATGCAGCATGTTATAATGGAGACCTCATTAGCCTTCAGTCAGATCTAGGTTTGACTATCTGCTCTGACCTTAACGGAAGTTACTTCCCTTTTTTTTTTTTCTTTTGACTTTTATTTTAGGTTCAATGTTTAGGTTTAGGTTCAGTGTACAGGTTTGTTACATGGGTGAATTTTGTGTCACTGGTGTTTCGTGTACGAATGATCCCCTCACTCAGGAAATGAGCACAGTACCCAACAGTTTTCTTACCCTCGCCTCCCTTCCAACCTACCGCCTATATTAGTTCCCAGTGTCTATTGTTCTCATCTTTGTGCCCGTGTGTACTCAATGTTTAGCTCCCACTTAAACATGAGAATATGTGGTATTTGGTTTTCTGTTCCTGTGTTAATTCTCTTTGAATGATGGCCTCCAGCTGCATACATGTTGCTGCAAAGGACATAATTTCATTCTTTTTATGGCTGCATAGTAGGGAAGTTACTTCTTAAACACATCTTCTTCATCTGTACAAGGCTGCCTCACAATCACCCTCACAAGGGTGACTAATATTAAATACAGATGCATGTGTGTGTTAGAGCAATGCTAGCTTCTATATATGAATTCCAAATTGTGTTAATATCATGGCTTAAAACAAGAGAAGTTTTCTTGTATAAATCCCAACACAAGTATTCAGTGGGTGGTAGTGACTTGAAGACACAGGCTCTTTCCATCTTGTGAGTGTCACCTTCCACACTTGGTTTCCAAAGCTGCCACAAAGAGAATGGAGAAGGTGCAACTGCCTTTCAACCACCTCAGCCTGGAAAAGAATACTTTCATTCATATTCCATTGGCAAAACTAGTCATATGACCATACCTAAATGTAAGGGAGGTGGCAAATCACCCACTCCTCAGCAACAACTATGGAAGGAAGACTCAAATCTCTGCTACCATCTAACCTTCTCTACAAACATATAAAAATGCTAAGTACTTGTGTTACTTCTTCCTTCTTTCTAGGTAATATGCATCATACTCCATTTTTTTCTTAAGACTTTTGCCCCAAAAATGCTGGTTTGTGAAAGTTAAGATAAACCATCTTTTCACTGTTGGAAGAGAGAGCAGAATACCTTTAAACCTGGATTCTTTTTTTTTTTTGAGACAGAGTGCAATGGCGCGATGTCGGCTCACTGCAACCTCCGCCTCCTGGGTTCAAGCGATTCTGCTGCCTCAGCCCAGTTAATTTTTGTATTTTTAGTAGAGAAGGGGTTTCACCATGGTGGCCAGGCTGGTCTTGAACTCCTGACCTTAGGTTATCCGCCCACTTCAGCCTCCCAAAGTGCTTGGATTACAGGCATGAGCTACTGTGCCTGGCCGAAACCTGGGTTCTTAAAGTGAGACAGCCATCAGGTCCTAGGCATGGCAGATGCCTAAGCTTCAATTATGAATGTAAAAGATCTGTATTGGTGGGCCCTGAGTACTTCCATTCCTTCTCAAGGGCTCTGCTTCAGACTGTATCCCATCAAGGACTTGCATACACAACATTCTTGATTCTGTGTAAGATTTTCAAAGAATAAAAGACCAATTTCCAAAACTGTGAAGGGAAAAGAATAAGCATATTGTACATGAAGGAGGTAAGGACTGCCAGCTAAACAACTTGAAGGGCACATCCAAGAGTTATAGGAGTCATTCATGGAGTTACCTGCCACAATCACAGGAAGATGGGAAAGGGCAAAATAATTATACAAAACAGAAGTAAGCAAAAAAAAAAACCAATGGTTTCTACTCTGACATTTAGTAATATCAATTACATTTGATAGAGTAACTTTAATCTCCTATAATTGATTATCTAGATTAATTCTCCAGTACTGGATTCCAACTAACTTTCCTCTTATAGTCATCACCTACAGTGACTCAAGAGACCTAAGGAAAAAAAGAGGCTATGGATGATATACATCCTAAAAACAAGTCCTGGAGAAAAGATAAAATAATTGTTTTTAAAAAACTGATGTCATAGTTTTAACTAATATCACTAATGTGTCCTAAGCCTTTAAAGATTCTTAGACAAACTTTTCTTCTTAAAAAAATTAAACCATATTTTCTATTTCAGTTTCCTATTTCACCCACAACAGAATGCAGGGAAAGTCCTGATGGCTTTAAATTAGTCTTAGGAGAAAGGGCTGTCTAGGGATCTATTTGAAATGCTACTAATACACATCAAGCTTAGATCTTCCACAAAAACACTTGCAACTGGGCACAGTGGCTCACGCCTGTAATCCCAGCACTTTGGGAGGCCGAGGCAAGAGGGCTGCTTGAGCCCAAGACTTCAAAATCAGCCTGGGCAACAACGTGAGACCTCTGTCTCCACAAAAAAATCAAAAAATTAGCCAGACAGGGTAATAGCCAGGCCTGTGGTCCCACAAGAGGCTGAGGCAGGAGGATCGCTTGAGCCCAGGAGGTTGAGGCTGCAGTGAACTGTGTTCATGCCACTGTACTCCAGCCTGGGTGACAAGAGTGAAACCTCATTTCAGAAAAATACACACACAAAAAAACCCTTGCCATCAAAATGACACTACCTCAGTCTTCTTTTTCCCCCCACAAATCAGAAAAAGTGATGTAGAAGTTGTAGATTAAATAGCCAGCAGACAAAATATTTATTTTTAAGTCTTTTTTTAAACTTCAGAGAAATCTTAACTAGCATGTTTTAGGTAACAACTCTTGGTACTGTTGGCATCTTAACACGATTTTATTTTTTTAAATAAAGAATATTTTTCCTGGCCAGGTGCCATGGCTCATGCCTGTAATCCCAATACTTTGGGAGGCCAGAGTGGGAGGATCACTTGAGGGCAGGAGTTCAAGACCAGCCTGGCCAACATAGCAAGACCCTGTCTCTACAAAAATAAAAATAATTTAAAAATTAGCCAGGCAAGGTGGCACACACCTGTAGTCCCAGCTACTCCAGAGGCTGAGGTGGGAGAGTCACTTTAGTCTAGGAGTTGAAGGCTGCAATAACACTGTACTCCAATCTGGGCAATAGACAGAGACCCTGCCTCTAAAAAATACTTAAAATTTTTTAAAAATTTTAATTTCTATGACAAGCTTCATTTGATTTTTTAATTTCTTCCTTGTTTTTATATTTTCATTTGCCAACCAAAAGTCTGGAGGGCTTACTTGCCTATTTCTGTTATTAGTAGGGGAAATCTTGTCATGTGGGCTATAATGCTATTCCATAATGAGGTTCTTCATCTTTCAATTGCTTTTTCTTCAAGTCACTTACTATATGACCGTCAGATTATTCTTCAATCAGTTCTCTACACAAAACTTTCCATGCTTAAAGGATAGCGTTTTATGGAAAGCTGAGACTGGAACATGGCTCCAAATGTACCTTCCTAACTCTGTAACAGGCAACTTACACTCATCTTAAATATGCCTTATTCTTTTTCACTCTGCTCATTTTTTTTTTTTTTTTTTTTTTTTTTTTGAGACGGAGTCTCGCTCTGTCGCCCAGGCTGGAGTGCAGTGGCGCGATCTCGGCTCACTGCAAGCTCCGCCTCCCGGGTTCACGCCATTCTCCTGCCTCAGCCTCCCGAGTAGCTGGGACTACAGGCGCCCGCTACCACGCCCGGCTAATTTTTTGTATTTTTAGTAGAGACGGGGTTTCACCGTGTTAGCCAGGATGGTCTCGATCTCCTGACCGCGTGATCCGCCCGCCTCGGCCTCCCAAAGTGCTGGGATTACAGGCGTGAGCCACCGCGCCCGGCCCACTCTGCTCATTTTTAAATGTCACCCCTTGCCCTTCAATCGTTTAAATTCCTGTTCTAGCTTTTTTTTTTAATCCAACTCTTATTCCTCACCTCATTTAAACCTTCCCTATCTTCTTTAGTGATTTCTATCATGGCAGTTAAATATAGACAATTTTCTCCAACCTCAACCATACCACAAACCCTCACGAGAGAAGTCCGAATCATGTGTTGCTTTGTACTTGTTACACCACTAGTCTGCTGCTGTGCATCTAGTAGATATTGAAATACTTGATGCTTAAACTTAATGTTTAAAAGACCCAATTTATGACAGGCCAAAATCTCTGAAGTCATAATTGTTTTTTTTATTGCAGCTAGCTAAGCCTTTCAAAATAACGATATGGTTTTTTTTGCTTAGTTTAGTGATTATTTCAGGTGTATTTAGATTTACAATTAAAGGAAGTTATAGACAACTGAATATTTTATGCCCTTAGGAGGCTAATCCTTACTTATTTTCTAGAATAATCTTCTTACTTTATCTTTTTTTTTTTTTTTTTTTTTTTTGAGACAAGTCTTTACCTGTCACCTAGGCTAGAGTGCAATGGGGCAATCTCGGCTCACTTCAACCTCCAACTCCTGGGCTCAAGTAATTCTTCCACTTCAGCCTCCAGAGTAGCTGGAACTACAGGCACACCCCACCACACCTGGCTAATTTTTTGTAGAGACAGGGTTTCACTATGTTGCACAGGCTGGTGGGGTCAAGCAATCTACCCTCTTTGGTCTCCAAAAGTGCTGGGATTACAGGCGCAAGCCACTGTACCTGGCCTACTTTCATCTCCTGACTAAGGCCTTACACATATTTTCAATTTTTAAAATTATCCTTTGGTATATCGACACCACATTATAAAAACAAAAAAAAAGTTCCCTAAGAATAATGACCCAATATCATCAAATGTCTTTCTTTTTTTTTTTTTTTTTTTGAGATGGAGTGTCACTCTGTCGCCCAGGCTGGAGTGCAATGGTGCAATCTCGGCTCACTGCAACCTCCACCTCCCGGGTTGAAGCGATTCTTGTGCCTCAGCCTCCCAAGTAGCTGGGATCACAAGCGTGCGTCACCACGCCTGGCTAATTTTTGTATTTTTAGTAGAGACGGGGTTTCACCATGTTAGTCAGGCTGGGCTCGAACTCCTGACCTTGTGATCCACCCACCTCAGCCTCCCAAAGGGCTGGGATTACAGGCGTGAGCCACCGTGCCCAGCCCATCAAATGTCTTTCTTTATCATATTTTACATATAGAGAATCTTCCCTTAAAAGGCCATACAGTCTTATTTGACGTGACCACAATGATTTTGTTTTTCCAAACAAGGATATTTTTGAGTATGAAAGGGCTCACTATCAATAATTATCCTGGCTGTAATCCCAGTACTTTGGGAGGCCAAGGAGGGTGGATCACCTGAGATCAGGAGTTAGAGACCAGCCTGGCCAACACGGCAAAACCCTGTCTCTACAAAAAATTAAGAAATTGGCCAGGTGTGGTGGTATGTGCCTGTAATCCCAGCTACTCGGGAGGCTGAGGCAGGAGAACTGCTTGAACCCGGGAGGCAGAGGTTGCAGTGAGCCAAGATCACACTACTGCACTCCAGCCTGGGTGACAGAGCAAGACTCCATCTTTAAAAAAGTAAAAATAAAAATAATGATACTGGGACAACCAGACTAATCAGGTTGGCCACCCTAGTCTTAAGAGAAAAAAACATCATTTATTAGGCAACTGTGTCATTCAAAATATGGGTGCCAGAGCTACTCAAATCTTTAAGAAATTCTGAGGCCTTCGAAAGAAAGCATAATAGAAGTTAAAACATCACTTTGTGGCTTCTAACATAACATTTGGTCAAAGCTTTGAGAAACACCAAATAAACTTATGGGAAAAAAAATAAAAGCACATGCATTTTTTTTTCAGTAGAGTTTAAAAGTAATTGCCTCAAAGCCTTCCTAGATTTCCCAAAGCCTAAACTATTCCCCCATGTTCCCATAACAGGAGTCTCATGTCTCCGAATAACCTTTCATTCCACTTTATTATTGTTAAGCTATAGGACACTTGAAGATAGGTATGATCTTGACTATGTAGTCATCCTGTACCTAAAAGCAAGATTGCTGAATGTGGAGAATCTATATCTTATCAATGGGATAAAAAAAGACTCAGTAGTCTGGGCTAAATATTTCTCTCTTTTTTGTCTTTTTTTCTTTACTTCTTGTGGAGAATACCACAAGGTCTCACTATGTTATCCAGGCAGGTTTCAAACTCCTGGGCACAAGTTATCCTCCCACCTCTGCTTCCCTAAGTGTTGGAATTACAGGCGTGAGCCACTGCCACCAAACCTGGGCTAAATATTTCTATCAGAATAAATCAACCTTTCAAAAACTTTGGTAACCAGGTTCTCTTCTCTAAAAAGTTCTATTAGCTAAGCATGGTAGCAGGTACCTATGGCCCCACCTACTCAGGAGGCTGAGGAAGGAGGATCACTTGAACCCAGGAGGTCAAGGCTGCAGTGAACTGTGTTAACGCCACTGCACTCCAGCAGCCTCAAGGACAGAGCAAGACCCTGTCTCAAAATAAAATAAAATAATGAGTTCTATTAAGGTAATTCAAGGCCAGGCACAGTGGCTCATGCCCATAATCGCAGCACTTTGGGAGGCCAAGGCATGAGTATTCCTTGAGCCCAGGAGTTCAAGACCAGCCTGGGCAACATGGCAAGACCCCATCTCTAAAAAAAAAATGTTAAATTAGCCAGGTATGGTGGCAAGTGCCTGTGGTCCCAGCTACACAAGAGACTGAGGTGGGAGGATTGATGGAGCTCAGAAGGTTGAGGCTGCAGTGAGCCGAGATTGTGCCACTGCTGGGCAACACAGTGCGACCCTGTCTCAAAAAAAAAAAATGGCAATTTCAGTTATATTTCTGGAATAGTAAAGAATTTCCAGCTTTAAAGTTTATCCCCTAAAATCAGGTTTTAAGGTTTAAACCCTTACACTCATAGTATGAACTACGAGGGAAAAAATTGCTAAGGCCTGTTACTCATGTCCTAGATATGCACCAAAATATGCACCAAAACATATCCCATTAGTTCCACATCTTTATCTATCCTGTGGTTGGTCCATACTTTACAGGCCTTTTTGCTCTGCCTTTCCAAGTAGCTGCAGTATAAAACAGGCTCAAAAAAACCTAAATATTTTAGTCTCTTTTTCCCCCATGCTCTTCACAAGATAGATGATATCATATAGTTGCTGCAGCACCTGAAAAAATACACCTGTTCTCAAGTCAAATAATCAAGTATCTACTATGTTACTACTTAATTAAGAACTGTAGTGTATTGGGGGAAATAGGGAGATAGATGTTGGTGAAAAGGTATAAATATTCAGTTTAAGATGAATAAGTTCTAGAGACCTAATGTACTGCATGGTAACTATAGTTAATAATAATGTATTACATACTTGAAATTTGCTAAGGGAATAGATCTTAAGTATTCTCACCACACACACAAAAAAAGATAACTGTGTCAGATAATAGATTTGTTAATTAGTTCAATTGTGGAAATCATTACACAAGGTATACTTGGATCAAAACACCATGTTGTACACCTTAAATATATACAATTTATTTGCCAATCGCCTCAATTAAAAAAAAAACTGTAGTGGCCATGGTCCATTATTGGGGAACAATGTTGGCAACTATAGTATAGGGCAATGGTTCTCAAACTTTATTGGATATTAAAATTATTTGGAGGGCTTATTAAAACACAGACTGTAGGGCACCTCAGCCCCCAGAGTTTCTGATTCAGTTGGTCTGTAATGGGGCCCAAAATGTGCATTTCCTCAAATCCCAGGTGATGCCGATGCTGCTGGTCTATGCACCACACTTTAAGAGCCACTGGTGTCACGGACAGTTTCAGTGCTGGGAGGATAGGAGGGTGGAGGAAGATTACAAGAAAATATAAGGATTTGGGGCTGCACGGTGGCTTCTGCCTTTAATGTCAGCACTTCAGGGGGGCCAAGGCAGGGGAATGCCTTGAGCTCAGGAGTTCGGGACCAGCCTGGGCAACAGGGCAAAACCCTGTGGAGAGAAGAAAAAAAGAAAGGGAAAGGGGAGGAAGGAAGGGAGGAAGGGAGGGAGGGAGGGAGGGAGGGAGGGAAAAGGAAGAAAAAAGAGAAGAAAAGAAGGAAGGAAGGAAGGAAAAATGTAAGGACTAATCCCAAGTAAAGGTTAAAAGAAGGCTTCACAGAGAAAATTAACCTTGGATTTAAACATTTTATATGCCTTAAAATAATAGATCCACAAAACAGCAGTGTTGGAATTTTAGAATTGTTCTACGGAAGACCAGTCCTTTACAGAACTTTTAGTAAGGTTTTTTTAGTATAATTCTGCCCTTCTACCATCTTTTTCTTTTTCAACATAATCCATAGGTTCACACCTCCTACCATCTTTTCAACAGTCTTTTAAGAAGTTACCAAAGTGATGCTTATGAACTTTGGCTTACAATTTACATCTTAGGTGCCAGCACTAGAAAGAGAGTAAGAGATATTTGTTGCTGAGTCCTGGGGAAAGAACTATATATGTAAAGGAAAAACATAAAGAATAGATTTGTCAGGTATACAGGTAACTATTACAGGCAATGTGGATTACAGAAATACGTAACATTTACATGTTAGAACATAGAATGGCTCTAGGACAAACAAAATATCACTACCAGTTTTTCTTCACTCATCCTGTATTTTGCTTTAGCTTCTAGAACTGAATGTTGGCTCTTCTTGGCAAGTCCTCATTAGCAACTCTTTTTTAAACATAAATTTATTTTCATTGGCTCTCACTACCTCTCCCTGCTACTTTTCCTGAACAATTGTAACCAACCCCATATTTTCACCCTCCCCTAAAGCAATATTTCCTAATCTATTCTCACTTATTCTCACCAAGAAGAATATCTGTTACCCCATAGAGCCCCTCTTCTTTTTTTTTTTTTTTTTTTTTTGACACGGAGTCTTGCTCTGTCACCCAGGCTGGAGTGCAGCTCTGCCTCCCGGGTTCAAGCGATTCTCCTGTTTCAGCCTCCTGAGAAGCTGGGACTACAGACAGACACCGCCATACCCGGCTAATTTTTTTTTCTTTTTTTTGTATTTTTAGTAGAGATGGGGTTTCACTATGTTGACCAGACTGGTCTCAAACTCCCGACCTCAGGTGATCTGCCCATCTCGGCCTCCTAAAGTGCTAGGATTACAGGCGTGAGCCACCACGCCCAGCCGAACCCTCATTTTGAAAGAATTTGCAACTGAATTTATTGAATAATTTTTCCATTTTTAATTATACACCCAACTGCCAAACAGAAATCATAATTAGATGAGAGAAAAATTAATAATTAGATGAGAGAACCAGGACTTGATTAATAAAACCTAAGCCAGAAACAAAAAAATATATTTTGGTCTTTTGACGGGCAAAAGTTTTAAGTTTTATTAGGGTTGTCTGAAAACAGAAAGTTTCTAAAGAACCTCAAGGACTACTGGAATGCCTTCAATCCTAAAATCTGAGAAAACTATCTTCCTAACAAAGGGTTTTTTCCAATAACTAAGAGAATAGATCTATTTATTCATTAGTTCAGATATTTTATTTTTACTATTATTAATTCTTTCGTTTTAAATTTTTCTTCTTTGAGACAGTCTTACTCTGTCGCCCAGTCTGGAGTACAATGAACTGCAAACTCAGCTCACTGCAGTCTTGACCTCCTGGGCTCAAGGAATCCTCCCACCTCAGCTTCCCGAGTAGCTGTGACTACAGGCACCCACCATCAGGCCTAGCTAATTTTTGTATTTAGAGAAACAGAGTCTCATCATCTTGCCAAGGCTGGTCTCAAACTACTGAGCTCAATCAATCCACCCGCCTCAGCCTCCCAAAGTGCTGAGATTACAGGCATGTGCCACCGCACCCAGCCAACTATTATTAATTCTAAGAATATAATCTATAGGAGGCTGGGGGTGGTGGCTCACACCTGTAATCTCAGCAACTCTGGAGGCTGAGGTGGGAGAATCACTTGAGGCCAGCAGTTCGATACCAGCCTGGACAATATAGCGAGATCCCCACCCCCAATCTCTACAAAAAATGTATACACACACACACACACACACACACACACACACACACACACACACACAACATTTAGAGGTAAATGCTAGTATATACACAGATAGAACCAGCACGGATCAGATTCAGTTTAGGGTATTAATTCCCAATAGCTCCTAGAATGACCCTTGTATAAAATGCCTTGTCTCATTTTTTTTTTCCTTTTCAAATATGATCAACCTGGCTGGAAAACCAGTCTAAAAGAAAGCTAAGCAGGGACCTCAGACAAAGCAGAAAATTTATAGTTAGAAAGGAATGAACAAAATACTTAAGAATAGAAAGAACAGATGTGTGGTGCATTTTTATTTCAAAATCACCATTGAAAAACAGGTTTGATTTTTGCTTGTTTGAAAGTTGGTTGGCTTATTCACAGGTGCTAAATGAAACAGCATTATCAGTTGAGGATCCTGTCATTCTGACAAGGCATTACTACTGAATGCAGTGAAGCCTGACTTTGGATTCTGGTTTGGTACCCATTCCCCTATCCTCCCAAGCCCTTAGCTCTTTCTTCCTCAGAAATTTCAATCTGCAGGTATCTGAATAAAATGTATTTATGGGTCACAGTAGCACTGTCAACAATTTCACCAGATTACTGCAATGTAAAGCCTGAAAAAATATTTCATTTCAAATCACACTGGCCCCAACAATCTGCATTAATGATACTGTGATAAAATCAGAGGTTTAGGATTTCATGAAAATTGTTTTAAAATATTTCCTAACAATCTAAAACTGATTTGCCAAAACAACTTTTTCCAAAATGATTAGTGCTAAGCTTGCAATGAAGCTTTCCTTCTTAGCAATTATCTTTCGCAAACCACTTTAACAGTTTGCTCCTCCTTCAAATGAATCATCCAGGCCATGGGTGAAAGAATGGCTTTTTTGATTTCAAAACAATGCCTAGGTCAGTTGTTCTCAGCCCTGGCTACACATTAAATTCATCTGGGTAGATTTTTAAAAATAACTATGCCTGGCTCTTTCACATTAATTGGTGTGGGATGGGAAGTTGGCATGGTATGTCTTAAAAGCTCCCCTGATGATTCTAAGGTGTAGACAAGATTAAGAACCACTAGCCTACAATGGCTTGAGCCTGGCTTCCATCAACACTTGGTTCTTTTTAGTGTCTTAATCTGAACTGATGGCTGTGGAGCAAACTCTCTTCTAGTAGGAAAAAAAGGTCGGGGGGAGGGGGTGCGGAGGGAGTAACAACAATAAACGCTCACAAATTAATCATGTAAAACGAAAACATCCCTTGCCCGGCGCAGTGGATCACACCTGTAATCTCAGCACTTTGGGAGGCCGAGGCAGGCAGATCACCTGAGGTCAGGAGTTTGAGACCAGCCTGGCCAACATGGTGAAACCCCCGTCTCTACTTAAAAAAAAAAAAAAAAAAGCTGGGTGTGGTAGTGCCTGCCTGTAGTTCCAGCTTCTCAGGAGGCTGAGGCAGGAGAATCACTTGAACCCAGGAGGCGGAGGTTGCAGTGAGCCGAGATCATGCCACTGCTCTCCTGCATGGGCGACAGAGCGAGACTCCATCTCAAAAAAAAAAAAGAAGAAAAAGAAAATGCCCCACTGATCCTTTTTACTAAAGCTACATTCAGTTTTTGTCAGGGTAGTCCTCTCAAGTCCTATTTGGGCTCTACACCACTGAAATGCTGTAGAAATCCCAATATTTCACTGCCCAGACTAATCACCCAGACTGCCTCCTACATCTTGAACAGCACAGAATGTTTTGTCATATCTTTTACTTCTTGGTTTTGAAAAATATTACCACCAGATCTACTTGTAGTGTCAACACCTTCCTTTTTTTGTCTAACCTTCAAAGGCTACAAGTCCCTTTTCTCTATAATGCCTTCCCAGGTCATTTCAGGCCCCATTAATTTTTTTCCTTACAGGAATTTACAGTCTCTACCACTTTTTTTGGCATTTTTTGTACTGCTATTAAACCTTTCATCCACTTTGGGAGTCGTTTTTCTAAGCACTCTGGGGACAAGAACTGCAGCTTACACTTTTTTTCCCCAGAACAAAGCCTCACACTACGTTTGGTTTTCCCTTAACAAGTTGTAACCTTCCGGCCTTCTTGTCCTCTCCAACTCTTCATTGAGCTCTCTCCCCAACTCTAAAACTCGCTTTCATCAGGCAGCAACAACCATCATCCTACCAAGCATTCTCAGATAGTTAGTGCCTTTTGAATTTTGGGATTTTACAACACATTCTAAACAAGAACAGCCAGACACAAAATTCCTGTCCTTGGTGATTGTTTTGTGGCTGCACTGCGTATCTCCTTTATAATTCCTCTTCTCTTCCCTCAAAATCTAAATTACCTTTCTATCTAGACAACTTCCACAAACAAGGCTTCTTTCTAGGCAGCTCCCCACCTCTAACCAGTTCCATCAGTCCCATTCCCTCAGGCGCCATTTTTTTTTTTTTTTTTTTTTTTTTCCTGAGACGGAGTCTCACTCTGCCGCCCAGGCTGGAGTGCAGTGGTGCAATCTCGGCTCACTGCAGCCTCCGCCTCCCGGGTTCAAGCAATTCTCCTGCCTCAGCCTCCCAAGTAGCTGGGATTACAGGCGCCCGCCACCACACCCAGCTAATTTTTGTATTTTTAGTAGAGACGAGGTTTCACCATGTTGGCCAGGCTGGTCTTGAACTCCTGAGGTAATCGCAGGTGCCCATTTCTAAGTGCTCATCTGCCTTTTCTAAGATGGCCGCCACAAAACCCAGGGAAAGAAATGCGAGTTCTACCCTCTCAAGGCCACTGTTGTTCTGGGGGCCAGGGGAGGATGGCCCCAAAGATGGGGTGCCCAAGGAGGAGATCCTCGTGGGAAAGGGTCATCAGGGAGCTGACCCTAGGGGCTCACAGGTGAACTCCACAGCTGATCCACCCTGCCCCACACTCAGCCAGAACCGAGACTCCCAGTCACAGGAAGTGCCGGCCCCTCGCCCCACCTCCCAACGTTAGGCGCCGGAAGTGGCCGTTGCTGGGGCTTGCGTGGGAGGAAGGTGACTGTGAGGAAGGTGTGTGTCCACCGAGGTAAGGAAAGGCACCCCGGGGCGCCTCTAAGCAATTCCTATTTTGCGTACCGGGATACCTTCACCTTCTAATATCCTCATTTCGCTTTTCTGCTGGTAGCCTTCAGCCTTGTGGGCTCTCAATGCAGCTATTTTGGCTACCAACCTGTTTCGCTGCATTGCCCACTCGAGGGCCTCCTTGGCGCCTTTTCTATGTTTTTTTTAAGTTAACCACCTCCCCCACTTTCTCTTATTTAGTCTCATTGATTAAGTCTACTGTGATTTTGTTGTTGTTGTTGTTGTTTAAAGGAAGAAAAATGATTCTTTTACTAAGGCCGGAATTCTGTTAAGCGTTTAACCAGTAGCCGCCGACTACATCCATACCCTAAACTTGATTGCTTCCGGCGTAGCTTGTCTATTTCACCGTGATCTAGTAGTAGGGAAAAGGTAAAGAATCCCGTTAACAGTTTGATGCGGAAGATACTTAAAACAGACACGGCTAAGTGATGGTACTGTGAATTCCAGTGCCCCTAGTGTACTGTAATTCGTCCTTTTGTCCGGGAAGAATAGGTTGGCTTCCTACAAGCTGCTGAATCTGGTGCTCATCACTTAAAATCAAGAAACATACTTGGTTCTTCCTTCCAAAACTCTTATTTTTAATGAAAAAGTATGAAGTAACTATGTATAAGTGAAATATATACAAAAAGACGGTGGGGATTTCTTGATCCAAACATAAATATGAAAAATATTTTTAAGACAAATTCACTAATGATTGTCATTAACAAATGGGCTCAGTAGCAAAAAAACTAGAGTTCTAGCTGATCACTTGTATTTCCTATCATAGGTTCTAACGCTGCTTATGTCACAGAATGGGGGGAGGGGTGGTGAGGAGTGTAGAATTGTGTGAGGGGCCAAAGGAGAGCATGCTCTAGAGACAGACAATTTTCAGAAGTTTCGTATGGGGATGGTTTTATATAAATTCAGGTTTTTCCCACAATAATAAATGTATTTAGTCTCAGTGCTCAATAGAAGAGATTTCTAATAGAAAAGGATTCAAACTGTGAAACCATTTCTCTTTTAATGTTTCACATTCCTGTTACAGATTTGTTCTCTTGTGACTCTGTTATCCATAATATGGACAGTTCTTGAGTCCTAACATTGAGAGGTTTTCCCTTAGTGCATAGAGGGAATGAGTATTAATTGGAGAAGCTTAAAGTATTGCCACTTTAGCACTGAAGATTGGGATGAGAGGAGGTGAAACCTCACTAGAAAAAGGGACAATGTTAGTGTGGCCCTTCCTGATCATGTTTAAGAAAAGTCATGAAAATGGTGAACTAGTGTTTCCAAGCATATTGGAAGGGTTGAGTGTATACTGTCTGTCAAAGACTTCCAGCATTTCCAGGTCCTAGAGAGGAACAAGACTGGTAACCTGCCTATCTGTATTTTTAAGAACCCAGGAGGAAAGCTTTATAATAGAACATTATTTCTGTGTTTATGTATAAGGGGTTTTTTGTTTTTTTAAAGACAGGATCTCACTCCATTGTCCAGGCCAAGTGCAATGGCACGAACCTCATAGCTCCTGGACTTAAGTGATCTGCCTGCCTTTGCCTCCTGAGTAGCTGGGACTACAGGCATGAGCCCCCATGCCTGGCTAAGTTTGTTTTTTTGTTTGTTTGTTTGTTTGTTTTTGGGGGGGGGTTGTTTTGTTTTTTGTAGAGACGTAGTCTTGCTTTGTTGCCAGGCTAGTCTCAAACTCCTGGCTTCAAGTGATCCTCCTGCCTCAGCCTCCCAGAGTGCTAGGATTACAGGTGTGAGCGACCACGCCCAGCCCTCATGCATAAGTTTAAATGACAGTATTCTTGTGGTCTTGACTTGCCCCCTCTAATGTTAAATATTATATGGATATTTATATTATAATCACTATTATATTAATAGTGTCAAACCCTAATAGATGCTAAACAGTGACAGGCACTTAAGTAATAGCACTTAAGGTAGACATCTTATCACCCAAATACAGCTTAAATTTGAACTATAGGAGTCATATTTGGTTTTTCTTAACTATTTGGTAGGCCCTAGAATTTATTCCAAGAATGTGAATTAGGCCATGATGTTAAAATGATTCCAAGAAGAATGCTTTAAAGAGAAGAAAATATTGGGGGGAGTGGGGAGAGTAAAGGTTTCTTATATTGAACTTGGGTAGTTTCAAATCCAGAAGTGACTCCACTTCTTAGGGTTACCTTTTGGTACATTTTATTTCTGATTTCCTGAATCACACTTTTGTTTTTTCCAGCACTTGGATTCAGCTTCTTCATTTCCAACATGGAAGAAACTTACAGTATGTACTCCTTGTTGCTTTTAGAAAATAAGTTAAATCATTTACGTATAGTTTTATATCTGACAAGACTTTTAGTGTGCTGGGAAGAAGTCGGACTTCTCAACTGCTAAGGAGGAAAAGTCTTTATGGTATTGCCCAAATTTGAAATAAGATACTTGAAAATTAAGAAAAGAGGTATGAGAAGTCATAAAGCTTTGAAAAGGCCACAGTTAGGACACCTTTGTTAAACTATTAAATGAGGCAGGACTTCACCTTCTTGTATGTATGACACGGGGATAGTAACTTCTACTTTCTATTTTGAGGAGTAATATATAATAATGTTGATGTACATTAGTTTTTAGGATAAGAAATCTGGGAAGGATTCTTATTTCTCAAGTGATCCAGGAACCTTAGATGGCCCAAGAAATCAAAGCAGAGCCAGCACCTAGAATCATACAAGTGTAGAACCAAAAGGGACTTGAAAAATCATCTATTACAACAGAGACAACAGAACCTAGATTAATTATTTTGCCCAAGTTTACATAGTTAGGGACAGAGTCAGAACCAGAGTCTTCTATATTGTTTATACCTAGTACCCTACATGACACCACAGGCTCTGTTCTAGGCTCTGACTAAATTTGAGGAATATCTGAGTTTATGCCCGTGGATAAAACTTGTCAACAGTACCTACTTTTTCTTCCTACTTTGCTGTCTTGTTCAGAATCTCATTATAATTAAAAGTTCCAACTAAAGGATATTTCAGTCCCATTCTACCCTCTAGGAAGAGTCCAGTGGAGAGCTATATCTCCAAAATACAGAAACTACATAGAAATAATCTTTATTAAATATCTAGAACACAGTAGTTCTCAAACTTGTTAACATGCAGCAGAATCACCTGGAAAGCTTGTTGAACCAGATTGCTGGGTCCCACCTGCAGATTTTCTGATTCAAAAGGTCTGGTATCTGAGAATTTGCATTTCTAACAAGTTACCAGGGTGATGCTGATCTGAGGACCACACTTGAGAAAAGGGATCCCCTGCCCCTTAATTTTTCTTAAAGTTTTTGTTTTCTTTCTTTTGAGACAGAGTCTTGCTCTGTCACCCAGGCTGGAGTGCAGTGGCACAATCTCGGCTCATTGCAACTTCCACCCTCCCGGGTTCAAGCAATTCTTCTGCCTCAGCCTCCTGAGTAGCTGGGGTTATAGGCGTGTGCCACCATGCCCAGCTAATTTTTGTATTTTTAGTAGAGACCGGCCGGGTTTCACCGTGTTGGCCAGGCTGGTCTTGAACTCCTGACCTTGTGATCCACCTGCCTTGGCCTCCCAAAGTGCTGGGATTACAGGTGTGAGCCACCACACCTAGCCTTCTTAAAGTGTTTTTACTTAAGATGTGAAATTCCTGAGCCAGGCGTGGTGGCTCATGCGTGTAATCCCAGCTACTCAGGCAGCTGAGGCAGGAGGATCACTTGAGCCTAGGAGTTAGAGGTTACAGTGAGCTATGATCACACCACTGCACCCCAGGCTGGGTGACAGAGCAAGACCCTGTCTTTTTTTTTTTTTTTTTTTTTGAGAAGGAGTCTCGCTCTGTCACCCAGGATGGAGTGCAGTGGTATGATCTCAGCTCACTGCAACCTCTGCCTCCTGGGTTCAAGCGATTCTCCTGCCTCAGCTTCCTGAGTAGCTGGTACTACAGGTGCATGCCACAACGCCTGGCTAATTTTTATATTTTTAGTAGAGATGGGGTTTCGCCATGTTGGCCAGGCTGGTCTCGAACTCCTGGCCTCAAGTGATCCACCAACCTTGGCCTCTCAAAAGTGCTGGGATTACAAGCATAAGCCACTACGCCTGGCCGACCCTGTCTCTTAAAAAGAAAAAAGAAGGCTGGGTGCGGTGGTTCAGGCCCGTAATCCCAACACTTTGGGAGGCCAAGGCAGGTGGATCACAAGGTGAAAAGATCAAGACCATCCTGCCCAACATAGTGAAACCCCGTCTCTACTAAAAATACAAAAATTAGCTGGGCCTGGTGGCACTCACCTGTAGTCCCAGCTACTCGGGAGGCTGAGGCAGGAGAATTGCTTGGACCCAGGAGGTGGAGGTTGCAGTAAACCAAGATCACGCCACTGCACTCCAGCCTGGCGACAGACCGAGACTCCGTCTCAAAAAAATTAAAAGAAAAAAGAAGAAGAATGTGAAGTCCCTGTATGGTATATATACACTTATTCTTGGAAGCATACTACTGTCTATTAAATTAGAAAACAACATCTCCCCTTTCTGTCTCTTACTTCTTCGTTACTTTTTTCAGCCACATTTTTTTTTTCTTAAATATCACCTGGGAGTGTGTTGGAAATGGACAATCTCAGCGCTCATCCCAGACCTACTGAATCAGAATCAGCACTTTAACACAGTCCCTAAGTGATGTAACACCTGGAGAGTAAGTTAAAGTTTGAGAAACACTGCCTTAGACTATAGTTTCCCAAATTGACCTGGATTTCCAGCTTAATCTTACAGATTCCTGAACATCTCTGTCTTCTCTCTTTGGACTGTACCTCTTAGCTGATGATACTTTTGTCAGGCCTAGTTCCTTATTTCCATGAAGTTTTCTCCATTTCTCACCATGGGTTCTGGTCCCTACCCAAATCTGAGTAACAGCTGAGTCTGTGCTTTTAGAGGAAGCTTGTCAAATAGACCTACTTCGTTTTCGAAAGTAAATTATATTCCCAGGAAGCCAGACAAAAATTTGTAGAGCAGTTTGATAGTATTTATTACAACTTTTAATGCACAGACACTTCAATGCAATACTCTTAGGTGTTTATCCAAGAGAAATACTCATACATTGGCCGGGCACGGTGGCTTATGCCTGTAATCCCACCACTTTGGGAGGCTGAGGTGGGCAGATCACAGGAGGCTAGGAGTTTGAGACCAGCCTGACCAACATGGCAAAACCCTGCCTCTACTAAAAATACAAAAAATTAAACAGGTGTGCCTGTAATCCCAGCTACTTGCGGGGTGGAGGCACAAGAATCACTTGTACCCAGGAAGCAGAGGTTGCAATGAGCCAAGATCGCACCACTGCACTGTCCAGCCTGGGCAACAGAGCAAGACCCTGTCTCAAAAAAGAAAAGAAATACTCATACATGCAAAAAGAAGAATAAACTAGATTGTTAGTCACAGCATTGTATATAATAGTAAAAACTGGGCCAGGCGCGGTGGCTCACACCTGTAATCCTAGCACTTTGGGAGGCTGAGGCAGGTGGATCACCTGAGGTCGGGAGTTTGAGACCAGCCTGGCCAGTCTCTACTAAAAATACAAAAAAATTAGCCAGGCATGGTGGCGGGTGCCTGTAATCCCAGCTATTTGGGAGGCTGAGGCAGGAGAATCACTTGAACCCGGGAGGCAGAGGTTGCAGTGAGCCGAGATTCGCCATTGCACTCCAGCCTGAGCAACAAGAACGAAACTCCATCTCAAAAAAAAAAACAAATCTGGAAACAATGTAAATGTCCATTAATAAGAAAATCAAAAATTTGATACATCCATATGCAGCAGTGAAATATTTCTTATATGTAGTGACTTGGAAGGAACTCCAAGATACATTAAGTGAAAAGAAAAAAAAGCAAATTGCAAGACAGAAGATAAAGGAAATGGCCGAATGTGGTGGCTCACACCTGTAATCCCAGCACTTGGGGAGGCCGAGGCAGGTGGATCACCTGAGGTCAGGAGTTCAAGACCAACCTGACCAACATGATGAAACCCCGTCTCTACTAAAAATACAAAAATTAGCTGAGCTTGGTGGTGGATGCCTGTAATCCCAGCTACTCAAGAGTCTGAGGCAGGAGAACCACATGAACCCAGGCGGTGGAGGTTGCAGTGAGCCAAGATCGTGCAACTGCACTCCAGCCTGGATAACAGTGAGACTCCGTCTCAAAAAAAAAAAACAAAAAACAAAAAAAACACACAGGAAATTCTGTCACATGTTATAACACGGATAAACCTTGAGGACCTTAGGCTAAGTGAAATAGGCTAGTCACAAAAAGCAAAAGACTGTGATTTCACATATATGATGTATCTAGTCAGACTCACCAAAACAAAAAGTAATGGTGGTTGCCAGGAGCTGGGGGCAGTGGGGAATGGAGAGCTGATGGTTAATGGGTATAGAGTTTCAGTTTAGTAAAACAAAAAACTTTTGGAGACTAGTTGCACAACAATAAGGAATATATTAATGCTTAACACTACTGAACTGTATACTTAAAATTCATTAACATGGTAAATTTTATATGTGTTTTTAATCACAGTTAAAGATTTTTGTCCCAGCTACTCCGGGGGCTGAGGCACAAGAATCGCTCGAACTCGGGAGGTGAAGGTTGCAGTGGGCCGAGATCGCGCCACTTCACTCCAGCCTGGGCAACAGAATAAGACTCTGTCAAAAAAAAAAAAAAAAAAAGATTTTTAAATCAAAAAAATTTTTTTAATCTAGAAAGCCAGGTTAAAGTTGACCTAAAGTGCTGGAGACCAGGAAGTAAAGCATTACAATGAGAAGCTCTCATTATCAACTCTGACATATGCTACTATATGGGCAGTATAATATATATGAATCATAAGGTACCATCCAGTCTATCAGCTGCTGACATGGCCTAACATTTGCTAGTGATGGGAATGGATTAAATCAGGGGAAACTAACAAGAATTTCATCTGTAAATTCTCCCTGGTTGTCCTGAAGCTTCGGAAATATGAAACATTGCTGGTCAAGAAGAGCCTGGTTAGCATAATAAGCCTGCCTGTCCTTTAAGACTTTTCCTTCCTATTCATTCTGTCCTTCAAGTCACCTTTCTGGCTCATTTGCATCACGATCATGGTTGGCAATTTATTCCATGTTTACCACTCTTCCAGTGAAACTGTCTGTTTCAATTCCCCACTGGCTTCTGATTTTCCTAGCAGTCTCCTGGTTTATAAGCTTCTTATCAAATGTGAATTGTTTATCTTATTTCACTTTTATCATTGCCTTCAGGGGTGGCAAGAGCAATTTATTAGGTTGCCTCTTGTCTTCATAATATACCAGAATGTGCTTAACCATTTAATTTCCCTTCCTTAACCAGGCTTGTTAAAATTTGGGGCACAGCCTGGTCATCTTGTATAGCCTAAGGGTTGTTTTAAATAGCATTTTATAGGTTAGGGGCTTTCTTTCACACAGCAGTTCCATATGTCTGCAGTTGTCTTAACCTCAGAAGGTTCTGTTTTTGCACATTGTTCCTATTTTTTTAGCTGGCTAATGTAGTAGTCACTAGATTAAAGAATTCTCTGTTTTGTTCTCACATGTGTTCCAAAATATGAAAAGTAAAAACTACCTGTCTGATAACAGTATTGGTTTCATTTGAGAGGTAATTAGAGTAACCAAGATTAGGAACTACTTATAGGAGTAAGTTAAAGTAGACAGATGAAAAAGAAATCTATCCACTAATATTTTTCAAGCTTCCATAAAACATATAACTGATATAGGGCAGTGCTTACCAACTTTTTTCATGTCACAGGATACTAGTAATAGATGAAGATGCTATTACTAGTATCTTCATCTAGATACTAGTAATAGCAAGTATTACTATTACTTGCTATTACTACCCCCAACTTGCCTGTGGAAATGGGGGGTAGGGGATGACTTGAACTAGTTGTGGGCCCCCAAATCAGTGTATTAGCACACTAGAAATCCATTTCAACTGCAGCATACTGGTTGGGAGGCTCTGGATAGACTAGCTAGAGAATAGGAATAACCCTGAATTAGCACTTTTAGAAAAGGAAAAGAGGATGACATTTTATTTAACTTTTTGTTTTATAATAAGAGTAACCAGCAACAAAAACAATATGTTCAGTTCAATATGAAACTGAGACTTCACCCTGAGATTTCTGGTTCTGCTGAACTTACTAAGATTCAGAAATATTTTAAAAGTGTAGTCACCCTTTTTTTTTAATCCAAGTTTTCTTTAGACTATATTGTTCTATTATTACAGAGTCTCTTGAAAAAATCCAGTGTGCCTGGAATGCTGTAGTTTTACAAGGGCCTATTATCGTTTTACCTACTGAAACACTTCTGTCTTTCAGCCGACTCCCTGGACCCTGAGAAGCTATTGCAATGCCCCTATGACAAAAACCATCAAATCAGGGCTTGCAGGTTTCCTTATCATCTTATCAAGTGCAGAAAGGTAGGGTCATAATTTGCCCTCTAACACCCTCCTGAGTTCTTTTAAAAGGCCATATTTTATAAATATCAAATAATTTTATCATGTTTTAATTGATTGCCAGAATTGTTTTGGGAATCTACCTCTCTTAAATACCAACATTTATAGAAAGGCATTTGTTCATTCCTTAGGATAAATTTTTTCTTGTTTTGGTTTTCTTCCCATTAACTAGTGACAAAGAACCCTTTATAAACAGCATCTCTAGAGTCTTCTCACCCTTTGTAAAACAGACTAATTTTGGCTAACAATGAGAAATCCTGCCTATCTTCTAAATTTGATGTATTCATGAGCCTAACAATGATTGAGTGCTATAACTCACTTTTTCTGATTATTTTGTTTAGAAATTTTAGAGCTTGAACAGCTAGAAGTTAGCCCAAGAAAAATTATTCCTAAAAATAACTGTATCTCCAAGTTTCAACAGTAAACATCTTTAAAAAAATAATAAATAACGATTTTTTTTCTGGTCACTCTTGTATAGACTTAGCTGATATAAACTACTTTCATGCTACCTTAAATGAGACATTTTGACAATGTTGTTAGAATTCTGATACAGAAGCCAAAATTCTGCTAGAATTTATGCTTGGGAAACAATTGAGGTATTTAATCCAAACTGCATACAATTCAGCTTTAACATCCTTTAAAAAGTGCTTGTAATCCTGGAAACATCATGTATCTTTGTTATTTCTCCAGCTCCTTTTAATCTCGAGAGCAAGGATCCCTTAACATTAAACCTGGACAGTATGGATCAGCAGATACCACTACAACATTGTCCCCTCTAGGCTCTCAAACATTTCCCAAATGGAGTCAAGTGGTAAAAAAGACACTATCATAATTCCCTTCTTCTAATGTTCTTAATCTTTGGCCACAAAACCTTTGTATTGAATGCCTGATACCACTTATGAAAATGACGGCGATGCCTGCAAGTTTCTCACACCTATATATTTTTCCAGACTTCTCCCTACTTCATATTATTTTTACTTTTCCGAGTTTCATTTATGACATATCTTTTTTTTCCTAATAAATTTCTTAATTGCTGGTATATTTGCCATAGGATATAGGTGATACTAAACCCTTTGTTTTGTTTTAAAATAAGGAACTTGGTCAGCAAAGTAGACTCTATCATTTGGGTTTTTCCTTAGTGAAATAGCTGAAATGAAGGTCAAATTGTTCAGAGATTCATTTCAGGCATCATTACGTTAAGTAAGCATCACTGTGTTAATCTGAAAAATTATTGGTTTGCCTCTTCTGTGGCTCCCTTCCAACAGCTATTTTCCAGCACTATTGTATTGCAATAGCAGGGACACTACTGCAATGCAGACTAAGAGTGTATTTTAGTGTTGCTATTCATCTTGAATATCAGCTTTCAAAGACATCCAGAGAGCTCTCTCATTACGGGCTGTGCTGCCTGAATCATGTGACTCTGAGAAATAAATGGGGGAAAGATGTCGTTCCAATACCCAATCCTAAATTCATTGTTTAGCTAACAATATCTGTGTTGTCAGTCTCTACAATCATAACAAAAAGACTTATGTTTTGATGATTTTGAAGTAATTGTCTATAAAAACAATAAATAATTCCCTCTTAGTTTTTTACTCTGAGTTTACTTGTTATAGTTAAGCCAGAAGTTTATTGAGGAATTTTAGGGGAGGCATTTGTAGAATAAGGCTTAGCTACTCCCTGTTGACTTTAGTAGATCCAGAGAACTGACAGATCCCTTAATTTTGGTTCCACAGAATCATCCTGATGTTGCAAGCAAATTGGCTACTTGTCCCTTCAATGCTCGCCACCAGGTTCCTCGAGCTGAAATTAGTCATCATATCTCAAGCTGTGATGACAGAAGTTGTATTGAGCAAGATGTTGGTAAGACTTAGTATCTAAAATATTTCAGTACTGGAGGGTAGCTCCTTCAGATTTGTATTATGCTAGATTGTCAGCTTGATTTTTGGCTTTCAGTGTTTTAGAAGAACAATACTTTTCCACCTTTGAGATTTGTATCATGGCAGCAATAGGTTGTCAGATTGTACATGTCATACTGTTTTCTCTCCTGAACAGCCTGGTTCATTTTACTAATAATTCATCTAAAAATAAATCTTTTATTGCCATAAATATGGTAAACATTTTTGTTTCTGCTTTTCTTTCTTCTGTCAGCAAAGAGATAAGATCCCTCTTTTAGCTTTTATACTATCCATTTTTCAGAAATAAAGACCCAACAGGCTACCCTTGCAACCTTTTAAGCTACTAGCCCCTTTGAACACAATAACTTGGCAATATCCCCCTCTTATATCCAATCTTTATTGTCTTGCAGTCAACCAAACCAGGAGCCTTAGACAAGAGACTCTGGCTGAGAGCACTTGGCAGTGCCCTCCTTGCGATGAAGACTGGGATAAAGGTGAGCTGCCTCTACATCTTTTTCTTCACAATGTCTAAATCTCAAGTCATTTGCTTAAGACAGAAGGAAGATTTTCCTTTTTTATGAACATACCATGTTGTTCAGAATGCCTTATTATTTTTATTGGGCCCCAAAACGAGCACATTTGTATCGCTGTGCAGACACGTGGAACAGCCAATCCCTCTTGATTGGAAAAAGCACTTCTTTACATCTGTTTTTTTCCATAAATTGTGTTGTACCATCTGTGTTTGATTGTTAGTAGGCACGTTTATTATTATTTATGTTGCTTGTGTTTATATTCTTCAATTAAATTCTTGCTACTGTGTCACTTAGGCAGGACACTTGATCAATTTTTACTTGCTTCTGCAAAACTTAGGTGTATTATTTCCCATCTTATAAATTCAACCAACATGAACTGCTGGTGTCTTATCTAGTAGTACCACAAACTATGTTTTGCTTCCTTTAACAGATTTGTGGGAGCAGACCAGCACCCCATTTGTCTGGGGCACAACTCACTACTCTGACAACAACAGGTAAATGAAATAGTCTTATCCCAGCATTGTCTCCCAAAATCAGCGTGTTCTGTTACCAAGAGAAGCCACCGGAGCATGAATTGACCACTTTCTTTAACGATGTTCCTTGATGGTAGTTTAGTCTAGATATTGTTTTGGCATTTTTTCATATTTATTCCTTGATTCAAAAAGGTCATGTGCTTTGTGCCAATCATAAGGGATACAAAAATACATTATCGTTTAGCAAGGGAAACAGTAGCCCCAGACTTTCATGTGTCTTAGTTATGTTTTTTGCTAGGTTTACATTATTTTAATGCTTTGAAAAAATTCTCCCACTATACCACTTGGATCATTTTTACTTTAGGTAACTAGTGTATAGGAAAAAGCAGTCTTAAAAATTCTTTATTTGAGATTGGAAAATCCAGAGTACCTATTAGGAAAGAATATGCATCTCTTCTTCCCACTGATTTTGTATCTGATTTATTTTTTTAGAGACAGGGACTCTGTCAACCAGGCTGGAGTGTAATGGCATGATCATGGCTCACTGCAGGCTCTGCCTCCTGGGCTCAAGCGATCCCCCTGGGCCTCTCAAATAGCAAGAACTATAGGGATCCACCACCACACCTAGCTAATTCTTTATTTTTGCCCAGGCTGGTCTCAAACTTCTGGCCTCAAGTGATCCTCCCCCCTCTGCCTCCCAAAGTGTTGCTCATGCCCAGCTCTAATTGAAAACTAGATGATTTCTGGCCAGGCACAGAGTAGCTCATACCTGGAGGCCAAGGTGGGAGGATCGCTGAGGCCAGGAGTTCAAGATCAACATGAGTAACACAGTAAGATCCTGTCTCTACAAAAAAATTAAAAAAAAAAAATAAGCTGGGCATGGTGGTGGATGCCTATAGTCTCAGCTACTTGGGAAGTTGAGACCAGAGGATCATTTAAGCCCAGGAGGTCGAGGCTGCAGTGAGCCATGATCATGCCACTGCACTCCAGCCTGGGTGACAGAAAGAGTCCTTGTCCAAAATAAAATAAAAATGAATGAAGCTATTTCTCATTAACACCAATACTCAAACCTTGGAAGATCAAGTTTCAAACCCAAATGAGAATATTTCTGGTTTAGGAAATGAAGGAATAAGATGCTAGACTTCACTTTTTTCCCCAAACAGAATGCTTGTCAAATTTTTACTTTTTAACTACTGAGAACAGTAAATAATTTTAAGTGTATACTATTTTATGTGCACTAAGATAGAAAAACTTAAAATGAATTCCGTTGGCTACAACTTTTAATTTTACCTCAGTTGAAGATTTGCTGCTTTTGGTTTGGTTGCCTTAGCACTTTATTTTATCTCTTACGTTTATTGAGTGAGTTGATGAGCCTGTCATACAGCTGAACAGTAGATGGCATTGCTGTTTATCTCAATTTCTAGAAAATGAAAATGGTTAGACCCATCTTAATGTCTATACAGAACAGGGAGCTTTCCAGAGAAGTAAGTGGTAATCATTCTAATTGCCGGAACGTTTTGATGGAAATGTGTTTACATTTCAGATGAATGTAGGTTGTTGTTTTTCCCCAAATTACAAAAAACACATTTTGATTATCTTACGTGTGCCTGCTTGAATGATACTGATCTGCCGACATAGCCAAATTCATCTTTTTGCAGCCCTGCGAGCAACATAGTTACAGAACATAAGAATAACCTGGCTTCAGGCATGCGAGTTCCCAAATCTCTGCCGTATGTTCTGCCATGGAAAAACAGTAAGTGAAATAGAGACAAAATAGTTTTACTCTTTTCATTGTGCTAAATACAGTTGATCTTGATTATTCAGATGTGTTCAGTCTGAACACCTTGCATTTCCATGACCCTTAAAGTGAGTGCCTCCTTAAATGTTATGCCCTAAGCACCTTACTCAGTTCACCCTACTGACCGTGGTTAGGAGCAAGAAATTATGAACAGGAAAGTATAAGATCACAGAAGCCAAAAGAATATTTTCAAAATGGGGTGACCACTGACGTCAAATACCATGAGAAAATTTGGGAGCCAATAAAAAGGTTAATGATTTGGGCTAGGAGGAAGTGATCCCTGATTTCTTTCAAGGCATAATATCAGGCCGGGCGCGGTGGCTCACGCCTGTAATCCCAGCACTTTGGGAGGCCGAGGCGGGCGGATCACGAGGTCAGGAGATCGAGACCATCCCGGCTAAAACGGTGAAACCCCGTCTCTACTAAAAATACAAAAAATTAGCCGGGCGTAGTGGCGGGCGCCTGTAGTCCCAGCTACTTGGGAGGCTGAGGCAGGAGAATGGCGTGAACCCGGGAGGCGGAGCTTGCAGTGAGCCGAGATCCCGCCACTGCACTCCAGCCTGGGCGACAGAGCGAGACTCCGTCTCAAAAAAAAAAAAAAAAAAAAAAGGCATAATATCAGTAGGGAATTGGGATCAGAAATTGGATTGTGAGGGCCTAAAAGGAAATGAGTAGAGAGAAAATGAAAGTCATAAGTCATAAGAACCAGCATAAAGAATGGTATTCAGATGTCCTCCCCAGACTTTAGAGGTCATGCTGGGTAAACAAGTACTAAATTTGTATCATATTACCGTCATAATGAAATTTCCACATAGAGAACACCCAAGATACTGTCATTTTTACTTAATACAAACTTTCTTTTCCAATGTTGCCCCTAGATTCAGATTCTCTTGATTTCAGTCTGTGCTACTGTTTGAGCTAATTTTTAGGTGGCTAGAGGATTCACTTTAAAACGTTTCTCCCTGGATACTTGCATTTCCCAAAAAATGAAGTCACCAAATTATATGTCAAAAGGCTTGGTAGGTAAAGGTCTATTTTCTTTTCCCATGCTCTTGAATGAAATCTGATTACTAATATTAAATTCTTCTACTTTTATATTATAATTCAGTATACACAGGAATAAGTCATTTGTGTTTAGTAAGAATAGGGGATGGAGTGAATTTCAATTGACATGGTGTATTTATTTTGAAATATTTCTACTTGTAGATGGAAATGCACAGTAACTGAATACCTATCTCATCAAGTAAGTGTTTCAGTTTTATTTCACTGTCTCTTCAGATGGTAGCAAGATTTAACTGGACATAAAGCAATTTGGGTCCAATTTTCTTTCAGATTATGGTACCAAATTAAAGCTTTGTGTGTGCATGTGTTTTTTAAGTATATAGCCTCTGTTATGGCTTTACACTCTAATGAATAGGCATTTACTGGTTAAATTAGAATTCTGTTAACATGCCAATTTGTTTTCTCTAACATTAGTACACATTGCCTTTTTTTTTTTTATCAAAGTTGCATTCTAGATCTATCATGCCTCTTTTAATGGACTGAGATTAATCATTGAGCTGTGCTTCACTGCTCTGCAATTCATTCCCTGTGCAGTACAGTTTAATACTCATCAAAAAATTCATACTTTTTTTAATGAGCACTTAAAAGTTTTGGGTTTCTGGCCGGGTGCAGTGGCTCACGCCTGTAATCCCAGCACGGGGAGACCAAGGCGGGCAGACCATTTGAGGTCAGGAGTTTGAGACCAGCCTGGCCAACATGGTGAAACCCTGTCTCTACTAAAAATTCAAAAATTAGCCGGGCGTGGTGGTGCACGCCTGTAATCCCAGCAACTCGGGAGGCTGAGGCAGGAGAATCGCCTGAACTGGGAGGCAGAGGTTGCAGTGAGCCGAGATCATGCCACTGCACTCCAGTCTGGGCCACAGAGTAAGATTATGTCTCAAAAATAAAATAAAATTTAAAAAATAAAAGCTTTGGGTTTCTAAGAGTTTTACACTGTCGATCTTATCTGAGTATTTGATTTAGCAGAACCTCACAAAATCTATGTGAAGAGACCAAAATCTCTCTCACTTTTCACAGATGAAGCCTTTCCTTTAGGTTACCCTATGTGCCTGTGGCAGAGCCAAGTTTGATCCTTCAAATGTCGTCTTGGCTGAGGTTGCCCAGACACATTGCTTCTGGCAAAGGGAATGTTATAAAGGCTGAGAATGGGATTATATCCCAACTGTTTTGCAGTTAGTAGGCCCTCAGTGAATATTCATTGAATTAATGAATAATTGGCCTCTTGCATTCCAGTCTGTTCACTCTCTCTGAACAGTGAAACAGATAAATCTGTGAGTTAGTTTCATTTTGTAGTAAAACTGATGTTTCTTCTGGTAAGAAGCAGAAAAGAGATGCTAAAAGTTAACATCCCTTAGCTATAGACAATAATACTTATCAGTTGCTTCTAGGTACCAGCCATTTTTCCTAGTAGATTCTGACGTCAAATTGTTAAATACATTTGAAAGCCAGAAAATGGGATTTGGTCCCAGAAGGAAAAGAGATACACCAGCACTGGGGTACATCAGGAAAGCATACATTGAGTATGGTGGTATGCACCTATCATCCCAGCTACTTGAGAGGCTGAGACAGGAGGATCACTTGAGCCCAGGAGATCAAGGATAAAGTGTACCATGACTGTGCCTGTGAATAGCCACTGTACTCTAGCCTTAGC
The DNA here is from genome assembly GCF_000001405.40 of Homo sapiens. Classification (NCBI taxonomy): domain Eukaryota; kingdom Metazoa; phylum Chordata; class Mammalia; order Primates; family Hominidae; genus Homo; species Homo sapiens. Next base: position 54,457,618 of record NC_000012.12, on the reverse strand, counting down.
AACATAGTGAGACCTCGTGTCTTAAACAAAAGCAGGGAGGGCTGGGCACAGTGGCTCACACCTGTAATCCCAACACTTTGGGAGACCAAGACAGGGGGATTGCTTGAGCCCAGGAGTTTAAGACCAGCCTAGGCAACATAGTGAGACCTGTCTCTAAAAAAAGGGGTTGGAAGAGAAGCATACATTGAACAGACCTGGATAAATGGTGAATTTTGAATTCCTCTCTGATATGCTATACAAGGTGTCTGGCGATCAAACAATATGAATAGCTGTCTAGTAAAAATGGCTACTCTAAGATGAAAATCTAGGAGAAATTTCTGTGTCTATAACTTAAGACCAGACCCTTCTCTCCTTTGGGACTTAACTCTTTATGGTTAAACTCCTTACACACTAAAAATTTATTTTTCTGTGTAACTCCTGAGGGATCAGAAAAATAATTAGATTAGATAAGAATCCTTAAGCAGCCACAGACATTATCCTCTTAATAAAAATGAAGTTTTGGGTTTTTGTTTGTTTGTTTGTTTTTTGTTTTTGAGATGGAGTCTGGCTCCTGTCACACAGGCTGGAGTGCAGTGGCGCAATCTCGGCTCACTGCAACCTCCACCTCCCGGGTTCAAGCGATTCTCCTACCTCAGCCTCCCAAATAGCTGGGATTACAGGTGTGTGCCACCACGCCCGGCTAATTTTTGTATTTTTAGTAGAGATGGTGTTTCACCATGTTGGCCAGGCCAGTCTCGAACTCCTGACCTCAGGTGTTCCACCCGCCTTGGCCTCCAAATAGCTAGGATTACAGGCAGGAGCCACCACACCCGGCCATTAAGTATTATTTTCAATGCCTGTTGTTGTAGAATTCTCTAGTTTCTTTGGAAGGATACAAAAGAAATAAAAGATATGACTATGCCCTTAAGGAACTTAAGTGTGAGTGAAATGTTTTTGAATATACATACATGACAAGGGTTTGTTCACTTAGCATTTAATGTGTTTTATCCTATTTATGTTTTTATCAACAACTCCACTTTTTACTAGATAAGTACCTCAGAAGCAGGTAGTATCATACCAATTCTTGTCCCCTAATTTACATTGTAAAAGCTTAAAAACTATTTTTGAACTAATGAGTAAATACAGTATGTGAGAAAAAGATCAAGATAATTGGAGTTAATCCAGAATTGCATGAATGAATCAATTTCCTGATATTCTCCTCACTTGTAAAACTCTTGACACAGAAGTGCACATTGATTTCTGTATAGAATGTTTTTAATTCAATTAACAAGTTTCTCTGTGCTCAATGGTAGTAAAGAGTTAAAGATCAGAAGGTACTTGGTGTTCTGCCATCAACAACAGCAGATTCCTCCAGCAGAACAAGATAATTTAATTGGGTTATAGTTGTGTGGCCCATTGTCAGATGTAGTTGGTGCTTTTTTCATTGAAAAAAACTAAGAACTTTTTTTTCTCCATTTACTTGCAGATGCCAGACCCTAGAAGACTGTTGCTTCTTCTTCTACCAGTGGGTTCTCATTTTCCTCCTAATCTAATTATAGAATGGTAAACTCCCTGTGACTTTCCAAACTGACAAGCACACTTTTTTCCTCCCCCCTTGAATCCTCATTTAATGCAAGAACCCTCATACTCAGAAGCTTCCAAATAAACCTTTGATACAGATTGCTTAATAGTTTGGTCAAGTACCTGCAGCCCCAAGATCAGAGATCATGTCCAATTCCACATTAATGAACCATAATGATTTAAAGTTTTCTTAAAGGATCTAACTGAAATAGACAGGAAACTTGGGTTAGAAAAGGTAACTGTGTATTTGTGTTCTCTGACACACATGGACCAAATTCCTTTTAGTGTTTGTAGCAATGGACTTTTTCTGATCAGTGCATCTGTTTATCCATTCTCTAAGATACTGATAACATTTATAAAGCAAAATACTCCATTCTTATTTATAGTCTTTAGGACATCTTACTGCCTATCCAACCTAGGGTAGTTTTATTCATCTCCCCACATTCCAGCTAGAAATTGTACTAGCAGTCAATCTAAGTGTGGATTATGTAGGAATTAAGATTGGAATGGAGGGGAGGAAGTATACCTGTGGAGAAGAGATGGGCTTTCCACCTGTGTGTGAAATTTGATTAAGCTTCGGAGTTTAAATGTGTAAAGGCCCTGCTGACTGCCCTGGGATATGCGTGTAACGACTTAGATTTCTGAAACACCCAAAGCTCTGGCTATCCTAGCATCTTGTGGATTCTTATAAGGAGACTTTATAATCTCCCCAGACCAGTTTTTTGTTTGTTTGGATTATTTTTGAGTTTTGTTTTTGTTTTTTTGTTTTTGAGATGGAGTTTCACTCTTGGTCCTAAGGCTGGAGTGCAATGGTGCGACCTTGGCCCACTGCAACCTCTGCCTCCCAGGTTCAAGTGGTTCTCCTGCCTCAGCCTCCTGAGTAGCTGGGATTACAGGCATGTGACACCATGTCCGGCTAATTTTGTATTTTTAATAGAGGTGGGGTTTCTGCATGTTGGTCAGGCTGGTCTCGAACTCCCGACCTCAGGTGATCCGCCTGCCTTGGCCTCCCAAAGTGCTGGGATTACAGGCATGAGCCACTGCACCCAGCTTGTTTGGTTTTTATCAGGTTAGGTTTGGTTTTAAAAGTGTCTAGCATGGTGGGGAGGCATTTGGGATCTGGTATAGATAGGGACTTGGATGAAGAATACTGAAACATTTCCAAAAAAGATTCTCTAGCATGGTTTGAAGATGACAGATTAAAAAGAGGGAGTGGACTCCTGTGGAATACCTCCTTCCAAGAGTTTTACACAAAACAGGATTCTCCCCCTAATGAAGCAGAGCTGTTCATTTAGCTCCAATCTTTAAAAACAGGTTCAAAATAAGACCCAGCACAATAGTATTTCTGCTTCCAGCTATGTGATCTTAATAAGTAGGCTATTTCTCCTGGAAAAGGTAGTATATTAAGGAGGAAAAAATACACCTATATGTCCCCTAATTCCGGTAGTCATTTATGTTTGTATATCAGTACCTCACAACAACTTTATTTTAAAGAAGTCATATTACTGATAAATACAAAACACTTTTTTATTTTATTTTGGTGATGACAAAACAAAACTGTCTATACTGCACTTAGAACCTAGAACTCCTACCTAGTTTAGGAAAAACAAGTAATATGAGTTTCATTGCAAAGAGCTACTCAAATACAACTCAACAAAGGAATTAAATAGAAATTAATTTATTCATGGGGCTCAGTGTCTTATGCCTGTAATCCCAGCACTTTGGGAGGCCAAGGTGGGTGGATCACTTGAGGCCAGGAGTTTGAGACCAGCCTGGCAACATAATGAAACCTGATCTCTACTAAAAATGGCAAAAAGTTAGCCAGCATGAGGGTGCGTGCCTGTGGTCCCAGCTACTCAGGAGGCTGAGGCATGAGCATCGCTTGAACCCAGGAGCTGGAGGTTGCAGTGAGCCAAGATCGCATCACTGCACTCCAGCCTGGGCAACAGGGCGAGATTCTGTCTCAAAAAAGGAAAAAAAAGAAAATAGTTACTTTGTGCTTCTTAACTATTTAAAGGGTCAAGGTAAGCTAACATCTATCATTCATGAAAAATATTTTGTTATTTTAGGAGGACATCTCTTTGCTCATGACTACTAGGACATAATCACAAAACATCTGACCTTTTGGAGTGTGAGTAGCACTCACTACAGGAGAATGCCTGCCTGTGTTGATTTTGTTAGCTCACAAAATAGTTCTGTTTCTTTTTTTTTTTTTTCTTTTTGAGATGGAGTCTTGCTCTGTCTCCAGGCTGGAGTGCAGTGGCGCGATCTTGGCTCACCGCAACCTTCAACTCCCTGGTTCAAGCAATTCTTCTGCCTCAGGCTCCCGAATAGCTGGGACTACAGGCACCCGCCACCACACCTGGCTAATTTTTGTGTTTTTAGTAGAGACAGGGTTTCACCATGTTGGCCAGGATGGTCTCGATCTCCCGACCTCATGATCCACCCACCTCGGCCTCCCAAAGTGCTGGGATTACAGGCTTGAGCCACCGTGCCCAGCCAGTTCTGTTTCTTTAGTAAACTAATGATTAAAGCCACCAAATTGTCTGGTCACAAGCTTTTAAGGCCTAGGATTCACTAACCTAGATTTAATTGGCAGGAAATTTTTGGAGATCCCCAAAAACTAGTAAAAAGAAACAGTTCTTAGGCCAGACGCAGTGGCTCATACCTGTAATCCCAGCACTTTGGGAGGCCAAGGCGGGTAGATCACTTGAGGTCAGGAGTTCGAGACCAGCCTGGCCAACATGGCAAAACCCCGTCTATACTAAAAATACAAAAAAAATTAGCCAAGTGTGGTGGCGGGCACCTGTAATCCCAGCTACTTGGGAGTCTGAGGAAGTAGAATCACTTGAACCCGGGAGGCAGAGATTGCAATGAGCCTAGATCATGCCACTACACTCCAGCCTGGGTGACAGAGTGAGACTCCCATCTAAAAGAAAAAGGAAAAAAGAAAAAAAGAAATGGTTCTTGGGAGGGAAAGCTTGCTTATCTTTGGGACCTTCCTTTTCAAAGGATACCCTTCCTTTGGAATGTGAACAGTGGAAGGTAAACAGTTGAATATTCTGCCTCAGTTTCAGCTAAAGTCAAGTGTTATGGTTAAAGGTTAAATGCAGAGGTATTTCAAAAGCTTAGCCCAGAGAGATCTAAGCTTTGAGTCCTGCATTTTAGTCTCCTCCAGGGTTTCCACACTCTACCCAAGGAGAGGATTTGCTTTTTGGAAGATTGCCTTTCTCCATAGGGGTTCTACAAGTGCCATTGTGATTTGCAAATGCTCTCACCAGGAAAAAACAAATGTAGGTGATAAGTGATGCTTAGCTCTCCTGGTAGTTGTACCTGAGCTAAACAAGGAGAGTATTTGGACTTAATTTCAAATAATGCCCTTTCATTGGTAAGGCAGAACAGTAGCTGCTTGTGTTTGTCTCTCAGACAAAATGTACAGTATATACTGTACTGGCATTCTTGTATTCCTTTAGTTGTACTTTTCACAATTCATATTAAACTCCAAAATAGGCAAAAACTGAGGAGATAATATTATACTTATTTTTACCATTTTTAAAGAAGCAAGTTGTAAAAATTAAAGCAATTTATATACTGTATTTTAAATGATTAAAACTGGACTGGCCTTAGACATCTAGGAAAATACGCATTTTCATGTGCCAGTTCAATGGTAGAATAAGGAAAAACTACCTAAATTTCATGCAAAAATACTATAACAACTGCTCATTCCTTTGACCACTGTCTTCCTGATACTGTTAAGGTTCAGAACATATTTACATCCTACTTTACAGTGTTGGCCTCTTCAGAGATCACTGAAAACACACTAACCTGTTACCTCATACTACCCCTCAGCTGACTTTCCATTCCAGCCACACTAAGGTCTGATAAATGCAAACCTGTGTATGAACAGGGCATTTGCCTTTTACACAGCAATTCACTGCCTGATCCAACTCATTTAACTCATAAACTTGTTAACAGGTCAGACAAAAATGAAATATAGGATTGTTTGTAGCTAGGAAGAACAGCATCCTAAACAGTAACCCAAAGAACAGCTATTTGGTCAACAGATTTGCATTGGTATTTACCTTAAAGACTGGTTTATATGAAACTAAAATAGTGTAAGAGACTTTGAGGAAACCTATAGAAGACAAGTTTAGTTGTTTTATATATGTAAGGAGGAAATCAGGTTTATTGAAAACCACTGCTTATGAACCCAACCATGCCTCTTAATTTTTATTAAAATACTTGTCACTGAAATAAAGTAAGTTTTTTCAAGTTTGTCTGTTTCAGTTGTTGCCTCAGACCAGCATCCTGAATCCCCTTGACCCCCGCCCCTATTGTTCTACTGTCTCTGCTTTACCAATTCCCAAGTTAAGTGAAGCCCACCATGTTTTACTCTGTTCCTTCTAGGTTATCAAGCATAGTTACAGAAAATCATATGTTTTCATTGGACAGGGTCTGGGGCTTAGATTTAGCTCCTTGTGTTAGTTTTCTCTAGAGTAGATCTTTATAGTAGAGATGCAAATTGAAAGGAATTGAAAGTCTTGTTCTTGAAATTAGAAGCTCCACTGAGATATCCTTTTGTTGAACTGCAGATTTCGACAAAGGAGTCTGTTTTAGCTTTATAAAACCCTGCAAAAATAAGCATTCACATGGTTCCCACTAGGTATGTAAATTTGATATCCACCTATTGTATCCCATATAGAGCTGAAAGGGGCTGGGCGTGGTGGCTCATGCCTGTAATCCCAGCACTTTGGGAGGCTGAGGCAGGTGGATCACTTGAGGTTAGGAGTTCGAGACCAGCTTGGCCAACAAGGCGAAACCCTGTCTCTATTAAAAATACAAAAATTAGCCATGGTGGCAAACTCCTGTAATTCCAGCTACTCGGAAGGCTGAGGCAGGAGAATTGCTGAAACCCAGGAGCTGAAGATTACAGTGAGCTGAGATCACACCCCTGCACTCCATCCTGGGCAACAGAGCAAGACTCTGTCTTAAAAAAAAAAAAAAAATGCTGGGTGCAATGGCTCACACCTGTAATCCTAGCACTTTGGGAGGCCAAGGCGGGCGGATCACGAGGTCAGGAGATCGAGACCATCCTGGCTAACACGGTGAAACCCCGTCTCTACTAAAAATACAAAAAATTAGCCGGGCGTGGTGGTGGGTGCCTGTAGTCCCAGCTACTCAGGAGGCTGAGGCAGGGAATGGCGTGAACCCGGGAGGCAGAGCTTGCAGTGAGCTGAGATCACACCACTGCACTCCAGCCTGGGCGACAGAGCCAGACTCCATCTCAAAAAAAAAAAAAAAAAAAAACTGAAAGGGAGCTTAGAGAGTACCTGATCCAAAGCTTCATCTTACACATGAAGAAACAGGCCCTATACAAGTGTGAAACATGACAGTTTTTTAAAAGGAAATAGAACGATAAACACAAAGTTCAATATAGTGGTAATCCCTAGGGAAGAGGCCAGGATGAGGGGACCAGGAAGAAACACAGGATATTAGTAGTAGTCTGTTGGTAAGTTGGATGGTGAGTTTGTTGGTGTTTATTATGCTTCACAAGTGTGTATTAAATACTATATAATTTTAAAACACTTAAGAATAATTGTTAAAAGAGTTGCAAAGTTCTTACTATAGGCAAGTTACTGTTCTTACTTAGCATTTTATGTATTTTAACCCAGGAGGGAAAAAAAAACAGGCCCTGAAAATTTGATCCTTGCACAGCTTGTTAGTAGTGAGCTATGACCATAACCTGGGACTTCAGATTTCTAATTTACTGCTTTTATACGATTCTTCCCTAAATATTGATTCTACACTCAACTTCTCATTCTCTCAGGCTATGAGTTTCCTCCTGAACTCATTTCCACATCTGCCAGTTTAGACTCCATGATCCAGTACTTCAGTAGCCTAAACCAGCATCCTTAACCCCCGCTATTGTTCTGTCTCTGCTTTACCAATTCCCAAGTTGAGAGAAGCCCACCATCTTTTACTCTATTCCTGCTAGGTTATCAAGCATAGTTACAGAAAATCATATAACTATGCCACCTAACTCCACTGCAGATACAGATTTCTAAACTCGGGCACTCATTCCTGTTTGACTTTCAGATTTACCTGGTGGCCGTTGCAGCCCTTTTACTATTCTCAACTTCGTAGTCCCTACTTTCCATCCTCCACTATCAGGAGATGACATTGACTTTACCTCCAACTTTTTTGAACTCCTGGGCTCAAGCCATCCTCCCAAGTAGCTAGAGCTACAGGTGTGTGCCACCATACTCAGCTACTTTTTAAAAAGAATTTTTAGAGATGTGGTCTTAGTATATTGCCCAGGCTAGTCTCAAACTCCTGACCTCAAATGATCCTCAACCTCAGCCTCCCAAAGTACTGGGATTACAGGCATGAGCCACCACACCTGGTCTTGATTTCCTTGAGAAGGTACTGGTCATTGACCTTAACTTACTCTTTAACTCTTATAGCACCTCTTTTTCCTTTATCTCAGTATACTTCTGGCTGGGCACGGTTGCTCACGACTGTAATCCTAGCACTTTGGGAGGCCAAGGCAGGCGGATCACTTGAGGTCAGGAGTTCGAGACCAGCCTGGCCAACATAGTGAGACCCCCATCTCTACTAAAAATACAAAAAATTAGCTAGGCGTGGTGGTGCATGCCTGTAATCCCAGCTATTTGGGAGGTTGAGGCAGGAGAATCGCTTGAACCTGGAAGGCAGAGGTTGCAGTGAGCCAAGATGGTGCCACTGCACTGCAGCCTGGGCAACAGAGCAAGACTGTCTCAAAAAAAAAAAAAAGTATACTTCCTCTACAAGGCTAACTTTGTCTGTGAACTTTGTACTGCATCACATTGTATTATCTATTGCTACATAACCAATTTCCCCAAAACATAGTGTATTAAAACAATAATAAACATTACTCTCATAATGTCTGTGGATAAGGAATTTGGGAGTTACTTAGCTGAGTAATCCTGGTTTGGGGTCTTTCATGTAGATGCAGTCAAGAGTCAGCCAGGGCTGGGCACAGTGGCTCACACCTGTAATCGCGCATCCCAGCACTTTGGGAGGCCAAAGTGGGCAGATCACTTGAGGTCAGGAGTTTGAGACTAGCCTGGCCAACATGGTGAGACCCTGTCTCTACTAAAAATACAAAAACTGGCCAGGGATAGTGGCATGCACCTGTAATCCCAGCCACTTGGGAGGCTGAGGCAGAAGAATTGCTTGAACCCAGGAGGTGGAGGTTGCAGTGAGCTGAGATCGTACCACTGCACTCCAGCCTGGGCGACAGAGCGAGACTCTGTCTAAAAAAAAACAGAAAGAGTCAGCCAGGGCTGCCATTTCTGAAGACTTGACTGAGGTGGGACGATTTGCTTCTTAAGTGGCTCACTTACATGCCTGGCAATTCAAGGCCTCAGTTGCTCCCCATGCGGGACTCTACAAAGCCTGCGAGTATCCTTACAACATGTCAACTGACTTCCCCCATGGTGGGCAATTTAAGAGCAAGGTGGAAGCTGTAAATTATTTTATGACCTAACTTCAGAAGTCACGCTACATCATTTCACAATATGCTTTTGGTTACACTGGTGAGCCCTTTTCATTGTGGGAGGGGACTTTACAGGAACATGAATGCCAGGAGGCAAGAATCAATGGGGGGCTGTCTTGAAGGCAGTCTACTACACTGAGCTTCTCCTATCCTCCAATATCTTCCATAAGTCAATTCCTCTCTCCTCTTTAGCTTTTTTTTCTTTGAGATAGGGCCACACTCTGTCACCCAGGCTGGAGTGTAGGGGTGCTATCATACTTCATTGCAACCTCAAACTCCTGGGCTCAAGCAATCTTCCCACCTTCCATGACTGGTCTTTCTTTCTTTTTTTTTTTTCTTTTTTTTTTTTGGTAGAGATGGGATCTCACTATGTTGCCCAGGCTGGTCTCAAACTCCTGGCCTCACGTGATCCTCCCATCTCAGCCTCCCAGAGTGTTGGGATTACAGGTGTGAGCCACCATACCCAACCCTCTTCTCTTTAAATTAACTCTACTCTTTCCTTAACTCTTTCAGCTATGAAAATGTTTATGTTTATTTTTTAAAATATATACCCTGTTCTCCATATTAATCAGGGTTTGGTTGCAGAGAACAGAATCGATTCTAGCTAGATTAAGCAGTAAAGGACTTATTACTAGGGCATCAAATGGATGGATCACAGAATTCTGGGGAAGGCTGAAGAAACAAACTCTAGACTGGACTTCCAGAAATGATTCCTAAAGACTGCTAAGGGAGGCCAGTCGTGGTGGCTCACACCTGTAATACCAGCACTTTGGGAGGCCAAGGTGGGCAAATTGCTTGAGCCCAGGAGTTGGAGACCAACCTGGGCAACATAGTGAAACCCTGTCTCCACTAAAAATACAAAAATTAGCTGGGGTATGGTGGCATGCGCCTGCAGTCCCAGCTACTCAAGAGGCTGAAATGGAAGGATTGCCTGAGCTCAGGAAACGGAGGTTTCAGTAAACCGAGATCTTACTACTGCACTCCAGCCTGGGTGAGAGAGTGAGATCCTGCCTCAAAAAAGAAACTGCTAATCAGGCCGGGCACGGTGGCTCACACCTGTAATCCCAGCACTTTGGGAGGCCGAGGCAAGTGGATCACCTGAGGTCAGGAGTTCAAGACCAGCCTGACCAACACGGTGAAGCCCCGTCTCTACGAAAAATACACAAAAATTATCCAGGCGTGGTGGTGGGTGCCTGTAATCCCAGCTACTCAGGAGGCTGAGACATGAGAATTGCTTGAACCCAGGAGGTAGAGGTTGCAGTGAGCTGCACTCCAGCCTGGACAACAGAGTGAAACTCCGTCTCAAAAAAAAAAAAAAGACTGCTAAAGGAGCTGCTACCGCTTCTACTATATTTAGGAAGCTTCTACTACATTCAAGAAGCTTCTACAATAGTTAGGAAGCTGCCATTGCAGCTGCTAGTCCAAGAAGTAACCACCTCTGCCACTGTCAGCATCCCTAAATGGATGCCCTGCACCCCGTCTTAACCCCTGCTGGCTTCAGAATCCAAGTGAAACACTAGTGCATCTGATTAGCAGAACTTAATTCAGAAGTGATTTAAGATAGCTAGCTAGAAGAGAATGTGGGAAATTTAGTCTTTAGCTTTCCAGCTTCTGCACACTAGAAGAGTGTGCATTCTGACCAAACAAATACATAAAATCCTTCACACTCCCACTGAAGCAATTACGACTTCGGTGCCAAGTTTTTTGAAAGAGTTGTCTATACCTGGTCTTAAATTCCCACTTACTCCTTAATCCATTGCAATCTGGCCACTCTATTACCATCATCACCACCCAATCCCCTATTTGCAGGACCAGTGGTCCGTTTTAGTCCTGCTCCCTGAAGCATTCAACAGTAGCAGATTGTTTCTTGTGATGCTTGTGATAGTGGTCATATCAATGTTGTTCATGAAAGAATTAGCTGGGGCACTGGGCGCAGTGGCTCACGCCTGTAATCCCAACACTTTGGGAGGCCGAGGCAGGTGGACCACTTGAGGTCAGGAGTTCAAGACCAGCCTGGCCAACATGGTGAAACCCCATCTCTACTAAAAAGTGCAAAAATTAGCCAGGCATGATGGTGCCCGCCTGTAATCCCAGCTACTCGAGAGGCTGAGACAGGAAAATCACTTGAACCCAGGAGGCAGAAGTTGCGGTGAGCTCAGATCATGCGACTGCACTCCAGCCTGGGCGACAGAGCAAGGAGATCAGTCTCAAAAAAAATGAATTACTTGGAGCCATCTTCCTCAAAGGGGCCTTGGACTTGAAGGGAATTAGAGCTTCAGCTGTCACCTAGACTCGCCCTTCCTTGTACATGACTAATCCAGATTAATGATGTTACTGTTCTCTCAGTCTTTTCAGAATTCCCTCACATTCAATTAGCCACCAAATCCTGGCATTTAAATACCAAAGATGACTTCCGAAGCCAACCAGTTCGTTGCATCTCCATCACCACTACTCTATTTCAGATCATTACCTTTGCCCGAACTATTGCAGCAGCTAGTCTTTTAGCCACTAGGTTTTCCTCATTCAGTTTATCTTCCACCTGCCATAGCACAACTTTCATGATATTTAATTGTTCTTAATTTACCCAGTAATAGTAAATAGCAGGCCGGGCATGGTGGCTCATGTTGGTAATCCCAACACTTTGGGAGGCTGAGGCAGGAGGATCACTTGAGCCCAGGAGTTCACAACCAACCTGTGCAACATAAAGAGACCTTGTCTCTACTAAAAATAAAAAAATTTAGCCAAGCATAGTGGCAAATACCTGTAGTCTCAGCTACTTGGAAGGCTGAGGCGGGAGGATGGCTTGACCCCAGGAGTTAGAAGCTACAGTGACCTGTGTTCACACCATTGCACTCCAGCATGGGTAACAGAGTGAGGCCCTGGCTAAAATAAATAAATAAATAAAAGAGTAATAGCAAAGGCTTATGAGCACTTGGTATGCACCAAGTACTATACAATGTACTTCATATGCATGTCACATTTAATTCCACATAATAAAGTGGATACTGTGCCTACAAGTAAAGATACAAGTCCTTCCTTGATAAATAAGGAAGCTGAAAGTCCTCAAACTTACAAGATTTGACCAGAGTTGTTTAGTTACTATATGGAGAAACCAGAACTGGAGTCATGTCTGCTACCCCTAAAGGCAGCACTCTTAACCCCACTGTATTTTATGATTGCTACAGCCTCATCTCTCCCCATCCTATTCATAGTCTAGCCATGGCGAACTCACCGTCTTTCTAATATATGGTGGTCTTTAATAACCATACCTCAGCACATCTTGTTTCCTGAAATGCACTTGTTCCCTCCCCTTCCCAATGCCTTTCTGCTTAGCATATTCCTATTCCACCTTCAATTCCAACTTAAATGTTACCTCTGGAGTAATTTTTCCAAGTTCCCTGTTCTATGCTCCTACTTTTCCCCATTCATACTTTTTTTTTCTTTTTTTTTGAGACGGAGTCTCGCTCTGTGGCCCAGGCTGGAGTGCAGTGGTGTGATCTCGGCTCACTGCAAGCTCCACCTCCCGAGTTCACGCCATTCTCCTGCCTCAGCCTCCCGAGTAGCTGGGACTACAGGCACCTGCCACCAAACCCGGCTAATTTTTTGTACTTTTAGTAGAGACGGGGTTTCACTATGTTAGCCAGGATGGTCTCGATCTCCTGACCTTGTGTCCGCCTGCCTTGGCCTCCGCTGGGATTACAGGCATGAGTGCTGGGATTACAGGCATGTAAGTGCTGGGATTACAGGCATGAGCCACCGCGCCTGGCCCGTTCACTCTTTTTTTAATAATACTTACTGAGTTGTGTTGTAATTAGCTTCTTAATGCTTGTATCTTTCAGGGTTTAGAAGGAAACAGAAACCACTCTTGATATTTTAAGCAGAAAGGGAATTTAATATAGAAAATTAGGTACTTACAAAATCATTTGAATAGCTGAAGGAGCAGGCTATATGTGAGACCTCTAGGAATGACTCTCAGAACACTACTGAACTAACTCACCAAAGGAGCTACAGCCTCTGATGACCACTGGAATACTAAGTTTAAGAAGATAGCACCATAGCTACAATCTAGAGATCAGGAAACTGCCACACAGTCCAACAACATATGTAATATCAGACTTTTTATAGAGCTACTGACTAATGTAAACATCCAAGTACATGGTCCACAGAAGAGAGAATAAAGGAAACTGGATAATCAGTACCTGGAGCATTGAGAGTTTGCTCTAGGGTGTGTTGGGGTTTTTGAATGTTTACTTTCATAATAAGATTGAAGTAAATGATGAGTTAATGGGTGCAGCACACCAGCATGGCACATGTATACATATGCAACTAACCTGCACATTGTGCACATGTACCCTAAAACTTAAAGTATAATAATAATAAAAGAAAAAAAAAAGAAGAAAAAAAGATTGAGGTAAGTCTCTCTTTTTTTTTTTGGAAGGAAATTAGTTATTTTCAAAGCTCAGAGAAATATGTACCATATGCCAAACCACCCCCCAAACCACCCCCACAAAAAAAAAAACTGTTACTATAGTAGTTGAGTACTAAATGGACAGGCAAACCTACTTGACAAAAGTGGTTATACCCAGGCACAGTGGCTCAAGCCTGTAATCACAACCCTTTAGGTGGCCAGCGTGGGAGAATCACTTGAGGCCAGGAGTTCAAGACCAGCCTCAGCAACATAGCGAGACCGTCTCCACGAGAAAAAAAAAAATTTAAAAATTAGCCAGGCATGGTGGCATTTGCCTATAGTTCCAGCTACAGACTGAGGCGAGAGGATCCCTTGAGCCCAGGAGTTTCAGGCTGCAGTGAGCTATAATTGCACTATTGCACTCCAGCCTGGCCAACAGAATGAAACCCTGTCTCAAAAAAAGTGATTATGAAAGCAGTTGAGAGGTAACATTGAACTAGCAGTCAGACAAACATATTGAGTCTAAGATGAGCCCTGTGACCTTGGAAATGTCAGTTAAACATTCTGTGCCTTAATCCTGTCTTCTATAAAATGAACAAATTGAACTAGATGACCTGTAAGGTTCAGTCCAACAATAAAATTTCATGTTTTTTAGTTATTCAATTGAAAAAAAGTATTTTTATAATGAAAAGGAAAATTATGCAACCATTTCTAGGGCTTGCTTTACTTTTGATCATTCTGTAAAATTTTCCTGTCAACCTTAAAATATTCTCTGAGGCCATCCAGATGAGGTGAGAGAAGCAGTGGGAGGAGAAAGTAACCTAGAAAAGGAAGGGTTTTTGCCCTGACCATATTGAGTCAAATGTAGTTTTTTTAAACACACAGAGCAGCTTTGGAGTTCCCTAATTTCCCAATTGGGGGTTTTAGTTAATCTGTCCCCAGAAGTTAAGCAGGGAAAAAATTCTTCAAAGAACCATCACTGATTCTAGGAGCTGGAAGGGCTCATCACAACCTCAAAAGCTAGGCTTGTTACCAAAAAAAAAAAAAAAGTACATTGAAAGTGTCCTCTAGGCTATGTTAGCTGGGCCAGAGATTAAATGGAGCTTTCCGCTAAGTCCCTGCAACTTCCTCTGGGCTATTTGAGGTACTTGCTGAGTTTTTGCCCTAATTTCTTTTTTTCCTTCAAGACTTGCCCTTCATTCTCTTGCTTCTCCGGTGTGAACTGCTTTTCAGAACATTTTCAGACAAACCTTCAGATGTTAGCGGAGGGACAGTTTGCCAGTACTGTTTTGTTGTTGTTATTTCCCCAAAAATAGAGACGATCCAGGAGCGACTGCTGCTGTCTTCAGAGGATGCTGTGGTATTACATAGCCCTTGATTTCTCCCCTGCCAATATGCTTTTTTATTGTGCTTCAAAGCTTGTTTACTAACTCCAGCTTAGTCCCTTGACTCTCCTCCCTTACCCTGCCCCATGCATTGTGCATGTCAAAAGGTAGAAAAAAATAACAGCTGCTTCTCAGCCCTCTCCTTTGAAGAACTGCAGAATCACCAGGGCTAACATGTCAAATTGTACAGCCTTAACCAAACCTTTGCACAGAGATGTTTCAGGTTAGGAGAAAGGAAAAAAAATTTTTTTTAATGTAATAGCCTCTTTTCTAAGGGCTTTTAACAGACAGGCCCCAGGGCTACCTCTCCTTGCTGCAGAATATATAAATAAATAAGTGAATGAGCAGGGTTTAGTTCTTAGCCAAGAACGATAGAAACCCCAGTGTTGTATCTGTTGCTATGTGGAGCCAATTAAATGAGATGGACACACGAAGATTTGTTTTAGTTACAGCCCTACCATAATACCATTCATAATCAAAGGCAGTGTTTCCCAAAGCATAGTTCAACTGTCACCTACATCACAATTATTTTAGGGGCTTGCTTTAAAAATGCAGATTCCTAGGCTTTGATCCAGGTTTCCTGAATCAGAATATTTGGAAGCAGCACACAGGCATCTATTTTTAGCAGTACCCCTTATATTAATTCGTATGCACAATAGTTTCTGAAACCACATATTATTGAATGAAGGCTTTTAGGAATATACTAAAATACTAAAATTAGGAAGGAAGATAATTATACTATTTGAATTTTTAAGGACCCAAGTTCTTTAAAAATCTACACACAAATCACAAAGTAAAGAGTATAGGGGCTGGGCGAAGTGGCTCATTCCTGTAATCCCAGCACTTTGGAAGGCCAAGGCGGGTGGATCACTTGAGGTCAGGAGTTCAAGACCAGCCTAGCCAACATGGTGAAACCCTGTCTCTACTAAAAATACAAAAATTAGCCGGGCGTGGTGGCGGATGCCTGTAATCCCATCTACTCAGGAGGATGAAGCAGGAGAATCGCTTAAGCACAGGAAGCAGAAATTGCAGTGAGCTGAAATCATGCCACTGCACTCTAGCCTGGGCATCAAAGCAAGACTCTGTATCAAAATAAAAATAAAAGCATAGTAGTGATTAAGAACATGAAGATAATAAAAGTATAGTATTTATCTCATAAGATCATTTAAAGGTATAAGTGGGAAAAATGCATTAAAGTTTTTAAGAGTTTTGTTTTTTTGCTTTTATTTTTTTGAGACGGAGTCTTGTACTGTTGCCCAGGCTGGAGTGCAGGGGCACAATCACGGCTCACTGCAAGCTCCGCCTCCCAGGTTCACGCCATTCTCCTGCCTCAGCCTCCCGAATAGCTGGGACTACAGGCGCCCGCCACCACGCCCGGCTAATTTTTTGTACTTTTTTAGTAGAGATGGGATTTCACCGTGTTAGCCAGGATGGTCTTGATCTCCTGACCTCATGATCCACCCGCCTCAGCCTCCCAAAGTGCTGGGATTACAGGCGTGAGCCACCGCGCCCAGCCTCAGTTTTTAAGAGTTTTAACGGTAAACACTCAATATATCTTAACTATAATGAATAAACTGAAGATACGTAATACAGAAATGACATGAACTGTATGTAGCATAAGATGATCCCCAACATTGTCTTAATTTCTTCTTGACTCCTTCCCTTTAAAACAAAAATTTGAAAGATATTTAAAGGGCATGTTTTAAGTGAAAACCAGACATCCAAAAAATAAAAAAGAAATGACTGCTTCTTACTTAACCATGTTAGATGTTCAGCTGGAGAAGGAGAGTAAATTTCTGGATCTGATGTAAATTGTTTTCCTAGTGCTGTAACCTCCATAAATTGATATTATTGTGCACCCTGATCAATTTTGAGGATATGTATTGACATCGTCCCCATTTCACCAATAAAGGATTCATTTGAGAGCTGTCACTACTTATATACAACCTTCACTTCTGAAGATATAGCCCAGGGACTTTGGTGAATAGCTAGCCCATGGTTTCAGCATGGACAAAATGATTGTTAATGGGTTCTAATGGAATTGTCTTTGCTAATGAGCATAGGAAGAGAACTGCTGGTGGATGTGAAAAGAACAGTAGAGGACACCCCCAGTGTCTCCCATATCTGAGTCAGGTGGCAGACAGAGAGACGAGGAAAAGGCAATTCTTTAAGATTGCTTTCCCCTTGCCCTAAGGCTAACAAGGACCCTCTGATCTAACCCCACCTACCTGCTGTTTTCTGTCTATGAGCATAGGAGGTGAATAGAGTTTAACCAACCTATATCCAGAGCAACTGAAGCAAGGAAGTGAGGCTCTTGATCTAACCCCTGAGATGTGTTTTGTTTTGTTTTGTTTTGTTTTGTTTTGTTTTGTTTTGTTTTGTTTTGTTTTTTTGAGACAGCGTCTTGCTCTGTCGCCCAGGCTGGAGTGCAATGGCATAATCTCGGCTCACTGCAACCTCCGCCTCCCGGGTTCGAGCACTTCTCCTGCCTCAGCCAACAGAGTAGCTGGGATTACAGGCACGCGCTATCACGCCTGGCTAGTTTTTGTATTTTTAGTAGAGAAGCGGGTTTCACCACGTTGGCCAGGCTGGTCTCGAACTCCTGATCTCAGGAGACCCACCCACCTCAGCCTCCTAAAGTGCTGGGATTACACTTGTGAGCCACTGCACCTGGCCAACAGATTTTTTTGAGAAAGCAGTGTATGGGGGAAATTGTACCCAAGTCTCCCTAGTACCCAGTCTCCCTGAAAAGGCAGTCAATCTGCCCCCATAGCTTCAACAAATTCTGAGAGGGAATGATTTAACCTTGGGATAAATGTAGAGTATTGATGAGGTTTTTTTAGACTCTATGCTAGTTCTAAAGAAAAAAACTGAGACAGTGTTGTCAACCTCCTTGGTGTCCAGTAGGTGGAGATATAGTCTAAGGTTGTCTGGGACTGCAGTGGAAATTTTAGGGCACTAGATAGCTTCCAGAGTCTTCTGAAGTCTGTGGGAAAGAGTAAGCAGCGTGCCTTTTCTGCTTCCCAGTCCACTCATCCTAACCCACACATACCTCACTTCTCTGCCTTCCCATTCTTAGACACTTTGGCTGAGACGGAGGTACATACCACGTAGGGAGGAGTGACATCAAGAACTCTACAGTGGGGGAAAGTTGGGAAGAGAGAGATCACAGAGACATTTGAAGAACTTTCCTGAAGTCCAGGTCCTGTGCTATTCAGCACAGATTCTAGGTTGGCAGTAAGGTGTCCTCCCTTCTGCCAATCTGGAAATGCCAGTATCTTAAATCCATGGAGGGACCACCCTCCTAAAATTCTCACACATACACAAATCTAAAAGTGACACAAACCGGGAACAGCAGACCAGACAAGATGCACTATAGGTATTCAGCCAGCCATCTGGCATCAAGTTAATGCATGAGTGGACACCCTGCCTGCCAATGGGCACTAGGCCATGACCACCAGTTGGGTACAATCAGCCTGCCAAGGTGAAGGGCATCCCACAGCATTGCACCTATCAGCTTCCCTGCCACAAACTGAATGGAGCTCAGAACTTGAGAGACCTCCTGCCTGTAGAGAAATAGACTCAGTTCCTCATTGAAAACAACAGAGGAAAGAGAGGCAGGGAAAGGGGGCAATGCTCTATTTTGCCTGAAAATAGTAGCAAAGTCTCTTCGTCCTATCCTTGGAAAAGAAAAGTCTGGAAATTGACCCTTCCCAACCCAGAACTGGAAGTTGGGAGTCAGTAGGATAAAATGGTATGTTATTTTATCCTACTGAATGAAAGCAAATGTGGCATGATGGAAAGAGCTGACTTGGAATAAAGACACCTGAATTCTATCCCACATCAGCTGTATGACCTTGGGCAAGTCATTCCCTTTCTCTGGGCCTTGCTTAAAATGAGGACATTGGGCTAGATGATATCTAGAATATTGTCCTCCTCCAACATCTGCTGTTCAGTTCTGAGAAGTAATGACTTTGCCTTGTTGAAGTTGACCAGTCTAGCACCCACAGAACCCCATGTGACCCCAGACATAAGCTATGTCTGAGCTAAGGGAACCGAGTACTAAAGGAGTGGGAAAATGAAAGTTCTGAGCTCCCAATGTCCCTTTCCCACTATCTGTTTCCCACCACTGGGGACCCACTACAGGGATTTGAATATCAGAGATCCAGATCTCCTAATCTTTTGTAGAGTGAGAAGGCTGGAGGCTCCAGTCAGCCTTGTAACCAAAAGAATCTAAAACTACTATTTTAAAAAGAAAGTGATGCTCATCTGGGTAATATTCATTATATTAATATGTATCAAAGCCAGGCGCAGTGGTTCACAACTGTAATCCCAGCACTTTGGAAGGCCAAGACAGGAGGATTGCTTGAGGCTGGGAGTTTAAGACCAGCCTGGCCAACATAGCAAGAGCCCTGTCTCTACAAAAAGTAAAATTAGGCCGGGCGCGGTAGCTCACACCTGTAATCCCAGCACTTTGGGAGGCTGAGGTGGGTGGATCACCTGAGGTCAGGAGTTCAAGACCAGCCCAACCAACATGGTGAAACCCCGTCTCTACTTAAAAAAAAAAAAATCCACAAGTTAGCCAGGCGTGGTGGCAGGTGCCTGTAATCTCAGCTACTCTGGAGGCTGAGGCAGGAGAATGGCTTAAACCCAAAAGGTGGAGGTTACAGTGAGCCAAGATCGTGTCATTGCACTCCAGCCTGGAAGACAAGAGTGAAACTCCATCTCAAAAAAAGAAAAAAAAAAAGTAAAATTAGCCAGGTATGGTGTCACATGCCTGTAGTCCCACCTACTCAGGAGGCCTAAGTGAGAGGATGGTATGAGCCCAGGAGTTTGAGGTTGCAGTGAGCTATGATCAGGCCACTGCACTTCAGCCTGAGTAACAGAGTAAGATCCCATCTTTAAATATATAGAGATAAATTTTGGGTCTAAGGCCGATATGTCTCTGATCTCTGCTCCACTGCCCACCCAACCCCACCACCGCCACCACCAGCAGCTGCCCTTTCTCACTAGAGTCTCTTCCTGCCCCTTTATATTTGCAATGGGCTGACTCTGTTAATTCTTCCTGCCTGTTGAGTGTTCACCTGGTCCCTGGTAAAGGACCTGTGCCTGAATTTATCCTGTGAAGAGAGGAATGCCTTTACTTTCCCTCCAGACATTGATTCACTTCCTTTGCCCAGGTGAGTTTCCATAGGATATTGGAAACATTCCATTTACCAGAGCTTTCATATACAACCAGGCTGAAGAAAATATTCAACTATTGAGAACAGAGAATTTGGGGAGATTCCAGTATGACAAGTAACAATAGTCATCTGAGAACTGAGTTCTACCACTTGTCCTCACCTCCACCCTGAGAAATCTTAAATGCCCTCAGGGAAGAAAAGCTAGTCAGACTAATTAATATCTTGTTTTCTCTCATTGAGTTGCCTTATGCTGAATTTCAAAGAGAATATCATTTCACTTCTTATGTATCAGATGTTGTAGTATGCTCTAATCACCTAGGTTAGGGGTGGGAGAGTAGTTGATATAATAACTTGAGGTAAAATAAGTAAGACATGAATCTTACTTTCAAGAAATTTATGGTATATATTATCTATACATAAGAAGTTACCCCCAGGATGTAGTTACTTGAAACAACAATAAATATTTATTCTCTCTCTCAGTTTCTGTGGGTCAAGAATTCAAGAGCAGTTTAGCGAAGCAGTTCTGCCTTGATGTCTCTCTTGAAGTTGTAGTCAAGATGTCAACTAGGCTTGTAGTTATCTGAAAGCTTGACTGGGGTTGACCACTCTGTACTGCAAGCTGGTTCACTCACATGGATAGCAAGTTGGTGCTGGCTTTTGGTGGAAGGCCTCAGTTTCTCTCCACATTGGCCTCTCCATAGGGCTGCTTGGTGGCTGGCAAGAGATCCAAGAGAGAGACCATGGTGGAAACTGCAATGTCTCTTATGATTTCATGTTAGAAGTTACACATGTCACTTCTACAGTATTGTGTTGGTTACATGGGCCAGCCATCATTCAGTGTAGGAAGAGAAAACACAAAGGGCATGAATACCAAGAGAGGAGGGTCAATGAGGCCATCTTGGAGGCTACCACATAATCTATCTGGGATTTCAAAGTTATGATAAAAAGTAACGCTAAATAGAAGAGCTAGTATGTTTATAAACCTACAAGAACTTTGAATATGCTCATGATAGAATAAATTTCATAGTTTTTCACAAAATGCCATTGAATAAGTGACTTCAGTAAACGCTATTTTCATTGAAACTTGGTTTTTTTTTTTGCACTCCTTGAAAACATTCTTCAGAGTAGGCTAAGGGATTTAATGAATTATATGGTTATCTTAATTTTCATTCAAAGGATGTTAGCCATGCTGCTATAACAAAGAAACCCACAAATATAGTGACCCTCTTACTTCAAATAAAGTAATAGTACAGAGATATATGGAGCAGATGGTCTTTGGTAGAAAAGGCTTGCATCTCTGGGTCCATGGTGGCTGCTTAATGTGTCACCATGTCATAGCAAGCAGAAGGATGAAAGAGTGAGAGAGCAACTACTTTTCCTCTTTAAAGACATGACCCAGAAGTTACACACATTGCTTCACTCACATTCCATTGACCAGAACGTAGTTATGGGACCACCTGTAATTGCAAGACAGACTGGACAGTGTAGTATCTAGCTGGCAGCCATGCACCCTGCTAAGATTTAGTGTGTGGATAGCAGGGTAGCAGAGTCATATTATTAAAAGGAAGAAGAGACAGGATGATGAGAATGAGTGGTCTCTGCCACACTTATAAAATATAATTTGTGGGGACAGGTCAGGTGACAAAAGTTAACAAGTAATTGGACCACATCTCTGGATCCAATTCAATAATTAGATGCAAATTAAAAACATGATAGTAAGAAACGCTATCTTGCTAGAAGACTACGTTGTAAAAAACAATGTCACACAATTCAGAAATTAGTTTTGTAATGTTGCTGTGTTATGTTTACCATTGCTTTAAAAACAGGTTCAGTTTATTCAAATATTTGTTTAGCCAGGCAACGTACTTGGCAGTGGAAAAACAGAAGTAAACAAGATCCTTACCTCACAGAACTTAGTCTAAAAGGAGAGACAAACAGGAAAATACAATATAGTGGGGTAGATGCTGTGACTAGTGAAATCAGGAGTACTGGGTGGGGAATTAATGAATGCTTCTTGGAGGAATCAGTGTTTGTGCTGAGACTTGATCTATAAAATACATTCCATTCAATCCCAGCTACCCGGGAGGCTAAGGCACGAGAAACACTTGAAACCCAGGAGGCAGAGGTTGCAGTGAGCCAAGATCACGCCACTGCACTCCAGCCTGGGCGACAGAGTGAGACTCCATCTCAAAAAAACAAAACAAAAAACAACATTACAGAGAGCACATCAGAGTTTAAATAGATTTCAGATTTATCAACAGACAGAATGAGGCTTTAATATTTATAACCAAGTACTGTAACCATACATATAGTATATTAGTTTAATTATCCCAACAAATCTATGAGAAAGATATTACTGCCATTTTACAGGTGAAGATATTGAGACCCAAGGAGGTTAAGTAACTTGCCAAGGTTACATATCTGTTAAGTAAGGGAGGCAACTTTCAAACTCAAGTCTTTTCAGATGACTTCCCTGTATAAAATAAAAGCACATTAACAAAAAGCAAACATTATCATTAAAAATTCTGGCCAGGCGCAGTGGCTCACGCCTGTAATCCCAGCACTTTGCGAGGCTGAGCCAGGCAGATCACAAGGTCAGGAGTTCGAGACCAGCCTGACCAACATGGTGAAACCCCGTCTCTACTAAAAATACAAAAATTAGCTGGGGGTGGTGGCGCGTGCCTATAATCCCAGCTACTCAAGAGGCTGAGGCAGGAGAATCATTGAACCCAGGTGGCGGACATTGCAGTGAGCCAAGATCGTGTCATTGCACTCCAGCCTGGACAACAGAGCGAGACTCAGTCTAAAAAAAAAAAAAAAAAATTCTATGGAACATGCTTTCATAAAATATTTAGAGTTGCTTCTATCATAGGTGCATTCAAATGTATTCAATTTCTAAATTATACAAGGACTTTATTAATACACTGGATAATTAAGTGCTAGACCATGTACTCCAGACTATAAGCCTAGGACTTCAGAATAGTGGCACATTGCTGAGATTTAGAATGAGCTGGGGAAGTCCAGGCTCAGTGGCTCACACCTGTAATCCCAGCACTTTCGGCAGCCGAGGCAGGCAGATCACTTGAGGTCAGGAGTTCAAGACCAGCCTGGCCAACATGGTAAAACCCCGTCTCTACTAAAAATATAAAAATTAGCCAGGCATGGTGGTTGGCACCTGTAATCCCAGCTATTCAGGGGGCTGAGGCAAGAGATTCACTTTAACCTAGGAGGCAGAGGTTGCAGTGAGCCGAGATCACGCCACTGCACTCCAGCCTGGGTAACAGAGCAAGACTTCATCTCAAATAAATAAATAAATGAATAAATAAATATTTTAAAATAAAATAAAGAGGCCAGGCGCAGTAGCTCACACCTGTGATCCCAGTACTTTGGGAGGCCGAGGCAGGCGGATCATGAGGTCAGGAGATCGAGACCAGCCTGGCTAACACGGTGAAACCCCGTCTCTATTAAAAATACAAAAAAATTAGCCGGGCGTGGTGGTGGGCGCCTGTAATCCCAGCTACTCGGGAGGCTGAGGCAGGAGAATGGCGTGAACCCGGGAAGCGGAGCTTGCAGTGAGCCGAGATGGCGCCACTGCACTCGGGCCTGGGCAGCAGAGCGAGACTCTGTCTCAAAAAAAAAATGAATAAATAAAATAAAATAAAATAAAGAATGAGATGGGGAAGCTTATGCAGGGCTTGGATGGGCCTTGATGACCAGTACAGAGGACAGTGCATTCCAGACACTGGAATCACAGGAGCAAAGCTGAAGACAAAATGGGCACATTAGTGAGACAATACTGAGACACTGAGACCCAAATGACTAAAGCAGAAGGTGTATTAGAAAGAAGCTTTCTGGTTCTCCCAGGTACAGGAGAAGGGAGAGATTGGAGACCTCAGGGTCATTTTACCCCCATTTAAGTGGCCATGGTAGCTGTGACCTACCCCCACTTTTCTAGGAAAAAATATATTCCAGCATTCCCAAGATCTTCTATCTTCATTGTAATCATTTTGTCACCTTGAATATCAAAAGACATATTATTTTCCTAATGCTAGTCCGGGGCTGTACCAATTGACAGACACAATCTTTGCTTCATTCAAGTTTCCAGTCTAATAGGATACAAACAGACAATTCAGAGAACAAAATGGGGCAAACTTAGCCCAAAATAAGAGCATCATGATTCCCTTAAGATGTCAAAGTGCTTACAGCTGTACCATGTAGGAGGCCATAACAAATGCTACATTTAAGAGGACACTAGGCATGGGTGGGGTGGTCCCAGGCTTGATAAGGTTACTTAAGCCCCCAAATCCTTGTGGTCAACCCGAACAGTCACCTGGAAAAGGGCTGATGAACAGGATACCTTTCCTCCAAAGGAATCCTGCCTCTCCTATATGCCCCGAAATGAGCATTGAGTGGGAAGCTAACCAGAGGGAAAAATAGGAGCTGCTGTTAGGGTCAGACAGGATCCAGCAGCCTGCAGCCTGGACCCAAGCGTGCGGAAAAGGCCATTGTCTGAGTGGCTTTCTGGATTTCCTGCCCTCAAACACCTACCCCGCCCAACATGCACACTCAATCTCTTGCCTCCTGCTCTGCCATCACTGTGATTAGCAGGCACTGCCCACCAAGAGGACAACAGACCACTGAGGTTCTCCTAAAGTGAGAAGGGAAATCACCCAGACCCATCCCCAGTGGGGAAAGGCAAAAAGATGACACAGAACAGGGCTTTAAGATTACTAGAGAAAAGTGTTTCCAGATCTTAATGAAGATCCAGGATCCTCCTTATCTCTCAACCCGCACTCATTTCTCCTAGGTCTACTCATCCAGGAGACGTAGAGTTTTCTGGCACAAGTGAGCAACAGCTGGATGGGGGTGGGGGGTGTGTCTATGTAGGTGTCTGTGCCTCCAGGCACGTCCCAGTGGTTTTTATGTGTGGGAGAGGAGAATTCAGCAAACAGGGTGTGGTTGTGGGTGTGTCTCACGTGGGATGAGGTATCTACAGAGCAGTTCTGTTGAGATCCTTGGGCTCCCTGCTCTACCAGCCCTGGCATTGAGTCCATTTCATGACCCTGATGAGACCAGATTCCCAGCTGATGACGCCCATTCCCAATCACCAGCTTCCAGCTCTTTGGCCCCTCCCCCATCCACACGCTTACTCCTCTGGCAGGCTAGCTGGGCTTTTGGCTGGGAACTGAGCTCAAAGCGGAAACAGGCAGTTGGAAGGTGTGATTTATGTCTCTGACTTCACCCCAGGCTGGAGCCCAAACACTTGGACCCTCTCCGCAAGTACCCGTCTGGCAAATTATCTCCTCCCCCTCAAAATCTCAGGCTCTTCTAGCTGGTCAGAGGTCTTCCAGGCAAGCCCATCCTCACTACCATCCCCCCTCTCCACTAACACTACCACTCACACCTCTAACTCCTGCTGATTACAGTGATAGAAGAATTAACTTCACTATTACCCACAGGAGGCAGGATTCTCCTATCAGCCCCAAACAATAGATAAATCCCTCCATATATCTAATTTCCTTCTCTCCTGCTGCTGACCAGCAGTTGGTAGAAACAAAGGGGAGCTAACTCACTCAGAATTCTGCCTCTGGCCTGTCAAGGTCTCTTTGCAGATTTAAGGTAATCCTCAATCCTGTGATTGTTTCTATCTCTAGAGACTTCTTAGAAACATTCTCAAAGACACCAGAGTGCCATTTTCTTGCTCCTGATCAGTAACTTGATGCATATCTTTATCTGCCATTCATCAAGATCTGGAAAGCACACTCCACCCCCCACAATCTGGAAGCCTAGAGTCAGAAAAGATCTTGCTAGGAAGTGAGAATCCTCTAACTCCTTGCAGGGGCTCCCACCATTACCACTTAGAAAATTCTACTAGAAATCTAGTTTCATCTTTTCCCACTTTCAAAGATTCCTCATCAGTCAAATGCCCTTGTTAACTTTAGAGGGCAGTTGAGGAGGATTAAATGAAGAAATCAATTTGAAAGATATAAAATGCTGCTTCATAGTATTATTTTGAGGTTAAATGAGGTCGCATATGTAAAATGCTTAGATCTATACCTGGTACTTGATAACTATTAGCTGTTTTTTCCTGTAATACCTCAAAAATTGGGGAGGGACCTGGGAGTTTGCCCTTCCTAGACATCCAGAGCCCATGGGCTCATTATAACCTTGTTGAATGGGAAGCTCAGATTCCTAGGTTTTAGTTTCTTTTTTTTTCTTCTTCTTCTTTTTTTTTTTTGAGACGGAGTCTCGCTCTGTCACCCAGGCTGGAATGCAGTGGTGCAATCTCGGCTCACTGCAACCTGTGCCTCCTGGGTTCAAGTGATTCTCTGCCTCAGGCTCCCGAGTAGCTGGGATTACAGGCGCGCGCCACCACACCCAGCTGATTTTTGTATTTTTAGTAGAGACGGGGTTTCACCATGTTGGCCAGGCTGGTCTTGTACTCCTGACCTCGTGATCCACCCGCCTCAGCCTCCCAAAGTGCTGGGATTACAGGTGTGAACCACCGCGCCCGGCCCCTAGGTTTTAGTTTCTGAAGGTACATGGTTGCATGAATGAATGAGTCCATGCTCCATTCAGTTTTCTGGGGTCTGGTCTCTCCTTTCCTGGCTTCCTTCCCATCACCCCCTACAGAGCCTTTCCCCTAGATCACTGAGCTCATCCTGGTTACCAATTATTTGTTTATTCCTGGCCCCCACACAAGGACTCCAGCCGCAACCCTGGTTTTCCCCTGAGTTCCTGTATGAGAATCTGAATGTGTTGGGGTAAGATGGAACCTCAAGGATCACCTAGCCCAATTCCTTTGATTTAGGAAAGACAAAATTGGGAGCCAAAGAAGGGCAGACTTGCTCTAGTTGGAACTTCCAAGTCAAGTACCTGGATCCAGCCCAGGGAGTCCCTGTGTGCTTTCAAGGGTAAAAGAATTCTCATCCCCTTCTTCCTTTCTCTCTCTCAGTGAGTAGAATAAATCACTATTTTTAACTGCCTAAAACATGAGCAAAAGCTGGAGAAACGCTCAAGGAAGTCCTTCTACATACAGGCTTACTGGCTTCTTCCATATTTTCCTGGGTCTTCTCTAATTCTTATTTCTGCCCCTTCTTGCATTCCTCCCTTCCTCCACCTCCAGTCACACTTAGATGGCTTCTATGCTAACCTGTATGTCACTTGCATATCATTCAACAATAGATCAATAGATTTGGGGTTTTTTTGTTTTTTGTTTTGTTTTTTTGAGACAGAGTCTTACTCTTTCGCCCAGGCTAGAGTGCAGTGGCATGATCTTGGCTCACGGCAACCTCTCCCTCCCAGGTTCAAGCAATTCTTGTGCCTCAGCCTCCTTAAGCGGCTGGGATTACAGGCATGTGCCACCATGCCCAGCTAATTTTTTGTATTTTAGTAGAGACGAGGTTTCACCATGTCGCCCAGGCTGGTCTCAAACTCCTGATATCAGGCAATCCGCCCGCCTTGGCCTCCAAAAGTGCTGGGATTACAGGCGTGAGCCACCACGCCCTGCCTAGATTTGTTTTTAAAAAATGAATTTGTTGCTGAGTGCAGTGGCTCATTCCTGTAATCCCAACACTTTAGGAGGCCAAGGCAGGAGGATCACTTGAGCCGAGGAGTTCGAGACCAGCCTGGGCAAACATAGTGAGACCCCGTTCCTACAAACAATTAGTTTAAAAAGAAAAAGAAGAATGGGTCAATGGCTTTCTTTGAAAGTGTTTAGTCTGAATCCAACACCTAGGTCCAAAGTGGGGTACACTTGACCAGCAGCTTCTGTGAGCATGACCACCCCATATAAAGGCATTCCTTTTGCCTTTGCCAGTGAGGCTCAAGCATTCCAAAGATAAACGTAGTGGGCTGGTCTTTCCTAAAGTAAAGCTAGATTGCTTGGGTTTGAATCCCAGCTCTTCTGCTTACCTTGGGCAAGTCTGTGCCTCAGTTTCCTCATCTTATAAAATAGGTCAATAGTACCTCCCTGATAAAGGGGCAGTGCCAATTAAATAAGTTAATTCATATAAAGCTCTTAGAACACATACTATATAGCATAAAGCATAAGCTATTATTATTATAGGAGAGACAATAACTCCAGGAAGCCGTGCCTCCACCTCCACCCCCCATACATACCTGAGTCATGTGGCACGGTTCCTCTCTCTTCCTGGGATCTCATTACCCTTCTCCAAACCAGCCCATCTGGCCCCTGTGCAGTCTTACCCTTATCCAACCCCCAGCTCTACCCCTGGGGCCCAAACCTGGGTGTAGGGGAGGGAAGAAAGGCAAAACGTGGCCATTTTAGGGCAGAAGAACTGTTAGAGGGGAGAAGGGGTGGGGGCAACAGGGAAGTGGACCCAGAGTTGGGAAGCTCCTTATTGGGAAAGGCCCCTGTCTGATTCTGGGAGACAGAGGCCAGGCCTGGGCACTCAGCCAAGTCCAAAGAGCAGGCCCCAGGCCCTAGTCCTGGCCCCCAAAGCCAGCACCAGTGAAGAGACTAAATGTTCAGTTGCTTTGGGCTCTTCTCCAGACAGTCACAGGACACTTCCCCTACCCCAACCTCACCTATTCTGACAAAATACCCATGGTGATTAAAGTAGCTAGAACCAGGAGTACAACGTCTCTGTGTATATATGTGTGTGTTGGGAGGAGGGAGAGACTCATGCTTCCGGGCCATAATAAGGTCAAACCACTGTTCCAAAAGTGGCTGTCTCCAGGACACTGCCCACCACCCACAACCCCCACTACCTCCCCCCAAGTCCAACGGCTGGCTGTGAACTCCTCCTACAGGAACCCAGCCAGTTCTGGGGAGACTGCTGGTGAGGGGGGGCCCAAGGGTGAGTAACGGTTCCCGTGGGGATCGGGGTGCCCATGACTAATCAATGAGAGGGTGAGAAATAAAACTTACATTCCTTGACTTGTAGGGCAGTAGCTGGAGGTGGGAGGTGGGGCAGGGGCAGACTGAAGCAAGGACAGCCAAGTAGGGACGCAGAGCGGGAAGCGAGGCTGAGGTGGGGGTAGGGAGTCCTTCCAGCCCTGCTCTCTCCATATCTCAGGCTGAAGGAGAGGCAGGCCCCAGGTAACCAAACACCTGGGTTTCTGCTTCCCATCCCCTGGCAAATAAGCTTCTCCTCCAGTTCATTCAATCCAGGGCTACAGACTTTGAATGGGCTGAGGGAAGGGCACACTGACATCTCATTTGCATTCCTCAGCCCCTGCCCCACTCATCTAGGAGTCCCTATGCCCAGAAGACCCGGCTTGGAAAAACTCCGCTGTGCAAGGCTGAGAGCCAGACTAAAGGCATAAAAGCGGAAATGAGCTGGGAGCCAAGATGCTGAGAGAAGGAAGGAAGCCAGTCTGCTGCCACAAAGGAGTCAGGAAAGAGAGGGAACAAACAGCCAAGTGCTTCCTGCCCATACCCTTCCCTGCCTCTCCACCAACCTCCTCCAGCCTGTCCAGACATCTCAGGCCCAGGGCAGAGTAGGGAAAGGAGTGCAGAGACCCACACGAAACGCCCTCTAAAGCTTCCAGCTCAGCAGCCTTCATGGCAGAGGCCGGGGCTATTCTCACAGCAGCCCCTGCATCAATAGCTAGATGATCACTCCCATGTTAGCCAGTTCCAGAAGCTCCCTTACCCCAATTTCCTCCACCAAAGTGACCCGTTCCTCTCTGTTTCAAGCTTGCTTTCTCTGGCCCTCCAGTATCTGCAGTTGAAAGAGAACACCATGAGTTTGGGAAGGGATGTGGTAGTGGGGAGGGTTGGGAGAGTTGTAAGAACAGGCAGCCCTCTTCCCCAAACTGCTATCTCACCTCCCACTGCACTGGCAAGAGAGCAGGGGCAATCACACCTCACACACACACACACACACACACACACACACACACCCCCAACTTTAGCCTATTGACAGATCAGGATACAGATACCCCACCCATGCAAATACACCAACACAAGCATGTTCAGGTTTTCAGACCATACACACACAGAGAGGGAGATTTTCACCTCACAGGCACATTCACATCACACAGGATCTTTTCCCAGCCTGGCCAGCACAAATGGTGAACATGGGAAAGATGTAGAAACCTGGGTCAACTTGGGCCCAAAATATATTCCAGCTTTGGCCCTTCTCCAGGTCTGTTTCTCCATTCCTTGCTACTCCCCCAGGGCTTTCCCATGCAAAACACAGGAGAAGGCGGAGAGGAGGCACCTGAGGGTGCTCTGTTCCTAAGCTGTGATACTCAGTCAACTCTGTCTGGGTTTCTGGAACCCAGCCCCCCTCCCTGAGGTGATCACATGGAAAATGTCCAGCTGCGGTTGCTTGGAGAGATGAGCTCAGCCAGTCTGAGTGGGGCTGGGGGCCTGGACTCAGCGTCAGACTTTCCACTTCGGACCTTACCCCTCCTCCCACCTCCAAATACCACTCCAGGGATTCAGGAGCAGGAAAGGGGCCAAAGGGACTTCTGACACAAATGTCGCAGTCTTGGACTGGTTCAGAGGGGAAGGGTGGACACTGATGAAGGGCGGAACAGATCTGGAAGCACCTCTAGTCTGCTTCATTCCTGCCCACCCACTTCAGGGAAATAAATCCAAAGATGGACCAAAAAAGACAAGGGAGACTAGGTTGCAGTGTAATAAGTGGGGGGAAGATGACTTCAGAAATTGGTCCCCCGGGGTGGGAGTGGGAGGGCAGGGAACTCAAGAATAGATTCAACTCAATGACCCCAAAATGACAAAGGACATAGAAAGCTGGGTCCTAAATGGGAAGCTGGGGGTGGCAGAGGAAGGAGCAGACCAGTGTTACACTGCCTCTCATTGGCCAATGAAGAGTTCCTGACCTGGCAGGAGGAAAGGATTAGTCTCTCCATCCAGTCTTCCAAAGTATATTTCCCACTCTCCATGACTCTGCACCCCTGCCCTCCCTCTCCTCACGTTCCTTTCCCTCTGTCCCCCATCTCTATTATGCGCTTCCCCTTTCCTTTCTCCTTTCCTCTCTCCTACCATCTTTCTAGGATCCTCCTTCCTGGTTCCTCCACCCCCTTCTCCTTCACCAATCCCTTGCCCCTCTGTCTTTTCCTCTCGCGGAACCCTCTCTGTCTACCTCTTTGCTCTTATTTATGTCTCCAACCTCACCCATTTCCCCCTCCTTCTCCCTCCTTTTTCTCCCCAGCATAGCCCACAGAGCTTTATACATAGTAAGCACTCAAAAATATATACTACTTAGATCAATGGCACTTATTAGTTAATGTCCCTTGCACAATTCTAGGAATCTTAGAGCAGACAGATCTTTAGTAGTTAAAATGTTGGAGCCATGAAAGGTTTTGATCTGAGAAGTAACATCATCAGAGCCTTGGTTTAGGAAGATTAATTTGCCTGCAAAGAGTAGGGTGGATTTCAGGGGAAAATGAGACCCTTTTTTCATTTTCTCTCTTTCTTTCTTCAACTGTTTCTTTCTCTCTGACTTCTTCACCATCTGACAGGCTTCCCCACCTGGCCATAACTTCTTCTCTCCCTTCCATGAGTCTTCCCTCTTTCCTTGAGTTTTCCTTCCCTTTACCCCTATCCTGCCCTTCCTCCTCTCAACAACCCCCCTTCCTAGAACATCTGTAAGCAATTGGCTTGTAGAGAGGGGTAGGGTTGAGATTTCCCAGCCAGCTGTGGGGGTGTGGCCAGCCCTGGCCGACTGGATGGAAGAGTGTGGCCTGAAGGGAGGGCCACTCTCCCTAGAGGTGAAAGCTTGGAGTGCCATCCCACCGTTCCTGTTCCTAGGCACCCAGCCCTTTAATCAAACCCCAAACTTCTCTTCTTCCCAGGTCAATCTCATCACACACCCCTTTTCTATCTCAGAGACCTGGAAGCCCTAGCCCTACCTCCCAGTTCCACAATTCTGTCATCTGGAACCCTCTAGCCACATGTAGATTAGAGACTGGAAGAGGGTACCCAACCTCCCAACTGCTGGACATCTGTTGAAAGGAATATAAACTGAAGGGTCAGAAAGCTCCTCCTCTTGGCTTCTCCCTTAGGGCTTTGAAGTCCAATCAAGGACTGAGGCCAGAGGTCGGGGGTGTGGGTATTCAAAGGACAGAATGCAATTCAACCTTTACTGCAGGTAAGGTAGGAAGTCCAATATATTTTTGTACATTAGACCCAGAAGTAATCACTTGTGAATTGTGAATGTATAAACTGTATACAACATTACTTTCTTTTATACTATTATCTCAATTTAGTAAGCCTCAACCTTGGAGTCCAGGGGTTAAGAATCTTCTAAGGCTTTGTTCCTCCTCAAGTTATAGCTCTGGAAGAAAAGGAGGGGGCTCTGCTTCCCAGGAGTGCTCCATATTACTGGGCTCATAAATCTCAGCCCCAGAGACTCTCCATTTTACTTTTATGCACTGGCTGCTGGGGACACTTGGAACCTTTGCAGGAATTTCTGTAAACCCCACTTATCCCCTAGTTCAGCACCCCAACAGGTTAGCTCTCCCTGAAGAGAAAGGCAAGGGGATGGACCTATTCTTAGCCCTGTACATGATCTCTGGAAAACAAATGTGCTCATTGTGAGGTGATGATGGACAGGGAGGAATTTGCAGCCAAGGAAGGAGTGTATGTGTTTGGAGGTAGAGAGATGAGGAGCGCCAGAGGTCCAGAGAGCTCATGAGGAAGACTTATGAAAAGCAAGGAGAGGGACATGCTGTGCCCCATCCCCAACTTTGTGCCATTGTGTTAAGGACTAATGGCACACTATGCTCTACACATACACACACACACCCTGATTCCTACCTGATCAGAGATGCTGTTATCTCTATAAAGCCAGAAAGAGCTGAAGCTAGTAACATAGCATGTCTGGGTTTGGAGTGCAATCGGTGGCCCTCCTGCCTTCCTCCCCAACCTCTTTCCAATGCCCTTTCTGTCTGGGATTGATAATCCTTCCCAAGAGAGGGCTGGAAATGGCAGGCAGACTTGTGGAGGTGGGAGGGAACGCCTGGCTCATCCTCAACCCCTCATAGCCCCAATCGGATGTGCACTGGGAATCCTGGTGCTCCAGGTCCCTTCCTGATGG
Source organism: Homo sapiens (assembly GCF_000001405.40). Taxonomy (NCBI): domain Eukaryota; kingdom Metazoa; phylum Chordata; class Mammalia; order Primates; family Hominidae; genus Homo; species Homo sapiens. The sequence goes on along the minus strand of NC_000012.12, from coordinate 54,424,508 downwards.
GCTCCAGATGTGCTTACATCTGGGAAGGCCATCCCAAGAAGCTGACACTCCCACCCACAGCTCCCACCCCGGATGGTTCTCTCCTCTGACTGCCAGGCCTTTGAGCTGAGAAGATTCAGGCACCCCTTTCCTCTCCAGAGGTAGGTACAAGGCAGCAAAGGGGAGAGAAAGGAAAGTCATGGGGGTGGCATGAGTAAGCAAATAAAATGAGGTCAATGCTTAGGACACCCCAGAGGATCTTATTTTCCTTTTAACTTCCTATCTGGGGTTGTTACATTTTGCCATAGCATTCTGGTGCCTCTAAATATGCCATAAATAAATAAATAAATAAATAAATAAGAAAAACTGAAGAACTTTTGGAAGAGAAGACATTAGCAAGAGTGGGGGAAATTCCTTCCCATTGATCTGCTTAATCTGGATTCCTGGGTCTTATATCTTGTATCCCAGTGTCCTCTTAGCTCTGCTCCTTTCCTGTCAGTGCCCATCCCCTAGTCCCTGTCTCCATGTGCCTCTCCAACCTAGTCTCGCCTGGAAAAACTCCCAGTTTGGTCTCCACAGAGGTATCTAGTCACAGGTTTTTTTTGTTTGTTTGTTTGTTTTGAGTCTGAGTCTCTCTCTGTCGCCCAGGCTGGAGTGCAATGATGCTATCTCGGCTCACTGCCACCTCCACCTCCCGGGTTCAAACGATTCTCCTGCCTCAAACTCCTGAGTAGCTGGGATTACAGGCTCCCGCCACCATGCCCAGCTAATTTTTTGTATTTTTAGTAGAGACGGGGTTTCACCATGTTAACCAGGCTGGTCTCAAACTCCTGACCTCAGGTGATCCACCCGCCTCAGCCTCCCAAAGTGCTGAGATTACAGGCGTGAGCCACGACATCTGGCTCTAGTCACAGTCTTAATCACTGGGTTCGGAGTCCTGGAGCAACAATAGAACCCACGAATCTTATTGCTAAGGTCTGCTTTTGTCACCCTAGTAAACATCTTCCATCCACCCCTCCTGTGCTCTGTGCAAACTGGGGATAGAAAAAGGAGAGGAGCCTGGGTTTATTTTAGGCATAGGACACAGGGGAGGGGTTTCTCCTGGGTCAGACAGCGGGTAGGGATGGTGGAGGTGACTCACAGATGATAGAGCCCTCAGTTCCTCTAGGCAGAGACCTGAGTCAGAGAAGCAACAGAGCCTGAGGGTGCAAATGGTCTACTCCTGTACTTTCCAATTTCCCTTTCTTAGACATACACGCACACACACACAGAACAACTCCCCAGCTTCAGCAGTCTCTGGATCCTGGTATAACTGGGCTCCTATTCTACTTCTGGAAATCCCCCCACCCCCGCCTTCAGCTTCATAATTTTCCTAAATATCCCACCTTCCTTCCCTCTGTGAGATCCAACTTCTTTGTTTGCTTGTTTGTTTTTGTCTTGTTTTGTTTTTGAGATGGAGTCTCGTTCTGTCACCCAGGCTGGAGTGCAATGGTGCAATCTCAGGTCACTGCAACCTCTGCCTCCCAAGGTTCAAGCAATTCTCCTGCCTCAGCCTCCCAAGTAGCTGGGATTACAGGCACCCACCACCACGCGTGGCTAATTTTTGTATTTTTACTAGAGACGGGGTTTCACCATGTTGGCCAAGCTAGTCTCAAACTTCTGACCTCGTGATCTACCCACCATGGCCTCCCAAAGTGCTGGGATTACAGGCATGAGCCACTGCACCCAGCCTAGGAAGTTTTATTTCATGGACACCTCAGCCTCTACCACCTCTACCCAATCAGACTTTTTACAGCCCAACAAGACCTGAGTCTGTTTCTTAAAACCAAGGCATCCAGCCTTAGTGTTCTCAGAATTTCCAGGCATTTGAGAATCTTAAAGAAGCCACTGAGTCTCACCCCAGAGAAATCACATGCATATAAACAAAAACTTCCATCCAGTTTCAGAGGATTAATGGATTGTATACCCAATCTTCCCCCACCCCACCCCAAGGACAATGGATCTAGGTTATAATTCCTACTCTAGAATCTTCCCCCATACCTCTGTAGAAACCCAGCCGGTTTACAGGGCTGACATTGCAGTGGGAAAAGCAACGGCTCTGAAATCTACTGGGATTGGGTTTGGATTTACCTCTGCCCCTTTCTGTTGGCCTTCGCTTAGTCACTTCTCTCCTTTAGGCTTCGATTTCCTAACAGTAAAATGAGGATCATGATACCTTCAGTGCTGGATAAGTTGGGATAAATGGGATAGAGGCAGATTAAAGGTCAAGCCCAGGGCCAGGAATACAGCATGTGCTAAATAAACCATTATCAGTACTCCCCACCCCTCTTCCACACTACTAAAATTCAGCATGACCCCTGGCGTTAGAACTTGCACCTGTATCCTGAACTCCTCTGTGGAAATTCACTCTTGTGGTTCTAAAACTCCAGCCTTCAGGGCAAGCAGGCTGGCGACAACAGGAGCCTGCTGAGTGTCCTGGCCTTGCCCTTCACCCTTCTTCCTCTCCATCAAGCAGACCATGATTAATAATGGTCAGTCATCACAGCAAATCATTCCTACTGAGCAATGAAGGGACAGAGGGTACCAAAGAGGTCAGGTTTAAGAGAAAAAGCAGAGGCACTTGGAGACACACAAACTTGGCCAGAGAAAGGCTGAGAGATATACAAGATAGAAAGAAAAAGCTGAGAGGAGATAGATCATTTAGAGGGGCAGTGGGCTTAGAGGAGAAGGCACTGGGTCTGGAGTCTAAACACTTAGGTTCTAGGCTCACCGCTAACTGGCTAGCCATATGACCCTGGACAAATCACTTCATCTCTCTACACCCATTTCCTCTTCTGAAGGAGAAGATTGGACTGATGGCTTCTATCCCCTCCTCACTGGCCTTTCTAGGTCAGCTTCCAGGCCTGGAGGTCTGTGCTGAAGTAGCTCTAATTAGGAGGGGACCCCAAGTTAAGGACGAACCCAGAGCAGAGGAAGAGAGGATCAGGCAAAGGCAGGCATGGTGAGAGGAAAGGCAGGAGGTGTTGGGGCCACTGGGAGAGGACTTATAAGGGCAGAAAGAGCCAAGAGAGGAGGGATATTGGGGAGAGTAGAAAGGCCAGCCAAAGAATGACTAAGGGGCTCCCGGTGTAAACAGGAGCAGGGAATGGACAGGGAGGGGGCCTGTTTGAGTTGGCCAAGGCTAGGGGTGGAGTGGGGAGGAGGACTGGGGCAGGACGCTATGTCCCCTGTCCCCCACCAAGGCTCCTGGGAGGAGCTGAGTCACACACCTCCTTCCCTGCACCCCTCCCCACCCCCACCCCTAATCTCCCAAATCCTGGGAAAATCTAAAGAGTTTGCCTAGACTGAGAAAGGAGAGTGTTTGGTTCACACACGTGTTTTGCTGGGCTAAAAAGCAATCAGGCCTCAGCCCTTCTCCTCCCAAAGGGGGTTCCCAGCCCATGGCTTGAGTAGCTCTCACCTAAAGGTTGCCTTTTTGGCAATGCTGGGCTTAAAGATCCTGACCCAGAGATTCCCTGGGTTCCTCACCTAAGAAAGGGTCAGGACTTGCAGATGTGAGAATGGGATACGGGCCAGCATTGCCCCACAGTCTGGCCAGCCAGCCTCTCCCTTGGGCTGCAGCTGGCTCTGGAGGGGGGCTTTTAAAAAAGCAGATGGGTGATTTGGGACAGGAAGTGGAGTAGCAGAGTGAGGGGGAGAGTCATGGCAGGAAAAAAACATTGACTCTGGGCACTCTTATTCTGAGCCTTTCAGCCCGAAGTGGGGCAGGGGACTGGAGAACAGAAGGGACAGGGTTGACAGGATATTATTGACAGGGTATTATTCTGGAAAGTGAGGAGTCCTGGAGGAAAGAGACTGAAAGGACTTGTAGTCCCCTCCCCCAGACTAAGATAAAGGCTAGAATCCTGAAAAGTGATCTCATCACACAGAGCCTGAGCTTGGGGAAGAGGTGGGCAGGGGGTCACTGCCTTCCCTTTCTAGAGTCCCTTCCTCTACTTCCACAGGGGAATCTGGGAAGAATGGGGTCCTGGCTTTCCGCTCCCATTGTTTTTTTGGTTTTTGGTTTTTGGATTTTTTTTTTTTTTTTTTTTTTGGATACAGTCTTGCTCTGTCACCCAGGCTAGAGTGCAGTGGTGCAATCGCGGCTCATTGCAGTCTCTGCCTCCTGGGTTCAAGTAATTATCCTGCCTCAGCTTCCCGAGTAGCTGGGATTACAGGTGCGGACCACCACATCTGGATAATTTTTGTATTTTTAGTGGAGATGGGTTTTGCCATGTTGGCCAGGCTGGTCTTGAACTCCTGGCCTCAGGTGATCTGCTCACCTCGGCATCCCAAAGTGCTGGGATTACAGGTGTGAGCCACCGTGCCTGGCCAGAGCTCCCAGCGTTTACAGCCATTAGGAGCTGAAGGTTGGGTCCCTTTGCAAGACTTTCCACCACCACCACCACCTCTCACAATTCTCCAGGTTTGTAGGAACCCGGCCAGTTTAATCAAGCAGGTACTGAGGGGCCAGCCACTCGCAGGCTTTTGGTCAACTGTCAGATCCAAGGAAGGGGCTCAGCAGAGGTTTACATACCCTAGGACCAAGAAGGGGGCAAACTGGAGCAGAATCCTCCTGATGAATGACCCCAAACTCCTGGGTTTTCAATACTAGCAAGCTTGGAGGAGGAAGCAGCGGAACTTGAGGAGCCCGTGTAGGTCCTCTAGCAAGCTGACTGCGAACGCTGTCTCTGTACCTCAACTGTTGTGTCCCAAATCCAGCTGGCCAGAACCCAGGCACCCGGCGGCCCCGGAAGGCAAGGGGGAATCCCAGTTGGCCGGACGCCAGAGGAGTCTCCTGTCTCTTTAGACCCCAAAGTCTCCTCCCTAAAGCACTGAGGGAGACCCCACACACATATACAGGCTTCCTCCGCCCACCAGAGGTGATTCCTTTCCTCATTAGGAAATTCTCCGCTCCCTTTTCCGACTCGTTTTCCGAGCGTTTACGTTGTACATCTGGAAAGGAATGGGGAGGAAGGAGGGGGAAGCAGAGAGGAGGGGGAAGAACCCAAACCCGCCCAGTCTAACCCAGTCCAGACAACCGGCTTCCAGCTGGGGCTGGGGAAAGGGGGTTGGAGGGGTGCGCCCCCCCCCCACGCCCCTTAGGGGTGGGGGACGCGGGCTCAGAGTTCCAGGGACCCAGGAATGCCCCCCCGCCAGCCCCCTCGGCAGGCGGGGGGAGGGCTCAGCCGGGAGTTTGGCAAACTCCTCCCCGCGTTGAGTCATTCGCCTCTGGGAGGTTTAGGAAGCGGCTCCGGGTCGGTGGCCCCAGGACAGGGAAGAGCGGGCGCTATGGGGAGCCGGACGCCAGAGTCCCCTCTCCACGCCGTGCAGCTGCGCTGGGGCCCCCGGCGCCGACCCCCGCTGCTGCCGCTGCTGTTGCTGCTGCTGCCGCCGCCACCCAGGGTCGGGGGCTTCAACTTAGACGCGGAGGCCCCAGCAGTACTCTCGGGGCCCCCGGGCTCCTTCTTCGGATTCTCAGTGGAGTTTTACCGGCCGGGAACAGACGGGTGAGTGAGGAGGGCTGGAGACGGGATGGGGGTGGGGGAGCCGCCTGGAGACTGGGGGCGCGGCTGGGGTCTGGAGGGGACCAGGGCTTAAGTTTGAGGGTGGAGTTTGTAAGGAATAGAGCTGCAGTTGGGGGCCCTGGCTAGAGTTGGGGGCCCGCGCTGGAGTAGGGAGGGCACCGTGGCGGGTGAGGAGGGGCCCTGGCGTTTGAGATCAGTGGGGAGACATGTGTCCGGTGGGGAGAGGACACGGAGCTGGAGAAGTCTGGGCAGGGGTCTCCGGGCCAAGGGAGAGGAGAGCGCGTGAATGGAGAGCTGAGGGTCTCTGGCTGAAGTCTGTGGGCTGCTGGGACCTGGGGCGGGTGGGGGCGCAGAGGGGGCGCAGAGGCCGGGAAGGGCTTTTGGGGGCTCCAGGAGACCTCGGGATCCGTAGGGGCCATTGTGCGGCGAGAGAACGGGTAGAAGCCGAATGAGCTACGTGTAGTAGGAGGAAAGTCAAAGACTGAGGGGGTCGGAAGGTTAAATGGGGGCCAGCCTCATCCTCCCCTCCCCCCTCAACTCAGACCGGGGAAAGACCCGAGAGAGGACGGCGGCTCCCTCTCCTTTCTCCTCTGTCTCCTACTCCTCCCTCCGCCCCCAATCTCTGTTCAGGCGAGGGGATCCGAGAACTGGGGGCGAGTGCGGGGACCCTGGCACTGGGGCCCTGGGGCTGGGGGCGAACTCAGCCAAGGGCGGGTGCTGGGATGTGTCGGGAGGGGTGTGTGCGCGCGTGAAGGGGGGTGGGCGGTTTCCCTCTTCCTCTGGCTCTTGGGAGGAAGAGAAAAGCTGGTTTCCTGTAGCTGGTCGGCTGGAGCTGTGCTGAGACCGGGACTTCTGGGGCTGGGGTCGGAAGCTGGGGAGACGGGGGCTCCGTGGGGCCAAGAACGTCAGAATGAAGGACTCAGGACCCTGGAAATCTCAAAGGAGGATCCTTATTCCCAACTCAGCACAGTGATAAGCAGACCCGGACCCCGAGTGCCTAGAAAATGGGGTACTGACAGGCTTGGGAAACAGGAGTTAGAGTGGAAGCAACATTAGAACCAAGGGTGTCTGTTTAAATGTGGGATGGCGGGGAGATTGGGAAGCAAGAGAGGTAGGTGGTTGCTCCTGGGCTAGGCCATAGATGCCAGATTCCTGGTCCTCCACAATGACTGGTGTAATCCTTTTTCTTCTACATCTCTGAGCTGGGAGCTTCCTACTGCTCACCCCCACCCCAACCCCAGGATCTCAGGGTTTGAGGGGAATTCTGTCAGAAGCGACCTGTTTTTACACATGAGACAGTTAACTGATCTCTACTCAGTCCCTATAGTTTTTGGAGAAAAGGGGTTAATCTAGCTAATACAACTGGGGAGAAAGGCAAATTCTCCTTTGTCTGGAGGACTTGGGGATGGGAGAAAAGAAAAATGATTAGGCCCCGACTGTTGTTCTGGGCTATTCAAGGTCCCCACCCAACCCCCACCCCACCCCCCTGGCCTTTTGCCCAAACCCCATTGCATCATCACCCTGGCCTGGAGCCTCTGCCAGGCCTGGTCTCCCCCAGGTTCCCTCAAACTTCTTATCACAGCCCTAATGGAGTAGAAAAGAGGGAAGGAGGAAGGGGATGAGGTCTCCTCCCGCAGATCAGAGTATCTAGTTGTCTGGCATTTAACCTTCTCTTTACTCCCCCCTCCCCTAAATTTCCCTTTAAAACACTCCTCTAAAACATCTGGACTTCACACATTCCTGGTCCCCTAGGTGTCTGTCTGGCCCCTGGCCTGATCCTGTAGTCCCTAAAGTCCTCTTCTAAAACAGGACCTAGCTCTCTCATCCCTTCCCCCTCCCCTTCTGCTCATCTCCCCTCCCAAGAGAACCCAGGTGTCCAGCTTGCACTCCTTCCCTCTCATTTCCTATTTACAATACCCTCTTACAGTGGAACATTCTACCTCCCCAGTGACCTCCTCCCACCACAGCTAGGCCTTCACCCCCTTTCCCACAACACAAGACAAACACAGCCCCTCACCTACAGCCATTGCCAAAGAGGGAGAGCCTCAGTGTTCTTGTTCTTCCTGCATCACCTCTTGTGGTGAACACCAAAATAGTATTAAAGGACAGGGCGAGCACCAAAGCAGTTAGATGGTAGGAAAGGGCAAAGCTTTCAGTCAGACAGAGGTAGGTGTGAGTCCCCACTACTTACTAGTTTTTTGCGTGGTACCCTAGTACCTAGGGAGAGGTATTTAAGCTCTTGGAGCCTGGTCTTCCCGTGAAAATCAGACACCTGACTAACGGAGTTCTGAGGACTAAATGAGAAAACATATACAAAAGGAACCTGGTCCACAGAGAGTGATCAATACATGGGCGGCATGGTTTTTATGGGGTAGCTGTTTCTGTTTCTGGTTCTCTCCTTCCTGGCTACCGCCTAGTTCCCTCATTTCTTACTTGCTTTGAGTATTTGCTTATACTAGTGATAGTAACAATAGTCTGTCATATTCCTTTAGCACTTTCATATCGATTTTTCCATTGGATTGTAACAAAAATCCTTGTGTTAAAGCAAAGGAAGCATTATTGCCCCATTTTTAGATATACAAAAACTGAGGCTGGCCAGGTGCAGTGGCTCACGCCTGTAATGCCAGCACTTTGGGAGGCGGAGGTGGGTGGATCACCTGAGGTCAGGAGTTCGAGACCAGCCTGGCCAACATGGTGAAACCCCATCTCTACTAAAAATAAAAAAATTAGCCGAGCGTGCTGGCACGCACCTGTAATCCCAGCTACTCGGGAAACTGAGGCAGGAGAATCCCTTGAACCTGGGAGGCAGAGATTGCAGTGAGCTGAGATCACATCTGTACTGAGCGACCCCAGACTGGGCGACAGAGTGAGACTCCATCTCAAAAAAACAACAACAAACAAACAAAAAATAAAAACAACTGAGGCTTCAGGAGTCATAGAAATTTTGAACCAGAAGTTAGTTTAGGAAACATTCAAGGGAAATCCATCATTTTATGCCAGAGAATCCAAAGCTTGAAGAGAGGCAGTGACTTGGCCCAGGACACTTGAAAGCTTGAGAGGCAGGCCAGTCTCAGCTCAGCTCCTTGTTCCCTTCTGCAACTGCCACAAGTGGAGACAGCTGTTCTTCCCCAGCCAATCATACATATCCCTTGTGAATGCACTAGGGGACCCCAAACCAGGTGTCCTCCTCTGGCCTGGCCCATGCTGCTGTAGGACCTGTAGGAGCTGGGCGCTGGTCCACTTGCTGCTCTCCACCCCTGACCTTGTCAGGCCAACAGAGTCAAACAGTAACCCAGTATTGAACTGGGACTTGGTTAATCAAAAGCTGGGGAGATAGCAGATATGAGAGGAGGGAATAAGTTGGCAATGGGGTAGACTAGAATGCTGTCGTAGAAATCAGGATTCCTGATTTCTGCTTCATATTCTGGGAGGGATTATGAGTGACCTAAGCCCATTACTTAACTCCTCTGAGATAGTTTTCCCATCTGCAGAATGAGAACATGGGACGAGGTGAGCAGCTTTGAACTTTTTCTTAGGGAGTGTCAGAACGAGGCCAGTCTGCCTTTATGCCATGTGGCCTCAGGCACCTACAGTGAAGTCTTAAAACCAGTGGATGCTCTCTACAGTGCCTTCTAGCTGTGGTAGTCTGTGTCTCCAAGGACCAACCCTTCCATTTCTGAGGCTTCAGAATAAATTCTGGCAGTTATTTCTTCTCTCAGACTCTATTTCAGAAAAGTGTACCTGCCAACCTGCATTTAGTAAGAAATAATGAATTCCTTTTCTCATTCTTTTTATTTTTATTTTTTATTTTTTTGAGACGGAGTTTCGCTCTTGTTGCCCAGTCTGGGATGCAATGGCGCAATCTCGGCTCACCGCAACCCCCACCTCCCTGGTTCAAGCGATTCTCCTGCCTCAGCCTCCTGAGTAGCTGGAATTACAGGCATGTGCCACCACGCCCAGCTAATTTTGTATTTTTAGTAGAGACGGGGTTTCGCCATGTTGGTCAAGCTGGTCTCAAACTCCCGACCTCAGGTGATCTGCCTGTCTCAGCCTCCCAAAGTGCTGGGATTACAAGCGTGAGCCACCACGCCTGGCCGTTGTTGTTGTTGTTGTTGTTGAGAAGGAGTCTCGCTCTGTCTCTGGACTGGAGTGTAGTGGCGTGATCTCGGCTCCCTGCAAGCTCCGCCTCCCAGGTTCATGCCATTCTCCTGCCTCAGCCTCCCTAGTAGGTGGGACTACAAGCGCCCGCCACCACGCCCGGATAATTTTTTTGTATTTTTAGTAGAGACGGAGTTTCACCATGTTAGCCAGGATGGTCTCGATCTCCTGACCTCGTGATCTGCCCGTCTCGGCCTCCCAAAGTGCTGGGATTACAGGCGTGAGCCACCGCACCTGGCGCTTTTCTCATTTTTTATTAACCAAAAACATCTATAGCTGCCAATCAGAGTTTCTGACCAGCATGAGATAACCAGGTTCCCACATAAGTTGATATAATTCCAGCCAAAAGCAAATACACTTGAGGTTTTAATTAGCCTAGGCCACCTTATCTGGTAAATGCATGATTTCCGTTAGGCTTTCTGAAATATTGAAAATAGCACACGGACCCTCCATTGTTACCTTCTTAGACCCCTAAAAGTGCCCAACTGCTGCAGGATTTAGGAAGCAGGAAAAAGATGTGGGAAAATAAGGACAAACTAGCTTGCATGCCATCCATGGCACCAGTCACCTCACTTGGCGTGTTGGCAGGGGAGGCACTATTTATTGGATTGACTTTAGGTTGCTGGGATGGAAGGGCCACTGCCTGTCCAGGAATAAGCCATGGGTAGTGTGCCGGGAGGAAAGGAGGCCTAGGTCTGTGTCCCTTGCCTGCATGCCAGGTATCCTGAACCATCGCACAGCCGGAATGGATATGCCCCTGGCTTGTGGGCTTTACAAGCTTTGTAAACTCTCTGTCTTGCAACCCTGCTAAACTCCAGGCTACTTCCTCAGGCCACCCCAGGAGTGTCAGGCTCAGCTCCTCTCCAAGAGCAGTGGGTGTTGGAGAAATTGGCAGCAGGAATAGGGTCCCTTGGCCTTAGCCCTGTGCTCCAGGAAACTTTGAGAGAACCTCTTCTTCACCCAGAGGAAGAGGGAGAGGGTATTGCCCAAGTCCACAGTTAGTGCCTGAACCAGAACTCTTGGCTCCTGGTCCAGTGCTCCTTTCACTGCTTCCTGTACCTCTGCTGTTCTGGTCTAGTTCAGGTTGGTGGCCCTTTCTGCTTTCTAGAGCCTGAAGGCAGCAACCAAGTTCTCTGGGGGCTGCCCCTGCTGAGAGAGGGGTCTCCTTCTCTCACATCACCCAGCCCTAGGGCGGTGCAGCCAGACCCCACAAGTGGATGTCATGCCTAAGTGAGAAGGGTGGGGCCTGGCACGGAGGTGGGGGTGTGGGAGACAAACGGAGAAGTGAGAGGTTGGAAACAGACAGGAAGCCACAGGCAGTAAACATTTCCTGTCCCCAGAGTAACGGAGACTGGCACCTCCCCTCCCCACCCCTCCTAACTTCAGGAGCTCTCCCTCTTCAGCCTACCCATCTCCTATTCCTCTGGACCCTGCCTTCTCTCCCCTCCATTCTCACCACTGGCCCTCACAGACCCCTCCTCACTCTCCTCTTCCGTCCCCTCGGACCTGTCCTCTCTGCTGCTTCCATCCCCTATACCTCCTGGGCCACTCCTCCCCGCCTCAGTATACCTGGTCTTCTTGGAAAATACCCCCAGCTCTTGTGACCTCTACCATAATCCTTCACTTTGGGCCTTCTTGCCTAGTGAGAAAGCTGAGGAAGGTATTCAAATATCAGGGAAAGGGTAGGTATTGGACGGGTTGAAAGCTGAAAGTGAACAGAAACCAATAGAGATGGAGAAATGTAAAATCTGAGATAGAGAGATAGGATTCAAAAACCAAAACCAAGAGAGCAAGCAGTCATAGGGGCAGAGGGACAGAGGGATTGAGAAGCAGTGCCAGAGGCAGACACAGAGCAGAGCAGAGGCCAAGGCTGGCAGGAGCACTGGTCCAGAGGCTGGGTCGAGTTGCCCAGGCTGCCAGATACAAGTCCTGGCAGGAGACCCTTAGGGGAAACCAAGAGAGCCAAGAGCGGTGTGGAGGTCTTGGAGGCAAGAGACCTAGGGATGAATGAGGCAGAGCTGACGGCAGGAGGACTGCCCAGGCCCTTAGCTATGACCACCCCATTACACAGGGCAAACTTCCCCTCATATCAGGGGGAACAGAAGCACTGTGTCCAGAACTGGGACCCCGGTAGAGCAGACTCTGAATTCAGTCAGCTGGGGGTGGTCTATGGGAAAGGGGTTCAAGGGCTGAAACACAGACCCAGCCAGGAAGGGGAGGCCCACACCAGGGCCGGGGTGAGGGCAGGCCCAGGCCCAGTGGAACAATCTGTTTTCACTGTCCTCCAGCTCCTCTCTCCACTCCTGCTGCCTGATTTCCAAGACTCACATTTTCCTCCTACACGCCCCAAGGCTGGGTGGCTGGGCAGCCGGATGCCTGGGTCTTGGCCCAGGGAGGGGATTTGGCTTGGGAGGAGAGTATATAGGCTAGATGAGAGACCCTGAGGCTCCACAGGACCTTGGCGCTCCAGAAGCTATACATCTAATCTCAGCAGGTACGTAGAGGAGAGGGAGAAGCCAGGGGTACAGGCTCTGGCCCCTCTTCCCCTTCTAGAAATTGACTGTGGTTCCTCCTCTCTTTATGAACAGGATAAGGTAGGAGAGGACAGAGAATGGCGGGAGGAGGGGAGGGTTGTGTTAGTGACAGCGGCACATGGGGACCGCCTGACTCCAGCCTGTGCCTCTGGCATCTGTGGCATCTTCTGAGATATAAATACAACGCAGGGGGCATCTACTCCACCCCCAGCCAGCCCCAGCCTAGAGGCCTGGGTCCTTCCTGCCTCCAGACACCAATGAAAAGCTAGGAGCCATCCTCAACTGCCTCGCTTTTCCCCCCCACAGGGTCAGTGTGCTGGTGGGAGCACCCAAGGCTAATACCAGCCAGCCAGGAGTGCTGCAGGGTGGTGCTGTCTACCTCTGTCCTTGGGGTGCCAGCCCCACACAGTGCACCCCCATTGAATTTGACAGCAAAGGTAGGCCAGTGAAATTCAGGGAGGGACTGGGGGGTGGGACTGCAGCCTGGGGGCAAGGCCTGGGTGGGGCCTGGGGCGAGGGGTGGAGCCTGCTGGAACCCCGGCCACGTGACCTCTCAGCACCAGCTCTGGTGCTCCAACTGCTTACAGTGGATCCCCATGGCACTCACTCCACTCTCCCATCCAGCCCAGCCCAAGGAGGACGGGCATGATTCAGAAACATGTGGCTCTCATTTCCCCTGAATCACCCACAATTCTGGGAGGCCAGGGCCGTAACACAGACAAAGACAGGGAATGTTGCACAAACTATTCAGTTCCTTTAACTAAGTACTGACTAAGTGACAGTGCATGACAGGCACTGTGCTGGTGCTGCAGGGACTGAAAGATGACTAAGCCACTGCCCTCAAGGAGCTCAAGGTCTGAGTAGACACAGATGGATGGGAGGAAGATGGAGACTAACAGCTATCAGTTGCTCTGTGCCAGGCCCAGTTGTGAACACTTTACATATATTAGTTCACTTAATCTTTTCAACAACTGTATAAGGTATTATTATCCCCATTTTCTAAGTGAGGAGACAGAGGGTAAGTAGCTTATCCAAGGTTATACAGCTAGCAAACATTGGAGAGAGGATATGAACTAGGGCCATCTGTCTCCAGAAATAAAAACTGGACAGGCTGGGCACGGTGGCATGTGCCTGTAATCCCAGCACTTTGGGAGGCCGAGGCAGGAGGATCACTTGGTCCCAGGAGTTCAAGACCATCCTGGCCAACATAGTGAGACCCTGTCTCTACCAAAAACATTAGACAGAGCTGGGTGTGGTGGCTCATGCTTGTAATCCCAGCACTTTGGGAGGCCAAGGCAGGTGGATCACCTGAGGCCAGGAGTTTGAGACCAGACTGGCCATCATGGCAAAACCCCGTCTCTACTGAAAATACAAAAATTAGCCGGGCATGGTGGCACTTGCCTGTAATCCCAGCTACTTGGGAAGCTGAGGCACAAGAATTGCTTGAACTCAGGAGGCAGAGATTGCAGTGAGCTGAAATCATGTCACTGCACTCCAGCGTGGGCTACAGAGAAAGACTCTGTCTCAAGAAAAAAAAAAAAAAAATTAGCCAGGCATAGTGGTGAGCACTTGTAGTCCCAGCTACTCGGGAGGTTGAGGTGGGAGAATCACTTGAGTGATTCTCCGTCACTGCAGCCAAGGCTGCAATGAGTGCTACTTGCCCCACTGCCCTGTAGCCTGAGTGACAGAGCAAGACCCTGTTTAAAAAAAAAAAAAAATTAAAATAAACCTGGTCAACATGGCAAAACCCCATCTGTACAAAAAACACAAAAATTAGTTGGGTATAGTTTCCACCCACTTGGGGGGCTGATGTGGGAGGATCACTTGCACCCAGGAGGTCAAGGTTGCAGTGAGCCATAATCACGCCACTGCACTCCAGCCTGGGCAACAGAGTGAGACCCTATCTCAAAAAAAAAAAAAAAAGGAGGTGGAACAAGATGGTGTTAGAGACACAGTCCAAGTATAGACAAAGAAGTGCAGCCAAAGGGTTACTCTCTTGGGAAATAGCCACTGTTCCCCACCATCCTCCTGCCCCTGCTCCACAGCAGGCATCCTTGTCTCAGTTGGGTGAGAAAGCAGGAACCTTGGGGAGGCAACTCTAGAAAGCCCAGGTTCTACGCGGGCGCAGTGGCTCACGCTTGTAATCCCAGCACTTTGGGAGGCTGAGGCGGGCAGGTCATGAGGTCAGGAGTTCGAGATCAGCCTGACCAACATGATGAAACCCCGTCTCTACTAAAAATACAAAAATTAGCCAGGTGTGGTGACGCGCACCTGTAATCCCAGCTACTGAGGAGGCTGAGGCAGGAGAATCCCTTGAACCAGGGAGGCGGAGGTTGCACTGAGCCGAGATCATGCTACTGCACTCCAGCCTGGGTGACAGAGTGAGACTCCATCTCAAAAAAAAAAGAAAGCCCAGGTTCTGTGTGCGTGTGCGTGCGTGTGTATGTATGTGTGTGTGTGTATGTGTATGTGTGTAGTGGAGAGATAAGTCAGGCTACACAAACAGACTACACAAAGCAGAATTAAGCTCCTTACCAATTCCACACTCCCAGCGAGTCATGGAGTCTCAGGGCTTGGAAGCGTTTGTTGGGTATCCCCAGGCTGAGGGTAGGGGCTGCCCTAGAGCTCAAATGTCCATGGCTCAGTAAGACTCCCCCTTCTCACTTCCACAAGGCTCTCGGCTCCTGGAGTCCTCACTGTCCAGCTCAGAGGGAGAGGAGCCTGTGGAGTACAAGTCCTTGCAGTGGTTCGGGGCAACAGTTCGAGCCCATGGCTCCTCCATCTTGGTGAGGGGCCAGCAAGCTCAGTGGTGTGGTGGCCAGGGGATGGGCAGTGGTTGGGTAAGGCCGGGCCTGGAGGGAGGGAGGAAGGGCCTTATTGGACTGAATCTGAAGGCCCCTCCTCCTGGGCCCTCCCAGGCATGCGCTCCACTGTACAGCTGGCGCACAGAGAAGGAGCCACTGAGCGACCCCGTGGGCACCTGCTACCTCTCCACAGATAACTTCACCCGAATTCTGGAGTATGCACCCTGCCGCTCAGGTAGGGGCAAGAGGGGGCCTGTGCCCCATGTCTGCCTTCTCATATACTTGAAGTGTCTCACATACTTAGGGTTGACTCGCACCTACCATGTGCCCCCATGAGGTTCTAGGTTGCTTAAGATAAAGGCTAACCCAGTTCGTTAGCCTTTATGCTTACTGTCTGGTCCAGGAAGGCCCTTTCTCTGGTTCTCTCTCCCACCTCCTTCCCTATGCCCTCTCTTCTTTCCTGGATGACCCATCTATGCAGGGCTCATTTTCACCACCTTCTCCCCTCACAGATTTCAGCTGGGCAGCAGGACAGGGTTACTGCCAAGGAGGCTTCAGTGCCGAGTTCACCAAGGTGAGAGAGTGGTCTGGGAGAGAAGGGGCCGTGGGTGGTGGACATGGGGGGATTGGGACCAGATGTTGGACTCCCCTCCTTTCACCCACAGACTGGCCGTGTGGTTTTAGGTGGACCAGGAAGCTATTTCTGGCAAGGTAAGTCCTGTCTCTGCCATTCTTTTTTTTTTTTTTTTTTTTTTTTGAGACGAAGTCTCACTCTGTCACCCAGGCTGGAGTGCAGTGGCACAACCTCTGCTGCCCAGGTTCAAGCGATTCTCCTGCCTCAGCCTCCCAAGTAGCTGGGATTACAGGCGCCTGCCACCGCGCCTGGCTAATTTTTGTAATTTTAGTAGAGAAGGGGTTTCACCATCTTGGCCAGGCTGGTCTTGGACTCCTGACCTCGTGATCCACCCCTCTTGGCCTCTCAAAGTGCTGGGATTATAGGCATGAGCCGCCGCGCCCTGCCTGTTTCTGCCATTCTTTAAGTCCCCTGGCACATAGCCTCCCACCCTACTCCCAATTCTCCTCTTCCTTTCCTGAAGCTTACATGCCACCACCCTCCCCATGCTTCCCTTTCTTGAACCAGACTTCTGAAATACTACCCAGTCAGCCCCCAGAGTCCCAAGCCCCCTCTGCCACTTCCTCTCCATCTACTCCCTCTTCATACTCTCTCCAGGCCAGATCCTGTCTGCCACTCAGGAGCAGATTGCAGAATCTTATTACCCCGAGTACCTGATCAACCTGGTTCAGGGGCAGCTGCAGACTCGCCAGGCCAGTTCCATCTATGATGACAGCTACCTAGGTGAGCAAGCAAGTGGGGAAGGGATGGCAGAGGGAGAACCTCAAGTGCTCCTGTCCCCACTCACCCCCTCGCCTCCCCTCTCCTACTCAGGCATCCCCAGCACCCCTGCCATACTTGTCATGTGCCTGCTGACTATGAAGGCCCAGTAGGGGTGGGGAAGGGATTGGTGGATAGGCCAGAGCAGAGGGGTCCTCAAAGCAGGAATCCTAACATCCACCCACCCTGTCCCCCAGGATACTCTGTGGCTGTTGGTGAATTCAGTGGTGATGACACAGAAGGTGAGTGTGTCCCCAGGCTGGGGCCAAGGGAGGGGGATGGTTAGAGGCACAGGGCCAGAGAGCCCATGAACTTGGCCACTTACCATTATCTGCTTCCCTTTCCCCACCCTTAGGTCACAACTTTCTCTTCTCTTTGCAGACTTTGTTGCTGGTGTGCCCAAAGGGAACCTCACTTACGGCTATGTAAGACCCAGCCTGACCCCTCACTTCCTCTCCTCCCCTGCCTAATCACAAAGAACCGTGCATGGCAGTTTGCAAGGGCTCAAAAAGGTGGATCAGAACATGGGCTCTGGAGGCAGACTGGCATTCAAGTTCTGGCACTTACTCTGGCAGAATCATTCTGCTCTTTATTCATACTCTGCTTCCTGCTGAACCTCTCTGAGCCTTCTTCTTCTCTGTATACTGGGATAACAATCGTTCTGACCTCACGAGGCTCTGGCAAGGATGAAATGAGAAAATGCATGTGAAAGTACTCAGTGAATTGTTAGGCAATGTACAACTGGCAGATGTTATTATTAGACCAGGACAAGTGCTTTTTAAAAGATACAGATAAGAGTGCCATCGGATTTCATTCAATTAACAACATTTATTAAGGCAAGGTAAGAGATAAGATGAATAAGGTATCATACCCCATCTTATAAGATGCTTCTAATCAAGTATGTTAGATAAGACACACATACAATTATGATCTAAAGTGGAGCAACTATTCATTCTCTACTCAGTGCATCAGGCACTATCTATTCATGATTTCTATTCTTCACAACAAGCCTATGGGGTAGATATTATCATCTGTATTTTGCATATGAGAACACTGAGGTTCTAAGAGACCAAGTAAGTTGCTTAAGATCACCCAGTTAGTAAGTAGGTTTAAAATCAGGTCTCTCTTAATCCAAAATCAGCATTCTTTCTGCATTTTGGTAAACTTCAGCAAAGTGGATACAGTGGCATAGCAGTTTAGGGGAAAGAATAATCTCCTTTCTAGGAAAAGGATGGTAACAAGTTTGGGGAGTCAGGAAATAAAAATTTTAAATTTTTAAAAAGGAAGAGGACAGATGAGAGAAGGTTCTATGAAGGTTCAGCAGAGATGAGGCAGGAGGGCATCCTGTGCAGGAGCATGAATGAGGTGGAAGAAAAGGAAACAATTTCAGCCCAACTTAGCAGACTCATGAGCTGATTGAGGATGAGTAGAATATGGAAAGGTTGAGCAAAAACAGATAGGTTAGGGCCAGATTCTCCAGAGCTTTGGAGGACCAGCCAAGAAGTTGAGACTTTGGGCAGTGACTGCAGGGGGCCACTGGATTTCCAAGCCAGAGGTAGCCTCCTAGATCTGCTGGGAGAGCTGGAGGCAGGGACATTGTCAAGACATCTGTCCAGCAGTCCTGGGAAAGGGCTCACACCAGGATTCAAGAGGCCTGGTGGGGCCAGTCACTAAGGGAATATAGGGGAGAAATGGTGTTTGTGGTTCGGGGGACTGGAGGATGAGGATGACTTAGGTTTTGAACGTGATGGGTTTGAGGCACCAGCACACATTCAGTCATAATTATTATTGAGTGCCTACTACTCACCAAGCATGACTTTAGGTTCTGAGGAGAAAGCAAAGAACAAAATCAAGTTCCTGCCCCTATTGATCTTACATTCTAGTGGGTAGAGAGGGACAACGAACAGATAAATACAAAATCTGTCAGTGGTTGGTGATTGATAGGGAGAAAAATAGTGAAGCAGACATAGGGTGGAACTACCTGGCATAGAGGTGGGAATATGAGGGCAAAGCTGAAGAGGGAGCTAGGGACAGTGGTCTGCGTCTCTAAGGAATGCCTGCCCCTGGGTGTCCTGTACACATCTGTTCTTTAACCATGGGATATTCTGGGAGTCCAGGACCAATGGGCCTATCTCTTCATCTCCCAGGTCACCATCCTTAATGGCTCAGACATTCGATCCCTCTACAACTTCTCAGGGGAACAGGTAAGGATACCCCTCAACCCCACCCCAGCTTGGCCTCTGTCAACGAAGCCCCAGCCCTGACCTAATAATGTCAGCCCAACTTCCCAGCCCCTCTTGATCCTGTGGATTGAACCTTCTAGTTCTGACCCAGCGCTGCCCCTTTGTCCTCCCCAGATGGCCTCCTACTTTGGCTATGCAGTGGCCGCCACAGACGTCAATGGGGACGGGTGAGTGGTGGGAAATGAGCGCACTGTGATACCCTCCCAGAACCAAGAGGGAAGAGTGGGAATGGGACAGAAAATGCAAGGAGAGTTTCTCCAGGGCTTTTTCTCTAGACTCTCGCTCATACCTGCATTCCCCTTGCTCAGGGACAAGGAAAGAGCTGAGAGCTGATGATCAGAGACCTCAGGTCTTCTGACGTGATGGAATTCAGAGTGTCCGGGATTTCTAGCACTAGGATTGGGGTGGGGTGGCAAGACAGGGTATCGAGATGCCTGGGTTTGCCCTTCCCCTCAGGCTGGATGACTTGCTGGTGGGGGCACCCCTGCTCATGGATCGGACCCCTGACGGGCGGCCTCAGGAGGTGGGCAGGGTCTACGTCTACCTGCAGCACCCAGCCGGCATAGAGCCCACGCCCACCCTTACCCTCACTGGCCATGATGAGTTTGGCCGATTTGGCAGCTCCTTGACCCCCCTGGGGGACCTGGACCAGGATGGCTACAATGGTGAGTACCATGGGCTCAGAGAGTGAAAGAGGAGGCAGGGGCCCAAGTCAGAAGGGATTTGGGGAGAGGGCATCTGTCAGCTAAGATACCCAGACCTCCACGACTTCCCGAGGGGTTAAAATCCCACTGTCTGGGTCTTGGGATTTGAAGATTAGAATATAGGGACTGACAGATGGGAAAAAATAGGATCCTAGGTCCTGGGGTCTGGTAGTAGAGATTAGAGCCCATGGATTCCTGGCCTGCTGACTAGTGTGTGTTCTGTGTCTTCCAGATGTGGCCATCGGGGCTCCCTTTGGTGGGGAGACCCAGCAGGGAGTAGTGTTTGTATTTCCTGGGGGCCCAGGAGGGCTGGGCTCTAAGCCTTCCCAGGTTCTGCAGCCCCTGTGGGCAGCCAGCCACACCCCAGACTTCTTTGGCTCTGCCCTTCGAGGAGGCCGAGACCTGGATGGCAATGGATATCCTGGTGAGTTGTGCCTGAGGCCCCTTTTCACCTTAAAATTCCCTGGTCACTGACCCCTACTCTCTCTTCTGCACCTTTCCTTAAGTTCCTGGGTGCAGTTCTGGCTAATTCCAACAGAGGGCGCTGTCTTCTCACTTCAACCTCCCTGAGCGTTGAAACCAGGAGGGGTTAGGAAGAAAGGATCCTGATCTGGGGCTTGCTGTAAGAGGTGATTTCTTGACTTCTTACAGATCTGATTGTGGGGTCCTTTGGTGTGGACAAGGCTGTGGTATACAGGTATGAGCTCCAAAGGGAGATGAGGGGACAACCTGGGTGGACTGGAACTGGAAATTTCTCAACAGAGCTGAGGTTGGGAAAATCAATGCAGAGGACACACATTCTGGCGCTTGGGCATCAGTTTCCTGTGTCCAGGTTACAGAGGAGTCCTAATTCTATTGACCCCACATTCACTCTTGGCAGGGGCCGCCCCATCGTGTCCGCTAGTGCCTCCCTCACCATCTTCCCCGCCATGTTCAACCCAGAGGAGCGGAGCTGCAGCTTAGAGGGGAACCCTGTGGCCTGGTGAGCTGGTGCCCAGGAAATTGCAGAGACCTGAGCCTGGGAGTGGGCAGGGGCACCAAGTCTGCCTTAAAAAGGGGAAAATGGTGGTGTCCTAGTCTGGGTCTGGCTGGGAGATAGGTAGAGGATAGGATGTCTGTTCCAGTTGGATTCACCAGCTTTCTTCTTGGTCTCTCTCCAGCATCAACCTTAGCTTCTGCCTCAATGCTTCTGGAAAACACGTTGCTGACTCCATTGGTGAGGGAGACTGCCTGGATCTCTCAGGCCCTAGGACAGAGAATGAAGGGACTGGGGACCTGGGGACATTTCTTCTCTCTGAAAAGATGAGGAAAGACAGGCAGTTTCCCTTTATATGTCCCTGGCTTCAGGTTTCACAGTGGAACTTCAGCTGGACTGGCAGAAGCAGAAGGGAGGGGTACGGCGGGCACTGTTCCTGGCCTCCAGGCAGGCAACCCTGACCCAGACCCTGCTCATCCAGAATGGGGCTCGAGAGGATTGCAGAGAGATGAAGATCTACCTCAGGGTATGGCCCAGAGGGCGGGGTGTGGACTGGCCAGGGAGGGTGGCCACACAGAACTGAGGGCACCTCCTGAAGGGAAAAAGACTGGGGGACTCCAGTGAAGGGCTTGGGACTCTTGTAGGGGCTGAGAAAGGGAGACCTTCTGTCAGAGGAGCTGGGAAGCAGGCTGCCAGGGCCTCTGAAACAATGAGGATGGTCGGAATTGGGCCCTAAGCAGACAAAGGGAGATGAGAGAGGCTGAGGAGCAGGGCCACTAAGTCTCCAGAGTCCCCTGACTCCGTGAACTCTCTCCTCTGGCCCCAGAACGAGTCAGAATTTCGAGACAAACTCTCGCCGATTCACATCGCTCTCAACTTCTCCTTGGACCCCCAAGCCCCAGTGGACAGCCACGGCCTCAGGCCAGCCCTACATTATCAGAGCAAGAGCCGGATAGAGGACAAGGTGAGGACAGGGCAGGGAGAAGGGACCTGGGAAGACAGAGGCCTGGGTATTGGGGGGGCAGGGCCATGGAAAGAGAAGAGCCTACAGCCCAGGAATGGGTCTAAACTTCCCCTCTCAAGGCTGCCCTGCTCCCCAGGCTCAGATCTTGCTGGACTGTGGAGAAGACAACATCTGTGTGCCTGACCTGCAGCTGGAAGTGTTTGGGTAAGTAGGGCTGACGGTAAGCTAGGGAGCTCCAGGTGCACCTGGCACCTGAAAAAATCAGCTAGGGACATACTAGCTGTGTCGCCTTGGGAAGTTGCTGAGCTGCTCTGAGCTTTAACTCCTTTGTCTGTATAGTGGGAATAGTAGCATTTATTTCTCAGACTTTTTGGAAAGATTAAATGAAATAATCTACATAAAAAATCTAGCCTAGTGCCTGCCATAGAGTTAGAACTCAGTAAGCAGTGTCTATTGTTACTTTATTATTACTCTTTTTTTTTTTTTGAGACGGAGTCATGCCCTTGTCACCCAGGCTGGAGTGCAGTGGCGCAATCTCGGCTCACTGCAACCTCCGCCTCCCAGGTTCAAGCGATTCTCTGCCTCAGCGTCCCAAGTAGCTGGGATTACAGGTGCCTGCCACCATGCCGGGCTAATTTTTTTATTATTATTTTTAGTAGAGACAGGGTTTCATCATCTTGGCCAGGCTTGTCTTGAACTCCTGACCTCGTGATCCACCCGCCTCAGCCTCCCAAAGTGCTGGGATTACAGGTGTGAGCCACCACACCCGGCCTCGTATTACTACTCTTATAATGGTCCTTTGTCCTGGTTTGAGGATTAATTCACCAATGTCCCTTACCCTCTGTGTCCCTTCCAGGGAGCAGAACCATGTGTACCTGGGTGACAAGAATGCCCTGAACCTCACTTTCCATGCCCAGAATGTGGGTGAGGGTGGCGCCTATGAGGCTGAGCTTCGGGTCACCGCCCCTCCAGAGGCTGAGTACTCAGGACTCGTCAGACACCCAGGGGTGAGATGAGACTCTCGAGTGGGATTTGGGAGGATACCCCTCTAGAGGGGACACCAAAACCTGACCAGTGCCCACCCCATCTCCAGAACTTCTCCAGCCTGAGCTGTGACTACTTTGCCGTGAACCAGAGCCGCCTGCTGGTGTGTGACCTGGGCAACCCCATGAAGGCAGGAGCCAGTGTAAGTTTGGGATGAAAGAGGATGGGACAGAGGGAGAGCAGACCTGAGGGCGGTAACCAGCCAGCCGAGAGCACAGCTGTGAGGTGCGGAGGGAGGGTGAAATACACAGTCTAACTGCCCTCTTTTCCTCTTTTTCTGTCCCCAGCTGTGGGGTGGCCTTCGGTTTACAGTCCCTCATCTCCGGGACACTAAGAAAACCATCCAGTTTGACTTCCAGATCCTCAGGTAGGGAGTGAGTGTGTCTAGGCTGGGGCTGAGCTGGGGACGGAAGGGAGGGCTGGGCGCCATTCTCACTGGCTGCACTCCAGCACCTCAGTCTTGCCTCCATCCCACAGCAAGAATCTCAACAACTCGCAAAGCGACGTGGTTTCCTTTCGGCTCTCCGTGGAGGCTCAGGCCCAGGTCACCCTGAACGGGTCAGTGCCAGGCAAAATGGGGTCTTTCTGAGAGGGGACACAGACTTCTAGGGAAGGATGCATATGGGGTTCCTTCCACCCTCCTCTAAACCACCCTCCTCCTTAGTGTCTCCAAGCCTGAGGCAGTGCTATTCCCAGTAAGCGACTGGCATCCCCGAGACCAGCCTCAGAAGGAGGAGGACCTGGGACCTGCTGTCCACCATGTCTATGAGGTAAGGGGGGAAGGGGCAGGGCCAGAATGAATGATGGGAAAGGAGGAGCTAATATGAGTGACAGATGGCTGGAACCCATGTGAGGGACTGAGAGAAAGAGAGGAGGGAGGAGTAAGTGATATGCAAAGGCATGAGGCAGAGTCCTGTGAGAAACAGCCAGAGGAGAGACAGGCCAATTGAGTGGCTTGGAAAGAAAGATGGAGCCCCCTCCAAAAGTGTTGGCTAGAGAGGATTTCACCTCTGCCCATTGCTTCCCTGCTTCATCTCTGAGATAGGAGCCTGACAGCAGGGTATAGTGGAGCCATGGTGATCCAGGGTCTCAATGGGGCAGAAGCATTCCCTTCCTTCTCATGATGATTGTGCTCTTCCCTCCTCAGCTCATCAACCAAGGCCCCAGCTCCATTAGCCAGGGTGTGCTGGAACTCAGCTGTCCCCAGGCTCTGGAAGGTCAGCAGCTCCTATATGTGACCAGAGTTACGGGACTCAACTGCACCACCAATCACCCCATTAACCCAAAGGGCCTGGAGGTGAGATCCTGAACACTGGCATGGGGAAGAGGAGCAGATTCAGAGGACCAAGGCTGAGGGGTTGGGGAAGGTTGCTGGGGGCCTGCAAGAGGCAATGAGGATGTGCCTATAGCTAGGGTTGAGGGTCACAAGGCCCAAAGTTACCTCAAAATCCTCTGGAGGAAAAAGGACTTTCATCCACTGTGTTTCTTTCTGCCTGAACTATCCCTTCTTTGTTTCCCGGCATACCCCTAGGGCCCAGTTATGTGCCACCTCCTCTAGGAAGCCTTCTTCAAACCTTTTCCTCTGGGCCCGAATGCCTGTTTTATAGTTCATTTACTCATTAACATCTAATTAAATAAGTGACTGTACTGAACACTGTTAGGCCCAGGAAATATTGCACCAAACAGAACTGACAAGGTCTCCACGTTCATGGAACTTACATTCTAGTGAAGGGTGATAGACATAGAAAAGAAAAAGAGAAGGAGAAAAATTAACAGGGATTGAAAGGTGATGAAGTGAAGAGTTAATAAGCTGTAGGGACACTATTTAAATTGGATCATAGAAAAACCTCTTGAAGACGTCACAGCTGAACTGAGGCCTGAAAGATAAGGTTGAACCTGTCTATAAGACTCAGGGATGAGCATTCCAAACCAAGGGAACATCCAGTGCAAAAACAGGAACACAGACCTAATTATTTACTTAAGCATCTCCTCCAGTGTGATCTCCAAGAACCAAGTTTTCCTCATTTCCATATTTTAACCCTGAGCTCAGTGCCTTGCGCATAGGAGGTGGACAGTTGGATGAATCAATAAAGAGATAGATGAAAGAATAGGTTGAAGCTGCTCTGGAACCCAGGTGCAAGCTGACTTAGAAGCTGTAATGAGATGGGAAAGGGGCCCAACACTTTCTTTTATAGTTGGATCCCGAGGGTTCCCTGCACCACCAGCAAAAACGGGAAGCTCCAAGCCGCAGCTCTGCTTCCTCGGGACCTCAGATCCTGGTAAGTCAGGCAGGGAATGAGGTGTGGACCAAAGTGTTGAGTACTCTGGGGTTCTCAGGGCCATCACAAGGGCAGAACACCAGGTTCAAGCTTCTTTCTTCCTAGAAATGCCCGGAGGCTGAGTGTTTCAGGCTGCGCTGTGAGCTCGGGCCCCTGCACCAACAAGAGAGCCAAAGTCTGCAGTTGCATTTCCGAGTCTGGGCCAAGACTTTCTTGCAGGTGAGGGAGCCTTACCTCAGCCCTGACCCCTGACCTTTGGGCCTGCTTAGACTGACCCACCCCTTTCTCCACTGCAGTAGCCACCTCTCCTTTGGTGAATGGGACCCAGCACTCCAGCTCCCCTTCCTTGCCCTTGTCTAGACCAGGCTGTATGTCCTTGGCGCCATCTAGTGGCCACAGTGGGAGCAGCAGCTTCCCTTTCCTGGCCCATTCAGAGGAGGGAGGGCTGGAGGGAGACCAGTGTGCAAAGAATGATAGAAAAACAGTAAGATGGAAGATGAATCCATAGTGGAGAGGTAAACACATGTAGGAATAGTAAAGAGCAGTCACTTCTTGAGCACACACTGCAGGCTAGGCACTGTCCTGGTGTCAAAGCACATTAATAATTTTAAAAAAATTTTTATTGAACACGTAGTCATCTAATTATATATTATCAAGTTACAATTATTCAGTTACACATTTATTATCTCATATAAGGAACATCAAGAGAAGCTCACGGGCCAGGCACAGTGGCTCACACCAGTAATCCCAGCACTTTGGGAGGCCAAGGTTGGCGGATCCCTTGAGCCCAGAAGTTTGAGACCAGCCTGGGCAACATGGCAAAACTCCACTTCTACAAAAACAAAACAAAACAAAAATTAGCTGGGCATGATGGCACATGCCTGTAGTCTCAGCTACTTGGGAGGCTGAGGCAGGAGGATTGCTTGAGCCCAGGAGGTGGAGGTTGCAGTGACCTAAGCCCACACCACTGCACTCCAGCCTGGGGGACAGAGTGAGACCTAGTCTCAAAAAAAAAAAAAAAAAAAAAAGAGAGAGAGAGAGAGAGAGACTCAGGAAGAATGAGCCCAAAATAGGGAAAGATCACAACCCCAGCCAGACGATGGGGAACCCTATGTCCTCTGGATCCCAAGAGAGGATGTGCTAACCAACTTTCCCCTACCCACAGCGGGAGCACCAGCCATTTAGCCTGCAGTGTGAGGCTGTGTACAAAGCCCTGAAGATGCCCTACCGAATCCTGCCTCGGCAGCTGCCCCAAAAAGAGCGTCAGGTGAGTCTAGGGCCAGAGGACTGGATGAGGGAATACAGGGCTCAGAGTGCTGGAACAGGGCTGGGACTTGGGTGAGGGCTGGCCTTGGTATTGTTAACAACTGTTGAGAATGTACTATGTGCCAAGCACTGTGCAGATGCCAGAGACAGAGTGGTAAGCAAGATCAACATGGTATCTTTGCTCCTGGTGTTCACAGTCTCGTGGAACAACACAGTGTTCCAAGTGTGGTGATATTTATGAAAACACATAATAGGAACACCTGAACCCAGTCTAACTGGGTCAGGGAAGGCTTCCTGGAAGAAGTGATGTTCAAGCTGAGACCTGAAGAATAAATAGGAACTAACCAGGCTAGCCATTCAGGAAAGGGATATCCTGGGGAGAGGTGAATAACAGATATGAGGCTGAGCGCAGTGGCTCACACCTGTAATCCCAGCACTTTGGAAGGCCAAGGCAAGTGGATTGCTTGAGCTCAGAAGTTCAAGATCAACCTGGGCAACATAGTGAGATCCTGTCTCTACAAAAAATACAAAAATTAGCCAGATGTGGTGGCGCATATCTGTGGTCCCAGCTACTCGGGAGGCTGAGGCAGGAGGATCGCTTGAGACCAGGATGCAGAGGTTGTAGTAAGCTGAGATCACACCACTGCACTCCAGCCTGAGTGACAGAGTGAGACTCTGTCAAAAAAAAAAAAAAATGGATATGATATGAAAGCCCGAAAGTAAGAGACAATATTGTACATTTTAGGAACTTCAATTTTTAAGTTCAGAATGCTGTTAGTTCAAAATAAGAGGTGGAGTTGATCTGGAACCCAGACTCAGACATTGGCACCTAATCCAGGCAGATCCAGGACTATATTTGGGCCTGCTCCAGACCTGATCCTGGAGGCCCAGTTCACCCTGATTTAGGAGAAGCCAGGAATTTCCCAGGACCCTGAAGGGGCCATGATGGCAACAGATCTGGAACCTCAGCCTGGCCAGACACAGGCCCTCCCTGTTCCCCAGAGAAAGGGGAGCCCACTGGGCTCTGCAGATCCAATGACAAGTGGGGGCCAAGTATAGGGTAGAAAGAACTTCTGAGCTTTCATTGACTTCACCCAACTTGCTCCCCAGGTGGCCACAGCTGTGCAATGGACCAAGGCAGAAGGCAGCTATGGCGTCCCACTGTGGATCATCATCCTAGCCATCCTGTTTGGCCTCCTGCTCCTAGGTCTACTCATCTACATCCTCTACAAGGTCAGCCACATCCTGCTTGTGACTTGGCCACCCTCTCATCAGGCTCTGCCCTTGACCTGGCACAGTCCCAAGTATCTACCTCTAGACCAGTTCACCAGCCATGTGCCCCCACCTCTGTCCTGGCTACATGCATCCCATCCTAACCCTTCCTATAAGATCCCCCCCTTCATTCTATAGCCCCTAGCTTAGAAAGGGTCCTCTTGACTCAAGATGATAAGTTTGCCTATACTTGCAAAATCATTGGAACCCAAAGATGACAAATACGTGGCATTTGTGCTGTCAATTTCTCCAAAAATCCATGGCAGCCATCACTAACCTAGAAATGGCTACTGATCATCTCCTAGAAGTGGCTTCAGAATCTCTCTCAAGAGGCAGCCATGGCCAGGTGTGGTGGCTCACACCTGTAATCCCAACATTTTGGGAGGCCAGGGTGGGAAGACAGCTTGAGCCCAGGAATTCAAGACCAGCCTGGGTAACACACTAGGACCTTGTCTCTACAAAAAAAACACAAAGATTAGCCAGGTTTGGTGGTGCGTGCCTATAGTCCCAGCTACTCTGGAGGCTGAGGTGGGAGGATCGCTTGAGCCCAGGAGTTTGAGGCTACAGTGAGCCATGATCATGCCACTGCACTCCAGGCTGGTCAACAGAGTGAGACCCTGTCTCAAAAACAAACAAACAAACAGAAGCAGCCACTACTAAGCAATCAGACTTGGCATTTGAGTTCAAACCTATCTGCCATTTCTGGCTTAACTGGGGAATTTTAAAGGCACTGGTAAAAGATACCCCCCATACAAAATCACCCCCAAGTTTGGTCCTCCTGGGTCCATTGCACAACTTAGAGGGGTAGTCCTAGCCTGAATTCAGAGGCCACTTTTGCAGGATGTAGAGGTTGGAGGCACTAGAGTCCTCCTTATTACTTCTTGGAATAAGAGCTGTGGAGAAATGGCAGCCATAGTACCTAAACTCTCCCTCTTTTCCCCTTTATCAGCTTGGATTCTTCAAACGCTCCCTCCCATATGGCACCGCCATGGAAAAAGCTCAGCTCAAGCCTCCAGCCACCTCTGATGCCTGAGTCCTCCCAATTTCAGACTCCCATTCCTGAAGAACCAGTCCCCCCACCCTCATTCTACTGAAAAGGAGGGGTCTGGGTACTTCTTGAAGGTGCTGACGGCCAGGGAGAAGCTCCTCTCCCCAGCCCAGAGACATACTTGAAGGGCCAGAGCCAGGGGGGTGAGGAGCTGGGGATCCCTCCCCCCCATGCACTGTGAAGGACCCTTGTTTACACATACCCTCTTCATGGATGGGGGAACTCAGATCCAGGGACAGAGGCCCCAGCCTCCCTGAAGCCTTTGCATTTTGGAGAGTTTCCTGAAACAACTTGGAAAGATAACTAGGAAATCCATTCACAGTTCTTTGGGCCAGACATGCCACAAGGACTTCCTGTCCAGCTCCAACCTGCAAAGATCTGTCCTCAGCCTTGCCAGAGATCCAAAAGAAGCCCCCAGCTAAGAACCTGGAACTTGGGGAGTTAAGACCTGGCAGCTCTGGACAGCCCCACCCTGGTGGGCCAACAAAGAACACTAACTATGCATGGTGCCCCAGGACCAGCTCAGGACAGATGCCACACAAGGATAGATGCTGGCCCAGGGCCCAGAGCCCAGCTCCAAGGGGAATCAGAACTCAAATGGGGCCAGATCCAGCCTGGGGTCTGGAGTTGATCTGGAACCCAGACTCAGACATTGGCACCTAATCCAGGCAGATCCAGGACTATATTTGGGCCTGCTCCAGACCTGATCCTGGAGGCCCAGTTCACCCTGATTTAGGAGAAGCCAGGAATTTCCCAGGACCCTGAAGGGGCCATGATGGCAACAGATCTGGAACCTCAGCCTGGCCAGACACAGGCCCTCCCTGTTCCCCAGAGAAAGGGGAGCCCACTGTCCTGGGCCTGCAGAATTTGGGTTCTGCCTGCCAGCTGCACTGATGCTGCCCCTCATCTCTCTGCCCAACCCTTCCCTCACCTTGGCACCAGACACCCAGGACTTATTTAAACTCTGTTGCAAGTGCAATAAATCTGACCCAGTGCCCCCACTGACCAGAACTAGAATCTGTGATCTCATGTTACTCTTTCCAAACCCATCCTGGAACCAAGCGACTTGGTGGAAAGCAGATGCCTATTTCTCTCATGGCTTCTTTCCACTAGGAGCCAGAAGTATGACCCCCCAGAAACTGTGAAACTAGTTCTAGGCTCCCTTCTTAGGTGAAAGAGGTGATGGAAGGAGAGAAAGCAGGGCTTGACTCCTCTGCCCCTCCCTCATCCCCCATCAGACCTGGTCCCCAACACTCCCAAGGGAGAAGGGAAAGGAACCTCTTCTCTTTGGGTTTGAGGATTAGAGCAGAATGCAAAGGGGGAGGTCCAAGGTGGAGGTGGGGGAGGATGGTTCAGAAAATTTACCAGGCTTCCCTAAATCAGAATAATGAAATGAGTTGAGAGGAAAAAGCCACGGAACTAAATTAGAAGAAAGCCCAGTTAGGTTTTTGTATTGCTTTGTTTTCATTGCTACTGTGTGCTGGTAGGGGGTGTTAGTTTGCATACATTATCACATTTAATTTCTCACAGAGTTCTGTGAGGTTGGTACTATTTATCCCATTTACACAAAGAGAAACTGAGGCCCAGAGAGGTTACATAACTTGTGCAAAGTCACACAGTGAGTGGCAGAACAGAGTGAAACTCAGCCTTATCTGGCTGGGAAAGCCCGAATTCTTAACCAACATGCCACAGGGTTCAGATCTTTGAAGATAAATCTCGCAAAGTGAGGGACCCTCAGGGTTCTCTTTTCTCCTCAAGGCCTGTCCTAACGGGCAGCAAGAGGGAGAGCAATTGCGGTTGTTGGAGACAAAGATGTCCCTGTCAGGATAGACTAAAATTCAGCCACCAGAGGGCAGCATAGCCACAAATTTATGGGAAATTTGGGAAGGTAGGGTATGAGGTCCACCTCACCCTCTTCCCCCATCACCAGGACTATTCTCATTAACTCAGGCTTCTGCCTAGCAGGGCCTGCATCACCTAAAAATATCCCTCCTGG
Source organism: Homo sapiens (assembly GCF_000001405.40). NCBI lineage: Eukaryota > Metazoa > Chordata > Mammalia > Primates > Hominidae > Homo > Homo sapiens. Next base: position 54,394,281 of record NC_000012.12, on the reverse strand, counting down.
GAGACCAACCCTGGACCACACTCCAGTCTGTGACTTCTTAGAATGCTCTGAGTCAGGAATGTCTTCACAGAACCCACAAATGAAAAGGGGCTGATGGGGTAGAAGAGACAGGATGAGACAAAGAACCCCCTAGCATTTCTAAGAATGGCAGCCGTGGCATAACAAGGCACCAGAAATTCTAGAGGGAGGAAATCCCATACCTGATACATTAAGAGGAGTCCCCTTCTTGGGAGAGAGGTGGGGGTAGAAGCAGCCAAACTCCAGGGGCCAGACCTAAAATGTCTTCCACTGTTGTGAGGAGGAAATAAGGAAGGGAAGTGGGCTGTGAAAATTGGGCTGGTGTCATGGGTGTGTCACTGTGTAGGGCCTGTACTTTTGAGAGAGTGACAAGTTCTTACCCGTGGATGCACAATATAAGGAAGAAATTCCTTGAGCTCAGAAATGCCACAGATGTAATCTAGTATGAGCCTCTCTTTCCCTGAGCTCTAATTCTCAGACTCCTGGTCTAAGTTTCTTCTCCCAAATCTCCCAACCCTCCGAAGGAAGTGTGGCTCCCACCTTGAGACTTGAATAATCCAGACGAATTTAAGTGTAGGGGGGCTAGAAGGCCTGAGCCCTATCCTTGTCTGTGTTGGTGGAGATGAAAAGGAGAAGGAAAGGAGGCCTTAGGAAGTGAACAGAGCAGCTGGGGGTGCAGGGAGGGGGAGGGGGCTCAGGAGAGGCAGCTGGCAGGCGGGAAGCTGATCTGGGGGTCTCAAGTTTCTTGACATCAATTAGAGCAGCCGGCCTGGGCTCATTAGTAGCCCGGGGTGCAGGGCTCATCAATAATGAATTCACCCCACACACCTTCCCCCCACCCCAGCTGCCTGCAAGGTCACCCCGTCCTCTAGCCAGCTGCTTCCCCTTGGTAAGCTTAAGCAACCCCTCTTCTGAGATCTTCCTAACCCAGAGTCCCTGGGGCAGTGTGGCAGGGTGGACAACAGCTGAGCGCAAAGGGGTCTCTAAAACCAATCGACCATGCCTGATGATGGCTCTTGTTTAGTCTCTGAGTCCACCCAGGAGGAGAAAGAATGGGAAGAGGAAAGGAGGTGCAGGGTCTAAGGAGAAGCAAGGGTTTTTCATACTGGAGTTGACCAGCATGGTGGTAGGTCAGACCCAGAGCAGGAGGACCTCCTCTGATGGACCCAGAAACCCCATATCCTCTCCCAAGGCCAATCCCCTGAGATCTCTGCCCCACTGAATCAGAATGAGACTAAGGCATTGGCACTCCCAGCATTCTCTCCCTTGAGCTGGAGTGTCTTGGCAGGTACAGAAACAGGTCTTTTCTTCAAACCAGATTACTGGCGTGAGGGCAAGAGATTGCTGGGACCCAGAAACAGAAACTCAAACTTCCTGCACCTTAATTGACCATCCAGTCCCAATTTCCCTCCAGAACCCAGGAATGTCAGTCTCTTTCCCCTTCCTAAACCATTCCGAAACTTCAGTCCCACCACCCTTTCACCAACTTCTTCCCCTCAGCTTCTACCTCCCTAAACCTCAAACGTTCCAGTTCCCACCCACTTTTCCTCTGATTGGGGTTGGCCTGAAGCTGGCTGTGTGGCATTCTGGGAAATCTGGCTGCCACCCTCCCTCTTGAGACAAGTACAGACAGATCCAGCCTCCATCTCCCCCAGACATCTGCATTCTCCAAGACTCCTACCTTGTACTGGGGTCCCTTAAGAATACCTCTGAGTGGGCTGCGTGCGGTGGCTTACGCCAGTAATCCCAGCACTTTGAGAGAGCGAGGCAGGCGGATCACCTGAGGTCAGGCGTTCGAGACCAGCCTGGCCAACATAGTGAAATCCTGTCTCTACTAAAACTACAAAAATTAGCCAGGCGTGGTGGCGGGCACCTGTAATCCCAGCTACTCGGGAGGCTGAGGCAGGAGAATGCTTGAACCCGGGAGGCAGAGGTTGCAGTGAGCTGAGATCGTGCCACTGCACTCCAGCCTGGCGACAGAGCAAGACTTGGGTCTCAAAAAAGAAGAAAAAAGAAAAAAGAAGAAAAGAATACCTCCAAGTGGCCTGTACTTCCTCTCCCTCCTGACATTCTCCCCTGCTCATACATTTTGTCCTACCCTCCATCTTCCCCTCCACCTCACGAAATGCCCCCCCACCAGTCCTCCTCGACCGAAGCTCGCCTTAGTGGGGAATGCCGCTGATTTAGCCCTGGATAGATGCTCCCTGATGCCACCCCACCCTAATCCAGGTCATCTCTACAAGGTGCCTCAGTTCTGAATTTTCTGTCATCTTCCAGTTGCCCTAATGATCTCGGTTACAAGCTTCTATTTCCATCTCCTCAGGTCCATTGATTGCAATCTCCTCGCTGAGACCTTCCCTAAGGACCCAGGCATTCAGACCCCAGCCAGAACTCAACCTGGGATCCATCTTCAACATCCCATTTCACCTCAGAGGCCCAGCCCCCAGGCATCCTGCTCCAAAGCCAGAACAACAAACTAGGACCCATACAATTTCTGCTGCACTTCCCCTGCCCCCTGCTCAGTCCATTACTCTGGAGGGAACCTAGGTATCCTACCCAACCCAAGGCCCATCGCCTCCCAGAGTACTTAGGCACCCCCGCCCCCCTCCCCCCCCCACTCCCCTGCCCACCCCATATCAGCCCAGCACCAGACTTCCCGCCCTCAGACTCAGCCCTTCCCGGGAACCCAGGCATCCTAGTTTCCAGCTTCGTCCATCACCTCACACCGTCTTCTAGACGTCCTGTTCCCCCAGCCCTGGCCGCAGTGACACCGTAAACCCAGGAGGCCAGCAGGCAGCAAGAAGAAGGGCGGGAGGAAGCGGGAGGGGCCAGGACGCCCCCTCGCGGAGCCCTGAGTGCCCGGGTCCCCTCCTCCCGTCTTCACCTGCTGAGGGCCCCGCCCCCGCTCCGCCTCGGCCGGCCTCTGCTCCTCCCCGGCTCCTCCCCCCGTACCCCCAGCCCGGCCAGAACGGCCCCCGGGACAGAGCGACGCGGAACCCCGGGCGCCTGGGTCCCCAGCATGATCCTCGGTGAGTGGTCTCTGCGACTCCAGGCTCCCGGCTCCTGGGTTCCTCTCTGTGGGTCACCCACCGCCCCCCTCCACCATCTCCCGGCACCGCGGTGACTGCGGCCGCCCGTCAGCGACCGGTTCCCCCTCCCCCTTCATCTGGCTCCACATCTGGGGTCCCCTCTTCCCCTCTTCCCCTCTTTCCCAGGCTGCCGCTGCTCCGGGTAATTTAGGGAGTGGTAAAGCGGGAGGCAGAGCGGAGTGAGACCCCCGCCCCATAATTAGAACATTGCGTATTCATGAGGCTCATGAATATTATATACCAGTCTACGAGAGGCTGGGGGAGGGGGCTGGTCCTGGCCTGGTGGAGTTGGGGGAAAGGTTCTGACCCGTCTCCCGCCCCAGCGTCTTCCCCCACCCTTAGCTTAGATACTCCGACATCCTTCTGGGCCCAGGATAAGGGGGAAAGGAGGAAGTGGGGGGTGGAAGGAGAAGATGGTGGGTGTAGCTTCGAGGTGAGTGTGGTGGGAGGTGGGAACCTGAGGGCCGGAGATAAGAGGGCTGGGGAGCAGAGGGGCTGGGGAGAAGAGGGGCTTGGGAGAAGAGGGGGTGGGGAAAATAGGGGGTGGGAAACTGTCCATCCAGGGCTCCTGCGGCTCAGAGCCTGTCTCCACAGCCATCCTGCCCCAACACGCCGAGACCTGCCCCTCTCTCTCCCTGCTGTAGCTGCCTAAGTCCCTCTTTCCTCACTTCCTTCTTCTCCCTCCACCCCTGCCTTGGGCCGGGGGCACCAGGAGAGGGAGGGGCAATGGAGAGGGTAAGTATGGGGGATGGGAACTCCTGCTGGGCTCTGACAGCCCGTCAGCCACAGCCACCCCATCCTCATGACCTACATCAGGAAGGGAGCCCCAGGGGTGGGGGAGGAAAGGGCCTAGCTGTGCTCTGGACTCTGCATCAGCGCCGGCTGCATGCCCCTGCCCTCCACCCTGCCTCCACAATAGTCCACAGGCCTGCTCTGACCTCTGCCCTCCACCCTGGCTAGGCTGGTTTCTGGGATCTGTTTATGATGGGAGCCCCCCAACCAGGCCTAGACACCTGTGGTCTCCCTGCCCCCAACCGAGGACACCTGGCTCCATGCTGGTACCTGGAGGGCTTGACTGGCTCCTGCACTCATCCCTCTCCTGAGTCCCTCTGCTATTTGTCTTCCTTTCTTACCTTCTTTCATTTCACCGCCTATCCCTGTTGACTACCTATTGTCCTTCTGCCCTTCCTCCATCTCTTTTTCTCTCCTCCTCCTGTGTGTCCTCAGTCTCTCTCTGCTGTATGTCTCACCCCCTCCACCTGGCACTCCACCTATCTATTGAATGGATGACTGAACGAAGGCATGAATGGCTGGTTGCCTGCCTCCTTCTCAAGAGCCTCTCCAGCAGGGGAAGGTATTACCCACCCTTCTATGAATACCACCCTGATGCTAGAGTGACCCCCACCAGCACACATTGCACTCAGTCCCCCAGAGCACAGGACCCACATTCCTCCAACCTGTGTGATCTCTGCACCCTGGCTCCACCCTGGGCACAGCTCGAGAGGCAGCATCATGCTTGCCCAGAATAGGCTGGCATAAGCCGTGCTTTCCCTGGTCAGCAGGCCCTGAAAAGGACATCAAGGACCTGCTTGCTGGAGCCTGACCAAGACCCCAGCCACAGGAATAATTCCTGGGTCCACATTTTCTGAAACTGGACCACAGCCACAAGTGGTACCCTCACATCCCCCTGGAGGACACTGTAATTAATTCCCTCCTTATGCCAAGCCCACAGAGTGCGGGAAGTCTGGCAAAGCCCACATACCTTAGCCCTCTATGAGGAAGGAAGGAGAGAGGGAGGAAGCTGCCAGCCAGGGCTCCGGCCCCACCCCCAGGGACCCCCAGGGACCCTACAAAGGTTTCAGTTCTGAACACTTAGGTCCTCTGAATCCATGTGCATGGTAGCCGTGGAGGGACCCTAAACCCTCCCTGCCTAGCATGTGACACCCAGCCAGCCTGCTCAAGATCTAGAGTCTGGGCCCCAGGTTTAAGATGGCAGTTCTGGGCTCAGGTTCCCTGTTCTAAGCCTTTCTATACCATCCTTTCCAACTGAGTCCCTGGTGCAGTAAGGGTAGTGGCACATTGAAGGAGGCCCTTTCCAATCAAGTGGGGAAAGATTTCCCAGGGGCCTCCCTGCTCTCCCCTTCCCAGTCAACTACTCCCTCTAGGCCCAGTCCCCGCCCACATCCACCCTGGGGTTATTAGGCATGGTGTTTTGAGTAGTTGTTCATAATCATCCCCCTCGTCTCTTTCATCTTTGACTTCAAAGCCTTTCCAGTCCTCAGCCTGCCTCCTGCCAAGATGGGGGAATTGAGGCTGAAGGGGACATATACATGGAACTTGGTAAAAAAGACCCAGGGGTTCAAAGTTTTCCTCCCACCCCCGCCCTCAATTTTAGGCACTTCTGGGGAGGGAGGAAAGGCCAAAAGGCCTGAAGGGAAAAAGAGATTAATTAGAGAAGAGATCTGAATTTCTCCTGTGGCCCAAGTCTAATTCCCATTTTAACCCAGTACTGGCCCTGTGCTTTTTACCACCTTGGGCCCTAACTACTTGCAACCTTAACCCCAATATCTCTCTCTGATCTTAATCCCATTCTGGCCCAGTCTTCCAACCAACACTAACCCACAGCCCTATACTAACACCTTTCCTGGCTCCTATTCCTACTCAGATGCAGCCACTCCCTAAGCATTCTTTAACAACAGGGCTTGAGGCATGAGGCCCCACCTAAAATAGCCAAAGGGCTGGGGCTCCAGACCAGGCCCGAATTTCTAGGGAAGAGGGAAAGGAAAAGACCATTAGAGGAAGCCAGATGTGGCCTGGTTGAGGGTTAGTGCTGACAGCACAACTTGAGCAGGATCAAAGTGCCCAGGGCTAAGTAGGATGTGAAAATGGACAGATGGACATCCATCCAAGGGTCTGGAATTCACCCCCTCTAAATCATGTTGGGAGCTTTCTTTAATAAAGCATTTAGCAATTCTCGATGAAGCTGGGTGGGGCTCTATCTGCTGGAGGTAATTACTCTAATGAGCTTCCCTCAAGAGTGGCCTGCCCCAGCCAGGCCTCAGCTCCTCCCTGCCTTGCCTGACATGGGTGCCACACACACACACACACACACACACACACACACACACTTACACACACTTCAATTTGCTCTCCACCTCTTCTGCCAAACCTGCCTGGAGATTTTACCTAGCTAGAAGTCAAAAGCCCCACACTTCCTACTCAGTTCCTGCCTCCCCAGCCATTCCTATATTCCTGCCTTTTCCCCTCCTCCCCTTCCAGATCTACCCAGAAAAGTGTAGTGCTTGAAAGCCCTGTCTCTGGAACCAGACAGACAGGTTCACGTCACTCACTAACTGTGTGACCTTGGCCAAATAACTCTCCTTCTGAGCCAATTGTCATCATCTATAAGATGAGATTCATTTATTCAGCAAATATTTATTGAGTTCTCACTGTGACATGCCAGCATCTTACATGGATTTGTTCAATCCTGTCAACAACTTGGTGAGGCAAGTAGTGTTGTTTTCATTTGACAGATGAGAAATGAGACTGAGAGTCAGAGAACCTAGCTGCTCACCCAGCTAGTGAGTGGTGGGACCACCTACTGGGAGATTGTGTATGTAAAGTGCCTGGCCTATAGTAAAGCCTCAAAAAGCGGCAACTATTGTTAGCCTCAGAAAAAGAGAGGGAGAGGCCTAAGGCCTGGGCTACCTGAAACCAAGAGTCCTGTTTCTGCCCACCCGGCCCAAAAGCTGCCATCTGCCTCTCTCGCCACCTCAGAATGGAGTGGACCCAGGAATCTGGGAAGTAGATAGTTTGTCTCCAGTTGCCTGCCTGCTTCCTTCCCTCACTGTACCCTCATTTGACCCCTCTCTCCCACTCCACTCCCCTCCCCTCCCCCGCTCACCCAGGGCTCATGTCTGTGGAAAAGATGAGTTGTTAGCCATAGATAACTGAGTGGCTGCTACCTGTTTTCCTCTATCCCTCCTCTGGAGGAAAAATGAGGACTCCAACCTGAGGAAGTGCATGGAACCTGCTCTCCCCTTCCTCTCCTTGAACAAGATGGAAGCCTGTGCTCAGATCTCTGCTTCAGTTAAATTCAAGCCCTTTGGGAGTAAGGTAGCAGAGAAAGAATTTGCTGTAGAGTCCAGCAGATCTTGATCTATATCTCAGCTCTGATATTTACAGGCTGTGTGACATCAGCCAAGTTTGTTAACTACTCTGAGTCTCCATTTCCTCATAAGTCAAGTAGAAAAATATTATCAGCTACTTCATTGAATCATGGCTACTTCATTGAGCTACTTCAGAGGTTAAATATGATAATACTTGGAATTCATTACCTGGCACATAGTAGCCTCAAATTTTTTTCTGTGGCTTTTTCTGGAACTCTGCTGTCTCCTCTTAAGATGGCTTTGAGGAGTGGGAGCCTAGAGAAATCTAGAACCAGGGAAAGGGTCAAGCCAAGCTTCAGCCTCTGGTGCTCTGGGGCAGGGCAAGTGCCAGCCCAAAACCAGCTGCTGGGGGTGGATGCTGGGTGCAGGGGACTCTGGGAGCACTCAGGTTTCTCTCACCATTCCTGATGCCGCCTGGGGCTCATTAAGGCTGCCCTGGCCTTGGGTAACAGGCAGTAAGGGAGGGTGGGGCACAGAGGGCAGATGCCATAAGGGGACAGACCAGGAAGGGGAGGTGGTCAAGCTGCCCCATCCATCTATCTGTCCCTCTCTCTTCTCTTTTATCTTTCTCGCTGTCTCTGTTCTCTGTCTCTCGGTCTGTCTGCCCTAGTCTCTAGTTCTGTGTCCAGCTTTTCGGCAGTGTCTCTCTGTTTGTATGTCTGATTTCGCTCTCTGACATCTCTCCATTGTTCTCTATCCTTTTCTCTCTCAGTGTCACTGTCCGATTCCTCAGTCACCTATTCCTGCTGCTACCACTCTCCCATCCTCTCACTCACTTTCATCTGTCCGTCTCTCTGTGTGTGTGTGTGTGTGTGTGTGTGTGTGTGTGTGTCCTCTCTCCACCCCATCCCAACCTTGAAGGTGACAGAGGAGGGAATAGACACAAAGCATACAGACCCCCAGCTACTTAAGGGTCAAAGCCAAGGATCTTACCCTCTCCTTTAGCCCTGAGAATTCTGAAGCCCAAACTCCCAGTAGCCTTGACCCCCTGCTCTGTCTCAGTCACCCTGACCACCCATCCTGGCATGGGGTGAAAGAGACAGACCCCTCCAGACCTTTCTGGACCAGCTCCCAGCCCCCAGCTGTGCCTGAGCCCTCCCCACCCCCTCCCTGTCGCCTCAGATTCCCCTAATCCCTGCTCCCCTGCCCTCCCCTCTGCCCCACTTTTCCAGGATTCTGATTGGCTGATTCTACTGACTGGGCTGAGGGGGAGGGGGCTGGCAAGGGAGGGGGCAGAGGGCAGAACCAAGGGAAGGGGACGCTGTCAGGCCCAGGCCCCTGGGGGGCCAGGGCCAGGCCACTGCCTGGGGGCAGCAGGCATCAGAAACTAAAGGTATGAAAGGGGGTGGTGTCTGGAGGGAACAGGAAGGGATCCTGGAGACCTTCTGCTCTAGTAAAGTCAAGGGAGGACGGGCCAAGCACGCAGCCTCCTCGGTTTGCCTTTGTTCCTGGGAACCCCTGTTGCTGTCAGGGGGTTACTGGAGCAGTGAAGGGCGGCCAGAACTCCCCAGCTGGTGCACAGCAGGGTCGCAGAAGGGAGCTGGGCCAGTGGAAGCCCAGAAGGGCTCTGAGGACCTTTGGGCTGCCCCTTTGGAGTCTGGTGGAGTTCCTCCCGTGACTCTGAGAGGAGGAGGAGAAGGTTTCAGAGAAGGGTAGTTGAATGGCTGGCCTGGACTTTCATTTCCCCTTGGGGTCAGACCCAGGCATTCCCCGCCCATAGGCCAGGTCGAGGTTCCTCCTGCAGAACTGGACCTGTAGCTGAGCATTCCTGGTGAGACAAAAGGGCATGGGGGAAGACTGAGGAAGGTTGGGAGAAGGGGCTCTGAGAATGGCCTAGGTAGTTCACCTCCCAGAGCAAAAGCCACCCAACCCACTACCTACCCCCACAGATGTCAATAGTTAATAAAGAATTATAGTTAGAGCAAAATCTAATTCTAGGGCATCTGAGAGATTCAGCAGCCCCCCTCCAAATCTAAGTCTCAATATCCCCCTCTGGTCAGTAGGATGAATCACCCACTTGACTCTCTTCTTCCTGGGGCGATACCAAGCTTTAGGATCCCCTGGGGGAAAGCAAAACCAGAAGAAGAGGGTGGCCAGGGGCTTGAGGCTGGGAGTCCTGCTGGTTCAGCAGGCAGCCTGCAGAAAAGGTATGAGCTCTTACTGGGTCTGTAATGTGCCTAAGGAGTTTGGGGGAGGGAGGCTGGAAAAGGGGGAAGTGAAAACCACCCAGAAGGGAAGGACTGGTCTACACCCTCCCCCAGGCCCACAGGGCACTGTGCTCCATTGCTCTGGAGCCAGCAGGGGAAGTGTGTACACTATGTGCACTGAGGGTGACACTTCTGAGTGTGGGGGCCCTGGCTAGGGAGTGGGACTGGCAGGCTTGGGTGGGGTTCCCAAGCTTTAATCTTCCTACCCCACAGAATGTTTTCTCTGCCCTTCAGGCAGCCTGAGCCGGGCAGGGCCCCTGCCTCTGCTACGGCAGCCCCCGATCATGCAGCCCCCACTGGACCTCAAGCAGATCCTGCCCTTCCCACTCGAGCCAGCCCCTACCCTTGGCCTCTTCAGCAACTACAGCACCGTAAGTAGCAGCCTGCCTGCCTTCTCCATCCTCTTGTGACCCGACCTTTCTCTCTCAGACCCACCTCTGCCCTCTTCTTCTGTTTCTAATTCCTTATCTCCTCTTATGACCCCATCTTCCTTAATTCTAGTTAATTTTGAGTATTGTGGGCCATCTGGTACAGTGTTAACAACAATAATAATAGCTAATATTTGCTGAGGTCTTGCTACGGGCCAGACACTGTGCTAAGTGTTTTATATGAATTATCTCATTTAGTCCTACAGTGAATCGCCCTACCATCTAGAGAAGTAATGAGACTTAAATTGGTGGTAGTAACAGTAGGGAGGTAGGAGGGGTGTAGGTGCTGAATCCAGAAAGAGGGAATGAGCAGGAAAATAAGCATGCCTGTTTGTAAGTTTCACCTCTCTGCAGTCCACGGCTGGGTGGGTAGCATCAGTGGGATAGGGCTTGGAGGACTGGCAAGGTGGTCTAGATTTAATACAATATGAAATAAGGAGGTGCTGTCTATTCGTGTGTTTGTTTGTTTGTTTTTATGAGACGGAGTCTCACTCTGTTGCCCAGTCTGGTGTGCAGTGGCACGATCTTGGGTCACTGCAGCCTCCACCTCCCCAGTTCACCGATTCTCCTGCCTCGGCCTCCCAAGTAGCTGGGATTACAGGCGTGTGCCACCACACCGGGCTAATTTTTGTATTTTTAGTAGAGATGGGGTTTCACCATGTTGGCCAGGCTGGTCTCAAACTCCTGACCTCAGGTGATCCGCCTGCCTCAGCCTCCCAAAGTGCTGGGATTACAGGCATGAGCCACCACACCCAGCCGCCACTGTCTATTCTTGAGCAGGAGAGTGACTTGGTAAGAGCAGTGTTTGAGGAAGGTGAGTGGGGCAACTGGATGAAAGGGAACAGAGGCAGGAGGAAGGTGACAGTTAGGAGGCTGTCCTAGCAATGCAGGCCCGAGGGAAGCCTCAAAAGCCAGACGGGGCTGGTGGCAGTGGCAGTATGAGTGGAGAGAAAGGGAGAATGGGGGAGGTAATTTCAAGGAAATATTGACAGGCCATGGTGACCAACTGGTGTTTGGGGGTGGGGGAGAAGAGAAGGCATGAGTCAAGGATGACTCCAGCATTCAGGCCTTTGTGATTGGATGGAAGTCACCACTGACAGAGGCAGAGGGTTGGAAGAGGAAGCTGGTCTCCAGTGAGGATGATGCTTTAGCATGTGGTGCTAAAGCTAAAGCTTTATTTGTTTTGTTTTGTTTTGTTTTGTTTTTGAGATGTAGTCTTGCTCAATCTCTCAGGCTGGAGTGCAGTGGCATGATGATCTTGACTCATTGCAACCTCCGCCTCCTGGGTTCAAGCCATTCTCCTGCCTCACCCTCCTCAGTAGCTGGGATTACAGGCACGTACCACCATGCCCAGCTAATTTTTGTATTTTTAGTAGAGATGGGGTTTCACCATCTTGGCCAGGCTGGTCTGGAACCCTGACCTTGTGATCCACCTGCCTCAGCCTCCCAAGTGCTGGGATTACAGGCTTGAGCCACCGTGCCTGGCCTATTTGTTTTGTTTTAAAAAATAATAATAAATATTTTTTTTAAAAAAAAAAGGATATGGTGATTTGGCATACCAGTAGGACATTGAGCCCAAAATGTTCTACAGATAGTTAGAATCTGAAGCCTGGAAGGTGGGCTAGAGCTAAAAGTTTGGGGAAAGTCAGCCTTATTCAACTTAAATAACCCACATCAAACCATATTTAGCCATAAACATGTATTGAGCATTGACTACACACCAGGCACTGTAGCAGATGTTTCTATCTGCAATCTCATTTCACCTTCACAACAACCCAACAAGGTAGACATTATTATTCCATTTAACAAATAAGAAAGCAAAAACTAAGCCTCAGAAGGGTTTAGTAATTTATATAAGTTGACACAGTATGTGCCTAAGGTATGATTTGAACCCATTGCATCTGACTCTAAACAGACTTATCGTTATACCACAGCTGCTCCCCCCAAATGAGGGACCCAGACACACATTTGCATTGCACTTTTAAGTTTTCAGACTGGGCCAGGCGTGGTGGCTCACGCTTGTAATCCCAGCACTTTGGGAGGCCGAGGCAGGCGGATCACAAGGTCAGGAGATTGAGACCATCCTGGCTAACATGGTGAAACCCCGTCTCTACTAAAAAAAAAAACAACAAAAAACTAGCCGGGCGTGGTGGCGGGCGCCTGTACTCCCAGCTACTCCGGAGGCTGAGGCAGAAGAATGGCATGAACCTGGGAGGCAGAGGTTGCAGTGAGCCGAGATTGCGCCACTGCACTCCAGCCTGGGCAACAGAGTGAAACTCCATCTCAAAAAAAAAAAAAAATTCAATTTAACAAAAAAAAAATTTTTTTTGAGCACCTACTATGTGCTGGGTACTGTGCCTGGTGTCAGGGACACGGGACTCAGTTACCACACTTGGGGAGCTCATAGTTTGGTAGGAAGGATAACAAGTTAACAGTTACCCTATACAGTGTGAGAAGAGCTGTGTCAGAGGCATTTTGCTTGCATGGAAGCCCAAGTATCAAGAAAGACCTTCCTGGATGTGATGGGGCCTAAGGGACCAACCAGAGTTAGGCAGAAAAACAGAGAGCAGAGGAAAAAGGGATTTAACCTGGAGCAGGTGACATATAATTTGGGCTTTGAAGAATTATTGGCAAGATTTTTAAAGTAGTCTTAGAGAACATTCCAGACTGAAGTAAGTAGCATGAACAAGGGCTAGAAAGGAGCATTTGAGAAAGTGCAAGATTGGATGTGACTAGGTCATAAGATGGGGAGAAAACCTCCCCCCATCTAAACACCTGACTTACACTTGACCTCAGATCTTAGCAACCCCATCATTGTCCCCATTGTATAGATGAGGAAACACAGACGCAGAGAGGTTAAGTGAATTGTCCAAGGTCACAAAGCTACTTAGTTGATTGGATAATCCAGGGTTTCGACTCCTGCAGAGTTCATGGCTCCACTGCCTCTAGCAGAGGTATTTAAAGCGATGAGCATGGATAAGCTTGAAGAGTTCAGCAGGGTGTTGAACTGCATCCTGCATCTGATTGGCAGGATTTAAACTGATGTTCCAAAGTACTGGCTGTGTGATCTTAGGCAAGTTATTTAACCATTCTGAACCTCAGTTTTACTGACTGTAGAATGGGATAGTTTTTTTTTTTCTTTTTTTCTTTTTTTCTTTTTCTTTTTTTTTTTTTTGAGACAGAGTCTTACTCTGTCCCCCAGGCTGGAGTGCAGTGGCCCAATCTCCGCTCACTGCAACCTCAGCCTCTTGGGTTCAAGTAATTCTCCTTCCTCAGCCTCCAGAGTAGCTGTGGCTACAGGTGCACACCACCACGCCCAGCTAATTTTTGTATTTTTAGTAGAGACAGGGCTTCACCATGTTGGCCAGGATGGTCTCAATCTCTTGACCTTGTGATCCGCCCGACTCAGCCTCCCAAAGTGCTGGGATTACAAGCATGAGCCACTGCGCCCGGCCAATTTTTGTATTTTTAGTAGAGATGGAGTTTCGCCATGTTGCCCAGGCTGAGAATGGGATAGTATTAACACCAGCTCACAAGGTTGTGAGATCATATTACATAATCATAATGCCTAGCACAAACTAAGTGCTCAATCAGTGTTAGCTGCTATGATTATTATGCTATTGCTATTGTTTTTATTTAAAAGAGGAGTAAAGAGAGAAACTTAGGATGGTCAAGGCCTTAGCCTTCGGGAACGTGCAGAATTAGGCAGTGGGAACAGGAAGAGGCTTCAGCAAAAGGAATGGAAAAGCCACTGGAGCGGGTGGGGAGGGAAATATGTTCCTGTAGAGTTGGAGAAGCCAAGGGAGAGAGTGTGGCGGGCTGCATCAATACTGTCAAATTCTGCAGGGGAATGAGGACTGCAGAAAAGCTGCAGACAGGCCTTTGGAAGTACTGTGCAGCAGTTAAGTACGTGGCTTTGGAGTCAGACTGCCCAGGTTTAAATTCAAATCCCAGTTCAGTCACTTACTAGCTTATGACCTTGGGCAAATTATTTAACCTCTCTAAACCTCAGTTCCCTCCTCTATAAAATGAAGATAATAATAGTACTTACTTCAAATAGTGGTTGTGAAGATTAAATTAGATAATCCATGCAAAGAGCTCAGTACAGAAGCTGGCACATTGCAAGGGCTCAATCAACATTAGATGGTGGTGGTGATATTATTATTCATGACAGAGTCTCTCTTTCCCAGTGGACTGGCACCTCCAGTGCTCTCTCCTACTTGGGCAGTTCCTACTCCTTAGACCTCTTCTAGAATTACTGTCTCCCCTCGTTCTCCTCCCACTCACTCCACTGCTTCCCTCTGCCCTTGGACGTCCCTCACTGTTTCCCAAAGCCACCCTCTCTCTAGATCCAGTCCCCTGCTTCACTAATGTCTCTGCCTTAGGTGGGATGGGAGAAGATGAGACCTAGAGATGAAATACTGGGAATCCCAGGACCTGTCTAGACAGAACGAGGTGTCTGGGGGAGTGGGCTGCTAGGCCCTACAGCCTCTGGTCCCCCAGTGCTGCCCCCACTGAACCGCCAGAGGGCAGCAGGTGCACGAAGCGTGGGCTTTCAGGGAGCCTGGTTCTCCGGCAGGTGGCGGGCGCGGGTAGGAGGTGGGAAGAAGTTAGGAACGACATCCCCAGTCTGAGGTCGCTTTTGCCCTGGGTGCCCTCAGCTCCATGATTTGGAGGAGTCTCTGAGAGAGCAGTGCCTGACACCTGGGTACCCGGGTTCAGTTTCCCATCCCTAGGGAGGGAAGTGACTTGTAAAAAGGTAGCAGCATAGGGGCCGCCGTTTGCAGAGGAAGCTGGGGAAGGGTCGTCTGGGGACTCTGAAGACAGACTGTCAGCAGGGGATCTAGGGAAGGTGGGGCAAAAGGGGTGAAAGAAAGGAGAAATGTCTGAGTTGGTGGGGACCCTGGACCCAAGAAGGAGCCCCAGTGGAGGCAACGAGGTCATCTGGTCAATGCCCCTGCCGCGGGGCCAAGCGGCTCCTTCTCTTCAGAACAAGCTCTTTCCTAGGAGTGTCTGGATAATGGACATCTCCCTCTTTCCGCCCTAGCCCCCTTTCATTCCTCTTCAGCTCCCTGTCCCTGTCCCTGTCCCTGTCCCCGCCCCCGTCCTCGGCCCCGCCTCCGGGGCGGGCTCCGGCCCGGGCCAGCGCCGCCTCCCCTTCTCCCCGCCGGCCGGGCCGCACAGCCCCGAGCCGCCCGGGCAACGAGCGCCGCGTCCCTGGCCTGCCCGGCCCGGCCAGGCGCGGCCCCCCAGCCCGGGTCCGCCACCCCGGGCCATGGAGCCGCGGCCCCCAGGGTCTCGCAGGGTAAGCCACCCGGCCCCTCCTCTCTCCCTGACTCCCGCGGCTGCCGCAGCGCACCCCCACCCCGTCCCCGCCCGCCCCTGCGGGGCTGGCTACCGCTCCCTCTGCCTAGTCCTCGGGCTGTCCGGCCCATCCCCCACATCGGCGCGGCCCTAACCAATCTCGGGATCCCAGCTCATGCCCCCAGACTACTGCCACCACACTGGATACCCTGACCTCTGCTTCCCACATTCTTGGAGTCCCCCAAATCTTCAGACTTCCTGTCAGGTCCTACACCTGCCCTCCAATGACCACACTGATCAGATCCCTCCTCTCCAGCCCCAGCCCCTTCCCAGCATCCCTCCCCCACCAGCTTGCACCTGCTCTCTAGATACCCCCTAGCTCCCTCTCTTTCCTATCTCAGTCCTTCCTCAGGTCTTCCCATCCCTGAGATTCCACCACCTTTCCCTTTTCGTCTTAATTTTGGTGGGTGGGGAAGTGGGATGCTCACACAAGGGGCAGCAGTTCCATCAGATAAAGGGCAATGGAAGGAAATATAATCATAGCACCCCTCCTGTTCCTGATCTGGTTTCCACCTTCCCTCTCCCTTGCCCTTCCTGATTCATTTTGCCCCAGCGTCAGGGAGCGGTTCCCCTTCATGTCTACTGTTGGAGGGCAGGTGGGAGGGGACTGTTTTATGGACCTTTCGAGGCCGTGTCCAAGCCAGCATCCCAGGGAAGAAGCTCTGGAGTGAGATGGGCTCTGGGAGGTGCTGGCTTTCACCCCTCCCCAGGGAGCCCTCATCTAGGTCACCGGGGCCTCCTGACCTTGGCCTGGAGCAGCACTTCAGTGGCTCACATTCCACCTGCACAGGGATTGGGCCCAGGAGTCCTCACTTTCATCCTGGTGTCTCCTTAGTTCCTGGAGGAGGGTGGGAAGCACCCACCTGACTCCACTGCTGCCCTCTTCCCCACTCCCCACTCCCACTCCTAGTTGGTGTTTATGGACTTAAACCAGGGGAGGGGGTTGTGCAAAAGCTAAGGTTCTCACCCTGGAGGAAGGACCCAGGTAGGGCAGGAACCATTCTCATGGTATGGATGTTGGGGTGGCCAGTCCACAAGTCATCCTCGGGGTACTGTGTCCTCAGCCCCTCTGGAGAGCAGGCTGGCATGATGGGGCAGAGCATAGGCAGAACTAGGAGACTCTGCTTCCCCCTTCCATCCCACTCCTCTCTCCCTACTGTTTTCATCCAACTTGGGTTTCCTGGCCCAACTTGAGTTTCTGTTTGAATTCCCATTCCCCACCCAGCATGTGAGGAAGCCCAGGGCTGAGGAGAACTCTGGAACAGAGTTGGGGGTCTCTAAATAGGAAGGATTAAGGCCTGGAGACTGGGAACTGAGAGCAGCAGTCTGTCTCCCCTTTCTGATTAAAGACTGTCTCCAACTTGGTCTGTCTTTCTTTCTGCCAAACACATCATACATTTACACAGATAAACACACAGCTGAAGATTACACCACCTGACCATTCATGGTGCCATCAAAGCCCCCGACGCAGAAATGTTGATATATAAATGATGTACGCACAGTACATGACACTTATTCACACTCCACCCATGCACAGATTGATCACAGCCTGCCTAACACACACAGACACACCCGTTCTCCTGTTTGGCTTTTCCCTGGATGTGACTGGGGCTTCTGGGAAGCTGAGGTAAAAAAAAGTGAGCCCTTAGAGAGGCTTCTTTCCAACCAAGAGTAGGCCAAGAGATTGACACTTGTCAGTCAGACCAGTTGTCTGAACCCAGTCCTGGTCCCTGCCTTCAGCACTACCCAAATGGAGAGTGGATGAGGCCACCATCTATTTCACAGGGATACGAAAGCCCATTTCCTGACATTAACCCCACCCAGCCAGTGAAACTACTGGTGAGAGGAAAGGAGAGTCCAGAGGACAGGGCTTTCCAGACTCTTACTACTTTCCCCCACTTCTTGTTCTCTCACCAGTGTCTCATTGGAAACCCTAAAGACCTGTCACAGAGATGGGCTCGGCTGAGGAGATAAGGACCCCAAGTCCCCAGCAACTATTTTTCACTTGATCCCTCCACCCAGAAGATAAGGTTTTGTCCTAATTCAGTCCCATTCTTATGAGAGAGCCCAGCCATCCCCCAATCTTCAGTCTCAGCTGCATTCCAGGCTTTCCTCTCCCTAGCTGCCTAGAGGCCAAAAGGGAGGAGAACTGTTGAGGGAGGCAGTTTTCACACCTCTGAGCCCCTGGTTTTCATCCCCTGATAGCAGAAAGCCTCAGAGAAACTCCCGTCCTCTCCCTTACTCATGTGAACTCTTGGCAGGAGACTGCAAAGACGTCTGCTGACCCAGGGTGGGGACAGGGATGGTTCCTAATCCCGCCCAGCCCCACAGCTCTGCCCTAGAAACCCTGATGATCAGGGAGAAAAGGTTCAGAAGATCCCTGGGCTGCCTCGGGCCAGCCCAGCTGCTTAGGTCCCCCCATTTAGTCCCCATGATTCACTAGAGCTCCTACTCTCTCCTGAGTTCTTTTACTCCCTCTAGAAGTTGCTGCCCTTAAGAGGTCCAGAGAGTGTGTGTGTTAGGGCGACCAGGGATCCAGAGTTGGGAGGCTGGGAACATCTGTCTCCTGGGACTAGAGGCTGGGCTTGGTGATAGTCTTACCCCAGAGTGGAGGCCCAAAGGGCTCAGAGGCTTCAGCTGAAGGCCCTAGGATCTAGGGTGCTTTGGGACTTCATGTCAGAGGCCTCTGGTGGATTGGCTTCACTGTAGGAGATAAGTCAAGGTGACACAGTTGTATGTTCATGGTATGATGGACCAAGGCAGGAATCCAGGTTCAGATACCAGATCTGCTATTAACTCATGGTGTGACGTTGGGCAAACCACTTCTATGTCCTGTAAAATGGGAGCATTGGGCCAGTTATCGATCAGGTCCCTTTCAGTGCTATGAAGATTGGGCTAAGAGAGAATCAGAAGACTGAGGCTCAGATCCCTCAGGCATATTAAGGGATAGAAGGGGTCTGGGGACCTTGGTTCAACACAGATATCTGTGTTGGGGGAATGCTGGACATGAGTTGCGCTAGGGTTCCCGGCTCACCCCAGCCTGCCTCCACAGATGGACCCTGTGCAGAAGGCTGTGCTCTCCCACACTTTTGGGGGACCCTTGCTCAAGACCAAGCGGCCCGTCATTTCCTGTAATATCTGTCAAATCCGCTTCAATTCTCAGGTAAGAAGCCAAGCTGCTCATCTACCCAGTGGGTGGGGCAGGGGCAGCAGGGGAACTTGAGGGAGGGCAGAGGCTGGGTGAGAACACTTACTCTGGTTGAGGGGCAGGGATTAAGGGGATATTAGGCAAAGAGCAGGGAATGGGGATACCGCAGGAGGGGCAGGGTCTTGTGGAAGGCACTGGAGAGACACAAGAAGTTGCTGTGTATTTTGACATGAAGTAGATCAGTCCTCTAAAGTTGACCTCTCCCTCCCTTGAGACTTGGGCATCCGTGGTTCAGAGCTTCTTGGAACATAGGTGGCCATCAGTGTCTGAGCAGGAGTGTGGCCTCTGGCCCACTGGTTCTTGGGTATGGGGCAGAGTTAGGTCATTGGCTCCCCCACAGAGCCTCTGTCCTCTTTGGCCTCTGCTAAACTCCTCCTTGGCCCACCCACTTCGCTCTAACTTTCTGGCTTCCTTCTCTCTCCACCCCATTTCTACTCTCCTCCCTCCAAATCACACACAAGGCCTGGCCCCTACTCTTATCCCATGGGGCTTTCCCCTGGGGAGAAGCTACCCCAAACCCAAAACCCAGATGTTCAGCCTCCCAGATTTCCTCCCTCTGAGGCTCCACTGGGACTCTGTGGAGTGTGTGTGGCTCTAGAGGGGACTTTGTGGGGTGCAGGCCCTGAGAGCTTTTGGAGAAAAACAGCAGAGCCTCGTTCTGCTGAGTAGGGGAAAATAAAAGCATGTTCTGTTTCTCTACCCAGTACAGAGACACACACACACACACACACTCCATACTACTGGGCTCTGCACACTGCTACTTTACCCCTGGGCTGTCAATCTTCTTTTCCTGCCTATCCACACCTTTTATTTCTGCCCTTGTCTGGGTGACCCTGTGCCTCCAGGATGGTACATTCTTAGCAGGGGTATACATGGGAGTGGAGCAGGGTGGGGAAGGGAAGACAGGACTAACCCAGCA
Organism: Homo sapiens; assembly: GCF_000001405.40. Classification (NCBI taxonomy): domain Eukaryota; kingdom Metazoa; phylum Chordata; class Mammalia; order Primates; family Hominidae; genus Homo; species Homo sapiens. The sequence goes on along the minus strand of NC_000012.12, from coordinate 54,374,879 downwards.
TCAGGCCTCTGCTTTAGCTTGGACCCCAGGCATCCTGTCTATCAACCCTGGCTCCACTCACTGGTGGATGGTGGAAGACTAGAGGGGCAGGGAGCCAACAGCAGATAGCCCTTCCCACTTTTTGCCCTACCCTCCCCTCCCCCATCAAATGGTTCTGTTTTGACAGCTGTCTCCACTGCTGTTTTCTGTCCCCAGAGCTGGGCTCGGGGCCAGGGTCCTCCAGGGTGTCCACAGAGGCTTCAGGGAAAATGAGACCCAAGGGGAAGTAGTCAGGACAGAGCCCAGGCATCAGGGATCCTGGGACTTCCAGCCTCAGGGTGAAAGCAGCAAAGGCTGGATCCTAGGGGCAGAGGACTTGGGCACATAGCCTTGGGGTCTAAGAGGATGCTGACTGACTGGATTGCTAGGCCTCTCCCCATTTAGAACTCTTCCATAGGTTTGTGGTCCCCCTGTCTCTACCAGGACTAGGTGGGGGTCTGAGTCAGCAGCCAGGCCCTGGGTGTGGTGGTAGGGTGGAGTCTGAACTAGGTGGGGACCTAGGTTCCCAGGGACTCAAGCTTGAGAAGCTAGTCTGAGCCCCAGGAATAACCAGGACTTATTGGTATGGGGCTTTACATCTCACTGGTGTACAGAAAAATTCACTGCAGCCTGCTGAGATCACCCCAGGACTTGAGGGAGCTCTGTGGGGAGATCGGTCAGATGAAAGGTGATCTCAGATTCCATTTTCTTCCTCCATCCCTAAAGAGCCAGGCTGAGGCGCACTACAAAGGTAATCGCCACGCCCGACGAGTCAAAGGCATTGAGGCTGCCAAGACCAGAGGCAGGGAGCCTGGCGTCCGAGAACCTGGAGACCCAGCTCCCCCAGGCAGCACCCCAACAAATGGGGATGGTGTAGCACCCCGTCCAGGTGTGTCTGAATCCCCGCATATTCTTCAACTGATCTCTGTCTTCTCTATTCTCTCCCCCTTTTCCAGAACTGTCCTCTGCTTCCATCTCTCTCTTCCTCAGTCCCTATACCCCCACCCCCACCCAAGGTGAGTCCTGGAGCCAGGCACAGTGATGTAAAATTTCCATCCTGTCACCCTTACCCCCACCACAGCTCCTCTCAACAGAGTCCCCACTGTCTGTCCTCCCCACAGCCCAGTGACTCAGAGAGGGGCTAGGGTGAGGCCACCTGGCAAACATCCCCAAGAAAAAGAGAACCACCAAATCCAGAGAGATGCCTTTTCATCTTAGGGAGAGGGGCAGGGAAGGGAATCAGAATATCTGAGTTCCTGCCCTACTGGGGCTCCCCTCGGGGAAGACAGAGAGTGCAAGAAACCCAGGAAACTCCCTGGATGATCTTGGGTAGTAGTAGACCTTTTGACCTCCCTAGTCAGAGTTTTTTTTTTTTTTTTCTGGGAAATAGAGGAGTGAGACTAAGATCTTTGAGGTCTTTTCCAAGTTTACAAGATTCCTTTTCCCTCATGGCTGGTGACCATCCTCAGTCATACTTGCAGCCAAGAAATTGGAAAGCAGGAATATTGAGACAGGAAGATATGATGAGCCACCCCCATCCTGGGATTACCACATCGGATGTCAATCATGGCCAATTCCAGAGAGACCTAACATCTCCATCCTTATACTTGCCTGTCCTTCCTGCCCCACCCTAAGAAGAATGAGAAACAAACATCTGTACTACCAGCTTGGAAACCAGGACCCCATTCTCAATACACACACACACACACACACACACACACACACACACACACACAGAACCCCCTCAGGGATGCACAGTCAGAGTGAGTGGGCAGGCGGGCAGGTGGGGGAACTGAGTTCTGTTTTTTGTTTGTTTGTTTTTTGAGACAGAGTCTCACTCTGTCGCCCAGGCTAGAGTGCAGTGGCACAATCTCAGCTCACTGCAACCTCCACCTCCCAGGTTCAAGCGATTCTCCTGCCTCAGCCTCCTGAGTAGCTGGGATTACAGGCACCTGCCACCACACCCGGGTAATTTTTGTATTTTTAGTATAGAAAGGGTTTCACCATGTTGCCCAAGCTGGTCTCAAACTCCTGACCTCAAGTGATCTGCCCACCTCAGCCTCCCAAAATGCTGGGATCACAGGCATGAGCCACCGTCCCCGGCCACGGGAAGCTGAGTTCTAATTGTACTTTGGCTGCTTCTTAGCCTGATCATCTTAGTTTGTTAACATCTCTGTAAGATGGAGAGGAAGAGGATGATGATGATGATGGTGATAGCTAACATTTCTTGAATAGCACTTTACACATATTACCTCATTTAATTCCTACAGTATCTCTGAGGATATAGGCAGGATAACTATACCTGCCGTGCTTTATAAACCATGAAGTCCTGTCCAGACTGAGATGTGGATGTGCTGTCTGGATTGGGATGGAGGTGAAGAATGTCAGAAAAAAGTAAGAGAAATAAGGGGAAGGACATAGGATGAACAAGCAAATGGGTACCTGGAGGGGTGAGGAGTTCCCCTCCCACAAGCTCCCCACCCCCACTGCCAGCCTCGCCATGACCCGGAAACTGGATCAGCTGCTGGAGCAAGAATGGGAGCGCTAGAGTTTCCCCTGTACAGAGGCCAGAACCCAGCACTGAGGCCTAGGGCCTGTGCATCTTTAATCAAGCCATGAATTATAGAGCAGCCTACATCCCTGTTTCTTCCCTCTCCGGTTCTGATGTTTCTATTTCCCTTTTGCCATGCCTGTGTTTATCTCTCCAGACCTTTCCTCACCCTGCCTCTGCCCCTTCCTAGGGCTCTTTCGTGTACTTCCTGGGGGCTGGGCAAGACTCCAGGAAGGGGCTGTCCTGGCAGGAAGCCCAGACTGGCTGGCAGGCCACTGAGGGGTATATCCTTGTTGCATGCCTCTCCCCCTGGCTGGGCTGGCTGCCAGCTTCACCCTGAAGGTAGGCTGGTGAGGCTGGACCCCTTGGCCATTCCCAGCTAATGGAGAATGAGCCAAGCATTGGAGTTTCACACCCAGCCTGCGGCAGCTGGACCACATCTGGCTCTGGACCAGGGCATGAGAGCATGCATGTTGTAACAGGGTGGGGACTCCTGGTCCCTTGCCCTCCAGGAAATGGGGGGGGTCTCTTCCACATGAAGAGTCTTCTCCAAGAGCCATCTAGGGTGATCCCCATGTTTCTCCCCCAACAACAGTTTCCATGGAGAATGGACTGGGGCCAGCCCCAGGATCCCCAGAGAAACAGCCTGGCTCCCCATCCCCTCCCAGCATTCCGGAGACTGGTCAGGGTGTAACCAAGGGTGAAGGGGGGACTCCAGCCCCGGCTTCCTTGCCTGGGGGTAGCAAGGAAGAGGAGGAGAAAGCCAAGCGGCTGCTCTACTGTGCTCTGTGCAAGGTGGCTGTGAACTCCCTGTCCCAGCTTGAGGCACATAACAAAGGTATGGACTCCCCTGCCCCCACCCAGACTCTCCTGTCCTCAGGCCACCCCTGCCTCTACATCCTAATGCCCCTGGCTTCCAACATCCCTAGACCATCTAAGACCTATCAGCCTATCTGCCTGTCTCCTTCTCCAGCCATCTCCCCTGTTCCTTAGCCCTTTACTTCCTCAGCTCCTCCCTCCATCTTACTCCTTTACCTATGACTCTCTCCTGATCCACCTCTTTGGGAGGGTCCCAAGGAGCTTAGTTAGAAAGAACCCACACTGTGCCCACCCTCTTCCCCCTCATATTGTACCTGGGAATGTGCATTCTGAGGCCCAGTAGGCCTGGATAATTTTTCTTCCACCCCTTACCTCCTGCCCTCTCTGGGCTCCAGGTACTAAGCACAAGACAATTCTGGAGGCCCGAAGTGGGCTCGGGCCCATCAAAGCTTACCCTCGGCTGGGGCCTCCCACCCCGGGGGAACCAGAGGCTCCTGCCCAGGACCGAACTTTCCACTGTGAGATCTGCAATGTCAAGGTCAACTCGGAGGTCCAACTGAAACAGGTGGGTCTAAGGCCCTTCCCAGGAATTCTGGGACGCTCCACCCGCTAAGTGGGGAAGGGGAGCAAGGAGCTTGAGTAAAGGCCCTTCTTCAGAGTTTTCCCCAGGGGGCCAGATGGGAGGGGGCCGGTGCTTGGAGCTTGATTATACTCCCTCGCTGTTGCCCCTTTCCGGGAGCTCACAGCCCCCTATCCACTGGCCCCCGCAGCACATCTCCAGCCGGCGGCACCGAGACGGCGTGGCCGGGAAGCCCAACCCACTACTGAGCCGTCACAAGAAGTCTAGGGGCGCCGGGGAGCTGGCGGTGAGGCCTGGATGCTGGGAATTCAGCAGTGGGAGGGCGCGGGCGGGGAGGAGAGAGGGACGCGGGCTTTGCCCAGGGAGAGGTGGGGTTTGCAGGACCGCCGGGTGACTTCTCTTCCTCCGCCTTTCGCCCGCTTCAGGGCACGCTGACTTTCTCCAAGGAGCTGCCCAAGTCCCTGGCGGGCGGCCTGCTCCCCAGCCCCCTGGCGGTGGCTGCAGTGATGGCAGCGGCAGCAGGCTCGCCGCTGTCCCTGCGCCCGGCTCCAGCCGCACCTCTTCTCCAGGGACCGCCGATCACTCACCCTCTGCTTCACCCGGCCCCCGGACCCATCCGAACTGCGCACGGACCCATCCTCTTCTCCCCGTACTGACCTCAACCCTGAACCCCTCCCATTCAACTCCCCACCTCCAGCCGGGACCCAGGCGTCCGGGCTCCCAGCCCGCCCCTCCTCCCGGCACTCCCTAAATGATCTCTCCTTCCCCCCCCCCACCCCGAGATACGGGGTTCCAGGAAAGGGGAGGGGTAGCGGGGGAGGGGGGCTTCAGAAGGGGGGGAACACCCCAGATCTCAGGGAACCCCGCCCCCTGCCTTTCCCTCTCCCCTAGAAAAGGGGGGGCCGTCTCACCCCCGAGCCCCCTTGGAGACACCCCCCCTCCCAAAAGCCATGTCCATCCAGCCCTTCCCCCCAAACCTAGCACAAAACGGGGTTCACAAGCCATGGTCGGGGTCCGGGGGGGACAGAAATGGATTTTCTTGGCAATAAGCGGACTCTGGGACTCCGGCTCCCTACCCCAAACTGAAGCGCTTCCGTGAACACCCCCGTCCTCCGTAGGGGGAGGGGAGCAGGCGGGATCCTGGGTCCCTCATAAGCACTTTGGTTTTACCGCCTGCAACCTCACTGTGCCCGCCCCGCACCATGCCCTAGCCCCAGGTCTAGCCGGGCCCATTGCAGGGGGCAGCACTTGGGGGCATCTCCGGCACTTGGGTGGGACCAAGGAGATGCCACCATAGACCTTTCCCTCGCCTTCTTCCTCCCTAGTCCGGGTTCCATTCTTTTCACCAGCACCCATCGCCCAAGGGGTACCGAGGGGGGCAAGGGGTGTCCAGTCCAAGCCCACCCCCGCCTCGCCTTCCGCAAAACTGTGAGCAAAAAGCAATAGAAGCCTCGCCCCCGCCCTTCCCCTTCGCAGGATTCGCCGAGTCTGTAGCCTCCCCGATCCAAGTTCCTAGACCTCATGGCTGTCCCCTCCCACCAGTCACCTCCACTGCACAACTCGGGCGGGGGTGTGACACCTCTCCCCCACCCCCGACTCCGTGGTTTCCGTATCGTCAACCCTTCAGCCGCCGACCCGGGAGGGGTCTGGCCTACACTGGTCTTCCCCTTCCCATCAACTCTTTCTGCTTGACAATGTAGCAACCCAGGCCCCCCACCCACGGTCCTCCCCTTTTTCCTCTCCCTGACAATAAAGTCTGAATTTGTTCTGCCCTCCGCCCCTAGACTCAGACTCTGTCTTTGCCCGCTGTTTTGGGAGCAATTCTGTCGTTAAATGTATCTGTATGGGACCGGCACAGAAAGAGGAAAGGGAGCGAGAAGGAGGAGGGAAACGGAAATCGGGGGTGGGGGAGGCAAAATATGAGGCTTGTGCAGAGTGAGCAGAGGCTCCCCATCCCACCCACGCCCACTCTCGTCCAGCTCGTGTAAACTTGGCCTGGGGGATCATTTCTAGTCCAAGTCTGGGACTGCAGCTGCAGCTGTTGAGAATTTGCCACAACTCCACAAGGCGGCGCCAACGACCCGGAAAAGGAGTCTAAGCCCGAGGCTAAGCCGCTCCTGTAATGTGTTTCGAGATTCCACGCAGATGGGTCTAGACTCAGTCTCAGACAAAGAAAAGAATCCAGGCTTTTGTGTGTCTGGTGGGAAACCCACGCCAGCGAGACTCAAGGCACAGGAAGAAACGGGGGGCAGAGACTGGGGATCTGAGCTCTAGGCTCTGGCCCCACATAAATAGTGACCTTGAGTCAGTCCTTGCCCTCTCTGGACCTCAGTGTCACAGTCTTCAAAATAAGGAGACTTGAGTCTTTCAAAGGTTCATTAAGATCTCATGTATCCAAGACTGAAGAACTGAGACTGTGCCATTTACAGATATACTGGAATACCTTCTCAACTGGCCCCTAAATGGTCTGTGGAACAGGGAAACACTGTTCAGCTGTCTCTCACATGGTATGTGAGGAAAATGGTTTCTCCGTTATCTCCAAAATGTGGTTCAACCATACACTCCCAAGAGCAGCCAGTAATCCTGACCCCCTCTATCCCTACTGAGAGGCAGGAAGTTCAAACAAAAAAGCCCAAACCAAAACCCAGAATCTATGTGAGTTCCTCCCGACTTTCATCTCTGCTCACTTCCCCCACTCTACCCACTTCCCAGTCTTGCAGAAGAAAGGAGGAGGGAAGTTGGGATGATGTCTGTTAAACAGGAAAGAGAGGGGAATGGGGGACTCCTGGGTTTGTCAACTGTGAGGCTGAAAGGAGGGTGTTCACTGTGGGTTCAGAATTGGAACCCAATAAGGAGTGTTTTGGTGTTTGTTTGCATGTTTGTTTCCAGGTAAATCTAGCTTTAAAAGGGGTGGGAGGATTCAGAAGGATGCGGGACAAGAGAGGCCCTATAGAAGAGTGGGTAGAGAAAAGCAGGGGCTGGGTCACATGTGGGGAAGGAGATAGGGACTGGAAGAAATTGGGGTTAGAGAGTCTGGGATCCTAGCAGACCCCACAAGTACTTCAAGTCTGCTAGTTTAAAACTGAATTCATTATTTACCCCTTTCCCTAAGCCTGCTCCTCCTCCCACATTTCCTATCTTATTAAGAGCACCACCATCTGTCTGGAAAACAGAAAGTTATCCTAGTTCCTCCTTCTTCCTAACTCTTCATCCAATGAATCACTAAATAAGTCCTATTTGACCTCCTAACAACCTATGGATCCTTATCATTCCTCCATTCCCACAACCACTGCCCTAACCAGGACTGGCTCCATAATTTGTGGGACCCAGTGCAAAATGAAAAAGCAGAGCCCCTTATTCAAAAAGTATAGTATTAAGAATTTAAAAACAGTGATTGACGAGCATTTAACCAAGCACCAGGCCCTTCAAACTGCAAGGCCCTATGCAGTTGTACAGGTGGTCTGGCCCTAACTTAGGGCCATTCTATCTCTCGTCTGAACTAGTGCCTCTTTACCCATTTCGCTCACTCCCAGGCTGCACGCCTTCATTCTTTACTCACAGCAATCTAAGTGCAAATCTCACCAACTCCTTCAGCATGAAACCAGCTCCTTAGCACGATACACAAGGTCCCCCTTGACCCTGCCTGCTCAACTCTCCAAGCTCTTCTCTGTTGTTCTCTACCTCATGCCCTTTGTTGGCTTCTACCTGAACCTCTGCGCCTCTACACATACTGTTCTCTTTGTCTAGAATGTCCCTCTACTTATCTCCCAAAAAACTCTCCTGTTCATCATTCAGAATGCAGCTCAGTAACCTCTCTGTGAACCCTTTCCTCACCTCCTACTTAATAGTATGCTCCTTTTCTCTAAGCCTCTGATATATCATTCTGGGTTGTTTTGTTTTGTTTTGTTTTGTTTTTTGAGAAAGAGTTTTTGCTCTGTTGCCCAGGCTGGGGTGCAGTGGTGCAACCTCGGCTCACTGCAACCTCCGCCTCCTGGGTTCAAGCGATTCTCCTGTCTCAGCCTCCCAAGTAGCCAGGATTACAGGTGCGCACCACCACGCCTGGCTAATTTTTGTATTTTTAGTAGAGACGGGGTTTCATCATATTGGCCAGGCTGGTCTCGAACTCTTGACCTCAAGTGATCTGCCCGCCTTGGTCTCCCAAAGTGCTGGGATTACAGGTGTGAGCCACTGCACCCAGCCATGTATTTTTTGTTTGTTTTTTGTTTGTTTTTGAGACGGAGTCTCGCACTGTCACCTGGGCTGAAGTGCAGTGGCGCGATCTCGGCTCACTGCAACCTCCACCTCCTAGGTTCAAGAGATTCTCCTGCCTCAGTCTCCCAAGTAGCTGGCATTACAGGTGCCTGCCACCACACCCAGCTAATTTTTTGTATTTTTAGTAGAGACGGGGTTTCATCATATTGGCCAGGCTGGTCTTGAACTCCTGACCTCAAGTGATCTGCCCGCCTTGGCCTGCCAAAGTGCTGGGATTACAGGTGTGAGCCACTGCACCCAGCGATGTATTTTTTGTTTGTTTTTTGTTTGTTTGTTTTTGAGACGGAGTCTCACACTGTCGCCCGGGCTGAGGTGCAGTGGCACCATCTCGACTCATTGCAACCTCTACCTCCTAGGTTCAAGCGATTCTCCTGCCTCAGCCTCCCAAGTACCTGGGATTACAGGCGCCTGCCACCACGCCCAGCTAATTTTTTGTATTTTTAGTAGAGACGGGGTTTCACTATGTTGGCCAGGCTAGTCTCGAACACCTGACCTCATGATCCACCTGCCTCGGCCTCCCAAAGTGCTGGCATTAGAGGCATGAGCCACTGCGCCCAGCCTGTTAGTTTGTTTTTCTAATTTTTCAGAGACAACGTCCTGCTGTGTCACCCAGGCTGGAGTATAGTGGCACAATCTTTCTCACTGTAGTCTTGACCTCCCAGACTCAAATGATCCTCCCACCTCAGCCTCCCCAGTAGCTGGGACTACAGGTGCACATCACCACAGCTGGCTATTTTTTTTTTTATTGTAAAGACAGGGTCTCACTATGTTGCCCAGGCTGGTCTTAAACTCCTGACCTGAAGTCATCCTCCCAGCTCAGCCTCCCAAAGCATTGGGATTACAGGCATGAGCCTCCAAGCCAGGCCTATATAGTATTTTAAAGCAAGCCTCAGCAAACTTTTTCTCAAAGGGCCTGATTATAAATATTTTAAACTGTGTTAATCAAGAGATAAAACTGAGGATATTACATAGGCACTTATATAACAATTTAAAATATAACCATTTTTATTTTACTTACTTATTTATTTATTATTTTATTTTTTGAGACGGAGTCTTGCTCTGTCATCCAGGCTGGAGTGCAGTGGTGCAATGTGATCTTGGCTAACTGCAAGCAACCTCCGCCTCCCGGGTTCAAGCGATTCTCTTGCCTCAGCCTCCCTAGTAGCTGGGATTACAGGCGCACCCATCACGCCTGGCTAATTTTTGTATTTTTAGTAGAGACGGGGTTTTACCATGTTGGCCAGGCTGGTCTCGAACTCCTGACCTCAAGTGATCTGCCCTCCTTGGCCTCCCAAAATGTTGGGATAATGGGCGTGAGCCACTGCACCTGGCCTAAAATATAACCATTTTTAAATGGAAAAAAAACATGATTGGGTCACAGGCTATACAAAAACAGCAGACTAGATTTGGCCCATAGGGTGAAGTTTACTCACCCTTGCTCTGGAGAATCGATTAAGCATTTGCATATTTATGTATCTGTCTCCCCTAGTAGACTATGCACAAGGCCATATATCAGACGTTCTTGTATCCCCAGTGTCTAGATCAGAGTCTGGTGTATAGTAGGCACTCAGTACTAAGTTGTTGGGTAAATGGATAAATGAATGATTGAACAGGACCCTGATCCCTTGAGGAGAATGAAACCAGAATTCTGGATGCCTCATTCCCCACTTTTCTTCATCTGACTTGGTTTCTCAAATGTGCTAGGGTGTCACATGGGTCCCTCTGACTTGAACCATGTCTAAGCCGTGGAGACAAGAAAGGTAGTGCTCCTCTGAAACAAACCCAAGGCTTCTGGGGGTACCTAAAGTTGCTCCTGGAACTTGGTCTTATCTTTTGGCCCTTTGAGGAGTGGCCCAAATGTTCTGATGCTCTGACTCCGTGCCCTAGCAATTCTTGGCAATGATCTTACAGATGAGTTCTGCCATGCAAAGAGGGGAAGAAAACAGAGTTTGGGTTTCAGGAAGGAGAAAGGAAGAGTGAAACCACTCTGAGGTAAGTAGCGGGGGACTTTCAACAGAGAAGCCTAGATTTCACTAGCCGAAGCAAAATGAGTAGGACCGGAGGTGGTGAAGGAAGTGGCTGGGATTGGGTAATGGGGGAGTTTCTTATTCTTTCAGTGGACTATAATAGGATACATAAGAGCAGGATGTCTCCTGCTTGAAGCCTAACTGTCCACCAGAAAGGACTGCTCTTTGGGTGAGTTGAACTTCTTCCATTATAGAAAGAATTGAAGGCTGAGAAACTCAGGTAAGCACTTTTGTTGTGGGTATACTTTTACCTTCTTGGTCTCCTCATCTCCCAGGTGGTAACAAACAGAAATGACTAAAGCCTATATGTGTGTGTAGTGGAAAGGAGCAGAGGGAACTGAATACAGAGAGGATCCTGAATACACGATGCTGAATAGAGAGAGGGGACTCCTGGGGGTCTTTGGGGATGGGGAAGGAATTAAAAAAGTTGGAGGGCACTGGGTTTACTGAGAGCAGCGGGATGGATATAGAAGAGGACTGAGGTTTGGAGCAGAATAAGACTAAGATATTTAGGCAAGAGATATTTAGATAAAAACTTGGGGAAATATTTGAGAATGGGAAAGGACTAAGAGAACCTAAGGAGAGAGTTAGGGATCTTGAGATGAAGAGGCCTGGGAATGGTTCAGGAGGATACTGAATTAAGGTGAGGTCCAGGAACAGTTTAGATGTCCAGGGTCCCAGAACTGTTCAAGAGATCTAAGTTGAATGCTAGGTTCTGATTCCCTCTTCCTCTTCCACCCTCTGCCTCTTTAGCCTCTATCATGTGGAACAGCTCTGACGCCAACTTCTCCTGCTACCATGAGTCTGTGCTGGGCTATCGTTATGTTGCAGTTAGCTGGGGGGTGGTGGTGGCTGTGACAGGCACCGTGGGCAATGTGCTCACCCTACTGGCCTTGGCCATCCAGCCCAAGCTCCGTACCCGATTCAACCTGCTCATAGCCAACCTCACACTGGCTGATCTCCTCTACTGCACGCTCCTTCAGCCCTTCTCTGTGGACACCTACCTCCACCTGCACTGGCGCACCGGTGCCACCTTCTGCAGGGTATTTGGGCTCCTCCTTTTTGCCTCCAATTCTGTCTCCATCCTGACCCTCTGCCTCATCGCACTGGGACGCTACCTCCTCATTGCCCACCCTAAGCTTTTTCCCCAAGTTTTCAGTGCCAAGGGGATAGTGCTGGCACTGGTGAGCACCTGGGTTGTGGGCGTGGCCAGCTTTGCTCCCCTCTGGCCTATTTATATCCTGGTACCTGTAGTCTGCACCTGCAGCTTTGACCGCATCCGAGGCCGGCCTTACACCACCATCCTCATGGGCATCTACTTTGTGCTTGGGCTCAGCAGTGTTGGCATCTTCTATTGCCTCATCCACCGCCAGGTCAAACGAGCAGCACAGGCACTGGACCAATACAAGTTGCGACAGGCAAGCATCCACTCCAACCATGTGGCCAGGACTGATGAGGCCATGCCTGGTCGTTTCCAGGAGCTGGACAGCAGGTTAGCATCAGGAGGACCCAGTGAGGGGATTTCATCTGAGCCAGTCAGTGCTGCCACCACCCAGACCCTGGAAGGGGACTCATCAGAAGTGGGAGACCAGATCAACAGCAAGAGAGCTAAGCAGATGGCAGAGAAAAGCCCTCCAGAAGCATCTGCCAAAGCCCAGCCAATTAAAGGAGCCAGAAGAGCTCCGGATTCTTCATCGGAATTTGGGAAGGTGACTCGAATGTGTTTTGCTGTGTTCCTCTGCTTTGCCCTGAGCTACATCCCCTTCTTGCTGCTCAACATTCTGGATGCCAGAGTCCAGGCTCCCCGGGTGGTCCACATGCTTGCTGCCAACCTCACCTGGCTCAATGGTTGCATCAACCCTGTGCTCTATGCAGCCATGAACCGCCAATTCCGCCAAGCATATGGCTCCATTTTAAAAAGAGGGCCCCGGAGTTTCCATAGGCTCCATTAGAACTGTGACCCTAGTCACCAGAATTCAGGACTGTCTCCTCCAGGACCAAAGTGGCCAGGTAATAGGAGAATAGGTGAAATAACACATGTGGGCATTTTCACAACAATCTCTCCCCAGCCTCCCAAATCAAGTCTCTCCATCACTTGATCAATGTTTCAGCCCTAGACTGCCCAAGGAGTATTATTAATTATTAATAAATGAATTCTGTGCTTTTAATGCTCAGGTGTGGTCTCTGGGGAAGAAGGAAACAGGTCACGGTTAGGCTCAGGGGCCAGGCTAGGAGGAGACCATACTATTCCATCCCTCCTGCATGACGAAATCCTGTCACCATGTGCATGCTCACACATATCCCTAAAGCACCTGTGGCCACCAGGAGCTGGAACCTAATACCTAAGGATTCAGGGGTACCTAGGTCAAAGCAGGAGCAGGAAGCAGCTGGCCTGGGACATAGCCTTTAGAAGAGGGGTTTCTAGGTAATAAAACATGTGAGGTGATTTAAGAGGATTAGCCTGCCTTTTTGTTTAATTTCCCAGAAATGGCCTCTGCCCCTAACCACTGCTGCCAGGATCCGCCATCCCTACAAACAAGTTTATTCAGCTCAAAAAAGTTTTATAATCCAGCTTTGATATCTACTCCAGTGGGACCAGTCCCCCAGCCCTCACTCTGTGCGAAGGGAATGGTCATGGAGGAGGACTCCTTGGTCTGTAGAAATGGAACTGAGCTTAGTTAAGGCAAAGGCAGAAAAAGGTTCCAGCTGCCCTGGCAGGGTCCTGCCCATGGGGCTAATTCACCTGAGTCCCAGGCCCTCAGTTGCCTTGCATTTGTCATCTGGACTTATGAAAGCAAGAGAACAGGCCTGGTGGGGTGTCTCACACTTGTAATCCTAGCACTTTGGGAGGCGGAGGTGGGCAGATCACCTAAGGTCAGGAGTTCAAGACCAGCCTGGCCAACGTGGTGAAACCCCGTCTCTACTAAAATACAAAAATTATGGGCCAGGCACGGTGGCTCATGCCTGTAATCCCAGCACTGTGGGAGGCAGAGGCAGGTGGATCACCTGAGGTCAGGAGTTCGAGACCAGCCTGACCAACACAGAGAAACCCCATCTCTACTAAAAATAGAAAAATTAGCCCGGCATGGTGGCGCATGCCTGTGATCCCAGCTACTCAGAAGGCTGAGGCAGGAGAATCGCTTGAACCCGGGAGGTGGAGGGTACAGTGAGCCGAGATCACGCCATTGCACTCCAGCCTGGGCAACAAGAGTGAAACTCTGTCTCAAAATAATAATAATAAATAAATAAAATAAAATACAAAAATTAACCGGGCATGATGGCGGGTGCCTGTAATCCCAGCTACTCGGGAGGCTGAGACGGGAGAATCGCTTGAACCCAGGAGACAGTGGTTGCAGTGAACCGAGATCGCGCCACTGCACTCCGGCCTGGGTGGCTGAGCGAGACTCTGTCTCAAACAAAAAAAAAAGAAAAGAAAAAGAAAGCAGGAAAACAAAGACTCTAGTTAAAAGGGCTCAGGGGCCAGGCTAGGAAACCATACCATTCCTTCCCTCCAGAATGACCAAATCCTGTCACAATGTGCGTGCTTACACACATCCTTAAAGCACCTGTGGCCACCAGGTGACGCTGGTTCTCTGCGTTTCCTTTCTGGCTTCCCAGTTGAGGACACAAGGCAGGACTGGGAATCCAGAGACCCCTGACCAGGGAGTAGAGACCCAGGGATCTTCACCCTCCCTTTCCCCCAAAGCTTAGGAAGAAAAGTGAAGAATGAGACATTTATTATTCATGAGATATTCCTGTCTACTTGAGGTGGGGCTGGGGGAAGTAGCGGTGTGGGCACTGGGGTGGCACTGGGGATGGAATGTGAGTCATGCTGACCTTAATGCTCTGGCTGCATGTTGTCCCCTCCCTCCCCCAAGTCCATGGTTTGAGAGAACAAAGTAAAATCTGAAGATATTAAGGGCAGAAAGAACCACAGTTGGGGTGGACAGATTGATACCCTCACATGCAACACACTTCTAGGGTCCAGGAATCCTGACTCCTAATATGGAACATGCACTTTTGGTTGTCCTCCTTCCACGAAAGTCACAGGAGCCTAAACCAAATCAAGCTGGGGCTACTAAGGCAGGGGTCCAGGTAAACTGTTGGACCAATGAAGAACAACAGTTTATGGGTGTAGAGACAAAGGTTTCAGTCAAGGCTCTCTCATAGTTAGCTCTCGGAACTTGAGCAGATCTCTGGACCACTCTGGGGCTCAGATTTTATCATCTGTACAAAGCGGGGTGCGGGGTACACTCTTAACACGTGCCCAGTGCAGTTCCCTGTACATATATTATTTCATGTAATCCTCACAAAATTACCATGAAGTATCTATTATAATTTCTTTCTTACAAATGTGAAAACTGAAGCACAAATAGGTTAAGTAATTTGTCCAAGGCCGAATGCCTAGTACGTTGTAAGACCGTGATTTGAGGGCAGAGTCTCAAATCCGCCTTTCTAAAACTAGGATCAAGTGTCCAGATGATCCCTAACTGTCCTTCCTATTCAGACCTTCTAAGATTCTGAAAGTTGACAACTCTGAAGAGTTGTAAAAGGATTCACTTTACATGTCCTTAGAAGGCAAATCACAACGGTGTCAAGTAGAAAGGTGAAGCAATAGGGATTGAGGTTAGACCTCAGAAAGGACTTCCCAATTATCAGTCGCTGGGGGGAAAAAAAAAAAACTCAGGAGACACAGAAGGAAATCCTGGGGTCTAAGACCATAGAGGACAGATCTTAGCAAAAAAGCAGCCACCCGCCACGGCCCACACATCCACCCCAGCCCCTAATTTCAATAAGGGCTGAATGAGGGGAATGAAACTGAAGAAAAGCCAGGCTTTCTTGAGGCCTTCTCTCTCTTGCGGTTGTGCTTGGCGAGTGAGGCCATGCACTGGGTCCCTCGTGGTGCGTTGCTCATGCGTGTCTCGGGATGTGTGTGTGTTTGGAGGCCCTTTATGCTCACGAGTGTGAGTCACTGTCTGTCTCTCTTTGTCTCTTTATCTCTGTCAGTCTCTCGCCCGAGTCCGAGCTCTATCCCTGACTTTCTGACGCTATCTCTCACTGCCTCTCTTTGTCTCTTTCCATCTGTCCGTCTCTCCTGTAGGCTGTCTTCATCTCCTGTACCTCTGTTATCGCCTTTTTTTTTCTCCTAAGCTCGTCTCTCCAATCCCCGCTGCCGCGCTCCCCCCGCCCCCTCCCCAGTCGCCCGCCCGGGCTGTTCTTGCTCGTTCGCACGCTCTCTCTCTTTCGCTGTCTCTTACAGGCAGATTTATGGTCAGCCCAGGGCCTTTCATTGGCCAAGCGCTGACAGAACTTGATTTAACGCCGCCTCTCATTGGCTGAGCTTGACAGGCCGATTTACGAGTCACTCTACCATTGGCCAAACCACCTTGGCCCTGATTTATGGCTCAGCAGCCGCGGGGAGGGGGGTGCAGCTGCTAGGGAGTGAGGAGTGAGGATGCCCCTCCCCTCCCCTTCCCGCCGCGTCCCTCCTCCTCTCCCCCGCTTTTTTCCCCTCTTTCCCTCCCCTCAAGGAATGGCGCTCCCTCTACCTGTTCCTCAGGCCCCCTCCTCCCTTCTCTTTCGTCCACTGGGAGGGGAAACTGGGGTGTGGTGGTAACGGGAACTGAAGGGATGATGGGGTCTGAGGGTACACATGGGCCGAGGAGTCGAGTTTGAGGGGTGTGGATGGGGGCCGACAGGGAGAGCAGAGGAGACTGAACAGGGAGAGAGGATTCCGAGCTGAGGAACGAAGGGGAAACTGAGAGGGCAAAAGGATGACAGAAAGAAAGGAAGGTTGAGGAGAGAAGGAAGGCAGGGGAAGAGAGAGAGGGTTAAGGAGCTAAATGGGGGGTTGGGTAATTTGTCCAAGATCCGAGAAGAAAGAAGGAGAGATGAAGAGAAAGGACACATTTGAGGGGCCACACGGGCTGAAGCAGGGAAATCGGGCATCGAGAGAGGGACTTTTCAAATCTCACTATCCAGACTGAATAAGAGACGGAAATTTCCTTTTCACACAATGGCTCTGAAAAGGAAAAGCATTAGAGAAGCAAAGACAGAGAAAGGCGCAATAGGGAGGTGAGAGAGAGGGAGAAGCAGGAAAGGACAACTGGAAGGTAATAGCAAAGAAAAGAGAGAGGGAGAGCGACAGAGAACTAATGGGAAAGACCAGGAGGAAGGTAGGTTTTTGGTTTTTTGTTTGTTTTTAGGGGAGGGAGGAAAGGTGCCGTGAGAGAAGACTACTCCCCAACGGAAATATTGACAGAAAGGCTCCTCCTCCTCCCCTATGAAGACCCATTGGCGTCTGCAAGGGGACAGACGAGTCAGGCGCCTCCCCCAGGAGATATTCTGCTTCCTCAAGGCTGCAGTAAGCTCCCCATCCCATGCACCTCACTCCTCCCCTTGCCCACCTCCCCAGTTAAATTTATGAGTCCAGGGTGGCCTTCAGGAATTAGGAATATTTATGCTTCTTTGAGAGTGAGATTTAGAAGGTGATAAATAAGGGTCCACTGGGGGGTGCAGCTGGGGGCTCCTATTTTTAACATGGCCATTTTCCCAAGGCCCCACCCACACATTCCCTCTCCTCCTGAGCCAGAGAAGGAAGCACAGACGGAGGTGAGGAATGGGTTTCAGGTATCAGGAAGAGGGGTTGACTATCCTGTAGAGCCCCTCAGAGGACTGCAGAGCTTTGCAGCAGAAAGGATTGAAGGCAGATAGGGGAGGAACTTTCCAAGCATCCTGGCATTCGTATAGCCCCTAGTGTGCAGTTACAACATTTTTGCAGAAGGTGGGGAGAAGCCCATTTCCCCCCTGTCCCCTTAAGCTCAGTTGCTGAGGAATAGGGGAGATAAGCCAGAAAATTCAGAGGCAGATTTCTCTGGCCTGTCACCATCCTCACAGGAAAGGAAGATTTGAAATCCCCCACCTCCACAGACCACAGCCTGGATCCCTGGGAAAGGAGGCTAGGAATGTGGGGCTCAGGGCATCTCCTAGGAGTCTTGGCCTCCAACCTGCCCACCCTCACTGCTGCTGAGAATTAAAAACAGCCAATACTTCTTGACATCCCTTGCTCTGGGCCTCCAGGAAATTGAGAAGGGGTGGTGGATCTGCCTATGGATCCACATACCTTCTGCAGCCCTCAGCTCTAGAAGCCATGTGTCTGTGACCCCCCAACCCAGTGAAAGGGCTTGTTCTGGGTTTGGGTGGGTAGTGAACAAAGATGGAGGTCCATAATATAAGGGAGACCTAAGGAAAACAGAGCTGGGGAAGAGTCACACATCGCCCCCATCCCCCATGCCCTCCAACCGCTATGGCCTTAGCAAGGCTGGCCACAATGCACATGCGTACATACACTAGACTGCTGCCTGGAGTGGCAGGAGGGAGGGAAGGGTCTAGACTGGCCCTTTAAGAGCCACTTAGGGTCAGAAAGCTTGGGCTACAGAGAGGGGAAGGAGCTGATGTCAGAAGACGGATGGGCAGCAAGATGGGGATTGATGCTAATGGGGGAGTTAAAGCTAAGTACCCAGACACTCAGAGGGCAGAACTGCAGATCTGTCTTCCTTATGCTCACCCCCTCTCCAAACCAAGGCTGTAAATCTGCCTCTTCAACTGGGGGAAGGGGGACTGAGGAAAAAAGACATGCTCTCTTCTCCCCTTTCCTGTTTCTTCCTTACTTGGTGTGCCCACACCACCCCCCTCCACCCAATTCTTTTGTCCTCTCCCATTCTCTTGCAATCCACAACCCCTTCCCACTAAAATTTCCAATTTTGGGCTTTGCATCAGAAATTGACAGAATGGTTTCAGCTTGCAGAGGAGTTTAAGAGAGACCACAAGTTTTCCCTCACCAGACCCGGGTGGGAATGCTTGGTGGGATTGTGGTGAGAAACTGGTAGATTGGTAACTCCCAGATCCCTCAGTTTCTCATCCTTCCACTGTCTTCTCACTCGGAGGTAACTCTAGCAGCCGTCTTCCAGGACAATAGGGTAAAGGCAAGAAGCAGGAAGTTGGGTGCCAGGGGCTGGAAGGGGCATGAAAGATTCTGAGCTGGGTTTGTGGAGGCTTCTGACACACTGAGATTCTAGAGGGGCTGGTGGTGGGCTTCCAAGGGCAGCTAGAGAAGCTGCGGGAGCTGTCCACTGAAAGATATACAGTCTGGTTTCTCGGAAACTCCTGGATCATACTGTTCCCTCTCCTCAAGCACACACCCTGTCTGCTGAGTAGAGACAATTTCGGGCCAATAGTGTATTTACTGTAAAGGACCAGCTGCTCCTTGTACCTCTCAGGAGGGAGTTGGGGATCTTAGGGAAGAAGACTTTTTCAGAGGGGCTAGAGCTAGAATTAGCCCTTGGTAAATTTCATTTCTTTCTTCTTTCTTCAGGTGAGACTGTTTCTCCCACCTTTCAGGACCCATAATCACCCCTATTTCCTTTCCTACTGGCAACCAGGGCCTGTTCTTGAGAAGTCCCTCTCTATATTAGAGGACAGTCCCTCTCATCTGTTGCAGTATTAGGCCTGAACTCTTTCCCAGCCCTGGAAACAGTTGGTGCCTGATTGCCTCTAGTTTCCAAATCCTCTTCCATATCCATAAAAGAATAACCCTAAGATATCAATCTCATCTCTTCCTTTCTCCCAGGTTTTCCTTCAGAGGCCTAAAATCACCTCAGGGTCATACTCTTCTCTGTTTTCCAAGTCTTCAGAGACAAGGGAGAGAGGAAAGCTGGAGTGGGAAAATGGGGTTGTGAGCAGCAGCCACTGGAACCCAGCCTTCCAGCCTCCCGGCATCCGGCCTAGTGCTCCCTCCTATCTGAAGGAGGTCAGCCATTGCCCTCAGCCCTGGTCTCTGGCTACTTCTCAATACTGGTGATAAATCCTGTCTTTGTCTCCCCTCTGACCCAGGCCCCAGGCAGGCTGGGGGTCAGAGCTGGGGGAGGGGTCAGTGTGGAGGAAGGGGAGATACAAGGAGAATGGGGAGAAGATAGACAGGAGCAGCTGGTGGGCAGGCATGGGGGGTGGGCAGTGAGGGGATGGGGCTCTTCATTCTACAGATCCTGGACATTCCAGCAGGCCTGCATTCCAAGTGAGAAAGCCAGGATTGCCGAGTTGTGGAAATACCTTTGGAATGGTCCCTTGAGCATCTGGAATACTGGGAGATGGGGGGCTAGTATGGGGTGCCTCAAGGAAAGAGACTGCTGAAAGAAGTGGAAAAATATTGTGGAAATCATCCTATCCATACCGCAGACCCCTGTGCAAATGTGCCATGCGCACACACACACACACACACACACACACTCACACACACAGGACTTATGGCATGAGGGAGCCCCGGAGAGCCAGGCTGCCCTTTGCCTGGCCCCTCCCTAGTGGCCTTCTCTTGCTATGACTTTCCTGTTTCCAACTCTATTCTTTTTCTCTGCTCCCAGTCTTGCCTTCCTTCTTTGTGTCTCTCATTCTCCCAGTTTGTTATTCTCACCGTCTCTCAGCCTCTGCCTCGGTCTCTCAATCACTTTTTCTCTCTCATTTTGTTTCTTTCCATCTTCTTGTCTCCCTCTCGCCCCTCCCCAAATTCTTTGGACGCTGCTCCATCTGTCCTGTTTCTGCCACTCTTCAGCCCAGCCATCCCTCCTACCTCAGTCCCACCTCAGAACCCTGTTCTGACCCAGAGGATACCTTTGGGAGTTAAGATTCCAAGAATAGATGGAAAGGAGAAAAGAGGCTCTGAATGAGTCCCTGCTTTAGTGGGAGGTCTGGGAATCATACTGGGTTATGATATGGCACGGAAGGGCAGGGTGGGCAGAAGGTGACCAGAAAGAGAAGCACAACTAAGGGAGGTAGGGTGAAATGAGAGGGAAGAGATTGAAAAAGAAAAGGCATAGGCCGGGCATGGTGGCTCACACCTATAATCCCAGCACTCTGGGAGGCCGAGGCGGGCGGATCACCAGAGGTCAGAAGTTGGAGACCAGCCTGGCCAACGTGGTGAAATCCTGTCTCTACTAAAAAATACAAAAAAAAAAAAAAAAAAAGCTAGGCATAGTGGCACATGCCTGTGATCCCAGCTACTCGGGAGGCTGAGGCAAGAGAATCGCTTGAACCCGGGAGGCGGAGGTTGCAGTGAGACAAGATTGCACCACTGCACTCCAGCCTGGGCAACAGAGCAAGACTCCATCTCAAACAAACAAACAAACAAACAAAAAAGGACACCAGGCCGGGTGCAGTGGCTCATGCCTGTAATCCCACCACTTTGGGAGGCCAAGGCAGGTGGATCACTTGAGCCCAGGAGTTCAAGACCAGCCTGGGCAATATGGCAAAACATCGTCTCTATAAAAAATACAAAAAGTTAGTCAGGCATGGTGGCACACACCTGTAGTCCCAGCTACTCAAGAGGCTGAGGTGGCGGGATCACCTGAGCCCAGGGAGGTCGAGACTGCAGTGACCTACGATCATGCCACTGCACTCCAGCCTGGGTGACAGAGTGAGACCCTGTCTCAAAAAAAAAAAAAAAAGAAAAGAGAAAAGAAAAGACACAGAATGACAAACACTAAAGAGAGAAGGGTGCGGACTTAAAGTTCTCTCTGTGTGTTTTGGGTCAGTGTGAAGGGGAGGAGCTGAGGGGCATCTCTTAAGTCATATTGAGATACAGGTTCAAAGACAAGGTCTGGAGGCTCAGCCAGAAAGATGTGATGTCCACCAGGCATCCACAATTCTGGACTCTCTGTCACCTACCTAGGAAGTTCTCAGAGACCTTTTTCTCCTCTCCAGACAGTCTTGGAGTGTTGGTTCCTTCCCCATTCACCTCCTCCACTCTGTCACCTCTCTTCCTCCCCCAGTGAGAATGACATCAGCTCTGGCTGCCCCTGTCCTCAGCCCTGTTGCTGATGTACTCTCCCATGGGTGAAACAGAAGGCTAATCACCTTTGCCCCATGCATTCACTCTCTAGTCCAGGAGCTGGAGTTTACATAGCCTAGCACTCTGGAGTAGGAGTGGGAGGAGGCTGTACCAAGAAGGTAGCTGCAGAACATTGTGGGAAAAGAGGGGGCATGGGCATCAGGGGGAGGGAGAGGGAGAGGAGTGGAGGAGGGCACTTGAGGAACAGAGGCAGCAGCAGTAAATCACCCTGTTGGGGGGCTCCCTCTGCCTGAGCTCAGTGGGGTAGGGAAAGAATAGACATAGGGGGGTGGGGGGAAGAATGGGGAATCGCCACATCTGGCAGGCAGGTGTCTGGCACTGTTCAGGCTGTAGCCACTTTCCCAGCCAAAGGGGAGGAAGGGGGAGAGGGGAGGAGGGGCCTCCCAGCATTCCCTGGGAAAGAGGGAAAGGCTCACAAACAGAAAGACAGAGGCTTACAGACAGAAAGAAACCAAGGAAAAGAAATAATCAGACCCTGCTCCCAGGCTCTGCTTCAGTCAGTGCTTGGGGATGTGTTTACTCATAGCCCTGAAAAAAAATTGCTGGCCAAAAGACTGGGTAGGCCAGGGCACCAAAGTTCCATTCATGCTGGAAAACAGAAGGCAGGAGTTTAACCCAGACCAGGCTGGGGAAACTGAAGCTCAGAGAATTCCAAGTTTGAGAACTGGATAGAACTCCACACCATCACAGATCACCACCACCCAGCTCTGGCACTGACACTGCCCCTCCCCCAGGTCAATGCTGTGTGGTGAGTAGGAAGATTAGGATGTTAAGGCTGAGTATTGCTTTTCCCCAGCTCAGACAGGCAAAGACAAAAGAAGTACCTAGTCTTTATCCAAACTCTTGCACTCCAACTTTCAATGCAGGACTGTTGGCAGACGTGGTACACCCAGGTATTTTTCTTTTCTACCTGCTGAGGAGTATCCCATGCACAGGTGCCCCATAGTTGTTGAGCTTAATTGTCAGGTTTTCACAGAAGAGCAGGCAAGACTGGAAAACTCTGGGTTTCATGTTCTGATGCTGGAGAGACTCTCCCCATTCCTGCTACCTTCCTTCCCCCATCCTTTCCCATCTGAGATACTAATTTGGTCTCCCTTGCTTAATCCTGGAATTGCAGGTCCATTTTATGAGCGGCAGAGGTGACTGAGGAGACCCTTCAAACTGCAGTGGAGAAGAGGCTCCCCACACTCCCCCCTCCTTAAAAATCCTGCAGAGGAAGGGGGAAAGAAAACCAAAGCATTCTGTCGCCGCGGCAACCATAAAACCCCCAGCTAAATCCATCTTGTGAGCTCACCGCCCCATTAAGATGCAGGGCCAGGCGCTGCGCCAGCCCAGCCACATTCATTTGTGCGAATAAAGGTGGAGGAGGGGGAGGGGAGCAGGCTCTGGAGGGACGGGGAAATGGCGAGAAGAGGTTATTTACACCACCGTCCTGACCTTCTGGAGCAGCGCTGGCTCCGATAAATAACCCGCTCAGCGCCGTTTCAGAGCAGGAGTGGGAGGTGCAGGAAGTGAGCAAGGGCTGGAGAAGAGCCCCCACGCAGGTGCGCGTCTCTGGGTTACTAATGGCTGAGGCGGGAGCAGGCAGCTGGCTTTGGGGGTGATGGGGGAAGAACTCAGTTCCCTGGGACTCCCACTGAGAAAATACCATCCCCACCCCACCCCTGGCGCCAATTTCCAGGCGAGGGGACGGAGAGATGCCAAGGAGGCAAACAGCCCCGTAAATTAGGGATGGGGGGGCACTGCTAGGAGTCTCTGAGGTAGGAGGGAAGAAATATTATAAGATGGGGAATGACGGGGGGCTGGAGGAACAGGAGTAGCTGCCAAAAAGAGAGGAAGAGAAACAGAAACATCACACAAAGGCAGTTTGGAAAAAATGTTTTATTCCTCTTTGCACAGAGCAGTTTATGAAGGTGGTTTTCTCCTGACTCCATGCATCTTTTACACAAAGATGCCCCCTTAAATATGCCCCGTTATCTGCCCCACCTCAGTGCTGGAGAACTGGCAGTTAGTAAGTGGGGCAGAATGCTTAAGTCTCAGGAAGGTTTTTAAAGGCATTTTTGTGGGGAGGAAGTTCTGGGTCAAGGGGAAAGATTAGACCCAAGAGTGAGTATTCCATTCTCCATCTTCCTGGGGAAATCCAAACCCCAAAGGTTTTATGAAGAAAAGCACCTCTCTCAGCGACCTAGAGACAGGGAGAGCACAGACCTACTGCTTGGGTGTAAGGCTGAGGCAGAGAGAGGGTAGGTTGCAGCGACTGCAGACCCACGGCAGAGAGTAAATGCATGTCGGGGAGCTGAGGGGACAGAGACAGCCTAGAGGCCCAAGTCATAAGTTCCACTCCTTCCCCAGTTCTGAGTAGAAACTTTTCTTCCCAAGACTAGAATGGAGTTTTAGTTTTAGGAACTGGCTTTGCTCCAGGACACAGAGAAGACAAACCAGGCAACGATCCCACAGGTAGTAAGGGTGGACAGTTAAGGTAGCTAACTAAGAGATGGACACTCGCCACTGCAGTTTTGAAGCTATATGCCAGATCAGGGTACAGAATGCATTTTATATGCCCTGTTCAATACAATTTAAATCGCTGTTTCTTCCATGTTGTCCCTTCCCTATGAACTATTCCCAAAGCCTCTTCCAAGGCAGAGGACAGGGCAGTAAGAAGGAATGGAAGAAAACACTGAGGTCACTAAGTGGGGTTAGGGCTTAGATTGGATAAATCCCTACCCATCCCCGCCCCCACTCGTTCTATAGAAAAGAATTCTCTTTCTCTCTCCCCTTGCTGGGCTGTTGGGATGAGGGCCAGGTAGAGGCAAAGGGAGGAAAACACTCAGCACATTCTTTCTCCTACTTTAATCTGAAGTGTAGCTACAGCAAAGGGCACAGAATTTACAAAAATGTCAGGGCAAGGGAGCATGTGAGCATAATCCAGTCTAGAAAGAAAGAGGGTGCTTCCCCTGCCCTATTATCTAAATATGCTGGGAGCTTTACTCCCAGAACTGCAAGAAGAATGAAAAAGAATAGGAAGGGTGTAGGGGAGGTTGAGGGGGCAACCACAAACAGAATGGAGATTTAAGGATCCCTGTGATCCCCGAGATGACCCTGAGAGCATCGATTGGGGAACTAGATGAAAATTCACAGCAGACATGCAAATTTTTTGAAGAGGATGAAGAGCCAGGAACAGTGAGGTCTTCACCGAAGGAGTGACCACTTGATCTGTTCTTTGGCTGACTGCAGCACCTGCAGAGATAAGAGCAGCATTGAGGAAAGCTTGCTGACAGGGCAGGGTAAGGATGAGGGCTGGGGATCTCCTTCCCCTCACTTGTCTTCCCTGTCCTTAGAAGAATGGAGAATAGAAAATCCCCAAGGGTAAAGAGATGGGAAGAAGCTCTCTAAGGCCCTAGCAGATTGTTTGGAAAATTCCAAAAAAATTCAAACCCACTGAGGGGATGAAGAGAGAAGAGGTATACCTGGTATAAAAGAAAAAAAAAAAGGGAGTTACTGGACATATGTTAAAAGGGGCGGCGGGCAGGGGGCGGGTAACAAATCCAGATGGACTTCTTGGTGAGAATTCCAAGTGGGTAGAAAACGGAACCCCTCCCTTCCCCCTACATCAGGTAGACAATCTATCTGCAGTCAAGGTAGCAAGATGGATCTGCAAAACCTGCATATTCTAGAATATGCATTTCCAGCTTAGCCCTCAATTGAATAATAAGAGAAAGAGAGTGTGTGTGCACAAATGCACACAGACCATCTGCTTAAGGCAAGCCTCTGCTGGGGAATAAATCACTGAATGAGGCATCAGGCAGGCAGGGAGGGTTTGAAGGGTACAGAGCAAGGCTGACAGCCACTGCTCACAGGTAACTGAGAAAGGAGTTGGAAGTAGGGGTAGGGAGTGGCTGGCTGTATGAGTCCCAGTTCTCTGGAATAAGAGGGAGCCAAGGAAGATGTGTCTTGAGTCTCTAGTTTCACTCAGATTTGAGAGGTATGGGTGGAATGCTGTTCTAGCCTCTTTAGTGACCCAGTCCATCTGGAAAGGAAGAAGGGAGAGTCATACCTGAGACACGGTCTGCTCCGTAAGGGGGACATCTTCACCCTATGGCACAGAGATACAAGCATTTAGTGTGGGAGAAAGCTGGAGTAAGACCTGATTGGAGTCTGGTATTAGAGAAGAAAAAAGTGATCCTTTAAACTGAAACAAAGGGCAGATGCACTGAACTTCTCAGTCCCTTCTAGGGACTAGTACAGCTACAATTTTACTTGGCCAGAGGGACTATGAACAAAAAAGGGTCATTTCATCCAGCTTCCATTTTAAGGCAGGAGGACTTCTTAAAAGATTTAACTCCATTCAGAGTAACCAGCAGGTTATCTGATCCTCAACTCCCTTAACGTGGGGGTGGAGGACCTGATTCCCTAGTCAGAAAAGGCCTTTTCTGAATATCAGTATCACTAGGGAAAGGATGAGGGGGAGCCAGGAGTGGTTTAATGGATCCCGCAAAGCCTGATGGGTAACGACAGCATGTTAATTTGAAGAAATAAACTGCTGCAACAGCAGCCTAAGAAGACAAAGCGGGGAGTTGATGGGGGGGACCCTCTCTCTTGCCACACAGAGACATATGTTAGAGGAGAAGATTAAACTATGCAAATGGAGCCCACAGCAGTTAAGAGAGATTTCCCATTACCAAGCACTGTCAGCCTTCACTCTGTGGAGGTCAGAGCCAGGACATTCTGTGAATGGGGAGATTTGCTTTGCTCAGACATCTTTGCACCCGTATAATTTGTTGGTGGGCTCTCTCTGCATCCACCATTATCTCCTCAGCTGACCTGGGGCCTTCTATGGTTAACTCAGAGGCCCCTTTCTGATATCACCAGCACCAAAGAGGACTGAGGTTCTGGCAAATAAGTACTTCCTAATGGAGAGGTACCATCCTCAGTTATGTAACACTTTATTATTATTATTTTATTTATTTATTTTTTTTGAGACAGAGTCTCACTCTGTCGCCCAGGCTGGAGTGCAGTGGTGCAATCTCGGCTCACTGCAACCTCCACCTCCCGGGCTCAAGCAATTCTCCTGCCTTAGCCTCCTGAGTAGCTGGGATCACAGGCACGCACCACCATGCCCAGCTAATTTTTGTGTCTTTAGTAGAGACAGGGTTTCACCATGTTGGTCAGGCTGGTCTCGAACTCCTGACCTTGTGATCCGCCAGCCTCGGCTTCCCAAAGTGCTGGGATTACAGGTGTGAGCCACCACGCTCAGTCCTATGTAACACTTTAAAAGACAAAACAGACACTCCTCTGCCTCAGATGACTGGATCCATCTCCAAGAAGGGAATAAGCCAACTTCAAGTTGCTTTATAATTTCAAAACCATAAATATTAAAGTTTATTTTATCATTTATTAAATAAGTATGTATTAAATGTCCACTTTGTGCAAAGACTGTATGAGATGTTAGGCACCATATTAGGGGTAGAAATAAGTTATTTCTGCTTCTTTCTTTGGGACAATAAGAAGAGAAGGGAAGAGAAAGGCTGAATGTATTTGAAAGAAAAAGAGAAGGTTGTATGTATCCTATGAGCCCCAACTACTGGACACATCCAGCAGGTCTGGCTCTGGAGGGTGTTTGTGAATAGATGCGGGGATGCAAAGAAACACATTCTTGCTTACCCTTAATGCCACCCGGTGTACCACCTGCTGGGGATCACTCTCTAGGATCACCCTGCAAAAACAAAGAAGAGATCATTGTTCACTCTGTCCCGAAGGCCCAACTCACTGTCGGGGAACAGGACCTCTGGCCACTGAGCCTGCTTGACTTAGGACAGGGGCAGTTATCCCGCCACCTCACCCAAGATCAAGGCAGGTCAGAGAACTTACCCTCCATCTACAATTTCATCCACAGCCAAGAACAGCCCCTCCATGTTCTCCAGCAGTGCTCGCTTTTCTACATTTTTCCTGAGTCCCCAAGAGAAGAGAAGAGAATAACCAACTTGTATGTGAAAGAAATCCTAGGACCTTGTCTCAATTGAGGAACCTAAACTAGACCAATAAACATCTCCACCAACCACACAAAGAAGTAAATAAGGTGAAGAACTTTTTAGCTAGTTCACTCAAAACCCCTTTCTACTCGTTTGCTGAATAAGGAATGTATGGAAAGAGATTCAAATAACACAGTCAATTTCTGACTATTCAGGGGTTGATTATCCACGCTATTATTTCTTTCCTACCTGCCATGATGCTGCTCATAACATTGCTCATAAACACTGACATCAGTGGGTGGAAAAAAACAATATAAACAGAGCTAAGACTCAGTCTGGAGGTGGCCGGAGGTGAGAGGGGTTCAATGCAAACCTTATTTGTACTCAAGCTCTGACAAACCTCCTGAGACATTCTCTGTTCCCTCTTCTCCCTATCCCTTACCAGCTCTGCTCAGGCCCTGAAAAGAAGCCCAAAGAGGGGGCAGGGTCTGCATACACCAGCCTCAGATCCGTTGGTTGGTGCATGTGGCCTGTCACATCTGTCAGTTTGAGTCTTTCACTAGATTACCCGAATGAATTACTATTCATTCACCTGGATAAGAAATAAATCATCCCCTTCCTGAGGAAATCTGAGCCATTCACCCTGCTGATTTTGCAGGGCTGAGAGTGCCTGCTGTTCTGGTCTGGATGGCTGTCTGTACTGGGTTCACTTGGGAGCTGCTGGGGGAATGAAGTTCAGAGCCCTGGATGTTTTCAGGAAAAGTAACTTATATCTCTTCTATTACCCATCTACACGGGTAACAGAGAACAGAGGGCTAGTGGGAAGGTGGAAAGGGAGGAGAGGGTAAATGGCAGAAGCTTCCTGTTTTTTGTTTTGTTTTGTTTTTTGAGACAGGGTCTTGCTATGTCACCTAGGCTGGAGTGCAGTAGCATGATCACAGCTCACTGCAGCCTCAACCTCCTGGGCTCAAGCAATCTTCCTACCTCAGCCTCCCAAGTAGCTGAGACTACAGGTATGCACCACCACACCTGGCTAATTTTTTTATTTTTTGCAGAGACAGGGTCTCACTGTGTTGCCCAAGCTTGTCTTGAACTCGACTCATGCAGTCCTCCTGCCTGGGTGCTTCCTGTTCTACAGAAGGGAAAAAACAAGGACTAGAAGTCAAAAAAAAACTGGTCTAAGTGGCTCATGCCTATAATCCCAGCACTTTGGGAGGCCAAGGTAGGTGGATCATTTGAGGTCAGGAGTTCAAGACCAGCCTGGCCAACATGGTAAAACCCTGTCTCCACTAAAAATACAAAAATTAGCCAGGCGTGGTGGCACGTGCCTATAATTGCAGCTACTCTACTCGGGAGGCTGAGGCAGGAGAATCGCTTGAACCTGGGAGGCAGAGGTTGCAGTGAGCCGAGATCACGCCACTGCACTCCAGCCTGGGTGACAGAGTGAGACTCCATCTCAAAAAAAAAAAAAAAGAAAAAAAAATTGGGAGTGTTGCTTCCATTCCTGAAGTACTGAATGACATTTCATCTGGGACACTTCCTTATGCTTGGCCTTTCCCTACTTCTAATGTCAAGAATGAAGCCCAGGAAAGCACCTTGAGGATGCTCAGATCTGACAGGACCACAGGGGATTACAAGAGTAAACACAGAGGTAAAGATTCGGCTCCCTCCCAGTCCCCTTACTTAGTAAGAGAATTATTCTATGGGAGGGACATACTCTCCATCCAGTCCTCCCCAGTAGCATGAATTACTGTGAATTAATAAACCCAACTTTTTTTTTTTTTTTTGAGACAGAGTCTCACTCTGTCGCCAAGGCTGGAGTGCAGTGGCGCGATCTCGGCTCACTGCAAGCTCCGCCTCCCAGGTTCATGCCATTCGCCTGCCTCAGCCTCCCAAGCACCTGGGACTACAGGCGCCCGCTACCATGCCCGGCTAATTTTTTGTATTTTTAGTGGAGACAGGGTTTCCCCATGTTAACCAGGATGGTCTCAATCTCCTGACCTCATGATCCGCCCGCCTTGGCCTCCCAAAGTACTGGGATTACGAACGTGAGCCACTGAGCCCGGCAAAACCCAACTTCTAAAACTAAATCAACTCCCTGGAGCCTTTGCCAATCCCCTACAATCCCTGGGCCTGAAGAATGGTTACTTTATCTCCCAAAAAGAAATCAACAATGCCCTGCTCTTTCCATCATAACTTGAGGGGAAAAAAAAGAATGTCCTGCTCACCTCAGCATCTGGCTCAATGAGTCGAAGAGACAGTTCAGAACAGCCATAAGCATCAGCTGTTGGGAAACAGAGGAGGCAGAAGGATAAGGTTCAAGGCCCTGAAAGCTGCTACCTAAAAACAAAACCTCCTAATTCATTAAACATCAAAAGACACAGGCTTTCACAAAGGACCAAAAACATAAAGTGGAAGTGAGAGCACAACAGGAAAAGGATCTGTGATTTCTCACAGAAATAAATTCTGCTACATGATTCCACAATTCAACATCTTTTAGCCAAAAGTTTAAACAGAACTTCCCTGTCACAGTCCTCTACAATGTCTTCACCAACTGTATATGTGTTACCTGATGTCTTAGGTAGAGAAATTACTAACCAAGCAATAGCTGAGGTCAGAGGAAGGCTTCAGAGTTAGTGTAAAAAGCATGGACTTTAATTGGCTGGGCACAGTGGGTCACACCTGTAACGTCTAGACCCTGTCTAGACTCTGACTCTATCCCAGCACTTTCGGAGGCTGCAGCAGGCCGATTGCTTGAGCTCAGGAGTTGAGACCAGCCTGGGCAACATGGCAAAACCCTGTCTACAAACAATACAAAAAAAAATTAGCCAGGCATGGTGGTGGGCACCTGCAGTCCCAGCTACTTGGGAGGCTAAGGTGGTAGAATCACTTGAGCCTGGGAGCCAGAGGTTGCAGTGAGCCAAGATCGCACCACTGCAGTCCAGCCTGGGAGACAGAACAAGACCCTGTCTCAAATTTTTTTTTTTTTTTTGAGAGTCTGGCTCTGTCACCCAGGCTGGAGTGCAATGGCGCAATCTCAGCTCACTGCAACCTCCACCTCCCAGGTTCAAGCAATTCTCTTGCCTCAGCCTCCCAAGTAGCTGGGATTACAGGCGCCCACCACCACGCCCAGCTAATTTTTGTTGTTGTTGTTGTTTGTTTGTTTGAGACGGAGTCTCGCTCTGTTGCCCAGGCTGGAATGCAGTGGTATGATCTCGGCTCACTGCAACCTCCGCCTCCCAGGTTCATGCCATTCTCCTGCCTCAACCTCCCGAGTAGCTGGGACTACAGGTGCCCGCACCACGCCCAGCTAATTTTTTGCATTTTTAGTAGACATGGGGTTTCACTGTGTTAGCCAGGATGGTCTCAATCTCCTGACTTCGTGATCCGCCTGCCTCGGCCTCCCAAAGTGCTGGGATTACAGGTGTGAGCCACCATGCCTGGCCTGTATTTTTAGTAGAGATGGGATTTCGCCATGTTGGCCAGCCTGGTCGCGAACTCCTGACCTCAAGTGATCCGCCCACCTTGGCCTCCCAAAGTGCTGGGATTACAGGTGTGAGCCACCACGTTCGGCCTATGTCTCAAAATTTTTTAAAAAGCATGGACTTTAAGTCAGACAGATATGGGTTGGAATCCAAGCTGAGCCATTTTCTACATGTGTGACCCTGAGAAAGTTACTAGGTTGAACCACATCAGATAACTGCCACTTTTGTACTTTTCTCAATGGTCACATACAAGTAATTTCATATAGTTCTTCATGGTTTGGTTTCCTCATTTGTAAAACAAAGGCACCAATGCCTACAACTCATAGAAGTGCTATGAGGTTTAAATAACAATATACTTTACAAAGCACTTATACCAATAATAAGAGCTCAGTAAGAGTTGACTTTCTCAAACTTTCACTTTTGCCTCAAATTATCTGGGGGCTTATTTTTATTTATCTATTCTCCTAGAAGTTGCTATCTGAGGCAAACAGCTTTTCCTGCATATAGGAAGCAGGTTAGGACTATACCCAAGGTCTTCTCCAGTGATCCATTCAGAATGTATGGTTTCAACATGACCCAGGTTGTTAGCTAATTGGCTCAAACTCAGTCAGGTATGGACCCTTCATAGAAGAAGCAAGTATCCCCCTGCAGTCTTGACCATACCTCAGAAATCCATCTTAAAAAACACTACTCAGGGAAAGGTATTAAAACATATATGATGTTTCCTAATGGATGCAAAAGATTAATCTAGGAAAACTTCCTTTCTAGGCGATTCATTTGCCGGGCCATGTTTGTGAGGCTGGTGGGATCTCTGACAACTTCATTAGCTTGGTCAGAAGCCAGAGGAACACGGCTCTATTAGGGCCCCAAACCAGTGGCTATGTACTGCCTGTGGTTTAGAAAGTAGGATCAGAAATAGCAAAGAGGGGTGGGGATTCTCACCTCATTTTCATAGGAGCTGCCAATCACATAGAAATAGAGATCTATACTGCTTTTGTATACCACTGTCAGGCCTTCCAAGAGGGCAATTTCACCTGGTGGGGGAAAAAAAGTAAAAATAGTGGGTGGCTTGAGATAAGGAAGTAGGAAAGAAGGAGTTACCAGCCAGGCGCAGTGGCTCATGCCTGTAATCCCAGCACCTTGGGAAGCCGAGCCTGGCGGATCACCTAAGGTCAGGAGTTCAAGACCAGCCTGGCCAACACAGTGAAACCCCGTCTCTACTAAAAATACAAAAATTAGCCGGGCGTGGTGGTGTGCACCTGTAATCCCTGCTACTCAGGAGGGTGAGATGGGAGAACCACTTGAACCTGGGAGGCGGAGGTTGCAGGGAGCCGAGATCTCGCCACTGTACTCCAGCCTGGGTGACAGAGAGAGACTCTGTCTCAAAAAAAAAAAAAAAAAAAAAGAAGGCGTTACCATGAATTCCTAGTATCCAGCTCTTTTGGGCTAAGGTGAGGCCGCCTGTAATGACTTCCAAAGCCAGAAGATGATCTGCACTTTTTGGGTGGTGGCAGGAGAAGAGAAGTATGAACTTGGGGGAGTCTAAATGTATCTTCTGTAACCACCATCCTCTGTTCCTGCCCACTATACCTATTTCCCTACTTGTATATGAGACAGGATACTAGTCGATCCTTCGGAGGTGAAAATGCAGAGCGGTCACCTTTACAGACTTCCATTTACCTGCCCTAATGGATGCGGTACAATAAGCAGAGCTGCAATTAAATTTGTCAAGTGAGGCTCATAAATCCAGGGACTAGACAGGTAGCTAACAGCCAACCTTCCAGCATGGTATTCCCGCGTGAGGTACACTCACCTCCCCATTACATTCTGAAGAGTTTATTATACAAGGGGAAGAAGGAAAAAAAAAGAAAAAGGCAGAGTCATTTCATCCTTTCTCTGCAGCCCTGTTACCACCCCCTTTCCACCATGGTTCCCCCCAGCACGGGTAGTAGTGAAAGGAAAATGACCTACTGTCAGTCCGATGGGTCTTGTTGAAAATGTTCTTCTCAAAGGCCTTTTGCTCCTTGACACTGGGGTAGGTGTCGTCATAGTACTGGTCAGAGGGAAAGAAGACAGGGTTGGGTCACTAGAGCTGGAAGCCAGAATGATTAGTGACTATGTTTTGCCCTGGGATCTTGGATTTCTCTCCTTCAAGGCATGGGGCAAGGGAGAAATACTGACATGGAAAAGGAAGGATTGTAGAGGCAGAGAATGGGCAGTGAGTAATCCAAGAAAAATAAATAAAAGACCCTGCCATAAGCAACCCCACCTCACATTTCCAAGACTGTCTGAAGGCAGAAGCCTACCAGCCCTACAGTGAGGCTCTGCAGCTGTCTGCAATCTAGACCTCTCCTAAAACCATTCTCATCAAGTGTTTCCTAGGAGCTACCCCATGTCAGGAAGCAGTGCCAGAGAACACAAAAAACACTAGAAGCACAGAACACTTCCATAGACCCTCACTCACTGTATGAAGCTGAGGAATGGGGAAAGGCTACAAAAACCTCCTCCAAAGAAAGGCAAACCCTGCCCTATGATCTATCTTAGCTTTCTTTTCTGCAAGCTGAAAGAAGCATCCAGCATACCACTGAGCCCATTCCCAGGCTCTCCCTGGCAAAGGGGGCGGAGATGCAGGCTGCTAAATCGCTAGCTCTTTAGGGGCTAATCCGTCGCAGTCAGCTGAAGACCCATGACAGGTCTGGCATTTAGTAACTGGATAACTGTTTCAAAAGGTGTCCTGCATAGTTACATCCAATTACAGGGAGGAACAGCTGGTGAATTCTAAACTAATCTCTACCTGCTGATTGATTTATGCTACGCTCGCCCGGAGTTAATACACCAGGGACAGAAGAAATTTCTACAGGAGGGGGAGAATATGGAGGGAGAGAGGGTGTCCTTTCTTCTTTCTTCCAACAGATCTAAAGTTGGAAACATCACTCTGGGAAAGTCAGGAGGTAACAAGCTTGATGGTGACTATAAACCTAGGAATGGAAACCTGGAACTGCAAGACAATTCTCTGGAAAAACCCAGGCAGGGTGACATGGTATGAGGGAAGGGGACAGGAATGATGGACATGGGCGGACTGCCTCTTAGCATCTACATACTGCTTTGTTAGGAACCAAAGTTTCAAAGCTTTTCCCTGATCTGATGCTGACAACAAAGGAGGTCAAAGTCTGAGGACAGCAAGCAGGGCAGCAGTACAACTAAGGGACAAAAGAAAACAGGTTTTATCTGGAGTAGGCAAGATAAGATGGAAGAATTCAGGCCGGGTGTGGTGGCTCACACCTGTAATCCCAACACTTTGGGAGGCCAAGGCGGGCGAATCATGAGGTCAGGAGTTTGAGACCAGTCTGGCCAACCTGCTGAAACCCTGTCTCTACTAAAGATACAAAAAATTAGCCGGGGGTGGTAGCGCGTGCCTGTAATCCCAGCTACTTGGGAGGCTGAGGCTGCAGTGAGCCAAGGTCACGCCATTGCACTCCAGCCTGGGTGATAAGAGCGAAACTCCATCTCAAAAAAAAAAGATGGAAGTATTCTCAAAATTATACTACTGAGGAACATAAGTTAATAAGGTATCAGTCCCAAGATTCAAATCTCAGAATAAACCTTTGTGCTGTTCCTAAACTAATTCGAAAGGGAATCTCACCTTGGCAAAAAGTCGATCTCCATCATTGTCCAGAATCAGGATGGCTTTGACAGTATACAGGGAAGGTTCCTGAAGAGATACGAACATACCTTCAGTCCTGAAGCCTCCCATCACCACTGGTAAACCAGATACCTTCCCCTAGTCCCACTGGGGCTGCAAGGGGATACAGAGGTACCTCTGTAAGTCCCTTACCTCAACTTGGTCAGATTTTGATATTTCCCATTGAGAAAGACCCAGGGTAAGTAAACTGAATTGACAGAGAAAGCATTTAAACAAAGGATTCCAAAGTACCATCAGAGAAACAGTTTCTCTGACTCACAGGGGGCTTAATCAAGAGAGGTCATGCTGTTATTTCCAAATATTATGGTACAGTTATTTTCCAAATTACCCTCTCCCTTCCTGCTCTCCCATGTACAGGTGGCTATAGAATGTGACC
This sequence comes from Homo sapiens, assembly GCF_000001405.40. Taxonomy (NCBI): domain Eukaryota; kingdom Metazoa; phylum Chordata; class Mammalia; order Primates; family Hominidae; genus Homo; species Homo sapiens. The sequence goes on along the minus strand of NC_000012.12, from coordinate 54,340,179 downwards.
AGATTAATTAAAAGGCACTGAACAAAGCCATTTGAAAATAGGGTTGAATGTCCTAGTATACTTGGAAGTTTCTGCAGTCCGAATGCAGTAGCAATGCAGAAGCATAAAGCAAGCCTTCCCTAAACCACCCACACACTAAGCAGAGGGAAAAGAGCGTTTACACACACACACACACACACACACACACACACACACACACGCACAGGCACACCAGTTCTCAATGCAGCCTAGTAAAACAGCCATCTTCAAAAACTCTCCTATGTTCTCCAATTCTTCCACTATACCTTAACCACTACCACTTAACTTCCAAGGACAAAAGCCAACCTGAATTTTGGGGGAGTTAAGAAGCAGTGAGAAGATGATCTATCTGAGAAACACTCTGGGGCCTAGAGTGAGTGAGCAAGAGGGTAATTTTTTTTCCACTACCAAGAATCAAATAAGGAATCACGGCCTCAGTCTTAATGGTTCTTCTTCAACTGTAAGTATATCACTTGCAAAACCTGTGGTGGTCTGTTGCTCTCCTCTACCACTGCAACTTCAAGGGAGCCAGCTAACTAGGAGAAGGAAAATCGCAGGAGGCTGAGGCAGGAGGATTGCTTAAGGCCAGTTCAAGACCAGCCTGGGAAACACAGGGAGACCCCCCATCTCTACAAAAATAAAAAAAATTAGCCAGGTGTGGTGGCGTGCATCTATAGTCCTAGCTACTCAGGAGGCTGAGGTGATAGGATCTCTTGAGCCCAGGAGTTTAAGACCACGCTGAGCTAGGACTGCGCCACTGCACTCCAGGCTGGGTGACAGAGTGAAACCCCATCTCTAATTGATTGAATAGAAAAAACCAAAAGTGTGGAGAGATAGTGATGTGTGCATGAAAGGTATTTGCAGCCTCACATTCCTTGACTTTCTTTTTTTTTTTTTTTTTTTTAAGAGAAAAGGTGTCACTGTATTGTTCAGGCTGGTCTTGAACTCCTAGGCTCAAACAATCCTCCCACCTAGGCCTCCCAAAGTGCAAGTGTGAGCCACTGCGCCCGACCTACATTCCTTGACTTTCTAATCAACATTACTTACCATTGATATCCCTTGTGCTGAGACAAGGCTGTTGCTTTGCTACCTCTTTCCTGGCCTTATTTAAGAAACCCACAGTCCTCACAGGAGCCAAACACAAAAGTATGTGTTTGACAGATATCCAAGAGTGAGGAGGAAAAAATCATTGCCAAGAACCCAGAAACTGCAGCCTCTACAAACATAAATTGCCTCATGAGGCTTCAGGAGGTTTATGGTTCCATGCAAAGAATCAACCCTGTTTGCGGGGGCAGAGGAGGGCAGTTCAGAATGGAAGTAAAAGGAACCCAGTCTTTTGACAACAAGGTGATGAGGAACATAAGCTTTCCCTACTTGAATTCTTGAGGACTGCAATTTTTGTTTTGTTCGCTGGTTTGTCCCATTTGTCCAGAACAATGCCTGACACATACTAAACTCTCAATATTTGGTGAATAATTCAGAGAATAAAGGAAGTTTGAGAATAAAGTTAAAATACCTTGACGCAGTATGCATCTAAGGGACTACTTATAATTAGACCTCCACATATAAGTGGATTTTCTGATGTGGCCACTTTGGGTGATATTACTACCAACTTTATCCCTCCTCTGATAAACACTCCTTAGAGATGTCCATCCTGTATATATAACACTCTGGAATAAACAAGGCATGAGTAACTCCTCTCTCAAACTAAAGAACTTTGTTGCCTAGTGGAGGGAAGTCCTCTAGAGTCTAGTCTTAAAAGGTCACAAGTAGAAGCAGCTCTCCTAACTCCTAATTCCTCACAGAAAGATCTTCCTGTAAAGCAGGCTCAGTTCTATAACAACTTGGGTCCTCAATTCCAAAAGGGAGACAACAATGGGAATGAGTTTTCTTAATGGAAGAAAAGAAGTCCAAAAGGAACAAAATTTAGACGAAATCATTTTTTCCCACAACCTTTTCCTGGAAATCTTTGGCTCTGTTCCTCTATCCACATTCACAGCAACTTTAGAGAGCTGCCCATTAGTTTAAGCTGGGCATTAACCTGGCATAGGAAACTGGTTCTTGCAGCCATAGAGTTTGGCATCCCTAGAACCCAAAGAAAAGCAAAGCCCTAATGGCCCCCAGCCAACTGGGAGAGTCAGACAATGTCCTTTGTGGCCAACAGGGTGTGAGTGCCTACAACAGCCACACCGGCAAAGAGAGAACATATCCCTGGGTTCTGCTCTTGGTTCTTTTCACTGGCTTCCTAGAAGACATTATCAAAGAAACCCCAAAAATAGAAACATTGGATCTTCCTGGGAAGAATAAAAGACAGGCTAAGGAGGACAAGGATAAAGACTAGATTTGACATAGAGCTTACTGGAGCTCTCAAAAGGGAAAGAAGGCATTACAGAAAAGGCTGGTCATTTCAAACTTCCAAAGGAGGAAGCATACTAAATAAAGCTGAGAATTTAGGCAGGCGCTTAAATGCCGCTTCAATTCTCCATTCTGCTACAGCTGGAGCCAGCAGCTTCTTTACTTCTCCTGCCACCTCCTGACTGCAGCTGGTTCCACTTCAGCCTGGGGCTTTTACCTCTCAGGAGTGGGGAGGGCTATGCCATAAAACTAGCCAGTTTAAAGGCCCCAGAAGTCATTACTGATAATGTAATTTCATTTTAAGTTTTTGCAAAGGGCAAGTTTATAAATAACTCCCAGCTACTGAGAAATGGGCTTCCAGGACAATGGACTAGGCTTGACCTTGTAACACATTAAATGCTGACTGTTGAGAAAGACCTTATCAGCTTAGGGCCACACTGAAAGAATTTAAAAGGTCTATTCTTCCCTCCCACTCCCAAAATGGGTAGCTGCTAGAAAGCTTTCGAGACAAAGTTCTGTGATGCACTGACTTTCAGAGAGCCACAGCCTGAGTGTATAACAGAACTTCACCTCAAATGCTAATCGTGCTTGGAAATGATGTATAGGCAGATTGTTTTGTGGGAGATTGGGTGACTTAGACAGATTTTCATGTATTTATGTTTTTATTATCAAGAAAACAAGAATGCTGTCCTCAAGACAGGTGAAACACCACAGAACAAGCAACTAGGCTGCTGCAAATGAATCTTTGATCTCAGGGGCTTCTTTTTTTTTTTTTTTTTTTTTTTTTGCGACAGTCTCTCTCTGTCACCCAGGCTGGAGTGCAGTGGAGCAAACTCCGCTCACTACAACCTCCACCTCCCGGATTCAAGTGATTCTTGTGCCTCAGCCTCCCGGGTAGCTGGGACTACAGGCACACACCCCCATGCCCAGCTAATTTTTGTATTTTTAGTAGAGACGGGGTTTCACCAAATTGGCCAGGCTGGTCTCGAACTCCTGACCTCATGATCTGCCTGCCTCGGCCTCCCAAAGTGCTGGGATTACAGGCGTGAGCCACCGTGCCCGGCCTCAATCAGGGGCTTCTAAAGCCTGGTGAAAAGCATCAACATCTCCAAGAACTCTCTCCCCTAGCGCATAGAGGACTAGAGGGAAAGAGTCATTCCTAGTGCTGCCCCCTGTGGGCCTTCTCGGTGACCTGCAGCTTCCACAGGATTACAGTCATAAGCAAAAATATTTTTCAAAGGCAGCTCTGGATAAGAGCTTTTTTTTTTTTGAGACGGAGTCTCGCTCTGTCGCCCAGGCTGGAGTGCAGTGGCACGATCTCAGCTCACTGCAAGCTCCGCCTCCTGGTTCAAGCTCTCCTGCTTCAGCCTCCCGAGTAGCTGGGACTACACGCACCTGCCACCATGCCCGGCTAATTTTTTGTATTTTTAGTAGGGATGGGGTTTCACTGTAGCCAGGATGGTCTCAATCTCCTGACCTCGTGATCCGCCCGCCTCGGCCTCCCAAAGTGCTGGGATTACAGGCGTGAGCCACCGCACCCGGCAAAAGCTCTCTATTTGTGTGTCTTGTAGGACAAACTAGTAGAGATGGGCCCTGAAAAATAAGTGAATTAAGTCTGTTCACAATGTATATAGTAAGAGAACTCTTTGGGGTAAGATCTTAGTAAGCCACCAGAAGACTGGGAGAATATGTTTGGGGAAGGTAGAGAGGATACTTGGAAACTATAATGAATTATTTGATTCATTTAGGGGAAAAAACCAAGAAGCCTCTATGGAGGGAATTACAGGATGCCATCTACAGAGCTGAAAGAGCACAAATAAGAATATGGAGGCCAGGCGCAGTGGCTCATGCCTGTAATCCTAGCACTTTTGGAAGCTGAGGCAGGAGATCACTAGAGCCAGGAGTTCAAGACCAACCTGGGCAACACAGTGAGACCCTGTCTCTGCAAGAACTTAAAAAAAACAAAAATTAGCCAGGCATGGTGGCATGCACCTGTAGTCTCAGCTACTCAGGAAGCTGAGGCAGGAGGATCGCTTGAGCTTGGGAGTTCAAGGCTGTAGTGAGCTACAATTGCGCTACTGCACTCCAGCCTACACAAAAGAGTGAGACCGCCTCAAAAAAAAAAAGAAGCTGACTGAGATCACTAAAAAGTTCTTCATTGTCTACTTAAAAATAAATCCTTCCAGCCTGGCCAACATGGTGAAACCCTGTCTCTACCAAAATTACAAAACTTAGCCAGGCATGGTAGCAGACGCCTGTAATCCCAGCTACTCAGGAGGCTGAGGCAGGAGAATCGCTTATACCTGGGAGGCAGAGGTTGCGGTGAGCTGAGATCGCACCACTGCACTCCAGCCTGGGCGACAGAGCAAGACTTCAGATCAAAAAAAAAAAAAACATTCCCTAAGGCCATACCAAAAGGGCCTGATGTGGCATTACCCTGATGTGGCAATGGGTCTTGGTGAATTAAAAACTGTAACAAGATTCTCTTGTCTCAATCCTGTTTATAAAGTAAAACTAAGAAGGTAAAAACTAGAAGGAGAAATTCCTAGATACCACTCCCAGCTCCAAATGGCTAAGTAGGTATACTTCCTGACTCTGTGCCAACACTTTTTTTTTTTTTTTTTTGACAGAGTTTCACTTTGTTTCACTTTGTTGTCCAGGCTGGGGTGCAGTGGCACAATCTTGGCTCACTGCAACCTCCGCCTCCTGGGTTCCAGCAATTCTCGTGTCTCAGCCTCCTCAGTAGCTGGGATTACAGGTGACTGCCACCATGCCCAGCTGATTTTTTTTATTTTAGTAGAGATGGAGTTTCACCATCTTGCCCAGGCTGGTCCTGAACTCCTGAACTCAGGCAATCTGCCTGTCTCGGCCTCCCAACATGCTAATATTACAGGTGTGAGCCACTGCACCTGGCCTCTGTGCCAACTTTTATTTATTTTTTTATTTTTTTGAGACGGAGTCTCACCCTGTCGCCCAGGCTGAAGTGCAGTGGTCTGATCTCGGCTCGCTGCAAGCTCTGCCTCCCGGGTTCACGCCATTCTCCTGCCTCAGCCTCCCGAGTGGCTGGGACTACAGGCACCCACCACTACGACCAGCTAATTCTTTTGTATTTTTTTTAGTAGAGACGGGGTTTCACCGTGTTAGCCAGGATGGTCTAGATATCCTGACCTCATGATCCACCCGCCTCATCCTCCCAAAGTGCTGGGATTACAGGCATGAGCCACCGTGCCCAGCCTGTGCCAACTTTTTTAAAATTAAAAGCTCCTCTGGGGTTAAGGGCTCCAATTTGCCAGCCACAATCCGATAGACTTCAGATGAAAAGAAAAGAAGAATTAGCTAAAGTCTTTGACAGGGAAGAGCAGTTTTTACATATCAGATTTTTTTTTTTGAGACAGTGTTGCTCTGTTGCCCAGGCTGAAGTGCAGTGGCGTGATCTTGGCTCACTGCAGCCTCTGCCTCTCGGGTTCCAGCAATTCTCCTGCCTCAGCCTCTCAGGCAGCTGGGATTACAGGCGCTTCCCACCACGCCCGGCTTATTTTTGTGTTTTTTGTAGCCTGGCTTATTTTTGTGTTTTTTGTAGAGACGGGGTTTCGCCATGTTGGCCAAGCTGGTCTCGAACTCCTGACCTCAGGTGATCTGCCCACCTTGACCTCCCAAAGTGCTAGGATTACAGGCATGAGCCACCACGCCCAGCCTATATCAGATTTATTAATATTATTATTATTTCTTGTCACCCAGGCTGGAGTGCAGTGGTGCCATCACAGCTCACTGCAGCCTCAACCTCCCAGGCTCAAGCGATCCTCCCCGTTCAGCCTCCCAAGTAGCTGACTACAGGTACATGCCACCACACCCTGCTAATTATTTCTGTATACACACAAGATTAGATTCAAAAAGCACAGCTCAGGAAAGAGTGGGAGCCACTGGTACCACAGAACACTACCCAGCTGACATGAGACCAAATATTGGTTATAAAGAAAAAACTCAACACATGACTCGGGAAGAACTGACGGCAGGAAGAGACACCTACAATCTTCCTATCTGACACAGACCCAAAACATGTAAAGCACAGTCAACAAGAGTTTTGATATTACAGGAGAAAATGTCTCTAAACTCCTACAATCCATCTCTTAAATAGAGACAGGGTCTTGCTATGTTGCCCAGGCTGGACCTGAACTCCTGGGCTCAAGGAGTCCTGCCTCAGCCTTCCAAATAGCTAGGACTACAGGCATGCACCACCATGCCTGGCTACAATACTTGTACTATAATGGGGATCAGCCATTAACTCAAATTTTCCCTTTCTCTGAGATTCAGCTTCTTCATCAGAGAAATGAGAGGCTTGACCTAGATCAGTTAAGGTTAATGCCTTTTTTGAGTTACAGCAGACCCCTTTGATAAACCAATTACATCTATGGACCTTATTCCCAGCAAAATACATTCACAAATTTTTTTATGATTTCATGGCTAGGCATGCTGGTTCCTACCTGTAATACCAGCACTTTGGGAGGCCAATGTGGGGACAAATAGCTTGAGCTCAGGAGTTTGAGGCCAGCCTGGGCAACATGGCGAAACCCTGTCTCTACTAAAAATACAAAAAAATTAGCTGGGCATGGTGGTGCATGCCTGTAATCCCAGCTATTCAGGAGGCTGAGGCATGAGAATTGCTTAAACCCCGGAGATGGAGATTGCAGTGAGCCAAGATCATCGCACCACTGCACTCCAGCCTGGATGACAGAGCAAGACTCTGTCTCAAAAAATATATATATAAATAAAAATAATTTTTTTATGATTTCAAAGAGTTCACAGAGCCGAGTTTAGAATTAAATGAGATTCTCTCTGGAGATAATAAGATGGTGTGGAGGGGGCAGGAAAAAGAGGGGAAATGAGTGATACTTTTGTAAACCACCCCCTCTACTCTACCTGGCATCCAGTAATGCTGGATAAATTCAATAAATGTGTGTGTGGCCTTCATAAATTAATAAATATGATTGAGAAAACTAACAGCCAGCAGGGGGAATAAAGGTCAGCAACCACGCTCCCTCCAGCTTTCTTTTTTTTTTTCCCTTTTTTTTTTTAAGACTGAGTTTCATTCTTGTTGCCCAGGCTGGAGTGCAATGGTGCAATCTCAGCTCACTGCAACCTCCACCTCCCAGGTTCAAGCGATTCTCCTGCCTCAGCCTCTCAAATAGCTGGCATTACAGGCACCCACCACCACACCTGGCTAATTTTGTGTTTTTAGTAGACAGGGCTTTGCCATGTTGGTAAGGCTGGTCTCGAACTCCTGACCTCAGGTGATCCGCCTGCCTCAGCCTCCCAAAGTGCTGGGATTACACGCGTGAGCTACCATGCCCAGCCACCTCCAGCTTTCAATGGCTGAATTTGATGACTGTGAAATGGGCAGGACAAAGACAACCAAACCCTAAGCTTTTTAGGAATGCAAAGTCTCAGGACCTTTCTCAAAACTCAGAAAGCCTGTCTGTTGGAAAATTTTTTTTTTTTGAGACGGAGTCTCACTCTGTCGCCCAAGCTGGAGTGCAGTGGCTCACTGCAACCTCCGCCTCCCGGGTTCACGCCATTCTCCTGCCTCAGCCTCCTGAGTAGCTGGGATTACAGGCGCGTGACACCATGACCGGCTAATTTTTGTATTTTTGGTAGAGACGGGTTTCACCATGTTGGTCAGGCTGGTCTCAAACTCCTGACCTCGTGATCCGCCCGCCTCGGCCTCCCAAAGTGCTGGATTACAGGCGTGAGCCACCGCGCCCGGCCTTGCTGGAGGATTTTTTACCCAGGGGTCACATAGTCCCTAATTCTTCAACTATCATGGAAGTGAAAGAATCACAGAAATGAGGGACAAAGCAGTACTGCTGGGAAGAGAGATGAACTGAATAAGGAGAAATCAGACTATACTCCAGACCTGAGGCCTGAGAGCACCATTAGAACATTCTGCCTTCTCAGTTTGGTAATCCAGGAGCCCTCACTTAAATAACACTCAGCAAAGGAAAAAAATCAAAAGGGGCTAGATCCATTCCTGATGAGTCCTGGGTCACGATTTGTATCATGATTTATCCCTTTACTCCCCCCCACATCTCCCTGCTTTTGCTCCTGAAAACAAAAAGCTAGTCTCTGAGAGACTGAATTGACAGACTCTGTGTTATCTTTCAGTCTATTTATGCCCCCAAATCAACCCCGAGGCAGAATTGCTCTATTCTCCTCTGGTTTTAGTCTCCCTCTAAAACCACACAACAGAAAAGGAGTTGCAGAAAATTAGTTGACCGAGCTATCCAGGGCAATTGGCTATGGATGGGATATCTGCATTGAGAGTGAGAAAATAGGCCGGGCGCAGTGGCTCACACCTGTAATCCCAGCACTTTGGGAGGCCAAGGCATGTGGATCACAAGGTCAGGAGTTCGAGGCCAGCTTGGCCAACATGGCGAAACCCCGTCTCTACTAAAAATACAAAAATTAGCCAGGCATGGTGGTGGGGGCCTGTAATCCCAACTACTCGGGAGGCGGAGGAAGGAGAATCGCTTGAACCTGGAAGGCAAAGGTTGCGGTGAGCCAAGATCATGCCATTGCACTCTAGCCTGGGCAACAAGAGCAAGACTCTGTCTCAAAAAAAAAAAAAAAAAAAAAAAAGAGTGTGAAAATAAAAAGCCAAATAAAAAAGCAGGCTTCATCTGCAGCATATATAACTTAGATTACACAACAGGAAGGACTTCCTGAAGAGATGGGTGTGGTCAAACACCAGAAGAGGTGACACAGGCTAGGGAATGTAAGGCCAGGAGAGATCCCCCTAATAATCTGATGTAAGGAAACCTATTCTGCCCAAAAACAGGAGGGACAGAATGTGAGAGGGCCCTTGCCAGCACAAGCATCTTACAAGTGCATGGACTCATTCTCTGAATCCATCTTCATCAGCTGTCCCCTGGGCACTCTGCCTTTCCTCTTCCTAATTACTCCAGCACAAGTGGGTACATAGGTACTGATTCTTTATCCCTGCTCCATCTGATTTGCTCCTCTAGTTTCCCTTTCCACAACCTGTTTTCTTGTCAACATCCAGACTCTAATCAAGCCATGTCAATGGAGTAAAGTAAGAAACAGCAGCAAGTATCTAGATAAAAAAGACCCTAAACCTGCCACTAGGCTCCGTCAAATACCTGGATAATTGCACTCATCCTCTGCCTCCCAAGGCAGACCTGGCTTCTCAAGGGTCTGGTTTTCCTCACATGGAGGCCCCCTCCTCCTCTTCTGACCATGTGACAGCTCCCCTAGATCTTTGATATAATTTATACCTTGCCAGGGACCAACTCTTTCCCACCACTGTGAAGAAGAGGGAAAAAATATATATAAATACGTCGGAAATCTATAACAAGGTCTTCTTGGAGGGCAAGACATGGGGAGAGTTAGAAGCAGCGTCAATTGCTCTTTGGGGGTTTTAGTTCAAGCCGAGGTCTGCTTCCAGCAATCAACCATTAAAACAAGCTGGCCAGAGTAACAGCACAGTTTATTCTGATCATTTAATTTGAAGTGTCAATAAATTAAACTTCAATCAATTAAACTAGGTGTGCAATAACCCAGATGGACACCCCGACACCAACATAATCACAATAAAAATTTTTATTGCTGCCAGGGACCTCACCGGGGGCAGTGCTGGCACTGCTCGCGCCCTAGCTGAGAAATATATCTCCACAGCGCAGGAATGAGGAGATTGCTTCTCCTAACAAAATGGAGGGGGCCAGGCACCAGCAAGGACGCAGCTGGGAGAGGGGCACAGGGGACTGCCAGGAACGAGATGGGAGTGCTTTAGGGGCTTAATGTAATTGATACCTTTGCCCAGAGCAGGGGGAGGGGGGCATTTAGGCCAAGTACCTCTACTGTTAGGGCCAAAGGAATTTAACAAAAGCCCCATTAAGATGATTCAGGAAGCAAAGGCCAAGGAGCAACATCAACCTTTAAAGTCATTGACATATTCTGCATAGTTTCCTCCTCCATACATACTCATATCCTTGTGCACTTTGGATGGCCTGATTTTTTAATGAGGCTTAGAATTTAGGATTTGGTTATGGTTTTAAAATATTAAGGTAAGACAAAGTACAGAATTAGAAGTCTAGTCTGTAAAGCACTGGAGAAGCACTCTGAAAGTGAATCCAGAGAGGATTAGGAAAAATAAAACCTATGAACAAAGATTTAAAGATCTAAACCGATACAGAATTCAGTTTTGTTTGTTTTTTAAGACAGAGTTTCACTTTTTGCCCAGGCTGGAGTGCAATGGCCCTCGGCTCACTGCAACCTCCGCCTCCCAGGTTCAAGCGATTCTCCTGCCTCAGTCTCCCGTGTAGCTGGGGATTACAAGCGCATGCCACCACGCCCAGCTAATTTTTGTATTTTTAGCAGAGACGGGTTTCACCATGTTGGTCAGGCTGGTCTTGAACTCCTGACCTCAGGTGATCCACTCACCTCAGGATTACAGGTGTGAGCCACCGAGCCCGGCCCGAGTAATTCAGCTTTAAAGAAAAAAAGTAAAGCAGGAAGGAGGAAGGGGAAATCCTTATCTTTAAGATTCCACAGGTTATTAATGGAGAATGGTGATCTGCAGAGATCCTCTTCATTCACAACTCAAAAAGCGAGAACCAGCAGATACAGCAAGAGAGAAGAAGCCAAGTCCAAAGATGCAGGCTGAGATCACTATTATTAAGCATTGGGAACTAAAAGAGATGAAAGGGTCTCTTTCCTTAGAGCCTAAGGAGACCTGAGAGAGATTAGACAAATCTGCTTGAAAGCTAGAGCTGGATTACTTAATTCAAGAAAGAAATGTGACCATGTGACCCACTGTAAAGTACCTAAAAGAAGGGAACTTACTGTTATTTAGAAATTCCACAATCAATGCAAACTTTGATCAACAGTTCTTCTTGACCCCCTGTAGCTTACCTGTCCCTTTTTCTCGACATCCTGCAGCTATGTATGTACCTTGTAGAGTTAAGGACAGAAGAATATGCTTTGATCAGATTGTCCCTAACCGCATTACATAGGTTTCCCATAACAAAGAACCAGTGTGGTTTTAAAAGCAAAGTCCAGGGTTACCTGATCAAGTTAGCAGGGATCTGTGAATGCAGCCTATTAGGCATAGATTAAAGCAAAAGAATAAGGAAGAAGCAGGCTGAAACAGACTTCACTGAAGAAGCAGAGACAGAGAACTAAGGGAAGAGAAATGTGACAGAGAGACTTTCTTTTTCTTTAACTTTTCTGAGACAGAGCCTTGCTCTGTCACCCAGGCTGGAGTGCAGTGGCGCATCTCGGCTCACCGCGACCTCTGCCTCCCAGGTTCAAGTGATTCTCTTGCCTCAGCTTCCTGAGTAGCTGGGATTACAGGCGTGGCCACGCCCAGCTAAGTTTTGTATTTTTAGCAGAGACCGGGTTTCACCATGTTGGTCAGGCTGGTCTCCAACTCCTGACCTCGTGATCCGCCCACCTCGGCCTCCCAAAGTGCTGGATTTACAGGCGTGAGCCACCGTGCCCGGCCTTTTTTTTTTTTTTGAGATGGAGTCTAACACTGTCGCCTGGGCTGGAGTGCAGTGGCGCGATCTCGGCTCACTGCAACCTCTGCCTCCCTGGCTCAAGTGATTCTCCTGCCTCAGCCTCCTGAGTAGTTGGGACTATAGGCTCGTGCCACCACGCCCAGCTATTTTTTTTTGTATTTTTAGTAGAGACATGGTTTCACCATGTTGGCCAGGCTGGTTTCGAACTCCTGACCTCAAGTGATCCGCCCACCTCAGCCTCCCAAAGTGCTAGGATTACAGGCATGAGCCACTGCACTGCGCCCGACAGAGATACTTTCACATATAACTCCCCCAGCTTACCCACTACACACAGGCCCATTGTTAAAAGGGCTCCCCAATTATTATCTTCCTCATTCCTTTACCTTTAAGCAGGCTCCCTTCTAAACATATATAGGTAAGTCTAAAAACTTCCAAAAAAACCAATTCCCTAGAATCTATCCTAGTCTGCTAATTGGGTTTAGGGGGAGGTTTTTTATTCTTATTTTTTTAGAGACAGGGTCTGGCTTTGTCACCCATGCTGGAGTGCAGTGGCACAATCATAGCTCACTGCAGCCTCAAACTCCCAGGCTCAAGCGATCCTCCTGCCTCAGCCTCTTACAGTGCTGGGATTACAGGCATGAGCCACTGCACTCAACCTCTTGATTAAGAATACTTGCTGCCGGGCACGGTGGCTCACTCCTATAATCCTAGCACTTTGGGAGGCTGAGGCAGGTGGATTGCCTGAGCTCAAGAGTTCAAGACCAGCCTGGGCAACACAGTGAAACCGTCTCTACTAAAATACAAAAAAGTTAGCCAGGTGTGGCAGCACGTGCCTGTAGTCCCAGCTACTCGTGAGGCTGAGGCAGGAGAAATTGCTTCAACCCAGGAGGCAGAGGTTGCAGTGAGGTGAGATCACACCACTGCACTCCAGCCTGGGTGACACAGCGAGACTCTGTTTCCAAAAAAAAAAAAAAAAACTTGCTAACTGGCCGGGGTGCAGTGACTCACACCTGTAATCCCAGCACTTTGGGAGGCCAAGGCAGGCAGATCACTTGAGGTCAGGAGTTCAAGACTAGACCAGCCTGGCAAACATGGAGAAACCCTGTTTCTACTAAAAATACAAAAATTAGCTGGGCATGGTGGCGCGTGCCTGTAACCCCAGCTACTCAGGAAGCTGAGGCATGAGAATTGCTTGATTCTGGGAGGCGGAGGTTGCAGTGAGCCAAGATTGCACCACTGCACCCCAGCCTGGGCAACACAGCCAGACTCTATCTCAAAAAAAAAAAAAAAAAAAAAAAAAAAAAAAAAAAAAGAATACTTGTTAACTGCTTGGTACAGAAAATATTTAAAACTACTCAGATTTTAAGCTTTTTACCTATATTTGACCAACCGACATAAGGAATTAACTGTCTTTAACTGAAAGAGAGGAATTAAAACCTGTTATTCTTTTATCTGATGAGGATCTGAATGTGTATGCTTAGGAGATCTGAAGGAAAATAAAAGACAAGCTTCTTTGGAAAGAGGCCTAGAGTTCAAGCCAATTAAGGAAGAAGGCTGGGAGTTAAATTCCTACACTATACTACCTACCTACCTACACACACACACACACACACACACACACACACACACACACCCCTCCAAATCGCAAAATAGGGCACTTTTGAGAGAAATTCTCTGGTCCAGTTCTAAAAAGGGGTAACAGGTATTTTATTTGTTAGAACAAGCATAAAGCATCATATGGACAAGAGGGCTAATACAGCCCTTTAGCGACCACAATTCTCATGTAACCAGAGAGGGAGAAATTAGCATCCTAGATCATACAATAAGAATTCCTGGCCCGGCGCAGTGGCTCACGCCTGTAATCCCAGCACTTTGGGAGGCCGAGGCGGGTGGATTACGAGGTCAGGAGATCGAGACCATCCTGGCTAACACGGTGAAACTCCGTCTCTACTAAAAAATACAAAAAATTAGCCGGGAGTGGTGGCGAGCGCCTGTAGTCCCAGCCACTCCGGAGGCTGAGGCAGAAGAATGGCGTGAACCCGGGAGGCGGAGCTTGCAGTGAGCCGAGATCGTACCACTGCACTCCAGCCTGGGCGACAGAGTGAGACTCCGTCTCAAAAATAATAATAATAATAATAATAATAATAATTCCTGGCCAGGCGCGGTGGTTCAAGCCTGTAATCCTAGCACTTTGGGAGGCCGAGGCGGGCGGATCACTTGAGGTCAGGAGTTCGAAACCAGCCTGGCCAACATGGTGAAACCACGTCTCTACTAAAAATACAAAAAAAATAGCCGGGCGTGGTGGCACGCGCCTATAGTCCCAACTACGCGGGAGGCTGAGGCAAGAGAATAGCTTGAACCCGGGAGGTGGAGATTGCAGTGAGCCAAGATCGCGCCACGTGCGCACTCCAGCCTGGGTGACAGAGCAAGGCTCGGTCTCAAAAAAAAAAAAAAAAAAAAAGAATTCCTAAGGTCTAAATGGGTAGAGAAAAGGAGAACAGAATAAGGAGTCTAGAAAAAATATTCCACAATCCATGCTAACTTTATCAGGTATCCCAGAACTTTGATGGAATACTGATTATTTGACAAACCTATATAATAGGGATTAACAGGAAACCGAAGACAAAACAGTTTCCTGAAGGAATGTGGCAGGGAATCGGCAATGGAGAGTCAAACTTGGGAAACCATCAGGAGGAGTCTGTAACGACAAAACATCTGTATTCTTTTCTTACAATATGGGGCGAGTTTGGTGGTTTGGTAAATTAAAATCAGGGTATCATCCACAATGCTAAAAATAAGGGGCAACCTGAAGGGTCCTAATCCAGTACGCCTACAGGTCTGTGTATCCTAAGGAGTCCATGTGCTGCCTTCAACTTTCCACCGACTCTATGCCCTCTCCCCGGCAGGGCTTCCTACTCTAAACCAAGGCTTTAGCTCCTACACTAGGCCACACACTTATTCCAAAGGTCAGCAGAACGCTCAGTCCCCAAGAATTACCCGGAACTCTCTTTCCCCGTCTCCCACTCGGGCTGAACCCTGACTCCCGGCCCCTGTGGACACCACAGCATCTCTGCTGCCCCTCCAGCTCCTACCAAAATCAGCGCCTCCATCTTGCCCCGCAGCTGGTGCCGACGTGGAGCCGCAAAAGAAACGCCGCCGCTGATTGGCCATACGTTCCCATTAGGCCCCGCCTAGGATAAGGATCATTGGGTAAGGCTTGCTTTATTGGCCAATTATTGTACTAGCTTGCTTACCGGAAGCAAAGTGTCCAACCAGAAGGCTCAGGTGTTTGATTGTCAGCTTGAATACTCAATAAAACGCCAAAACCTCACGACTCATTGGGGCGGGAGGGTTAGTGGGGCGGGGTTGTTTCCATGGGGAACAGAAGAAGCGATTGTTAATTTTCAATTGGTAGGGCCGAGGACACGTGATATTGTCGGACTGATTTAGCGATTTTTAAACCGCACCCTCTTTAGGGGGCGCTGTGTCTCCTTAGCCTTTAACACTGGCGCTTTCTAACCGGAATCCTGCCCTAATCCCTATTTTCAGCGCCCGCATTAGGTCCATGATCTCTGTGGCTAGCCCTTCCCTCATGCTCGCTCAGGTCACTTCAGCATCCTCACAGAAAGTCTGCACAACCATAGAGTAGAGCCAAGAAAGGCCCAACATGTTAACTACATAAACCAAGGCTGCCAGGAGTTGATAGTCGCAATAACAATCTCCCTAAGGTGGAGTTCCAGGCTTTGCTGGGCCTGAGGAACATGAGAAGTCAGTTTGTAAAGGCCAACTTGAGCTCAACGTGAAATCGGCTTTGGAGATGGGGTTTGCGGGACAAACGGGGAAAGGGATGGGATTAGAATAAGAGAGGGGTTATAGGGAGTAAATTCTGGGGTTTTCCAATAGAAACAAGCCGTTGTGCCTGGGCGCGGTGGCTCAAGCCTGTAATCCCAGCACTTTGGGAGGCCGAGGCGAGCGGATCATCTGAGGTCGGGAGTTTGAAACCAACCTGACCAACATGGAGAAACCCCGTCTCTACTAAAAAAAAAAAATACAGGCCGAGCGTGATGGCTCACACCTGTAATCCCAGTACTTTGGGAGGCCGAGGCGGGCGGATCACGAGATCAGGAGATCAAGACCATCCTGACTAACATAGTGAAACCCCGTCTCTACTAAAAATACAAAAAATTAGCCGGGCGTGGGTGGCGGGCGCCTGTAGTCCCTGCTACTCTGGAGGCTGAGGCAGGACAATGGCGTGAACCCAGGAGGCGGAGTTTGCAGTGAGCTGAGATCGCGCCACTGCACTCCAACCTGGGTGACAGAGCGAGACTCCGTCTCAAAAAATATACATATATACAAAATTAGCCGGGCGTGGTGGAACATGCCTGTAATCCCAGCTACTCGGGAGGCTGAACCAGGAGACTCACTTGAACCTGGGAGGCGGAGGTTGAGGTGAGGCGAGATCTCGTCATTGCACTCCAGCCTGGGCAACAAGAGCGAAATTCCATCTCAAAAAAAAAAGAAAAGAAAAGAAAAGGAGAAGAGAAGAGAAAAGAAAAGGAGAAAGAAAGAAAAGAAAGAAAGAAAGGAAGGAAGGAAGGAAGGAAGGAAAGAAAGAAAGAAAGAAAGAAAGAAAGAAAGAAAGAAAGAAAGAGAAGGAAAGAAAGGAGAGGAAAGAAATGAGGCGTTGCAAAATGAGAAAAGAGAAGTTTACTGAATGCAAGAATTTCACAATAGGGAATGATTTTGATGAAGCTTGGCTTTCCCCTATCCCTTGGTTTCCTGATCCCTGACTCCTCTTAGGGCAGGGACACCTATTACCTTAATTATCCTAAAGGGATTTTTTCCCTCATCTCTGAAAATTATATCCTTAGGAGCCCTCCAAGAAGAGATTCCAAACTTACCCAGGAATTTTTCTTTTTTGAGACGGAGTCTCGCTCTGTCCCCCAGGCTGGAGTGCAGTGGCTCAATCTCGGCTCACTGCAAGCTCCGCCTCCCGGGTTCACGCCATTCTCCTGCCTCAGCCTCCAGAGTAGCTGGGACCACAGGCGCCCACCACCACGCCTGGCTGATTTTTTGTATTTTTAGTAGAGACGGGGTTTCACCGTGTTAGCCAGGATGGTCTC
Source organism: Homo sapiens (assembly GCF_000001405.40). NCBI lineage: Eukaryota > Metazoa > Chordata > Mammalia > Primates > Hominidae > Homo > Homo sapiens. The sequence continues at coordinate 54,323,150 of NC_000012.12, read as the reverse complement.
CATCTCCTGACCTCGTGATCCGCCCGCCTCGGCCTCCCAGAGTGCTGGGATTACAGGCGTGAGCCACTGCTGCACCCGGCCTTTTTTTTTTTTTTTTTTTTTTTAAGACGGAGTCTCTCTCTGTCGCCAGGCTGGAGTGCAGTGGTGTGATTTTGGCTCACTGTAACCTCCGCCTCCCGGTTGCAAGCGATTCTCCCTGCCACCTCAGCCTCCCTTGTAGCTGGGATTACAGGCGCCTGCCACCCCTGGCTAATTTTTGTACTTTTAGTAGAGACGGGGTTTCGCCATACTGGCCAGGCTGGTCTCGAACTCCGGACCTCAGATGATCCACCCGCCTTGGCCTCCCAAAGTGCTGGGATTACAGGCGTGAGCCACCGGGCCCAGCCACCCAGGAATTTTTCTAATAGTCGGAGTAGAATCAAGGAAACATAAAACAATACAATACAAGGGCGCTGTGGCATGTGCCTGTAGTACCAATTACCCCAGGGGCTGAGGCAGGAGGATGCTTGAGCCCAAGAGTTCGAGGCCGTAGTGCGCAGTGATTGTGCCTGGGAATAGCCACTGCATTCCAGCCTCGACAACACAGGGAGACCCAGTCTGTATATAAAAATAAGATAAAATAAAAAATTGAACAATACAATGCAAATTATAGACCTACAGTGTACTCTGACAGAAGGTGAATTTCTGGTGGAATACCAGGTGTTAAGCCTTATATCTGGAAGAAGTGAAGGCTTGTCCTTTTATTCCTCAAGGAGAGTTGTTCACACATTTACTGTGCCTGGCATCACAGTCAGTGGGTTGTCATTGGCTTTGCAGCTTAAAGGTAATACTAACATTTACTGCCCACTTATTATGTGCCAGGCACGGTGCTAAATCTTTAAATACATTATTGAATACATTTTTTAAAATCCTTATGAAGTAGCTGGGCATGGTGGCTCATGCCTGTAATCCCAAAACTTTGGGAGGCTGAGGCAGGCAGATCACCTGAGGCCGGGAGTTCGAGACCAGACTAGCCAACATGGTGAAACCCCGTCTCTACTAAAAATACAAAGATTAGCTAGGTGTGGTGGCAGGTGCCTGTAATCCCAACTACTCCGGAGGCTAAGGCAGGAGAATCTCTTGAACCCGGGAGGTGGAGGTTGCAATGAGCGAGATCCTGCCATTGCACTCCAGCATGGGCAACAAGAGCAAAACTCTGTCTCAAAAAAAAAAAAAAAAAAAATTCCTGGCCGGGTGCGGTGGCTCACACCTGCAATCTCAGCACTTTGGGAGACCGAGGCGGGTGGATCACGAGGTCAGGAGTTTAAGACCAGCCTGGCCAAGATGGTGAAACCCCGTCTCTACTAAAAATACAAAAAATTAGCCGGGCGCGGTGGCAGGCACCTGAAATCCCAGCTACTTGGTAGGCTGAGGCAGGAGAATCGCTTGAACTCAGAGGGCAGAGGTTGCAGTAGCCGACATTGCATGCTACACTCCAGCCTGGGTGACAGAGTGAGACTCCGTCTCAAAAAAAACAAATAAAATAAAAAATCCTTACGAAGTAGATGATTATTAAACCCATTTTACAGATGAGCAACATGGAGTTTAGAGCAGTTAAATAATTTACTTAAGGCTACAGAACTGTTTTAGCAGCCATACGTTTGAGCACAGGAGACTCTAAACCATGTTCTTACCCACAGTCCACTCCTCTAGTTTGTTGTACTGCCTCTCTTGCATCCCAGTCCTACCTCAAGGACTCTACCTCAGTGCCAGATATTCTACAAGGACCATAAGGAGGAAAAAGTGTGGTATGGTTGGTTCATGGGGATGGTTGGCTCCTTTTTCTGTGTAGTAACTGACAAATTTTAAGTCAGATATTGTTGCAGAAGATCGCTTGATTCTTAGCTCTCCAGCCTGTTGGGGTAATTGTGCTGTGGGAGGAAGACAATTGACTGAATTAGAGACATTAGTTATTGTTGTGACTTTGCTTTAATCAGTGAGAGAACTCTGCAAGTCTCTGTACCCTCTCTGGATGGACTATAGCTGTCACTTCTGGAAAGGGGAGAGGTTCAGACCAGAGCTTTCTAGGGCCCTAGCTAACTTTTTTTTTTTTGGAGATGGAGTCTCGCTCTTGTTGCCCAGGCTGGAGTGCAATGGCACACTGTCGGCTCACCGCAACCTCTGCTTCCCAGGGTTCAAGTGATTCTCCTGCCTCAGCCTCCCGAGTAGCTGGGATTACAGGCTTGTGCCACCAGGCCCAGCTAATTTTGTATTTTTTTAGTAGAGACGGGGTTTCTCCATGTTGGTCAGGCTGGTCTCGAACTCCCAACCTCAGGTTATCTGGCTGCCTCGGCCTCCCAAAGTGCTGGGATTACAGGCGTGAGCCACCACACCCGGCCAGGCCCTAACTTTAAAATTCTATGATTGGCCAGGCGCCATGGCTCATGACTGTAATCACAGGACTTGGGAGGCCAAGACGGTGGATGGCTTGAGGCCAGAAGTTCGAGACCAGCCTGGACAAAATAGTGAGACCCCCATCTCTACAAAAAAATAAAAATAGACCAGGCACGGTGGCTCACTTTGGGAGGCCGAGGTGGGTGGATCACGAGGTCAGGAGTTCAAGAACAGCTTGGCAAAGATGGTGAAACCCTGTCTCTACTAAAAATACAAAAAATTAGCCGGGCTTTGTGGCGGGTGCCTGTAATCCCAGCTATGGGAGGCTGAGGCAGAGAATTGCTTGATCCCAGGAGGCGGAGGTTGCAGTGAGCCGAGATCACGCCACTGCACTCCAGCCTGGGTGACAGAGCGAGACTCTGCCTCAAAAATTAATTAATTAATTAATTAAATTAAAATAAATTAAAAAACCAGTAACCTTCATTCTTTCCTCTGCCCAGCAGCCGGTAACCACTACTCTACTTTCTGTCTCTATGAATTGACTATTCTAGTACCTCATAAAATGGAATCATACAATATTTTTCTATTTGCATCTAGCTTATTTCACTTAGCAGAATGTCTTAAAGGTTGCATAAGAAATCTTTGAAGGATCGATTTCATGGAACAGAATTCAAAGAAAGAAAAGAGAACAGAGATAAAACTGGAAAGGTACTTTGTGTCCAGGTTGTGAAACACCTTGAAAACAAACCTAGGTAGCTGCCATAGAGGGACCAGATGTTGTGGAAGTTGGAATTGTTACAGTCTTTTGGAAAGTATTCTGGCAATATCCTGTAAAACTAAACATGGATATACCCTCTCCTAGAGAAATAAAAACACAGCCCAATACCTAATGATACATATTTAAGAATGCTTATTATAGAATTGTTTACAATGGCCAGAAATAACATCTGTCAACAGGGGAATGAGTTAATAAATTATCGTACATCTAGACTGTGGAATAATATGCAACTAGGCCGGGCACAGTGGCTCACACTTGTAATCCCAGTACTTTGGGAGGCCGAGGTGGGCAGATCACCTGAGGTCAGGAGTTCGAGACCAGCCTGGCCAACATGGTGAAATGCCGTCTCTACTAAAAATACAAAAATTAGCTGGGCATGGTGGTGAGCGCCTGTAATCCCAGCTACTTGGGAGGCAGAGGCAGGACAATCACTTGAACCTGGGAGAAGGAGGTTGCCATGAGCCAAGATCGCACCATTGTACTCCAGCCTGGGTGACAAGACCAAAACTCCGTCTCAAAAAAAAAGGAATGTTAGATCTATATACATTAACCTGGAGAAATAACAATGGCATGTTAAATGATAAAAGTAAGTTGCAGAGTAATTTATATGTCATGATTTTATTTTTTTATTAAAAAAAATAAGACTATAGATGAGGCGCGGTGGCTCACCCCTGTAATTCCAGCACTTTGGGAGGCTGAGGCAGGTGGATCACCTGAGGTGAGGAGTTCCAGACCAGCCTGGTCAACATGGTGAAACCCCATCTTTACTAAAAATACAAAAATTAGCCAGGCGTGGTGGTGCACGCCTGTAATCATAGCTACTCAGGAGGCTGAGGCAGGAGAATCACTTGAACCTGGGAGAAGGAGGTTGCAATGAGCCAAGATTGCGCCATTGCACTCCAGCCTGGGTGACAAGAACAAAAACTCTGTCTCAAAAACAAACAAAAAAGACTATAATTATGAATAACTATGTTTGTAAATGTTTATATTCTATTCTATTAATATTTATTAAATGTCAATTGTGGGCCAGGCACTGGGGATAAAGCAGTGAACAGAACAGACAAGTATGTTTACCCTCATGTAACTTGCATTCTAGCTGGAGGGGTGGGGTAATGTGTAGGAGCAGACAATAAACCAAAAAAATAAGTAAGCTAGGGCCAGTGGGGGGTGGCTTACACCAGTAATCCCAACATTTTGGAAAGCAGACGCAGGAGGATTGCTTGAAGCCAGGAGTTCGAGACCAGCCTGGGCAACATAGCAAGACTTCATCTCTAAAAAAGATAAAAAATTAGCTGGGCGTGGTGGCATGCACCTGTATTCCCAGCTACTCCAGGGGCTGAGGCTGAAGGATCGATTGAGCCCAGGAGATCAAGGCTGCAGTGAGCTTCGTGATCTTGCCACTGCACTCCAGCCTGGGTGACAGAGTGAGACCCCATTTCAAAAAAAAAAAGTAAACTATATAGTAAGTTAGATGACAAGTGTTGTGGAGAATAACAAAATGGAAAAAGAGGGTAGTGGACAATTCCACTTTGTTGAACAATTTATTATATATATATATATTCTTTTTTAGAGATGAAGTTTCACTCTGTTGTCTAGGCTGGACTTCAATTACTGGGCTCAAGGGATCCTCCCACCTCAGCCTCCTGAGTTGTTGGGACTACAGGCTCATGCCATGGGTGCTGGGCTATATGTTGCACAATTTGGAATGGTACATTTATGTTAGGGAGAAAAGAGGAACAAGGAAGAAGAGTTAAATAGGGTGGTCATGGAAGACCTTATTCAGAAGGGGACATTTCATTAAGAGACCCCAAAGAAGTAACAGAAAGAGGCTGGGCGCGATGGCTCACGCCTGTAATCCCAGCACTTTGGGAGGCCAAGATGAGCAGATCACAAGGTCAGGAGTTCGAGATCAGCCTGGCCAACATGGTGAAACCCCATCTCTACTAAAAATACAAAAATTAGCTGGGCGTGGTGGTGCGCGCCTATAAGGAGGTTGAGGCAGGAGAATGGCTTGAACCCAGGAGGCAGAAGTTGCAGTGAGCCGAGATCATGCCACTGCACTCCAGCCTGGGTGACAGAGCAAGACTGAGCCTCAAAAAATATATATATATAGTGCTGGCTTCAGCAGCACATACACTAAAATTGGAATGATGCAGAGAAGATTAGCATGGTCCCTGCGCAAGGATGACATGCAAATTCACGAATCCTTTCTTTTTTTTTTTTTTTTTTGAGATGGAGTCTCGCTCTATCACCCAGGCTGGAGTGCAGTGGCGAGATCTCAGCTCGCTGCAACCTCTGCCTCCTGGGTTCAAGTGATTCTCCTGCCTCAGCCTCTGCAGTAGCTGGGATTACAGGTGTGCGCCACACACCAGGCTTTTTTTTTTTTAATTTTTTTAATTTTTAGTAGAGACAGGGTTTCACCATGTTGGTCAGACTGGTCTGGAACTCCTGACCTCAAGTGATCCACCCACCTCAACCTCCCAAAATTCTGGGATTACAGGCATGAGCCACTCCTCCCAGCCACAAGTATTTTCAATTATTATGGGTATGTATTTAGGAGAGGAATTGCTGGGTCATATGGTAACTATGTTTTACTTTTTGTTTTTTGAGACGGAGTCTCACTCTGTCTCCCAGGTTGGAGTCCAGTGGTGGGATCTTGGTTCTTTGCAACCTCTTCCTCCAGGGTTCAAGTGATTCTCCTGCCTTAGCCTCCTGAGTAGCTGGGATTATAGGCACATGCCACCACTCCTGGCTAATTTTTGTGTTTTTAATAGAGACAGGGTTTCACCATGTTGGCCAGGCTGGTCTGGAACTCCTGACCTCAGGTGATCCGCCCACCTCACCCTCCCAAAGTTCTGGGATTATAGGTGTGAACCACCACTCCCAACCTATTTTACTTCTTTTTGGGACTTTGTTTTTTGTTTTTGCTTTGTTTTGTTTTTTGCTTTTTTGTTTTTGTTTTCCAGGCTGGAGTGCAGTGGCGAGGAGACGGCTTACTGCAGCCTCAACCTCCTGGTCTCAAGTAATCCTTCAGCCTCAGCCTCCCATGTACCTGGGACCACAGGCATGCACTAGCACACTTGGCTAATTTTTTTTTTTTTTTTTTTGGGATGGAGTCTCACTCTGTCGACCAGGCTGGAGTGCAATGGCACAATCTTGGCTCACTGCAACCTCTGCCTCCCGGGTTCAAGCAATTCTCCTGCCTCAGCCTCCTGAGTAGCTGGGATTACAGGTGTGCGCCACCACACCCGGCTAATTTTTGTATTTAGTAGAGACGGGGTTTCACCATGTTGGTCAGGCTGGTCTCGAACTCCTGACCTTGTGATCCACCCACCTCAGCCTCCCAAAGTGCTGGGATTACAGGTGTGAGCCACCGTGCCCGGCCCACAATTGGCTAATTTTTTAAAAATGTATTTTCTGTAGGCTGGCGCAGTGGCTCATGCCTGTAATCCCAGCACTTTTTGGAGGCCAAGCAGGCGGACCACCTGAGGTTCAAGACCAGCATGGCCAACATGGAGAAACTCCGTATCCACAAAAATACAAAAATTAGCGGGTCATGATGTCAGGTGCCTGTAATCCCAGCTACTTGGGAGGCTGAGGTAGGAGAATCACTTGAACCTGGGAGGCAGAGATTGCAGTGAGCCAAGATTGCGCCATTGCACTCTAGCCTGGGCAACAGAGTGAGACTCTGTCTCAAAAAAAAAAAAAAAATTCTTTATAGAGATGGACTCTTGCTTTGTTGCCCAGGATGACCTTGAAATCCTGGTCTCAAGCAATCTTCCTGCCTTGGGCTTCTAAGCACTGGGATCACAGGCGTGAGCCACTGCACCAGGCCCTGTGTTTAACTTCTTGAGGAACTACCAAATTATTTTCCGCAGTGGCTGCACCATTTTACATTACCAACAACGTTTGAGGGTTCTGATTTCTCCTCTCCACATCCTCACCAACACATGGTATTTTCAGAGTTTTTTGGTTTTGTATTTTCTTTACAGCCATCCTAGTGGTGGTTGTAAACCATGGTGTCTCATGGTTTTGATTTGCATTTCCCTAATGACTAATGATTTTTTTTTTTTTTGAGACGGAGTCTCGCTGTGTCCCCCAGGCTGGAGTGCAGTGGTGTGATCTCAGCCCACTACAAGCTCTGCCTCCCGGATTCACGCCATTCTCCTGCCTCAGCCTCCCAAGTAGCTGGGACTACAGGCGCCCGCCACCATGCCCGGCTAATTTTTTTGTATTTTTAGTAGAGATGGGGTTTCACCGTGTTAGCCAGGATGGTCTCGATCTCCTGACCTCGTGATCCACCCGCCTCGGCCTCCCAAAGTGATGGGATTACAGGTGTGAGCCACCGCGCCCGGCCCCTTAATGACTAATGATTTGCGCATCTTTTCATATGTTTGTCTATTTGCATATCTTTTTTTTTGAGACCGAGTTTTGCTCTTGTTGCCCAGGCTGGAGTGCAATGGTGCAATCTCGGCTCACCGCAACTTCCGCCTCCCAGGTTCAAGCAATTATCCTGCCTCAGCCTCCAGAGTAGCTAGGATTACAGGCATGCACCACCATGCCTGGCTAATTTTGTATTTTTAGTAGAGGTGGGGTTTCACCATGTTGGTCAGGCTGGTCTGGAACACCCGACCTCAGGTGATCCGCCCGCCTCAGTCTCCCAAAGTGCTGGGATTACAGGCATAAGCCACTGCGCCTGGCCTTTTTTTTTTTTTTTCTTTGAGACATAGTCTCGCCCCGTCACCAGGCTGGAGTGTAGTGGCACGATCTCAGCTCACTGCAACCTCTGACTCCCTGGTTCAAGCAATTCTCCTGCCTCAGACTCTCCTGTAGCTGGGATTACAGGCATGTGCCACCACGCCCAGGTAATTTTTGTATTTTAGTAGAGACGGGGTTTTACCTTGTTGGCCAGTATGGTCTCGATCTCTTGACCTCGTGATTTGCCCGCCTCGGCCTCCCAAAGTGCAGGGATTACAGGCGTGAGCCACCACGCCCGGCCTTGTATATCTTTATTTGAGAAATGTCTATTCAAGTCATTTATTCATTTTTGAGTTGGATTATTGTTTTTTGTTGTTGTTGTTGTAGTCGTAAAAGTTCTTTATATATTCTGGATACTGGATCCTTATCAGGTACAAAAATTGCAATTATTTTCTTCTATTCTGTAGGCTTATGGAAGCAATTTTTAAATGATTAATTTGACAGTTGTGTGTGCATAAAGGATTTGAAGAGACAGCAGAAAGACCAACTAGGAATTCATTGCAGTTCTTCAGGTTACAATGGACACAAAACAGTAACAGTAAGAAAATGTCCCCCAAACGATTGTGTACCACAGGTGAAATTAGGAAAAGTCAGCTGAGCGTGGTGGTATGTGCCTGCAGTCCCAGCTTCTTGGGAGGCTGAAGCAGGAGGATCACTTGAGCCCGGGAGTTAGAGGCTTCAGTGAGCCATGATAACGACAGTGCACTACAGCCTGGGCAAGAGAATGAGGCGCTGTCTCAAAAACAAAAACAAACAAACAAAAAAATCAAAGTATAATAGATGAGATCAGCCATTTGTAGAAGTAGCAAATAACCTGGTGTAGTTTCAGGAAAGCATAATTCTATCAACATATCTAAAGTTCTAGCAACCTAATCACTCAAAGTAAAATGGCCGGAGGCCTAACACAATCAAATTCTAACCCAATCAATTAGAATAAGATGGCTGAAGGGAATATAAACAGAATCAATTATATTAACTTGGCTAGAGCTGAAACCCAATCAATTGAATTGTACCTTGTCTTCAGAGAAGGGGGAGTAAGGAAGTAGTCTGCAAAGAATCCCCACCCCCAAAATTGTCAATATTTCTCCAGCGACATTTAGGAAAGAAGATTACCCATTTGTCCAACATAAATGAATATCTTATATCTGTATAAAGAAGATGTATGCTGTTCTATTAGTCACTAAAATTTTCCAACTAGGGTGGGCGCAGTGGCTCACGCCTGTAATCCTAGCACTTTGGGAGGCCGAGGCGGGTGTATTACCTGAGGTCAGGAGTTCGAGACCAGCCTGGCCAACATGGCAAAACCCTGTCTCTACTAAAAATACAAAAATTAACCGAGATTGGTGGCGGGCGCCTATAATCCCAGCTACTCTGAAGGCTGAGGCAGGAGAATCGCTTGAACCTGAGAGGCAGAGGTTGCGGTGAACCAAGATCACACCACTGCACTCCAGCCTGGGTGACAGCGAAACTCCGTCTCAAAAAAATAAAATAAAATTATCCAACTAATTCCACTTGTTCACTAAGCAACCTTCTAATGATCAAACTTGTCTTCCAAAATAGTCAACCATTTTGATTATCCAATAAGATTGTCTAGGCCACTGGAAGTTTTTTTTCTCTATTTTTTAATAACAAAATTTAAAAGTGGTACAGACGGTCGGGTATGGTGGCTCATGCCTGTAATCCCAGCACTTTGGGAGGCCAAGGCGTGCAGATCATGAGGTCAGGAGATCGAGACCATCATGGGTAACACAGTGAAACACCATCTCTACTAAAAATACAAAAAATTAGCCGGGTGTGGTGGCATGTGCTTGTTGTCCCAGCTACTCGGGAGGCTGAGGCAGGAGAATCGCTTGAACCTGAGAGACGGAGGTTACAGTGAGCTGGATCGCGCCACTGCACTCCAGCCTGGGCAACAGAGCGAGACTCTATCTCAAAAAAAAAAAAAAAAAAAGTGGTACAGAGAGGTTGTTTGTTCGTTCTTTCTTTCTCTCTCTCTCTTTTTTTTCTTTCTTTCTTTTCTTTCTTTCTTTCTTTCCTTCCTTCCTTCCTCCCTCCCTTCCTTTTTCTTTCTTTCCTTCCTTCCTCTCTCTCTTTCTCTCTCTCTTTCTCTCTCTCTCTCTCTTTTTGAGACAGAGTCTCTCGCTGTCTGTCACCCAGACTGAAGTTCAGTGGTGCAATCACGGCTCACTGCAACCTCAGCCTCCCAGGTTCAAGTGATTTTCTGCTTGAAAATAGATAAATATTTCCTAAGTAGCTAGGACTACAGGTGTGCACCACTACGCACAGCTAATTTTTGTATTTTTAGTAGAGACGGAGTTTCACCATGTTGCCTGGACTAGTCTCAAACTCCTGGCCTCAAGTGATCCGCCTGCCTCGTCCTCCCAAAGTGCTGGGATTACAGGCCTGAGCCACCGTGCCCGGCCACGCCACTGGAAGTTTTATGTAGAAATATGTAAATTAACCATGTGGTTTATATGTTATATTCTTCTAAGTTTGGTCAGCATAAGTGAGTTCTTCCAAGATGAATTAATTGACCAAAATTGACATGGGCATTCAAGCCAAAGCTTGAATGTTTTCTTTTCTTTTCTTTTTTGAGACAGGGTCTTTATCGCCCAGGCTGGAGTGCAGTGATGCGATCTCGGCTCACTGCAACCTCAACCGCCTTGGTTCCAGGGATTCTCCCACCTCAGCCTCCCTAGTAGCTAGGACTACAGGCACACACCACCCCATCTGGCCAATTTTTGTACTGTTTGGTAGAGATGGGGTTTCACCATGTTGGCCAGGCTGGTCTCAAAGTCCTGATCTCAGGTGATCCGCCCGCCTCAGCCTCTCAAAGTGCTGGGATTACAGGCATAAGCCAGCGTGCCCAGCCTCAATGTTCTTAGGAAAAAAAAGTTAGCAATGTTTCTATCCTTGATAGTCTAATCAACCCAGGTGTGGAAGGAGCCTTATTTTATATGCTTAGGAGAGACAGTGAGAGGAATTTTTTTGTTTGGTTTTTCCATTCTACAGTGGAAGCAGACTCAGAAAAGCAATTCAAATTGCCTAGGGCCACACAATTCAATTAGATAAGGCTCTAGACACTAACTCCCAACCCAGGGCTTGCTTTGGCTCTTGCTTTGGCAATCATAGATTGCTTCTACTCCAGCCACTGCATAATAGGAAACAGCACAGTGGTCATCACAGCAGAGTTGGGGCAACTACAGCTGTTGATCTGGAGATGTGGGCGAATCCCCTCCACAAAATCAGGCCTTGGGGAGACAATAGAAGGGTGACATCTTTTTTTTGAGACTGAGTTTTGCTCTTGTTGCCCAGGCTCGAGTGCAATGGCGCAATCTCGGCTCACTGCAACCACCGCCTCCTGGGTTCAAGCGATTCTCCTGCCTCAGCCTCCCGAGTAGCTGGGATTACAGGCATGGGCCACCACGCCAGGCTAATTTTGTATTTTTAGTAGAGACGGGGTTTCTCCATGTTAGTCAGGCTGGTCTCAAACTCCCAATCTCAGGTGATTGCCCGCCTTGGCCTCCCAAAGTGTTACGATTACAGGCATAAGCCACAGCCCCGGCATCTTTTTTTTTTTTTTTTTTTTTTATAAGACAAAAAAACCTCTGTTGTCCAGGCTGGAGTGCAGCCTCAACCTCCTGGGCTCAAGTGACCCTTGCACCTCAGCCTCCAAGTAGCTGGACTACAGGTGTGTGCCACCACAGCTGGCTAGTTTTTAAATTTTTTGTTGAGACAGGGTCTCACTATGTTTCCCAGGTTGGTCTCAAACTCTTGGCCTCAAGCAATCCTTTTGCCTTGGCCTCCCAAAGTGCTAGGATTACAGGCATAAGCCACCACACCCAGAGATGGCATCTAACCTAACAACAGTCTGGCTTTGTCTCTGAGGTGTAGGAGGTGTCTCCCTAACATATGACTATGATGAAAATTAAGACCACAAAAAAGAAGATTCCTGGGGTTATGTAGTTGCAACTTTCATCCAGTAGTTTGAGGTGCTACGTGGATGAACTCTTTTGACTGCCACCTAAAGATCCACCCCTACCTCTTAATTACTTCATCAACCTTCCTCAGGACTACATCACACATAGTAACCTGTATAAAGAACAACGTTGCTAGGGGGCAGAATTGAATGTTAGCTATGCACTCAGAGGAATCCAATTTTTTTCATCCCTTCACAGAGCTGTGAGGGGATGACTTTCCTTAGGAAGAGGGATATTTTTCTCATCTTTTTTTTTTTTTTTTTGAGAGAAGATCTCATTCTGTCGCCTAGGCTGGAGTGCAGTGGCAAGATCTCAGCTCACTGCAATCTCTGCCTCCTGAGTTCAAGTGATTCTCCTGCCTCAGACTCCTGAGTAGCTGGGATTACAGGCGCACGCCACCACGCCCAGCTAAGTTTTGTATTTTTAGTAGAGATGGGGTTTCACCATGTTGGCCAGGCTGGTCTCAAACTCCTGACCTCAGGTGATCCACCCGCCTAGGCCTCTCAAAGTGCTGGGATTACAGACGTAAGCCACTGTGCCCGGCTGCCTTCTTTCACCTTGATAAGGTAGAAGGCCAAGCATGTGGGAATAGATACAAGTAAACTGGTGGATTTTGGTATTGGAAAAAATGAGGCAGTCTCATCTAAATGCATCTATTTTATCAATGAAACATGAAGCAAGATCATCTGCTGAGAGTGAACTGGAGGTGGTATTGGAGATGTTAGAAGAGAGAAGGTGTGAAACAATCATTATGCAGGGTAGAAAAGAGAATTTACCAGGGAAATACAGAATTATTTGGGAGTGTTGCGTTTTAGGGGCATTTTTTTTTTTTTGAGACAGAGTCTTGCTGTCACCCAGGCTAGAGTGCAGTGGCGCGTCTCAGCTCACTGCATCCCCTGCTTCCGGGTTCAAGCTATTCTCCTGCCTCAGCCTCCCAAATAGCTGGGATTACGGGCATGCGCCACCACGCCCAGCTAATTTTTGTATTTTTAGTAGAGACGGGGTTTCACCATGTTGGCCAGGCTGGTCTCGAACTCCTGATCTCAAGTGATCTGCCCGCCTCGGCCTCCCAAAGTGCTAGGATTACAGGCACGAGCCACCGCACCCATCTTAGGGGCATAAATTTAAAGTGATGCTAGTTAGCCAGATTCTGAGATTTTCTCCTTCAATATTCAGCTACCTAGGTATATATATGGAGAAGCTGAATTGTTGGATTTAACTGGAATTTGATTTTTTTCCAGGAAAGTTCTATGGAGGGCAAGAGGGACAAGGAAGTTAACAATGTCTGCAAGTTTATGGTTCTGGATGTGAAGGGGAGTGAGTGGATTATTTAAAAAATAAAAGACCAGGCACAGTGATTCACACCTGTAATCCTAACATTTTGGAAGGCAAGGGTTGGGGGATTGCTTGAGTCTGGGAGTCTGAGGCCAGCCTGGGCATCATAGTGAAGACTTGTCTCTACAAAAAATTAGCCTGGTGTGGTGGCACACACTTGTAGTCTCAGCTACTTTGGGAGGCTGGGGTGGGAAGATCACTTGAGCCCAAGAGTTTGAGGCTGCAGTGAGCTATGATAGCACTGCTACATGCCAGCCTAGGAGTCAAACCTTGACTCTAAAAAAAATAAAAAAACTAGGGCTGGGCGCGGTGGCTCACACCTGTAATCCCAGCACTTTGGGAGGCTGAGGCGGGAGGATCACCTGAGGTCAGGAGTTCGAGACCAGCCTGACTAACATGTAGAAACCCCGTCTCTATTAAAAATATAAAAATAGCTGGGCATGGTGGCGCATGCCTGTAATCCCAGCTACTTGGGAGGCTGAGGCAGGAGAATTGCTTGAACGCAGGAGGCAGAAGTTGCGGTGAGCCGTCATCATGCCATTGCACTCCAGCCTGGGCAACAAGAGCAAAACTCCATCTCAAAAAATAATAATAATAAGCCGGGAGTGGTGGCTCACACCTGTAATCCCAGCACTTTGTGAAGCCGAGGCGGGCAGATCATGAGGTCAGGAGATCGAGAACATCCTGGCTAACAAGGTGAAACCCTGTCTAAACTAAAAATAAACTAAAAATAAACTAAAAATACAAAAGTGTAGCCGGGCATGGTGGCAGATGCCTGTAGTTCCAGCTACTCGGGAGGCTGAGGCAGGAGAATGGCGTGAACCCGGGAGATGGAGCTTGCAGTGAGCTGAGATCGCACCGCTGCACTCCAGCCTAGGGGACAGAGAGAGACTCCGTCCCAAAAAAAAAAAAAGAAAAAAAAAGAAAAAAAGAAAAGAAAATAATAATAGTAATAACAATTTATTTTATTTTATTTTTTAGACAGGGTCTCTCTCTGTTACCCGGTCTGGAGTGCAGTGGCATGATCACAGCTTACTACAGCCTTGACCTCCTAGGCTCAAACAATCCTCCCACTGCAGCCTTCTGAGTAGCTGGGAATACAGTTGCATGCAGGCACACCTACTAATTAAAAAGAATTTTTTTCTTTTTTTTGTAGAAGGGTCCCACTATGTTTCACAGGCTGGTCTCAACTCCTGAGCTCAAGAGATCCTCCTGCCTCAACCTCTCAAAGTGCTGTGATTACAGGCATGAGCCACCCTACCTGGCCTCAACTTTTATTTTAAATTCAGAGGGTACACGTGCAGGTTTGTTATATGGGTATATTGCATGACACTGGTTTGGGGTATGAATGATCCTGTCACCCAGGTAATGAGCATAGTACCCAATAGGTAGTTTTTCAGCCTTCCCTGCCATCAGTAGTCCCCAGTGTCTATTGTTCCCATCTTCAGACCCAAGATTTGAGTGCAGGCATTTCTGACTCTGAAACTCATGCTCTTAGCCATTGTACTGTGGTGCCTTAGACAAATTTTGTTCAATACCGTTTTTACCATCACTATTATAGGATGATATAATAAAATACAAAATCATGTGGTCCAAATAGAAAAATATTTAAACGACGTTATTAATTCTCTGGTACATATTATTGCAAAATAAGTTAGAAAAGAGGAATATGGCCAGGTGTGGTGGCTCACACCTGTAATCCCAGCACTTTGGGAGGCTGAGGCAGGCGGATCACCTGAGGTCAGGAGTTTGAGACCAGCCTGGCCAACATGGTGAAACCCTGTCTCTACAAAAATTGGCCGGGCACGGTGGCTTACTCCTGTAATCCCAGCAGTTTGGGAGGCTGAGGCAGGTGGATCACAAGGTCAGGGGTTCAAGACCATCCTGGCCAAGATGTGAAACCCTGTCTCTACTAAAAATACAAAAAATTAGCCAGGTGTGGTGGTAGGTGCCTGTAATCCCAGCTACTCAGGTGGCTGAGGCAGAGAATTGCTTGAACCCGGAAGGCGGAGGTTGCAGTGAGCCGAGATTGCGCCACTGCACTCCAGCCTGGCTGACAAGAGTGATACTCTGTCTCAAAAAGAAAAAAAAAAAAAGAGAGAGAGAGAAAGAAAGAAAGAAAAGAGGACTATGTGTATGTGTGAAAGTAGCCAGAAAGGGTGTTGCAGACCTAGAGCTTGAAATGAACTCTCCTTGGAGAGTAGATTATAAGAAGGGAACCAACATTAATGTGTTTCCTGTATAAGCACTGTATGTGCATTGCTTCATCTGATCCCTTACACAACCTGTGATGGAACCTCTGTTCTCACTCATTACCAAGGGGAAACTGAGGTTCAAGGAGGTTAGATAATTTGCCCAAGTCCACGCTGCTAGGTGCTGAGCTGAGACTCAAACCCAGATCTCTCGTCTACTCCACACTGCCTCAGATTGGTAGAAAGGGCCAAGGAAGGCATTCCAGGTAGAGGGGAGCAGCAGGGGCAAAGATGGAGGTCTGGAATGAGAAGGATGCCTGTGAAAAGAAGTTGGTAAATGGCCAGGGATCTGGCCTTCCATCCTCTAAGGAGGAGCAGAGGGTGGGACTTCCTAGGCAGCTCCACCCACTTTAGAGGGTTGCAACAGTGTGAGGTGGGGCGGAGGTTCTGGGGTTCCTGGAAGGTGACTGAAGCCCATAAGCCTGGCACTGTGCCCATGGCGTGGCTGGAACTAGCCCCGCCCAGTAGTGCTGGGATGGGAGAGCCACGGCCTGCAGGCTAGTTCCTGGAAGTCTAGCCACCACCCCTCCCCGCCAACACTAGTGCAGCCTAGCTCTTGCTCTCCCCCAGAATCAGGCTCTTTACTGGCTTCAGTTTATCCCAAGCATCTCTCTACCAGAGTCTGACCTCCAGATAGGGCATTCGAAGTTCCTCAAGCCCTTGGGTCACTCTGGCCTCCAGGTATCTAAGCTTTCATCTAATAAGTAACAGACTAATTTTTGTATTGATCCCATTTTATCTTCCTAACAACTTCGCTAAGTGGGCATTCTCATTATTGTCTCCATTTTTCAATAAAGCTCAGAAAGGAAATAAAGCTCAGAAAGGTTAGGTTGGCCGGGCTTGGTTGGTGGCTCACACCTGTAATCCCTGCACTTTGGAGGCTGAGGTGGGTGGATCACCTGAGGTCGGGCGTTAGAGACCAGCCTGGTCAATATGATAAAACCGCATCTCTACTGAAAAAAAAACAGAAAATTAGCTGGGCATCTTGGCATGCGCCTGTAATCCCAGCTACTCAGGAGGCTGAGGCAGGAGAATTGCTTGAACCTGGGAGGTGGAGGTTGCAGTGAGCTGAGATCATGCCATTGCACTCCAGCCTGGCAACAAGAGCAAAACTCCCTCTCAAAAAAAAAAAAAACAAAAAAAACAGAAAAGTTGGGTTACCCAAGGCTACATAGCCAATAAATGCCAGGACCCAAGCCCAAGTTTCTTCGTTTGTTTTTTTAGAGATAGGGTCTTGCTCTGTCACCTAGGCTAGAGTACAGTGGTTGGAGTATAGCTCATTGTAACCTCAAACTCTTGGGCTCAAGTGATCTTCCCAGCTCAGCCTCCTGAGTACCTGGCACTACAGGTTCAAGCCACCACACTCGACACCAAGCCCAAGTCTTCTTTTTTTTGAGACAGAGTCTCACTCTGTTGCCCAGGCTAGAGTGCAATGGTGCGATCTCGGCTCACTGCAACCTCCGCCTTTTGGGTTCAAGCAATTCTCCTGCCTCAGCCTCCCAAGTAGCCGGGACCACAGGCGCCCGCCACCACACCCAGCTAATTTTTATATTTTTAGTAGAGACAGGCTTTCGCCATGTTGGCCAGGCTGGTCTCGAACTCCTGACCTCAAGTTATCCACCTGCCTCGGCCTCCCAAAGTGCTGAGATTACAGGCATGAGCCACCATGCCCAGCCCCCAAGTCTTTTTATTTCATTTTATATGTTATTTATTTATTTATTTTTGAAATGGAATATCGCTCTGTCACCCAGGCTGGATTGCAGTGGCATGATCTCGGCTCACTGCAACCTCTGTCTCCCAGGTTCAAGTGATTCTCCTGCCTCAGCCTCCTGAGTAGCTGGGATTACAGGCATGTGCCACTACACCCGGCTTATTTTTGTATTTTTAGTAGAGACGGGGTTTCACCACGTTGGCCAGGCTGGTCTCAAACTCATGACCTCAGGTGATCCGCTTGCATCAGCCTCCCAAAGTGCTGGGGTTACAGGCGTGAGCCACCGCGCCCGGCCTATTTTGTTTTTGTGAGACAGGGTTTTGCTCTGTCACCCAGGCTGGAGTGCACTGGCACAATCACAGCTCACTGCAGCCTCAACCTCCTGGGCTCAAGCCATCCTTTCACCTCAGCCTTCTGAGTAGCTAGGAGTACAGGTGCATGCCATCATGCCCGGCTATTTTTTTTTTAATTTTTTGTAGAACCAGGGTCCCACTATGTTGCCCAGGCTGGTCTCAAACTCCTAGGCTGAAATGATTCTCCTTCCTCAGCCTCCCAAAGTGCTGGGATTAGAGGTGTGAGCCACTGTGCCCAGCCTCAAGCCCACTAATAAGACTCAAGATCTATGATGCACCGTGAAACTACTTCTCTTTCTAGATTTAGAATTAAGCCCCAGGCCAACATGGTGAAACCCCATCTCTACTAAAAATACAAAAATTAGCTGGGCGTGGTGGCAGGCGCCTGTAATCCCAGCTACTTGGGAAGCTGAGGCAGGAGAATCGCTTGAAACCGGGAGGCGGAGGCTGCAGTGAGCCGAGATCACACCAGTGCATTTCGGCCTGGGTGACAGAGCAAGACTCCATCTCAAAATAATAATAATAATAATAATAACAATAATAATAAAATACAGTAGAATTAAGCCCCAGGGATTATTTCTTCTGGGACTATACTAGGTTTATCTATCAGCCTTCATCCATTTTGGTGTTAGTACTAGGCTCTGCTAAAGGGCATTAACTCTTAGATGCCAGGGTCTGGGAACCTCAGTCGTATCTAACTCCCTTGAAAGCCCCAAACCCTTTTGTCCTGAGAATGGGGTTCAGTCTCCCCTTAACTCCTGAGTCAATCGTCTAAAAATTGTTATCTGAGGAAAGAAACCTCCTCAAAGACTTTTTTAAATCCTATCCTTACCCAAACTGGAACACAAGGAACAATGAGTTATATGCTTCAGAAAATCTAGTCCACCATCTGAGCCTCTGTGTATACCAGGGCCCCCCGCTAAGAGGGGCCTCGCTATTCCTTGGTCCCAGACCCCTCTACCACCTCCCCCAAGCATCGGGGTAACCGCCCGGCTCTGCTGCCTAGGATAACGCCCAGCCCTCCCCTTGCCCCCTGTGGCTGCCTCCCCTTTCCGTCTGTTGAGAGAGGAAGCCAGGGGGTGTTGGGTGCAACCCTGCAGGGCACTGATAAAGGGCCAGCCCTGCCCCCACCCTCTGGGGCCACTGCGGTCAGACCAGCAGGCAAGCAGGCAAGGCAGCCAGCTCCCTCTGGGACCCATGGCCCTCCCCTGGTTCCACCTCTACCCACCCCGCCCTTCTCGGGAAGCTGGTTGCATAACTCAGTGGGGTGTTTGGCAACATTGCTTGTGGCTTGACCTGCTGCTGCTGGTGGTGTACACACACGTTATGAGGGTGAGGGTAGGGGTGGGTTGACCAGGTGTGACAAGAAGTGAATCTTTTAGGGAGTGGGTTAGCAGCATACGTGGAGAATGATAAAATAGTAAAGATATGTGGCCGTGGTTTTCTCCGTATCGTATTCTGTCTCTGCTACCTTTGATGAAGTGGGAGAATCTTGAGGATAGGAAAACCTTAGACATCCCTGCTTTACCAAGTCTTAGGCACTATCCAACCCATTCAGGCTGGCTCCTAATGTTTTGCAATTTGTAAATCAAACAAAGGAGACTTAAGGTAGAAAGGTGTTTGGTCTGGATTTCAGGAATCTGAGAGGAAGGGGCTAAAGGAACCATCCCCTCCTTTGAGGGCTGTAAAGGGTGTTCTGCCTCCAGAACACAGCCTGAGAACCACAGTGAAGTCCTCTTTTTCTGTAGGAGAGGAGTGAGGGTGAGATGGGAGAGACATCTCCACCTAGCCAGTCACCTTATTGAAGGAAGGCTGTCTCTTCACTTAGAACACCCTACTTGACTATGTCTGTCCCTTCAAATAAGTAGTAGATGACCTCAAACACTTCTATGAATCCCTACTATTTATAGGATAAAGTACACTCTCCCTAGATTGACTCTCAAGACATTGTATAATTTAGCCCCTGTCAAATTTTCCAGGCTTATCTTCTCCTACTTCCCATCCCATACCCCAACCTAGCAAACCCAAAGTATTGCTCTGTATTTTATGCCTCCATGCCTTCACATCTTTGCTTGGAATACTCTTTTCCACTTCTCTGCCTGGGAAATTCCTAGTTTTTCTCCACAGCCTAACTTAATTGTCACCTCCTCTGTAAAGCCTTCCTTGAATTTCACTGGGCAGAATTTATTTCCTCTTCTTCTCCATAGCACTGTATATACACCTTTATTTTTTTAATTCAAATTTTTTTTTTTTTTCTAGATAGAGTCTTGCTCTGTCGCCCAGGCTGGAGTGCAGTGGCACGATCTCAGCTCACTGCAACCTCCACCTCCTGGGTTCAAGTGATTCTCCTGCCTCAGCCTCCTGAGTAGCTGGAATTACAGGCACATGCCACCACGCCTGGCTAATTTTTGTATTTTTAGTAGAGAAGGGGTTTCACCATGTTGGTCAGACTGGTCTCGAACGCCCGACCTCAGGTGATCTGCCAGCCTCAGCCTCCCAAAGTGTTGGGATTACAGGCATGAGCCACCGTGCCTGGCCTATTTTATTTTATTTTATTATATACACCTTATTAATGTAATTCCCTGACTAGACTTGACTGAAGATACAGACTGTCTTGCTCATCTTTGTGTTCCTGGGATGTAAAACATAGTAGACACTCAATAAATATTTGTTGAATGAATGAATGATGAGCCTTGTGTTACCCATAATTGTCTATGCAACACCAGTATCCTGAACTGATAATTCTTATTCAATAAATGTTTGTTGACTATCTATAACCTGATATCATTATATAGTCAGCCACAAGTGTGACTGTTACCATTCTTCATCCCCTCTGAGTGGCCCAAATAAATATGCAAATGAGAGAATTATATCTGAGAGCCTACATATGTGACCCAGATTCATGCCCAAGTCTGAAGAGATTCTGAACCCACATGTAACATGTAATGAAGGCATTGGATTGCCTCCTGTCTTACCTTGATCATGCATGTGCAGTCATGATCTACTGGAAAAGGGATGGAATTCAAAGCATTTAACCATAGGTTTGGCATGGGCATTGGCCAATTCCAGCAGAAGCAGGCAGCACAGGAGGCTCCTTATGGTACCAGCATTGCCTCTTTACTTCCATGGTTGTGTTGCTGGGTTGTTGGGGATCTTAGAGGAGAACTAGGCTATTGGTGGAGTCGTGGGGGACACTTAGAGGGCTCACAGCAGCTGCCTTTTATCAACTAGGACTGAACATTTTCATTATTTTAACAGCAAATACAATCCCATCAGAGCATGCTGGTTGAATGCCAGTCCTACTCCAGAGTGGCACCTATCTGCTTCCCCAGTCTTCAGATGTTTCTAATTTAACTTGAACATTGTAAGAAGAAAAAATGTAAGCTGCAGATGTCAGGATTGAAGCTAGACATATAGAGCTGAAAGCCATTACAAATTAGGAGGAAGAAAGGCTCTTTTCTCACAGTCTGTGGAGAAAGATGTTTGACCTGGGGCTTTGGTGGTGTAGCTTGCAGGCAAAAAGATGAATAAGTGGGCTGGGTGAGGTGGCTCATGCCTGTAATCCCAGCACTTTGGGAGGCCAAGAGGGGAGGATTGCTTGAGCCCAAGAATTCAATACCAGCCAAGGCAATATAGTGAGACACCACTTCTACCAAAAAAAAAAAAAAAAAAAAAAATTAGCTGGGCATGGTTGCACTGACCCATAGAACCAGCTACTTGGGAGGCTGAGGTGGGAGGATTGCTTAAGCCTGGGAGTTTGAGACTGTAGTGAAACATGTTCACACCACTGCACTCCAGCCTGGGAGACAGAGTGAGCCCCTCTCTGGAAAAAAAAAAAAAAAAAGATGAATAAGGGTACTTACTGGCCTAACAGAGTTGGGTGCCATGTGGCTGGGGTGCTTTGCCTGGGAGAAAGGAGGACAAAGGACACCTGGGGTCCCCTTTACGGGAGGTGAATAATCTCCCTGCTGGGTGGCCCCCCACCTAACTCCCTTCACACACTGACAAAAACCTGGCCAAGAAAGAATCCTTTGTCCTGGGACTTCTGAGGCTGAGGGGGGAGGGGAGAAGGCTACAGGTGAAAGGACACATCAAAGCAGTCAGTTGCCCCTCCTCCTCCAAATAGTTCCCCTGCCCTTGTTCCCAGAGCCCAGGTTTTCTGTAAATGAAGGCTATACCCTAAACGTCCAACTGCCTAGACAGCTGGGAAGCTAGACACCTGGTCCTTACCTTCAGCTGCCTTCCACCTTGATATGACTCAGTTTCCCTGTCCCTAGGAGAGCCGTGGGGACACAAGGCGACGACAACCTGTATAAAGTTTAAAGGTCACATTCGAGTGGACCATCAGGTTGGAATTCGTCAAATGCATGGGAGAAACGCAGACCTGGCTGGACTCCTGGGCTGAAAAGGAGGGCTGGGAGAGGCTTGGAGCCATGTGTGCCCCCGCTGGCCAGGAGCAAGGTGGGGGCGGGGTGTGGGCAGAAACCACATCGGGCTCAAGTTTCCTCTCTTGGCCGAAAGGGGCAGGAGGAGAGGAGAGCCACGGGGAAAGGGGAGGGTTGGAGGAAGGACTGAGAACTCAGGCCGAGGGCTTCAGACGCTGGTGCGCCTGCTTGGGGCTCCTGTGCTCAGCTCAGCCTGAGCTTCCACACTCAGCGCTCAGCAATGGCCCGGGGGCGGGGCGCGGTCCTCGCAGATTCTCAAAGGTAGCCGGGATCCTCGTCCAGCAGTGTCAGCTCAGGCTCAGCCTCCCCAGAGACAACACCGGGAGCCTCATCTCTCTCCTCACCCTGCTGTGACTCCACCACAGGTGCCTGAAAGGCAGGGTGTGTGTGGGGGGGGCGGATTCCAGTGAGATCCGAGGGGCAGGCTGGGGGGTGAAGGAGGTGAGGGGGGAAAATAACCAACTTTCGGTATCCTAGGAGACCTCAGACTTTCTAGATTGCCCCTGGTTTAGGAATCTGACATATTTGGGAACTCCTCTAGGAGAAGACCTAAGTGGTTTCTTGGGTGCTCTGGGATCCTTGGGGTGGAGGCTGTGAATGGGGATCAGAGAGGGGTCTCCAGAGGCAAGGCACCGCTGAGGGGCTGGGGAGTAGCCAGGAGGAATCCTTCAACTGGTGGGCTACCCTGAGGGAACCAATAGACTACCCTTTCCCCAACTCCATTCCATTACTCTGCCCTGTCTAGGCAGCTGAGAAGGTTTAGGGAAAGCTGAGGAATTGGAAACACTGGATATCTGAACCTCTGAGAAGTGTTGCAAGGTGCGGGGGTTGGATGGGAGATTGCCTCTGGGTTGTTGGCTCCTTTGCCCTTTCTCTTCTCTGTGCCCAGGGGCAGTAGAGATCAGCTGGACCTGGAGGGAGAAGGAAGACATCCCAACCCCAGCATAGTTGCTTCTAACTGGAACTCTTGGCTGCTTGGGAAATAGGGGCTTGGGAAGCAGTGGAAGAGAAGAGAGGAGGTATCAGAACTGCTGGGGCTGGGATCCCCTAGACATCGGTACCAAAGGACTGGAGTTTGGGGTCCAGGGATGAAGTGACACAATAGCAGAAACTCGTCCCCCTCTTCTTTGTTCTCACACATTTGTTTGAGTCATGCATGTCCCTAGGGCACTGAGCTCACTATGCTTAAATCTCTCTCCCTCCTTTTTTTCCCCTTCATTCTGTCTCATCTCTGTGTGTCTCTCTCTCTTCGGGAGTTCTCCCTAATCTTTCTAAATAGGTTGCTTACCGGTTAACCAATACCCCAAGTTTTACTAATCCCTCCTCATCCTTTCACTGCACCTATTGACACCTGGAGAGGTGAGGTGGTCAAATAAGCCTCAGAAAAGGGATCCTGAGGCAAGCCCCCTCTCATCGTTCCCCCTCGTTAAGGAAGTTAAGAGCCCTGGGGCAGCAGCTAAGGCCAAATGTATTCCTCTCTCCATCATCCCTCTCCGAATAGTCCTCACTCTGTATTCCTAATCATGAAGCTCCGTATCATTCTGTGAGTACTTAGGGATTATGATAAAAATCTTTCTGGGTAGGACCACCAGGCTAAGAGTAAGGAGGATGGACTTTAGTCCCTGGTGACAACCCCATTTCTACCTAATCCATAATGTTGGGGAGTAAGAGAAGGAACAGACAACCCAGTGGGAGTAAGATGGTGGTGTGACCCCAAAATGCAAAAGCTAAACTGTAAAGTGGGAGCTTCTTATTGTAAAAGAAAGGGAACACAGGGAAGCCCACTTCACTTTCCCAGTATCTCCCCAGTTTCTATACCCTCTATGGTGTTCTATTTGATCCAATTCTATCTATCTCCCTGATCTATCCCACTGCCTGCCAGCTCTGCTGTCCTCTGAAAGGTAGGCTCTGGAAACCCAGAGGGACCCTATGCCTGGTGTATAGAACACCATCCATCCTTGAGCGTCTAGGGAAAAGCATCCTGCTCCACCTGCCACCTGGTACAAACTTGCTACTGCACCCAAGAGCTGGTTGGAATGGATCCAGAGGTTCTCCTCAACTCTCTCTCCCCCAAACTCCTGCCTCCCCTTGCTCCCCTTCTTTTTTTTTTTTTTTGAGACAGAGTCTTACTCTGTTGCCCAGGCTGGAGTGTAGTGGCATGATCTCAGCTCACCGTAACCTCTACCGCCCAGGTTCAAGCAATTCTCATGCCTCAACCGCCTGAGTAGCTGGGATTACAGGTGTGCGCCACCAGACCTGGCTAATTTTTGTATTTTTAGTAGAGATGGGGTTTTGCCATGTTGGCCAGGCTGGTCTCAAATTCCTGACCTCAGGTGATCCACCCACCTCAGCCTCCCAAAGTGCTGGGATTACAGGTGTGAGCCACCACACCTGGCCACTGAGGCACTTTTAAAATGCTGATTCCTGGGTTTATGGATTCAATTCAGTAGATTTGAAGTGGCTTTTAGGAATCTGTGTCTTTACATGTAGCCCAGGTGAATGTGGCACACAATGAAGTTTGTGACTCCCTGAGCTAGATGCAACCTATGGCCTTTAATAGCAATTAGGTTCCTAGTCCTGTCTCCATTTAATGGAAGGGACTGAATGAGAAGCAATTTGCCCACGGTCATGTATCTTTTTTTTTTTTTTTTTTTTTTTGATGTGGAGTTTCACTCTTGTTGCCCAGGCTGGAGTGCAATGGCATGATCTTGGCTCACCACAACCTCCGCCTCCTGGGTTCAAGCGATTCTCCCACCTCATCCCCCCAAGTAGCTGGGATTACAGGCATGCGCCACCATGCCCGGCTAATTTTGTATTTATAGTAGAGACAAGGTTTCTCCATGTTGGTCAGGCTGGTCTTGAACTCCCGACCTCAGGTAATCCTCCCATCTTGGCCTCCCAAAGTGCTGGGATTACAGGCGTGAGCCACCGTGCGTAGCAAGGTCTTGTATCTTAAGTGCCAGAGAACCTAGGTCTCTGGCCTCCTAGGGCAGGATCTTTGTACTGCACCTTAGAGTCAGATCCAAGAAGATAAAAGGAGAGACAAATGGGGGGATTGGGGTGAGTAAAGAACTGTGAAGCAAGAGTCATTGTCTCTGCCTCCTAAACCCCTTCTCCATTCACTTTGCCTTTGGGCAATTTCCGCCAGAACCTGGGTGGAGGAGGGTGGGGTTCCGGTGTTGAAATGGCATCCTGGACAGACATAAACACCCCACCCACTCTGCCCACTGGCAGAGTTGCCTACACCAACTCCCATCTCTGGGGATGGCAGTAAAACAAGGGGATGGAGGCAAGGGCTAGGGGAGATACTCTTTCAAAAGGATCATTTGTAGTTCCTACTAATTTTGTGGTAAGTCGAAGAGAAGATTCCATATTAAATTGCTGTGATGGGCCATCCTTGTGGTGAGTGGTCTAAGGTCATGCAATTTGAGGTCATACAATCCTATCCTCTGTCCTTCTTTTTCTTTCTTTTCTTTTTTTTTTTTTTTTTTTTTTTTTCCGAAACAGAGTCTCACTCTGTCGCCCAGGCTGGAGTGCAGTGGTGCGATCTTAGCTCACTGCAACCTCCGCCTCCCGGGTTCAAGCAATTCTCCCTGCCTCAGCCTCCTGAGTAGCTGGGATTACAGGCGCCCACCACCAAGCCTGGCTATTACTTGTATTTTTAGTAGAGATGGGGGTTTCACCATGTTGGCCAGGCTGGTTTCGAACTCCTGACCTCAGGTGATCCACCTGCCTCAGCCTCCCAAAGTCCTAGGATTACAGGTGTGAGCCACTGCACCTGGCCGTTTTTTTTTTTTTTTTTTTTTTTTGAGACAGGGTCTTGCTCTGTCACCCAGGCTCTCGAGTGCGGTGGCACAATCATGGCTCACTGCAGCCGTGACCTTTCAGGTTCAAGTGATCCTCCCACCTCAGCCTCCTGAGTAGCTGGGACCACAGATGTGTGCCATTATGCCTAGCTAATTTCTGCATTTTTAGTGGAGATGGGTTTTCACCGTGTTTCTCAGGCTGATCTCAAACTCCTGGGCTCAAGCAATCCTTCCACCTTGGCCTCCCAAAGTGCTTCCCCTCTCCCATGTTTCCTTCATCCTAGCCTGCTTCCCTATACTGATATGGCACGGTATGTCTGTGTGCGTGCACATAGACACAATGTCTGACCGTAGAGATCAGGAAGACCTTGCCAAATCTACTTGGAATCTCTTGCTGACGGCAGGGAAAACAGATGCAAGGAAGGTGGGTGTCAGGGAATAGGGAGGTAGCATGAGGAGAGGGACTGACAGAAGAAGATAAAGACACGGGTGAGGGTTTGCTGAGAATTCTAAGCTATCCAAGCAGAAAGGGACCTCCAAGGTCAATTTGTCCAACTCCCTGGTTTTACAAATGAGGAAACAGAGGCCCAGAGAAGTGAGATGGCTTGCCCAACATCACACTGCTGCTTTGTGGCAGAGCTGCAACTAGAACCCAGGTCAAAAGAAAAGGGACTGGAGGGCAGTGTATATTCAAGGCTCTAAAGAGACATTGCCCAGAAGGAGAAAGAGAGACTGACACTCCACAGAAAGAACTGATGAATGTAGACTTCCAGTAGAGGTTTGGAGTATGAAGATACAGGGGCAGGAGGGGAAGGTGCCTAGAAGACATTATAGTCAGGTAGAGTCAGGTTCTGGACCTCATCCTGCTATTATTTATCAGCTTCAGTCTCAGTTTCTGATGTACCTTTAGAATCTTTGTGAAAACCAGTCTTTTTTTTTTTTTTTTTTTTGAGACATAGTCTAACTCTGTCAGCCAGGCTGGAGTGCAGTGGCGCGATCTCGGCTCTCTGCAGCCTCCACCTCCTGGGTTCAAGTGATTCTCCTGCCTCAGCTTCCCGAGTAGCTGGGACTACAGACATGTGCCACCCCACCACGCCCAGCTAATTTTTGTATTTTTAGTAGAGACGGGGTTTCCATGTTGGCCAGGCTGGTCTCGAACTCCTGACCTCAGGTGATCCACCTGCCTTGGCCTCCCAAAGTGCTGGGATTACAGGCCTGAGCCACCGCGCCCGATGAAAACCAATCTTATAAACTAAGCTTGCAATACCAGCACAGTTCTTAACAAGTGCTTACTAAGTCTTTACTAAGGTTATATTACCTCAGAAGAGGAAAGACTTCTGATTGTATGGGTTAAGGTATGGCCCAAATGACCCTGTGAGGACACAGGACAGAGGTCCAGTGTCTCCAGAGCCCATTCCTTCTGTGCCTCTGCTGCCTGCAACTGATAAACCTCTTATCTGGCCCAGGCAGGGGAGCCCAGGGCCAGGATAGGAGGAGAGGGCAGAGCTGCTATCAACCACCAGGCCTGGGCCATATCTTGGAGAGGAGGAGGGGCTGTCTGCTTGCCTCTTTCCACAACTTGTTCTTGGGGATCCTCAAGCATATACTGTCATCATCTTGGAAAGAAAAGGCTGAGAACGTAAAACTGAGGACAGAGGAGGAAAGCAGGGTGACCCCTGATGTTGCCCTAGAAAATGGAAAACAAAACACAGCAAAACAGAAAAACAGAAGATCTGACTCTGCCTTTAGCCAGGAAAACAGTTTGGGGGAGTAAAAAGTATTAGGGAAAAGAGTGGGCATTTTGCCTGGAAAAAAGGTAAAGACCTCCTGTGCTACCAAAGGAACTGACTGTGGCCATAGTTGGCGAGGTGGAGATCACAACACAGGAAAAGACTTTCCATCTTAAGGGATTGATGAATCCAGCATGAGTGAGGATGGGGAGGAGGCGGTCTCTCCTTCCCTCAGGGGAAGCTGGAGGGAGCCCCTCCAAGGAGGTAGTGCAAACTTGCTGACCCTAGCAGGTGTAGCTCTAACACCTCTTTTCCTTTGACACAGGTTTCTAGAGCCATCTGGGCTTTCCGGGAACCTGGACCAGACTCTGGCCCAGTAGGATGTCCCCGTGTCCTCCCCAGCAGAGCAGGAACAGGGTGATACAGCTGTCCACTTCAGAGCTAGGAGAGATGGAACTGACTTGGCAGGAGATCATGTCCATCACCGAGCTGCAGGTGAGTAAGGGGGGATAGGGCAGGGGAGGCCGTGTGTCGGAGAAGAGAGAAGCAGGGAGTTGGCCAGGACTGAGGCAGAGGGCAGGAGCAAGCAGGGCTCAGGGCTGGTAATGCTCCAGGCACTGGGAAAGGAAGGGAAAGATCCGGATGGAAGACACTGAGGAACGTTGAGGAGGAGGAGTGGAGGAGCAGTGGTGGGGAGGGAATGATCTGATTGGGAGTGTAGGCTCTCTCAGCAGCCACTTGACTCACATCTCTCTCTACCCCACCTCCTGCTCTCCCTCCCGTGCTCACCTTCTTCTCTTCTGACCTGCCTCTCTGATCCTGCCATCTTCTTCCCTCATTACCTCCGCCTGCCCTTGGCAACTGGGCCCGTTTACCCCAGGTAACAGAGCAGTAGTTCAGGGGCCTCAGGAAGGGGAGTCGGACTATGCCAGGGTCCTCTCCTCCTGCTACTTGGACAAAGGGGTGTCTGTTGGCTTGACAATGATGCCTTTGTCCCCAGCTGGGCTGGAGCAGGGTGGCTCCCTGATGTAGGTTGGGGGCCTTGTTTCTAGCATGTTCTCTACTTCTCGCTGCACCTGGGCAGGGACAGAGGGACTGAAGAGGAGAAGGCAGAGCTTGTGCTGGCTCCCCAAGGTGCTTCTTAGCCCCCAGCCACCCCCCTTTTACTACCCTGCTACCATGCTTAGCACCCTCAGGATCTGCCCTAGGCCCTCTTCCCACACAGCGGCTCCCTCTGCTGGGCATCTGGGGCATGGCCAGGATCTGAACTTGACCCTTTGACCCTAGATAACTGCAGCAGGAAAGGGTTCTGAGGGGTCATCTTGGATAAAAAGGCTTTGACTTCCTGAAGGAAATAAAGGAACATGAGCCATTTCTTTTTTTTTTTTTTTTGAGACGGTGTCTCGCTCTGGCGCCCAGGCTGGAGTGCAGTGGTGCAATCTTGGTTCACATCATTCTCCTGCCTCAGCCTCCCAAGTAGCTGGGACTACAGGCGCCTGCCACCACCCCAGCTAATTTTTTGTATTTTTAGTAGACAGGGGGTTTCACCGTGTTAGCCAGGACGTTCTTGATCTGATCCTGTGATCCGCCCGCCTTGGCCTCCCAAAGTGCTGGGATTACAGGCCTGAGCCACCATGCCTGGCCGAACATGAGCCATTTCAACCCAGTAAGAGCTTCTCCAAGGAGAGTTCATAATTGTTCCAATGTTAGGTAGTCTTTTCTGCAGTCCAACCTCAGTGACTTCCATTCTTGCTAAAGCTGCATTTTTCATTTTTTCTTTTTTTGAGAGGGAGTCTTGCTCTGTCGCCCAGGCTGGATAGTGGCACTATCTTGGCTCACTTCAACCTCCACCTCCGGGGTTCAAGCAGTTCTCCTGCCTCAGCCTCCCAAGTAGCTGGGATTACAGGCATTCACCACCATGCCCAGCTAATTTTTGTATTTTTAGCAGAGATGGGGTTTCACCATGTTGTCCAGGCTGGTCTCGAACTCCTGACCTCAGGTGATCTGCCGCCTTGGCCTCCCATAGTGTTGGGATTATAGGTGTGAGCCACCATTCCTGGCTTTAAGCTGCATTTTTCTTGCAACAACTGTATCATAACTTTGCAGGAAGCTTCCCGTGATTTGTGGCAACTTTGTTTCCTTGTTACTACCTCACTGCGACTTTCAGAAGAATCCAGCTTGTTCCTGAGAGAGTGTTGGTTTCTCTTCCTTAGTCTGTCTCCAAATCTCTTTGTGTCTTTCCTTGCAGGGTCTGAATGCTCCAAGTGAGCCATCATTTGAGCCCCAAGCCCCAGCTCCATACCTTGGACCTCCACCACCCACAACTTACTGCCCCTGCTCAATCCACCCAGATTCTGGCTTCCCACTTCCTCCACCACCTTATGAGCTCCCAGCATCCACATCCCATGTCCCAGATCCCCCATACTCCTATGGCAACATGGCCATACCAGTCTCCAAGCCACTGAGCCTCTCAGGCCTGCTCAGTGAGCCGCTCCAAGACCCCTTAGCCCTCCTGGACATTGGGCTGCCAGCAGGGCCACCTAAGCCCCAAGAAGACCCAGAATCCGACTCAGGATTATCCCTCAACTATAGCGATGCTGAATCTCTTGAGCTGGAGGGGACAGAGGCTGGTCGGCGGCGCAGCGAATATGTAGAGATGTACCCAGTGGAGTACCCCTACTCACTCATGCCCAACTCCTTGGCCCACTCCAACTATACCTTGCCAGCTGCTGAGACCCCCTTGGCCTTAGAGCCCTCCTCAGGCCCTGTGCGGGCTAAGCCCACTGCACGGGGGGAGGCAGGGAGTCGGGATGAACGTCGGGCCTTGGCCATGAAGATTCCTTTTCCTACGGACAAGATTGTCAACTTGCCGGTAGATGACTTTAATGAGCTATTGGCAAGGTACCCGCTGACAGAGAGCCAGCTAGCGCTAGTCCGGGACATCCGACGACGGGGCAAAAACAAGGTGGCAGCCCAGAACTGCCGCAAGAGGAAGCTGGAAACCATTGTGCAGCTGGAGCGGGAGCTGGAGCGGCTGACCAATGAACGGGAGCGGCTTCTCAGGGCCCGCGGGGAGGCAGACCGGACCCTGGAGGTCATGCGCCAACAGCTGACAGAGCTGTACCGTGACATTTTCCAGCACCTTCGGGATGAATCAGGCAACAGCTACTCTCCTGAAGAGTACGCGCTGCAACAGGCTGCCGATGGGACCATCTTCCTTGTGCCCCGGGGGACCAAGATGGAGGCCACAGACTGAGCTGGCCCAGAGGGGTGGAACTGCTGATGGGATTTCCTTCATTCCCTTCTGATAAAGGTACTCCCCAACCCTGAGTCCCAGAAGGAGCTGAGTTCTCTAGACCAGAAGAGGATGACAATGGCAACAAGTGTTTGGAAGTTCCAAGGTGTGTTCAAAGAGGCTTGCCTTGAGGGAGGGCTGGAATCTGTCTTCCCTGACTCGGCTCCTCAGGTCTTTAGCCTCCACCTTGTCTAAGCTTTGGTCTATAAAGTGCGCTACAGAAATGGCTTTTCACTGTGTCTTCCTTCTTGAGGGAGGGTGGAAGCTGAGATAATTATCTGTTTGAATCTTACCAAGTTCACTTCATTCTCCCCAGAGCTCTGTATGAGAGGTACCATAAAATTTGGGCTTGAGGCTGAGCATGGTGGCTCACACCTGTAATCCCAGCACTTCGGGAGGCCGAGATGGGCAGATCACAAGGTCAGGAGTTCGAGACCAACCTGGCCAAAATGGTGAAACCCCATTTCTACTAAAAGTACAAAAATTAGCTGGGTGTGGTGGTGCACGCCTGTAATCCCAGTTCCTCAGGAGGCTGAGGCAGGAGAATCACTGGAATCCGGGAGGTAGAGGTTGCAGTGAGCTGAGATTGCGCCACTGCACTCTAGCCTGGGTGACAGAGCGAGACTCCATCTACAAAAAAAAAAAAAAAAATCTGGGCTTGAGCAGTATGGGGATCTACCACCTTCACCTCCTTTTCAGAGTCAGAGGCCATGGATGATCTGAAGAACCCCACACTCCCTGGTGGTGCCCTATTTGTAGAGCTTGGAGAGCTGTCCAAACTGACTAGACACCCTGTGCAAAGGTTCCTGATGTTTACGTCTCTTTTCTCTCAATTCTCCCAGCACAAAAAAGCCCAGGATGCCCATAGGCCTTTCTTTTTTTCTTCCCCTCCTGCTTACCTCTCAGCCTGGGTCCTCCTAATGTGCCAGAGTTCTCTCAGAAGACTGAATGGGCTGTTCTTGGCTGGAATTTATACATCAAAATTTCAGAAGATTTCACACCGAAGCTTTGGTAAAACCTGCTCCACAGTGGAGTAAACTATTTATTCCTGTGAAACGTTTTCTCTGATTATGTTAGACAAACACTACCCAGATCTTTTTTTTTTCTTTTTTCTTTTTTTTGAAAGAGAGTTTTGCTCTTGTTGCCCAGGCTGGAGTGCAATGACACGATCTTGGCTCACCGCGACCTCCACCTCCTGGGTTCAAGTGATTCTCCTGCCTCAGCCTTCGGAGAAGCTGGGATTACAGACATGCACCACCATGCCCATCTAATTTTGTATTTTTAGTAGAGACAGGGGTTTCTCCATGTTGGTCAGGCTGGTCTTGAACTCCTGACCTCAGGTGATCCATCCGCCTCAGCCTCCTAAAGTGCCGGGATTACAGGAGTGAGCCACCGTGCCCGGCCAACACTACCCAATTCTTGTTTTGGGGCCCTCCTTTTCTAGATCCTTAAAGATTTTTTTGTTTGTTTTCTTTGAGACGGAGTTTCGCTCTTGTTGCCCATGCTGGAGTACAATGGCGTGATCTCAGCTCATCACAACCTCTTTCTCCCGGGTTCAAGTGATTCTCCTGCCTCAGTCTCCCAAGTAGCTGGGATTACAGGCATCCACCACTATGCCCAGCTAATTTTGCATTTTTAGTAGAGATGGGGTTTCTCCATGTTGGCCAAGCTGGTTTTGAACTCCCGACCTCAGGTGATCTGCCTGCCTCAGCCTCCCAAAGTGCTGGGATTACAGGCTTGAGCCACCACGCCTGGCTTTTTTTTTTTTTTTGAGACAGAGTCTCGCTCTGTCGCCTAGGCTAGAGTGCAGTGGCGCGATCTCAGCTCATTGCAACCTCAACCTCCACCTTCTCTGCCTCAGCCTCCTGAGTAACTGGGATTACAGGCGCCCGCCACCATGCCTGGCTATTGTTTTGTATTTTTAGTAGAGATGGGTTTCACCATGTTGGCCAGGCTAGTTTCGAACTCCTGACCTCAAATGATCTGCCTGCCTCGGCCTCCCAAAGTGTTGGGATTACAGGCGTGAGCCACTGTGCGCAGCCTAGATATTTTTTATTAGTCTATTTTGCTTCTTCTTGAAACAGAATATAATTCACTAAGTTTCAGATTCCTTACCCATATCAGTTAAAGTCCAGTCAAACCTCCCTGACAGGACACAATCTCCTTGCTTGGAGTTGTATAGTCTCCAGTATTCCCAGTCACTGAATTACACAGCTTACCTTTTCAGAAGATTTTACATTTACTTTTTATTCAATTTTACTAGCTCCATTCCAACATTAAAACCTTACATCCAAGTTCTGATCTGGACACCGCAGGCTGAGGTGGGAGGACTGCTTGAGCCCAGGAGCTTGAGACGAGCCTGGACAATATAGGGAGACCCTGTTTCTACAAAAAAAAAATTAGTGGGTGGGTACAGTGGCATATGCCTGTGGTCCCAGCTATGTTGGAAGCTGAGGTGAGAGAATTGCTTGAGCCTGGGAGTTCGAGGCTACAGTGAGCCAAGATCATGCTACTGTACTCCAGCCTGGGCGACAGAGCGAGACTGTCTCAAACAAAAATGGACACCACAGATACTGAGACCTAAAAGCAGCACAGTGATTAGGGAGATATGGAGTGTGGTCTCTAGCCTAAGTTTAGGGAACAAAAACAACTTGAAGCACTTCCTTTTTTTTTTGAGATGGAGTCTCTGTCGCCCAGGCTTGAGTGCAGTGGGCTGATCTCAGCCCACCTTAGCCTCCTGAGTAGCTAGGACTAAAGGCGCATGCCACCATGCCTGGCTAATATTTGTTAGTAGGGATGGGTTTCACCATGTTGGTCAGGCTGGTCTCCAACTCCTGGGCTCAAGCAATCTGCACACCTCGGCCTTCCAAAGTGCTAGGATTACAGGCATGAGGCATCCAATGTTTCCACATTGTTTTTTTTTGTTTTGTTTTGTTTTTTTTTGAGACAGCGTCTCTCGCTCTGTCGCCCAGGCTGGAGTGCAGCAGTAGGGTCTTGGCTCACTGCAACCTCCGCTTCCCAGGTTCAAGCAATTCTCCTGCCTCAGCCTCCCAAGTAGCTGGGATTACAGGCACCTGCCACCATGCCCAGCTAATTTTGGCATTTTTAGTAGAGACGGGCTTTTCACCATGTTGGCCAGGCTGGTTTCAAACTCCTGACCTCAAGTGACCCTCCCGCCTAGGCCTCCCAGAGTGCTGGGATTACAGGTGTTGAGCTACTGTACCTGGCAATGTTTCCACATTTCTTTCTTTTTTTTTTTTGAGACGGAGTCTTGCTCTGTCGCCCAGGCTAGAGTGTAGTGGCACGATCTCGGCTCACTGCAACCTTTGCCTCCTGGGTTCAAGTAATTCTCCTGACTCAGCCTCCAGAGTAGCTGCGATTATAGGCGTGCGCCACCATGTCCCGCTAATGTTTGTATTTTTTTTGGGCAGGGGGGACAGAGTCTCGCTCTGTCACCCAGGCTGGAGAGCAGTAGCGCGATCTCGGCTGACTGCAACCTCCGACTCCCCGGTTCAAGCAATTCTTCTGCCCCACCCTCCTGAGTAGCTGGGACTACAGGCGCCCGCTGCCACGCCCGGCTATTTTTTTGTACTTT
This sequence comes from Homo sapiens, assembly GCF_000001405.40. NCBI lineage: Eukaryota > Metazoa > Chordata > Mammalia > Primates > Hominidae > Homo > Homo sapiens. Next base: position 54,288,739 of record NC_000012.12, on the reverse strand, counting down.
TTTAGCAGAGACGGGGTTTCACCGTGTTGCCCAGGCTGGCAACCCGCCCACCTTGGCCTCCCAGGTAGGATTACAGGCATGAGCCACCGCGCCTGGCCAATTTTTGTATTTTTAGTAGAGATGGGGTTTCACTATGTTGGCCAGGCTGGTCTGGCACTCCTGACATCGTGATCCACCCGCCTCGCCCTCCCAAAGTGTTGGGATTACAAGCATGAGCCATCGCGCCCGGCCATCTTGTTTCCACATTTCAAGCTGCAAAGGCAGGGGCTTGGGCTAGCTGTTCAGAAATTTAATTAGTTTACCTAAGAGACGTCAGATCCCCCTGCTCTCATGAAAATCACTAGTGAGGTCTTATACACACACATACTTGTTCAGCGTGCTGACCTAAACAAGGTGGAACATAGTTTGAAAATAGAGCAATCTGAGTTATATGATCCAGTGGTTGCAGGAACTTGGGACAGGATTTTATCTTCAGCCTATTTCCTCATTTAGAAAATAATGGAATTTACTTTTCACAGTATTATAATAAAGTATATAGCAAAGTACATGGACTGAAACAATGTTTCTCTTCAATAGGAATGCTTTTAGGAAACTATCCTTAGGAGTTTTCCTTTCCCTTCAAGGAAATTTGATTGTCTACAATAAAAACCTCTAGCAAATGCCAAGTCACAAACTGAGACCCCTGACATTACTTCCCCCAAGTATCAAAAGGCTAATGGAACTTAGTCCCATATACAGTTGTTTCAAAACAGCATGGGTGTTAAAAGGCAAAAATTTCCCAAGAATCCTACCTCCACTTTTGTTAGGCTCAAAACTGAGGCTGGATAAACTTTCCTTGAAAATAACAGAAACAGTTTAGTGGCCAGGCACGGTGGCTCACACCTCTAATCCCAGCACTTTGGAAGGCCAAGGTGGGCGTTTATTACCTAAGGCCAGGAGTTCAAGACCAGCCTGGGCAATACGGTGAAACGCTGTGTCTCTACTAAAAATACAATTAGCCAGGCACCTCTAGTCCCACCTACACGGGAGGTTGAGGCAGAATTGCTTGAACCTGGGAGGCAGAGGTTGCAGTGAGCAGAGTGTCACTGCACTCCAGTCTGGGTGACAGAGGGACACTTCGTCACACACACACACACACGCAAGAACCTAAGCATTTGCTAGAGGGTACAATTATTGCTTCCAAAATAGTCCTTACATTTTTAGGCTATCTTTGAGAGGCTAAGTCTTGCCTCTCATTCAGTTCACTTTCTTACTCCTGGCTTGAGAATTCTACTGAAGTATGAGACAGCTGGCCAATAAGCCCAACTTGTTTGCCAAAGATGAAATCCATTATGTCCTTCTGCAACAGATGGTGAGCGTAAGTCCCAATAGAGACATACTGAGCTCAATGGCAGTGCTACAACTTGATTTTCCCTTGCCAGGGGAGCTAGAAAAAGGACATGCTCAATTGGATCAATAGTAAAGTTTACTTATAGTGAGCCAAGAATTACTCCTGTAGTGAGAACCCATTTCTATTTTCATTAAACCATGAAGCTGAATGGGATGAATCTAAATATAGAAATTCACATTAGAATCAACCATATCCTCTCTAACCTGAATTTCAACATGTTATTAACCATAGATATCACAAAGGAGGACAAAACAAGCAGAACTAAGTTAAATACAGTTTATTAAAAAAAAAAACCCATTCACAAAATGGAATTTGAGCTGCAGAACAGCTCATGTAAACTGCATGGCAGTGATAACGAAGTACAGTGGCTCAGATAAAGGTCTTCACAAGGACGTTCCTGCAAAAGGCAAAAGAGGTTGTAAAGTATTCATATAAGCAGAGGTGAATGACTACACAGTTATATCCACTGTCACTACTGGGAATACCTGGTTGGCTAATAACTCTTTTTGCAATTGGATGAGATTACGAAGTGTTTTGGTTTAAGGTACAGCTTGTCATTCTTTTACTTTGGGAACGCAGGGCATTCTTTTGCTGAGCACTAATTTGTAAAAACTTACCTTTCTGCCACGAACTTGGACAGATGAGTTTCTGTTTTTAAGAGCTGATAAGACTAGTAGCAGACTCCTCCCTAGAAAAGTAAACAACCTTTAGAACTAGCTCTAAGACCAAGTCCCATCTCAAGCTAAACCCCCCATACCTCCCATTAATAACCCACCCATCCCCCCACCATTTGGGGAAGTCTATTACTTTGAGCCATTATTTTAAGGAAATGGGTCAAAGGAAGATAAATAAAAGGGCAAAAATTTATATTCACAGTACAAATAATGTGCTCACTTCCTTCAACTGGGAGCCATCAATAGGGTGTCAATTTAAAACAATTCATCTCCAGAAAAACCAAGTTCAGCTTAACTGGACTAGTTTTGGCTCAATATATTAAGAAAAATGTTTAACAGAAAACTGGACTTTAAGTAACTATATGGATGTAAGTAAAATCTGTTCTTACCTACCCGCATAGCAATAAAACCTTTCCTCCTGGTTCTGACTGCTAGTCCTAAGAGTCAGGTGTGCCTTACTCTTGTCTGCCTCCTTCCTTGCGATGATCACTGATATTTCACTCCCTCCTAGCTTTCATGGAGCGTGCCGTGGCCTGCCCCTGGCTTATCTGTACTCCACATACCACAAGTGTCTACTCTCAGCTGTAGAGTGTCTGAGCTCGGAGCCATTCGCGCTATACTTGCTAGCAGTTCCTAGTAGCTGAACATCTCTCCTGGATCTTTAAAGGCATTGTCACGAATCCTGAGGTATCTGCAAACTCCCTCAATAGTTAGGGTTCCACCTGCTATTGCAAACTCAGCCAGTATCATGGAACTATCACCCATGCTTTCCCACCCACCACCACCTCCCACCCACCTCCCACCACCCTCCTCCTCCCCAAACTTCCAACACACCCATGGGATGGAATATACAGTCCTATTGATAGACAAATCTCTATGCTACTAGGTACAATAGCACTGAAATTGAGAGAGCACCAAAGGTAAGGCTCAAAAGAATCTATGTACAAATAACACATTATTGGATATTAACTGTTAAAGGTTTAGAAATCATTTTCTATACAATTAACATTTTAGGTAGGTTGTGTGACCCCTTGTGCCATAAAGGGAAACTGCAGTTAACATGAAATTATGTAGAAAAATTTAGTTTCTATTGGTATGGTTTGAATCTCCAAATTAATTAGTATAGTTAACTGATAGAACCTCTGAAGGCCCACCCAACCAGAACCCAGTCAAACTGCAGTTTTCCTTTAATGTAAGCCTATCTTTACGTTCATTAAAATGCTTTCTGATATTAGTTATTTTTAAAAGGCCTCCCAGACACTTCAAATCTGCGGATTTATGGAGCGGCATTAGCCAGCAGCTAGTTTCTATTCCCTGGCAGAGCTTTGAACTTGAATTGTGATAGAAGCATTCAACATTATTATCAGGGGGAGTGGGTAGGGAAAGTCCAAATCTCTGCCAGTCCCAAATCCATACAGTTGTCATTTCATTCAAGAGAATTAAATCGTTTATTGATTACACATGATAATGGATACACAAGCTTCATTCCCATCTATAATTTTATCTGGTACCATTATTCAATTTAGATATATTGCATAGGATGTGCCAACAATCACTTTTATAACCATTCCATGATTTTGCTTGGGTAATCCCTTTTAATGGTGAACTTCAGGTCACAACAGTAACTATCAGTTCAACTACACCAAGGTTTCCGAAGACAATGGCTTCTCCACCCAAGCAGGTTGTATATAAATTCCAAATAGAACCTGGCATCACCCTGAAGGAATTCTAACTTCACACTGTTGGGGAAATTTACCAAGATGGCTTAAGAGTAGACTAACTTTACACAGCACATTAAAAAAAAGACATTTATTCAGCGTCACGATCAGACTGTTACATTTAGCAATCAACAGCATGGGGTGCAAAAAAAAAAATCTACATTAAAACCCTTTGTTGGAATGCTTTACACTTTCCACAGAACAGAAACTAAAATAACCTGTTATACAATTAGTCACAAATACAGTCCTCGAGTTTTTTGCCCATACACATGAGTATTTGTCTAAAACATGTCTTCTTTGTAGCAGCTAGGCCCTGCCACCACTGTGCTTGGCTGAGTTCACAAATCTGTTGTAACCTGTAGCTTCCCTGTCACTTCTCTGGCTCTCCTCTCCTGCTAAGCTTTGTTTCCTGTTGAACAATATGGAATAAAGTTGTTAATCTAAACATATTAAGACTCAAGGCTACAATCCAATATCAAGTTTGTTTCCCACAAATTTTGCTGATCTGAATATTAACTTTATATCCACAATTACTGCAATTATAATGTTAACTATGTTGCACTGCTCAGCTACATTAGGGTTATTGGGTTCATCAGCAATTTAAAAAATTATGTCAACACACAAAAAGGTGCTTACTTACCTAATTAAAATCTTCTGCCACTGCCATAGCTACTGCTGCTGCTGGAACCGCCATAGCCACCTGAAAAGTACAATTTTTCTTTTAAAGTTTCAAAGTGCCAACAGTAATGTTTTCATATTTGGGATAATAAAAGTTAAATTCAAGTGTCTGGCCATTTAAAAATGGCCCTACTACAAGGGAGGTGGTAAAGAGGTCCCATGATTTTTCTAATTTGTGATCAAATTATCACTTTCTGAAGGTTCTAAACTATAAACGTTTTGCTGCCCAGACATAGCAGTTAAAGGGCTTTCTTCCCAGCAGTAGCTACAGACACTCTTTTGACATTATCCAAAATTACATAGATACCATACCTTGGTTTCGTGGTTTTGCAAAGTATTGGCCTCCACCGCCATAGGGGCCAGAGCTTCTGCCTCCAAAATTTCCTCCCTTCATGGGTCCAAAATTTGAAGACTGATTGTTGTAATTCCCAAAATCATTGTAGCTTCCACCACCTCCAAAATTGCTTCCTATGAATGGGAAAGAGGGCCTTTATCTGTTACCTGAGGATGATGTTAGTTTCCAATTCTGTTTAGCAGTCAGAATAAAATAAGGTTGAGTTATCAGCCTTCCTTTCTCCCAAACTATGGTGACTCCAATCTTTGCATTTCATTCTCTGGGAAAGGCATTCAGTTGAATAATCCAGTAATACAAAGAAAACTGGCCTAACTCACCATGACATAAAATAAAGAGATTTTCAGAGTGGCACAAGCATACCCTTCAGCCTTGAAGGCCTTCACGGATCCAGGGCCACAGCAAGCAGAAGTATCTTGGATACATCAACTAAGCGCCTAAGGTCCCAAAGGAGTTAAAATACTAAATCCTTCTATGATACTAATCTAACTCAAAGACAACACTATCCACTTATCTCTACTATTTGGGAGTGAGGCGGCCCCAGCTTAAAGCTAGGAGGAGGTAGCATAGCAAGCCCATTTGTTTTTAATATACCATGCAGTGTACCACACAATGCTTCAACAGCACCAGAACCCAAGCTCTAAAAGGCTAATCTAGCTGTCACACCAAGTACTTGGATCACTGGATACCTACCACTACCACCGCCAAAGCCGCCTCCGCCTCCGTTGTTATAGCTGTCATAGCTGCCACTCCCGCCATAGCCACTGCCCTGGTTTCCATAACCCTGTCCACCACTTCCATAGCCTCTGCTTCCTCCAGAGTAACCAGGGCCGCCTCCTCCATAACCACCTACAAGAATACAATTCTTCTCAATAAGACAAAAGTATTTGACAATGAAAACTTGTGCAAGTGTAACGGCTGAAGGCCTGCTCACAGCATGCGTGTTATGGGCAAAGTTGAGTTTGACATGCACCAGAATTTTAGTCTCTACTAACCTATTCTAAAGATCCAGGTTGCCAGGAATTTTTCTCTACTTATTCCTAAAAAACTTACCATCATTACCAAATCCATTATAGCCATCCCCACTGCCACCATATCCACCACCACCACGGCTGCCACCAAAGCCACCTGTAAGAAAAAGTTTCAAGTTTTAAGTATGACTTGGACTTAAAGTGACATTCTGAATGCAGTTCCCGTACTGTAAAATCTTCATAGCAAAGATGGTGAGAAGTCAGAACTACATGTAGATAAACCATACATACCACGACCACTGAAGTTTCCTCCACGACCGAAGTTGTCATTCCCACCGAAACCACCTCCACGACCACCACCAAAGTTTCCAGAACCACTTCGACCTTAAGACATGAAGTTTAAGCATTAAATCATTCATACTGGAGTAACTCAAAGTTACCTTTAAGGTTTAATTAAGCAACAAGCATACCTCTTTGGCTGGATGAAGCACTAGCCATCTCTTGCTTTGACAGGGCTTTTCTAACTTCACAGTTGTGGCCATTCACAGTATGGTATTTCTGAACTAAAAAAAAAACATAGATACAACATGGTATCAGGGTTTAGAATGCCATACAGATTGTGGAACCCTTACTAAATGCCACTATCTGATACTTACTGACAATCTTATCCACGGAGTCATGGTCGTCAAAGGTTACAAAGGCAAAGCCCCTTTTCTTGCCACTGCCTCGGTCAGTCATGATTTCAATCACTTCAATTTTTCCATACTGTTCAAAATAATCTCTTAGGTGATGTTCTTCAGTGTCTTCTTTAATGCCACCAACAAATATCTTTTTCACAGTTAAGTGGGCACCTGGTCTTTGAGAATCCTAATAGGAGAAAAACCATAGGTTTAGATTAGCAAAGCCTATACTCGAATAAAAAATTTTGGTAAGTTTAGAAAACTCCCGAATCTTAAGTCCATAGCAGCACATATCCAAGTAAGTTTAAGAAGAAGAAGAAAAAAAACCCACTCACTTCTCTGGAGACAGCTCTCTTTGGTTCCACAACTCTTCCATCCACCTTGTGTGGCCTTGCATTCATAGCTGCATCCACCTCCTCCACAGTGGCATATGTGACAAACCCAAAGCCCCTGGAGCGCTTGGTGTTTGGATCTCTCATTACCTGAGAACAGTGTTAATTTATGTAACACAAAGTCTGACCGCAAAAGCTTTTGTCATTTTAACTTTGAATAGGGCAATAGGAAACTTTACACCAGCCTTTTATAAAAAGTCGTCCAGTTTCCCACTACCCTAGATTTAAGAGGTAGCTTTTAAAATCAAAGCAGGACGTTCCTTTGCCAACAAAGCTCTAACTATAATGCTATTAACTACTTTCATAAGCATTCGGAGAAGACTGCACCAAGATAAGCCAAGGAAATCGGCTGTTTTACTGCTTTGTCCCTTCCAAATCTTACCACACAGTCCGTGAGCGTTCCCCATTGCTCAAAATGGCTCCTCAGGCTCTCATCAGTTGTTTCAAAGCTCAACCCTCCAATGAAGAGCTTCCTCAGCTGTTCGGGCTCTTTAGGAGACTAGAGTGGGGGGAGGGGGAAGTGTTAAATGGGCTACAACACGAAACAATTTCCATCGAGGAAAAGAAAAACTAGACACCAACTGTGTACCTAGCACTTATTGTTCGTTCAGGTCGCAACAAGACACGTGCTTCTGCCTATCAAGGGAGGCCGTATGCTGGAGTTGGGAGTGCTAGGAAATCGCAAGCGCATGCGTCCCTAGTCGCCTTCCGACGCACGCGCAACAAAGGCTTGGGCGGTAGGGGTGCATCTCCACAATGGGACTAATCGCTCTTTAGAAAACTCGCTCACCAAGGCAAGGTTTAAAAAAAGACAAAGATCCTGTGTGCCTAAGAATTTTGCTACGAGTAACGAGTCCCGCATGATAACTCATGGTTGGCGGAGAGCGGCCTCATGGCGATCAAGAGGACAAAATGGCGACTTGAACTTTGGGAGGGGTAGGCCGTGGCAGCGACCGAAGGAACTGTAGAATGGGCTGGTGCAAGGAACGAAACCCAGCAGCATCTTACCGATTCAGGAAAGGGAGAGGAAAAAATTCAAGTGGGAAAGCGCGCCTAACTCACCTCTGACTTAGACATGACGGCAGGGTGAAGAGAGACTTTAACGATGCTTCTTCGGCGGCGTCCACGGGCAGAAAGGAGCAAGCTGACGAACGTATCTGCCAGCCTACCTTCGCCCTCTCTTTTTTACCCCGCCTCCTCGCTTTCGGCATTGGTAGACTCCGCCCTGGAACAGCTCTGATTGGATACTTGAAATCGCTTCCCCCTGCTATTGGCCTGTGGTGCCACATTGCTGTGTAACGTCATTCCTTCGGTCGTTCTACGCCGTCTCCACCCCTTGGAGTCCATTGGTTCCCGAGTAATGTTATTGTTAACCAGTCTGATTGGCCAACCGACCAATCATTCACATTTGAATCTACCTTGGGTGTTTAACATCTTTTTAATCTTCCACGCGCAAATATTACAGTCAAGTCGCTTGGCAAAGCATGATTAACACTATGTATTAGACAAGCAGCCAGGAGGTAACAATTTTTTTGCAATGAACTCTTGTTGACCGCACGTGTAGTAAAATGGCGAGTTTTGCGCAGGCGCATTAAGAAGTTCCACCTGCCTCTGAGAACACGTGAAATGGCGGGCAGGAGTAGGCAGTGAACCTACGGCGCCTGCGTGTTGGCGGGAGTTTGTCCTAGCTTTGCGCATGCGTAGTGGGCGGAGAAAAAAGGTCCGGTCCCAGGATTGGTTGCGCAGGCGCAGGGAAGGATCCGTTTTGGCGGGCGGTTGGCGTTGCGCAGAAGGCGGCGGCGGTGGTGGCTTGTGGTGCGGCCTCACCATACAGGAACAGGGCAGACGTTAGCGTGAGTGATCACTCTCAATCCCGGGTAAGTGGCAGACAGTCTTATCTACCCATAGTAGGTCTTGAACTGACTCCATTTGGGCCCGTTATTGTGTGAAATGAATGGACGGCGGGGTGGGGGGATAGTGAAGGGGCAGCGGTGGGTCGGGCCAACCAATAGAAGAACAGGGGGCGGGATGTTTTAATCCCCGTAGGTTCTTTGGAGCTGTGCAGCCGAAGACTTTGACTGGCTTGTGTATAGGCCAATTGGGTCTGCCTTGAGCTGCCGACTGATCGGCCCTTGGGCCATCGGAATGTGGGAGACGGGTTTTCCCCTTCTGAGCAGCGTCTCACTGAGCCAGTGAGCAGGAAGCGCGCGGTAGGTTGGGCTTCTCCAGGAGGCAGCGGTTTGACTCCAATGGGGAATGCGGGATCGGGCGGTTAAACGGATGGAACGAATCTGGAACCAGTAGACGGACAGCCTAAGGAAAGCGCTGGGACCAGTCGTCCAATCGGCTCTCCAAAAGAGGGAGGTCTTCGATTTGGGGTTGTGAGGAAGGGGAGTCGGTGCCTGTAATGGCGTGTGAGGGTGGATGTTTTATCCACGATGACTTCTCTAACGAAGCCTTTAGGCCTCAGTCCCATACACCTCCTTGAAAGCGTAAGTTTGCTCCTGTATTCCTCGACTTGAGCATTTTTCCCCCGCCCCCTCACCACTTGAGGTTTGGGGAACAGGAGTTGTTTTTTTTTGTTTGTTTGTTTTTAAATAATACTTTCAGAAGTCGCTTCTTTAGGAAGACTGTTAAAATGTTAGAACGAATGGGAGAAATCTCTATGTACTGTCATGGAAAGGCGTTCAAGAAATATCTCCTTCCTGATAGTGCATATTTCTACTGACAAATATGTTTGTAGGTCCACAGAAAAGTTTTGGAAAGCTACACACCAAAGTGTCAATCCTAGGGACACAGTAGGATCGAGGCAGATTAGATCTTTAATGTTTAAAACTTTGCAAGGTTAATAATTTGTGATTAAAATTAAATAAAAAATGAAGTCGATTGTTTTGTGTTTCTAGTCATAATCACATACTTACAACCCCTTTTCTGTTTTATGTAATCCATGTGCCCAGTGCTTTTATTTTAGTCTCTTTCTCCCGGGAACTTTCATATATTTCTTTTCTTTACACCATTGAAGATATCCTAAAGTCCCTCTTTTTGCTGTTCCTTTGAGGATATCTGACTTTGGAATAAAAAAGAAACAAAGAGGGTAATATTTAGGGTTCTGGGGACAGAAGATTCATCCATCACCTGGATTATTCCTTGCCTTTTAATTAGATTTCCTTCGAAGTGTGTTTTACATGCAGTCTATCTCCTTTTGGTAATGCCCACTCTGCTTATTCCAGGATCTTTTGGAGAAATAAATAAATTTTGATAACATTGGCTGTATCAGAGTCTTACTGCTTTATTCAATAATTTATTCAGGATCAAGGGAAAATATTTAAATACTGAAAATCAACTACCTATGAAATACACTTATAATTAGAGACCTTTCCGACTTTATACCAAAGACAGACGATTTTAATAGCAGTTTATGAACAGAGGAGAGATTTCCATGTTCTCTGGCACTAGCAAAAGGACAAACCTATAATTTATACCTGGCTGTAAACCTATTTGTAGGTATGCTAGTAATGGAGTTGCTGAGCTTCTGAGAACTAAAGTGATACTGGTTAAGGGTATCTGTCCTGGATTTATTTAGGTTTGGAAGGAATACAGTCTTGACCTACAGCAAGGTTTCTCAGCATTAGCACTGTTGGTATTTTGAGGCAGATAATTCTTTGTTGAGGGTGCTCGGAGTGTCCTGTGCATAGTAAAATATTTAGCAACATTCCTGGCCTCTACCCACTGTATGCCAGTAACATCGCATCACTCGCCACATCCCCATTTGTGACAGATTGTTTCCAGACATTGCCAAATGTCCGGGGAGGTAGGGATGGGGGATAAAATCTCCCTTGGTTGAAAACCATTCATTTAAAATACTGGAGTATGCAGGGCACAGTTTCGTGTTCCTGTAGTCCCAGCTACTCTGGAAGCTGAGGCTGAGGTAGGAGGCTTGAGTTCAGGAGGTCAAGGGTGCAGTGTGAGATGATTATGCCTGTGCATAGCCACTGCACTCCAGTCTGGGCAGCACAACAAGATCCCATTGCTAAAAAAATAAAAATAGAACACTAGAGTTTATTATTTTTTCAAAATCCATTATTTTACCAATTGGAAAATAGGTAAAGGTGAGAAGATGGTTGAAATGTTTAGGGAGTGGCCTTTGGTAAATGGATCACTAAATCCTGATGTTATCTCCTTAGATACAGAATTGATCATTGTTCCATTTAATAAAAGGAAATTTTTATTAAAATTTTTACCACTTGGTCTGGCGCCGGTGGCTCATGTCTGTAATCCCAGCACTTTGGGAGGCCAAGGTGGGCGGATCACTTGAGGCCAGGAGTTTCAGACCAGCCTGGCCAACAAGGTGAAACCCGTCTCTACTAAAAACAAAAATTGGGCTGAGCGTGGTGGCTCATGTCTGTAATCCCAGCACTTTGGGAGGCCGAGGCGGGTGGATCACTTCAGGTCAGGAGTTTGAGACCGGCCTGGCCAACATCGTGAAACCCCGTCTCTACTAAAAACACAAAAAATTAGCCAGGTGTGGTGGCGGGTGCCTGTAATTCCAGCTACTCGGGAGGCGGAGTCAGGAGAATTGCTTGAACCCAGGAAGCAGAGGTTGCAGTGAGCCGAGATTGCGCCACTGCACTCCAGCCTGGGCGACAAAGCAAGAGTCCGTCTCAAAACAAAAAAACCCACAATAATTAGCCAGTCATGGTGGTGGGCGCCTGTAATCCCAGCTACTCAGGAGGCTGAGACGGGATAATCGCTTGAACCTGGGAGGCAGAGTTTGCAGTGAGCCGAGATGATGCCACTGCACCCCAGTCTGGGCGACAGAGTGAGACCTTGTCTCAGAAAAAAAAAGTTTTTACCACTTTTTGCTGCTTAAACTTACACATACGATTGATTGCATCTTGTCCTTGTTTGGCTTCCTAAAATAATGGCAAATATGTTTTTGAAGAAGGTAGACTTTGCCTCACATCCTTCTTTTTCACTTGATTCTAGCTAGCCTCTTTCTTTTCCTGGGATTCTTTTGGATCCACGTCTCAAAACTTTTTTGACCGCAATAAGAAATATATTTTACACTAATCCTGTACACACATTGAAACATTTCACTAAACGTGCAGAGTACTCTGATATTCTTTTGTCTGCAGTATACTATTTCATTGTCTTAAGAAAGCAGTCAATTTCCATTGAACTGATTTCACAGCTGTTTATAGACCCAGGGTTTTGGGGGAAAAAGACTGCTGATCTGAAGAATAGGTCACCAAATCATGCCAACTTTGATTGCTTTCTGAGTCAGTTCCTTCCATCTCCAGCCCCAGCCACTTGTACAGATGGTCCCTTGCTTGTGATATTTCGACTTAAGATTTTTCACCTTTACAACGGTGTGGAAAGCAATTTGCATTCAGTAGAAACCATATTTCAAGTATCCACATAACCATTCTGTTTTTCACTTTCGGTACAGTAATCAACCAATTACATGAGATATTCAACACTTTATTATAAAACAGGCTTTGTGTTAGGTGATTTTGTCCAACAGTAGGCTAATGTAAGTATTCTGAACACATTTAAGGTAGGCTAGGCTAAGCTATGATGTTCAGTAGATTAGGTGTAGGAAATGAATTTTCAATTTTTCATATTTTCAACCTATGATGGGTTTATCAGGACATAACCCCATCAAGGAGTATCTATGTAAACAGATTAAGCAGTGACCCATTATTTGGTGTTTTTACTCATGTGTTTTACTTTGAAAGATTATAGGAGCCAAACCGAGACTTTCTAGTTTACTGTCGTGTGCAAGTGAAAACTGCTTGTTTTATTGTGAAGTCTCACAATGCTTAAAGAGGGAAAACAATAAAAATATTGCAAAATGTCTCCCAATGTGATAGGTTTTTTTTTTTTTTTTTTTTGGAATGGAGTCTCGCTCTTGTTGCCCAGTCTGGAGTGCGGTGGCACGATCTTGACTCACCTCAACCTCCGCCTCCCAGGTTCAAGCAATTCTCCTGCTCCAGCCTCCTGAGTAGCTGGGATTACAGGCATACGTCCGGCTAATTTTTAGTAGAGACGGGGTTTCTCCATGTTGGTTAGGCTGGCCTCAAACTCCTGACCTTAGGTGATCTGCCTGCCTTGGCCTCCCAAAGTGCTGGGATTACAGGTGTGAGCCACTGTGCCCAGCCTCCAATGTGGTAGTTAATAGATATGATGAACTTTTCTCTCTGGTGGTGAAATTTTAGTGGGTAATTTTTCATTGAAATTCTGGTACTATCACAGAGTTAGAAATCCTAACTTCCAATGTGATACGTGTTGGGCCTCTAATTACAGAAGTTATAACGCTTGTGCTTAGAACTTAGAGACATACTGCCTGGGCGCAGTGGCTTATGCCTGTAATCCCAGCACTTTGGGAGGCCGAGGCGGGCAGATCATGAGTTCAGGAGATTGAGACCATCCTGGCTAACACGGTGAAACCCCATCTCCGCTAAAAATACAAAAAATTAGCCGGGCGTGGTGGCACACGCCTGTAGCCCCAGCTACTCTGGAGGCTGAGGCAGGAGAATTGCTGAGCCTGGGAGGCGGAGGTTACAGTGAGCCGAGATTGCACCACTGTACTCCAGCCTGGGTGACAGAGCGAGACTGTCTCAAAAAAGAAAAAAAAACTTAGAGACATACCTACTATTGCAACCAAATCTAAAAGGGGTGTTTACTAAAGGGGAATATATTCTGTCTGAAAACTAGTAAGTGGAAAGCTTCAATTTGGGTAGTAGGTGAGCAGGATGATAGTTGGGGAAAGAAAGAGTGAGCCTACATTTGAAGCGGCTGGATTTGTATATGGCTAGGGAAATTCTGGAGATTCTCAGAGCCCTTAACAATACTCTAGAAAAGAGAAAGGTTTGGTATCAGGGTACAAAGATTTTTGAGGAAGACTAAGTCGCTTTTTGTTTCTATTGAGATTTGTTTGTTTTTGAGACAGAGTCGCGCTCTGTCACCCAGGCTAGAGTGCAGTGGCGTGATCTCGGCTCACTGCAACCTCTGCCTCCCGGATTCAAGCGATCCTCCTGCCTCAGCCTCCCGAGTAGCTGGGACTACAGGCACGTGCCACCATGCCTGGCTAATTTTTTTGTATTTTTAGTAGAGACAGGATTTCACCGTGTTAGCCAGGATGGTCTCAATCTACTGACCTCATGATCCAACCGCCTCGGCCTCCCAAAGTGTTAGAATTACAGGCATGAGCCACTGTGCCCGGCTCTATTGAGGTCTTTAACCACATAGCATGATTTCCATATCTTATTGGTATAGCCCATTTAATTAATAACTGTCCTGGTAAAGCATTTCTAGTCTTTATTTTGTCCTTTTACTTAGATTATTTTTATTTCCATTCATCTTACATGAAACTGGGCCTAAAGCTGTGTTATGGATATTGATTTTAAAAGTAATAAATTACAACATGAGATACCACTTGACTTAGTATGGCTGTTTACATATCTGCTATTCGTGAACTCGGACTCTGGGCAATCATCTTTTTCTCCTGATATAAACTTTTATTTTTCTTCCTTGCTTATAGAGAATGATTTTAACTGATCATTGTACTAATAGGAAGGAGTCCAGGTCATCCTGAGAAGAGTTCGCTTGTCCAGAGTCCAAGATGCAGATTTGTTGGATTTCTGTAAGCCACTCGAAGCCACATATTCATTTCTGATGACAGCTTTACACTTGTGCTGGAAGAACACCCACTGTGACAACTGCTGCCTATGTTTAGTCTGTCCAGGAGCTCTACCAACTAGCATGTTTGCAGAAAAACCTACACTGTTCTTGTTAGCAGCTATGTAAATATTAGATCTTTCTGAGTTTCTCTTCTCAGATCTGCCAATTTCTTTGGGGCAAATTGTATCCTGCAGTAGCCTCAATTTACCCTTTGAAATGAGGGATTAAAGGTTTTAGACATTCTTTGGGTTATCTGAAACACAATTCTTTTTGGATCAGTAATGTTTTATATATGTCCACTTTATGATGTTTAAAATTTTATTCCCCCTATGTATTAGTTTCCTGTGGCTGCTATAACAAATTACCACAGACTTGGTGGTTTAAAACAAGAGGAATTTATTCTTCTCAAAATTTTGGAGCCCAGAAGTCTGCAATCAAGATATTGAGGCCCCTCTGGAGGCTCTAGGAGAGAGACTGTTCTTTGCCTCTTTTAGCTTCTGATTATGGTCAGCATTCCTTGGCATATCTCTCTGTTCTGTTTTCACATTGTCTTCTCTTTTGAGTACTTGCATCAGAACTCTCCCTCTACCTGTGTATTATAAGGATACATATGATTGCAATTAAGAAACCACTTGGATGAACCAGGATAAATTTCTCCAATCCTATCTTTTAATTCAACCTGAGAGAGCAGATTTAAAATATATTTTATTCCTAAAGTGGCAGGTCCCTGAAAAAAAAATGTAGATTCATGTTTATTTTGAGACAGAGTCTCGCTTTGTCACCCAGTCTGGAGTGCATTGGTGTGATTTTGGCTCACTGCAACCTCCGCCTCCCAGGTTCAAGCTATTCTCCTGCCTCAGCCTCCTGAGTAGCTGGGATTACAGGTGCCTGCCACCGTGCCCGGCTAATTTATGTATTTTTGATAGAGACAGGATTTCACCAGTTTGCCAGGCTGGTCTAGAACCCTTGACATCAGGTGATCCGCCTGCCTCAGCCTCCCAAAGTGCTGGGATTACAGGCATAAGTCACCGCGCCCGGCCGGATTCATCTTTTAATCACATCTTTTGCTATATAAAATAACATTTACAGGTTCAAGGGATTAAGATAAGAATCTCTTTGGGGGAGGGCCATCATTCAGACCACTACACATTGGTTCCCTAACCTCTACCCAAATAGATTTGAGCTAATTCAGAAAAGAAAATGTTATTTTTAAAGAAACAGAGGCAAGTGAAAAAAGGCTCAGAAACCTGGGTTCTTGTCCTGCCTCTGCCATTATCTAATGGTGTAACCATGGGTGAGCCATTTGCCCTCTTTAGTCCTTAGTTTCTTTATCTTATAGGGAAGGAGTTGGATAAGTGATCGTTAACAAGCCTTCTAGACCTAAGACTTTATGAAGTGATTCCTAAGTCATCTTGGAGTTTGTTTTTTAAGTCAATAATTTAAAATGTGAATCAAAACATTACAAATTACAACATTTTGGGTGAGGGTAGTCCTGTTCTTGCCTAGGACTTGAAGGATGGAAGACTGAGCTGTTGGCTGACTGTCAACTCCTTGGGGTATTAACACAGGATAACTAACCTGTATTTGTTAGCTGTGTGCTTAAACCTTTCTGAAGAAAAGATTTTCTACAAGGGATGTAATAGACTAGCTGGAACATTTTCACTACATTTTTAGTGAGACTATAGACTGTGTAGCCTGAATTTTCTTTCCAGTAGTAGTAGTTCATCAAAATTAAACACTGACAGATTTTTTTCTACCTGAAACTAGGTCATAGAGTAAAAATTTTCACTTGCAGTCTTACTCTTCAGACTCACTGAATGCCTGTTCCATCCTGTTTCATTGCTAGGAAGGACACTAGATAAAGCCATGAGCTTGAGATGGTGTACTTGAAAGGACCGTTTCAAGATCAGGTTTTATAACACACTCATTATTTATTTCTTCTGTGGAGAGGAGAAACCAAATTGGATTCAAGTATTTTTCTGATAGTAATCTATGTTTCTTAGAATAAAGCAAGTTCATATCTGAGCCAGAGGGCATAATTATGTCAGAATAAAATATAATTATGTCGGAATAAAATGCCCTGTACTAAAGAGGTCAACTAACAGGCTGGGAAATCTTAAGTTTTGTTTTTAAGACAAATCCTTGAACTCTCTGTGCCTCGTTTCTCATCCCTAAATCTGTGCAACTCACCTCACAGGGAGTTGTGGAGGGTAATATACTGCTAATTTGTTCAGTGTTTCACAACAATAAATTATGCCTAAGATCTGATAAAACATAGCAAACCTCATTTATGTAAGTAGAGACAAGCATGGATAAGACTTACAGATAATAAAGAAAATTCATTAAAATTTTTTTAACTTCCTTGATTATTAAACATTTTTCCTTCTGTTTCCTATATATTTTCCAAAGTATTTTCCTATTGTTTTTCCATAATAGACTTATGAGATAGGGCAAATAACAAACACCAGGTTATATAATAAATGAATAAATTCATCAAGCGGACATAACAATCCTAAATGTCCTAAAAGCTAATAATAAAGCTTCAACATACACAAAGGAAAACAGAAATGAAGTAACAAGCCAGGTGCAGTGGCTCACGCCTGTAATCCCAGCACTTTGGGAGGCTGAGGTGGGTGGATTACCTGAGGTCAGGAGTTCCAGATCAGCCTGGCCAACATGGTGAAACCCTGTCTACTAAAAATACAAAAATTATCTGGGCATGGTGGCGTGCGCCTGTAATCCCAGCTACTTGGGAGGCTGAGGCAGGAGAATCGCTTGAACCTGGGAGGTGGAGGTTGCAGTGAGCGGAGATCGCGCCACTGCACTCCAGCCTGGGTGACAGAGCAAGACTCCGTCTCAAAAAAAGAAAAGAAAAAGGAAATAACAGACATCTGCAATTATATTTGGAAATTTCAGTGCCTCTCAGTAATTGATAAAACAGGTAGATGAAATCAGTAAGGAAACGGAAGACTTGAACAACACTACCAACAACCTGATATAATTGACATTTATAGAATAGTACAAGCAACAGCAGAATACATGTGCTTTTCAGGTGCACATGGAACTTTTACACAGACAGTTTACCTTCTGGGTCAATAAGTCTCAAATTCAAAAGGATTCAATCATAAAGGTTTTTTAAAAAAATTTAAACGGGGTCTTGTTCTGTCACCCAAGCTGGAGTGCAGTGACACAATCAACTCACTGCAGCCTGAAACTCCTGGGCTCAAGTGATCCTCCTGCCTCAGCCTTCTGAAAAGCTGGGACCACTGGCATGTGCCACCATGCTCAGCCACCCACCCTTTTTTCTTTTTTTGTAGAGACAGGGTCTCGTTATGTTGCCCGGATTGGTGTCAGACCCCTGGGCTCAAGTGATCCTCTCATCTCAGCTTCCCAAAGTGCTGGGATTACAGGCATGAGCCACTGTGCTTGGCCAAGGTATGTTTATTTCCTGATCATAGTGCAATTAAATAAAAAATCAGTAACAAAGACATCAAGAAAAATCCCTAAATATTTTGAAATTACACAACACACTTCTAAGTAACCCACCTACAAAGAGGAAATTACAAAGAAAACTAATACTTGGAACTGAATGAAAATGAAAAGATGATATATCAAAACTTTTAGAATGAGGCTAGGTGCTGTGACTGATTCCTGTAAACTCAACGCTTTGAGAAGCTGAGGCGAGAGGATCACTTGAGCTCAGGAGTTCAAGACCAGCCTGGGCAACATAGTGAGACCTAGTCTCTAGAAAAAATTAAAAAGTATCCAGGAGTGGTGGTTTGCCAGTAGTCCCAGCTAGTTGGGAGGCTGAGGTGGGATGCTTACTGGAGCCTGGGAGATCAAGGCTGCAGTGAGCTATGATCCTGCCACTGCACTTGAGCCTGGGTGGCAGAGACCCTATCTCAAAAACAAAACAAAATTGTGGGATGCAGTTAAGGAAGTGCTTAAAGGGAAATTTATAGCATTAAGTACTTTAACAACAAAAGCAGGTCACTGACAGGTTTGGCCCTGTGAACCTAGAAAAAGAACAAATTAAATCCAAAATAAACAAGAAAATAGTAATGATAAAAGCAGCAATTAATGGGATATAGAACAATAGAGAATAGAAAAAAACGGAAAGTTCTTTGAAAAGATCAATAAAATTGATAAATCAGGAAAAAAGATACTAATTAACAATATTAGGAACTAAGGAATATCACTATTGATCCTACAGATAATAAGGGAATATTTTGAAAAACGATACGAATACATTCAATGTCTTAGTTGAAGTTAGTAACTTCCTTGAAGACAAACTACCAAAACTCACTTAAATACAGAACCTTGGGTGGGCATGGAGGCTTACACATGTAATCTCAACATTTTGGGAGGCCAAGAGTTCAAGACCAGCCCAGGAAACATAATGAGACCTCTCTACAGGCAAAAAGAAGAAAACGTCAGAACCTTACTAGCCCTATCTCTATTAAGGAAAAGGGATTTTTAGATAGAAATAATCCCACAAAGAAAACGCCAGGCCCAGGCCAAGCATGATGGCTCATGCCTGTAATCCCAGCACTTTGGGAGGCTGAGGTGGGTGGATCACGAGGTCAGGAGTTCAAGACCAGCCTGGCTAGCATGGTGAAGCCCCGTCTCTACTAAAAATACAAAAATGAGCCAGGCATGGTGGTGTGCTCCTGTAGTCCCAGCTACTCGGGAGGCTGAGGCAGGAGAATCGCTTGAACCTCAGAGGCGGAGGGTGCAGTGAGCTGAGATTGCACCACCGCACTCCAGCCTGGGCAACAGAGCAATCTCTGTCTCAAAAGAAAAAGAAAACTCTGAGCCCAGATGGCTTCACTGAAGAATTTTACCAAACCTTTTAGGAAGAAATACCAATTTTATACAACAAACTCTTCCAGAAAACAGAAGCAGGAACGCTTAAAACAGTTATTTATTTATTTATTTTGAGAAGGATCCTCGCTCTGTCACCCTGGCTGGAGTGTAGTTGTGCAATCTCGACTCACTGCAACCTCCGCCTCCTGGGGGGTTCAAGCGATTCTCCTGCCTCAGCCTCCTGAGTAGCTGGGACTACAGGCACGTGCCACCACGCCTGGCTGCTGTTTTGTAGTTTTAGTAGAGACAGGCTTTCACCGTGTTAGCTGGGATGGTCTCTCTCCTGACCTCGTGATGCGCCCACCTCAGCCTCCCAAAGTGCTGGGATTATAGGCGTGAGCCACCGTGCCTGGCCCAAAACAGTTATTTTTAACTTCATCTACTATCAGACATTTAACTTCTATTTGCTTTATATTTTTCAAGTATTTTCTTGTTTTTCCCACAACAGATGTTTAAGTAGGGCTAATAACTAACACCCATGAGAGTCAATGAAGTTGTCCAATTTGACCTTTTAATGATCTAGTTGGGTTAGGACCCACATGTACTTATTCCTGTCCTGATCTTTCCACTATTGACAAGTTACCTTTTACCTTTTCTATAACAACCTTTGGAGAAGTTGCTAACTTGACCAAGGAGAAACTTCAAAAATCCTCGCCTTAAAATTGGAAACTGGAATAGACTGTGCTCATGCAATGCTTGACACTTTTTAGGCCCTCAATAAATATCTCATAATCAACCAATTTTAGAGCAAGGATCAGAATTACTATATTAATCATATCTTTGGCATAGGATTTGAATTGGGAATGTAGTTGGAAATTGGACAAAAAGGGAGTCAGAAAAATCTCATGTAACACATCAAAACACTCACTTGAAGAGCTGGGTGGTCTGAGATTGCCCATCCCTTTAGCATTTATCTGATGCCTTTCTTTGCATTTAACTGTCAATATAGCTGAAGTTTAGAGCACACTTTTATGATATTGTGGCATAGTAACTCAACTTAAATGTCAATAGAGACACTTGAAAAGACCTGCAAGGTTCGATAACTTCTGGTGTGGGTTTGTTTCTCCTGTCATCACCCATTATGTATTTTTTTTACAGCTTTTAAATTCCCACAGAGAGAAATTGGTCAGGATCATAATACATGGCCCAGGAGCTGCCAAGGATACCCTTGTATTTTTGTTGTTGTTTGTTTGAGATGAAGTCTCGCTCTGTCGCCCAGGCTGGAGTGCAATGGCGCAATCTTGGTTCACTGTAACCTCCGTCTCCCGGGTTCAAGCGATTCTCCTGCCTCAGCCTCCTGAGTAACTGGGATTACAGGCGCCCACCACCACGCCTGACTAATGTTTGTATTTTTGGTAGAGATGGGGTTTCGCCATGTTGGCCAGGCTGGTCTCGAATTCCTGGCTTCAAGTGATCCGCCTGCCTCCACCTCCCAAAATGCTGGGATTATAGGCGTGAACCACCATGCCCAGCCAGATGTCTTCTTTAAACTGATGCTAAGAAAACATAAATTGTCAGCTGTGTGCTGTGGCTCACGCCTGTAATCCCAGCACTTTGGGAGGCCGGGGTGAGTGGATCACAACACGAGGTCAGGAGATCAAGACCATCCTGGCTAACACGGTGAAACCCCGTCTCTACTAAAAATACACAAAAAAAATTAGCCGGGCGTGGTGGCGGGCGCCTGTAGTTCCAGCTACTCGGGAGGCTGAGGCAGGAGAATGGCATGAACCCGGAACATGGAGCTTGCAGTGAGCCGAGATTGTGCCACTGCACTCCAGCCTGGGCGACAGAGCTAGACTCCGTCTCAAAAAAAAAAAAAAGAGAAAAATTGCCTGACTTAACACAGGCTCTTCGTTAAAATGGATGATTTGTTGAAATGACCTGAAGGAGCCTTTGTAACCCTTAAGCTACTGATGTCTAAAATGTGCAAGCTAGATGATGCCATGGTAAAGACTGAGTCTTAATTTTATGGCTGACGTTTGGAAAATGCTTTATGACCATAATTTTATTTGGGGACAAGTGTTTTCAGTATTCTTTTAATCCTTCCATATTTTGTGAACATGATCTGCCAAAGTGGTATGTATAAATCTAAGATTCATGACAATCTACTCAAATGTTGCTGTTACCCATTTTTCTCAAGATTTACTTATGATGAAATTGCCAGGTTCTTTGTGAAAGGTGACGAGGTCTCCAAATTCATGTTTCATTACACTTAAGAGGAGTGGATGTGAGATTAACACCCACCTGAGAATGTGGTGCCTTAAGATGAGTTCAGTACATTTCCAAGGATAAAGTTGTTGGAAAACACCATCTGGAAGGCATTTTCCCATGGTGGTGCCAAATTCTGCTTTCTCATAAATCTTGAAACAATTGGATATTTAACCTCTTGCCCAGTGGTGGGTTTAGGTGTACCCTAACTAAATTTAAAGAAAACTGATACTTTTTTTTAATAGGGCAACATCTTATTCTATAAAATAGAATGCGTGTTTCTGAAAACTGATAGTTGAGAGAAGAAATTGAGTGGATTTTAATAAGAGGGTGAAAAAAAATCCAATATAAAATGATGAGATATCAAGCAAGAATTTTTGTGTTATTGCTAAATACACCAGTTTACCAGACTGATACCTTCAAGCAGTTCTGAAAATTGAGTCTTGTAGCCCACATTCATTTGTAATATATTGGTAATCAGAGCCTGGGGGACATACAACCAAATGGAATTTATAGGGCAGCCTTTATCGTCATTTAGAATGTGTATATATACAATTATTATTTTAAATATTGCGGAGGTCTCACTATGTTTGTTCATGCTGGTCTTGAACTCTGGGCCTAAGCTGTCCTCCTGCCTCAACCTCCCAAATTGTTGGGATTATAGGTGTAAGCCATGGCACCCAG
This sequence comes from Homo sapiens, assembly GCF_000001405.40. Classification (NCBI taxonomy): domain Eukaryota; kingdom Metazoa; phylum Chordata; class Mammalia; order Primates; family Hominidae; genus Homo; species Homo sapiens. Next base: position 54,266,443 of record NC_000012.12, on the reverse strand, counting down.
CCAAGTATATGTTTTTATATTTATTTTTTTATTTTTTATTTTTTTTGAGATGAAGTCTCGCTCTGTCGCCCAGGCTGGAGTGCAGTGGTGCCATCTCAGCTCACTGCAACCTCTACTTCCCAGGTTCCAGCAATTCTCCTGCCTCAGCCTCCTGAGTAGCTGGGATTTCAGATGCCCACCACCATGCCTGGCTAATTTTTGTATTTTTAGTAGAGACGTGGTTTCGCCATGTTGGCCAGGCTGGTCTTGAACTCCTAACCTCAGGTGATCTGCCTCTCAAAGTGCTGGGATTACAGGGTGAGCCACCGCACGCAGCCGTTTTTATCTAAAAGAACAAAAGGCCCTTTACTCCCTTGCTCACTGTAGTAGGAGGTTTCGCCTGGTTTTTTTTTTTTTTAAGACAGAGTCTGCCTCTGTTGCCCAGGCTGGAGTGCAGTGGCACCATCTCCGCTCACTGCAACCTCCACCTCCCAGGTTCAAGCGCTTCTCCTGCCTAAGCCTCCTGAGTAGCTGGGATTATAGACGTGCACCGCCTTACCTGGCTAATTTTTGTATTTTTAGTAAAGATGGGGTTTCACCATGTTGGCCACGCTGGTCTTGAACTCCTGACGTCAAGTGATCGATCTGCCTGCCTCAGCCTCCCAAAGTGCTGGGATTACAGCCGTGAGCCGTTGTGCCCAGCCTCTTGGCCTGATTTTTAAAGGATCATGAACTAGAGCTGTGCTAGCCAATGGGAGAACATTTCTTGCCTCCATGCTCTCTTCTTTTAATAAAGTTTGTGTTGTCTATATGTGGCTCGTTAATGATAGGGGTGTTAACGACCATAGTTAATCTTTCTCTTCAACTCTTTCCTAATCTAGTCTCTTAAACAGACATTTAAAAAGCTTTTAACTCCTCTTGAATTGTGTGCTCATGGGCTTTTGGTGGAGGTGGAGTGATAGTTATCAGCCCATTTAACAAAACCTGAGACAGCCAGGACAGCTGTAATGTGCATCTCTATGCTGTGTTTTTGTTAAAATGCCACATGGCTAATACTTTGGAAATCATAAATCCACTGCAAGAAAACATCTTTATAGGGGATATTTTAGTTTTATGCTGTTTGTGTTACACACCTAAAACCATCAGTACTTCAAGCTCCATAAAGAGCAAGGAACATAGAGCAGATTAAAATGTTTCTGTAAGTTTGGTTTATTTTCATCTGTTTTATTTGCTGCAATAAGGCTATATAGAGGATGCTTTGAAGACAGTGCTGTAGCTGACAATTTAATCTTCACCTAAGCCACTCTCTCCCTAAGGGCCTTAAGGAGAAGTGGGAATCGTGCAAGTCTGGGCCAACTGCAACCACTCATCAATGGCATATCTAATTAATCCATGTGATAGGGAGCTTTGCATATGCGCTCTCCTCTGCTCTTTAACCCTGGCTTACTTCCTAAAGGATTTTGCTTAGTTAGGGGGCTTATAGAATTTATGTTGAAACTCTACAATGGAGAGCTCATTGATTATGCATCTTGACATTTGGTTTGATTACCATCTTTAATTCAGTGGGTAGTTCAGTGAGGCAGCTTACCAATTGGCTTTCTTTTTCTTTTTTTTTTTCTTTGAGATGGAGTTTCACTCTTGTCTCCCAGGCTAGAGTGCAGTGGCGCAATCTTGGCTCACTGCAACCTCTACCTCCCAGATTCAAGCGATTCTCCTACCTCAGCCTCCCCAGTAGCTGGGATTACAGGCACCTGCCACCACACCTGGCTAATTTTTGTATTTTTAGTAGAGATGGGGTTTCGCCATGTTGGCCAGCCTGGTCTCAAACTCCCGACCTCAGGTGATCCACCCACCTTGGCCTCCCAAAGTGCTGGGATTACAGGCATGAGCCACTGCGCCCGGCTGGCTTTCATTCTTAATAAGAAGAAAGCTTAGTGAAAGATCTAGAATTATGTGTACTTTTGCTCATAAGTGGTGATGAAAATGAAATGACTATAACAAGATAAGAAAAGCCACCAGAATTGGTATTGAGAAGTAGTGACTGCTTTGTGGGGGTAAGGCAGGAGGATTGCTTCAGCCCAGAAGTTTGAGACCAGCTTGGGCAACACAGTGAGACTGCATCTCACCAAAAAATAAAAAAATGTAGCCAGGCATGGTGGCGTGCCCCTGTGGTCCCAGCTGCTCAGAAGGCCAAGGTGAGAGGATTGCTTGAGCCCAGGAGTTTGAGACTGCAATAAACTGTCCGCACCACTGCACTGCAGCCTGAACAACAGAACGAGGCCCTGTCTCAAAAAAGAAATGACTGGAGGGATGAGAGTAGAACCTGAACTGGACAAAGCAGACAGATACCAGGGACCCTATGTGGGTTCTTCCAGCATTAAACGGTCAATGCTGAGGGCTAACCATTACCTCTTTTTTATTTGAGACGGAGTCTCACGCTGTCTCCCAGGCTGGAGTGCAGTGGTGCGATCTCGGCTCACTGCAAGCCCCGCCTCCTGGGTTCACACCATTCTTTTGCCTCAGCCTCCCCAGTAGCTGGGACTACAGGCTCCCGCCACCACATCTGGCTAATTTTTTGTATTTTTAGTAGAGACAGGGTTTCACCATGTTAGCCAGGATGGTCTCAATCTCCTGACCTCGTGAGCCACTGCGCCTGGCCTTTTTTTTTCTTTTTTCTTTTCTTTTTTTTTTTTTTTTTTTTTGAGATAGAGTCTTACCCTGTTGCCCAGGCTGGAGTGCAGTGGCGCGATCTCAGCTCACTGCAACCTCCGCCTCCCGTTTAAGCGATTCTCCTGCCTCACCCTCCTGAGTAGCTGGGATTACAGGTGCGTAACTGCCTCAGCCTCCCGAGTAGCTGGGATTACACCACGCCTGACTAATTTTTTTGTGTCTTTAGTAGAGACGGGGTTTCACCATGTTGGCCAGGCTGGTCTCAAACTCCTGACCTCATGATCCACCTGCCTTGGCTTCCCAAAGTGCTGGGATTACAGGCGAGAGCCGCTGTGCCGGCCTACCTCTTGTTTTTCTGGGTTGCCCTAGCTTGCTTGTGATGCCCTCTCTGTAATTGCTGAGGACTGATAAGTTTTTTGTTTGGTTTTTTTTTGAGACGGAGTTTTGCCCTTGTTGTCCAGGCTGGAGTGCAATGGCTTGATCTCGGCTCACTGCAACCTCCATCTTCTGGGTTCAAGTGATTCTCCTGCCTCAGCCTCCCAAGTAGCTGAGATAACAGGTGCCTGCCACCACACCTGGCTAATTTTTGTATTTTTAGTAGAGACAGGGTTTCACCATGTTGGCCAGGTTGGTCTGGAACTCCTGACCTCAGGAGATCTGCCCGCCTCGGCCTACCAAAGTGCTGGGATTACAGGCGTGAGCCACCGCGCCCAGCCTCTTTTCTCATCTCAATGGGCCTTAGGTGCTGTAATCTATAGTTATTGGTAGCTTTACCAGATAGTTCCTATGTATATTTAAGAGAGAAGGCTGAGAGCTGTTATGCCTGAAAGACTCCAGAAATTTGAGAAGCTACTCACCCTTTCCCTTGGAGATTTCCACAAGGATAAGGTTGTGTTCAGAGGCTCATCTTCTTTTCCTCTGTCATGGTATTGGGATTCTATCTTAATCACTCCATCATCCTGCCAGCCATGTCTCATTTCTCATGCTGGAAAGCTCCCTCCTCCTAAGCTCAGTGTGAACCACCAGTCTTGATGCTTTATCTGGTCTAGGCTCTAGCCCTTAAATTGTTTGACTGGCTTTGTGTTTCATTTGACCCTAATACTCCGGGTCACACTGTCTAAAAGAGAATTATGTCCCCTCCGATGTCTGAGTGCATTTCTCATTTCTTACTGCTGCTCCTGAGCAGATCTGTAACTTCAAGGTTAAGATAAGACACATTCCATCAGAACTATGTCGTCATCCTTGCCAGCTTCTGATCTGTGACTGTCTAGGAGATTTACAAGACAATTGCATGCCATCCTTTAAAGAATATTATGGTTGTACTCTGACTCCTGGCATCAGGCCCAATTCGATTTGTCAGTGGTTACAAAACCCATTTCCCAAAAAGAAAAGGACCTCGGCCCATGTGCCCTTTAGGCAGTTCTTAAGGGTGGAAAGGAGGGAATTGAACTCAATCTTTATTTTCTGATGTTTTGTGGGGAGGGGTGGACACCAGAATATTTTTGTCTCTTTCCTCATTAAATTCACTTTTCTTTCTCTGAAAGGTTTCACCAAAATGTTAGTATTGCTGTCATTCTCTCCTGTTCCTTATTCCTTCACAGAGTTACTATTAGTCTTTTCATTCTGCCATCTTTAAAGTTTGTCTGAGTTTTAAGGAATAAGTATTTTGCCCTTGAGAGAGAACGTACCTACCCTGTTCTCTGAAGGTTTATTCGTTTTCCAGTGCCTAGTTAACAAAGACACTGTTCCTCTTTTTCTTGCTATCTACTAATGTGTTGAGCTGCAGGAGTTACTGCATGTGATATGGTTTACTAGCTTAGGAATTTGGAAGGTCACATATTTTCTTCTGCTGTTGTATTCAGCCCTGACATATTTTTACAGAAGGTTCTTTTTGGGGGACTTAATAGATCTTTGGTTTCAACATAAACTCACTTTTTCCCTCGGAGGTACGTAGGGCAGGTAGTACAGATTTATTTAGCCCGTTTAAATGATGCCGGGGTTAGATGGAAAATTTATTTACTCAGGATAACACATGGCAAGTTAATCAGAGTCAGGATCCTATTTAAATGTTTGTTATTGTTTTTATATCCCTTAATTATGAAAAGTTAAAAGGTAAGAGTTGAAAAATGCCGTTTTTAATTGGAGGTTTGCTGATGGTCCATTCAAATCTGAGGAAATCTTTTGTAATTAAAAAATTTCTGGCCGGGTGCAGTGTCTCATGCCTGTAATCCCAGCACTTTGGGAGGCCCAGGTGGGCGGATCACAAGATGAGGAAATCGAGACCATCCTGGCCAACATGATGAAACCCCATCTCTGCTAAAAATACAAAAATTAGCTGGGCGTGGTGGCACATGCCTGTAATCCCAGCTACTTGGGAGGCTGAGGCAGGAGAATCCCTTGAACCAGGGAGTTGGAGGTTGCAGTAAGCCGAGATGGCGCCACAGCACTCTAGCCTGGTGACAGAGCGAGACTCCGTCTCAAAAAAAAAAAAGAAAAAAGAAAAAAATTTCTACTTTGGTCTTACACCCTATGGTTTCTTCTGTTTGACAGTCGTAATAGTCACCATTGTGCTTCTTCTCAACTGAGTTCTTTTTTTTTTTTTTTTGAGACGGTTTCGCTCTTGTTGCTCAGGCTGGAGTGCAGTGGCGCAGTCTCGGCTCACTGCAACCTCTGCCTCCCAGGTTCAAGCGATTCTCCTGCCTTAGCCTCCCAAGTAGCTGGGATTACAGGCAAGTGCTACTATGTCTGGCTAATTTTTGCATTTTTAGTAGAGATGGGGCGTCACCATGTTGGTCAGGCTGGTCTCGAACTCCTGACCTCAGGTAATCCACCTGCCTCGGCTTCCCAAAGTGCTGGGATTACAGGTGTGAGCCACTGTTCCTGGCTCAACTGAGTTCTTTGCTTTTGATTGTCCCTTTTTCTTACTCTCCTATGGCAGCCACTTCTGGCTTTAAAGTTCCCACATCTATAAAGCAGAGTAGAGTTTTGGAGCTCTCTAAAATGTTCTTTAGAGCCAGAAGAATGGAAAACTTACAGTATTTCAAGTCTCTATATATCTTTTTTATTTATCCTAGTACTCCTTTTCTCAAGTATTGAGACATACTGATACAGAGAGTTGTATATTAATAATGTATCAGGTGATGAATAATTATTTAAAAATCTGTTTTATAACATTATAGAGCAACCTATAAGTGGTTTAAATTTATCAACCATTAGGTTGTGGCAGAACTGCTCTCCTCTTTTTTTTTTTTAAGCTTCTTAGGAATTTTTTTCCACCTAAATTCATTTTGTTTTATTTTTTCGAGACAGTCTCACTCTTGTCGCCCAGGCTGGAGTGCAGTGGTGCGATCTAGGCTCACTGCAACCTCTGCCTCCTGGGTTCAAGCGATTTCTCCTCCCTCAGCCCCCTGAGGAGCTGGGACTATATGCGCCTGCCACCACACCTGGCTAATTTTTTTGTATTTTTAGTAGAGACGGGGTTTCACCACGTTGGTCAGGCTAGTCTTGAGCACGTGACCTCAAATGATTGCCCCGTCCCGGCCTCCCAAAGTTCTGGGATTACAGGCATGAGCCACTGCACCTGGCCCTCCACCTCTAATTTTAGTTAAAAGGGGTTTTTTTTTTTTTTTTTTTTGGTTGTTGTTTTGGTAGTGCTTCATGTCTTTGGATTTTGTCTCTAGTAATCCCCCCAAAGAAGGAAAGTTATATAGTGTCTTTAAAATACTTCCCCTCCCCTGTTTCCTGTTATTTTTCCCCTCAAGCAATTTTAATTAACTGTTCTGTGACAGACGGTAAAATGGGATTGCCCAAAGTGCTCTGGTGGGCTGGATTAAGTGATGGGTGGTTTGTACTGATCGTGTTGTAGAAGGATCGAGCCTTTCCCCTCCCCCTTCAGTTGAGCTGTAATCTTGTTAGATGATCTTAAAATGTTATTGATTAATTCACAGTGCTGTTAGAGGAATAAGCATAAATACTGGATTTAAAACCTAAGAAGTAATTCCCTTAAGCTCTGAATGCCTTAGCCTTGAGGCCAAGAGAGGTACCTTCCAATTTCTCCACCCAGTCTTCACTGAAAAGGAAAGTTAAGCCTTTTAACTTTTCCATTTGCTTCTCCCCCTTAGTGTAGTACTGCTGCCAGTTGCTATGGCAACGGACTGGGACAGCTGCGCAGTGGCGCCCAGGCAGCTGGGTGGGGGCAGGGGAGCTGCCAGCCCGCCAAGACCCAGACCTGGGAGGGGAGGCCCCTCCTGTTAGCCCAGAGGGAAAGAAAGAACTGGGGCGATCCGGTAGGTAAAGGAGGGAACCCCCATTCATTTTCTACCTTTGGGGCTCCTCTTCTGCATGAAGGTATAAAGGGAGATTTTCCTTGTCTCTCCCTCAAAATGAAGAACACATGTAAATCCTTGTTTTTCCTGGTGAGGCAGGGGAGGCCATAGCCACAATGCTTAACTGCATGCATCTAACATGGGGCTGGTTTTAACCCCAGCGCTCTGACCTAAACTGCTCAGCTCCCGGAAATTCCAAGGTGAGTGGTGGTGGGGGTGGGGTACTCTCCCTGGAATATGACATTTCCTGTCTCTGGTGAGGTTGGAGGCTGTTTTATTTTAAATAAAGCACATAAGATATTTTCTTGAAGCTTAGGACTCTTCTAAATTCATGGAAAAATTATTTTAACCCCCCCGCACCTACATTTTGCTACTACTTCCTCTTCCAAATAGAGTATTTTAATAAAAACTTAGTCTTATAGGGCAGTAATGGGTATAGGCAGTTTTTTAGGTGGGCAGACCTATAGCTAATAAGTTCTGGAGATATGGTCTCCAACTATATATTCTTGTAATAATTTTTAAAATTTTGCTAATTTGAAGTGAATTGATAATTGCCACTTTTTATGTGACTTGAACATCATTCTGAGGTTAGTAGTGGGCCCTCCCTGACCCAGTGGTTTTCTGGTCAGGGTGGAAATATTTAGAGGGTGCTGATAAACATCTTTAAAGATTACAGGAAAATAATAATGGAGTTCAGCTAAGAAAACAATTTCTGCTACTCTGTAATCCAGACTGTAGGCACCATTTAGCATGGTTAAGGAAGAATTCTTAAAAATGATTATGGAACAACAACATGGGAATTTTTAAAACTAGATTCTCTGTTGAGTACCCCCTGGTGTGCATATTTCTGAGCTTAACTCAATTTCCATTTGTGTTTCCTTGCTTCAGCTTTCCTTGGGCCTATGAATGGTTCCTCTGTATTTTGAGGAGGCTTCATGTTGATGCTGAGTCTGGGGCCAGACTTCTTTTTCCTCCTCCTCTTCCTTTGGCCCTGAGTCAACTTCAGTTAAGAGGGAGAGGTACCTTCTTAACTATTTGGGTTAGTTGCATCTTGGGAATTACTGAATAATCTAGTGACTAATTTTGAATTTTAGGACTGAAAAATTTTTTCTCCTTTCTGCCTCCCTCCCATCCCCAAATTAGCTTTCTAAAAAGGAAGATTAGTGTGTTTGAGATGTCAGCCTTGCTTTTGTGAGCTGATGGATGCTCTGAAGGGACAAGCTCAATTTGTTTAAGGGAAATGTACCAAGTCACTGAAAATGTGGTGAAAGGTGCCTAAGCAAGCCTTTTTTGTGTGCTGCTAAGAGACTGGGCAAGATGCTCAGAGCACAGAAAACTCATATTTTAGTGGCTTTTCTTTTTTCATTTTTATAAAGACGCTTATTCACCTTGGAGAAAAAGGTTTTAATTTTATCTTGGTTCATTTAACTAAAGATTTTGCACATTTCTGTTTGAGTTCCTGGCTTGTAAACAGTTACAAACATAGCCAGGAATAACATACCACACTACTTGTCTTTTGGAATCTGAAATAGAAGAGTTAAACAGTTGTGCCTTCTAATAATTTTGGTCTCTTTAGCCGAAGAGGAGGTTGTAGTTGAGGAAGTGAAGACTGATTCATTTTTAAATTAAACTCTTAGGACTCATCTGTAGAATGATTTGAGACTCAAGAGCAGGGCACATGGCAACTCAGTGTTATCCCCTTTTCATCCCATCAAGAAAAGACAAAGTTTTTAACTCCTCACATGGATTCTAACCATTTTGTCCTTTGCCTTTGCAGGGACCTGGTGGCCTTAGTCTTTCAGGTGGAACGGTGTGCGACATGGGAAAGAAAACCAAGCGGACAGCTGACAGTTCTTCTTCAGAGGATGAGGAGGAGTATGTTGTGGAGAAGGTGCTAGACAGGCGCGTGGTTAAGGGACAAGTGGAATATCTACTGAAGTGGAAAGGCTTTTCTGAGTAAGTTCCTTTTTTCCCCCAGGCGTTGGGACTCTGTAGAGATAGATACCTTTGGTTTACTTCCTTAGGAATCACAAGCATTTTTGTCTTTTTCTTCCCCCTCCTGCACTCTTCCTAAGAGTTAGAAGACACAGCAGTAAAGAAAACAAAATCTCTCCGCTTGTGGAGCTTACGTTCTAATGATACTGCTTTTGAAAGGCAGTATAATGAATTGGTTAGGAGCACAGACTCGAGAGTCAGATTGCTTGGGTCTAGATTCTAACTCCACCACTTATGATACAAACTGGATGGCCTTGGCTAATTTCCTTAATCATTTTATCTCCTCAGTGAAATAAGGATAAGCAGTAGTGCTTATAAGGCCAGGCGTGGTGGCTTGCACTCTAATCTCAGCACTTTGGGAGGCTGAGGCGGGTGGATCACCTGAGGTCAGGAGTTTGAGACCAGCCTGGCCAACATGGTGAAACTCCATCTACTAAAAATAAAAAAATTAAGTGTGGTGGCAGGTCCCTGTAATCCCAGCTACTCCAGAGGCTGAGGTAGGAGAATCACTTGAACCTAGGAGGCGGAGGTTGCAGTGAGCCAAGATTGCGCCACTGCACTCCAGCCTGGGTGACTGTGTTTTTAGTAGAGGCAGGGTTTTGTCATGTTACTCAGGCTGGTCTCGAACTTCCAGGCTCAAGTGAGCCACCTGCCTTGGCCTCCCAAAGTGCTGGGATTACAGCCGTGAGCCACCGTGCCTGGCTGTGAAATTAATTTTAATAATATTTTATTTAACCTAATACGTGAAAAATACTATTTCAGCGTTAATCAGTACAAAAGTTATTAATGAAATTTGTGTGTGTGTGTGTGCTAAGACTTGAAAATCTGGGATGTATTTTATACTTTATAGTGCATCTCCATTCAAACTAGCTGCATTTCAAATAGGCACATGTGGCTAGTGGTTACCATATTGGATGGCACAGCTCCTGCAGTCTAGGACCTAAATACACTAAAAGATACAGTGGTTTACCAATACTTTTGGATAAAGGCTATGTGTCAAGAACCTTTGAAACATACTGGAGGTTATTTCATTACATGACTCAAGGTTTCTCATCTGGAGAATTATTGGCGTTGTAGGTGGGATCATTCATGCATTGCAGGATGCTTAGCATCTCTAGCACCCAGAGTGCAAGTATGGGTAGCACAACAATCAGAAGATGCCCTCTGTTTGTAGAGAGGAGTGGTATCACAGCTTCCACTAGAGATGAGAACTGTTAAAGTTTGAGAGACCTCTAGAGCACTAACAGATAGGAACTAAAGTAACACCAGAAGATTTTGAAGATGTTTATTGGGCCCATTTCCACTGGAAATATTTGGGTGTTTGAAAGATACTTGAAACTCTTTCTCTGTCATTGAGCTACTGGTACCTTACCATAGATGAAAGGGGAAAAGGTAAGGTTTGGGGTAGACAAAGTAAACATTGGTCCTTTTTCAGAAATGCCCTGGATTTCATAAAAGACTGGAACAAATCAGCATTGTCTATAACTAAATGCCTACTTTGTGCTAGACAGTGATCAAATTCTACCTCTTGTGCTCTCTTCGATTCTCACAAAAGCATTTAGAGTCCAGGCATGGTGGTATGTACCCGTGGTCCCAGCTACTAGGGAGGTTGAAGTGGGAGGATTGCTTGAGTCCAGGAGTTTTGGGCTGTAGTGCACTAAACCGATCAGGTGTCTGCATTAAGTTTGGCATCAATATAGTGACCTCCCAGGAGTGAGGGACCACCAGGTTGCCTAAGTAGGAGTGAACCAGAGCAGGTCAGAACTCCCATTTTGAGCATTAGTAGGATCGTACCTGTGAATAGCCACTGCACTCCTGTCTGGTTAACATAGCAAGACCCTTGCCTCTTTCAAAACTTTAATTCTTTTTTTAATTTAAATTTTTACATATTTTTATCTTTTTTTTTTTTTTTTTTTGAGACAGAGTCTCTCACTATCGCCCACGCTGGAGCTCAGTGGCGCGATCTCAGCTCACTGCAACCTCCGCCTCCCGGGTTCAAGCGATTCTCCTGCCTCAGCCTCCCGAGTAGCTGGGATTACAGGTGCCTGCCACCACGCCCAGCTAACTTTTTGTATTTTTAGTAGAGACAGCATTTCACCATGTTGGCCAGGCTGGTCTCGAACTCCTGACCTTGTGATTCGCCCACCTCAGCCTCCCAAAGTGTTGGGATTACAGGCGTGAGCCACCACGCCCTGCTTTTTTATCTTCAAAATAGAGACAGGGTCTCACTGTGTTACCCAGGCTGGTCTCGCTCTCTTGGGTTCAAGCGATCTGCCTGCCTTGGCCTCTTGAAGTGCTGGGATTATAGGTGTGAATCACTATTCCTGGCCAACCCAGGCTCTTTTTAAATCATACTATGTTGTCTTTTGGGTGGAAACTGAAGTAGAAGCAGCAGTACCAAAGTGTTAGGAAAAGGGATAATCGCATTATAGGACTGGCTTTTCTAGCTATCAACAGATTCTTCCCAACCCCCAAGTGTATTCGGCTTGTGTAATAGTCTTGGTACACCTTTTGATATTGGTATGTTAATTTCCTCTGGGATGGTAAACTATATGGTCTGTGGGTTTTGGGGAAAGTTACTGTGTGAGGAATTTTTTTTCTTGACTTCTTTTCTTTTTTTGAGACAAGAGTTTTGCTCTTATTGCCCAGGCTGGTGTGCAATGGCGTGATCTTGGCTCACTGCAACCTCCTTCTCCCGGGTTCAAACGATTCTCCTGCCTCAGCCTCCTGAGTAGATGGGATTACAGGCGCCCGCCACCACGCCCTTCTAAATTTTGTATTTTTATTAGAGATGGGGTTTCACTGTGTTGGCCAGGATGGTCTCGACCTCCTGACCTCAGGTGATCCACCTGCTTCTGCTTCCCAAAGTGCTGGGATTAGAGACTTGAGCCACCGTGCCCGGCCGAGGAATTTTTTTTCTGCTGAGAGAAGGGATATAAAGGAGAAACTTTCCCATATTAGCTCAAATGATTTAGAAATAAATTTTGTCTCAATATTATGTTCCTTTTGTAGAAAGTTGTTTAGGTCAAGAGTAAATAGCTCAGATTTTTCCGTCTTTCTGCTTTCTACTTGAGTCAGGTTATTATGGCATGTGTTCAAATCATTCCCATCTAAATAAACCTTTTTTTTTTTTTTTTTTTTTTGAGATGGAGTTTCACTCTTGTTGCCCAGGCTGGAGTGCAATAGCTCGAACTCAGCTCACCACAACCTCCTGCCTCCCGGGTTCAAGTGATCCTCCCTCCTCAGCCTCCTGAGTAGCTAGGATTACAGGCAGGTGCCACCATGCCCGACTGCTTCAGCCTCCCAAAGTACTGGGATTACACGCATGAGCCACCGTGCCTGGCTGAATTTTGGGTTTTTAAATAGCTTTATCGAGGTATTATTTAAACACCATAACATTCACCCATTGAAATTGTACAATTCAGGCTAGATGCGGTGGCTCACATCCATAATTCCAGCACTTTGAGTGGCCGAAGCAGGCGGATCACTTGAGGTCAGGAGTTCGAGACCAGCCTGGCCAACATGGTGAAACCCCGTCTCTACTAAAAATACAAAAATTGGTGGCGCATGCCTGTAATCCTAGTTACCGGGGAGGCTGAGGCCGAAGAATGGCTTGAACCCAGGAGACAGGTTGCAGCGAGCCGATATCACACCACTGCACTCCAGCCTGCAAGACAGAGTGAGACTCCATCTCAAAAAAAAAAAAAATTGTACAATTCAGTGATTTTTTTTTTTTTTTTTTTTTTTGAGATGGTATCTCACTCTGTTACCCAGGTGGGAGTGCAGTGGTGCAATCACGGTTCACTGCAGCCTCAACCTTCTGGGCTCAAGGGATCCTCTCATTTCAGCCTCCCAAGTAGCTAGGACTACAGGTGCAAGCCACCATGCCTGAGTAATTTTTAAATCTTCTGTGGAGACAGGAGTCTTGCTATGTTGCTTAGGCTGGTCTTTGAACTGTTGGGCTCAAGTGATCTGCTCACCTTAGCCTCCCAAAGTGCTGAGATTACAGGCGTGAGTCACTGCGCCCAGCCCAATTAAATTATTATTATTGTTTTTTTTTGAGATAGAGTCTCAGTCTGTTGCCCAGACTGGAATGCAGTGGTGCAGTCTTGGCTCACTACAACCGCAGCCTCCCAGATTCAAGCAGTTCTCATGCCCTAGCCTCCTGCGTAGCTGGGACTGCAGGTGTGCACCACCAAGCCCAGCTAATTTTTGTATTTTTAGTGGAGACAGGGTTTTGCAATATTGACCAGGCTGGTCTCGAACTCCTGAGTGCCTCTCAAAGTGCTGGGATTACAGGCGTTAGCCACTGTGCCTGGCTCCAATTAAATGATTTGGAATAAATTTATAGAGCTATGCAACCACCACTATGATCCAGTTTCAGAACATTTTTGTGTCCCCCAAAATTCTCTTGATTCCCATTTGTAGTTAATTACAACTCCCTCCCTCAGCCCCAGGCATTCACTGATCTGCTTTTTTTTTTTTTTTTTTTTTTGAGACAGAGTCTGGCTTTTTCGCCCAGGCAGGAGTGGCACAATCTCAGCTCACTGCAACCTCCCCTTCCCGGGCTCAAGCAATTCTCCTGCCTCAGCCTCCCGAGTAGCTGGGACTACAGATGTGTACCACCACACCAAGCTAATTTTTGTAATTTTAGTAGAGACACGGTTTCACTGTGTTGGCCAGGCTGGTCTCAAACTCCTGACCTCAAGTGATCTGCCTGCCTCGGCCTCCCAGAGTGCTGGGATTACAGGTGTGAGCCACCGTGCCCGGCTGATCTGCTTTCTGTCTCTATAAATTTGTCTTTCCCAGACATTTCATGTAAATGGAATTAGTATGTAGTATCTTGTGTCTTATTTCTTTCACTTAGTATAATGTTTTTGGGGTTCTTCCAAGTTGTAGCATGTTTTAATATTTTGCTTATTGTTGTTGGATAATATTCCTTTGTATGGATATACCACATTTTGTTTTTCCATGTCACCATCCATTGATGAACATTTGAATTTGTTTTCTGTTTTTGGCTATTAAAATGCTGCTGTAAACAATTGTAAATAAGTCTTTGTGTGGGCTTTTTTTTTTTTTTCATTTTTCCTGGGTAGAAATCTAGGATCAAATTTGTTATCTTCTTTAAAGCATAGGGTTTCTCTGTCCTTTTTGTCCGAATGTCCTCTTTGAAATAAGGCATTGGATTTTTTTCCTCATTCTTTACCCCCCCCTTTTTTTTTTAATTTTCCCATTTTTCTTACCCAGGGAGCACAATACTTGGGAACCTGAGAAAAACTTGGATTGCCCTGAGCTAATTTCTGAATTTATGAAAAAGTATAAGAAGATGAAGGAGGGTGAAAATAATAAACCCAGGGAGAAGTCAGAAAGTAACAAGAGGAAATCCAATTTCTCAAACAGTGCCGATGACATCAAATCTAAAAAAAAGAGAGAGGTAAGCTTCCTTTCCCTTTTCCCCAAAAACTATTCTTTTGCCACCAAAATAATAATAATAAATAAAAGTATCATATTTTGGTTATTTCTATTGTAAGGATGGACCTATAAGGTAAATTGTTGAACAAAAGAGCTTCCAGGGAGGTATGTTGATTACAGCTCCCTCTCCTGGCTAAGTGAGAAATGTAATTTGTGGCCACTGGATTGTATTAAGGGGGCAAAATTAAATCTTTGTAAAATGTTAAACCACTCCTCTGCCTTCTCCATAAGTAGAAGACTTAGTTATCTTAGAGAAGGAGGATCATTGGTGAATTTTTTAAGAATAGAAAGGGGCTTTGAAATGTTTTGTTTTGTTTTGAGACAGAGTCTTGCTCTGTTGCCCAGGCTGGAGTGCAGTGGCTGGATCTCAGCTCACTGCAATCTCCAACTCCCGGCTTTAAGCGATTCTCATGCCTCAGTAGTAGCTGGGATTATAGGCACATGCCACCACACCTGGCTGATTTTTTTTTTTTTTTTTTTTTTTTTGAGACAGAGTCTTGCTGTCACCCAGGCTGGAGTGCAGTGGCACTATCTTGGCTCACTGCAAGCTCTGCCTCCCGGGTTCACGCCATTCTCCTCCCTCAGCCTCCCGAGTAGCTGGGACTACAGGCGCCTGCCACCACGCCCAGCTAATTTTTTTGTATTTTTAGTAGAGACGGGGTTTTACCATGTTAGCCAGGATGGTCTTGATAATTTTTGTATTTTTAATAGAGACGGGGTTTCGCCATGTTGGTCAGGCTGGTCTTGAACTCCTGACCTCGTGATCCGCCTGCCTTGGCCTCCCAAAGTGTTGAGATTATAGACGTGAGCCACCATGCCCAGCCGGGGCTTTGAAATGTTTACCATTTCACTTCCTTTTTTCTTTTTTTTTGGAGACAGAATATCGCTCTGTCACCCAGGCTTGAGTGCAATAGTGCGATCTTGGCTCACTGGAACTTCCACCTCCTGTGTTCAAGCAGTTCTCCTGCCTCAGCCTCCCAAGTAGCTGGGATTACAGGCACACGCCACCATGCCCAGCTAATTTTTTGTATCTTTAGTAGAGACGGGGTTTCACCATGTTGGCCGGGCTGGTCTCAAACCCCTTACCTTGTGATCCATCCACCTTGGCCTCCCAAAGTGTTGGGATTACAGGCGTGAGCCACCGCGCCCGGCCCTTTCTTTTTTTTTTTTTTTTTTTTTTTTTTTTTTTTTGAGACGGAGTCTCGCTCTGTCGCACAGGCCGGACTGCGGACTGCAGTGGCGCAATCTCGGCTCACTGCAAGCTCTGCCTCCCGGGTTCACGCCATTCTCCTGCCTCAGCCTCCCGAGTAGCTGGGACTACAGGCGCCCGCCACCGCGCCCGGCTAATTTTTTGTATTTTTAGTAGAGACGGGGTTTCACCTTGTTAGCCAGGATGGTCTCGATCTCCTGACCTCATGATCCACCCGCCTCGGCCTCCCAAAGTGCTGGGATTACAGGCGTGAGCCACCGCGCCCGGCCCCGGCCCTTTCTTTTGTTCCAGTGATAGCATTTGTTTTCAATCCTTGATAATCTTTTTTTTGCAGTGAAAATCATATAATATACAATTAAATATTTTATTTATTTATTTATTTTGAGACAGAGTCTTGTTCTGTCACTCAGGCTGGAGTGCATGGGCGTGATCTCGGCTTACTGCACCCTCACCTCCTGGGTTCAAGTGATTCTCCTGTTTCAGCCTTCTGAGTAGTTGGGATTACAGGCATGTGCCACCATAGCCAGATAATTTTTGTATTTTTATTTTTATTTTTTATTTATTTTTTTGAGACGGAGTTTCACTCTTGTTGCCCAGGCTGGAGTTCAATGGCATGATCTTGGCTCACTGCACCCTCCATCTCCTGGGTTCAAGTGATTCTTCTGCCTCAGCCTTCCAGAGTAGTTGGGATTACAGACATGCACCACCATGCCCAGCTAATTTTGTATTTTTAGTAGAGAGGGTGTTTCTCCATGTTGGTCAGGGTGGTCTTGAACTCCCTAACTCAGGTGATCCACCTGCCTTGGCCTCCCAAAGTGTTGGGATTACAGGTGTGAGCCACCATGCCTGGCTCAATTAACAATTTTAAAATGTACAGTTCAGTGGCATTTATATTCTCTTGATCTATTATTTCTACATACTTGGCGTACAAAATTAATTTTTGTCTTTTGAATCTTCTTCAGTTTGGGAAGTGTATTTATGAAATTTTGGTTTGATTTAGTTGCTTTAATCCTTCTGATCTTTAGCTCTCAAGTAAGTAGCATAAGCACTGTTATTGCCTCTCTCTCTTTTCATCTGTGTGTGGGCGCATAAATACACACACTCTACCACCTCCTCCCGCCCCCAGCTTCCATTCCTTTTATTTATTTCAAGGTTATGAAGCCTTTTGTGGTGAAGGATGTATCATACACTTTACATTTCATAAAAGCGTAAGTCTACTTCGGAATCTTCCAGCCTTCCAGAGTAGCTGCCACAATCATCCCTATGTATCTTCATTCTAATTAGATTTATACCTTTCTAGAGCATTAGTTCTCAATGCTACACATTATAATCACCTGGGGGGTACGTTAAAAAAAAAAAAAAATCTCCAGTGCCTAAGATGCACCCCAGACCAGTAAAATTAGAATTTTTTTTTTTTCTTTTTTTTTTGAGACATAGTCTCACTCTGTTGCCCAGGCTGGAGTGCAGTGGCACAATCTCACTGCAACCTCTGCCTCCTGGGTTCAAGCGATTCTCCTGCTTCACCCTCCCTAGTAGCTGGGACTACAGGCACATGCCACCATGCCTGGCTAATTTTTTGTATTTTTAGTAGAGATGGGGTTTCACCGTGTTAGCCAGAATGGTCTCAATCTCCTGACCTCGTTATCCGCCCATCTTGGCCTCTCAAAGTGCTGTGATTACAGGCATGAGCCACCACACCTGGCCTCTGTCATTTTTAAAAAGGAGCAGTCTGAATAATCTGGCTTGGAGCCACTGGCCAGTGCACAGAGTTTTGTTCCTAGGCCAGGTTCTGAAGCTGCCGACCTTGAAAACAACCCCCACATGTCCCTTACATCATAATGTTCATCTGGGACCCCTGATAGCATTCTTAGCAGTACTGGCTGCTGTCAGGTAGACAGCTGGAAAGATAGGTGATTGTATGTTTTAAAGGTATAGGAGGGGATTGTGTTTATTTCTTAAGACCACTGGAGAAGAAATTTGTTAGTTTGCATTATGCCTGATTTAAGATTACTGCCTGTATGATGATTTTAGCATTTTCTTCGCCCTGGCTCCTTTTCAGCAGCTTGAACGTTTTTCTTCCATTCGCCTCCTCTTCCCTCCCTATGTAGCAAACTGTTTTCAGTTGCCAGTTATGATTTACAACTTAGTCCATGCACCAGCATTCCAGCTGTGAGCAGCTGTGTGCACATCTGGGAACTTCTTCCCCTTAAGCACCCCCAAAAGAGGCTATGTTTTTAAAAGTCAGTATCTCTCATTGATCCACGCGTGGAATGTCCTTCCAATTGTGAATTTTGGTATCTTTGGGGACCACCCGGACCCCAAATGCTTTGTATGTCTCAGAGGAAAGCAGGTGAACATAAGATCAAAGAGATTTTATTATGAAAATCGGGCAGTAGAGATTTAGTTCATTTGGGCATCTCTAAATCTTTTTTTTGTGTGTGTGTTGCCACTAGAGAGGCTAGCATTATCTTCCATAATAAAGTTTTTTCAAATTACCTAGTTTGGGCCGGGTGCGGTGGCTCACGCCTGTAATCCCAGCACTTTGGGAGGCTGAGGCGTGTGGATCACTTGAGGCCAGGAGTTCAAGACCAGTGTGGTCAACATGGTGAAACCCTGTCTCGACTAAAAATACAAAAAATTAGCCAGGCGTAGCCGGGTGTGATGGCTCACATCTGTAATCTCAGCACTTTGGGAGGCCGAGGCAGGGTGGATCACCTGAGGCTAGGAGTTTGAGACCAGCCTGGCCAAAATGGTGAGACCCCTGTCTCTACTAAAAATGGAAAAATTAGCCAGGTGCGGTGGCACGCACCTGTAATCCCAACTACTCAGGAGGCTAAGGCAGGAGAATCGCTTGAATCTAGGAGGCAGAGGTTGCAGTGAGCTGAGATTGTGGCACTGCACTCCAGCCTGGGCAACAGAGCAAGACTCTGTCTCAAAAAAAAAAAAAAAAAATTAGCCAGGGGTGGTAGCAGGCACCTATAATCCCAGCTACTCAGGAAACTGAGGCAGGAGAATCACTTGAACCTGGAAGGTGGAGGTTGCAGTGAGCTGAGATTGCGCCACTGCACTTTAACCTAGGCAACAGAGGGAGACTGTCTAAAAAAAAAAATTACCTGGCTTGTATAAAATTTTGCTTTTTGGCTCTCATCAGTGTTACTACACATGGATTTGAACCTGTGCTCCTTGTCTAGATTGTATTACTACATTTAGACCAAGTTTCAATACTCATCTCATGAATTATCAAATTTTTTCTCTCTCTTAAGAGACAGGTTCTCACTATGTTGCCCACCATGGAGCACAGTGGCGTGATCATAGCTCACTGCAGGCTTGAACTCCTGGGCCCAAGGGATCCTCCCACCTCAGCCTCCTGAGTCGGAGTAGCACACTTCAAGTGTGCATCACTGTGCCCAGCTAATTTGCAGAGACAGTTGCCCATGTTGGTCTCCAATTCCTAGTCTCAAGCAATCCTCCTATGTCAGCCTCCCAAAGTGCTGGGATTACAGGCATGAGTCACTGCACCAGGCCAGTTTTTTGTTTTTGTTTTCTTTTTTGTTTGTTTTTGTTTTCAGTCACAGTCCGGTTCTACCTTCTAATGCTAACAGTCATCTACATCCAGAGGGGATAGGCACTGACCAGGGCCTTCTCTCTAACCAAGCATATAGGTATTGGTGTTTATGATCTCTGAAATTTTGCTATTTAATAGTATTGGCCTTACATAATTCTTACCTCTATTCTTCCATAAACACAGGTGACTGTGAAATGTGTCAAAATTATTGTTTAGTGTTAAGGTAAACTAAAAGTCTAAAAAAATAAAGATTGAGAGAGAGGTAGTATATTTGAAGTTTGTAAAATGAAAAGATACAGTTAGGGTAAACATGGTATTCTTTACCATTTCAGAAGCTTATTTACAATATTAAGGAGATTCCAAGTGAGTGGGATTAGAGGAGTTCCTAGATGTTGACTCCAGAGTATCTTTCTTTTCGCCCCTTTTCTTTTTTTTTTTTTTTTTTTTGAGACGGAGTCTTGCTATGTTGCCCAGGCTGGAATGCAGTGGTGCGGTCTCAGCTCACTGCAACCTCCGCATCCCGGGTTCAAGCAATTCTACTGCCTCAGCCTCCCGAGTAGCTGGGGTTACAGGCACCTGCCACCATGCCTGGCTAATTTTTTGTATTTTTAGTAGAGATGGGGTTTCACCATGTTGGCCAGGCTGGTCTTGAACTCCTGAGCTTGTGATTCGCCTGCCTTGGCCTCCCAAAGTGCTGAGATTACAGGCGTGAGCCACCATGCCTCTGACTCCGGAGTATCTTATAGGACATTAGAGACTTTTAGGGTTCACCACCAGTCTTCTGGAGGAATTCCAGGAAAGATAATCACATCTTACAAAAATATCTCTTGACATCACTGTCACTTCATTGTCACTGTCAGTACTTAGTATTAAGTTCTAAAAATTTTTCTGAATTGGTGAAAGAAATGATATCAGGAGATATTAACTTAGGTTATGTTTTGTTGAGCCTAGAAGCAGGGAGTTTCTTTACTCTTTCCACAAGCTGTAACCTTTCTTTATCTTCTATTTATAGCAGAGCAATGATATCGCTCGGGGCTTTGAGAGAGGACTGGAACCAGAAAAGATCATTGGGGCAACAGATTCCTGTGGTGATTTAATGTTCCTAATGAAATGGTGAGAGAGATTTGGCTTCGCTTTACAATTGTGTTTCTTTGCCAGTGACTTGAATTTGTGTGGAAGATAGGGTGGCAAGACTGCATATTCCCAAACCATGAATTTTGAATGTCAGAGATCTTTCTTTTTTTGAGACAGTGTTTCGCCCTTTGTTGCCCATGCTGGAGTACAGTGGTGCGATCTCACTCAGCTCACTGCAGCCTCCGCCTCCTGGGTTCAAGTGATTCTCCTGTCTCAGCCTCCCGAGTACCTGGGATGACAGGTGCCCGCCACCATGCCTGGCTAATTTTTGTATTTTTATTATTTATTTATTTATTTATTTATTTTTGAGACAAAGTCTCTTGTTGCCCAGGCTGGAGTGCAATGGTGCGATCTCGGCTTACCGCAACCTCCGCCTCCGGGTTCAAGCGATACTCCTGCCTCAGCCTCCCGAGTAGCTGGGATTACAGGCATGTGCCACCATACCTGGCTACTTTTATATTTTTAGTAGAGACAGGGTTCCTCTATGTTGGTCAGGCTGGTCTCAAACTCCCGACCTCAAGTAATCCGCCTGCCTCGGCCTCCCAAAGTGCTGGGATTACAGGCGTGAGCCACTGCGCCTGGCCCATTTTTGTATTTTTAGTAGAGTCGGGGTTTTGCTGTGTTGGCCAGGCTGGTCTTGAACTCCTGGAATGTCAGAGATCCTTAACTGATACCAATTATTGGTGTTAAATGGGAATTATGCTTCAGAATGGATTGCTATTAAGTAAATTATAGTACTACATATCAGAAAAAAAGGTAAATTTGAGGTAGAAAATATATAAAGGTCGGATGCAGTGGCTCACACCTGTAATCCCAACACTTTGGGTGGCCAAGGCAGGCGGATCTCTTGGGGTCAGGAGTTCGAGGCTAGCCTGGTTAACATGGTGAACTCCTATCTCTACTAAAAATACAAAAATTAGCTGGGCGTGGTGACGCATGCCTGTAGTCCAGCTACTTGAGAGGCTGAGGAAGGATAATTGCTTGAACCTGGGAGGCAGAGGTTGCAATGAGCTGAGATCGAGCCTCTGCACTCCTGCCTGAACGACAGAGCAAGACTCCGTCTCTAAAAAAAAAAAATAATAATAAATATATATATATAAAACATGACTTAACCACTTGTTTACACAGTTCTGAATTACTTACTGTAAGACCATGGGCCTGTGATCCTGGGCTAGGAATCAAATGAGGCTTTCTGCCATCACTGAGGGCCAAACCTGCTGAATAATGTCTAAAAGAGAAAAATAATCTCAACAAAAAGCATTAAAGCTAATACTGGCCAAAGCACAAGTTATTTCATCCAGTAGAGAGAGGATGGCTCTTAGATGAAAAGGAAGTAGTTCTTCTCAATTTGATTTCTTTTTTTTTGAGACAGAGTCTCTTTCGCCTAGAGTGCAGTGGCGCGATCTTGGCTCACTGCAATCTCTGCCTCCCGGGTTCAAGTGATTCTCCTGCCTCAGCCTCCCAAGTAGCTGGGATTACAGGCGCCTACCACCATGCCTGGCTAATTTTTGTGTTTTTAGTAGAGATGGGGTTTTGCCATGTTGGTCAGGCTGGTCTCGAACTCCTGACCTCAAGCAATCTGCCTGCCTTGGCCTCCCAACGTGCTGGGATTACAGGTGTGAGCCACTGCGCCCAGCCCTAATTTGATTTCTTAAAGACAGAGTGATTTATGTTGTGGTCCTCACTACCTCTGTTTCCAAGTATTCTGAATTTGTGATACATAGAGGGTTTGTGTTGCAGTGCCACTAAAGAAACATGTTACCTTAAAAGTTGTATAATCAAGGCCGGGCGTGGTGGCTCACGTCTGTAATCCCAGCACTTTGGGAGGCCGAGACGCCGAGACGGGCGGATCACAAGGTCAGGAGATCAAGACCATCCTGGCTAACACGGTGAAACCCCGTGTCTACTAAAAATAAAAAAAAAAAATAGCCAGGCTTGGTGGCAGGCGCCTGTAGTCCCAGCTACTTGGGAGGCTGAGGCAGGAGAATGGTGTGAACCCGGGAGGCGGAGCTTGCAGTGAGCCGAGATCCTGTCACTGCACTCCAGCCTGGGCAACAGAGCGAGACTCTGTCTCAAAAAAAAAAAAGTTGTATAATCAAAAGGCTTAACATTTTATCTGATGAGAGTACTGCTGGTAAATTACCCAGAAACCTGTATTTGAAGAATTGCCATATTCTGTCAGAAGTAAGGAGCTATATGGACTGCTTGTTTTGTTTTGTTTTTTTGAGACAGCGTCTTGCTTTATCACCCAGGCTGGAGTGCAGTGGTACCATCTCGGCTCACTGCAACCTTCGCCTCCCAGGTTCAAGCAGTTCTCATCCCTCAGCCACCTAAGTAGCTGGGATTATAGGCATGTGCCACCACACCTGGGCAATTTTTATATTTTTAGTAGAGACAGGGTTTCATCATGTTGGCCAGGCTGGTCTCGAACTCCTGATCTCAAGCAATCCACCTGCCTTGGCTTCCCAAAGTGCTGGGATTACAGGTATGAGCCACCACGCTGAGGCTGGACTGCTTTTTAAAAATTTTATTTTAGACAGTGTCTCGCCCTGTCACCCAGGCTGGAGTGCAGTGGCGTAATCACAGCTCACTGCAGCCTTGCCCTCCTGAGCTCAAGTTATCCTCCTACCTCAGTCTCCTGAGTAGCTGGGACTACAGGTGCATGCCACCATGGCCTGCTAATTTTTAAAAAGTTTTTTGAAGAGACCAGGTCTTCCTATGTTGCCCCGGGCTCAAGTGCTTTTCTCACCTCGGCCTCCCAAAGTGCTGGGATTATAGGTATGAGGCGCTGTGCCTGGGCTGGACTGCTTTTTCCTACTCAGCCATATGTGGTTACTTACAATTTACATTAACATTAATTGGCTTTTTCCACCATAGTCCAAATTTGAGTATCTGCTCCAATAAGGTGGTAATTTTTCTTGTCCACATCTCAGGATAATTCTATTTTGTTTTTTATTATTTATTTATTTTGAGACAGGGTCTCACTCTGTTGCCCAGGCTGGAGTGCAGTGGTTCAATCTCAGCTCACTGCAACCTCCACCTCCCAAGCCCAAGTGATCCTCCCACCTCAGCCTCCCAAGTAGCTGGGACCACAAGCATGCACCACCATGCCTAGCTGATTTTTGTATTTTTTGTAGAGATGGGTTTTGCCATGTTGCCCAGGCTGGTCTCAAACTCCTAGGCTCAAGCGATCCACCTGCCTCAGCCTCCCAAAGTGCTGGGATTACAGGCATGAGCTGCTGCACCTGAGCTTCTCAGGATAATTTTAATTTTTTTTTAATTGATTTGGAATCATGCTTAAGGAACCATGTAGCTAGATTTTTTTTTGTTATACTTGGTATTAGAGGCCCTACTGAGATAATTGAAATTTGTAGCTAAATTTTTATTTGCTCGTTGTTCCAATCCACAGTTCTGGCCAGAGGGGTAATGAGTATTTAAACGGACACAAGGTGAGGAGGGTTAAGACCCCTTCACTTAGATGATCTGGAAACTGGATTGACCAACCTGTGTATAATTGACTTGTGCATAATCAATAGAGCTGAATGTAGGTTTTTTTTTTTTTTTTTTTTGAGACGGAGTCTTGCACTGTTGCTCAGGCTAGAGTGCAGTGGCGCGATCTCAGCTCACTGCAAGCTCCGCCTCCCGGGTTCACGCCATTCTCCTGCCTCAGCCTCCCGAGTAGCTGGGACTACAGGCGCCCGCCACCACGCCCGGCTAATTTTTTGTACTTTTAGTAGAGTCGGGGTTTCACCGTGTGAGCCAGGATGGTCTCGATCTCCTGACCTCGTGATCCACCCGCCTCGGCCTCCCAAAGTGCTGGGATTACAGGTGTGAGCCACCGTGCCCGGCCCCTGAATGTAGGTTTGATTGGGTTCACTCACATGCTCATATTCACAAATAAAAATTTTGGAAGCAGATTAATATTATTTATTATTCATCTTTTTAACCTAAGCCCACCATGGTTTACATCTAAATTCTAGCTACAGACATCTGTTTCTGTATAATATATTAGCTATTAATCCATTTACTTACATTTCTTCTTGAAAATATTGAAAGGGTCCTTTTCACCTTGAAACCAAGGTGAGGAGGAAATCAAGTCAACTAAATCCATATAATGACATAAACGTATGTCTGGACAGATTCTTTCACTCTTCCTCTCCTTTTAAGTCTCATATTCTTTCTCTCCAGGAAAGACACAGATGAAGCTGACCTGGTTCTTGCAAAAGAAGCTAATGTGAAATGTCCACAAATTGTGATAGCATTTTATGAAGAGAGACTGACATGGCATGCATATCCTGAGGATGCGGAAAACAAAGAGAAAGAAACAGCAAAGAGCTAAAGGAGGGGATGGTCTCTGTCATTTCTCTTTGTACATAATACATTCACCTCCCTGCCTCCTCTCCTTTCTACCCACCCCTTTCTATCCTAAACACATCCATAAAAAATGTGCTTATCACTGTGCTCCACAGGAGAAATGTTGGTATTGGTTCTCTTGTAACATAACTGATGGTCTGATTAATGATAAGTGTCTCTCTGTGAAGACCAGGCATTTACATACTGAGTGTAATACCCACAATTTTTTTTTCCTTTGCCCTGATCTCTTCCTTCTGCTTCCCTGTGACCTCAAGATGAGTTTCAACTTTTTAATCACCTTAGAGTCTTGATCTTTTCAGGGTTGGTCGCTTTTTAGGTTGGGGGATTTTGTTACAATGATGTTGAATTTTGGTTTCTTGCTTTGGTTCTTAGAACATGTTGCTGACTAGCTGGCCTTTGTTCTGACATGTTGAGATGGAAAGGATGTTGCCCATCTGTTAAAAAGCCAATAGCAACTGCCTACCTGTTGGGGCTTTCCCAACCTTGTTCAGCTCTACCCAGGAGAATACAGGGTTTCTGGTGTGGTCTTCTGGGCCACCCTCTGTTGTTCATCCTCACTCATCCTCCCAGAATTACTCCATCCTTTGGAAGATTTGAAATTTTACACTGAAATCTGTCAAGACACTCTTTTTAGCCCCAGGACTTTCGGTATTGCTTTTAGCACTCCCCACTTCTGCTTCTGTAAAGTGATATCAATTTGTGATAAAATGACAAGATTATTAACTGTGCAGATTTGTAGCTATAGTACATGAGGATGATGGGGTAGGGTACAATTGTCTTTATTATCATATATGGTATGTATGTATGATTTCTTTCCATTCCTCATATTTAGACTGTATATTTATGTAGGTGTGAGTGATTGCCTGGTGCTTGCTTGTGCCAAGGTGCTAGGCACCCTCCAACCCTGCCAACTTTTGTGGCCTCCCAAAGCATTCCTGTTACCAAAGAGGCTTCAAACCTGACCCTCACTTCTCAGTGGACCCGAGTTTCCCTTCCATGCCATTATTTTCAGTGGGGAAGTTTTAGAGGTGAGCTGTTGGCCACAATATCAATTTTAAGTGTTCATAGCAGTTATGTCTCCTGCATTCTTGGCTCCTGGATTTACCACCAAGAGTCCCCAAAATATTAATGCTCTTCCCTTTTTCTACCCTCAAACTTATAGTTGTATCTTATTTTTTAAAATGAATTTTCATGGCCAGGCACAGTGGCTACCGCCTGTAATCCCAGCACTTTGGGAGGCTGAGGCAGGAGAATTGCTTGAAGCCAGAAGTTTGAGACCAGCCTGGGCAATGTAGTGAGACCCCCTGTCTCTAAAAAATATAAATAAAAATAAAGGCATGTTCCTGAAAGACTGTCACCTTGGAAAGTGACAGGCCCTGGCATTAGCATGTTGACACACCCTTTTCTTCTTACTCAGCAAAATACTTCGTTTTGGTTTCTTCTTGTGTTGCTATTGAGAAATTTGTCTGATCATATCCTTCTGCCTTTGTCCCCCAAGAAATGCCCTACTTTATCCTTTTCTTTTTGTAGTTGAGGAGGGCTAGAGAATCACAATTAAAAGTAAGGAAATAGCAGGGTTTTGAGGATCCTTGTCCCAGCCCCAAAGCTGAGGAAATAAGAATAAATGCTTAATATAGCCTTAATTCTAGAGCGCACCAGCCATGAGGCTGCTTTTCTTGTTGTTTTTGATTTTTAAAACATACAGCTGTCTGGCCAGGAGCATCTACCATTTCTAGATTATTCAGAGTAATGAGGGGAATGGATGGATTGCTCCAGTCCACAGATGAGCCACATAATATGCAAATCATATACCCATTCATAGCATTTGTTAACATTGCTTCCCTGCTCAGCTGCTGATTGAATTCTGTGTGCTTATATAAATTATGTCAAAAATTATACTGCATAATTGAGGTGACAGCTGTTGCTGCAGTGACATGACAGACTGGAACAATGAAGCTTTTGGTTTAAGTCAGCCAGGAAAATCCTTCTGAATGGTAATGTGATTGGGCAAGAGCTCATAAACCATACCTCAAGTGGGTGGGAGTTTTATCTCTATATTCCTTCTCTCTCTGAAGGAATTAAAGGCCTAGATCAAGTGCTGGATAATTGACAATTGCTTGTACTTAATCTGATCGGTATCTAAAAGAAGGAAAGGATGGTCAGGAAACATTTATCATAAATGTAGCCAAGGATATCAATTAGGGTAGACAAGAATAGGACAAAAATAGGCCAGAGCTCCTGAGGAGGTGATATGGGTCTCTTGATTTGCAGAAAATGACAGCCTATCCAAGTGGCCCAGTGTATGCCTCCCAGTAGCAGTGGGCATGTAAACTGCAGCGACCTTATTTTTAAAACCAAAAACCTAGTATGTGGACAAAGAACATGACAATATTTGGTACTGAGATTGGTTCTGAGAAACCTGGGGCATGTGGCTGCTGTGGTTATAGGTAATATTTAAGACATTCATAAAAATCTGATATTCTTTTACCGAAATAACCCCAGTATCATCTACTACTTACCATCTGTTAATAGACTTTACTCTGTCTTTTTTGTCTTCGGTTTATTGTACTGAGTGCCGCCAAAACAACTTTTGTTCTCTTCCTGCCTACCTGCAGCTGGTTCTATAGGAATGTAGGGAGCCAGAGGCCAGTATTGATTTCAGCCCTTAGCACAAAGGAAATCAGATGCCTGCTTCCAGCATTTGTTAGTGTTGAGTAGATGTTCTTGCCCTAGAAGAATTACAGCCTCAAACAGAAACCTGTTTCATGGAGCTTTCTCCCCTCAGAAGAGTTAATAGTTAAGAGCTAAGCACTCTTAAACACCTAAGTCTCAAATGCTAAAAATTTATTTTTCTTGTGTTTAGTCCTCTTTCAAGACATCTTTCTAAGCCTTTCAGTAATCAACATTAAAAGATCTCCCTTTCTTCAGAGTTATAGCACAGCTTTGCCCAGTAGAGGCTACCAAGGACAGCTTAGCAGCCCTTTGATTGCTGGGCTGGGCAGATGGCCTTCAAGTTAAGATCAAATGCCGGGAAAATCAGCCTACATGGGAGCACCCATTTTAAACCTGGAGAGAACCATGATGTTTTCTTCTTCAAATAACAATCTAGTTTTTTTTCCCCCAGTACTAAAATTGTATTGTCTTTCAGACAATATAATTTTTATTTAAAATTGGAACATACTATCTTCATGCTTTCTAAGCTAAATCTTCATTTAGATTTCACTCCTCAGTAGATCCCAGAGAAGAAGCTATATAGGATCCAGATTCAAATTTAACAGTGTCTTCTACTTTTTTAGTTATGTTTTCTATCAACTCCTGCTGCCTTTTCAAATACGGATATTTTTCAGGAGACTCTTCTACTTGTCCACTGACTGTATTTTTTCCTTTTTGATCCGTAGCCCTGGTTAAATGGCTGACATCCTTCCGTGGATGATTCTTGGAGGTAGTCTCAGAATTCCAAAGTGATTGTCTGTCTTCTTCTTGTCTTGATCCTAATGCAGACATTCACCTCTATTATTTATTTATTTTTTTTAGACAGAGTCTCGCTCTGTCAC
Source organism: Homo sapiens (assembly GCF_000001405.40). Classification (NCBI taxonomy): domain Eukaryota; kingdom Metazoa; phylum Chordata; class Mammalia; order Primates; family Hominidae; genus Homo; species Homo sapiens. The sequence goes on along the minus strand of NC_000012.12, from coordinate 54,238,165 downwards.
CAGGCTGGAGTGCAGTGGCACAATCTTGGCTTACTGTACCCTCCACCTCCTGGGTTCAAGCGATTCTCCTGCCTCAGCCTCTCGAGTAGCTGGGACTACAGGTGTGTGCCACCATGCCCAGCTAATTTTTGTATTTTTGGTAGAGATGGGGTTTTACCATGTTTGCCAGGATGGTCTCGATTTCCTGACCTTGTGATCTGCCCACCTTGGCCTCCCAAAGTGCTGGAATTACAGGCATGAGCCACCGTGCCTGGCCACCTCTATTAAATTTTTGTGGACAAAAATAAAATTGTCATTATTTGTTTGCTCTCATGGAGCACTTTCAGTAATACAATTTTTTTTAAATTCCAGTTGCCCTCTTTGTTGCTCTGTCCTCTGTAATACCTGACTTTGCTAAAGACTTGAGGGGTGGTTTCAGAGGAGGGTCAGGTGATGGGAAGGCAGGATGAGAAAAGCCCTGGACTTGCATGTTTGAGAAGGCTTCCAACCACATCTTCACTCAGACTCTTGGAATTCCTGTCCCCAAAACAAGCTTCTGTTTTTTGCTCACAATGCTATATTTCTAAATTTTTCCTGAATTACTGAGAAGCAGTCATTAGCTTTGTTAAGTTTGGTTTGGGGACATTGTTGGTATCAAAAATCGAAGTCTTATTCATTTGATGTAGGCCATGAATCATCAATAACTGGTTGCTGGAAAGCTTGACTACCATCCACTGGGGTGCTATTTTGAGAAGGATTTTTGGGTATCTTTATAGTCTGCAATTAGTTGATGATTGCTTTCTAGTTTATCAACTGCATTTATATTTGCTTTTCTGTTCATGGAAAATCCTTTATTTGCTGGGGTTTTTTGTTTGTTTGTTTGTTTTTCCCACTTACAGCAAGTAAAAGTGGTCTGAGGTTATCCTTGTTTTTCTTCGCGGTTTGCCATGTGTGAAAGTAGATTTCCTGCTATTGATATATTCTCATTATAGACAGAATAGTGGAGAACAGTGTTGCCATGGACAAAATCCAGTTTTGGTCCACTCTGGGGAGCATTTGGACCTGTGGTGCTTCTAACAATTAAAAGTCTAGATGGTCCTTGACTGTCCCCCAGCCATACTGCATACTACTTTGTGCATTCTACTTTGTGTCATTAATGAAAGATTGGTTCTGTCCCTGTAACTTAGGCATTTATTATTCTTAACTCTTCATTCCTGTTCTGTAGCCACCCAGCAGTCCATTTTCCCTATGTTCAGGCCAAACCACAGGGCATTGGGGAAGGTTTTTGGGATTTTCTTATTGAGATTTTGTTGAATCTGTAGTTTACCCCAGCTTTCCTAAGGTACAGTGAGGGGTTGGAGGGATCTGTGTTTGGCCCGGGGAGCAATTGTCTCTACCTTAAGGTTCAGTTTTGAGGGCATAAAATACTACTTTGCAATGTCATGAGAACACCGTTAGATCTGAAATGTGGAAATGGTTTCTCACAATTTAAAGGAAAAACCCACTTTGCACCCATGATCCCATCATTTTGGTTGAGATTTTAGAATAAAAAATATAGTGTTGAGATCCGTACTTTTGTAATCAGACCACCAAGCATGCCTGTGGCAAGGCAGAGAGGAAAGGTCTGGAGCCAGTGTATTGCAGTTTCATGCTACCTTTACCTGCTAATCATAAAAATTATGTTTTCAAAAGTAGATGATACTAGCCTTACACCCAAAAACATGTTCTGAATTAGATGCCCCCTCACCCAATTTTTATTAAGCTTTCTAAATTCCAGCCACATTGCTGTACATCAACATTGGTTTCATTCAACAGACATTTTTTTGGCCTGAAGATACAAGGTTCAGAAAGAGGCCATCCCTGCCCTCAAATAACTTTCATACTGGTGTATGATGAACTGACCATTAATAGTTTAAGTGCTTACAAGCTATGTTTCTGTTCAAAAAAAAAATAGTTTGGTATAATAAATGCTATAAACCAATACACATTTCTGACTTGGGGGCAGAGACAGACTGGCTGATGTTGTATAGTTTGTAGCCCTGGAGTAAGAAGTTGACATTAATTTCGGCCTATATGTGGAAAAGACCTATAACATTGGGTGAACTGAGCCAGCTGGCCATAGAACACAAGAACATATTCCAGGAAATAAATATAGCTGGAGGGTTGGAAATGCTGTTATTACTGAGAGAGAAAACAGGTGAGTTGGGATTGAGAACTCCTGATTTTCATCCCTGGTTTAGATTCTTGGCCAAAGTAGTGGTAGAGTTAATCTTTGCTTGTGGAAAGCATTAACTATGTTGCAGATTCAGTTGTGTTACATTATTGTGGGTTCTATAACAACATATTCCTCATGGACACTTTACCAGAGTTGCTCACACCTTTTTCAATTTCTCATCCCTTTTGGAGGAATGAACATGAGACTTAACTGCCTTTAAGCCTAAAACGGACATGCTTTCCAATGACAAGAGATTTTCTAAAGAGAAGTCTTGGAGCACATCTGTTAATACCTGAGCATCTACTCTGAGCAGTGCAGTTTTATTCAATACTGGAGAGAGGGTGATTTCTTTTTTTTTGAGACGGAGTCTTGCTCTGTCTCCCAGGCTGGAGTGCAGTGGCGCAATCTCGGCTCACTGCAAGCTCCACCTCCCGGGTTCACGCCATTCTCCTGCCTCAGCCTCCCGAGGAGCTGGGACTACAGGCGCCGGCCACCACGCCCGGCTAATTTTTTGTATTTTTAGTAGAGACGGGGTTTCACCTTGTTAGCCAGGATGGTCTCAATCTCCTGACCTCATGATCCACCCACCTCGGCCTCCCAGAGTGCTGGGATTACAGGCGTGAGCCACCGCCGGGCCGAGAGGGTGATTTCTAAGCAGAGAATTGTATCAGTTATGTGGAAACCTTTGCCAGAAATACATATACCTTGTATATTAAATCTGAGTCTCAGATTTAATCATCGAAGCGTAGCTGGGTTAAGAAACAGTCTGATCGTAAGGATGTTGTCGATTCTGACCCATGGATGACCACAAGAAAAAGATATTTATTTCTGCCTGGATAATTGAGAGTTGACTAACTTTGGAAGTCAGAATTCCCAGGAATTAGAGTAACTGCTCTGGAAAGTTAAAGTGTGAAGTTTTTTAGATAGTTTCATAAAAACAATTCTGGTTTCTTTTTGCTTGTGCTGACTTTCTTGGATTTTAATCTACCTCATCTTGTCTTTTTAGAGTTACTTCAACTTGTCACTTTAACATTGTGCTTGACTTTGGTTGTTTTCTAAGATGGAATTTTTCCTGTTCATTGACAGCTTGTTCTCTTGCCTTTTCATTCTGATCCTCATTTCATCTAACATCATCTCATATTGCTCCTCTGTCAAGAGAAATGTTTTAAAATAGTTTAAAGTCTTGTTTTATGGGAAGAAAGTGATCCTCCAATGCTATTTGTTTCTGAGGTCAGTAAGAGAAGGAGTTAAAACAAGGCAGTGGGGAAGGGAATGAATCCTGCACTGGAGGCAAAAGCTGACAAGGAAAGAGCCATTAATTAAGACAATTTCAAAGTCAACTGATTGTGATCATTAATGTCACAATAGATCAAAACCTAATTATCACAGCCTAGGTAAGAGCCATCAGTATTAATCGGAAAATCTAATAGGAAACTATTATCAAGAAATTAGGCCAAATTGAATGCAGTGAACTTTTTATCTTGGCATTCTCTATTTTTTTGTGATGTCCCCTGGCATTGGCAGGTGTGACCCTAACAGTCGATTCAAGGCCAAGTGGTCAGTTTGTCAGCCTTTTTTAAGGGATTTCTTTTTATTTTTAGGAATTCCAAACAGAGTTAACCTAAACTGTCATTGCCAAAAGATCAGTCTTAAACTTTCTTAGCACCTGTACCTGTTTAATGTGATCAGCTATCAGTGAGGAAAAAAAAAAAAATCTATTTAGGTCTTGGAATGGTTCCTGTACCTAGAGTATCCATATTGAACCTTTTTTTTTTTTTTTTTTTTTTTTTTTTGAGATGGAAACTTGCTCTTTTGCCCAGGCTGGAGTGCAGTGGCGTGATCTTGGCTCACTGCAACCTCCGCCTCCCGGGTTCAAGCAGTTCTCTGCCTCAGCCTCCTGAGCAGCTGGGATTATAGGCGCCTGCCACCATGCCCGGCTAATTTTTGTATTTTTAGTAGAGACAGGGTTCACCATCTTGGCCGTGCTGGTCTTGAACTCCTGACCTTGTGATCCGCCTGCCTCGGCCACTCAAAGTGCTGGGATTGCAGGCGTGAGCCAGCACCCGGCCACAGTATCTTTATTACAGCTCACTGCAGCCTCAATCTCCTGGGCTCAAATGATCCTCCTGCCTCAGCCTCCCAAGCAGCTGGGACTACAGGCGCACACCACGGTGTCTGGCTAATTTTATTATTTAAAAAATGTTTTGTAGAGACAGTCTCCCTGTGTTGCCCAGGCTGGTCTCCAACTCGTGAGCTCAAGTGATCCACGTGCCTCAGCCTCCCAAAGTGCTGGGATTACAAGCATAAGCCACCGCACCCGGCCCCTAGTGAACATTTTACTGTATGTGTTGATAAATCATCTTTTGAGTTTCTGTTGTATGTGGGGACTTCCTACACTGGCTGCTGTGAAGAGGTATGGAAGAAAGGAGAGGCTTTCTGCCTAGAAATTCTTTGAGAACACCTGAAAAGACAGTTTAATCATGTCACAACACTCTTAAGGCTCAAGTCAGTGTTCTGGTTTCCGGTAGCTTTAGGATTGGATTCTAAACGAGGGCTGGTGGTGAGTTTGGTGTTTGTCTCGTGTCACCCTCACCCCTCACCTCCTCAGTTTAGGATAAGAGACATAATGATTTCTACCAGAATCCAAAGTAAATCCAAAGGGGGAGAAAAGACATAACTGTTTTTTCTTCTACCTTTTTTTTGTTAAAGAGTTACATCTCTCACAGGAGGAAAGAATTCAAGAGTCTATATGATTAGTTACAGAGAATATTTTCATCCCCTCTCCCTGAATAGAAAAGCAGGGGTCACCATTTGTATCCTTACCCTTGAGGTGTTTTTGAAGATGCTGTAACTCTTGAAGTTGAGCTGAGGCAGAAAGGTTGGAAAAATGCAGCCCTCTGGGTATTGTGGGGAGGGATGTGATGTAGTAAGAGGGTGTTTTGTGGTGCTAGGATTCCCACGCCACCAACTTGCAGCTTTATAAGAGCGCTACCAAGAACCACCACTGGGGAAAAGGTTCTTATTCATTGTTTCTGTTGGAATGTGATCTTGCTTTCTGGATTTTAGGAATTCAGGTTACTCAGTATAAAACTCTGAGAAATCAGTGTGACTTAGTCCTTCACCTCCTAAGATAAAGTGAATATTTCTTTACAAAATAATTCATGTCCTTAATGTTAAAGATGTAATTTTATTTTCAAAACATCTATAACATGACTTTCAGAAGCAGTTCATTTTTCCAAGATTCCTCACATTATACTAGATAAATAATAGGCCCTCAGTTAATACCCTTCAGTTATTGAATTAATCTAGTTTGTGGAATGAGGTGTATCCTGCCAACTTCCCTCTGCTCCCAAGTACACTCTGAGAGGTAAAATGCTCTGGGAAATGGAACAAGAATCGAGTGGATGCTGACTCTGTGTGCCCACCTCCTCAACTGATTGATAATGGTTGACCTTGGGCAAGTCACTTCTTTCAATGCCTCAGTTCCCCATCTGTCAAATGGGGTTAATAATACTGACCTACCTCACAGGGGTGTTGTTGTGAGGCATTGTAAATCAAAGTTAATAGAATACTTCAGGGTCCTCTGTGGAGGATGTCTTGAGCCAGAGTTTAAGCCTGACACACAGGCTTTGGTCCTCACTGAGCTGTCTCCAAGACTGGAACTACTTAGTGACTCGGCAAATTTTCTGCCCCCCACCCCTCATCAAAGCTGCTAGTTCAGATGTTGACAGTGTTTTCATGAATGTTGGAATCTTACTAGTCCAGACTTACTTAGGATGTTGTTGGGGAAGGCACTTGGGATTTTCTGTGTCTTGCATTCACAGAGGGAGGCCATTTCAGATTCAAGAGCATTGGATTAGGGAATCGTGAGGCAGGGATGCTACTGCGTATTTCTCTCTGCAGGTTGGGGATTAAAGTTCCTTTCCCCATGGGTTTGAAGCAGACTCAGACTGTCTCAGGATCAAAGCAACCCTCAATGGTTTTGATTTATGTCATTGCTTACCACTCCCCAACCAATCCCAGGACAGCTGGGTCACTGTACCCCTTTGTGGTATCTGTACCTGGGCCTCTCCTTCCTCATAGGGACCAGCTGATTGAATAAATGTGACCACCTTATTTCCACCCCCCACCCCCAAAAGCTACATTGGAATTATTTTTCCTAGAAATGTGTATAACACTCAGAATTGGGCATTGATCCTTAAAGCTTCATCCCATTCACCGTATTCAACATCTGTCATCTCTTAGTGTCTGCAGTCTGAACCTAACCTTGACCTTTTTTCCCTCTGGTTTGAGAAAACTTTGGACACTATTTCTACTTGGCCAGGTGTGGGCTCAAGAGCCTTACTCTTTCCATCTCAGTTTAGGGGCGCAGCCAGCTCCTCTTCCCAATAGGGCTCTTTCTGCTTTCCCTCTCCTTGGCCCTAGATTTGTAATCCATGAAAAAGCACAAGGTCCTGGCTCCTTGCGGTCACATTCTGGTTCTCTGTGTTTTGTGGACTCTGCTCTCACTGTTCACCCAGCACTAGCAGTACCAGATGGTTCTGTGGAGTCCTGGGGAATGGAGAGAGCACAGTCTGACTCCCTGCCAAGTAGCCAGGAGTTGACTTGCCCATGGTCCGCTGGCTTTCCCACCACTTCCTACAGGATGGGATCTAAGAGACTCAAGAGCTGGGTTTCTTTCAGCACTCTGTACTGTCCCAAATAGCAAACAAATCACTTTGTAGCCAGATTTCTGAATGGAAATGAGAAATTGAATTCTCCATGGACTTTTAGGTTTATGGGGGAGTTTTAGCTGTGTTTCTTGGTTTTATTTCAGCCAAACATGTCTGCTTTTGATTTTTTTTTTAAAGTATAAGTGGTCTATATATATGTTCACCTTTTAAATGTAAATGTTTAAAAAGTAAGCATTTATGTGTTTCCATAACTGACATCTGATGCAGACCTCATTCTCTCCCCCTCTTCTACCCTCCTCTTTTCCCCCTTTTCATACTCTTGTATTGGTTCTAATAAATGGTTGCTTTTCAAATATGGATTCTGAGTGGTGGTTTAAAGATCTGGGTCTTATGCCCCTTCTTTAATTTGGGCCCTGGAGTGTCAGCTCAATTTCTGAAAGAGCAACAAGACTTGGAGAACATGGGCTTCTTTTCTAAGGATTATTGGTCTCTGACTTTCTGCAAATAACCACAGGTTGGCGCAAGCCTGAGGAAATAAGATAATGCGTATCCTGTTTCCTACTCTTATTTCCTTAACTGGTTCAGTGTGTACCTTTCCTGGTTTCCATGCTCTTCTCTGCTCCTAATGGTTCAGAGAATAAATATTAGGCTTCAGCAACCTAGGGATCCCTGGAAGAGTCATCTCATGGCTATTAGAACTTATGGAATACCACATCAAGCAAATGCAGTCTAAATCAGGTTTGAAAATATGTGAATTTGTAAACTTTGTATTTTATCTTTCTGATTTGCTTCACAAATACCAAAGAAACTTCTCTGAGGATGGAAGGCTTGCAGGTCAGGAACATGGTGTGAGGTCAGTTGGAAGTTAGGAGGAGGAAAGTATGTGGATAATCAAGAAATTATCGAATAATATAAGCCTGATGTAGCCCTGAATCTAATGGAGATAGGCAGAAACTCACAGAAGAGAGAAGTGAGGAAGATGAAGGGGTCACCAAACCCAGATATCCTCCCACTGATATGTGAGGCCTCTGGAGCGGAGCACTTGTTTCTACCATCTCTTACCTGCAATTCTCCCCTCTTGTTTTCCTTTCTTGCTGAGTTATAGGGTCTCCCCAGTCTAATCTCGTAAAGTCTTATGAAGACATCTGTAGGTTGGCTGGCTTAATGGTCCATGACCTCATAAACATGGGACAGGAGAGCCATTTGGTCCACTTCAGAGCCAGACCCTTCTGGACATTATTTATTTCCTACCATGGAAGCCTGAGACTGCTTGCCCTCTTCCCTTTCGATCTCTTTCTTGCTCTCTAAACATCATGTCACTTTGTCTCTGTCTCAGGCCCACTGGAAAGCACAACTCCAGGGTTTTGACACCCACGCTTGTATTCCTAAACTATGTCTTGGTTTTTGTTTCCCTCAGTGAGGGGCTGTGCCTGCATGGCGTTCATTCAGATGACCTCATCATTGCTCATAGCTCTCCTCCCAGGAATCTTGCCTCAGTGTGCTGGAGAAGTCAGGAACTGGGCAATTTTGCCTCTCCTTTTGTCTTCATTAAAGAGCTTCAGAGCTTGTGAAATCAGTGCAGCACTGGCAGCCTGGGGAAAATGGAGGATCACTGTGTGGGAATCCCCTTCATTGGATCACTGAGCACACAGTTCTATGTTTTTCTTTTTTTTTTTTTTTGAAATGGAGTCTCGCTCTTTTGCCAAGGCTGGAGTGCAGTGGCGTAATCTTGGCTTACTGCAACCTCTGCCTCCCAGGTTCAAGCGATTCTCCTGCCTCAACCTCCCGAGTAGCTGGGACTACAGGCGCCCACCACCACACCTGGCTAATTTTTGTTTTGTTTTGTTTGAGACAGAGTCTTGCTCTTGTTGCGTAGGCTGGAGTGCAATGGCATGATCTCAACTCACTGCAACCTCCGCCTCCCGGGTGCAAGCGATTCTCCTCTCTCAGCCTCCTGAGTAGCTAGGATTACAGGCGTGAGCCACTGTGCCCAGCCTAATTTTTTTTTTTTTTTTTTTTTTTTTTTAGTAGAGACAGGGTTTCCCCATGTTGACAAGGCTGGTCTCGAACTCCTGACCTCAAGTGATCTGCCCGCCTCGGCCTCCCAAAGTGTTGAGATTACAGGTGTGAGCCACAGCGCCTGGCCTGAGCACACAGTTCTAAATCGCTCTGTTAAGAGTCAGCAGCCCTCAGCCTCTGCTCTTTGGAAGTAAGTGTGAGCTGGGGGTGAAAGCCCCAGTACTGAGGGCTGCTGAATGTGAGTGTGTGCAGAGGAGAGCCCATTATATCCTGTGGACACACCAAAGTGCTCCCCAAGCCTTGAGAGTGACTTGTGCATCTGTGTTGGGGAACAGGAAGACAAGGTGAAAGCTGGGGGCCAACTGGTGTGTGTGGGCATGCCACACAGGCATTGCGGGGATTCTGTTGTTCAGGCCAAGATGAGGCAGCAGCCACTGTGAGAATACCCCAAGAATTCACCTGCTTAAAGTCACAGAGAAGATGAAGACAGATGAAGGGAAGGGTCTGATTCTCAGCTCTTTGGCTACTTGGCCTTTTTTCCTCTTCCCTGTTGCTCTCCTGCTTTCCCCTCCCACTCCGCAGCTGTAACATCTTGCTTTCCAGTTGCTGGCTCCCTCCTCTCTCTTAGCTTCTGCATTTATTTGTGAGGCTGTATTTTTTATGGTTTCTCCCCTTTGTCTACTATATTGTGTGTATTTTTCTCTTTGTCTTCTTTTCTTCCTTTTCTAGTCTCTCCACCCCATGTTCTCAACATCCCCTTTAAATTCCATAAGCAACCTCAATTTGGACATTTAATTTTAACCCCATCAAATTATTTCTTATAACAATCTGGGACTCTTTATGAGCTCTTTCTCCCCCATGCTGCTTCTGGAAACAGGTGCTTCTGTTTATGTGTATAATGTGATGCCCCCTCCCACACTGGGAGAGGTGATGCTGGCTCAATAGCCTCATGCCTCGTCTCAGCAAAGCGTTGTTTGATCATTTGGTTATGAGCCAAGGAGGGAGGAAGAGATGCTGAGAATCGAGCTTGCTGATATATTTGGGGGCTGCTGAGATGAAAAGGTTTAGGGTTATTATTGTAGCCTTTCCTTTTAATTCCTCTTTCTGCTGCTGCTATCTTCTGGAGAAGGAAGCTGGTAGGAAGCTGAGGTATTGACCACAGCTGCTGCAGCTTATGAAATTCTTACAAAATTAGCTATTAGGGAGGCTGAGGCAGGAGAATTGCTTGAACCCGGGAGGCAGAGATTGCGGTGAGCCGAGATCATGCCACTGCACTCCAGCCTGGGCAACAAGAGCAAAACTCTGTCTCAAAAAAAAAAGAACAAAAAGAAATTCTGCTTCTACATCTGCAGCAAGGGTAGGGGTAGGGATAGGGGGTGGAGATGGGGTTGAGGTAGGAGGGCAGGTAAACTAGGGTCCTTGCCTTTGCTGTGTAGGAAGGAATGGGAGAGTCCATTCCTTCAGACTGTTTCCATGCAGCACTTACTTATGCAGCCTGTTTCCCCTTTGCTTCTCCCCACTCCACTCCACACTATAATCCTCTGCTTCTGTACATTTCAGCTATTCTTGGTAGGAGCCAGGACAGCCCAGCTCCTAGACGCCTGGGCCTGTCCTCTGTCACATACCCCCTTGCTCTAGTTCCTGCCTTACCCTTCTAGTCCTGTCTGCGCATGGAGCTGGGAGATAGAGAGGATGGGGCTGCCACAATGCTCCCAGGAGAGAGCAGGGCTGGGGCTCCCTGCTGCTCAAGGGTGTGGTGCAGCCACATGTCTTGCTTCTGGAGCAGGTCACAGGATGCTTCCTCCGTGTTTTTTTCTGCCCTTTTAATTTCCCTCTCCCTAACCTTTTCACTGTTCATTGTCCTTTCTAGTTACTGTATTTTCCTTTTTATCGTCTTCTCAGTTCTTCCCATTTTCCTCTCCCATTTTTTGTTTTTTTTGATATGGAGTCTTGCTCTTGTTGCCCAGGCTGGAGTGCAATGGTGCGATATCGGCTCACTACACCTTCTGCCTCCTGGGTTCAAGTGATTTTCCTACCTCAGCCTCCCGAGTAGCTGGGATTACAGGTGCCCACCACTATGCCCAACTAGTTTTTGTATTTTTAGTAGAGACAGGGTTTCGCCATGTTGGGCAGACTGGTCTCGAACTCCTGATCTCCGGTGATCCGCCCACCTCGGACTCCCAAAGTGCTGGGATTACAGGTGTGAGCCACCGCACCCGGCCCCTGTTTTTTATTTTCATGTGTCAGAGAGTACAGAGCTAATAAGGGGGAGTGAGGGAAAGGTTTAAGTTGGAAAGAAAAGTGTAGATGGTTTTTCCTCATTTCCTTTGGAAATGTGGGGAAGCGGGGAGACTACCATCTTTCTCTTCCTGGGAACTGGAGCATCTCTCCATCCCCAGCACTCCTGATTCTCTCAGCAGTGATGTCTAAAACGGATTCATTATCTTGAAAAATAGTTCCAATTCTTATTGTGTGTGTGTGTGTGTGTGTGATTACATATTTGTGAGAGAGAACACAGTCAGTTATCTGTGTGGTATATTTCTGTTAAAAATTTAAAGATGATCACTTTTGAGAATTTTATAACCCTCCTTAACATGATTGGAGCCATCTGGTTGTTGCAACAAGACTGGAAATTACTGGTCTCCAGTGTCCCACTAAACCAGTTGGGTCCTTATTTCTGTCCGAAATTTTTGCTGCCTTATTTAGCATGGGAATGAAAACTTTCTTTGGGGATCTCCTTTTGTCTCATTCATCAGCCTAAAGGATCATGGGGCAGGTAGAAACCATTTCCCTGATTCCTCTCCCCACCAACCCCACCAGCCTCTGCCCAACCCCGCAAAAGACAGGCCCAGCCTGCCTGTAGAGGGAGGTGAGGAACAGTTCCTGGGCTCAGAGATTGGATCTCTCATCCTCACCCTTTGCTTCTCCCCATACTTCTTACACTCAAAACAGAGAAGAGGGGTGGTTGGAGACCCAACTTATAAGCTTGGATAGAGGGGGTAGAAAAGAGAGAGGCACAAGGTTGTCCCTGTGAAAAACTAGGAGACTGTGGAATAAAATGAAGAAGGACAGCCAGGGATGGGGGCTCAAGCCTGTAATCCCAGCACTTTGGGAAGCTGAGGCAGAAGGATCGCTTGAGTCCAGGAGTTTGAGGTTACACTTATCTATGATGGCGCCACTGCCCTTGGCCTGGGCGACAAAAGCAAGATCCTGTCTCCAAAAAAAAAAAAAAAAAAAAAAAAAGTGGAGATGAAGGAGTTGGAAAAATAGATGTTGTGCAGGGACATGTATGCACCACAACACAGATGCTAGGAATGTAGAAGCTCACGAAAGGGGCAATTGAGGCCCTCTAAGGCTGTGTATCCTCTGCCTCCAGGCAGTATCTTCTTCACTCAAACAGATGGCTGGAACTTCACTTCTGCAGAGCTCTGGGCAATGAATCAACTTAGCATCCACTCTCATGTGTTCTGAGTTAGAATAATCTTTGCTCTGGACTGTATCACCTTCCTGAAAATCTGAGAAATACTTGGATTATTTCTGCATCCTGAATGACTTCAATTTTTACCCTAGTATGGGGAGTTGGAGGGCCTGGAATCCCAATGCTTTCTTAATTCCCAAGCCTGTTTTAGGTGGTCCCAGGAAGGGAATGAGAAGGGGGTGTGTATAAAAGAGGGAAGTTGAGGGGATGGCAGTGCAGGTAGCCGCAGGTAAGGATTCCCCAATCCTCATTAGAGATCTCAATTGAATAACTGTTGCTATCTTCAAAGAAGAGATGGGACAGACAGCCCCCTTTACTCCACAAGGAAATGGCAGGTCTGTGTGTATATAAGTTGGAAGGCTATATTCATTTGAATATAACTCTCTGAATACATTTTTGTCTTCATTTGAATATATTAAATTTCACTGAGTCCAAGTTGAGTCACTTTAATGGAGGGGAAGCAATGGCCTAAATAATTCAAGGCGGTAGATAATCCCCAAATCATTTATGAATGTGATTGAAAGGCACTTGGAAGGGGCTTTGGAAGGTGCTTTGTGGACTTCTCTGGGCCAAAAGGAAGAAATCATTAATGGAGGTAAATGAAAAGCTACTCTTAGACCTGTACCAGAATAGCTGTACAGACCCCATGCTATTGGAAGAGCAACAAGCAGGTTGGAATTCTGAGGGCACAAAGAGAGTCGCAGTTATGTATGGATTGAGAGAAGCTAGGAAACAATAAGCTCACAACTGGCATCACTCCCGAATTAACCAATATACCACCTCGGAACAGCCCAGGCACTGGGCAAAATCCTTAGGTAAGAATTTAAGTCTGGCTTTGTTATTCACAAGGTTGAGTAATATTGGCTAAATTAATTCCCCTCTCTGGGTATCAGTTTCCTAAGGGGACTCAGCTCAAATATGGGATAATTATTTCATTTTTCACAAAGTATTTTATCTTTTTATTGTAATCATAGCAAAAAATTGACAAAAGTAGACATTGGGAAAACTATAATCCTATGATGTTAATATGACATATTTTTACATTTGTGTGCTTGACCAGATTTTTGTCCATATGAAACAAAATCCCGTTTTTACATAGTGTGTGTACCATTTTGTATTATTATTTTCTGAGATAGGGTCTCACTCTGTCTCTCAGGCTGGAGTGCAGTGGCATGATCACAGCTCACTGCCGCCTCGACCTCCCAGACTCAAGCGATCTTTCCACATCCTGGGCTAAGCCTCCCTCCCAAGTAGCTGGGACTACAGATGCGTGCCACCATGCCCTGCTTTTTTTTTTTTTTTTTCCTAAGAGATGGGGCCTCCCTGGCTGGGACGCCTGTAATCCCAGCACTTTGGGAGGCCAAGGCGGGCAGATCACAAGGTCAGGAGATCGAGACCATCCTGGCTAACACGGTGAAACCCCACTCTACTAAAAATATAAAAAACTAGTTGGGCGTGGTGGTGGGCGCCTATAGTCCCAGCTACTTGGGAGGCTGAGGCAGGAGAATGGCATGAACCTGGAAGGCAGAGCTTGCAGTGAGCCAAGATCGCGCCACTGCACTCCAGCCTGGGGGACAGAGCGAGACTCCGTCTCAAAAAAAAAAAAAAAAAAAAAAAAAAAGAGATGGGGCCTCCCTATGTTGCCCAGGCTGGCCTGGAACTCCTGTGCTCAAGAGATCCTCCTGCCTGGACCAGTGTTGGGATTACAGACATGAGCCACTGTGCCCGTCCCTATTTTGCACTTTTTTTCACTTAACATAAAAAACAGTTCTGGGCTGGGGGTGGTGGCTCACGCCTATAATAATCCCAACACTTTGGGAGGCCGAGGCATGAGGATCATTTGAGCCCAGGAGTTCGAGACCACCTTGGGCATCAAGGTGGTACGTACCCCCATCTCTACAAATAACACAAAAATTAGCTGATTGTAGTGGTGCATGCCTATAGTCCCAGCTACTCAGAGAGCTGAGGTGGGAGGATCGCTTGAACCGGGGAGGTTGGGGCTGCAGTAAGCGTTGTTTATACCAGTGCACTCCAGCTTGGGCAACAGAGTAAGATCTTGTCTCTTAAAAAAAAAAAAAAGAAGTATCAATGTACTGTGTATGGATTCTACCAGTATCCGTGGTCTGGAGGGCCCCCTGGCCACTTCGTGTTAGTCTCATACCTTTGAAACAGTAGTGGTTCCAGTGTTCCATTCTCAGTTGTTTTTTTTTTTTTTTTGAGATGGAGTCTCGCTCTGTCGCCCAGGCTGGAGTGCAGTGGCGCGATCTTGGCTCACTGCAAGCTCCGCCTCCCGGGTTCAAGCCATTCTCCTGCCTCAGCCTCCTGAGTAGCTGAGACTACAGGCACCCGCCACCACGCCTGGCTAATTTTTTGTATTTTTAGTAGAGACAGGGTTTCACCGTGTTAGCCAGGATGGTCTCGATCTCATGATCTCGTGATCCCCCCCGCCTCGGCCTCCCAAAGTGCTGGGATTACAGGTGTGAGCCACCATGCCCGGCCTCAGCTGTTGTTCTTACCCCAGTTTGTTCCCATCTTCTAAAATAGCTTCTATACTTTCATTATTTCAACCATTACTTATGGACTTATGACCCCCCACACCGATATCTCTGGGCCTTGACTGTATCACTGTTCTCTCTGTATCCACTTGCCCTTTGCTACCTCCTCCTGAGAATCCTGGAAACTCCTCAAATGCAGACCCTTCAAAGTCTGCCCCAGACCTGCCTTTACTGCATTTTCCTCCACTTCTATTCTCCTTATCCCTCCCAGAATTTCACAGAACTATGCTCCAAGCCCCAACAAGCTGGTCTCTTGGATTTCAATGCCTCTGCTCCCACAATCCACTCTGCATATTTTGGTCTCTTCCTCCCTGATGCCTTCATGGGTTCCTCCAAGTAAAATTACTCATTCTCTCTTTGGTGCTTTCACAACCTCTTATGCCTCATCTGTATTATAAAATAAACTGCGAATTCCTGTGGACAGAGTCCATTTCTACTTCATCTGTGGATCTTCAATTCCTGGCTGAGTGTGTAGCATATAGCAGATGCTTATTAAATAATTGTGGGATGAATCAGTGGTCAAGTCATGGTTCCCACTTGCTTCATTTTTCACCAATGCTGTCATTGTCACCACTGATCAGTGCCCTTACTGTTATCATCATTAACTTGATCATGATCACACTTCCTTCATGGTCACTATTATTAACTCCATTGACCACATCATCTCATCATTTACAGCAACAAAAAAAAACCTTCATTAAACATCTGTTCCCAGAGGATAGTATGCAAAGAGCTTTTAATGGAGTTACATGTCATCCCTGCCTTCCAGAGCTCATAGTCTAAAACATAGTTTGTGCTGGGACATGGTCATTATAGACTTTCTGAAGGATGAACAGTGAACAAGAAAGTGAAAATTATTTAAAGAATGACATGAGGCCAGGTATGGTGGCTCATCCCTATAGTATCAGCACTTTGCGAGGCTGGGGAAGATTGCTGAGGCCAGGAGTTTGAGACCAGCCTGGGCAACTAGCAAGACATCTTTACAAAAAATTAAAAAATTTGCTGGTCGTTGTGGAGCGCACCTATAGTCCTAGCTACTTGGGAGGCTGAGGTGAGAGGGTCACTTGAGCTGAAGAGGTTGAGGCTGCAGTGAGCCCAGATCATACCACTGCACTCCAGCCTAAATGTCTGTCCCCTACCCCACCAAAAAAGACATGATGTGACATTTAGAGAGGCACGGTGGAATCCCCAGCCCTCTCACCTCCTACTTGGACTTGTCTCCATCGTCACCCACAGTGTGAAACTCACCAAAAACACTAATAATGGTTAGTAAGACTTCACTGCCCAGACTTTCTGGCCAGTCCCCGCCCCAGCTCCATAGTCTTCCCTTCTGCCTTCTTGCTTTCTCCATGAGACTGTCTTGGTCTAGATATCCTTATCACTGAGTCTGATCACAGCAGTAAGATTGCACAGTATGCCCCCTTGAAGCACCAGAAGTTTTTGGTTTCTGAGTTTAAAAGGTGGCTCATAAATCACTTACGCCCTTGTGGTGCCTCAGGCCTGGGAGGGGAAGCACAGAGACGGGTGATGGAGAGCTGTTGCTGGTGGTGGTAGTTATAGAGGAAAGCATTTGGGATGGAAAGAGGACAGGATTTTAGAGAGTGAGAAGGATGGGAAGAAACCAAGCCCCAGAGGGAAAAGGGGAGAGGAAATGTAAGTAGAAAGGGTGGGTGCATAAAAGGAGAGGAAAATAAAAGGCAGTAAAAAGGCAGGAATGATGTGAGGTATGGTAGGCAGTGAGAGAAAAGGCGCTATGTGAGGGAGAGCCACCTGAGTGTGTCCAGGCATCTCCTGGGCACCACAGCGTGAACGAAAGGTGAGATAAGAGTCTCAGCAGGTAAATTCACCAAGCCCTCCTGTTTGTAGGATGGGAAGTGAGAAGGCTGGGGATTCCAAAAGTGCCCAGCATCTTGGATGTCACACACACACCAGCCTCCTATAAGGTCATTGAGTTTTCTGTTGTTTCACTCAGAAAAGAGGCATGGTGGGAGTGGGAACCTTATATTAATATCAGTTCCCTCAGTGTTGGGCACACCCATGAGTGATGTGACGCTGGGTCCCGACTGTATCTCTTGGTGCGGTAGGACTTGGTACATGTAGCCAAGGGGGAGGTTAGGGTTAAGGGTGATAGATCTTTGTCATTAGTTCGAGGAGTTAAGAAGACCAGAAATAGGGCTAGTATGAGGGAGGCTCTGGCCTGTACAGGGATAGGATGAAGCCTGGGTGGAGTGAGAGGGAACAATAATGGATCAAACAGAGAGAAAAGTGGAGCTTTCCATGCAATGAATGCATGTATATCTAACAATTCTGAGAGAAATTGAGCCCAGGAGAAGGCTCTGAGTAGCCCAAAATGTCACATTTGTCCCTAGGCCTGGAACTCAGGTCTGTCTTCCTGAGCACCCCCGACTGTGTTCTGTTCTCAGAAGCTTTGACTGTGCCCCTCCCAATCCTGGGATGCACACTTAGGGCATAATTGACCATAATTAAGGGCAGTCTGGACAGTTAGGAGGCCTGGACATTTTTTTCCCTTTCCTTTTGAGATGGAGTGGCGCTGTCTTGGCTCACTGCAACCTCCACCTCCCGGGTTCAACAGAGTCTCCTGCCTCAGCTTCCTGAATAGCTGGGATTACAGACGTGGGCAACCACGCCGGGTTAATTTTTGTATTTCTAGTAGAGACGGGGTTTCACCATGTTGGCCAGACTGGTCTCAAACTCCTGACCTCAAGCGATCCATCCGCCTCGGTCTCCCAAAGTGCTGGGATTACAGGCGTGAGCCAACGAGCCCTGCTGGACATTTGTTATAAATTGACCAAGGGAACACAAAACCAGAGAAGACAGGAAGCACTGGGGGAGGCGTGGTTTGCACACCAAGAGCTGTCTGGGAGAAGACGGTGGAGACAGGGGAGGCATGTTCAGACTAGGGCTCAATACTCAGAGGGAAGTCCAGAAGGGTCCTTTCTTCTAGCCCCTTTAGGCAGCCTGAGGTGATTTGGGGGTTTGTGCTGCCCCCTGGTAGCCACTGTGGGAATAGCACTGAGAACTATGCTCAGCAGAAGAACCGGTATGAACCCCATCCTACAAGATGAATTCTTGCTGTCTCATACTTTTTCTTTCTCTCTCTCTCTCTTTTTTTTTTTTTTTTTTTTTTTTTTTGAGACGGAGTCTCGCTCTGTCACCCAGGCTGGAGTGCAGTGGCGTGATCTCGGCTCACTGCAAGCTCCGCCTCCCAGGTTCATGCCATTCTCCTGCCTCAGCCTCCCGAGTAGCTGAGACTACAGGCGCCTGCCACCGCGCCCGGCTAATATTTGTATTTTTAGTAAAGACGGGGTTTCACCATGTTGGCCAGGATGGTCTCGATCTCCTGACCTTGTGATCCGCCCGCCTCGGCCTCCCAAAGTGCTAGGATTCCAGGCTTGAGCCACCGCGCCCGGTCTTCTCTTTTCTTTTCTTTTCTTTTCGTTTCGTTTCGTTTCTTTGTCTCGCTCTGTCACCCAGGCTGGAGTGCAGTGGCACGATCTTGGCTCACTGCAAGCTCCGCCTCCCGGGTTCACGCCATTCTCCTGCCTCAGCCTCCCGAGTAGCTGGGACTACAGGCGCCCACCACCATGCCCGGCTAATTTTTTTTTTTTTTTTTTTTTTGTATTTTTAGTAGAGACGGGGTTTCACCATGTTAGCCAGGATGGTCTCGATCTCCTGACCACATGATCCGCCGCCTCGGCCTCTCAAAGTGCTGGGATTACAGGCGTGAGCCACCGCACCCGGCCGCTGTCTCATACTTTCTTGCAGAATGCATACTGGTAAAATTCCTTAAGCCTCTTGGCCTGGATTGTTAGTGGAGGTGCTCTCCTTCTCGGGGGCAAGGGAGTGAGATGGAACCTCATGTCACCTGTCTGGACTCTTAAGACATGTAGTAAGCATTTTATGTACTATTCTCGCTCCATCATTACAAAGTCCCTATTAAGTAGTCACTATTATTCCCATTTTAAGGTGAGGAAACAGCCTTCGAAGGAGGCAGTTACTTCTCCAAGATCATGCGGTGCCAGAGTTTGAACCTCAGCTTCTTGGCTCGGAGTCCAGTGCTTTTTCACGGCATCAGCTCTCCACTCATAATCCCCCTGGTTTCTCACCCCTCACAATCTTGGGCCAAGATGCGTAAGGACCCAAAAAGTACCAAGAGGAGGGGCTCTTCCATGGGATGTCATGTAAAGGCTGCTTGGGACCACCAGAGCCCTGGGTATCTATGTGTGCCTGAAATAGTCAAGGCCTCACTCATTTATTCAGTATTTGAGTATCTCCTGGTCTTCAGACTTTGTGCCCAGAAGTGGGATACAGCAAAGAACAGACATATTCTCTGTCTTAAGTGAGAGCTCACAATTTGGTAAGTGCAACTGACCAAATGTTTTTGCAGTAAGTGCTAATAGATGTCATTATCAATTGCCAGGGGTGAGAGGAATCTCAGAGGTCTTTCCAAAGGAAAGAACGTCTGTGCAATGATTTTCAAAGAATGTGTCTGTCAAACAGACAAGAGGGCAGAAGAGCAGTCCAGGTGGAAGCAAGGTGCAGGTAAGTCCAGGCAGAGTGAGAGAGCTCATGAGGAGCTTAGGGACCCTCAGAGCAGTTTTGTGTAACCGAAGCGCTGGCTGTTGTGTGCCTGAGTCTGGCCATGATGCAGAAGATAAGGCTAGAGAAGGGGGATGCTGACAGAACGTCAGGGGCTTTCTTTGGCAAGGGTGAACAATATAAGCTTTATTCTGCAAGCCTGGGAGTCCAGAGTTTTTAGCTGTTGACCTCCATTAGACCAATTTTTTAGCAAGGTAACCCCAGAGGCAGGACTACCACCTAAGAGGCTATGCACCAGTCCTAGCAGGAAAATCCCACCAGAAGCCCCTGGTCCAAGGCGTCAGGTAAAGATGAGCGCATTCAGGAGACATTGACCAAGTCGAGTCCAAGAGAAATGGAGGAACCAGAATCTGAGATTGCAGGCTTGGCCTGCGCCAGTGCGAGACAGACATGCCCAGAAGGTGGCTCGAGCCAGGGGAGCCGGGTCCGGGCAGGACTGATCCAGCGGTTACTCAGGGAGGCGTGAGAACGCGCCAGTACCCGGGACGTGAACAGCCGCGGCGGAGGCGCGCAGGGAGAACGCCTGCCCCGCGTGGGGCCTGCTCGCCCAGAGCCGCCAGCCACGAATTTATGGCCCAAAGCCGAATGCAGCTGTGCGCAGCTGGGTATGCAAATGTATGCAAATTCGCGCTGCCCGGCCCGGGCTAGGTTGCGAGCGGAGTCAAAGGGTGGGGGAAGGGGCGCAGCATTGTTACTGTTCTTGCGCTCCCAGAGGAGTTCAGACGCGGTGCGGGAGGGGATGCAGGGGGAAGAAATACATCTTCCCTGTCCTGACCGTCCCGCCTCAGGACCGTGACAATCTATCGGGACGAGCGTGGGTTCCCTCCATGTCCTCAATGACTTGTGCCCTCACGCCCTCAGCCCCACCCTGCGTAAGATGCGTGCAGGAGGAAGGGTCCTGACACCCAGAATACCTGAGCCCCTGTTGGTCTGAGCGTCCTTCCTTCACTGCGAGCGGGAAGGAGCCGCAGGGTGGGTAGATGATCCCACACCCGCCCGGGTCTCCCAGAATTACCCCTCCCCATAGCCAGGGAGGGGGTCGTCCGGAAGACCTGATTTCTTTCATCCCTTTATTGTGACCCGTCCTTCTGCCTCCCATCCGCTTCTTGAGAAGTCCCTACAGAAGTCTAACCATAGTCACATTTGCTATTGTTTCTGTTTTATTTTTCCGGGTGGTTTAGTGAGAAGATTATTCCCAAAGTCCCAAATGTTGGGTTCTGAGGGTGTGGGAGTGGGGCCTGGGCATCAACTCCCGCCCCCTCTCCCCCACCCAACGACCAAAGAATAAGTCCCCACGCTAGGCAAGAACTGGAAGGGAGTCTGGGCTGAGGCTGTCATCTCCCGGCTCTGGCTTGTTTTTTTTCCCGCTTTTTTTTTTTTCCCTTGCTGACTCTTCCCACAATGGCCACAAGGGGTCTTCCTTGCGCTAAGAATGGGAAATCCGGCGTCAGGTTTGAGCGCTGTGAGGGTGGGGCGCCTAGCGATGCTTCCTCTCCGCGGTTTCCGAGCGCCGAGACCTGCAGGCGTCCCACCTCCCCGCCCCTCCTCGGTGGCTTCACTCAGTCGCAGACGACTTCAGTTCTCTTACCCCACGCTCCAGACTGGAGATTGGCATTTCAAGATCTCCTGCTCCTTCCCCTAAGCCTATGGAGCAACCGGAGGGCTGTGAGCTGAGACAAGAATTCGGGCCAGACATATAGTAGGCGCTCAATAAATGCTTTTCAGATGAATGACAATGTGGCAGTGTCCTGTTCAGAAGCTTGGGCAGGGAAGAGATGACTCGGGTGAGTTGAGCAGGACACCCCTCCTCCCAAAGCAAGAGGGTGCCAAGAGGCGGCTCAACTCCCTACCAGGGAAACTGAGGCCATCTGTGGGACTTACATATTGATACAGCAGGGGAGGTTCTGAAGTGACAGGGGCAATTAGAAGGGAGGGGTTAGCCAATCAGAAAGCTGTCATGGATTGATCTGACGTCGGAAGGCGGGAAAAACGGAAGATCCAGGCCCCTAAAGGAAAGCTTTGTTAGAACGGGAAAATGGGATGTGAGCGTGGAAAAGGGGCTGGAGATTTGGATTGTTTAGCTCAGAGAAGGAAAGTTAAGGCAGCCCCTTTCTCCTGTGAGGTCAGAAGTTGTTAGGTTTAGCTGAAGCTGCAGCAGGAGGAAGGGTGGTCAGACACCAGGAAGGACTTCCCCGTTGGAGTCAGACGTGGTGGCAGAGGGTGAAGGGGTGATGACGTCGTTCCCGGGGTGGGAGGTGAGTTATCTGAAACCCTCTTATAATGGGAACCCGTCAGGGGTGGTGGGGGCGGGAGATACAGTTAAGGGTTAGATGCAGTAGGTGGAAGCTTAGGTGAAGTCGGCTGCCCTTCCCCCACGGAAGCGGCTGCAGGGCCCGAGAGGTGGGAGGTTCCTGACCAGGTGCTCTCACGCTCACTGCCCACCTGGATGGACACCTGGGTGGTCCCGCCACACACCCCCACTCAGGGCTTGCAGGAAGTCCTTCCCCAGCCGGATGGGGCGAGGTGTGTTTGGATGAACCGTAGCCTCGGGTTGCACCCGGGTGGCGCAGACCTCCTCGAAGACCCTCACGTGGGCTCCCGTGGCAACTCGCCAGTCCCATCCCCTAGCTTTGGCGCATTCAGGGCCGCTCCTGAAATGTCCTCCCTGCAACCCTAGAAAAGGCTCCTCTGGGAAGCTTGCCCTGTTCTCGCCAGCCTGGTCAGAAATCCTATGGCTCTTCTACTTTGTTTCTCTGGGTGACCTGGGTGAGCAGGAACCACACCTTGATTAGCACATAGTAGGGACACCAAATAAAGTTTTGGGTGGAGGCCTGGCTTTAAATCATGCACTGTCCTAGCTGTGTGACCTCGGTTTGAAGCCCCATGTCCTGATCCGTGAAATGGGTACTTCTGTCTTGCTCACTTCTTAGGCTTTTTTTTTTTTTTTTTTTTTTTGAGACAGAGTTTTGCTCTTGTCGTCCAGGCTGGAGTGCAATGGCACGGTCTCGGCTCACTGCAACCTCTGCCTCCCAGGTTCAAGCGATCCTCCTGCCTCAGCCTCCCAAGTAACTGGGATTACAGGTGCGTGCCACCACGCGCAGCCAATTTTTTTATTTTTAGTAGAGACAGGGGTTTCACCATGTTGGCCAGGCTGGTCTCAAACTCCTGACCTCAGGTAATCTACCCGCACCGGGCTCCCAAAATGGTGGGATTACAGGCGTGAGCCACCGTGCCTGGCCTTCTTACGCTATTTAAAGGACTATGTGCCTGAAATAACCAAAGGGAAAGCATTTTGTTTTATGCAAATGCAGGCTGTGGGAGTCCAAGCCATGCAGACACCCGTGTGCACAGGGGTGGGTACACCCACATTCACACAGGTTGAATCTCTTGGAGGGGCTAGGTCCGCGTCTTTGGAGGCAATCAAGCAAAAGCTGGAGATGGTAGGCGGGGGGGCCAGCTAGGGAGAGCTAGCTGTCAGATGCCAGAGAGGGAACCCAAGAATGCGAGGGGTGGTCCCCAGAACTGGCTATCCTAGACCCAGGATCCGATTCTCCAGGGCGGGATCCCAGTTCCCTGGAGGATTCTGGGTACAGGCCAGTGGGCCTGGACCCTGGCGCAGAAACACGGGACCGAAGACCCCGCTGTGGGAGCCCCGAGTCGGGGCTGCCCGGCAGAGGGCGCCCAGGCTGGCTCGGGCACAGCGCTATAGCCATCTTCGGGTGCGGCCCGCCTCCTATTGCGCCCTCTGCTGGCCAACAAGGACACTATCGCGCTGCCTGTCTTCAGTGCCCACAAAATGGGCGGGGTTCTGCTAATTCAGGGGCTGTTGGCCACGCCTCTTCTGCTGAAGCCTCCTGCATCCTGGACGCCAGAACTCCCAGCCAGGCCTGGCTCTAACTCCTCCACCCTTCAACTCCTTGTGGAGAAGGGAGCTCCTCTCCATCCTTCAAAAGGTGAATCCAAGTACCAGGTTGCCTGCCCAGCTCCACACTCACGCTCGACCGGGGAGGGTGATGAGAAGAATCCCCAGCAGCGTCACGCTTAGGGTATCTTTATATCCAGATTATGGAGGTTTAAAATTCAACCTGCCTGCTCCCAGCTGCCTGGCCACTGCCTGGTCCCAGCCTGTCAGTCCTTCAGGATGTCTTAGCTTGGGCATGTTCCAGCCTTCTCATTGGACCCCCTGCCTACTGTCTCTCCTCTCCACTTACCAAAATTATCTTTCTAAAACACAAATTGGCCGGGCGCGGTGGTTCACGCCTGTAATCCCAGCACTCTGGGAGGCCGAAGTGGGTGGATCACTTGAGGTCAGGAGTACGAGACCAGCCTGTCAACATGGCAAAACCCCGTCTCTATTAAAAATACAAAAATTAGCCTGGTGTGGTGGCGTGCCCCTGTAATCCCAGCTACTCGGGAGGCTGAGGCAGGAGAATCGCTTGAACCCGAGAGGCAGAGGTTGCAGTGAGCCGAGATGGCACCATTGCACTCCAGCCTGGGTGACAGAGCCAGACTCTGTCTGAAACAAAACAAAACGAAAGCAATAACAAAAAACACAAATCAGTGTAGGTCACTCTTTTACTTTAATCTCCAGTAGATCCCCATTGCCTAGGAGAAAAGGTCCAGACTCCTTCTTAGCCCATCTCCATCTTTTATGTTTGGCCAAATCTAAGCCTCTGATCTCATCAGATCACTTCTTTGCCTACTCGAAATTCTCCAAACACATCCTGCTCTTTCTTTGTTTCTTTTTTTGACAGGGTCTTGATCTGTCACTCAGGCTGGAGTGCAGTGGTGCGATCTCAGCTCACTTGCAGCCTCAGCCTCTGGGTCTCAAGCCATCCTCCTGCCTCAGCCTTCCTAGCAGCTGGGACTACATACGTGCTCCACTGTGCCCAGCTAATCACATCCTGGATTTTGATCTCTATTTGGTAAATTTCTACTCATTCCTCAAGGCCTAGTTCAAATATCCCCTTGCTGGGCATTCTTTTCTCTAACACCCCCAGGAAGCATGTTTCTGTGCCCCCATGGACTTTGTACTCGCCTCCTTTTTATGGCATTTATCCTGGGGCATTATCTATTCACAAATCGGTTCCCCCCAGCTCCACTAGAACTTGAGCATCACTAGGTCCGAGTCTGATTCTTATCCATCCTAGTACATACTGGGAATCCAATCTAGAGCTGCTTGGCCAAGGACCCACTGGTGCCTCAGCCCCAGATTGGGAGAAGTCGTGTCTCATGTCTGCCCCGGGCCTAGAACATGGCAGAGATGCCTCTGCCTGTTCACAAACTGACTAGACAAGCCAGTTTTCTCATTCCCTCACTCCTGGGGTGAGCCTCTGCTTCCCTCCTCACTTCCTAGGAGATCAGTCATCCTTTCTTTCTCCTTGCTATTTGCTCCCTTCCCTGCTAGGGGGCAGGTACTCCAGAGCCTCTGGGTTCTGGGGACCTAAATTGAAGTCTGATTCAGAGGTTTATTTCTTAAGAGCTCAGAAACTGATGGTAGGGGAGACTTCTCCCCTCTGCAGAGTCCCAAAGATTCCCCACTGATTCTTGGGCCCTACTCCAAGTCAGCCTCCCCACCCCAGAATTTACCTAGTCCTTGCTTGTCTAGCCTGGGGCTTGGGGGCAAAATCATAAATTTGGGAGACAAGAGGCGAGATAAAGATCATTTGTTGAAAATGGTGTCATCAATCATTTGCTGGAGAGAATACATCTAAGAATTCCCCAAACCTGGGTGCTCAGATGCACCCCCTCAAGCTCCCTGTTATGCTCCCCTATCCCAATGTCCCTGGCCTCCCTGGTCAGCTCTTTTCCTGGGCTTGAGGTTACCTGGTCATTTTTGTTTCATTCTTTCCGGTCTGCATTCTCAGAAAGCCCTCGGGCCCTTTCCTACCTTGGGAGGGTCTCAGGATGGAGAATTTCATCCCCCATCCTTCCCAGCCCACACTAATGATCATATTTCTGAAACAGCCTGGAGGGGAGATTCCTAAACTCCTAGTTGTAGAGTTTCAGGCTGAGGATGAACAGATAAATAATGGCTTGCCAAATTAATTAATTATTTTATTAGCCTGAGTAATTATTAATCAGGTCATTAATCACCCAGTTGTGCACTATGAATAGTAATTATGTGGTTGGGGGTGGGGGACGACAGTGGTGGAGCAACTTATGGTTTTAAGGTCTGGCAATATATGGACCTTCTCTTGGTCCTAGGAAGATTTCAGAGGATTTATGGGCTCCATCTCTCCCCTCACCCTCACACCCATGCTTAGAGATTAGGAACAGAATGGGATCTACCTGGATCCTTTTGCAAAGGCAGACATCAATTTCATCCTTCCCCTCTTGACTTCCAGAGTTCAGAAGGATGGAGAACATGGAGGCAGAGACATGTACATGGAGATGAAAGTGAAGAGAACGTGCTCTTGTGAGTGTGTGTGCGAGTGTGTGTATGTGTGCGTGTGTGTATGTGTGTGTGAGCGTGTGGTGTGTGTGTGAGTGTGAGTGTGTGAGTGTATGGTGTGTGTGAATATGTGTGAGTGTGTGAATGTGTGTGCGTGTGTGGTGTGAGTGTATGTGAGTGTATGAATGTGTGTGAGTGTGCGAGTGTGTGAGTGCCTGAATGTGTGTGAGTGTGTGTGTCAATGTGTGTGAGTGTGCATGTGTGTGTACCAGGGTGAGACTGAGACAGAAGCAATTCCTAAATGTGCCAGACGTCTCCACGGCCTCAATTTGACTGGTCATTTGATATAAGAGAGCAATGCTGGGATTCACTAAAAATTTTGCCTTTGAACCTCATGTTTTGGGAGGTATAGATGCCACCAGAAGCAAGGAAAAATAGAGGAGGCTGAAAACAGAGACAGGAGGAAGTGCAAGGTGAGACAGGAAATAAGTGGAAGAGGGAAGGAGGAAAAGTAGAATGAGCTCTTTACCTTTGAATTGACTTTATGTTTTTGTCTTGCTGGGATGGGTGGTATTCCCTTCCGGGCCTTCTTTTCCACACTCCCCATCCTACTCAGGACCTTCTCTTTCCTGAGATTTGGAGTGGGCTCCAGCTTCAGAATCTTTCTCCTCGAGCTATTTCCAAAGACTCTGTCCACTGCCCTGTAGGGTTGGAAGGAGGGGAGTGAGGATAAAAAGAGATGGTGAAGTGATGGCAGGTTACACTCATCCTTGACACCAGGAAATCATTCTGCAAGTCCCACCTCCATGCCTCCTACTGTTTGGAGATCCCATCAACTCATATCCCTGTGTGGTATCCCTTTGGATAACAGTAAACTCCTGCCTCTCAAGGTGCCCCTTTCTCCAGACCTCCTTTTCCCTGGGCCAGGTGCTCCCAGATCCCCTTCCTTCCACTGCTCACTTGGGGAGGGGGCACTGATCATGCTTTTCACCCCCCTAAGGCCCTCTGCTCATAGCCCCTTTTACTTTCTGTTTATGGTAAATTTCACCCTTATTTACAGTGGGTCCCGCTTTGTTTATGACCTGCTTGAGGTCAGTTTTATTTTTGTATCTCCAGTTCCTCTCCCATGCACTGTTTGTTTATGCCTCCTGTTGGTGCCCCCTTTGCAGGCTCCTCTGCAAGACCCCACTCTGAGAGGGCGCAGGGGAAGGGGAAGGCCTGGATCTGAGAACCTGGGTCCTGCAGCTCCAGGATACGGTTGGGCTAAGGAGGGGCTGAGGGGTGGCCGTGGCAGCTCCATCTCCTGGGTCTTACATCAAATGACCAGTCAAATCGAAGCTGTGGAGAAATGGAAAGATACCTAGGAAGAGGAAGGGACTGGAGGTGGCCGCTGGGTCCTGAGAAGCCCTTGCAGAAATTGGCCAGGGAAGAGGCCCTCACATGCCCGATCCCACCTGTTTGGGGCTCAGGCTGCTGTGAGAATATGGAACCCCCAGGCTCCTCAGGCCCCAGTCCTTGCAGGCCTGTCCACTGGGCATCCCTGTTCAGTGTATCCTCTCAGCAGAGCTCTGGGGGCAGGGCAGGGGGTCAGACTCAGGGGCAGCTCCTGACATGACAGAGCCTGCCATGAGATAAACATGGGGCCTGGAACCCAGCCTCTTGTTTGGAATTCTTGGTGGTTGGGGAGGGTGATATGGGGAGGGAGCGGTTGGTGGGAAAATGAGTGGAGTGGGGAGAGCGGACCTCATGGAGGGTCCATGGGTGCTGAAAGAGGAGACCATAGCCTGGCGGCCCTTGACGTCACTCAGGGACTTGTTGCTAATGGCTCTGGGGAAAGGGCTAGCATCCAAAGTCCCTTGAGATTGACTTACCCTCTTATGAAAGCACCCAGCACCACCTCTGAGTAAGCACCTGATGGGCACTGGGGAGGGAAGAACGGAGGATGGAAAGAGCTGTGGATTCTCAGCACCTTAGGGTAGTGCAGCAGCGCTCACAAGTTCTTCTCTCTGACTTCCACCTCCCTCTGTAAGGGATGGGGGCGTAGGGAGGGTGGAGTGAGAGTGCCCGAGATTTCCTGCTCTTCCCTCCAGAGTCTCCCTGGGAGTTGTTCATCTTCAGCCAGGTTCTGAGTGTTATCTAGAAGACACTCCAGGGAACTAGCTCCAGCTCTGTGGGAGCCTTATCTTGCCTGCAGACAGACTCAATTAACCTCTTCTCGCCCTCAGTGCATGTGTGGAGGGCATCTTCCTCCCATCCCTGGTGGCCGTCCTTTCTTTTTCTTTTTCTTTCTTTCTCTTTTTTTTTTTTTTTTTTTGAGATGGAGTCTCGCACTGTCGCCCAGGCTGGAGTGCAGTGGCGCGATCTCGGCTCACTGCAAGCTCCGCCTCCCAGGTTCAGGTCATTCTCCTGCCTCAGCCTCCTGAGTAGCTGGGACTACAGGTGCCCGCCACCATGCCTGGCTAATTTTTTGTATTTTTTTAGTAGAGACGGGGTTTCACCATATTAGCCAAGATGGTCTCGATCTCCTGACCTCTTGATCCACCCACCTCAGCCTCCCAAAGTGCTGGGATTACAGGCGTGAGCCACCGCGCCCGGCCTGGCCCTCCTTTCTGTATGTCTCTAGGGGCATCCCAGATATTCCTCCATCTCCATGTCCTCCCCCTCCCCAGTATTTATCAGGCTAGGACACCGCTGGAAAGGAGGTGTCTTCTATTTTCTCTTGCTCCTTTCCCCTGAGCTAACCCTGCCCTGCATCCCTGCTAAGCCCTTCTTAGGATCTTCCCTTCATCTCTCTTCTTCCATTCATCCTTTCCTTAGAACACAGGCATTCTATGGCCAGGCGCAGTGGCTCACTACTGTAATCAATTCCAGCACTTTGGCAGGCCGATGCCGGCCGATCACTTGAGGTCAGGAGTTCGAGACTAGGCTGGCCAACATGGCAAAACCCTGTCTCTACTAAAAAACACAATAATTAGCTGGGCGTGGTGGCGCGCACCTGTAATCCAAGCTACTCGGGAGGCTGAGGCAGGAGAATCACTTGAACCCAGCAGGCGGAGGTTGCAGTGAGCCAAGATTGGGCCACTGCACTCCAGCCTGGGCAAAAAAGCGAGACTCCATCTGAAAAAAAAATTATTATATATATATATGTCAAATTCTCAAAATAACCATGAGGAACTATTATGTCCAATTTACAGAAGAGTAAACTGAGGCTGAGGAAGGTCAAATCATGCTAAATCATGTGCCCAAGATCACGCAGCCAGGAACTGGCAGAGGTGGGATTCAGTGGTCCTTTCGAGGTGGCCCATGCCTGGGGGAGTCGGCCCCCTCCCTCCCAGGCTCGATGTAAGGAGCCTGGAAGGGGCCCTTGTGGTGCCCAGGCAGCCCCCTCCTTCTGGCACCCAGCAGGGTTCAAAGGAGGGGCTGGGAAGCTGGGCGGGGGACCCCTGCCTCCACAAGCCTCCCCCAGCCTGGCCAGATGCCTTTGGGGCCTGGAGACAAGGGGCAGAGAATGGAGCTGCCATAAACAGTGTCCGGCTGCACCATGAGGCTGTAAAACCAGCCCAGCAGAGCTGGAATGTGGAGGGATCTAGGAAGGATTTTCCGGTGGGTCTGGCCTGATAGCATCTTTGGGGCCTGGGGTCAAAAGGGAGCCCACCTCCCTTCCCTCCCTCTTCCCAGCCATCCTGCTGCCCTCTCTTTTCCCCTTCCCCCACCTCCTTTGCTCCCACTTCTCCCCCCATCTTCCTCTGCTCTTCTAGAGACTTCTGTCATGTTTCTGTAGCTGTGTCTAAGTGTCTCCACCCCTACCTGGTCTCTCTTGGCCCCTTCCTCTCTGGGAGGTGGCGCAGCACCCACTTGAATCTGTTGGCTGCGTAACTTTGGGGCTCCTCTATCTTATTCCCCCTCATCTGTAAAATGAGGAATAATGCGGCACCTATCTCAGAGGCTAGATGAGGTAAGATCTGTAAAGCACTTAGGACAGTGCCTGAGTCATATTAAATGCGATCTAATTGTCTGTTAATGTAATAAATATTAGTGTGTCTGTTTATTCCGGTTTCTCTTCCCTGCAGAGAGATCTGGGTCAGCTGGTGGGCTTTCCTCTACTTATTCCTTTTCACAGCCTTCACTTAGGTCCAGGAGGCGGCTGGTGGTGCGACTCTAAGGACAGGATGAATGCTGGACATCCCACCTCCCACCAGGCCAGGCCCCCAAGTCTAGCTTTGCAGACCAGGCTGCCATCCCTTCTCTGGCCAGCAGAGGGAAGCAGATGCCCAGACTGTGACCTCCAGGAAGGGGTGTGCGCTCACCTGGCCCTGCTGAAGGCCGAGGAGGGCGATGGGAAGGGCCCAGTGGTTTTGTGTCTAGGTTAATTCCCAGATGCTTCGCTCCTGCTCCCGTGCTTCCGTGTGTGAGGATGAGGTGGGGAAGGGGTGTCTTGCCTTGTTACCCATGTTGTGACATGTACAGGGGCAGTTGTGTGTTTTAGAATGTACCAGGACCACCAAATCAGCGTCCTGTGGCCCCAAAGGACTCAGAGATTGTCTAATGGGCCAATCCCCTTATCTTCAGCTGGGGAGACCGAGCCCAGGGAGGGCAACGTGCTTGTTCAGGCTTGCACGGTGAGCTCATGGCCGAGCTTTCAGACGGTTACTGCACCATTCTTACTGGTGTGCATCTCTGAGTTGATGAGAAGTGGGTGTGTCTGCTGTACCACACAGAAACCCAGGTCTCAGAACAAGTGCCTGCTTCCCCCCACCTCCACTGCTGGGGCTAACTCCTGGAAGAGGCCTTGTCCTCCCCTTCTCTGGCTTCCCTGTCTCTGCACCAGCCTCTTCCTCATGGCCCAACTGACCAGCTGAATGAAGGATATTCACTACCTTCCCTAGAATCCAGGTGTCTGGAGATTGGGGCTCTTGTAATGATAGTGAAAGCTGCTGTGATTACTATTGTGGCCAACCTTTGTAGACCACATGTAGTCGTTGTCACGCATCAGATCATTTAATCACTTAATCCCGCATCGATCTTTCAAGGGAGGCACTCTAGCTATTCTCATTGTACCCATGAGGAAATTGAGGCACAGAAAGGTGGAGGACCTTGTCCAAGACTGCACAGCCAGCAGGCAACCAGGCCATCCCAACCCAGTGACGAGTACTAAGCAGGATGGATCCCATGTGATGGTGCTAGCCATACCCCCAGTAACCACCTCTGGCTGCTTGTGGAATGCTCAGCATGTGCCCAGCACTTCTCATTTGATCTTGGCTGCTCACAATAACCCTGTGGCATATGTTTTATCTCCACTTTGCAGATGAATGAACAGAAGCTCAGCTAGTAAGCAGAAGGACCAGGCCTCTATCAGAGCTCTGGGGGGCTCTATGTTAAACCCATGCACTTAATCATCCACTGGTCTGGTGCTCTGAAACTTTACATCACCTTAGGATTTGTCAAAATGTAGATTCTGACTCAGTAGGTCTGGCGGCAGGGCCTGAGATGCTGCATTTCCTTTTTCCTTTCCCTCTTTTTTTTCTTTTTTCTTTTTTCTTTCTTTCTTTTTTTTTTTTTTTTTTGAGACAGAGTCTCGCTCTGTCGCCCAGGCTGGAGTGCAGTGGCGTGACCTCAGCTCACTGCAACCTCCGCCTCCCGGGTTCAAGTGATTCTACTGCCTCAGCCTCCCGAGTAGCTGGGACTACAGGGGTGCGCCACCACCATTGAGGCACCTGGGAGCAGGCTGCACTCCTTTTGTTGGCCTCATCCTGTTTGTCTGGGGTTCTCCCTCCTTCCTCCCCACCTCCTCTGCTTCTTGCTGTCTCTACTCTCCCAGCCCTGGCATTTCATCTCATCTCTGTTCTCTGGTTGACTCTGTTCCCAGCCCTCCAGGACTCAGAGTCACAGGTGTGATTTTGAATGGTCATTGACCAGTTGCATGGCCAGCTCACTATCCCTTTCTCCAGCTCAATCCGACCTTCCCATGACCTGAGCCTGGCTTTCTTCAGCAGGAGACCTTTAGGACAGACAACACCCAGAGGCTGACAGAGGGGACCTCCCTGTCTGAGAGGTCCTAGAACAGGAAAGTGGGGCTCATCCAGGCTGTGGGAATGGACCTTCTGCAGGAGCCAGACTGGATGGGGGCCTCTAGAACCTCCCCCCTGCATTCAGTGGCAGCATTCAGATTAATCTCTCCCCTGGCCTTCAGCTGGGAGTGTAGTGGAGTGTTCACAACCCTTGGTCTTTTCATGCCGATGATACTGTCTGTCCTTCTGGGAGGTCTGCTGGCCTCACATTTACCTGGAGAACGAGCTGCTCGTCAAGTTGCTTACCAGGGCAACCACACCACAGAGCAGGCGTGCAGAGCTGGGTCCTGCAGCTCTCCTGGCCCCAGATGGGGCTCAGGTGGCTGAGGGAATGACGGTATCTCAGCTCTCAGCTGGGACTCAGACTGGAGAAAATAGGAGCAAGCAGCTCTCTTCCTAGCCTTTTCCTGGGTACTTTAGGAAAGTTCCTGCCCCCTGGGTGGAGACCCGATAGTTGTTCATCCCATAAATGCCTACTGAGCACTGCCTATGTGTGAGGTGCTCTGATGGCCATGAGAGCTTGAGCCCACCTCAGGTCTGGGTGACTGAAAGAGGAGGGCTCTGTCCATGGGCCAGAGTGGGAGGGAGGTCCCAGCAGCACCAGACAGAGAGGAAAGGCCAGACAGACCTTTTCTGGAGTCAGGAGCTGAGGAGGCATGGAGGAGGAGTGAGATGCCTCCCTGCCCTCTCTAACTAACCCCCTCCTGCACATGGGGGTTCTGGTCTGTAGATGGTGAGCTGGGCAGGTTGCTCTCTCTGCCTCTCCTGGCCTCATTTCTGTACTTTGAAATATGACAGCATGAGGCTAAGCCAGGAGTTCTCAGGAGATGACTTAGAAGCACCTGGGAGCATTACAATTCTGATTCCTCGACCCCTCTGATCTAACTGCTCTGAGGTCCTGGGGTCAGGACCTAGCATTTGGTCCCCTGAGCCCTGCCTGATTCTAATGGGCAGCCAGGTGATGGGTAGTGGAGGCAGAAGGCTGGCGGACCTCCTACAACCCCTCCAGAAGGCTAAGGGGGCACCCAGGGCCCTTCCTGCTCTGTCAGGCTGCAGTTTGGGGGAAGCCACTGTGCTTGAGTTTTTATAGTGCTAGGCACTGAGTGGCGTTCATTTAGACCCCAGACAGGCGCTTACTATCCCCACTGTGGGAAGGAAGCTGAAGCCCAGAAAGGTAAGTGGAACAACCCTGAGCTTTTTATTTATTTATTTTTTATTTTCATTTATTTATTTATTTTTATTTTTTGAGATGGAGTTTTGCACTTGTCACCTAGCCTGGAGTACAATGGTGTGATCTCTGCTCACTGCAACTTCTGCCTCCCAGGTTCAAGCCATTCTCCTGCCTCAGCCTCCTGAGTAGCTGGGATTGCAGGTGCCTGCCACCACGCCCAGCTAATTTTTGTATTTTTAGTAGAGACAGGGATTCCCCATGTTGGCCAGGCTGGTCTCAAACTCCTGACCTCAGGTGATCCACCCACCTTGGCCTCCCAAAATGCTGGGATTACAGGTGTGAGCCACCGACCGCACCCGACCAATCCTAAACTTTTAAAATCTTAGGTCCCCACCACTGCAGGTCTATAGCGTTTTCCTCCACTTTCTCTGCGTTGGTTTCTCTTCTCTTGATGGACAAGACACTTTCTTTTTCCATCTCCTGCGCTCTTACCTACCTCTTCCTCTCTTCTCTCTCCCTCTAATCTCCAGAGAAGGTGCTTATCAACTATTTTCTGAGAAGTCCTCCCTGTCATCTGTCCCAAGTTTCTTCTCCAAGGAAAGTCCATATTCCCTGATCTCCCCTTGTAGGTGGGGAGGAGAGAGCGCTGCAGACATTGCCTCTGACTGTCACTGCTGTTCCTGGCTCCCCTGGCCTCCTGCTCCCTTCTTCTCATCTATCACCAGTTTTTGCCCTTCTTCCCTCTTCAGAATTCTTTGTTTGGTTTATAACAGAGGTAAAAAGCCAGAGTAATTAATTCCCAGAGAGAAATCCTCTCCAATTCCAGCAGGAAGGATTGAGGCTAGATGCCTGGAAAAACTTCCAAATAGCCTAAGTGAGTAGTTCTGAATAAGGGTGTGGATCCAAGGGGAAAGACTGGTCTCTCTCCAGGCTTATAATCCTCTTCTTCTTCCTGGTCCCCCCTTTACACATGCCCACAAACCCCTGCTAGGGTGACTTTGTGCCCATCCCCTGACCTCTTCATGAGTGCTGCCAGGGGCTCAGAGATCATGGGCTCCTCAGGGCCACACTGATGCTGAAGGATGGGTTGGGGCACCCTCCTGCCCTGGCCTTGACCATTGTCCCTGCTCTGGGCCCTGTGGCCTTACCATCCACTCCAACCGTCCCTCATCTTCTCAGGATGGGATGCTTGGAGGGTCTGTGTGTGGGAGATCTGAGGGTGTGCTGGGTCCATCTGTGGAGCCAGCCGTGTGTGTGGCTGTGCATGGGGTGAAGGCATACCTGGGGGTCTCGGTGTGCCTTTGCCTCAGCCCTTGCCCCAGAACTCCAGAAGGCCCCTCTGGTCTCTATCCTGCCTCTGGCCCTGGGGTCAGCTGGTAGGTGGGATGAGTTGGTGAGTGCACAAGCTTGGGAGAGCCACTGACACTATGAAGTAGGCATGCCGACACCTGAGGCTTCCCTGATGTTGCACTGAATGCCCTCAGGCCCCAGGCCAGATCTGCTGTCCACTATCTGGCTAAATGGGCCCTTACCAACCAGGCCCAACCTTCTGAAAGTAGGCACTGGTGGAGGATTGAAGGGCTGTGTTGGGGACCTTTTGGCTCTTCCTTCTAAGGGCTCCTAGTCTGCCTCCCTCCAGGAGCTCTGGAGTGGTGGGTTTCTAGATGGGCAGAACCCATCAGTCCCATCTGCACCCTCCATTGCAGGTCCAGAATTATTCTGTAGCGGGTCAGTTCCTGACCCCTCTCTCCACATCTTTGTTTTTTTTTTTTTTTTTGAGACAGAGTCTCTCTCTGTCGCCCAGGCTGGAGTGCGGTGGCGCGATCTCAGCTCACACGGCAAGCTCCGCCTCCCGGGTTCACACCATTCTCCTGCCTCAGACTCCCGAGTAGCTGGGACTACAGGCACCCACCACCACACCTGCTAATTTTTTGTATTTTTAGTAGAGACGGGGTTTCACCGTGTTAGCCAGGATGGTCTCGATCTCCTGACCTCGTGATCTGCCCACCTTGGCCTCCCAAAGTGCTGGGATTACAGGCATGGGCCACCGTGCTTGGCCCACACCTTTGTTTTTATTTTAATTTTATTTTTTGAGACACGGTCTTGCTCTGTCAATCAGACTGGAGTGTAGTGGCTTGATTACGATTCACTGCAGCCTTGACCTCCTAGACTCAAGTGATCCTTCTGCCTTGGCCTCCCATGTAGCTGGGACACAGGTGCGCCCACCGTGCCTAGCTTTTTTTTTTTTTTTTTTTTTTTTGTACAGATGAGGTCTCATGTTGTTGCCCAAGCTGGTCTCGAACTCTTGGGCTCAAGCAATCCTCCCACCCTGGCCTCCCAAAGTGTTGGGATTACAGAAGTTAGCCACTGCGCTTAGCCTTTATTGAACTCCTGGCCTCAAGTGATCTTCCAGCTTCAGTCTCCCAAAATGCTGAGATTATAGGTGTGAGCCACTGTGCCCAACTCTTCCCACATATTTGAAGAAGGGTGTTTGTTTGTTTGTTTGTTTGTTTGTTTTTTGAGATGGAGTGTCGCTCTATTGCCCAGGCTGGAGTGTAGTGGTGTGGTCTTGGCTTACTGCAACCTCCGCCTCCTGGGTTCAGGCACTTCTCCTGCCTCTACCTCCTAAGTAGCTGGGATTACAGGTATGCACCAGTACGCATGGCTAATTTTTGTATTTTTAGTAGAGACGAGGTTTCACCATGTTTGCCAGGCTGGTCTCAAACTCCTGACCTCAGGTGATCTGCCCGCCTTGGCCTCCTAAAGTGCTGGGATTACAGGCGTGATGGCGCCCGGCCTGAAGAGGAGTTTTAAAAATGATTCAAGTTCACGTACGGAACATTATCATTGCATTTGGTTCTTTCCACACTTCTTTAAGGTAAAATGGTGGGCCAGAGGGAGTTTTACTTTTTTTTTGAGACGGCGTCTCGCTCTGTTGCCTAGGCTGGAGTGCGGTGGCATGATCTCGGCTCGCTGCAACCTCCGCCTCCCTGGTTCAAGCGATTCTCCTGCCTCAGCCTCCTGAGTAGCTGGGACAGGCATGTGCCACCACGTCCAGCTAATTTTTGTATTTTTAGTAGAGACAGGATTTCACCGTGTTAGCCATGATGGTCTCGATCTCCTGACCTCGTGATCCGCCCGCCTCGGCCTCCCAAAGTGCTGGGATTACAGGTGTGAGCCACCGTGCCCGGCTTTTTCTTCCTTTTAATGAATGAGGTCACTGAGGCTCTGTGGGGAGGTGTGCCCAGGGTCACCAGATGGAGAGCGGCAGATTAGGAACAGAATGGGGTTAGCCTGTGTCCTCTTCCAGTGCTCCTTCTGGGCCCTACTCCTTCCTGATCAGGTGCCCTCGGGGCTGGGGCTGCCGATTTGGCCTCTCACAGAAGGTGGGGCCCTGGGTTCCCTGTCCTCTGCATCAGCAACCCTGGGCCCCAGCTCTAAGCACGGGTGTGGTGGTGGGAGGTGGAACTGCCTGTCCTGCCTCTGCACGGCCACAAGGGGGCTCCAGGACCAGGTTTTTCTTTTTGCTGGAGCTGCAAGGGTTCCCAGTAATCCCAGCACCCTGAGCTTTTCTGGAAGTGCCGGTTATCCTTCTGAAGCTGCCACTGAAGGGTCTCTGCCAGGCTGGGAGGCCATCAGAAAGGGCGCAGCCTTTGCACTTTATAATCCTATTCCAGAAGTACCTCCCTTTGCTTGGCTAGGAAGTCCTTCCAGTTGTCTACCCTCCATTTCTACTGCTACAGGCCGGGAGAGATGAGGCTGAGTGAGCCACTCTTCTTTCTTTGCTTACTACTCCCCTACCCAAGGCTTGAAGGGAAGTACTTGTTCTTGTCCCCATTCCCTGATCATTAGAGCTCAGACTGCTCTCCTGTCACTGCTAAGGGCTGGATAGACAGCAGCAGGAAAGATGTAAGTTAGACATCAGGAAGGACTTCCTGACAGAGAAGGCCATGGGCTGCTGGGTTTGAGTATCTGAGGAAGGCTGAACAAAGGGAAGTTGGCTGTTCATCTGGGGTGAGGCTCTGGGAAAAGTCCTCTGTGCTCCACACCCCGAAGCTATACATCCCTGGAAGTGGGGAGTGGGGCCTGGGTACAGTTATTTGCTACTGTGTCTCTCCGAACCTCAGGGAACCACAGATATTGCTGGCTCCTTGGGCTTCTGGGATGGGGAGGAGATCTGCGTGGGGGCTTACAAAGGGGTGGAAAGGAAAACACCTGAGCCACTCCCTCCCTTGGCTGGTGACCCAAGGCAGAGGGAAGGATGACATGATGGAACAGTTTGCTGCATCTACTTCAGTTGGCTTTCAGAGCCCCTGTGAGGTCTTCAGCTTCTTAGGTTATCATCAACCTACTGGGCAAAGACTGAGTCATGCGGGTGGAGTGCTTCTTGCGGCAGGTGGGGTGCTTCTTGCGGCAGGAGATGACGCTGCGCAGGATATGAAGGAGTCTGGTCCCCTCTGTTTTCTGCACCTTGACTTTCCAAGTGGGACATGAAATGTCATTTGCCTCTTCTGTCTTCAATGCTGAGGGGACCCTGGGGTCAAGGGAAGAGCAGGCCTTTGGAGTCAGACCTTACCTGTTGGAGCCGCATGGCGGACCGCTCTGTCTCAATCCCCGCATCAGAAGGGAAGGGTGGAATAAGAAATCCTACTTCCCAGGGCTGTGGTGAGCTTTGGGAGACGGCAGATGTGAAAGGGCCTCTGGGGGGGGGGGAGCACAGCACAGCAGGTGCTCCCGCCCAGACTCCTTTGTTCCTGGAGAAGGGGAGATGTGTCCATTTCCCAGATTGGAACATGGTGGCAGGAATGATACTAAGGCTCAAGGCCAGGATCTCTGCTGGACATGCTCCAGAGTCAAAAGTTTGGCCTCCCGCTCCCCTGGCTCCTCCTGTTTCCTCCCCTCCCTCTTCCCACAAGGCCCTTCTCTGGCTCTACTTTCTACCCTGCATCCACCTCTTTTCTTACTTTTTTTTTTTATTCTCCCTTCCTTCTTTCTTCCCCTTTCTCCTTCAGCTCTATTTCCTATTTCCTCTGTTCCTTTACTTTCCTCTCTTCCTCCCTTCCTTCCTTCTTTATTTTTTATGAGACGGAGTCTCGCTCTGTTGCCCAGGCTGGAGTGCAGTGGTATGATCTCAGCTCACTGCAACCTCTGCCTCCTGGGTTCAAGCGATTCTCCTGCCTCAGCCTCCTGAGTAGCTGGGACTACAGGCGCCCACCACCACGCCCAGCTAATTTTTTGTATTTTTAGTAGTGACGGGGTTCCACCATGTTAGCCAGGATGGTCTCGATCTCCTGACCTCGTGATCCGCCCGCCTTGGCCTCCCAAAGTGCTGGGATTACAGGCGTGAGCAACCGCACCCAGCCCCTTCCTTCTTTTACTAAGCATTAAGTTAGGTGAAAGAGATGATCAAGAGCACTAATGCACGTGCTGTACCCCCGATCATCTCCTGAGTTGTTTTCTTCTCAGTCTTTCTTTCTGATCTCCCCACTAGGCTGATGCTTCTGTTCTGTGGGCCTGGGATGGGAAGGAAGTTGATAATAAAATCTGGTTCAATTAAATGTGTGCCTGTATTTGTGTGTATCCTGGGGAGACAGCTGAATAGCACATGGTGGTCCTTGCCCTTGAAGGACTTGTGGCTAGGGAGGGAGGCTGCGGTGTCAGCAGCAGTGTGACAAGTGCTGCCTCAGACGTTTGAATAGGTTGCTGGGATCTGACGAAGAACATCAGAAAAGGCTTCACAGAGGAGGTGATGGTTGAGATGGGTTTTAAGGGATGAGCTGGAGTTTGCCAGGTTCAGCAGTGGGTGGAGAAAAAGGCAGTCCTGTCAGAGGGATTACCACAGGCAAAGACATGTTGCTAAGAAAGGGCAAGGAGAATTTAGGGAACCGGCAGTAGTTCTGTATGGCTGAAGCCGAGGGAGTCATGGGAGACTGAAATCCCAACCCAGAAGGGGAGCAACGATGCCCAATGGTCAGCTCACTAGCCATGCGAGAGTGGTGCAGAACAGGGCATTGCTCCCTGCTAAATGAATGACAAGGGGCAGTGGGAGCTGGGGGTGTGGAGAGGTGTGCCCTGGGCCTTCATCTCCTCCCTACTTGCTGGCTATTCTGCTCTGGGAAACCTACATTAACTGATCCTGGGCCTCGGTTGCCTCATCTATAAAACGGGGATGGTGAAGCCTTATCTCCTGAAGATGGGTAAGACAGACCTGATTTCTTTAGGTGCCTTTCAGCATTGAGAGCTGTAGGATTATGATCACTTGGGGTTTGTGTGATCAGAGAAGCCTTCATGGAAGTGGAGGACTTGGTATCTGGCTTTAAATGATGGCTAGTCTGCGGCCGGGCGCAGTGGCTCATGCCTGAAATCCCAGCACTTTGGGAGGCCGAGGTGGGCGGATCACGAGATCAGGAGATCGAGACCATCCTGGCTAACACAGTGAAAACCCATCTGTACTAAAAATACAAAAAAAAAAAAAAAAAAAAAGTTAGCGAGGCGTGGTGGCGGGCGCCTGTAGTCCCAGCTACTGGGGAGGCTGAGACAGGAGAATGGTGTGAACTCAGGAGGCGGAGCTTGCAGTGAGTCAAGATTGCATCACTGCACTCCAGCCTGGGCAACAGAGCGAGACTCCACCTCAAAAAAAACAAAAAAGAAAAAGATGGCTAGGCCAGGCGCGGCGGCTCACGCCTGTAATCCCAGCACTTTGGGAGGCCGAGGCAAGTGGATCACGAGGTCAGGAGTTCAAGATCAGTCTGGCCAAGATGGTGAAACCCCATCTCTACTAAAAATACAAAAAATTAGCAGGGCGTGGTGGTGGGTGCCTGTAATCCCAGCTACTCGGGAGGCTGAGGCAGAGAATTGCTT
Source organism: Homo sapiens (assembly GCF_000001405.40). Lineage (NCBI taxonomy): Eukaryota > Metazoa > Chordata > Mammalia > Primates > Hominidae > Homo > Homo sapiens. The sequence continues at coordinate 54,198,132 of NC_000012.12, read as the reverse complement.
GAAACCAGGAGGCAGAGGATGTAGTGAGCCGAGATCATACCATTGCACTCCAGCCTGGGCGACAAGAGTGGAACTCCGTCTCAAAAAAAAAAAAAAAAAAAAAATGGCTAATGTTGAGCGAAATTGAGAGGAGTGGGGAAGACTCGGGGGACCATGACAAAAGTTGGAGACAGGACAGTGCAGGGCATGTCTGGAGGATGATGTGTCCAGCCAACTTTTGGGGTTGAGGCTGGCTTTAAGGTAGGAGAGGACAGGAACACGCCTTGTGCTGTCAGGAGGTACGTGAGAGTCATGGACTCTGGTGCATGATCCCCTCCCTGCCCCCAAGCCTCTTGGGACCAGACTGAACTGGGAGCCAGAAACATGCAAATGAGATGCAAACAGCAGGTGACTCACACCCCTGCACCCACTGCCTGAGGCCTGTTTTGTGTGGGTTTGAGCCACAGGACAGAGGGTCCTGTACCCTTTACCTTCCCTGCCCGGGCTCTTCTTGCCTTACTGGCTAAGCCTGCTAGATTTTGGGGACACAGGCCTATCAGCTCTTTCCCTTCTCCAGGCCCAAGAGCTATTCCTTCCCCACCCCTCCCCTGCTAGAGCCCTCGCCCCTCCCATTCATCCCGGGAGGACTGGCTCGGTTCCTGTGGAAGCTTCCCAAAGCCCGCAGGAAGCGTCTGAATTTCTCTGACAGGGAGAGTGAAGAGCAGGTCAGAAAGATGACCTGAGACAGAGGGAGTGACTGGGATGGGGTCTTAGACAGGGGAGACCACAAGGTAAGGGACAGTCTGTTGAGAGGCCCAAGAAAAACAGAGATTTCCAGGGAAGTAGATAGATGCAAACCCAGTGAGCAAAAAGAGCCTGAGACCCTGAGAGACACATTCCAGCAGAGACCCTGAGTGACAGAGACAGACGGAGAGAGCCCTTCTCATGTGTCCAGCCTGGGACATGCTGTACCAGCGCCTCTGTCGGCTTTCTCTTGCCTGTCTGCCTGTCCCTGGCTGACGGTCCCTTTGTCTGTCTAGCTCTTTGTTTGTTTGTCTGTTTGCCTGTCTCCCTCCTGGTTGCCCCTTTCTTTCCCTTCTGCTGTCTATCTGTTGGTCCAGAATTCTCCGTCTGTCATTGCCCTCTGCCTGTCCACTATCTATGGAGAGCAAACTGCCCACTGGGATCGTGGGGCCCCTGTGTCCTTGCCTCCTGATCTTGGACAGGTTCTTGCTTTTCCTTCTCCTGATTTTGGGTCTCAATTTCCTCCTTTCTAAGGTGGCCCTACTTTCTGCCTCCTATCATGTTTATGAGCCTCAGGAGTGTGGAAAAGTGACTGTATTTATGGTTGCTCAGGCATCCTAACAAAGGGTTTAACGCATTTGAGGAACAATATTGCTCTTCAACCTTCTAAGGACAAAGCAAGAAGACAATAATGGCTGCAGCATGGAGCACAGTGGTTAGACATTCAGAGAGACTTCCTAAAAGGGCAGTGTGGAAAATATTAGAGAAGGCCTGCTAAGACGTTAAACAACCCCTTTCATAATGTCCTGAGGAGGAGTCCCATGGCAGGAAGACACGCAACATGACCTTCCTTAGTCTGTGTGGTCTGAGAAAAAGGCTTTTGATGTTATGAGATAGCAGTGACTGGCAGGAGGCGGCTAGGGTACAACCCTTGCCATCAGCTATCCTAGGCTCCCACCTGCACAGCCTCTCAGGTGGCTGGGGATTGGGCCCTGAGGGAAAAAGCGTGTGGAGGAAGTGCTATCTATCTCCGCACCTCCACCCTGTTTCTCTGTCACTTCCCCAAGCTGAGGACCACCCCGCCCTCGCCCCCCGATAATCCATGAGAGATGGCTGCTGGGGACGGAGTGATGTATGTAATGCAGATAAAATGTCAGCAATTCTAAATGGGTCCGGAGATGCAGCCGTGGGTTGGGGGGAGGGAGAGAGGGCGGAGCAGGGGGGAGAGAGGAAGGGAAAATGAGATGTGGTCCTTACCAGGGATGGCAGCAGGGACAGACACCCTCCTCCCCCCAGCAAAGGCCAGAGGAGGGGTGGGCCCAGGAGACAGGAGCCCAGATGAGATTTTGAAGAGGGAGCTGGAGGGTGGGGGTTAGAGGGGAGGAGGACGCGGGCGGGGGCAGTGGGGCCGGAGCTGCTGATGTATAGCGGTTTCATAACTTCCTCAGTATTAAAGGCAGGTTCATGGGGAGGGCAGCGCCATTAATCACCAGGCTGAATGGGGCTGGGATTTGCTGAGAGGCGCGCTTGCTGTCTGCTGCGCCTGCTCAGCTCAGGGTGGGAGGGGGCAAGCAGGGATGTCCCTCCTGAACTAAGGGGTGAGACCCCAGGACGCTATTCTGGGTGTTGGGCAAGTGGGTCCTTGCCTGTAGAGCAGGGGAGCCAGGGGCTGGGGACTGGCAGAAAGAAAGAGAAGGATGAGGAAGGTTGTGGCAGGGGCTAGGAGAGGAGGGTCAGGGGCTGTGGGGAATGATGGGGGCAGAGGCTGAGAGGATTCTAGGGGAGGAAAACTGGGGAGGGAGGATTGTGCATTTGAACATGAAATTGATCACATGTAAATATAATGCAAATGACATGCAAATAAGCATAGGATTTCTCTGGGTCCACAGCTCAAGCATTCTCTTTCTTGGATTGAGCACTGGGGCCAATTTGCATTCAGTTCTAGGCCTAGTGCCTCGTTTCTTTATTATTCATATTTTCAGAGGGAGAACTCAAATCTTGTTAAGGGAGTGGTGGGGCCAACGTGGGCTGGTCCTCTGGACTTCTTGGAAAAGGGTGAAACATCAGGAAAATCAACATGCTTGAGTGACAGTGAGTGACAGTGAGGGAGCAGAGTGGTAGGACTCCTGGGCTACATGCCTGAATTAATGGGGGTCAAAGAGGCAGAGGCTCAACAGTAAGGTAGAAAGGTGGAGAGAACAGACATATCCCCACAGCTTATCTGATAGACTCAGAGCAGATAAGACAAGGATGCATCATGTGTCCCGTGAAGTAGGCATTGTCATCCTCTCTTCCAGGTGAAGAACGAAATGATTAGCCCAAGGTTCACAGAGGTCATGAGCTTCCTAAGGTCACACTGCTGGCAAGTGGCAGACTCCCAGCTCCAAATGTCCTTGAAAGTTCAGTGCTCTTTTCAACCTGCTATCAGAACATCCTTGAGCTGGACATGGTGGCTCATGCCTGTAATTTCAGCACTTTGGGAAGCTGAGGTGGAAGGATCACTTGAGCTCCGGAGTTTGAGACCAGCCTGGGCAATATAGTGAGACCCCCATCTCCACAGAAAAATTTAAAAATTAGCAGGGTGTGGTGGTGCACATCTGTAGTCCCAGCTACTTGGGAGGCTGAGGTGGGAGGATTGCTTGAGTCTGGGAGGTGAAGGTTGCAGTGAGCTAAGATTGTGCCACTTCCCTCCAGCCTGGGCAACACAGTGAGACTTTGTCTCAAAAAAAAAAGGCTGGGCATGGTGGCTTACTTGCGCCTGTAATCCCAGCACTTTGGGAGGCTGAGGCAGGCAGATCACCTGAGGTCAGGAGTTCAAGACCAGCCTGGCCAACATAGTGAAACCCTGTCTCTTCTAAAAATATAAAAATTAGCCGGGCGTGGTGGCAGGTGCCTGTAATCCCAGCTACTCAGGAGGCTGAGGCAGGAGAATCCCTTGAACCTGGGAGGCGGAGGTTGCAGTGAGCCGACATTGTGCCACTGCACTCCAGCCTGGGTGACAGAGCAAAACTCTGTCTCAAAAAAGAAAAAAAAAAGTATGTCCCTCAAAGTGTTGCTGAGAGGAGTAAAGGAAACAATCCACATAAAGCACTCAGGGTGGTGTCTGGTGTGGACAAAGCACTCACTAACGGTTAGTTATTGTCACTATCACCCTTACCACTATTCTGAAAGATGTGGAATGGAGGACAGAGACAGAGAGAGGGATCACCAGAGAGATGAGAGGGGCAGTATGGGTGGGAAGGAAAGGACAGGTTCAAGAGGGCTGCAGGAGCAAGAGAAGGCAAATGACAGAGCCAGGGCCAGAGGCAAGGAAATTGTCTTTTGGGAACATTGCAGGGGAAGGAGCAGAGCTCAGAAGAATCACCCTAGGTTCAAGTTCCTGCTCTGTGACTGGTTCCCTGGGAGTGCAGGGCAAGGCAGGGCTGGGCCTCGGTGTTGAGTAGGCTGGAAGCTAGGATTCTTGGGTCGTCCTCCCACTTGGTCCCATGGCCACTCTCTCAGACTCATCTTGATCCTCTTCTAGTTGCTCAATTTGGTTCAACCTGTGGGAGATGCTCCTCCCATTCTCCAAGTCTCACTTCCATCCTTCCTGCTAAAGGACTTGGGGATCAGTCCCATTCCCTTGTCTGTCTGTCTATCTGATGTCTGTGTGGTCCCTCAGGATAATTGCTCTGGACAACTCTAACACCACTCAGACAGATTGTCCGGCCTCCTGGCCCTGACATCTCCCACCACTGCATCAAGCCAAATTACTCGGCCCCCCCAAGCCCCGGGCTCTGGTGAAATCCGATTAGTGAGGAGAGAGCTGCACTGAGCTGACAGCTCCTCCGATAATTGCTTCCCAAGTAAGTGATGCAAATCAGCCCATCCAGCCTATTCCTGCTCCTCTCTTGGGGACCCAGGCGTCCAGGCCCCAGGAGATGGAGGACACCAGAGTTGAGGAGACCTAGACGCTGTCATCTTCCTCCAGTTAAGTAGGCATAATCCATAAAGCTAGGTTGTGCTGCCTTGGGGCTGAGGTGTGCGTAGCAGGGTAGCGAGGCTGAGCCAGGGACCCCACTGGCTCTGCATTTCTGTCTTAACTGAGAGGGTGTCACTTTGTCACCTTATTCTCACCCCTTGGAGAATAATCCCATTTCTTGTAAGGTAGATGAAGGCAGAGATATAGAAGATACAGAGACAGCGAGATGGCTGAACCTGTTGAGAAACAAATCAGGCAGGTGCGGTGGCTTACACCCATAATCCCAACATTTTGGGAGGCCGAGGTGGGAAGATCACTTGAGCCCAGCAGTTCAAGACCAGCTTGAGCAACATAGCAAGACCCTGTCTCTACAAAAAAAATTTTTAAATTAGCTGGGTGTGGTGGTGCGCACCTGTAGTCCCAGCTACTGGAGAGGCTGAGGCGGGAGGACTGCTTGAGCCTAGGAGGTCGAGAGTGCAGTGAGTCATGATCATGCCACTGCATTCCAGAGTGAGACCCTGTCTCAAAAAAAAAAAAAAAAAAAAAAAAAGGACACAAATGGATGAACTCACAGCCTAGCTCCTCTGGTTGTGGGCCCTGCAGATAGCTTTCTCTCTTTGTAAGTGCCCCTCCTCACTAGGCTGAGGAAAAGACATGGAGTGTTAAGTCCCCACAGATGGAATGGGGAGGCATGGGGAATCTGATCAAGTCTGGAGACTTTTGCATCTGTGCCAAGGACATGTCCTTGGGATGCAGTGGCCCTTGCTTAACTCACACATCAAGGAGCCCTTTTCCCTTCCCCAAATCAGGGCCCTTTAAAGGGCCTGTTAATGCTTCTTCCTTAATGCATTTCCTTCCTACATCTTTACTTCAGGTTCTTTCTTGCTGTGACCTCCTTATCCCAACTTCTGCTGACCTTGGAGACCTGAAGAGTTACTTTCCTTGCAATCCTGAACTTCCAACTCCAAACCTAACCCTGCATGCAGGTCACTGTCTTTGGGAAATCTACAGGATGAGCTCCCCAGTCTTGTCCTCCGTGCTTGTGTGTCTGATAGGGCTTCATGGACTGGGTCTTGGGTACTCAGACTATCATCTGCCTGAGACCCTGGCAGAGCAACAGCAATAACTACCCTTTGTGGAGCCCAAATTCTGTAATAAGCACTTAATGTAATTAAGTCATTTAAACATCACAAAAGAAGATAGAGATTACAATGATTATCCCATTTTACAACTGAGATAACTGAGGCACAGAGAAATTAAGTAGCATGCCCAAGGTCACCATGAGTAAGTGGCAGAGCTTGGATTCAAACGCAGCAGTCTGATTCCAGAGCCCAAAGTCCTGAGGCCTCTGCTATGCTGTCTTCACTGTCCTATGCTCTTTTGATGTTTGTTGGGCTAATCGGGACAGGACCCAGTGTAGTGGAAGTGGGGAAGGTGGCTACACTGAAAGTTAAACACCAGAACCCCCTTTGGGGCTCCCCATGTCAGAAACAGTGAGTGGGAGCTGAACAGGGTGAAACTTAGTATCTATGAAGGGGGAAACATGGCCTTCACCTTCTCCAATTCCCGACCTTTGTTTTGTGCAGTGGGAGGCCCCGCAGCTAGACAGCCCTTCCCCGTGAGAAGCGGCGAGGCAAGGGAAAGGCTGAAAGATCCGCCTAGCAGCCCAAGTGAGCAGAGTCGGAGCTAGGACCCAAAGAGGCCGATAGATGGCGCTCATGGCCCAACACAGCTCCAGCAGCCCGAGGAAACAAAAAAAAAAAAAAAAAAACAAGTGAGCCGGTTAACCCCTTCCCTCCCGGGCTCAGGACAGAGGGGCTGGCTGGTGGGTATGCCTGGAGCCCTGCCCCAGGACCGGTGACTCAACTCTCTAGGCTCTTACCCAGGCGATAACCTGGGTCATCTTCTGTTCCTGCCCCACAAGGCTCTACCCGTAAATCACAGTCAGCAGCCTCCTGAAGACTTCCCAGAAGACATGAAGACTAATAAATGGAAGAGACTGGTTGGAAGGGCTGCACCCAAGCCCATGTTTCATCTCTTGGGCTCTATCTCTTGAAAGCCTCAGGGTCCCTGTTTCTAAGCACGCCTACTTCAGGAGAGCGCCTCACCTCCATCTTTCCTGGGAGTGACTCACTGGGCGGGGAGGAATAGCATGGACTAGAGAGAGAGAAGGCCCCAGGCCCCTCTGACATTGGCTGTAGGGACTCACTGTGGGCTGCCTAAGCCTCAGTTTCTCCTTATATCTGGACTTCCTATCTCTGGGTTCCCTGGGGTGGATGGGCTTATAGGGACAGAAACAGTTATTCAAGTCTTCTAGGAAATTGAAATCAGGGGTGGGGAGGTGGAGGTCCTGGGGGATCTCTGCTTGCCTGTTACTCATTTCACTCATTATTGTTCTGCCAGAAGCAGACTTTGAATGTGGAGGGGCTGCCAAGATGACAAACTAGAACAGAAGTGCTGGGCAAGCAAGTGACAGAGGGGTCGGGGTGGACAGGAGGGTTGTCCAAGGGATGGTGGAAATCCTGGAATTTTTAAGCAATGAGATGACACCACAATGAGGTCCCTTCACCTTATTTTTGGTCAGAAACACAGAAATACATAGACACACAGAGATGGGGGAACTTGTTCTAGAAGCTCAGATTCTCTTATTCCAGTCATTCTAGGGTAAGAAGCAGAAACAGGGAGATGTTCACAGAGGGAGACAGAGACCTGCAGATACAGAGAGAAAGCTACACAAGAGACTAGAAATAGAGATAAATTTACATAAGTAGAGAGGGGCAAATAACATAGGCAGAGAGAGACACAGAGAGGGAGAGGATCTGGTAAAAATTAAAGCTCAGGAAATTATGGGCTTCATGAGGTGGATGATTAATTCCATTTCCAAAGTCTTGCAAGGGTCAGGGTAGTTTCTCACCCTTGATGTCAGCAGGTCACTGCTCACAGCTCCCTGAAGCTCCTACTGCACCCATTAAGTTTTTGTTGATAGGAGATCAGACAAGTCCTGGGAAGGGAATAGCATCCTTTTTCTCTCACTTCTTCCTGTTCTGGGGTTTATAGGTCTCCTTTTCTACCACTCACAGGGAGACCTTGCTTCTGTGATTAGAGCCTTGGCTGTGCTAAGGTGTGTGGAGATTGTGGGGTGGGAGGAATATAGAAGATAACTAACCTTAGGGGGTTCCCAGTCTAATGAAAGTTTTAGAGTCACGACACAGAACCAGACCCAGATAGAGCACAAGAACAAAACTAGGAATAGGACAGATTTGGACATAGATATTGGGATGGGGGAATGGTGGGGGAATGGACTGTTAGGTGCAGCCATGGGATGAGGATTGATCAGGGAAGCCTTCCTGGACAAAGTATTTGAGGGAGAAGATTTGGATGGAAGAGTGATAGCTAACTTTATGTGTCTACTTGAGTGGTCTAAGGGACACCCAGATAGCTGGTAAAACATTATTTCTGGATATGTCTGTGGAGTGTTTCTGGAAGAGATTTGCATTTGAATTGGTAGACTAAGAAGATCACCCTCATTAATATGGGTGGGAACCATCCAATCCCTTGGGGGCCAGTAGAACAAAAGAGTGGAGGAAGGCAAATTCTCTTTCTTCATGAGCTGGGACATCTATTTTACCTGCCTTTGGACATCATTGGAGTTCCTGGTTCTTCGTCCTTCAGGCTCTGGGACTTAGCAGTGAGCCTCCTCCCCTGCTTTGGACTTTCCTGAATTATACCACCTGTTTTCCTGGTTCTCCAGTGTATAGACAGCAGAGCGGGAGACTGTGGGACTTCTTGGCCTCCACAATCCTGTGAGCCAATTCTTGGAATAAATCTCGTCATATAGATAGATATCCTGTTAGTTCTGTTCTCTGGAAAACTCTTGACTAATACTGAGGTTATAGGGTTGGGCAGATAGCAAGGCAGAGAAAGAAGTCAAAATGGTGACACTCTGGAGATGGGCTTGGACAGTAATGGGGGATGCCCCTTGCTAAAAAGTTGTTAGGAGCTACCAGAAATGTCTTCGTGGATGTTCTGTATAAGTAATGGCAGGCTGCAAAGGAGAAGTCTCTTATACCCACGGTGGCAGGGGGCCTAGCAATGGTCTTTAGCTATTGTTAATACCTTCAGGTGGGTGAGGGATTGGGGATGGTTGAAGCTTCCTGATTTGCAATCCCTTTGGGAAAATAGTGAATGAACTTTTGGAAGGGCGATGCCCTTTAGGGATAGAACCCAGGATTTCCTAGGTACTTACAGGCTGTGGCTTTTCACTTCTCAAGACTTCCTGATTTAACGCTGATGGAAAGATTAAACTACAATTCCCAGCGATCTTTAGGGCTAATTTAGTGCGCCTTCCGGGATTGGAGCATTTCCGGCGGAAGTGGCTGCGGGTACGCCAATCTCCTTCCCTAAACAATGTAGACTACGACTCCCACTGTCCTTAGCGCCGGGGGTTGGGTTTGGGGTGGGGGAAAGGAACCGGAAACGGGATGGGGAGCTGGACCAGGTGAGGAAGTAGGGGGCTGGGAATCCGGGACTGTGGGGGCAAGTTGACGGCTCCCAGGGTCGTCGGGGCTGAGCCGAGAGGGTGGTTAGAATTTCTATATTTTGGGGTCCCTCCCTCCGTATGGGGTAAGACTCAGTGCAGGGAGAGCCCAGCCTATGAAACCGCCTGGGAGGTCTGCAGGATCAAGGCTTTCCAGTCGGCCGGAGCCAGCGGGCGCCCCCGGAGGTTTTGTATGGTGCCTTAGTAGTCGGCCCCTTTGGAACCAGATGAAATGGTCTTTTTGAGTTTATGCTTTATTATTATTATTGTTTATTTATTTATTTTTCTGAGACGGAATTTTGCTCTGAATTCCAGGCTGGAGTGCAATGGCGCGATCTCAGCTCACTGCAGCCTCCGCCTCCCGGGTTCAAGCGATTCTTCTGCCTCAGCCTCCCGAGTAGGTGGGATTACAGGCGCGCGCCACCATGCCCAGCTAATTTTTGTATTTAGTAGAGACTGGGTTTCACCATGTTGGTCAGGCTGGTCTCGAAGTCCTGACCTCGTGATCCGCCCGCCTCGGCCTCCCAAAGTGCTCGGATTACGGGTGTGAGCCACCGCGCCCGGCCTATGCATTATTATTATTATTATTATTATTATTATTATTATTATTATTATTTATTATTATTATTATTATTATTATTATTTCGTTTAAGGATATTTATTATTGTCCCTGGACTCCCGGAGTGCCTCCAAAGGACAGGGGAGTGCATATGTGATTTCGATTCCTTCCTCACTTCCCGGATTTGATGTCAGAGAAGTCTGACATCAGTCTGAAGTCGGCCCTTGGTGGTCAGCCTTATCGCTTGGTCCAACTCCGCTGTCTTTGTGCTTAATGTAGTATGACACCGTATTTTATAAAATATCTACATTTCTTAAGCCTCTGGCTCTTGGGGCGACTTTGGGTAGAACTTACAAGTTCCTCCTTTGGGTTCTCTTAGTGTTTTGTTCCGGGTATTAAAGCTCACATCACACTGTATTACAGTTAGTTGTTTATTTGCCCTCACAGCAGATTATGAGCTTACAGAAAGCCTGGCCTACATTTTACTCTTTTTGGATTTCTTCCTCATCAAGAGACTGCTGCAGTGCCTGTCATGTAAGAGACTCATAAGTATTGAAAAAAAAAATGAGTTAACAGGTGGTAGGTTGGATGGAGTATGTGATTTTCCATAGAGAAGAGAGTTAAATGAGTTGCTCAAGAGAACCTTCTTAGAGATGAAACAGGAGTAGAATTCAAATCAATTGACTTCCAGCCTGTGGCTCTTGCTATGAGATCAGGCTTTGAAGTTATGGAACAATGAAAGTAGTATCTTGCCACTCTTTTCCCCAGCCTTGCTGTTTCCAACACAGGTGTCTAAATGTCAAAGGTGGGCTCAAGACTTCTCGAGATTCTAGAGCTGGAGCAGCCAATCTGCTAATGTTGGTGTTGCATGGGGAGATGCAAAGCAAGGTCCCCTGAAACACTGGCGTTCTCCACAGCACCCTTCTCAGCTTTTGTATGAGCCCAGTTTGTCCTGGGTAGCCACCTGGACAACAGATCAGTTAAAGACTACTGAGACAGTCAGGGAAGGACTTCCTAAGTTGGGCCTCTGATTTCTTTTCTCTCCCACTTCCCCTAGGCTAGGGTGAGAAAATAGGTTTATCGAGCTGTTGTGTCAACCTTGAGTTCTTATCTTGGAGAAGTCACTCCTGACCCAGGCAGAAAGTTGAGAGGAAGGAATGACAATGGTCCTTGTCGCATGGGAGGCACACATATGATGGGCACAGACCCAGAGTCTGGAAAACAAGCAGAGTGCAAAGTGGGCAGCTAAGCCTTGAGTGAACTCAGGATATAGAAGTGGAGAAGGATCCATCAGGAGTGCCTCCTTGGTAAAAGCTGTTTATTTTATTTTTATATTTACAGATGGGGTCTCATTATGTCAGCCAGGCTGGTCTTGAACTCCTGGCCTCAAGCAATTCTTCTGCCTTGGCCTCTCAAAGTGCTGGGATTACAGGCATGAGCCACTGTGCCCAGCACAGAAGGTAGTTTTAAACAAAAGTGAAAAAGAAGATGGACATTGCTGAGCAGGTGTTTGTTGAGTACCTAATAAGGGCCAGGACCTTGGGCTTATGGAGGGAGATTGAACAAGGCCTGGCTCTTGATCTGCCCAAGTTTAGCTGGGGAGGCAAAAGGAATTCATTAAGACGACGGTAACCATGGTGACACACAGTGGTTCTCAGCCTTCACCAACCATCAGAATCACCCTGGGAAGCTTGTTTAAAATACAGATTCCCAGGCTGGGCACGGTAGCTCACGTTTGTAATCCCAGCACTTTGGGAGGCTGAGGCAGGCAGATCATGAGGTCAGGAGTTCGAGACCAGCCTGACCAACATGGTGAAACCCTGTCTCTACTGAAAATACGAAAATTAGCCGGGTGTGGTGCTGCGCACCTGTAATCCCAGTACCCAGGAGGCTAAGGTGGGAGAATCACTTGAACCCGGGAGGCAGAGGTTGCAGTGAGCTGAGATCGCGCCACTGCACTCCAGTCTGGGCGACAGAGCAAGATTCTGTCTCAAAAAAAAAACAAAACAAAACAAAACAAAAAACACAGATTCCCAGGCCTCACACGGGACCTACTTGTGTTGGGGGTGGGGTTGGGACACTATGGCAAATACTGCAGTGTTCTGAGGAGGGAAGACTTTATCAAAGGGATGGTTTGAGCTGCATTTTGAAGGATGGGAGTGATTTGGATATGTGGACAGGTTGGGGAATCAACAGTCCTAGTTGACTGGATGACTGCTGGATGATGTCCTGGTTGACTTCAGGAGTGTATTTGGTTGGACTGTAGAAATGGTATGTGCAAGGTTTTGGGAGTTGAGGCAGGAAAGGCATTTTGAAAATGTGAGTAGAATGGTCAGGTTGGAACACTGGGTTTGAATGGGAGTGGAGTGAAGCAATGGCCTTTGCAGTTTACAAAGCTTGCTGTCATGTTCCTGCCCCCTCCCTTCTCCTTCCTCCCACCTCCCTTCTCTCTTCCCTTTCTTCTTCCTCTCCCATTTCTTTTCTCCCTTCACCTAAACATAACATCTCATTCCATCCTTACGTCTGTTTGTTTGTTTTGAGACAGTCTCCCTCTGTAGCCCAGGCTGGAGTGCAGTGGCACAATCTCGGCTCACTGCAACCTCTGCCTCCCAGGTCCTGGTTCAAGCAATTCTCCTGCCTCAGCCTCCCATGTAGCTGGAATTACAGGCACGTGCCACCATGCCCAGCTAATTTTTGTATTTTTAGTTGAGACGGGGTTTCACCATGTTGGCCAGGTTGATCTTGAACTCCTGACCTCGTGATCCACCTGCCTCAGCCTCCCAAAGTACTGGGATTACAGGCATGAGCTGTTGCGCCCGGCAAATTTATTTATTTATTTATTTATTTATTTATTTATTTATTTATTTTTTATTTTATTTTTTTTTGAGATGGAGTCTTGCTCTTTTGCCCAGGCTTGAGTGCAGTGGCACGATCTTGGCTCACTGCAACCTCAGCCTCCCGGGTTCAGGCAGTTCTCCCTGCCTCAGCCTCCCGAGTAGCTGGGATTACAGGTGCCCACCACAACGCCCAGCTAATTTTTTTTTTTTGAGAGAGAGTTTCACTGTTGTTGCCCGTGCTGGAGTGCAATGGCACGATCTTGGCTCACCGCAACCTCCACCTTTCAGGTTCAAATGATTCTGCCTCAGCCTCCAGAGTAGCCGGGATTACAGGCACGTACCACCATGCCTGACTAATTTGTATTTTTAGTAGAGGTGGGAGTTTCTCCATTTTGGTCAGGCTGGTCTCGAACTCCCGACCTCAGGTGATCTGCCCACCTCAGCCTCCTAAAGTGCTGGGATTACAGGCTTGAGCCACCACGCCCAGCATGCCCAGCTAATTTTTGTAATTTTTAGTAGAGACGGGGTTTCGCCATGTTGGCCAGGCCAGTTTTGAACGCCTGACCTAAGGTGATTCAGCCGCCTTGGCCTCCCAAAGTGCTGGGATTACAGGCATGAGCCACCATGCCTGGCCTTCCTTATGTCAACATTATTAAGTGGATATTATTATTCTTTGTATTTGAAGGTGGAAACCTGAGGCTCTGGCCATGGTTGTGTAGCTCGTAAGATTCTATGAGGAGTCTGTAATCATCCTACTCGGTATTCCTGAGTGTGGGAAAGAAGCTAGGCTGGGGTTAGGGGGTTGTAGAATTAGCAGGGTGGCTGATCAAACCATCTAAGGCAAGATGGCGTGGGTGGTTAAAGCATAGCCTTGAGCCAGAGAGATTGGGCTCAACCAAATCCAGCTTTATTACTTACTAACTGTAAGACCTTGGGCAAGTTGCTTAATCTTGCTAAGCCTCAGTGTCCTCACTTATAACAGGGGAGCAGTAATACCCACCTCATGGGATTGTTGTGAGGATCAATGAGGTGTACCTGGTGCAGAGCAGTCGCTCACCACCTGGAAGCTATTGTAATTAGCCTTCCCAGGTCTCTGGGCTGTGGCTGTGCACTTGCATTTCATTCTTCAGCGCCGTGCTTTCCAGAACAGTCCATTCTGGCTGGGCTTTTCTTTTTTAGGATGACCTTAAAGGTGCTGAAAGGATGCCACCAGTAAATGTTTATTGAAAACCTACTATGTGCTCGGCATAGCCCAGGAACTAGTGACCTATGCCTGATGGAAAGGAGATTTGGAGTGGGAGATGTTTGGTGGCTATGGCTTATCCTCACCAGGTGCCATGTGAAGAGGACAGATAATGGAAGTGGGGAGGGAAAGGGCCCTTCATTACCAAGAACTGAGATGAGTTCAGTCCTACTTGGTGGTTGGTAGATGACTGACATGGTCTCTTAGGGTCCCTTCTGAGCCCAGGAAATGGTAGTGGGGGCCCTGGCAAGCATGGATCCCTCCTACTCTGTGGCTGAGGGTTGATGGGGCTTCTGTCCATCTCTTTTCCCAGGTGACAGCGGCATGGACATATGCCCCAGGCTTTCCTGCTGGGGTCCATCCATGAGCCTGCAGGTGCCCTCATGGAGCCCCAGCCCTGCCCTGGAAGCTTGGCTGAGAGCTTCCTGGAGGAGGAGCTTCGGCTCAATGCTGAGCTGAGCCAGCTGCAGTTTTCGGAGCCTGTGGGCATCATCTACAATCCCGTGGAGTATGCATGGGAGCCACATCGCAACTACGTGACTCGCTACTGCCAGGGCCCCAAGGAAGTACTCTTCCTGGGCATGAACCCTGGACCTTTTGGCATGGCCCAGACTGGGGTAAAGGGTTTGGCTTCCCCAGTGGGTGGAGTGGGGGGTTCTAGGTGGATGCTTGGCTGGGTGTGCTGTGGAGAAGGAGCATGTGCATGGCTGTAGACATGTGTAGGTCCTCCCGCCCCATTCTGTCTCAACACATATACTGGCTCCTGTGGTCCGAGGCCCTCTCCCAGCGTCTCTGCCCGTAATTAACCAAGCACATTAATGGTAGTTTCGTTTTCCCTGTGAGCTGGCCAGTAATTGCCTCTGAGAGCCCTTCCTTCCGCCAGCCCCATCCTTACTTTACTGGATCTCCCCTGTCCCTGAAGTGTGGTTGGGGTCAGAAGAGGGACTAGGACTGCTGGGTCCTCAGAAGAGACTGGTTGACAGGGGTGGGTATGTAAGAGATGCAGGGCGTTCTGGGAACCTGGGTTCTGTTTCCTAGCTAAGGCGAGGTTCAAAACAGAGCCTGGCTCCAGTGCCTGCCCGCTTTTCTTTCAGGGCTCAGGATGAGTGACTGCCCCCAGTGGGGGTGCTTGGCAGGTGGGGGAGGGGAAGAGGCTTCAGGGCAGAAGGCTCAATCGCTTTTATTGACCCCAACTGGGTGATGAAAGGTGATCAATGATGATCGATGGAAATGACAGCCTGAGGCTTGGGGCTGAGAGGGCATCCAGACAGCAGTGGTCAGCCCATCCTTGTGCCTCCTTTAACCCTGGCTGCCTTTCTGTCTCAGACCATCTGTCTGTCCCCAGTACTAACCATCAAACCCTGTGTAGGGCTAGATATCTCAATGTAGTCCCTGTACTTAGTCCCAAAGGCTAGTTGGGCTAGAGGGAAACAAATTCTTCTGGACCACGGTTCACAATGAAGAACTGGAAAAAGACAGACAGGCTCAAACCATAGGGCCAAGAATCCTTGTCTCAGGCCTTTGGGTGAAGGTAGGGGTAGGGGGTGCAGGCTGGATCCTCATGTAAGGTATAAAGAAGTCAGTTGGTCCAGAGCCCGGGCCTCAGGTCTCCAGTTTGAAGCCTTTCATGTCTCTCTCCTTCCTCACAGGTGCCCTTTGGGGAAGTAAGCATGGTCCGGGACTGGTTGGGCATTGTGGGGCCTGTGCTGACCCCTCCCCAAGAGCATCCTAAACGACCAGTGCTGGGACTGGAGTGCCCACAGTCAGAAGTGAGTGGTGCCCGATTCTGGGGCTTTTTCCGGAACCTCTGTGGACAGCCTGAGGTCTTCTTCCATCACTGTTTTGTCCACAATCTATGCCCTCTGCTTTTCCTGGCTCCCAGCGGGCGCAACCTTACTCCTGCTGAGCTGCCTGCCAAGCAGCGAGAACAGCTTCTTGGGATCTGTGATGCAGCCCTCTGCCGGCAGGTGCAGCTGCTGGGGGTGCGGCTGGTGGTGGGAGTTGGGCGACTGGCAGAGCAGCGGGCACGACGGGCTCTGGCAGGCCTGATGCCAGAGGTCCAGGTGGAAGGGCTCCTGCATCCCTCTCCCCGTAACCCACAGGCCAACAAGGGCTGGGAGGCAGTGGCCAAGGAAAGATTGAATGAGCTGGGGCTGCTGCCACTGCTGTTGAAATGAGTGCCCTTGGGGCCTTGCATGGGACACATTCAAGACCTCGAAGTCATTCTTGGCCAAGCAGATGACAACACATCTCCTGGACTGGAGCAAAAGGTCCTTCTGTGCACCCTGGTCGCTGGGAAACGTATTCTTTGATCTGTTGAACTGTCTTCCAACCTGCCATGGCAGTTTTGACACTACTCCTGTTTGCCCTCCTGATTCCTGCTTTCTTTACCTTTTAACATTGCCCCTTTCAGGGGACCCCACTTTGTAGGGAATCTGCAGAAGGTGTGCTTTTGCACTTGCAGACTGCTCTACCTCAGTGTTTCCTTGGGAGACTTTATTCAGCTGAGAGTGCCCTAGACAGTAACTTCTAAGGTCACGTTTACTATTTCAGAGGAAATATCTTGCCAGGATACCTACCCATCCTTATAGAACAGTTACCTTTAGCTGACCCCTTTCCTCACAGGGACCAAGACAAAGCATGGGACATGAAATTAAGAGTGAACTTCTTATGGGAGGCTGCAGCTGGATCAGAGGAAAAATCCAGTGTGACAGAGTGCAAGTCAGAAGACCTGGCTTTTCATCCCAGCTTTGAAACTTGGAACTTTTTGATTGACAAATTAATAAACCTCTCTATGCCTCAGGCTCCTCATCTGTAAAACAGGGATGCCTACCTTATGGGGTTGGTGTGAGGATTAACTGAGATCACACTTGAAAGTGCCTTGCATGGGCTTGGCATGTGGGTGCTCATTACATAGTCTTCTTGTTTTCTTGCCTCTGGGTTGAGGATTCACAGCACTGCACTACAAGGGTAGCCCCTCTCCATTCTGGATACCTTGCTAGGAGAGAGTCTGGGCTTCCACCTGCGGCCAGGGTGAAGGGAAAATTCTTGCCATGTCAGAGATGGATCAATGACTATGAAAAAACTAGCCTGTGATTTTTTTTCACTCTAAGCATTAAGAGCTCCTAAAGCCTTTTGTCTTGTTACTTTTTTCCCCCTCTTGCATGCTAGAGGTGGAAGGTAGTCATTTAGATTTCCCCCCTCTTCCCTCTTCATTGTTGGCCAGGGGTTCTCTTGGGCAGCTGGGGGAAGGATGTAGTAGATCTCTCTTTTTTTTTTTTTTTTGAGATGGAGTCTCATGCTGTTGCCCAGGCTGGAGTGCAGTGGCATGGTCTCAGTTCACTGCAACATCTGCTTTCCCGGTTCAAGTGATTCTCCTGCCTCAGCCTCCTGTATAGCTGGAATTACAGGCATGTGCCACCACGCCTGGCTAATTTTTGTATTTTTATTAAAGACAGTGTTTCACCATGTTGGCCAGGCTGGTCTCAAACTCCTGACTTCAAGTAATCCACCTGTCTTGGCCTCCCAAAGTGCTGCTGCCTGGCTGGATGTAGCAGATCTCCAATTGCCTTACCAAACCTGCAGGGTCTCTGTTAAGTGTCTGTTAGGGGTCTTATATGATACTCTGGACACCGTGAGAAACAGGTGATGGGGCAGATGGGAACCTGGTATCCAACTCATTTTTTATGTCTGCTGAATGGTTGACTGGGTGCCCCTTTGGTAAGGGCTGGGAAAGTGAACCAAGTTGGGAGCAGAGCAGGTCTTGAGACCACCTTAATGAGGAACACATGGTCTACTTCCTATCTCCTGGGACACAGGTCATTTCCAGCTTCCAGAATTAGTAAGATTTTTCATATAAATCCTCCCCTACTTCATTGTATAATAAAGAATTTGGCCTTTGTCTTCAGTTCCTGAGAAGGAGACTCTAAATCCTTGGAATTTCCCAAGTAATAGGAGTATCTTTGTTTTTCGTGGCAGGTCCCTGAAACTACACCTGAATTTATGTTGAGATTTGACCTTAGGCTGCACCTAATTTTATATTGAATTTGATCTCAGACCACACCTGAGTTTGCTGTAAGATTTGACTGAGGATGGAGGCTGACCATGCCAGAATGACCAACCATATAGTTACAGGGCTGGGACTTTGAGCTGGATGATACCAGCTTGATCCCCAGGGAGGGGAGAGGGGCTAGAGATTGAGTTCAGCCACATGCCGATGATTTTAACCAATTATATCTATGGTAAAACTCTAGATATAAAAACTTCTGACACAGGTTTTGGTCAGCTTCCTGGCTGGTGAACACATGGATGTGCTGAGGGATGTGCATTGGTATCCTGTTTCTATGAGCAGAGGGCACACATCTGTGCCTGGGACACTCCTGGACCCTACCATATATTTGTCTTCATTTGGCTGGTTCTGATTTGTATCTTTTGTAATAGAACCATAATCATAAGTATAGAGTTTTCCTGAGTTCCGTGAGTCATTCTAGGAAATTCTCCAACCTCAGGGTGGGTGGCGGGGGGTTGTGGAGACTCCTGAATTTATAGCCAGTTGGTCAGAAGTGCAGGTGGTCTGGGGATCCTCAAGCTCGCAACTGACATCTGAAGTGAGAGCAGTCTTGGTGGGGAGTATGCCCTTAAACCCCGAGGGTATGCACTAACTCCCTGTAGTTAGCATCAGAATTGCATTACAGTATTGAACTTCCACATGCCATAGACTCCTTTCCTTCTCTTTTTGCTGTCAGTGCTACGTAGTGAGTGCGCCATGTTGCAGAGCACTGGATTAGGTACAGTGGAATAACTGCACAGAGATAGAAGCCATCATTTCATTATATATTTAGCTGAGGAAATATATAATGGAAAGCTCTCTGGAGGAGGTGGCATTTCAGGTGGCCTTAAGACTGGGAAAGTTTTGGATAACTTAGAGAACAGCACTGTTATGTTCAAGGGGTGGCAAGTTGTATTAGGGTCTAGAGAGACAGAACTAATGATACATGTATATATGAAAAGGAGTTTATTCAGGATAATTGACTCACACGATCACAGGGCGAAGTCCCACAATAGGCTGTCTGCAAGTTGAGCAAGGAAGCCAGTAGTGGCTCAGTCCGAGTCCCAAATCCTCAAAAGTAGGGAAGCCGACAGGGCAGCCTTCTGTCTGTGGCCTAAGTCCCAAGAGCCCCTGGCAAACTACTGGTGTAAGTCCAAGAGTCCAAAAGCTGAAGAACTTAAGAGTCTAATGTGTGAGGGCAGGAAGCATCCAGCATGGGAGAAAGATGAGGACTGGAAGACTCAGCAAGTCAGCTTCTTTCACCTTTTTCTGCCCGCTTTTTCTAGCCGCCCTAGCAGCCAGTTGGATGGTGCCCACCCACATTCTGGGTGGGTTTTCCTGTGGGTGGGTCTTCCTCTCCCAGTCTACTAACTCAAATGTTAATCTCTTCTGCTAATACCCAGAAACAGTACTTTGCATCCATTAATCAAGTTGACAGTTAATATTTACCAACACACAAGTAGATTCCTATTGGCTTGGCCCAGTTTGGAGAAAAAGATGAAGAGGTAGATTGAAGCTAGCCTGTGAAGGGTCTTGAATGCTAGAATAATCTTTGAGAATTTAAAGTGTAGTGGGGGAAGTGAGATGCACAGAACACACACACTGAAAATACCCAACAATAGGTGGAAACCCATAGAAGGAGATGAAGGGGCAAACCATGTAGGAGGCAGTGTGGGTGCAGTGGGGAAAGGGATGGGAAGAGAGGGGATGAGTCTATAGGGAGGACATCTAGGGGCATAGCAGGTCTGGTTGAAAGCCTAGAGTTGGGGTCTCTAGGTGATGAGATAGTGGGATAGGATTGGGTAATACACAGAGGCACTTGAACAGTAGTGACCAGAATGACTTGAAGGCCTGGGTATGGCAGAGTCGCTGCTGGGTCTGGGTCCTAGTGGGGCTGTTGCTTTCAATTCCTGGGGTGCATCTTGTCGGAGAGGTTGATTAAGGTCCTGGGCCTGCCTTTCCCTAAGGACACTGTATTACACTGCTAGGGCTGCCATGACAAAACTACCACAGACTGGGTGGATTAAAACAACAGAAATTTCTGACACTTCTGGAGCCCGTTAAGTCCAGGATCAAGATGGTTTGATCTTTCCTGAGGCCTCTCCTTAGCTTGCAGATAGCTGCCTTCTTGCTGTGTCCTCCCATAGCCTTTTCTGAGCATGTACCTCCCTGGTGTTTCTCTTCTTGGAAGGATACCAGTTGTACTGGATTAGGTCCCCCCTTATTACCCAATTTAACCTTAGGTGCCTCTTTAAATGCCCTATATCCAATATAGTCATATTGGGGCTTCAACATACAAATCGGCAGGGGGGCATAATTCAGTCTATAACAGGCACACAAAGTCATGTCACTGCTTTTTTTGTCCCCAACCAATGTCAACCATAAACAAACTAGGGTACTTAGGAGTGCCTTTTTTCCAGTCTGGAGGATTGGAAGCTGGTCTAGGGGCTTAGGTAGCTGATCAGACTTAGTCTCATCAGACTGGCTTTTACCCTTCATTCTAGAGCAGTTTCTTCAGTGCAAATGAGAGTGTCCTTAGGGAAAGGAAAGTCATTGTTTTTTTTTTTTCTCTGAGTGGTAGAGAATGGAGCCTTTAGTTGCTATAAAACAGCATTGTGAGAATTATTCTAAAGCCAAACTGAAATAATTTGGTGTCATCTAGACTTTTGTAGACCAATACAGTAGCCACTAGCCATGTGTGGCTGTTTTAGTTCAAAGTGATTAAGGAAAAAAATTCAATTCTTCAGTTCATATTTCAAGTGCTCAATAGCCACACATGGCTAGTGACTACTGATTGGATGACACAGAAATTGAACATTTCCATTATCACAGAAATTTGTGTTAGACAACACTGATCTAGAGATCAGTGGCTTACAACCCTGCCAGTGAATCCGAATTAACCGGTGGAGGTTTAAAAAAACAAGTGTCTCAGCTCCACTTAAGATATTTTGATTTGTGAGGTGCGAGGGGCATCCTGCTATCCGTCTTCAACAGAATCTCTCCATGCTACCAATATGCAGCCAAGGTTCAGGCAGGAGTGTCCTGAGTGTCTTGAAGGCAAAGGCCAGGGTCTCCTTTTTCTTTTCCCAGTATGTAATCCCACACCTGGCACAAAGTAGGTATTCAGAGCAGACATGGAAGTAATGCATGAATCTGGTCTGGGAAAGCTACCCGTGTGCCATCCAGAAACACTAGTTTCTCTAGAGTTTGTTCTTTTTGCCTAGTGATGGTATTTCAAGTTCTGATTCAGAGGAATGATGGAGGTCCCACCCCAAAACACACAAACTCAACTTGGTGGAGACCAAGGGTGTGCTTGGGGTGGGGATGCTTCTGAGCTTCTGAGGGATAGATTGTGTTGGTGAAGAAAGAGAATTTTCTTACCTCTTTTTTTTTTTTTTTTTTTAGTTTTTATTTTTTTGACACGGAGTCTTGCTCTGTCGCCCAGGCTGGAGTGCAGTGGCGCGATCTCGGCTCACTGCAAGCTCCGCTTCCCGGGTTCACGCCATTCTCCTGCCTCAGCCTCCTGAGTAGCTGGGACTACAGGCGCCCGCTACCACGCCCGGCTAATTTTTTTGTATTTTTAGTAGAGACGGGGTTTCACCGTGTTAGCCAGGATGGTCTTAATCTCCTGACCTTGTGATCCGCCCGTCTCGGCCTCCCAAAGTGCTGGGATCACAGGCATGAGCCACCGTGCCCGGCCTTTTTTTTTGGGGGGGGACAGGATCTTCTTCTCTTTCCCAGGCTGGAGTGCAGTGGCATGATCATGGCTCACTGCAGCCTTGACTTCCTGGGCTCAGGTGTCCTCCCACCTCAGCCTCCCGAGTAGCTGGGACTATAGGCATGCACCACCACACCTGGCTAATTTTTTGTAGAGACGGGGTTTCACTATGTTGCCCAGGCTGGTCTCTATCTCCTGAACTCAAGCAATCCTCCCACCTTAGCCTCCTAAAGTGCTGGGATTACAGGCATGAGGCACCATGCCCAGCCTTTTTTTTTTTTAGATGGAGTTTTGCTCTTGTTTCCCAGGTTGGAGTGCAATGGTGTGATCTTGGCTCACCACAACTTCTGCCTCCCGGGTTCAAGCGATTCTCCTGCCTCAGCCTCCTGAGTAGCTGGGATTACAGGCATGTGCCAACATGCCTGGCTAATTTTGTATTTTTAGTAGAGATGGGGTTTTTCCATGTTGGTCAGGCCGGTCTTGAACTCCTGACCTCAGGTGATGTGCCTGCCTTGGCCTCCCAAAGTGCTGGGATTACAGGCGTGAGCCACTGTGCCTGGCCCCGGCCTTTTATCTCTGTCTTTTTTTTTCTCCCTTACTGATACAGGATAGCTTAAAGAAAATTGGGTCTTGAATTTGGCCACTGTGTGGTCTCACTTTCCTTTTTCAATTCAATAAACATTTATTGATGTCTGCTGTGTGTGTGTCATTCCTTGTGCTAGGCACTGTAGGGAGTGACGGAGGTGAATTAGATGATTCTTTACCCTCACGTTGTTCACTGTCTAGTGCTGGGAGATACAGGCATATAATTATATATAAATCAAGCTGAAAGCATGTTGTGAACAAGTTATAAACACAGCGCTCTGGGCACACTGAATGAGGAAGTGATTAGCCCTCAGAGTCTGGGGAGGAGGTGTGTGTGCCTGTGAGAGAGGGCGGAGACTGGGAGATTTCTTATCTCATAACTTGCTAAATCTTACCACCTCCATGGAGTGGATATTTGCAAAACGGGACCATTGTGTCAGATATGTCCAGGAATTTCTCAGCCCCAACTGCAAGGGGCTAGGAAACAGGATGAGGGGAGGGGCTCAGAGGCCAGGAATTAGGCAAGAGCCAAGGGTTGGGTGTGGCCCTATGGAAGATGAGAAGTGGAGCTTCCTTTCAGAACACATCTGTTAACTTTGGGGATGGAAAACTGCAGCAGATGGTGGCAGGCAATGTCCAGGTAGCAGATCAAAAAAGACTGGAAATGCAGCCTGGCCACAGCTGGGGTAGAGAAGCTAGTGATGGAATGGAAGAAGGGAATAGAGATTGCAGCCTATCCCAGACTAAGTGTTGACTCTGAATATTCTTGTTTAGGAGGATATAGGGCAGCTGTTTCCTCTTCTTCCCTGGTGCCCCAGAGAAGTAAAGAACTTCAACTGGAGCATGAGACATTGAGGTTAGACACATGGATAAACTTCCCAGCTGTGACCATCAGGTGATATAGAAATAAATTACTTTGGGGGAAGATGAATTGCTTTCTTCTTCAGAGACCTTAATGCCAGCCTGGCTCAAGCCCATGCTCACCAGTCAAGGTTGAATTATAATGTATTTGAGGAAACTTTCTTTTTTTCTCTCCCTCCTTATTTTGGCCCTCACCCTCTCAAGTACAAAACAGAACAAACAAAACACCTGCAAAAGAATTTTCCTGTACATCTTGTCCATTCTTCTGCCCCTACATCTCATTCAAGGACCCTCAGCCTGATGTCTGTCTCTAGTCCTGGCTTGCAGGAGGGATGGCTGAGAGCCCAGAACAGTCCTCCATGGTGGCCTGTGCCAAGCCAGGTTGCCATTTCCATTTTCATTAATTGAAGCAGCTTGACCCTGATCTTTTCAGGCCAGCAATTTCCTGTCCGCTGGTTAGGAGTATGTGGAGGACATGTTTTTGCAGGTCATTCTGTCCTTCCATCTACCTGGATGGTGCTAACACCTGATTCAGGCAGCAAAAAAGGGTCTCCTGTCAACAGTTGACTGAGAGAATCCCAACTTCACACAAATGCCCAGCCTCTCCTCTTGGGATCTCACACTTTGTCTTCTTCAGAAGCTCTTTCTGGTATCTACCCTCCAGCCTATCTGCTGTAATTTGGGTTGTTTTTTTGTTCAGTTTTTAGAAACCTGCTGACTTATAGCTCCCTCTCAGAACCTCATGTGATGATACTTCTGTGGCTTGGGAGAAGAACAAAATGTCTTTGAAGGAAGGGGTTTGCCTTCAACCCTGGAAGGCCACACAGCTGAGTGATTGGGGTGTGATGACTTTGCTCTGAGCATGAGTGTGGATGTGTTTTGCTCCTTACCTGGCTGTATGGAAGGTCTGTGTGTCCCCTGTGAATCACTGAGTTAGCATCATTTTGTTCCTGTGTTTGGTAGCGCTGCTTTGCAAGTACCGTTTTAAGGGGTAGGGTAGTGTGTTCCCCTAGAGTGGGAGTCCACTGTATTACATGCATTTGTGTCCTCCTGTGATCATGGGATCTTTTTTGTCTCTGCAGTTTTCAGTCTTCCAGATGGACACTAGTGTAATTGAGTGTGACCCATTTTTGCTGCTGTTGTGTCTTTGTGTGTCTGGTATTTTTGTGTAGCCTCTGTGTTTGGGGCATCTTCGGGGGGCTTGTCGTGTCTTTCTGAGTGTCCTCTGGCTCTGTTTGGGCGGGGGAACAGAAGAAGGAGCCCAGACTCGAAGGGGAGCTGTCTGGGTGGGGGGAGCGTTTTGGGAGGGGGCGTGCTGCAATCTGTGACTTGGAAAACAGATTTGCAGAGGAGGCGAGCAGCCCGGGCGTGCGGAGCGTGCGGGGCGGGGGCGGGCGGCCGCTCTGGCCCCCAGCTCCTCCGCAATCCAATTAAATAACATTTAAATGCATAACCAGCCCGCGCGGCGATGAGGCTGGAGATTGGAGCGGGCTCGGCGGCGGGCCGCGCGGGCGGCGTTTTGTGGAGCTCAGCGATTCTGGCGGTAATTTCCCCGCTCGACGCGGCTTTTACGAGCCAGCTCCCGGCGCCGCGCCCGCTCTGCTGCGCCCGCCCCGCTCCCGGCCGCTTCCCGCCACTCCCCGCCTCGACACTTTTTTCTCCCTCGCCCTCTCTGCAGCCTTCTGGTCTGTCCGCGTGCGTGTCTCTCGCTCTGGTCTCTGTTTCTCCATCTCTTGGGGTGCATGCACCTCGCCCTAACCTCCCTCTCCAGCTGCTCCCGCGTCTCACGATGCCTCTCCCGTTTGCTCTCTCGCTGGGTGTCTGCCTCTCCCTTGCGCTGCCTGTCTGTGGCTTCTGCCATCTGTCAGCTTTTGCTTTTCTCGCTGCTGTTTCTGCCTCTGACTTTGACCCCTTGTTCTGGCCGATGCTGCCTCCACTTCTCTCTGTATCACCGTATCATCACAGCTTCTGGCTGTCTTTGCTCCCGTCTTCTTGTCTCTGGCCTTCTGCATCCTTCCACCTTCAAACCCTTCCCTTCAAGCCGCCTTGCCTTCTCCCCATGACTTAGAGACCCCACCACACCAGGCTGTCCGCTGAGTCCTCAGCCTTTCTCCACCTGTGTGCCCGTGGGGAAGGCCTGCAGACTGGGAACAGCTAGAAAGGGCCGAGGAGGAAAGGAAGGGAAGCTAAGTTAAGAAGAGTGGGAGCAGGTGGTGGGCTTACCCTGGCTGGGCCTAGGCCCAGCGGGAGACGGGAGGAATACATATGTGGTGAGTGGATGACTGGAAGAGACCCATTCTTCCCTACATCCTTTAGGAGCAGAGCAGGGAGGACCACCACATTCGGGGTCAGGGGAGTGGTTCCTTTTTGGGAGGTCTGCAGGAGCACCAGAGAGATGTGATTCCTTCAGGGCTTCAGGATCTTTTGAGGTTAGGATGCAGATGGGTATTTTCTGAAGAACTAGAGTGGGGCACGTCCCCCCTGCCCCGCAGGAGACCCCCCACCTGAGCTCCTGAAGCCAGGTACCTGAGGAAGACAGAGGAAGCAAGGCGGGCATTTTGTTTCTTGTGCGGGACCTGACTCCATTGTTTCCTCTTCAGTTCACTCCCTTTCTTATCCCTGCTCAGGCGCCCCAACATATGGAGCTGCAGTTTAGCAGATGCTACGTGGCATACAGATTTCCGGGTAAGAGTTTCCCGGCTAAGAGAACAGCGAGGGCAAAAGCCCTCATGTGAGCATGTCTGGTGTGTTGGAAGAACAGCAATGAGGCTGATATGGCTGAAGCAGAGAAAATCAGGGAAGAGAATAAGTGATGAGATCTAAGAGGTGATGGGGAGCCACATCACGTAGAAACTAATAAGTTACAGTAAAACTCACACTCCGAGTAACATGGGAAGTCACTGCAGGGTTTCAAGCAAGGGAGTGACATGATCTGCCTTGTCTTTTTACAGAAAATTCTTGCTGCTGTATTGAGAACAGATTGAGAAAACAAGGGCAGAAGCAGGGAGACCAGTCAGGAGCTGATTGCAGTATCAGGTAAGAGGGGATGAGGGCCAGGACCAGGGAGATGGCAGCAGAGGTGATGAGGAGTGGTCAAATTTTTGATACATTTTGCAGGGAGAGCCAAGGGATTAGTGAGAGCGTATGAAAGAAAGAGGAGTAGAGGATAAGACCAAGATTTTTTGGCCCGAGTGACCACAGCAATGGATTTGCCATCAACTGATATGGGGAAATACCACAGGAGGAGCTGGTTTTGGGAGTAGTATTAGTTGTGGACATGTTAGCTTTGAGATACCTGTTAAGCATCCAGGTAGAGGAGGCTAGCAGGTAAATCAATACACAAGTCTATAGCTTTTTTTTTTTTTTTTTTTTTTGAGACAAGACTCTAGCTCTGTTGCCAGGCTGGAGTGCAGTGGCATGATCTCAGCTCACTGCAACCTCCGCCTCCCAGGTTCAAGCAATTCTGCCTCAGCCTCCGGACTAGCTGGGATTACAGGCACGCGCTGCCACGTCCAGCTAATTTTTGTATTTTTAGTAGAGACGGGGTTTCACCATGTTGGCCAGGATAGTCTCATTTTCCTGACCTCGTGATCTGCCCACCTTGGCCTCCCAAAGTGCTGGGATTACAAGTGTGAGCCACCGCGCCCGACCACAAGTCTATAGTTTAATGGTGAAGTCCAGACTGGAGATAGAAATTTGGGAGTAATCAGTGACACTGGATGAGATCCCCTAAAGAGTGAAAGCTGATAGAAAGTGAAGGTGGCCAGGCGTGGTGGCTCACACCTGTAATCCCAGCACTTTGGGAGGCCGAGGTGGGCCGATCACCTGAGGTCAGGAGTTCAAGACCATCCTGGCCAACATGCGAAACTCCATCTCTACTGAAAAATACAAAAATTAGCCAGATGTGGTGGCGGACGCCTGTGATCCCAGCTACTTGGGATGCTGAGGCAGGGAGAAATGTTTGAACCTGGGAGGCGGAGGTTGCAGCAGTGAGCCAAGATCACGACTCTGCACTCCAGCATGGGTGACAGAATGACACTTCGTCTCAAAAAAAAAAAAAAGAAAGAAAGAAAGTGAAGGGCATCCAATGACAGAGTCTAGGCGCCGCAATATTTAGAAGTTGTAGAGGTGCATTTATCTGTCATGGGATTAAGAAACAAAAGGGGCCAGGTGCAGTGGCTCACACCTGTAATCCCAGCACTTTGGGAGGCTGAAGTGGAAGGATCACTTGAGCCCAGGACTTCGAGACCAGCCTGTGCAACATAGTGAGACCTCTGTCTCTACAAAAAATAAAAAGTTAGCTGAGTGTGGTGGCACGCACCTGTAGTCCCAGCTACTCAGGAGGCTGAGGTGGGAGGATTGCTTGTGCCTGGGAGATTGAGGCTGCAGTGAACCATGATTGTGTCATTGCACACCAGCCTGAGTGACAGAGTGAGACTGTCTCACAAAAAAAACAAAAACTAAAAAAAGTTGTGGAGGTACAAAAAAAAAATGCTGAGACATCTCAGGGAGGAGGCTTTAGGGAAGAGGTGCGGGGCTCTTGGCTTGATCATTCTTTTTCATTCCCAGCTGCCCTGGTGGCCAGGCCCTCATTGGCCCATATCTAGATGGTCCCAGTCCACTCTCTGGGCCACTGCTTCATTCCCCTCCAAACACCACACAACAGCCACACTGACCACTTCATGCCATGCTTGCTCAAGAACCTACAGGGACTCCTGAAGCTCAGCATTATGGTCCCAGAGCTAGGGAAAGAGAGCTGCGGCTAGATGGGACCTGAAACTCTTAGTTCACCTTTACTGCTTTGCCGCTAGGGAAACTGAGAAACAGTGAGCTTCTCTTTTTGTCTTTTTTTTTTTTTTTTTAAGACAGAGTTTCGCTCTTGTTGCCCAGGCTGAAGTGCAATGGCGCGATCTCGCCGGACCGCAAACTCTGCCTCCCAGGTTCAAGTGATTCTCCTGCCCCAGCCTCCCGAGTAGCTGGGATTACAGGCATGCACCACCACACCCGGCTAATTTTGTATTTTTAGTAGAGACGGGGTTTCTCCATGTTGGTCAGGCTGGTCTCGAACTACCGACCTCGGGTTATCTGCCCGCCTTGGCCTCCCAAAGTGCTGGGATTACAGGCATGAGCCATTGTACCCAGCCCAACAGTGAGCTTCTCTAATGTCGCCCTGCCATTAGGTGGCCAGGGCCCTAAACATAGCTGAGTGCTGTTTATATCAGCCCACCCTGCCTTTTGAATCAGCTCTCAACAAGCCACAGATGTACTATTACCTGATTTTACTGAGTACCTGATTTTACTCACAGCATGCAGAATAGCAGTGGAGGACTCTAAGGTGCCCAGTGGAAACAGAAGATGCAATTTTTGCCCTCAAGAAACTTGAACTAAGGATTCTTGAATGATTTTCTCATCATTTTCCTCTATCTCTGCTTTCCTTTCTTATGACTTCTCAACATGGACTCTCCTCTTTCCCATTCTCTGCCCTAGGTTTTTCCTTACCCTGACTCATTCTTCCAGAACCCCTCCCCAGATCACTTTTTTTTTTTTTTTAAGCCTGACCCACTGCTGACAGACAGATCACCTTTTATTGCCCTAACCTACCTAGTAGCTCAGGCCCCAAACCTGAGAGTCAGTATCCTCTTTTCCTCTCTTCCCCATCCCTCATTCATATGCAAGTTCTATTGACCTTATCATCCAAATATATCCCAACTCTGACACATCATCTCACAATCTCCACTGGTACAGTCCTAGCCATGCACTGTTTATCTTGCCTCTGCTGCTGACCATGACAGCCCCCTAACTGGTCTCCCCTGCGTGTCCCCCTACAGTCCATTCTCCACACAGCAGTCATGTTCCTCTGAAGCCCTCAGCACTGTCTCTTAGGGCTGTGTGTTTCTTGCTATTCCTGTGTCCTTCAAACCAATCTGTCTGCCTTTTGGTCATTTCCCCCCAGATGTGACCTGTCTTCTCCCCTCTCAGACCCTGGGGTGGAGGGTGCTTCCCTCTCATGGGAGGCAATCTGACTGGGAGTTGGGGTGGGGGCCATTGTGCTAGCCTAGAGGAAGTCAGTGAGCTGAGCATGGTTGAGTATGCTTCTGAAATGGCAGGAAGTATTTTCGGGGACTGTCTTAGACTCCCTTTTTCTCATTTCCATCTTCCCTGGTTCCTTCTGTTCAGCATTCTTCCTTGCTCTCACTCTTCCTTCCCTTCTGGCTTTCACTGACTGATTCTCTGTCTTTGGATTGGGGAGAGGAAAGCATCCCTCATCAGCTTTGGGGTCTTGAGAGATTCTTCAGTCAAATGTACCCCTGTTCCCAACTCAAGCCCCTCCCCCCAACTCTGGGAGGTGGGCTGAAACAGGCCAGGTAGGGAACATTCATCTCATCCTCTGCAGTCTGCACACCTAATCTGAGTCATTCACCATTTTATCCCCAATGCCTAGCACAACTCTGTGCACCCAGTAGATGCTTATTAAGTATTTATTGAATGGGTAAATGAATGAATGAATGTCTTAGGCATTCAGTTTCCCTGTTGGACCCTGGTCTGGCATTTCTGGTTCTTTAGAGTATTGCTTTCAAACTTTAATGTACATAAAAATCACCTGGGGATCTTGCTAAACTGGAGAGTTGGATTGAATAGGTCTGAGTTGAGGTCCAAGAATGCATTGGTACCACGCTTCCAGGGATGCCAATGCTGCTGGCTCTGAAGTCACATTTTGAGGAGCAAGACTCCAAGAGGAGGGTTCTCTCAGGCAGATGGTATCCTCAGCCTAAATCTGAAAAAGAGAATGATGAAGATTGAGGGAGACTGAGAAATAGGGAGAGAGGAACCAAAGAAAGAGGAGGTCCAAGGTCACTAGTTTAAAGGCCTTTAAAGCCCCTGAGAGGTACCCAGGTCAGTGGTCTCAGGAAGCCTAGAAGCACCTGCAGCATCTCTCACAACAGCATCTCTCTCAAAGACCTCACCCCTGACTTGGGGAGGTGGGGCTCTGGAGATAACTGACATCTCCATGTCCCTGATTGGCCTCCTTACTCCTGATGAACCCCACGGGTCACAGAAAAGAAAACTTGGCAGAGAACAGGTTTGGAGTTTTCATTCAATTCCATGAACATTATCCAGACTACCTGTCAGCACACAGGTGAACAGGAGGCCTGTCTAGTGGAGGCAGACATCTTGCATGAATAAAAGAAGTTGGGATTTAAATCTGGCTTTAGAGGAGGATGGAGAGAGCTTTGATAAGCATATGGGGGCCTTGGAAAGTGGTGGAGAGGTCATTCCAGACAAAATGGGCTGGAAGCAGGATAGTTCAGGGCATATTCCTTGAACGATAAAGGGACCAGTAGCTGGGGTGAGGAGGAAGGATGTAGGAGGAAAAGCTGTAGGAGTTCAGTGTGGTTCTGCATTAAGGAGGGCTTTGCATGCCTATTTGAGGAATCAGTACTTTGGTGTGAATGCAGTTTTTTTCTGAATGCATTAGGGCACCATGGACTGGAGTTCCATGAGGAGAGACGTGTATCTGGGAGAGGTGCTTCTGGGGAAGGCTTTGCCATCTACTGATTTACCTGCTTATTGGGTGGGACCCTTCTTGTCGGTCTGTCTGTACTCCCTGGAGGCTTGGTCAGGCTTTGAAATTGAAAGAGTGGTCCCTGGGTTGTGGGGGAGCTGGAGTGAGGTTTTCCTGTTTGTTTGTTTTTTGTTTTCCCTCTGGGAAAGAGCTAGAGTAATTTTGTTCAGTGGAAAATTTTATGAGCTTCTGTCCTAACTCCAGGGTTTTCTTTTGTTTTGTTTTAGACTAGAAGCCCCTGATAACAAACTATGCCTCAGGCAAGGGAGAGGAAGGGGAAAATAAGGAGGCCATTTTTCATGGTGGGTGAGCTAGTAACATCATTACTGGTCCATGCTGGTGAACACTGGGACCCAGCTGCCTAGGAATGTCCGTCAGTTTGATTTCCACCCACCACTCAATCCCCCACCCTCCAGGCAATTCCAGTGTCTCCTGACCTTGGAGCGGGGGCCCTAGGACATATTGCCAATGCCAGATGCTTGGAGGCTTTTCCTGCTTAGATATCTCCAGCGCTTGCCAGACTGGGTGTCAGCCTTCCTAAGAACTAACTTAAGTTTAATACCTATGCATTTCACACACAGGCGTGTGAGGGTGGAGACTATTTTTTGGCTGGCTGCTGGGAAGGGGCAGCATTTTGTGATTATTTGTGGGAGGAGTCTGGCTTGCAAGTCTGGGGTTTTCCCTGACAAGGATCCATCTCTTTCCTCCCTGTGTGTCTCCTGTCCCCTGTGCCTGAGGTCACTCTCTTGTACTCATTCCTCCAGCAGGCCAGAAATTATGTCAACAGAGAGGGCAGATTTTGTTTCTGTGGGAGAGTGTGGGAGATTATTTTCATTTGATTTATTACAGTGCCTGATGATCCTCATGCTGATGTGCTAACAAGCAGGAGAAGCCAGGAGCAGCCCTCACAGCATCACACGGAGGGCTAGACCAAGACTGGCTGGCAGGGACTTAGTCCCAAATGGCAATTTAGGAGTGGGAAGGGGGCTGAAAGGGCTTGGGGACAGGGCTATCACTGACATCTCAGACTCAGTTTCTCAGTTCTGGGAGGGGGACTAGCACTGGGACAACTTCATGTGGGCCGTTCTTCTTCCTGTGTCCTATGGCCTCTGACATTTATTTATCTATTTATTTATGTGACACAGTCTCGCTCTGTTGCACAGGCTGGAGTACAATGGCGTGATCTAGGCTCACTGCAACCTCTGCCTCCCAGGTTCAAGCAATTCTCCTGCCTCAGCCTCCCGAGTAGCTGGGATCACAGGCTCCCGCCACCACGTCCAGATAATTTTTGTATTTTTAGTACAGACAGGGTTTCACCATGTTGGCCAGGCTGGTCTCGAACTCCTGACCTCATGATCCACCCACCTCAGCCTCCCAAAGGGCTGGGATTACAGGCGTGAGCCACTGCGCTCCACCGGGCTCCAACTTTTATATTCCTCACTGCTCTGAAGCTCTTTTAGCTCAGAGTCCTTTCAAATGTTCTGTGGCAAATGTGACCAGGACATTTCAGGCAAAATCTTCTCACACTTGTAGAGTGAATAGAAAATTCCAGGTCCTCAATGTTGATCATGTCTTTGATGCATGACTAATAGTAGGTGCTCAGTTTATTTCTGGTGTAGGCGAAGAGGCTTTTAAGCTACTACCTGGTTTCATCTAGGAAGCTGAGGGCTAAGTTTTGGGTTCCTCTGCAGTAACTGTCCATTCTTGGGTTTCTTTTCCCAGGACATTTTAAAATCCTCACTTCTTTATCTGTTCTTGTTCTTTCATGGGTGTTTCGATGGTTCTGTTATATCTGTCTTTTTAATTTTATTTATTTATTTATTTACAAACAGTGTCTTACTCTGTTGCCCAGGCTACAGTGTAGTGGCATGATCATAGCTCACTGCAGCCTCAAACTCCTGGGCTCAAGGGGTCTTCCCACTTTAGTTTCCCTAGTAGCTGTGATTATAGTCCTGCATCAGCATGCCTGGCTAATTTTTAAACTTTTTGTAAAGATGGTGTCTCACTATATTCCCTAGGCTGGTCTGGAACTCCTGGGCTGAAGCTATCCTCTTGCCTTGGCCTCCCTAAATGTTGGAATTACAGACATGGGCCACTACACCTGGCGATCTGTGTCTTATACGGTAGGCCATCTCAGATCTTTTTAGAAGGAATGTGGGTAAAAGTGCTCTGAAGACATTGTTGTATTTCACTTCAGCTGCTGTATGATTTTTTCAGGGGTTGCTACCTGACAACTGGCCCCAAAACGAAGGGTCTGCTGATCATGTGCAGTCACACCAGGTCCTGCTGGTGGTTGGAGGGGTTGCCATGAGAGTGAACAGAAAGCTAACTTGAAGTTTATTGAGGCAGCATGATTGGAAAGGGAATTAAGGGAGGACATGAGAAGATGAGAGAATAGAAAGAGCTTGGCAAGGGAAGACAGGAGGAGAGATCAGAGGAACAAAGAGGGAGGGGTGTAGGATGGAAGGTACTTACCATCGTAGGCCTCAGCTTGTCATCTGTAAAACGGGAATAATAGGGTTGTTGTCAGGAGCAAGACAGTTAATACATGTGACATTCTTAGCAGAATGATATAATTGTTTGATGATAATAAACAGGGTAATACTGCCTCCGTCACAAGGGTTGTTATGAGACCGGGGCATGTAAAACACTTTGCAGGCTGCAAAATGCTCATGTTTTCACTGCTACTATTATTATTCCACTCTTGCACTTCTTTCAGCCACTGTCCTGTCTTCATGCGGATGAAGGGGGAGCTGCCAGAAGGAGGTGTGGACCCCTGGGTTCTGTTCTGCTTTGGGGACTGTTTCCTTCCTCCCCTCCTCACCCCCTGGTGAACAGAGTCCAAGCCCCTCCCCCTCCCCCGCTGGCTTGTATGCCCTCAGGCTCAGTGGAGAGAAAGTAGAGGCTGGCAGGAGGGGCGCAGGAGGGAGGCCAGGGGGAAGCCAAGCTGAAAATGAAAGCTGGGGAGGGGGCAGCGGAGCGCGCCTGGAATCATGTTTGCATAACGAGCTGTGCTGGCTCTGGCTTGCTGTTTTTCCAGACAGGGCTCTCCCTCCTTTGTCTCTCAGCTGGTGCTCCAGTCTCTTTCCTTCTTTTTTTTCTCCTGGCCACTGCCCCTCATTTACTTTGCCCCTCAGTACTCCCTGCAGCCACCTGGACTCCAGTCTTCCCCTTCCGTTTCCCTGACTTCTGCTCTGAGGCTCTGCTCATTTATACCTTTGTTTCCCCCATCCCCATCTCCCTCGTGTGCCCCCCTTCTCTGCCATCCATTTCTGCCCCAGTGGGTTCCCCTCTGTCTCTCTCCCCAGTTCTCCCTTCTCCATCTCTGTGGCATCCCCTTTACTCTCTTTCTGGCTGGAAGTCCCCCATCTTTTCTCTTCCTGCCTGTTTCTGTCTTGCTCTTGCATTCCTGGGTCTCTTTCTTCTTACTAACCCCTTCTGCCTCCCGGGTCAGGCTTCACCTCCTGCCTTCCTCCCCTTCTCTTGCCTTCCCTCTCTGACAAAGCACTTTCCTGTCAGTTATACTGCTTGGATTCAGGGCACTTAGCACCTAGATTCAGGGCCCACTGTGAAGCCCTCCTTTGTTCACTTGATGAAATAATTGCAGTAACAAGACTAAAATTTAATGAACACTTACTAAACGCCTTATCTGTGTATGATCTCATGTACTTCTCTCAATAATACTATGAGATGAATATTATTATCCCCATTTTACAGATGAGGAAAGTTGAGAGATTAAATAACTTGCTGAATAACTCACAGTTAATCAGAATTGGGGCTTGAATGCAGGCCTGCTTGCCTAAGGAGCCTGTGCTCTTAACCACAGGGGTCGATTCCAGCCCTGGAAGAAGCTGGTCTCACTTTCTCTCCCAGTGAGACTAACATAGCCCTCCTCCTTTCTTTAAACATCATCTTGGCGCCCCCAGCTTCCTCCAAAGGTCATTTGGTCCCTTCTCTTTTCTCTGCACAAGTCCAGATTCAACCTAGTCTCAAGACTTTATTTTATATGACAGTGCTACTAACGATACATTGCCTGGCACTAATCTAAGCACTTTATGCATATTATTTTATTTAATCATCTTAGTAACTGTGGGAAGTAGCTACTATTCTCACCCCCATTTTACAGATGAAGAAACTGAGGCATAGGGAAGTCAAATAACATGTCAGTGGTCACATAGTTAATAAGTGGCAGAGCCAGGATTGAGCCCAGGCACTTTGGCTTCAGGGAACCTGGCCTAACAGCCACACTGCTTCACAGTTCCTGGGAAAACAGGTTTTGGTCCCTCACCTCTTGTTACTAGTCCAGGTGCTTTGAGCAGTTCTTGTGGTCCATCCTCAAGCCCATTTCTGTGGGCACTGCCTGCTGCGGTGTAAAGTCTGCCACCAGCACTGACAGCCCTCAAGATCTGGTAGGCCACTTGCCCTAATCGGTGCCTGAGGGGATTTATTGGTGGCTGCCCCCAGGGAGTGGGGACAAGTGTTTTCCTCTCCAGCTCTGCTGTGCAGCCTCCTAGCCCGACAGCTCCCTCGTTCCGGCCCATCGCAGCAGCTGATTTACCTCTATGGCTGGGGGATTTAGCTGCTGGCCTGGCTCCTACTATAAATCCCTGGGCAAATAACCAAGCTCTGCATCAAAGCTGCCAACAGGGGAGTGAGCAGGAGCAGATGGTCACTTTGGCCATGGGGTGGGGAGGGCAGGGGCAGTGGCTCCAGGGCTTTCTTGTCCACCCCTGTCCACAGAGCCAGGCTGCACCTTGTTCATGCCCATGGGGTTGCCACTCAACTTTCAGAGGATTTGACGGCCCCATCCTGGCATCTCCCGATGCTGAGTGCCGGCAGGTTCTGGTTAATGTTCAGTCTTATACCTGCTACTCCATTTGAAGTCTCTTTGCTTGACATCACTAGAGAAGGAGAGAACTGACTACCATACTGGGTTTTATCACCCTTCCAAGAGCCGAGCTTTGGGTGGTTTTCTGGAAACCCATCCCATACATGTGGGATGTAGGTAGGTTCTGTCCTCCTGAGAGAGGCTCAGACTGAAGCAGGAATTAAGAACTTCTCAGTGGAAAGGAATGAAAGACCTAGAATGTAGGTGACCTAGAGCGGAGGCTGAGTGAAACCTCCAAAAAGTAGGCCAAAGTCAGGGTGGAAGAACCCTGAAGGATAAAGGTACTCCCTAAAAGTGAGACTTGTGGAAGCTGTGGTTGGAACCCTCAAACCTTCCATGTGTGGCCCTGGCTCAGGAATATGATATGACTGCAGGGGTCCACACTGGATCTGGGGGTGCAGTGGGACTGGAGGGGTCATTGTTCTATCAGTGTTCCTTGCTTCTCTGGCTTCCTCCCCTCTTTCTCTGACTCCTTTGGTGGCTTCTCCCTGCCACTCCCTGCCTGTCCCCTGCTCCCTTCTCTTTGCCATGTTCTCCCCTGTGGTGCTGTCACTTGCTGGTAGCCAGAAAGCACTTCCTGCACTCAACTGACCAGCCTGCGGTGGTGGGATTGGGCTGTAGCTCAGGGCTCTGGTTCTGCTCCCCAGAACCTTGCTCAGCCTGGAGCCTGTCCCCAGTGTCTGTGCCATTTTGTTCTTATGCTCCTCATTTATCTTTCCTGTCCCCCTCCCCCTACCACTGCCGCCTCCGCCTGGGAGATTACAGTCACTGAATCAGCAGCCAGCTCCAGAGTTCTGCTGACAGGGGACTTTCTGCCTCTGAGGGCTCCTTGGTGGGATCAGGGTCCCTCCTGAGGCCCAGGGATTTGGGGTAGGGGAAGAGAAGGGCTGGAAAGAAGAACAGGTGGATGTAGAGGGACAGATGAAGGCAAAAGGTAAAGGAGAGAGGCGGGAATATGGAGAGAGAAAGGGAGAGATGAACAGAATTAGAAGAAAATATAGGCAAAGATGGAAGAACAGTGGGAGAAGTGGAGAGAGAAGCAGAGGCTGGGGAGATGGGAAAGAGTACAAGAGGAGGGGTGTGGGAATTAGGTAGGGCAAACTCTGTTGAGCATCCTGCAAGTCCAGGCCCAGCCCTGCCCTCTGCCCTCCCCTGGTGCCTGGGGAAGGCCCCTTGGAGGCCCAAGTTCACTGGGACCCAGCTGAGAGGTACAGGCTGGGGCCTGTTGGCCCTTGGTCTGGGGCTCTGCCTTGTACCTCCCTCTCTCCTCCTCACGTGGTGGTTTGTACTTCATCTTGTTTGCGGGGCGGCTGGGCCTGCTCTCGGGGTTTAATGATCTGTGCCATTATTTATAGCTTTGCGCGCCGAGAAACACACTGAATTTATTGCTTGCTTCTATAAATAACCCTGGCAAACGGGTGCCCAGGGAGGAGGGCGGGAGGGGGAGGGAGAAGCGAAGAAAGGAGAGGTTGGGGGTAGGGCAAGGGAGGACTCTGTGGACTCTGTCCCCAAAATGGGGTGACGATGTGCACAAGGACAGTGGAGGCTGGTGGGACTCTTTCATCGTGGGTGTGTGTCTAAGGACACGTTAATATAACAGGACAGTGTGTGCCCTGTGAGGGGAGAGGGAGTGTTTGCATGTTTCTGAGGGCATGCATGAGTTGACTGTGTGTTACTGTTTGTGTTTGTCTCCGGTGCCACGCTGGTGGCGGTGAGGTTGAAAAAGCACAAGGCAGCCTCCAGCCACGGCTGGTCTCGAAATGGATGTCCAGCAGGGCTGAGAGACAAGTGTTGGGGGTGCGGCTTGACTAGAGTCGGGATTCTTTCTCTAAGGTTGGGGTAACAGAAAAGGTCACAGTGAGACTACTTTTCTGGATGTTCGATGGTAGAGGTGATAAAAGGAAGAAATGAGGCCTTGGGGGGCAGGGGCCAGGGCCACCTGTTCCAGGATCCAGAGAGACCTTCACTTTTGGGCTTCGTGGAAGGAGAGGTGGTGGATGGAGAGAGGGGTGGGGTGTGTGGTTGGCCGTAGCACTCCTCCTACGACCCTCCTGGCAAGTCCTGTCCCAGAATGGGAGTGGGGGCTCTGCGCAGGCCAGCCTGCCCAGGCAGAGCCAAGGGCCTGGTGCTGTGGCCTGCAGATTGCACCATGCCTGCCTATAGCAGGCCTTCCCCCTGGCCAGGGCTCTTCCCTACCCCTCCTCAGGACTGCCCAGGGTAGCAGGTCTTGAGGAATGGAAACTCTGGCACGGCCCAGCCACAGGGCTGTGGTCCTGCCTCCTCTCTCTCCCTTAGCCCACCACACAGAACCTGCTGCAGCAGCAGCGATTAGCTCTGGGAAGTGCTGTGCATCTCTAATGAGGGCATTTGCATATATAACGAAGAACCTTCACAGGTGTTGGCAGAGCCACCCCTCCTCTTTTCTCTTTCTTCTTTCCTGCCAGCTGCCATCTTTGACCTGTGGCTGTTGGGGTGGGGGGGTCCCTGCCCATTCAGCTGGGAGATGTGCTGTGCTGAAGGATCCCAGGCACAGGTGAGTTTCAGGGGCTCCCCTCTCTGGGTCAGAAACTGTCAAGGTGAAAGCCCATTGTGTCAGTGTGCATGGACAGGCCCAGCAACCTGTGTACATGTGTGAACATGAGCCTGTGCACACACAAAGAAGGCACAAGGTCAACACGCCCATCTGTGCCCAAGTGCACTGCAGTGTGGTAATGTACCCTGGTCAGTGCAAGTATGCAAAACACGTCCCAGGCTGCGCCCTGGCTGATGCTCCGATGCGCAGTGCACACGGCTGCCAGCACATGCTCCTTCACACTCACATCCTGGCACTAGTGCAGACAATTAGACAAAAATGCACCTGCACCGACACTTCCTCCATCCACACAGGGCCCCCTCCCTCCCTCCTTTCCTTTCTCCCTCATGGAATCATCAGCCCTTATTCAGGCCAGGAAACTACCTCCCACATCCTACTTAGACCTATGAAGTACACAAGAGACCATTTTCCTTTTAAAAATGAATATGAGGGGCCCTTACACATAGATAAATGACATTGAAGGGGAAGAGAAAATGCCAGGGCCAGAGTGGCAGGTAGGACCTCAGTTGGGAACTGGGGGCAGGTGGAGAGATTTCTGGGGAGGAGAAGCGCCAGGGGTGCTGAAGTCCCCACAAGGTCATTCTCAGGTTGTCCCCGACAGCCCTGACTCTCCTGCTGCAGACCAGCCAATCCCCAGCCCGAGGCCTCCCCACACTCTCCTGTTGGTCCGGCCGAGCCACGTGACCCTCCCGCTCTGTGGCAGCTGCTTGGATGATGGATGCAGCTGCTCAGCTCTACCTGTTGGGGGACGGACTGCACAGCTCCTAATTACCTCCTTCTTCAGTGAGGGCTGAGGGCTGGGGGCTCGACGCCGGGCTGTTATGAGACCCCTCTCCTCCGCTGGGGCTGGGGCTGGGGCTGGGGCTGACAACCTGAACTACAGCCAGGCTTGGAGGCAGGCAGCATTCCCTGAACTGCCCTAGGGTGAGGAGGGTGTGGGGGCACTAACCTGGGGTGTGGAGTGCGAGGAGTGCTTCTGGAAGGTTGACAGAGGGAGAAAGTGCATCATAAGTGACTTGGGAAACTGGGATAGGATATTAAATGAATGACCTTTCTCCAAGGCCATCCCACAGAGGGCAAGATTCAGGTTAAATATCAAGGCAAACTTCCTGGCAGCCAGGGATAAGTGCACTTGAGCAAAAGACAGAAAGGTGGAGATAGAGGTTTGGAAAGCTTTTTATAAGATGAATCAGATCATCATTTTCCTGTCTGGTGGGTGGCTCGTGGCAAATAGCTGCAGAAGTAGGCTGGAGTTAGAGTAGGAGGGCTGGAGGTAGAACTTGGAATGATTTGTTGGAGCGGTGGGTTGGGTGACACTGAACTGGACGCTTGAGGAGGTTGTGACACATCAGTGTGGGAGGCTCCAGGTCTGGCCTGGCTTGGGGAGGGATGAGGAAGACCCCAGGATTGTAAAGATGATGGAACTCCTCCAGACTTCTCCCCGGGGGCACTGAGGTGTTAGGGGGCAGAGGCATGTATTCAACAACACCCCAGTGCAATGGGATGCCTGGTGGGTGTGAGTGCCCCTGGCTGGAGGCAGGCAAACAGGTGGTTTGGGAATGGGACCACTACAAGATTTCTTCTGATTCTGAGATCCTAGGAATCCCAAAATTAGGATTCTGCAGGTTTCAAGAAGGGAAAGTAGGGAAGGGTTGGGCACAGAGCTGGTGAGTAGCACCAGGCATTTTGGCTGCCAGCCCCCTTCTCCTGGTGGTAGGGGCTATGATGATGTGGCTATGATAATTGCTATCCTTATTAAATGATATTGCAACTCACAGTAATGACAACTCCACCAGGATTCATTGCTCATAGTCCTCCCATTTTGGGGGATCTCTTGGCTGAGGAAGAGGGGGAAGGGGACCTTGAGTCCCTTTCCACCCCCGGTCCCAAAAGGAGGACAAAATAAACCAGTTGTCCAGGTAAGCAGACC
Source organism: Homo sapiens (assembly GCF_000001405.40). Classification (NCBI taxonomy): domain Eukaryota; kingdom Metazoa; phylum Chordata; class Mammalia; order Primates; family Hominidae; genus Homo; species Homo sapiens. The sequence continues at coordinate 54,158,085 of NC_000012.12, read as the reverse complement.
TTGAGGGGTCAGTCAGTGTGGATAGAGAGGAAGGGAGTTGGGGGGAAGGCAGCAGGAAGGCTCCTCATGTTCCAGTGAGTCCTTTTTTTTTTTTGAGATGGATTCTCACTCTGTCGCCCAGGCTGGAGTGCAGTGGCCCAATCTCGGCTCACTGCAACTTCTGCCTCCTGGGTTCAAGTGATTCTCCTGCCTCAGCTTCCTGAGTAGCTGAGATTACAGCCTGCCACCACGCCCAGCTAATTTTCGTATTTTTAGTAGAGATGGGATTTCATCATGTTGGCCAGGATGGTCTCAAACTCCCGACCTCAGGTGATCCGCTCACCTCAGCCTCCCAAAGTACTGGGATTACAGGCATGAACCACTGCACCCAGCTCCAGTAAGTCCTTTTCTGAATGGTCCCCTGCCAATCTTTATTTGTCTCCCAGGGCATTTTTCCCAATCACCCCCACCCCTGGGTTTACGTGGATTGCAAATTGTTGGGCTGTCCTCAGCAGCAGTGCCCCCTCATTCCCCCCCACCTGACTCCTCACTGTCCTCCTAAGCTCATCAGGCTGTGGGGTGGACCCTCCCTCACCCTTGTCCTTTATAGTGCCCTGGGTGCCCTTCTCTATTGGCATGAGTCTTGAGGGAAAAGGTTAGGTAAGAGGTTGCTTACTGTGCTCCCTGGTGTGTGTGCGCGTGTCTCTGCTTCTAGGACAGTTTCTTCATGTGCGTGCTGGGGTTCAGGGTACACAGACTGTGTGGGGAGGCAGCTATGCTTTTGCCCATTCAGGGTGGTTATGAAAGGGAGACAGAAGGGGTGGGGATCTGGTGATCCATCATCTCCCCACCAGGGCAGACTGGAGCAGTTTTGTGAAACCAGGCTTTCCTGGTCTTAGCACTACACTTGTGTGTGTGCGTACACACACATACACACACACTCACACCACAGTCACCCCAAGAGGCAACCCACAGATGCATTGACATGCTTGATGCCTCAGGTTTTTTCCAAGGAAGTCTGCCCTGTAAGCTGCTCCCTAATTTATTACCCTACTTTATTAGAGTAAATTTCCTAGTAAGTCCCTTTGCATGGATCCCCCGTCACCCCAGACAGAAACCTTCCATAACTCCCCAGTGCCCATGGAGTGAAGCTCAGGCCCTCTAGCCGGCACTCAGGTTCTTCTCTGGTCTGTCTATTCCCAACCTGCCTTTCCAGCCTTGTCTCCCATAATCCTCCAGCAGGAGTGTCTTCCCCAAGAGGACTATTCCTGTGCACTTACATTTCCTCCCGCCTGGATCACCAGAGCGAGTGCCCTCCTCCCACTCACACCTCTAATCATTTTTTAGGCCCACCCCCTCCAGGTGGCCTTTTTGACTTCCCCAGCTTAGAGCAACTTCTTTCTTAGCATGTGGTCCTTGGCATCTGGAGGATGTCTTTCTACAGGCTGGGTCGGGGGAGCCTGTCTCCTCACTTCTGAGCCTCTCAAGGCAGGGCCTGTACTCATTCATCTTTATTTCCCTGGTGCCTAATATGGTGTCTGACATCTGTGTATGTAAATAGTTGAGAACCTGGCTCTAGGAAAGAGCAGCCTTCTGAATTGGTTTAAGTCCCTGCCCTGATTCTTCTGGCTCTGTGACCCTAAGCAAGCAGCTTCCCTTCTCTGGGCATCAGTTCCCTAATTGCACCATGGGGAGGTTGGACCTCCTTACTCTGAGATTCTGTTTTTGTGGTGGTGAGAATGGAGACTATCAGCCAGATGTAAATAGATGCATAGGTAGCCCCTTACAACACAGCAGGTGAGGAGGCTGGGGGGTGGTAACTAGATAAATGGCCAGGCCCATTTGATCTGTAGCCCATGTGATCTGGGCTACTTCCTTTGCCTCTTGCACCCTCTATTTATTGATATGAAAAATGGGATTGACGTTACAAGATTCCTTTGGACTTTAGGTAGGCAGAAGCTTAATTCACACACAGTACACAGAAGGACTTATTTGGAGAATTGTGTCTGGGGCCCCTCTCCCTTCTCATTTCTTCCCTAATGGTCTCTGCTCTGTTTCTTTTCCTCTTGATAATTGCCTGGGAGAACCTGTACTCACCTCCCTTCACATCAGCCCCAGTGGCTTGGTATCAGGCCTGAGTGCAGTCCCTGACTGGTAGTCTACGGGTGGGTCTGGGCTGCAGAATGCCTCAGTGAGCCTCCAGGCAGCTCCTCTGGTGGAGTCTCCTTTGCAAATGTTGTTGCTGCTTCAGGAACCACAGGATTTCCCACCACCCCAGATTCCCATATTCCTGACTCCTCTGCCTCCCACACATCCTGCCTTCTATCTGACCCTGACCTTGGGGGTCTCTCCCAGCCTGAGAAATGTCCCACTTGCCTCATTACCCTTCCCTGGGAATACTGAGGCTGGAATTGTCCGTGGAGGCCAGGAAAGTTCCTCAGAAATGTAAGGAAGGGGGTGGGGTCTTGAGTGAGGGGAGACCCCTATTCTACATTATGACCTCTGGCTCACCCCCACTTCCCAAGTCACCCTTGGGAGAGCACTGGATGCAGGCCTCAGAGTGTACCCCCAAACCCATGTCCCAGTCTCCATAAGGCCTTAGAGGTGGGAGATTTTCTTTGCAGGGAGCCGAAGGGGAACTGGTGTATGTTCAAGGTGCCCCAGGGTCCCAGCTTCCCAGCCCCTGCCCACTGTGTGATCTCCAAGGACCTTGCATCCAGCCTCAGGAAAGCCGCTCTGTTTACAGTGTGAGAGGTTTGTTCCCACTGATGCCACTCAGCCTAGAGCTCTGGAGGGAAGAGGGGAAGGACTGTGGGAAAATCGAGGGGGGAAACCACATGAACTTTGGAAGGAGGTGGAGTTGGTGACTTTTCCCCTCCTTGGAGCAGCTGGGAGGTCTAGCAAAATTTAGCCCTTTCTCCTAGGGAAGAAGGACCCCAGAAAACAAGTGAAGAAACCAAGTGGGGGAAATTGATGGCAGGGAAGGATCAGCAGTTTGCTGGGGGCGGTAGTTGGCGGGAGGGAAGAGCTAGAGAGATCCAAACCAGAGAGTACAAGTCAAGACTCATTGAGTGTGATTTGGCTGCAAATACACAGCATCTGGGTCATTGCAAGGGTGAGGGCCCTAGAGGCTGGGGCTGAGTCACATGTTTCATTTTTACCACTGAGACTGGCCTTTGCTTGCAGGAGGCCCAGAGAGGGAAAATATTTGGGCAAGGTCACACAGCACTTGCCTCAATCAGAGGCCGGCCTGGCTTTCTCTTGCTCTTATTTTTCAGCCACTCTTGACCTGACCTAAAAAATATATATATTCTCCAGTCTGTACAATCTCCCATGCTCCCTCTTCCCCCTAAATAGTTACGTGTGAACTTTGACCTGGGAATTCGCTTCGAGGGGAGCACTTTGGGAAAACATGATAAAGCCTCGTAAAGAACTCCAACAGCTTGCAAATAGCCTGTGCTAAATTGCCCCTTCAAGTGACAACTAAAGCAAATGTCTGTTTTATGGCCATGTTTTCTTGGGCTGCAACTATGGCAGGAGTGCAGGCAGCTCAGAACTGGGAAGCAGAGAGAAGGTGGAGGCACATCAGGTGTGGGATCCCTGGACAGGTAGAACAAGCTGCTCCGCAGAGGCCCTCTGGACCGTTCTTCTGCATCCCTGCCTCTTCCACCCCTTTTCTGTATAGAGAGGGTGTCAAGATAATCCTGTCCCCAGGAAGCCCTTCTTAAGGCCTCTCCTCTTCTCCCAGTGTGGCTTTGGAGAGTTCTTGGTCTTCTGGGGGCACCAGCCTCCTAGAGTGCCAGTGGTGGAAGCCCTGACATCACCCCGGCCAAGGTCTTGACCTGGGGTCTGTGACCTCCCAGGGTTTCTCTGACAGGCCTCTGAGGTTGTTGCTGGGGTAGAGGGGCTCTAGACCATCCCACCCCCTGCTCTTGCAGTTTTCTCCAGATCTAGTCCACTTTTGCATAGTGCGATTCTAAGTGAGGATTGTTTGAAAAGAAGTTCTAAGGCAATAATAATAATACAATAATAATAGTAATAATAATGATGATGACAAAAAAGGAAACTCCTGATCTACTCTAATCCCTTCACTGCACAATTGAAGAAACTAAGGCCCAGAGAGGACCTCTTGGGGGAAGACCCTTGGTTGGATGAAAGGAAGTCTGGGAAGAGAAGCTCTGATTCTGACCCAAGTCACTTCCCTTCTCTGGTCCTCAGCTTCCTCATGGGTAAAGCCAGATGAGCAGATTCCCTGAACTTCAAAGGTTCTTGTCAGGCCTGTGAACCCTAAGTAAATAAGTACGTAATAATGACAACAATAGCCCGTGTTTTTTGACCCCAGGGATGTGCCAGGTCCTAAGTGCTATGCATTTTCTTTTTTTTTTTGAGATGGAGTCTCACTCTGTCGCCCAGGCTGGAATGCAGTGGTGTGATCTCAGCTCACTGCAACCTCGGCCTCCTCGATTCAAGTGATTCTCCTGCCTCAGTCTCCCAAGTAGCAGGGATTGCAGGTATGTCCCACCATGCCTGGCTAATTTTTATATTTTTAGTAGAGACAGGATTTCATCATGTTGGCCAGACTGTTCTCAAACTCCTGGCCTCAAGTGATCCACCTGCCTTGGCCTCCCAAAGTGTTGGGATTACAGGCGTGAGCCACTGTGCTTGGCCGCTATGCATTTTCCATGGGCCATCCCATTTAAGACTCAATAACTTTATGAACTATCGTTATTCCCATGAGGAAACTAAGGCACAGAGAGGTTAAATAACTTGGCTGAGGTCCTTAAATGGCAAAGGCAGAATTTGAACCCTGGCAGTCCCTCTCCAGGGCTTGGGCCCTCAGTTACTACTCATGTAAGGGGACTGGGACCCAGCCCTGCTGACCTGTGAGCCAGTGCTCCTTCCACTGTACCAGGCCACCTGTCTAGCAAGGGCGGTGCTGGTCTCAGGCTCTCTGGAGGCTGCTGGGGTCTGCTGTACTCAGTGCTGGGAAGCCTAATGCTCAGTGCACACCTTGCAGAAGGGGCTTTGGGGCAGAACAGGATTTCTTTTTTTTTTTTTCAATGAGTTTCCTGAGCGTCAAAGAACAGGGCTTCTTGAAGGAGGCCTCAAAGGCTGAGAAGAGCTTCTATGGGACTCCAGGAAGCTGTGAAGATTCAGGGCAGCCATGATACAATAGTATATAAAATTCCCTCCCTGCCCCTCACCCAGTGGCCTGCCACCTAGGAAACCCTGCAACAGGCAGCCAGACTGGCCCAGCCTGCAAAACCTTTCAGTGACCACACACACACACACACACACACACACACACACACACACACACACACACACACACACACACACACAGTGTCCCTTCTAACTTCTAACCTGGCTATCCCAGCCTCTTCTCTGAAGCTTCACTGCTAGAACTTGAGATCTGGCTTCCTCCTCAGAAGACAATTTATGGCAACATGTCGAAGACTCTGTTTTAATGAAGTTGCAAAAGTAGGTTAATGGGCTGTGGGTGTTTTTCGTTCCCCTCCCCCTGCCCCATCTCCACCCCTGGGTGGATGAATGATGCCTCTCCCGGCAAGATGCAAAGTCAGGCTGAGGATCTCGGGCCTGGACTCAAGCTCACATCCCTTCCTTGGCCCTCTGCTCAGCTCCTCAGCACCACTGCTCTCTGCCACTGGGAAGGTGCTCAAAATGTCTAGCCCCAATCCCTCCTGCTGTAGCTGTGGTCCAGAAGGTGCTCCAGGGTCTGCCCAGAGGGGAGGAGCATGGCATATTTGAGTAGTGGGTCTGGGGCAAGGACTGAGGCAGGGGTGGGACTCTGAGGAAGAAGTAAAATGCTAGGGAATGGATTTCTTTTGGATTGGAGAGGCGGGGAGGTAGAAGCTCAGCTAGCATGGACCCAGAGAACTCTGAAGCTGGTGCTAGTATTCTGGATGAGGACTGAGTTTCTGGAAGCCTCTCCAGTTGCTGTCCCTGCCTGTGTAATTCATCTGTGTGTTTCCTGGTACCATGCTGATGTAGAGCTGCTCTCTCGATTGTTTGCTAAGTGAATGATGGATACAAGAGTGAATGACTCTTCTTTCCCTACGCCAAGTCTCTGGGGCTAAACTACCCTCATCCTTCCTCACCTCTGCACCTTCCCTCAGCTGTTGCTACTTGGAACCCTCTCCCTTCTCAGACTCTGCCCAATCCTGGCTCTACACTTCTGTCTCTTGGGGAGTTTTTCATGATTAAGCTGCAAGAAGAGTTCTCTATTCACTTGGGTCCAAGATTAGGGTCTGTCATCCCTGTAAGTTCAGGGTCCCCAGGGAGAAGGGTCTATGTCGTTTTCCTCCGGACTCTGCCCTGCCCCAGCAACACCCAGGGCAGGGCTCCAAGACTGAGGTGGGAGCTCTGGGCTCAGTTATTGTTGGGGACATACACCCAGGAGGACCATACTGCTGCCCAGGACCAGGCCTGGTCCTTCCTCCCTACAGAAAGCCCGGGGCTTGCACAGCATCTCGCCTGTCATCACTCCAGGGGAGCAAGCAGCCTTCTTCATTCCCAGACCCTCACTGCCAACAAAGGAGGCTGTTGGCCAGGGTTTGGGACTTGAATACCAAGATGGGGTAGAGCAGAGCCTTGCTGCTCTGCAACTTCAAATTATCCCCTCCTCTAGGAAGCTGGGTCACCTCCGTCCTTCCCCCTCCAAACTCCCTAGCTTTCTTTTACAGCCTTATCTCCCTCCCTTCCTCTGGGCCAGGTAGTAGCACAGGCCTGTGGCCTTTTGGAGTAACCCTATAAAAACCCCAGAGCAACCCTAGTGTGAAGCCCAGAAAACCCCACCATAATCTCCAGGGCAACTCCACAGTTGTACTCCAAACTCTATGACAGCATCCAAAATCTACAGTAACACCCCAAATCCCTATAGTCACATCCAGAACTACTCAGCCCAGGCAGTGCCACAGAGCCACCCCAAACATGGCACAAGAAGCTCAACACAGGCCCCTTCAGGAGCAGCTAAGCCTTCTAAGCTGATCTTCTAGCTGACCCAGAAAGGGGGGTCTTCCTGGAGACTCCAAAGCCCTCACTGGACCTTGCTCCCCACTGAGCTTTGATGTGGTAGAGGGAGGGGTGGGTGCCCAGGGCATGGACATGAAGGTTTCCCCTCACCTGAGGTGCTGAGGGAAGAAGTCTGGGGGAGGACAAGCCAGATTGTCCCTGGAGGGTCAGGGAAACCCAGAGGCAATGGTAGTCTCATACCTGAAATGGGAATCCGTGGGGCTTCTGTGGAAATTTCTGTGGATGAAGAGGAGACAGGACTCCCGGGTTCCCATGGTCACACGCACATGCTTTACAGATCTGTTTTGGGTCTGAGTCTTCAGGGGGCGTGGGAGGTGGTGTGGAGACAATGGGTATGGTGGGGGTTAGTAGTTGGCAGTTCAGAGGGAGGAGACGCAGGCCTGTTCCCCTAGTCCGATGAGAGAGAAGAGAGTCACACCAGGACCTGATTTAGGAATTGCTGGAGGGGCTTGTTGAGTGCAGGAAGAAACCAAGAAAAGGGGAGCCAAGGGTTTCAAATCAGGAGGGCTTCACGGAGGAGAAGAATAGGCAGGAGGTTGGAAAACAAGGGGCCAGGCGTGGTGGCTCATGCCTGTAATCCCAGCACTTTGGGAGGCTGAGGTGGGTGGATCACCTGAGGTCAGGAGTTCGAGACCAGCCTGACCAACATGGAGAAACCCTAAAATACTTGGAAGGGAGGCTCCCACCCTCTCTGCCCCTGCCCCTGGCAGCACCACCCCCAATTTGAGCAGGGCTTGGTCCCCAGAGCCTGGGGGTGGGTGTATCTACTGAAAATACAAAATTGGCCAGGCGTGGTGCACACCTGTAATCCCAGCTACTCAGGAGGCTGAGGCAGCAGGAGAATCGCTTGAACCCTGGAGGCAGAGGTTGCGGTGAGCCAAGATCGTGCCATTGCACTCCAGCCTGGGCAACAAGAGTGAAACTCCGTCTCAATAATAATAATAATAATAAAAAGAAGGGAGGAACAGAGCTGGGAAGGTCCCTGCCAGGGGTGGGGGCGGGGGCGCTCTGTGGCTTTCGAAGGGTTGAGGGCTGGTTTCAGGCCAGGCTGAGTTCAACCTGTGGAGTCACCAGACATTGGCATCTCTGGGTGTAAAATCCTGAGACGGGAAGAGGATGAATGTGGAATCAGGAGGCCGAGGGACCGCAGGCTCCACCCTTGGCTTTTGACCTCAGGTAATTCCCACACACTTCTAGTGTCATCGTTCTCCAGTCTGTAGAGAGGGAATAACAACATCCAGCATTCTTGAATTTTTAAAAAGCTTCTCTAGCAGGTGAGAAAACTACTTGGGAGAAAGCTATTTGGCCCACGATTTAGTAGATGTAAACGGTGCCAGCCCCTCTGTGGTGCATGAGATGTCAAGTTCTAAGTTCCCAGCTCTGCCACCAGACAGTCCTTTTTTCAGGCCTCAGTTTCCCCATCTGTAAAACAAGGGGAGTTGCACTTGTTCATTTCTTGGGGCCCCTCCTCCATCTGGTATCTGTTCAATAATTTTCAAGGTTCTTACAATGATAATAAATGCCAACAAGCTTTGTCCAAGTGTAAAGTGTGCTTCTGATGTGAGGGGCTGAAGGGCTCCCTGGATGCAGAGAAAGGTGCTTTGAGCTGGGCCGTGGCCCACAGTCTATCCTAGGCTTGGACCCCTGGAAGGAAAATGCAGAGAGCCCTGCTCAAGTTTATCCCACCCCCTTCCCAGAGCTGTGCCCATGCCAGCAATATTCTGCTCCCCCTTCCCAGCCAACCCCCAGGCTCTGGGGACCAAGCCCTGCTCAAATTGGGGGTGGGGCTCCCAGTGGCAGGGGCAGAGAGGGTGGGAGCCTCTCTTCCAAGTGGCTCCGAGCTGGAGCACAGCAATTACGCGGGAGGATTTATGTCCCTTTGCCTTTAATCGGAAACTCCATGTCAAGAAGAAAAATCTGCACTGTCCTCCGGCCCGGCTTCCTGCTTTATCATTATTATTGGAGGAAGGTTGATTTGGAAACTTAAAGAAAAGTGGGGTTGGGGGTGGGAGCCACTGGGGAAGGAGAGGTGTGGGGCACAAGGATGGCCTTCCTGCTGTTTGGTTTGTCACAAGAAGGGGACAAAGGGTAGGGCAGGGGCCGGGTCCTGGAGGGCAGGTGAGAAGAGACCAGAGGAACGCTAGGGGGAGGTTGGGGGCTGCAGGGTCACGAAAGGAAGGGGCACCCAGGAGCTGGGGGATGCTTGGAGGGAGGGAATGAGTGGGCAGACAGAGGGAACAGCTGGGGGTTGAAGGGACCTGGGGAGAGAAGAGAACCAGCAGCCAAGGTGGAGGGAAGGAGTAGCCAGGTACTGGAGGGACTATGGGTGGGCGAAGGGGTGTGGAACAGCCAGAGGAGCAGCCAGGCTCTCGGGGGATACTGTTGGGGAGGGAGAATGGGGGGTAAGCAGAGGGGATGTGGGGTGGGGGAAGAAGAGGGTGGGGCCTCATGGAGTGAAGAGGCATCAGGGACTGGCAGAGGGAGAGGGAGGGTAACCAGATGGGAGAGTCAGGGACTGGAGCTGGTGGGGGGTTGGACCAGGAACTCTGGGACTATCTCAGTCTAAATAGCCTGCTCCCACAAAGGCCTCTCCTCACCTGGCCCACCTGTATCTCCTAGTGTCCTGATTGGAGGGCTCTGGCCTCCCACAAAGCCCCAGGTTTTTGCCTTCCACCTTGGGAGCTGTTTCCTCCGGTGATCAGGTGTAGTGACTGGGAACAGGCTGAGGGGAACCACTTGACTCTCTTAGACAGACAGGTCTGCACTCTGGGGAGGCGAGACCAGGGACAGAAGGCCTCCTTCAGCCATCTTCCTGCCCTGTTTGGAAGTCCCCCCAGTGTCTTACCTGTTATCCCTTCTGTTGCCAGGATTTCATTCTGATGCTTTGGAGTCAGGCCTGGGTTGGAATTCTATCTCTGGCACTGACTACCTGAGAACACCTCTCTGAACCTCAGGGTTTTTGTCTGCAACATGATGACAGTAATACCTACGTGGCAGGTGTTGTCAGGATTAGAGATAATTAAGTAAAGTATCCAGCACATAGTATGCCTTCTATGCACTGTGCCCATCTGGAGGTAGCACCTGATATATGCAACCTCTCTACTTTACAAAGCATTGATAAATTATTTGTATCAATTTGTATCATTTGATTGTCATGACAACTTAATGAAGGAGCCTGGGTAGGTGTCATTATCCTCATGTTGGTGATGGAAACCATGGTACAGAGTGGCTGAGTGACTTGCCCAAGGCCACACAGCGCATGCCTGGAGCACCCGGGTAAGACAGACCCATAATACCACATGAGAGGCTTGAAGATCTTCCTCTGGGTCTTCTTCCTCCACCCTTGTCAGGCCCCACACCCAGCCACTGGTCCCTGGAATCTAGAGTTGAGTTTGGGGTGCTCAGCAGAGTGGCTCAGCTTCCAATCCTCCTGCAGCCCGGGCCATGCCCACCCTCATGCGCCTCCTCCCCGGCTTGACTAAGAGGTTTTATAGCCGTTTATGAGCAATTTCTGTCCATATATCATCGGAGATATATAGCCAGGCAAATATTAGGGACCCAAGCGGAGGTTTTAAGAGTGAGTTTTATTGCTGCTGAAAGAAGGTGTGATAGGCAGCATGCAGAGACCCACCTTCCCTCTTGCTCGGCGGCCGGGTGGTGGCAGCAGGGACTGGGCTTCAGCTGAGAAAAGCCATCTGTGAAGCTTGCGTGTTATGCCAGCACCCAGGGGTGCGTTGGCGGAGGGTGGTGATGGAAGGGTGGGGCTCTGTTCCTCAGAGAGCCATGCAAGTGGGTGTGGAGGGGTGAAAGGAGGCAAGAAGTCACAGGCTGGTGTGGCCAGCACAGCCTCTCCAAACCTGAGTGGGAAGACACTGAGTTCCAGTGGATTCAACACACAGAAGCGTGGATTGAAGTGAGACAGACTTGGGAAACAACTTCTCCCCAGGGGCCCCTGGGAGAGACTTTGGCAGTGCCTTTTGTTGGAAGTCTTTAAAAACTGGACCGGAACAAGGAGACCCCTGCCCAGAGTTGGTGAGCTGGACAACATGACCCCTACCCTCTTGAGCCACGGCCCCTGTTCTGCTGGAGAAAGCCCTGCAGAGGAGGTCATCCGTGGCCTCCTTTTGGGCTCTGTTCCAGGCCCCCGGCCCACGTGTCCCCTGCCCTCTGTGGGCTTCTGGGTATGGGTGAGTGGCAGAGGGGTAAGGAGAGCCTTCTTGGCTTGCGGCGTATGGAGAGAAGACGTCCCAGGGAATCCTCGCTCCTGATTTAAGCAGCTCCGACAGCTTTATGGTGCCTCCTCGAGTGAGCCCCCAGCGTTGGCTGTTTAACTTTTTAGCGTCGTTTAACGCTTAGACTCTGGTGGACAGGCAGGCCCCAAGGCCCCAGAGGCAGCGGCACTAAATCAGGACACTCTGAGGCCCCGATAAATAATTTTTACAGGGCACGCAGCCCATAGATCACCAGTGGGGGTGGGGGGAGAGTGGCTGTGATATTTCAACCAATTGTCATATGTGACTGCCCCGTGCTCTGACTCCAGGTCGCCCACATGGCAGCCGGCTTCATAACCACAGCCAGCTCTGGGGCTCTTCACTGTGGGGCATGGGAGAGGAGTAGGAGATGGGGCCTTTGATAACCCCAGCCAGCAGATGACCCGTTGCCTCCCCGGGAATGATGTTAAGGTCTGCTCAACTTGCTGTTGTCCATAGAGCATGGGTGCTCAATCCAAGCCTCCTCTGGCACTGGGAGAAGGGACAGCTGAAGGCACGAGGGCAGGGTGGCAGAGAGGAACACAAATAACTTTCTGTAGCCAAAAAGTCACTTTTCTGACCACCTTCCCTGTTCTGTTGACCACCTCCAAACTTGTGGTCTGTGTGAGAGAACAGTACAGAGGGAGGGAGGCATCAGACCTGACCCCAGGAGAGGAGGGCAGAGCTAAGGCTGACGTTCAGAGAAACTGGCAGCATCCCTCTACCATTTATACCTCTAGAGAAAGAGATGGAAAGTGTGGGAGTGTGGAAAGCGGGGGAATGTGGAAGGAGAGAGACAGAAACACAGAGAAGGCTAGGTAGTGAGAGGGACAGAAAAATGAAGATGAAAGACAGATGAAGATGTAGAGAGAACAAGAGACAGAGGCAAGAGGAGACAGACCAAAACGGACTCAGAAAGGACACTCCAACAGTTGGTTTGGTGTGGAGAAGGAGGCCTTTTCCTAAAGCTTGGTACCAAGCAAGAGGAACAGTGGTATCAACAGACCAAGGCAGGGGTTGCATCTGTGCCAGGCTGACCTGCCCCATGCCCTCTGAGGGTGCCCTTCCCCTGGCTTCAGGACCGTGTTTCCCTGCACCAGCTCCACGCTGCTTCCCCACTCTCTCCCCTCCCCTCAGTGCCCTTGCCCCATCCCCTCATCTGTAAGATCTGGGATTTGCGGGGACACTTAATCCATATGGAGCTGATTCATTCCCATCTAAATCATCTCCATGAGCTTCCCTAAGAGCCCTCTGATGTGCCAGCCACCATTCCTCTCCCCTGGGCGATGGCGGGCTGGGGGCTGCCAGTAAACAAACCTCAGCTGCCATCCATCCATCTTGGCCTCGCCCATCAGTCCAGCCAAGACCATTCATCTCTCCAGCACTGCTCCCTGCACTCCTCCATCCCTCCATCCATCTGTCTGTCCCTCCTTCTCATGCCCCTCTACTGGAAACTTTACCTCTCTGCCTTTTCCTGGGTAGCATCTTGAGGGGTCATCTCAACCATCCCCCTGCCTTCAGACAGGAGCCTTATTTTACCCCTGGCCCAGCAAGGCGGGGGCTCTCCCAGTTCATCACCTTCCGAGAATGAGGGCTTCGAGTCTGATGATTTTACTCTACAGTACTGACAACCTAGGGAAGTTCTTTCTTCTGTCTAGCTTGTGTGCTTGACATTCACATATGACCACACGTCTGAATGGGAGTGGGTATAAGATTATAGGATTATACTCAAGCATGAGAGTCTCCAGTATTTGTAATATGTACCTCTCTGGCTTAACATGGTATGTAGAGCTCAAGACCAGTGAAATGGGCCTTTCCTCCAGTCTCCCCCAGCAGAGTCTGGCCCAGTGCCAAGCACGCAGTGGGCGTTCGGTGTTGATTGCTTTCTGGCCATCTTCTTATTTGCCAGTGCCAATGAGTCCAGTGGTCTCACATACATCCTGGGGGGGGTTTTGGTGGGATGACTCTGTGGATCTGATACAGGGCAGATTATGGCACCTCTAGCCTGGCAGGGTTTGCAGTAAACACTAAGGAAATGTCTCTTACCTCTATTCTCCCACTCAAATTTCTTTTTTTTTTTTTTTTTTTTTGAGACAGAGTCTCGATCTGTCGCCCAGGCTGGAGTGCAGTGGTGCGATCTCGATTCACTGCAACCTCCACCTCCAGGGTTCACTCCATTCTCCTGCCTCAGCCTCCCGAGTAGCTGGGACTACAGGCGCTCACCACAACGCCCGGCTTATTTTTTGTATTTTTGGTAAAGATGGGGTTTCACCATGTTAGCCAGGATGGTCTCGATCTCCTGACCTCGTGATCCACCCTCCTCGGCCTCCCAAAGTGCTGGGATTACAGGCGTGAGCCACCACGCCCGGCCTATCCCACCCAAATTTCTTAACGCAGGCCTGGGGTAGAGCTTGCCTCAACAACTCGCTCTCGGTAATTGTGGGGCTGAAGAGAGGGAGGACGAACAGGAGGGGCAGCAGGTGCTGGTGGGGCCTTCCATGGCACTGAAGCAGAACCCTCGCATTTGGGGGAAACCCTTATGTTTACCTGCACTAATCAGGAGAGTGCATGGAGGGCGCCGCTGTCCCCTGCCCCAGCCTTAGCATTATGGCCCTTCCCTTTTCAGCCTCTTCACCTCATCCTGGGAGGGGTGACTCTGAGAAAGGGGCTTCTGCAAGTCCCTAAGGAGAGAAGACGGGAGCAGGTCTTTGGGTCCCACCTCAGCGTCTCCATGCGCAGCACCACTGGAAGTTGGGGAACAGGGAACAGGTCTGTCTGTCTGTCTCTGGTCAGTAGAGAATTTTGGTCAGGCTCTAGTAACCCTGCAGAGGGATAAAGTGGGTATGGGGGGTGGAGGTGGAGTTACAGGGAGAGATGAGGGCAGTACTTGTGACAGGTGTGTCCTTCCCTGGATCCAGTCATGAAGAGTGGGAGGGAGAGAGGAGAGGGAGGGGAAACATGAACTTTCACGTGCCCTGAGAGAGCTGGTGTTTCACCACTGCCAGCCGCTCCCCGAGACCTGGGATGCCTTGTTGAGCATCTGCCCTGCTCCCAGACCAGACTAGACCAGGCAGGGAATCCCGATGCATGCTTCTCCCCTGTCCCCACACTAACTCCCACTCCCTTTCCCCTTGTTGCTGGTCCCCTGCATGGAGTCACTGTGAGTACACAGGATAGGTGAGGCTCTACAGCTGTTATTGAGTTGTGAGGATCCTTGACCTTGTCCCTCTCACTCCCCTACAGGGAGAGGAGGCTCTAATTGTAGTCAGAAAGATAAGAAGGGTGTCTTGGAGAGGAGAGGGGCTGGGGGGGCCGTGGGGAAGCTAACCACTTGCCCCAGTCGTGTGAAGGTAAGTGTGGGAGGGGAGGGGCCTGCAGGTAGCAAGGCCCAACTTAAGAATGATGAGGTGCTTCTTAGTTCTCTGAGCTATAGACATGTGAAGTATGTAAGACCATGCGAAAGGATAAATTATCACCTAAGGAGGAGAGGACATGGGGGAATAAGAAAAAATTCAAGCCAGGGAGACCCAATGCTACCACCCCCATCACCATCATGACCTGATCCATCTGTGCTGGACTGGATTAAAGTCCATAGGGAGGGGGAGGCCTGAGAACTGGCCCTGAGGTCTTCAGAGGAAAAGCTGATCCCCCACCGTGCATTTGCTTGATGTTACACAGAGCAAGGGGGAGCTGGGAACAGCTGCTCAAATTCTTCAGGTGGGGCAGCCACGGGGAGCTCCCCATCCTCCTTCTTCCTTCCTTGCACCCACCTCTCTCCAACCCCTCCTTCTACCTAGTCCGCTGAGGAACAGTGCCCTCTTCTCCCATTGGCCCGCCTCTCGTGGTTGTCCCCAGCCTCTTGGGCTAGGCCCTCCTCACCCACTCAGTGGCTCCTAACCTCTCTTGTCTCCTCTGAAACTCCTCTTCCTGCAAGAAGCATCCCAGGCTGCTTCTCCCCTCCCCCCAAAAAAAGCCCACTTACCCAGACTTGCAGCTGATGAAAATCCTTTAGGATCCACTCGTGGGCTGCTGCCTTGGGTCCTGCAGGGTCTGGAGATTCCTTTGTTTGTCTGTCCTCTATTGCTCAACATCCACATGTCCAATTTAGGCTGGGATTCCCACAATACAAGTGAGGAGCCAAGTCTTTTTTTTTTTTTTTTGAGATGGAGTCTCGCTCTGTTGCCCAGGCTGGAGTGCAGTTGTGTGATCTCTGCTCACCGCAAGCTCTGCCTCCCCGGGTTCACGCCATTCTCCTGCCACAGCCTCCCGAGTAGCTGGGACTACAGGCGTCTGCCAGGATGCCCAGTTAATTTTTTGTATTTTTATTAGAGATGGGGTTTCATCGTGTTAGCCAGGATGGTCTCGATCTTCTGCTCTCGTGATTCCCGCAAAGTGCTGGGATTACAAGCGTGAGCCACTGTGCCTGGCCGAGCCTGGGGTTTTAAAATCTATTTGACAGCCCTTCTTCTGACATCATGAGGCAGAAATGTCTTGAGGAATGCTGGGAGGTCTTAGACGACCAATGAGCGGGACTGGTACACTTTCCCCCAGGGAAGCCACCTCATGCTACAGCAAGTAGTGACAGAGGCTAGACAATGGGAAGAACTGTAATCTCTTAAAATTGAAGGAAAGATTTCCAGGGTTTCACTGAAGACCTTGAGGAGGAATGACTTTAATCTTTTCAAGCTCTGAGGGAGCAGAGAGGCCTGGGAGTCTGGAAAAGTTTCTGTCCACTCTTGCAGAACTGACTCAAAGAGGGACGGCCACTTTCTTTTTCAAGAGCCCTGACTCATCCACGTTCAGTCCAATTCCACTCACAATTTCTTAGATAATTGTTTCTTTCTTAGACAGAAATTTGGTTCTGGAATTCCCTGTCCTATTCCTCCCATGACCTGGGAACCATCTTTAGGAACCAACTTCAGCTTATGGTGCCAGAAAAACAGAGATGTAGAGACATTTTTGGACAGTCACACAGCAAACCATCAAGGAGCTGGGAATGCCCCCTTATGGATCCTCTTCTCTTCTCTGGATGTGAAGGGAAAGGATATGATCCTAGGGGGAAGGGTGGGGTTAGTGAGAGCTGGAAGAGCACCCCCGCCCAGCAGGCCCAGATCCAAATGTGCACATGATGGAAATGCCTTTATAGCCAAGGGCCCCTCCCTCCCAAAAATAAAATCCCACAATTGGGGAACATCTGGATCAAACCACAGCCATGAAAGCGCAACATCAAACGAGGGTTTCTGAGCGACCCTCCCCGCAGGCCCTGGTCCAAGAGAAATTGCAGAACTTCCTGCTTGAAGCTTTTAAGTGTCACAGAACCCCTCAAATTTGGGATTGCCCCCTATTTGCTGGAGACAGATGTCCCCGAGTGTGGTTGGGCCTGATTGCCCCCAGCGGGATAGAGTGTGTGTGACCTGATCTTACCCCCAGCTAATCCAGGCAGGAAAGCTGTGATGAGGGGCTCCAGCCTTTCAGGCTGGGGGCTGGGGAGAGAGGGGACAGGTGGGCCTTCTGAAACGTGCCTACATCAAAGGTTTGAGTACCCTCCCTTCCAAGCTTTGGCGCCTCCGGCGGGGAGGAAAGCAGTGATTTCACCACATAACTGCACGTAGGGCGGATCTCAGTCTGAGAACTTCTGGGGAATGTGGAGAGGGGAGGGACGGTGCTTCCCAGAGGGGAGGAAAGGGCAAGGAGGGTTCTCGCTTCCAAAATAGCCTACCCAGGCCAAGGAAAACGGGGCCATATGCAGCCTCCCTCCTGCTCTGGCCTCTGTGGAGGGAAAGCTGAGGGGAGGGTGCATTCTTCCAAGGGGGGAGGAGGAGCAGCTATAGCAGGAGGAGGGCAGGAGCCAGATCACAGATGGAGAGCGGTGGGGAACAGGGGCATCTTCCACACACAGGGGCATGAAAGAGGAAGGCTGTAGGGTATGTGAATTCCAGGAGACAGTAGGCGCTCCCCTCCCTGTTCCCCAGGCTCTGTCCTGTCTCAGGAATCATAGAGTGTCTGGTCATGATGCTGGCAGGGTGGGATCGACTGTGGGGCACATGGGTTAGGGAGGCACCCCATATCTGGCTGGAATCCCAGTTCAGATTTGGATCATTTGAGGATGAGTGAGAGTCGGTTGGGGTGTTGACACCCCACTGTAACCTTAGTTTAAGAAGCTAAGGATTTATTGTTGGGGTGGAAGGTCACCTTCAGTTGGGAGGAGTGTAGGGAGAAAAAAGGGGCACCATTTGCATATAATTTTGCTTATAGTTTCCATACTCCTCCCCTTCAGGGAGACTTCCATGACCCTTTCCTTTCCCTTCCCAGGGAGGTTTAGGTGTGTGCATGGTGCTCCCCCGGTGCCCTAGGTGTACCTATAGTCTTGGTTCTTTTCACCTTGCTTTGTAAAGATCCGTGGTTTCTTTCCCCATCCAGACTGTCGGTGCCTTGATGACATGGACCTCCTTGTTCTTCTCTGTGTTCCTAGTTCCCAGCACAGTGCCTGGCAGCGAGCAGGTGCTCGGTGATGCTACCCTGCTGCTGCTGGAGCCCATTCCTCCCATGACCAATGTTCTGGGGGAAACAAAGGACAACCCGTAGGATGGTTCTTTAGCAGCCTGGAGGCCTCTGATGGGCTCTCAGCCTTTCTAAAACTGCAAGGATAGCTCCTATCTGACCGCCTCTGGGAGTCTCCTGGGAGGACCCTCAGTGACAGCACTTTCTTCTGCCCCTGAAACTTATTGCCCATAAGGCTCACCTTCATGGTCAGATATTTATTTATTAGAGACAGGGTCTTGCTTGCTCTGTCGCCCAGGCTGGAGTGCAGTGGTACAATCACAGCTCACTGCAACCTCTAGTGGGCTCAAGTGATCCTCCTGCCTCAGCCTCCCGTAGCTAGGACTACAGGCACTCACCATCACACTCAGCTAATTCTTTTTTCTTTTTGTTGAGACTGACTCTTGCTCTGTCACCCAGGCTGGGGTGCAGTGGCATGGTCTCGGCTCACTGCAACCTCTGCCTCCTGGGTTCAAGCGATTCTCCTGCCTCAGCCTCCCGAGTAGCTGGGACTAGGATTACAGGTGCCCACCACCATGCCTGGCTAATTTTTGTATTTTTAGTAGAGATGAGGTTTCACCATTTTGGTCAGGCTAGTCTCAAACTCCTGACCTCAAGTGATCCACCCACCTCAGCCTCCCAAAGTGCTGGGATTACATGCATGAGCTACCACACCCCACTAATTTTTAAAATTTCTTTTGTAGAAACAGGGTCTCGCTGCGTTGCCAAGGTTAGTCTCAAACTTTTGGCCTCAAGAGAGCCTCCTACTTTGGCCTCCCAAAGTACTGGGATTGCAGGTATAAGCCACCAGGCATGGCCCCTATTCTTATTTTTAAATCTGGGATGGATGTATCTCTTTTTTGTCACATGAGACCAAATGCTCTTTGGGGCCAGACTACCCATACTGTTTCTATGGCCCACAGTGCCTAGCATGAAGGAAGACTTCAGTCAAGACAGGTTGGCTGTGGACCAGCTGACCCTCTCTGTGAGTGCTGGTGCCTCCACGTGGTAGCTTTGTCTGGGGCTCTGAGGGCTGAGCTTCCATGAGCTGTTGAGTCAGGGATGTTCTGACATAAGGGGGTGAGTAGGACACATTAGAAGCTCCTGTCCTGGTGACACACGGCCTGAAGGGCCCTGTCAGCTGAGAGAATCAGTGCTCAAGGGGAATGTTGTGGAGATTACAGCGGTCAGAGGGTTTTATTCAGAGTCTCTGGGAGAGGAAAATAAGAAAGGACATGAGAGAAGGGGAAGGAAGGGCTAGGCAGAGGATGAAGGGGGATGTGCATGTGGGATAAACTTGACAGAGGGTGAGCAGGCAAAACAGCTTTGCCTGCTAGGGAAGACCCAAGTGTGAGCCTGGCAGGCCTTGTGTCTAGGAGGGACCTGGGCGATTGTAAACAATATACTATGCTCTGAAGATTGTACCCACCCCTCCAGTCCCCACTCCTATCCCTTCCCAAGATGGGGTCTTTGGTCTCACTGTGATTTCTAGGCCTAGCCTGAACTGTGCTGGGGTGACACCACCCAACACCAAGCTCAGATCAAACCAGCTTTGCTTCATACCCTTGGGGGCCTCCCTGAGGCTGGAGGGGACTTTGAAGTTGATGGAGAGAAGATTGGTGAGCTGTGTGCTAAGCAGGGATCTCTCAGCAGTCAATGAGGTGGAGAGGATCTCCACTCCCTTTTTTGGGGGGCTGAGATATTGATACCCTAGTTTTCAAAACCTAGGTTTTTCATCCTTGAATGCTGCCTAAGGCTGACTTGATCACCAGGTATCTCTGGGTGGTAGGGTGTGGCAGCATTGCTGAGCTCCAGAGAGCGCCATTCACTGAATTCCTGGAGCACAACTCTAGGTGGTGCCATTCACATAGAATTCAATGTGTAAGATGCCCCCCTCTCCCCTGAGGAGCTGTGCAACTATGGGTCACCATGATGCCCTTTTTGGGTCAGGGTTCTGTTTAGAAGCCCAAGCTGGCCAACATGAGAACTAGCAATATTCAAGTGAGACTTTGCCCAGAGACAGAGAGAGATGGACAAAATGATTTCCGAAGTTAAGTCTTCATGAAAGTGGTATCAGGAATGGAAGCTGTCTCCCAGAGTAACAGGACCATGGAGCAGTGCGTGGTCTTGGGCTAGATTAGAAATGACAAAAGTCCATCATCAGGGAAGGAAAACAGTCTTAAAATCCCTGGATTGGAAAGGATAACCCATATGTAAGCACCTAGTGGGGCCTGGCATTTAATAGGTAGGCAATTAATGCGAGGTGAGGCAGTAGCTCATGCCTATAATCCCAATACTTTGGGAGGCTGAGGTGGGAGGATTGCTTGAGGCCAGGAGTTTGAGACCAGCCTGGACAACATAGGGAGACCCCATCTCTACAAAAAATAAAAAATAAATTAGCCAGGCATGATGGTGTGTGCCTGTAGTCCCAGCTACTTGGGAGGCTGAGGTGGAGGATTACTTGAGCCCAGGAGGTCAAGGCTGAAGTGAGCCATGATCGTGCTACTGCACTCCAGCCTGGGTGGCAGAGCAAGACCCTGCCTCAAAGAAAACTCCCCCAAACGAACGAACAAACAAACAACCAACGATAACAACGAGGTGAAACAGAAGCAGAGTCTACACTCCAGTCTCTAGGTTTGCGGATCTTAGAGGCAGAATGGCCTAGCCACGATGGCTACACTTGCGCATGGGAACTCGCTGAAATCAGAAATGGGAACCCGACCTAGATAGAGGTCAGGAATTTGTTTTCTTCTTTTTTCTCCTTCTTAGGGAAAGCTTAGTCCGTTGTTTAGGATGAAAAATAACAACCAGATGAACGAAAGAAGGATCATCAGGAATGATGAGTAATGTGCTCCAGATGTGGCTATGGAGAACTGGTTCTGACGGGCACCGCTGCCTGCGAGTAGCCACCTTGTGGGGAGACCCCCTTATTTCAACAAGGGTGCAGTGACACAATTTTTTGCAGCCTTCTTTTGGAATTGTCTTCAGGGTGTGTGACTCAGTTTTTTGATCGTCCTTATTGGTGGTAAATCTTTATGCTTTGCTTTTTTGGAATCAGTCAGCCGCTGCGCCCCCCCCCCCACAAAAAAATCAGTTAATAATGGTTGCCTTGAATTCTTTGTAACTGGCTCTGAAGTCAGTTTTAAAAGGAAGCTGCAGGTATGTTGTAATCAA
Organism: Homo sapiens; assembly: GCF_000001405.40. Taxonomy (NCBI): domain Eukaryota; kingdom Metazoa; phylum Chordata; class Mammalia; order Primates; family Hominidae; genus Homo; species Homo sapiens. The sequence goes on along the minus strand of NC_000012.12, from coordinate 54,137,089 downwards.
TAGAGGCACATAAGGAATGAGTGTATGTTCCCTGCAGGTGACTGTTTTGAAGGGCAACCCTTGTTTGTTCTGCCATGTTTGTTTAAAGAAGCCAATCACAGATATAGAGTTCATATTGCATTCTGTATAATAAAATAATGTAATATGATGTTGAAGGCAGTATGCTAACTACCTCCTCCCGCTGTTATTATGAATTAATACCTCTGATGATGTATAATGCATTTGTTTTTGCCAAGAAAGGGAGGGAATAGAGGCATGGAGCCTGTGTCTACACAGGCAGACCCAAGTGAAGAAATGGTTCAGTGATTCAGGGAGAAGGTTTGGGCATCCATCTGCCCATGAGAGTTGCCTAACTCTGCACTCCTTTCTGGACTAGCTCTGTGTTCATTCTTCCAGAGGATTTGGTCAACTGGGCAGGGTGCACAGCCCTCTTTTAGAGGGGAGATTAATTTCTTAGCTTGGTTCTCTGTCATTCACCTGCAAAAATCAGCACTAAGATCTAAGAGAGGGAATCATAAATCAGTTCATAAATTATACTTTTCACAAAAGTGGAAGAGGTGAGGTCAAAATGAACCTACATAGCAAACTTGTTCATACAGTTATTAGTTAACCTAAATGAAGAACTCTTTGGTTGAGGAAGTTTCCAGAACTTTCCTTTCCCGAGGAAAGACCAGGAAGAAATGGGTAAGCATCAGATCAGGGAGACTGAGGGTCCCCGCTTTCTCTCCTTTTGGGGAAACCCTGACTGTGGGCTTGTGTAGGATTTTGGGTGTGATGGCTGGGTTGGGGCAGAGAGAGGGTGGAATGACCTCCAGGAGGCCTAGCCAGTGGAACGCTCAGTGCTCCTTTGCTGATAGACCAAGCTGCAAATCAGGAATTTATTAGGAGCTGAGACTCATTTTCCCACCCTTTATAGCCCTGACGACTCAGAGCCAAACTCTGGCAAGGGGCTTCCTCATGGTTTTAATTAGACAATTAATTTTTTATTGCATCGTTTGATTTCCAGAGCCGGTTCCACTCTCCCTCTTGTCCCCCACCTGCCTCCCAGCTGTGAACAGGAAAGGAGAGATGGGGATTCAGGAAGGGCACAGAGAAAAACCTGTCTGCCTTTGAGCTGATTTAGGAGTGGCGGGGAGGGGGCGGGAATCCTCTGCCACCCCAGCTTGTCTAGCACCAGAGACACTGTCCAGAGCCCAGACCTGTGCTTTCAGAGCCTGCACAAAGGCATTCTGAGCTGCTCCTCCCAAGCTTCTCCCTGCTGCTGGGCTAATTAGTAACACAGGGTGGGGGTAGGGGCAGGGAGCAGTGCCCCGAAATACATTAGCGGCATTTCTGTGGTTAATCCTGGCCGTGCTTAGAGGCTGTTTACCCTCTACCCAGGGATTAGGAACCTGTTTGAGTTAGAAGGGCAGGGAGAGGCCAGTGCTTGGCTCTGTCCTCCACCTGCTTTCAGGAGCTGGGGCGGGGGTGCTGAGCCAGCGAGGGGTGGGGAAGTAGTGAGAGAAACCTGTCTCCAATCTGTCTCCCCTTATTGATCTCCTGCCTTCCAGCAGCTTGGCCTGCTTTTGAATCTTTATCCTTCCCCCAGCCACCCGCCCCAAGTTTCACCCCTCGCCACTGCCCTTGTCAAATATCACCCTGGCTTGGAAAGGTGGAGAAGAAGGGAAGAGTGAGGGGATGAAGTGTTTAAGCTGTGGGGATGAGCCTGGCTGTGGAAGGGCTCCCTATATGTCACGTATGTTCTCTTGGAGGAGTAGGGAGCCCCCTCTCGAGATTTCTGACTATGCTCATATTCCGCCCTGAAAGAAGAAGAGAAGGCTAGACTCTAGGAAGAACTTACTTTCAGTAGCAGAAACAGGTAGCTCCTTCTTTAAGGTTTTATGATATGCCAAGTCCAATATTTCACTGACAACAACATTGCTCAGAGGCCTTAAAATGGAATGGAGAGGGCTGTTTCCTCAGGTGTCCTGTTGGTGGGGACATTGTCACTCGTTGTTTCAGCACAAGGGCTCTTTCTGGAAGTGTGTGTTCATGCACACATACACACTCACCCACATACACATCAGGGGCACTGGCGCACTTGTGCAGGCATGCACGCCACCAGGCACGACCCATCAGTATGTCAAGACTCCAGGTTATCCACGAAAGGTGTGCACGTGCTCACACACACACCCCGACAAAGCCAAACTGAATCCCAGAACCAAGTTGACAAGCATCTGCAGACACAGAAGTGGCTCTGAGGAGCCTCCAGGGCCCTTACAGGTAAAGCAAGCCCTCCAAAAGAATAGACCGGGATGCCATTCAAGCAGAGGGGCTCTGGCAACCTCCTTGCTCCTCACATTCCCCTCTGGGGTCAAAGCAATATCAGCATTGGTGAATATGTGCCTCCCACCTGCCATTGTGGGTCTAGAAGGGCATAAATTTCTCACGGGGTCCAGGACTGCAAGAAAAAGTAGGACGTATTTATATTGGACTGTGAGGGACACAAAGATAAAAGGACCCAAACATCAAAGGGCCCCCCAGAAGCTCAGTGTGCAGACCTCTGGATCTAGGACTTGTTCTGTAAACAGGGTTTCTTCTCCTTCTGGGAAAGCTCATGTTGAGCAATCCCTCTGCTGGGGCTTGAGGTAGTTCCATGCTGGGAGTGAGGGATGGGCCTTCTTGAGACGAAGCCCTGCCTCAGTGGTCCGGGCACATCTCTGACAGCCTGGCCACTACCTCCCAAGTTGTGCATAATGGTAGTTAGAAATCCACGGAAGAAAGGGACAGAAAGGTTGTGTGTATGGGGTGTGGGGGCAGGCCCAGTATTATCCACTGACATGTGTGTTTCCATATGGCCCCACAGCAGAGAGACGCGAATTCAGGCCTTCTAGCACTCGGAGCGCTGGGTTAAGGTTGGGGTGCGTATGCGTGGGGATCCTGAGCTGGCACCTCTGGGACAGTGAGGACAAAGGGGCCAGGAGAGCAGGCAAAACTCCACCAGAGAGGCCCTGTGCGGGGCTCAGTGTCTATCTGTGGGCAGAGGAGAGACGAAGAGAAATGGTGAAAGGAATAGGAGAAAGAGAAGAAATAAAAATGAGGGCACTGAAACAGAGAGAAAGAGCTAACATCCACACAAAGAGAGGCCGGGAAACACTGGCTGAGCTTGAGGAGCGGGTGGTGGGCAGCGGGAGGCGTGCGAGGGAGAGCCTTGGGAGGCCAGCAACCAAAACAATTGGCTGGGCTTCTGGCTGGAAAGGTGGGCAGAACGGCAGGGAGGGGAAGGGGCTGCAGAGAAAAATCCTGCTCTCTGGGTAGGGGAGAGGCGGCAATGGAACCTGCTTCTTCCAGCTCACAAGCTCACAGCATTTCCCCCACTCTTCTCTGTGAGCCCAGGGCTGAGATTGACGGGCCTGCAGCTTCTCTGGGTCCTGGGTGGATTTGAATAATTAAGTCATCTGGATTCTTATGATTTACCATTTTCAATGATAAATAGACAGCACCCAAGCCAGCCAGTTGGCAAAACTCTGGCTGCTAGTTATAATTTGTCAAGCTGCCAGCAGATTCATGTTTTATGCTAATGGAGGGGGACTCATTGACTAGGAGGAGGCAGTGACCAGGTCAACCCTTTCCTCAGGCACCCCAGAGGTCGAGAGGTCGGGGGAGAAAGGCCGAGGCTGTTATGGATTTTCTGTAAGGGTCGGTGTAATTTTATCATAATTCAGCGGGTACACACACTCTCACATACACTGAGGGTCACATATGGAGAGACATGTTCAGATTTGCAGGCACCTCTATCCCCCTCCACACACACACACTGGCACCTGTGCAGGCATCTGGGCCCGGTGTACACAAGCCTGGCACAGGCACACTTCTCTGCCCCCCTTCAGCTCACTCACACATGCACACCCTTGTTATCACCTTCAGGCACGTGATTACACCAAGGCAAACTCACAGACCTGCTCTGCAACCTGGAGAAACGTATCACATCACCCCTACCCTCCCTCACCTCTGACGGAGCAATGTTTGGGAGGGCCCCACCGCCGCCCATCCCAAACCCTTTGTTTTGGGACTTTCATGGCGGTTGATCCCAGCACAGGCTTCTTGCTCCCATTCTAACATTTTTCCAGTGGGAAAAACAAATGGGCCCCAGGGAAGTCCTGCTTGTCAACCAGCTGGGGCTGGGTAGCTGGAGCTCGGAAGTCAGGGGCTCTTAGACCCAGCACATGGAAAGCTGCAATGAAAATCAGCTGACTCCGAACCACACTTTCTTTTCCATTGGTTTATTTGTATATTGGTCCACAACACATTGAAGCCTCACAGTTCCAAGAATTTTTTTTTTTTCATATTTGTGGCAAACTGAGGTAGAGACAATGCTTGGCACAGAATAGGTACTAGATAAATATTAGTGGAATGAACAGCCGAAGCGACTGACTTCTAAATGGAGCAGATTGCTCATTTCACTTCTGTTCCTCCACCTCAACAAACCTTTACATCCTCACTGGTTTGTGAGGCCAGAGAACAGGTGTGGCCTTGGTGTGATAAGAAATGCTAATTTTATACAAACTGAAGCAATCTGGTCTCAACTTTGACCCCCAAATGCCCTCAAAATGGATCAATGAGCCAGGGAGGCTTGAGGAAGGAGGGAGCATCTGCCCTTCCTCCTGGCCAGAAGAGAATTTGAATTTGCTTTGAGTAGCTTATGGGCAGGGCTGGAAGGTGCAGTTCATGACTGTCAGCAGCTTTGAGGCTGATGGAGGCATGGGGAAGGATTAGGGGCCTGGGAGAAAGCATTTTATTTCCCTGTACCCCACCACCCCAACATGGGGGAGAAAAACACAACAGCAAACTGAACAGAGCAGAGGCCGAGGCAGCAAGAACCCAAAGACGGAAGCTGCTTCTAGCATCAGGCTCCAGGATGCAACTGCGGCTCTCAGCTCTGCCGGCTGAGCTTCCAGATCCTGCGAAGCAAGTCAGGTTCCTTCCTTCCCTGCCAGGCTGGAGTAAGGAGGCTGTTCTAGGCAGGCAGTCTGCAGCTGCTCACCAAGGTCTGGAACAAGCTGCCTTCCTTCTTTGCCGAGCAGATGTGGATGGCGGTGGGCCTGGCTAATCAGGGGTGTTCTGTGGAAAGATAGCCAAGAGCCAGAATTGCCAGCCTCTCCATTCCAAGGGATAGATGACCCCCAACTGCATCAGGAATAGGGAAATATGCTTTGTTTATTTAAGAGTTTGAGGCTCCGACCTGGCGCCATTGACCTCACTCTCACTCACCCTGGGAGAGTAACAGCCTTGAGGGCATCAGCAATTCCATTTTTGGGAGCAGGGACAGGCTGACTGTGGTTTGCAGATGGCTGGGAGTGGGGAAGAATTGTCTAGGGGTGAGCCAAGGGGATGTGAAGGTCATAATCATGATTAATACATAAAACTAATTGATTCATCCCACATCTGGTTAGCAAAGCTTACTCCCCATTTCCCCCCTCATCTTTTTTTTTCTTTTTTGAGACAGGGTGTTGCTCTGTCACCCAGGCTGGAGTGCAGTGGCACGATCTCAGCTTACTACAACCTACGTCTCCTGGGCTCAAGCCATCCTCCCACCTCAGCCTCCCAAGTAGCTGGGACTACAGGTGCACACCACCATGCCTGGGTAATTTTTGTATTTTTTGTAGAGATGGTTTTGCCATGTTTCCCAGGCTGGTCTTGAACTCCTGGGCTCAAGCATTGCTTCCGCCCTGGCCTCCCAAAGTGATGGGATTACAGGTGTGAGCCACCGCGCCCAGCTGCTCCCTCCCCATCTTCTAATCCTGCTATTTGCATCCAAATAGTGAACTCTTGAGGGCAGGGTACATGTTAACCAGCCTAAAGGGCTCAGAGCAGAGCCATCTGGAGTACAAAGATAGTACAAGATCCCCAACTTGGACTGGATGAAAAGGGAGACAGAGAAATCAGAAAGGTTGGAAGGAAGAGAGAGAGAAAGAGAAATAAAGGAAGGGAGAAGCTAGAGAAAAGAGGGGAGGAAAAGCTTAAAGAGCAATGCTAGGCAGTGCTGGTCAGAGGCCTCCCTGAGACAGCACTGCAAGGTTTACTGTGAACATGCCTTTCTAGCCAGTGGTTTGGGGGTGCCCCAGCCCATCCTCAAGGCATACACTGCCCTTGGAGGAACTGGCTGACCTCAGTGACCTGCCCCATCCCACTTTTGGGAGACAAAGGAATTGGCTCTAAGAAACCTTGTGAATCAACCAGAGCACATGAGCAGGGCATGGGGAGTGCAGGCCCAACAGGCTAAAGATACCTAGCAACCTCAAGTTGATCCTCTCTATAGCTAAATCTAAAGTCACCTTACCAATTAATCTCTTTGTGTGTGTGAATTCAGTGAACTCTACTGCAGACCTAAGGTCCACTTGCCCGGGTAGGGAATGTCTTCCTTCCCTTTCATGTATGAGATCCTTTCTCTGGCTTTTCCAGGATTTGCAAACCTCCTCCCAAGCTCTTTGCAGATGAATCCAACCCCTCCTGGCATGGAGAAACTCCTTGACCTGAAAGGTGGTTTTCTGGGGCAGGGTTGGAGATAAGGATAGCAAAGGAGGAAGATTTTTCTTCTCACCAATGGAAGAAAATGAAGATCTCACTCCCAGCCTCCCATCCTCCCAACCCCTACACCCTCACACTCCCCTCCCACCCTTGCAAAGTGGACTAGGTCTTATCTTCATCCCTGTCTCATTTGCACATACTCAGGCAGGCTAACCAAAACTACAGAAAAACCCTCCAGTGCAAAGGGCTCATTTAACAAATGATCACCGGGCACAGTGGCTTATGCCTGTAATCCCAGCACTTTGGGAGGCTGAGGTGGGCGGATCACTTGAGGTCAGGAGTTCGAGACCAGCCTGGCCAATATGGCGAAACCCCGTCTCCACTTAAAATACAAAAATTAGCTGGCCGTGGTGGCACATGCCTGTAATCCCAGCTACTCAGGAGGCTGAGGCATGAGAATGGCTTGAACCGGCGATGTAAAGGCTGCAGTGAGCTGAGATCGTGCCACTGCATTCCAGCCTGGGCGACAGGGTGAGACTCCATCTAAAAACGAACAAACAAACAAACCAAAAAAACCAACAAACAACAAACAACAACAACAACAACAACAAATGATCAAACAGGCCCAAGCTCACAGAACCAGAGCACCCCCGAGCCCGGAACAAAGCTGCCCGGTCTTCAGACAGCCTCTGCCAGTAGGGTGGGAATGGAGGCACTTGGGGCTGCGGGTGAGAGGATTGAGCCCGGGAGAGGGGCCGCCAGGGTGGGAATCCACAAACAATTCCTGCCTCACTGGCCTCTTGTACTTCATGCACGCCTTTTGGAACCAGATCTGGACCTGCATGTCATACAGCCTCAACGCCATGTGTCCAGCTTGGCGTGCTGTGTCGGGGGCAGGTAGGGCTGCAGGAAGAACTCCAGCTCGCTCAGCTGCTTCGAGAAGAGAAGCCCGTATGCAGGCAGCCAGCCCCTGCCTCTACCTCCCACGGTTCACAGGCAGCCATCACCCAGGTCTGGGCCCTAGAGACGGCGGAGTGGTGGCGGTCAGGGCCTCCGCAGCCCAAGGTGAGGCGGGGAGGGGCCCCAACTGGCCTTTCTGCTCACCCTCCATCTCCTCTTTCCTCCCTGTGCTCCTCAGGAACCGGGATCCCCTTTCTGTTAACCGTTAACCTTAGTTGAGTTCGTGTTTCTCTTTCTCTCTCTCTCTACCCGCCTTCCCCTCACTCCCCTTATTCCTTCTTTATCTCACTGTATCTTCATTTCTCATTTTTCCTTCCTTCTTTTGCTTCATTTCTGCCCTACCTTCACTTTCTCTTTTTCTTCCATTCCTTCCCCTGTCCTTGCTTCTTTCCCTTGTCCCTGTCTTTCCTCCTTTTCTACCTATCTTTCTGTCTCCCTTCCATTTATTTTTTCTCACTTTTACCTCCCTTTCTTTCCCTTCCTTTTTCTTTTACTCTCTAGCTCTCTCCTTTCATTTGCTTTCTGTTTCTCTCCCTATTTTTCTTTTCTTTTCCTTTCTGTCTTTATCTCTAATCTTTTTTCTTCTATTTTCTATTTTAACAGGCCCCAGACTATCTCTAATCTTAAAAACCCAAACAAACCTAGTCCTGCTTCTTCCTTCTGCTCTTTATCAATATTCCTTTCATGTTATCTCTATCCCAGCCACCCTTCCAGAATACCTTTCTGTCTCCAGCATTAGGGCCTTTTCACATCTTTTCCTCTCTCCCAGTTTTTTCTCTTTGCTGTTCTGAATTTTTCCAGTCCTTTATGCTGTTTCCCTAGGCCTTCTTCTTATCTTCCTTTGTTTCTAAATTCCCTCTCAGCAGTAGGCACAAGGCACAAAACTGGCCCCTCCCCAGTAGAGGTTTTTGTCCTGCGTAAGCCCAGCCATCCTTCATGCATTTCTTTCTCAACTCCTGTCAACTTGAGACTCAATCTCAAGGGCCCGGGAATAGAGCTGTTTCCCCCTACTTGAGAAGTCAGGGCTGGGTCCACAGCTCCCTATTACAGGCTTAGGGAAGCCTTGCCAAACTGCTGTCAGTCCATCAATCCTAAGAAGAAAGGGGAAGAGGAGCAAGGAAAGAGAAAAAGAGAGATAGTCCCATAGATCTGTGGGACTGGGTTGGGGGTGGGGGGGTGGGGCGAGGGGTAGTATTGGAGAGGCAGGAGCAAAAAGGACCACATTCATCAAAGGGGGAGTGGGGTAGGCAGAGGACCAGACATCTTCTCTCAGAGCACACAAAGCCCCAGCAGCCTGCAAGAAGACGCCCAAGCTGGCTCCCACGTTTGCTTTGGGACTGGGGATGGATGAGGCCTTCCATTCCAAATCCTCTGAACTGCAGAGGTGTGAAGGGCCACAAGATGTGAGGAAAGAAAAGGGTTTACATTCGTTTTGCGTATCAGTGGATTTCGTGTCTGCCCCTGGACATGTCCTTCTCAAAGGCCCTTTTTTTGGGAGACCAAGCCAAACTCCCTGTTGGCAGTGCCAGCGGAAGCCCTCCTAAACCTCTCAGCTAGGCCAGTCCAACTCCGTCCGGGGCTTGCCAATGAGCAGATGCCGAGCAGGTGCCAGGGCAGGTGCTGGGCCACAGCAGAAAAACTTCAGGAATAGTGAAAACAAAGGCCTGGGCAGATTTGTGGCTTCTGACCCGGCAGGGCCAAGTGGCCTCTGCAGGTGTCTACCCAGGAAGGGCCAGAACACCACATGTTCCACGTAGGAATTTTCTCTCCTAGGATCCAGATCGCTTCCTGGCCCTTTCCAAGGAGTCGGAAGGTGTCCTCTGCCACTTGCCTGGCTCCTCCAGCTGGGTGCTCCCCAGGAGGGGCCCAACCTAAAAACTAAAGGCACAGCGCAGACCCTTGCCGCTTGGCTGGACCTCCCCGCCCAGGAACACCCCGGGCTCCAGGGTACCCCCCAACACCTGCAGCGGCCTCTGCCCTTGTCCACTTCCCCAGGCCACCCCGCAGCTTCTACACCGGCCTGGGCCCGCCCTTCCCCCTTGTCCTGGGCCCCAAGTTCAGCTGTGACCTCTGAACCCACCCTCTGCTCTTGACTGCCCTTTGAAGAACCTCTCCATTCCTTCCTCCTGGGGCATCTCTTGGGTGGGGGAGGAAATCTCAGCCCTGGGAGGAGAGTAGGGGCCTTTTCCTTGCCCTCCTTTGGGAACTGGAGAAGAGCGGGAGATTGTGCTGGAGGCGGGAGGGGGCACTCGCTTGGCTCCATCTCAAGGAAATGGGTCTCTGACTCAAATTGGATTCAGAAAAAAAAAAAAAAGATTTTTGGGAGTTATTCCCTCTCTCAGATCACTCCTAACTTAGAATCAACGTAAGGGCCCAGGACAGCAGGGGACCGCTCTGGGCGGATCCCCCGCCCCGTCCCGGCAGAGTCGGCAACTCGGGCTGGCATTTCCTTCCCTTTCCGCGGGGCGTGTCTGGGGATCTCCAAGCGTCTCTAAGGGCCTGCTGGGGTGAGCGGGTTTGGGACGCGGCTGGGTTTTTCTAGGCTGGTAATCGGTCCCGACTGGGGAATAAGCACACACATCCTTCCTTCAGTACGGGAAGCGGAGCACCCTCTCTCCCACTTTAGCCCTCGAAACCCCAACTCCGCTCCCTTCTCCATCTCCCCTCAAAAAACTTTTCCGAAGTTCCCCCAAGTTGCGTTTGAGGAAAGAAGTCGTCTCCCTCAGACTCTGGGTTTCTCGGCCCCTAACCCTCCCCTCAATCCTCAGTTTCGGAAGCAACCCTCCCCCTCCCCTGCCAGCTACCACCTTAGTCCCTAAACTCGGGGAGGAAAGCTGCTCTGACCCCATGCATCTGACAGAAGCCCAACCCCAGCCCAAATTTCTCCCGGGGGAAGGCAGATTAATATGTCAGCCTGCAGGGGAAACAGGGGTAAGGGGAGGGAGAGACCGGGACGGGGAGAGACAGATTGTTCTCGGGCTGAATCGCACCCGTCCCGGGCCCAGCTTACCTGCTCCGGACAGGCTCATCTAGATTTCCATCCTGCCAAAAGTTTGTCCTTCTCTCAAACGATTCCGGGAGGAGCGCAAACTCGGCTCTTGGGGAGGGCAGGCGGGCCGGGTACCCTTGAAGGCGCAGGCGCCTGATACAGAGCAGGCCCCGGGGAAGCAGGACTCGGGGGCACGGTCGCCAAAGTGGGGACCCGAGCAGCGATCCGGAGGGAGAGCATTCAGGCGCCCGGGCTGGGGGCTACACTGCTGGCGCGGGATGGCCCAGGACAGAGTGGGCGCTATAGCGTGAGTGGCCATCAGGGCCGGGCGGGCCCGGGGAACTGGAGGGAGAGGTCCCTGGGTCCCTGGCGACGTCTCTCGCTTTCTCCAGTTTCTGCCGTGCTGGTGTGCCCCAGCCCACAACATTCCCTCGACCTCTTCTGGGGCGGCGCTCAGGGCCCCCACATGGCGAAAAGGGAGGGTGAAGGGATGAGGCGCCCCTCCCGCCTTAGCCCCTCCTCAGCCCCCACGCCACAGCCCCCCCTTTCTCCCCAGAGCCGAGGGACAGACAGAGAATTGCGACTAGAATTCGATCGATTGGTACGAGGGACCACGTGGCCAGGGGCTGGCCAATGACCAGGCCGCCCGGGATGAGCTAATAATGGAAGCAATTTGTAACTTTCAGTAGCTCTCTAGGCCTGGGTACCGGAGGGAGGGAGGCGGGCAGAGGAGGGGAGATGGGCACCCCCAGTCTTTCCATCCTCCTCATTCGTCTAGGGGCACCCGAATCCCCTATTCCTTATTTCCCCTATCACTCAGGCACTGGCAGGGTCCTTGGCCCACTCCTGTTGGCCGCCGCGGCTCCAAAGCGAGGTAAGCTGGTCCTCTACCCCTCAAACTCTTCACAACCCTCACCCCGTTTACTAGCACCTGCAAACCACAGCCTCCCTTCCTGTCCCATTCGTGAATTTAAATCGGATTTTGTTTTTCCTCTTAGTTGAAAGAAAAAAAATATGTTTGTATTCTTTTGTGTAACCTATCTTGGATTTGGAGAAAATTTTAATTCAAATTAATACACTTATATTGGGGGGGGTGAGTGGTACTTTCTTCCTTTTCAATAAATTTGTATACTTGCTACTTTATGGAGAGTTTACTTTTCTTTGGGGATGAGTTACACCTTATGTTTTCACATGTGTTACTTCTTTAATGATAAGTTCAACTCCTTTCTCCATTCCATCCTCCAATTTTGCTATTTATAAATATCACCTAATAGATTTAGAGTTTATTCATTTTTCTCCTCCCTCACTAGTTTTTCAGCTGTTACAGAATCACCACAATTTATTTTCCTCTGTGTGTGGATGAGGTTTTGCGTTGATTCCTCTTTTTGTTTTGTAAATGAATTTATTGTTTGGGAAACTCTTGGGGGGTGTGTGTGTGTAAAAAAGGTCTTTTGATTAATTCCAACCTCTCCTCTTCTGAAGAACAATTTGCTTGAAATGTTTTGTGTATTTTCCTCGTTTTTATTTGTTTAAATTTGAGGTATTTTACCTTCTTTAAAACCTGGCCTCTTTTTAAAATTTAACCTTTTGCATGTTAAACCATTTTTAAGGTTTTTATTTTATAAACTTCAATGGTTAGTAGATTTACTTGCCTTTCCCTGACCTCCTTCACGCGCCTGCCTCCTCCATCTCAGAACTCCCATCTCCAGCTTCCACAATTCTCAGCTTCCAACGGACTCATCCTCCCCTCTCCTCCCAGCCAAGGAGGGATGCCTGGGAAGTAGACAGTGTCCTTCTTGGGTCAGAACCTATGCTCTGGTTCTAGTTCAGGACACCTCCAGTCTGACCTCCAAGCCGGCAAAACGAGTGAGAGCAGAATTTCTGTTCAACTTTTTCATTTGGGACTAAGTTCTTTACACTTGGCTGTATTCTGGAGAACTCTGATACATGAAATTGAATTTTAAATTCTCATTTTTTCCCTAAATTCTAAGAAAAGTGCAGGCAGATTGTTTTTCTTCCTTAAATGTAAGCTGAACAGCTTAGGGGTCAGCCCCTTGGGTCTTTTACCTCCTGGGGGAGACTTCTCAGAGAGACACACAGTGTTGATTCTTCCTTTTAGTTTTGGTTAAGGTAGAAGGGGCAGGGATTGGGGAAGCCCATATTGATCTCTGGCTCTAGCTCTGAACAAAGAAGGGTAGAGAGCTGGCCTGGGGACTTGTCCCTTTTGTCAGTAAGGTTTGGCTTAGGAGAGAGTTTGAAGTAAATCCCAGCTCTGAGGAAATTCTTCTTTTTAGCATTACTGTGAAAATAAACTATTAAAATGGTGTGACATGGCTTCAAACTATTCAGATTCCTTGAAGTAACAAAAATAAAATTACAAGAGTAATTCGTGTTTCCCAAAGGTCCGCCTCCAGTGACTATCCATTTCTCTCAGGGAAACGGAACCCAACTGGGCAGAAGTAAAACTGCCCCCCTCCCCTTTCAGTTCCCCAGTCACATTGACATTCTGGGCACATTTGGCCCAGCCCCCGTCCCTGTTTCTCCCAAGTATGAATCTAAATTACTATTAATAAGGGGCCGCTCGAAGTTAATTGGCATTAAAAGAATTCATTTCGATTTGTTAATATTAAATGAATGCTCTGCACTTTAGCTCCCTTCTTCGCCCTGGATTCCCAGATGAGTGATGGGAAGAGGGGGCAGGGAAGTAGAATGAGGATTTTATTTCTGGGTCTCCAGCTTAGCCACTGTGGTGCCTCCCCTGGGGGTGTGCGATCAGGCACAGTGGGGGCCTGCTTGGGGAAAGTCTGATGGTCTTTTTTGGTGAAATTCATCTGTTTCAGCAGGAGTTGTGGGGGAGGGTGGGTGGGGAGCAGAGGGAGAGGGACAGAATGGTTTGGGGGACTTTGTGGGGAGCGGAGGGACTAGGGAGAAAGTGGGAAGGGAAAGGGACGGAGGTCAACAGGAGTTTTGGAGAACAAGGGTTGTAGGCTGTCGGGGGTAAAGCAGATTTGTGAAGAACTGGTGATAGGAACTAAACAACCCACCTAGAAGAGGAGGGGCTTCGAGCAGGGGTGGGGAGGTGGGATTTGAGGCAAAACAGCTAGGGGTTCTGAAACTATTAATATCTAGCTGTGTGACTCAGGGCAAGTTGCTTAACTTTTCTCTCTGCCTTAGTTTCTTGACCTGTAAAACAGGGATACTAATAATAGAACTTATCTCAGGGGGTTATTTGGAATTAGAAGAAATACATGCCATGTGTTTTCCACAGTGTTTGGCACATAGAAACTGCCAGTAAATGTTAGCTCTTTTTATGGCAGAGTGGTTAACAGGATGGATTCTGGAGCTAGACGGCCTGGTTTTGAATCTCAGTCATGCCTTATGTGAGTTGTATGACCTAGGCAAGTTACTTAACCCCTTGTGCTTTAGTTTCCTTGTCTGTAAAATGGGGTTAATAGTACCTAGCTCAAAGGTTGCTGTCAGGATTAAATGAGTTATATGTACGAAGAGCCTGGAACAATGCCCATCCCATAGGAAACACTATGTAAGCATTAGTTGTCATTGATATTGTTGCTCTTCTGATCTAGGAAGGCTGAAAATAGAGGCACAGGTGAGCTACTACTTACAGGCTAAGATTGGAATCAGATCAACTCTTTCACTCCTATCCCTGAAGCTAGTCCTGCAACTGGGGCTCCATATGAGGGCTTGGGGAGAGATCCTATAACCCTGGAAGCTAGGATATCCAAGTCCTTCTTCTGCTCTAGCTCTTGGGTTGGTGGTCCCTCCAAGACCCATAGACTCGAAGTCACTTCTTTTTCTCTGGGCAGGGTTGGGGTGGGGCTGGTAATGGGAGAATTACTTTCTTGGTCTAATAACTCCCTTTGGTAGAGAGTTAGTCCTGGGAGTGTGAGTTGGGGGAGGTTGAGTAGAGCAGAGGAGATTAAATATCCTTTATGTACCAGCCCACACACACTTGACCTCACCAGAGGGTTGGGAAGACAGAGATTCAAGGAGAGGAAGTGATCTGACAAAGTTCTAAAGCTAGAACTTGGCAGAGTTGGCATCTGAACTCTGATCTGCTTGATGACAAACTTAAAGCCCTTCCATTGCTGCATGCTTTTTGAAGGGAGGGATGGGACACATGTGAACTTGGGCCAGGACCATGGGGTAGATGGAAGATGGGCGAAGATAGAGTATTGGAGTGGGAAGTGGCCAAGCAGGAATTTTTCAATCATGGAAGATTTCATGAGAAAAGAGATTCCACATCAGGGTTCAGATGGTAGGGGAATGAGGATAGGAAGTAAAGAAGAGGGAGGGAGCCATGCATTGACAAGGAAGGAGAAGAAAAAAGAATTTATGCAAAGGCTGGGTCAGAGTAATGGACATGAATTCGATTTGCCTTGGGTTTGCCTTACCATTTATTGAAGGCATACTATGTACTAGGTACATACATGATCACATTTGATGTTCACAACAGCCCTGACAAGTGGGCTTCTTACCCCTATTTCCAAAAGAGTTCATTGAAGTTCTGAGAGCTTAATCCCCGCTTTAGGCTACACAGTAGTAGCTGGATTTCCTGGCATCAGAACCCTCACCTAGGCTGCCTCTGAGCATGGCTTCTGTGTCCCAGTCTCAATTTCCATGAAGTTTCAGGTCCTCCTGTTCCCCCGCATTTGTAGTCACTCTTGGTGACTGGGAACAAAGGGCTAGAGCGTGAGCTGAAACTGAGACAGGGAGTGGCAGGCAGGCAGTGGGGAGAGAAACTTTTCTCACATCCACCCATGTGAAGAAGATGGACAAAAGGGTGGTCTTTCTGGAGGGAGGCTTCCAAGCCACTTTCCCAAGACTGCTGATCTTGGGATGAATGGCAGGGACCTGATTGGGGTAGGGGATGGGTGGTCACATTGTTTTCTGGGCTGTAGACTTTATTTCCCTTCCTTTGGGAAGAGAAGAGGAAGAGGACAGCTCGGGTGTGGGTTTGAGCCCTGGATTAAGACTGCCCGTTGTCCACTAAAATCTCTTCTTTCCTTGCTGCACGAGGGTAGAGAGACACCCAGCTGGACACTCCATTTCCCAGCTGCTCTTGTTGCCAGGTGTAGACACAGGGGAATGTGAGGCAAGCATGTCCTCAAAGCCTGATGACATTGGGTAAATTCTCCTTTGTGTTCTCTCTTTCATGAGCTGGGCAGATGTGCCTGAGACAGGTTTGACCAGGCAACTGAAAAGACATCCCTAAGGGAAGACAAAGCAAAGGTATGAAAGGAACACACGTCCCTGACTGACTAGGAGGAACAGAGCTGCCTGCTGTCTGGAACCGCTTCCTCCCAGACTAAGTGAGAAATAAACTTCTGTTTTCTATATGCTACTGTGTTTTGGGGCCTTTGTGTTATAGCAGTTTTGCTGTCATCCTTTCTAATTCACCTTCTCACACCAGATATTTCAAATTAAAAAGATTGTATCGGGCCAGGTGCAATGGCTTGCGCCTGTAATCCCAGCACTGTGTGGGGCTGAGGCAGGCAGATCACTTGAGGCCAGGAGTTCGAGACCAGTCTGGCCAACATGGTGAAACCCCATCTCTACTAAAAAATACAAAAATTAGCTGGACACGGTGGCACACTCCTGTAATCCCAGCTACTTGGGAGGCTGAGACAGGAGAATTGCTTGAACCCAGGAGGCGGAGGTTGCAGTGAACTGACATCATGCCACTGTGCACCAGTCTGGGCTACAAAATGAGATTCTGTCTCAAAATAAAAAAATGATTACATCAGATCACGGAATAACTATAATAATATTTATTGGGCCAGATAAGTATGCGAAGGACTCTATGCACATTATTTAGTGTAATCTATGTGACAATCCTCTGAGATATGTGTTACTATTATTCCAATTTACACACGAGGAAACAGGTTCAAGGAAGGTAAGTTATGTGCTGAGGGACACACAGGAGGGGGTGGAGCTGGATTTCAAGCCCACTGGGTGTGCAGAACTGAGCCTCTTCACCATGGGGGCAAATCCCTCCTGAGGACGGGGCTGGAAAAGCCATGGAGATCATCTTGTGCTTGGACAAGCCTCTCGCCAGTCACCACAGGGCCCTGAGACTCCCATTCCTACCTTCAAGAAGCTCAGCAGCCTACTACTCATGTTCATGTTGGGTCACTGCATACGGTTTTATTTGAAGGAAGGACCCCAGAGTTAAAATCATTTGAAAACCCCTGATAAATTCAGTCCCCTCCCTCTTTTTACAGGTGAGGCCCGGAGACAAGATATGACTTGCTTAAGGTCACACACTTAGTTTCTCTGTCAATCTTTCTAAATCGAGGACGAGTTCTCTTCCCGCTGTATCAGGCTGCCTCAACAAACAGGGAAGTACAAAAATAGCCAAATCCAGGAAGGAGGGCAGTGGTCTGTGTCTCCTCCAATTATTTCATGGGACAGCCAAGCCTATTTCCTTGATTTCCCTTGTGCCCCTCCTGTCGGATATCTGCTTTGGGACCCATCTCTTTTGGGCTTGCAGAGAGGACGGGCTGCACCAGTTCTCTACCCTCCTCATCACCCAGATGGTCAAACATGCAAAGGGAAAGGAGAGCTGGGGCCAGAGCTAAGGCAGGCAAAGAGACTCCTCGACCCCCTCCAGTCTTTCCACATTTATATTTTTGGAATTTCAGGCTCCCTCCTCCCCCTAGACCTTTCCTAGTAGCCCACCAGGGAGAAGAAGAGGGAAAACTGCCATAAATTTCTCCTATTTATACAAGATGACAGAGTTTCTTGTGCCAGAAAAAACACAGAAAGGGAGCTGTCAAGGGAGAAGGGACCCAGCCCTATTCCATCTGGGGTCAATTTATCTTTCCGAATCATGGCTTGGGGGCTACCCTAACATTGCCTGTATGAAATGCAGGCTTTGACTTGGGGCAGCCAGGCCAGACAGCCCCTGAGCTTTGCTTCTGATCACAGTTTTCCTGCTTCATCTCAACTGCCCCCCACCCCTTACGCTGTCTTTTTAAAAAGCAACTTTCTTGAGGTATAATTCATGTGTCATACAATTCACCATTTGAAATGTACAATTCAATGGTTTTAGTATATTCACAAGTATGTCGAACCATCACCATAGTTAATTTTAGAACATTTTCATCACCTCAAAAAGAAATCTTGTAACCTTTAGCTATCACCTCCCTATCCCCCCATATTCCTTCTTGCCCTTAACAACACTAATGTACTTTCAGTCTCTGTAGATTTCCCTATTCTGGACTTTCATATGAATGGCATCATATAATAAGAGACCTTCTGTGACTAGCTTCTTTCATTGAGCATAGTGTTTTCAAAGTTCATCCATGTTGTAGCATTTATCAGTACTTCATTCCTTTTCAGGGCTGACTAATATTCCATTGTATGGATATATCACACTTTGTTTATCCGTTCACCTATTGGTGAACATTTGGGTTGTTTCCACCTTTTGGATATTATGATTCTCTCTTTCCTCTTATTCTCTAGACATCTTGGATAGTATCCAGTGAGGCCTGTGGGCAAGAATGGGTGTTTCTTATATTTGGGAACACCTAATATCCATGAAAGCAGGGTCTTGGCACATGTCTGCTTTCATGTTAAGTACATGTACTAGCTGGAATTTTCCTCCCTCTTGTTACTGAGGTGGGGCTGCTCCCTCCTTTATCAATTCTCCCTTTTTATCAAGATTGCTATGTTGGACACTTGCTGACTCTTCAGACTAGGGGATTCAGATCCTTCTCTTGGGGCTTCAGAGATGTGGAGTGGATGAATGAATGTCTTCCCATCAGGGAAGAGTTTCCTGAGTCTGGTCTCAAGTGATTCTCCAGTGCCTCACAGCAGAAGGAAGGTCTGTGAAGACTCCCCAGGGTCGAGGGAAAGTTACGTTCTTGGAGGTATGACCGAGCCAGAATCCAGGCCTCCAGTTTCCATCTCCTTGCCTGGCCCATTTCAGTCTTCAGACATGCTTTGAGCTCAATCCAGTCACTCACCCAGCAACAGACACTGCCTCTGCCCTCATGGACCTTGCAGTTCTAGTGGTGAGAGTAAGATGAATACAAGTGAACAAAATGATGGCAAGTTGTTCAAGCTTGTTCAAACTTGTAAACACTGTTCAATGAATGAATGAACCAACAAGAACTTACTATGTGCTCTGGAAAGAAAATGTGAAAAAAGTCAGAGTTGTAAATCACTTTCTGCTACCACTACCTTTCCTAGTCTGGAACTCAGCATTACTTCTCCATCCCTTGGAGGAGAGAGTGGGCAGATATTACAAAATGTTAGCTAATAAGAGCTACCATTTGTTGGACCAGACATACACCAAGGGGTTTCTATAGTTCACTAATTTTCACCCTTTGAATTAGGCATCAATATTTCCATTTTGAAGATGAGAAAAACTGAAACTCAGGTTTAAATAGCTGTCTGAAATCACACCCATAGCAGTAAGTGGCAGAACATTTGCTCTGGACACTGGGATAAGTATGTGTGTATGGGTTTTTTTGGTTGTTGTTTTTTGTTTTCTGGGTTTTTTTTTGTTGTTGTTTGTTTGTTTTTGGGACCGAGTTTTGCTCTTGTTGCCCAGGCTGGAGTGCAATGGCATGATTTCAGCTCAATTCAACTTCCACCTCCAGGCTTCAAGTGATTTTCCTGCCTCAGCCTCCTGAGTAGCTGGGATTACAGGTGCCCGCCACCATGCCTGGCTAATTTTTGTATTTTTAGTAGAGACGGGGTTTCGCCATGTTGGCCAGGCTGGTCCCAAACTCTTGACCTTGTGATCCGCCTGCCCTGACCTCCCAAAGTGCTGGGACCACAGGCGTGAGCCACTGCGCCCGGCCATGTATGTGTTTTTATTCCTAGCACTTCATTACAAATACCAACATCTCTTCCTGCGGCCCTACCACAGAGGGAGCTGATCAGTTTCCCCTCCTGCCCAAAGGCAAAGCAGCCACAGTGGAAGTGCCAGAGTCCTCCCTCACAGCCTTCTGTCTAGTGGTTACTCCCGCTTCAAGGCTAAGGAAGGGAAGGACCTGTTTTGCTTTCAAAGGCTTTTTCCTTCCAGCCCTTGCTGTGTGGCCCGTTGTGTGTGGGAGGGACCATGAGAGGCCTGGATATTGTCAACAAAAGACTTGAACAAGCCAAAGAGCTGATGATGTTGACAAGAAGGGGACCTTAACAAGGCAGATAATCAAAAGTTGATGACTGACAGCCCCTTTCGCATCCCTTCACCCTCTGCTAAATCAGGTCTCTTACATGATCTTGATGACAAATAATAAAAATTATAAACACATTATAGTTTTCACATGCATTTGTTCACTTCTCACAGCAAATATGAGAGGTATCTAAGGCTGAGCAGCTTATTACAGAAAAAAGTTTATGGGACTACAACCTTAATTTTATGTAACAAAATTTATATAGAGCTTACCATGGATCATGTACTCTCCTAAATAGTTCAAAACTTTCATTTTAGAGAGATGGGGGTCTTGCAGCCAGGCGCAGTGGCTCACACCTGGAATCCCAGCACTTTGGGAGGCCGAGGTGGACAGATAACCTGAGGTCAGGAGTTCGAGACCAGCCTGACCAGCATGGTGAAACCCCGTCTCTACTAAAAATACAAAACACAAAAATTAGCTGGGTGTGGTGGTTCATCCCTGGAATCCGGAGACTGAGGCAAGAGAATCACTTGAACCCAGGAGGTGGAGGTTGCGGTGAGCTGAGATCATGCCATTGCACTCCAGCCTGGGCAACAAGAGTGAAACTCCATCTCAAAAAAAAGCGGGGGGAGCGGCCTTGCTATGTTACCCAGACTGGTCTTGAACTCCTGGGTTCAAGCAAGCCTTCCACCTCAGCCTTCTGAGTAGCTAGGACTATGGGCCCATGCCACCAGGCCTGGCTGTATCTCATAACTATTAACTCATCTACTTTTTCACCACGATGTGAAGTAGGCATTACTGTTATTCACATTTTTTAAGATGTGGAAACTGAGGCATGGTAATCAAGTATCTTGCCCAAGGTTGTACAGCCAGCAGGTGGTAGAACAGGGATCTTGAGCCCAGCCCCAGTGTCTGTGTCTAACCACTTCGCCAGGTCGGCTTCGCATGGGGACAACACTTGAAACTCTAGTTTGTTAGTCTGGTGCCCCTGCTTCCGCCTGCCTCCCTCAGTCTTTATGGCCCATTGGAAAAAGCAAGCCAGAGCTGTGGCTCCCAGGGTGACGATCCTTCAGCTGCCTCCTTGGCACTGTCATTCCCTCCTCCCATCTCCTGCCAAGGGCTGCAGCCAAGAATACCACAGACGGTTTGCCATGGATCAAGATTTCTCTCAAGAAAGAGCTCAGAGAAAGGCTGCTGTGAGAAAGGAAGTCACTTGCTACTCCCCTTATTCCTCCATCGGGAGGAGCCAGATGAGGTCACTGCACATCTGAGTGGGTGCTATCAAAGCACAGCTCTGGCCAGCGTGGAGACAAACGTGGGCTGTGTGGCCCGTGACTGAGTGGCTGAAAGGAAACCTGAGGTGGTAGATGATGGAACTGATTGAAAGAAAACTTCTGTAGGAATGCTGCATGTCATTCATTCAACAGTGCTCCCTGACCAGGGCCCAGGGCTGTGCATATGAGCTGCAAATGGGTTTGTTCATTCGTTTACATATCTATTTGCTTATTTATTCAATAAATTCTGATTATGCCCCTAAGAGGCACTGTGCTAGATGTCAAGGATGAACAAGACAAAATCCCTTCCCCACAGGGGCTCCCGGTCTAGAGAGGGGAGGAGGAAGGAAGATCCACAGTGATTTGTATCACATGCTGAGGAAAGAGAGTCATTTACTATCGCCGTTTGACATCCTCACCCCCAGTGCGGTCCTTCTCTTTGTCTCTCCATGCTGGGAGTGGGCAGTCCCTGCCCTGCTGCCCTTCAGACACAGCCCTCTTCCCTCAAGCTGCCCTCTGCCTGGATCCCACCTTCCTTGTGAGCTGGAGTATTTGTGTTGAAGGAGTCTTGACTCTCCTTCCCTGTCAGTCACTGTTTGGCTGCAGGCAGTGACAGAGGTGGCAATAAAGCAGCAGAGAGAAGGCTTTGGTATCAGAGCAGGGACTCGTGGGTGGGATGGGACGGGGATGGTTTTCTGTTTGCCCCACTGTGTTCTCTGTGCTGCTCTGCCCAGGGAGGCTGACCTCTGCAGACTGTGTCACCTGGGCCCCCTGATCTCTCAGCCAATAGAGGTCCCAGCTGAGAAGGGGGAGAGAGGAGTCAGGGTATTTGTTTCCCCCATTCCCTGTCACTCCCCCTTTTTGCCTGCCTGAAGCTCTGGTGGTGGTTGTGGTTCCCCCATGGTCACAGCTTTGCTGAGTGGCCTCTCTCCTGTGTCCCGTGACCCCAGTTGGCATTGGGCTTTGGTAGAGATATTTCTATCCTAGTGCCACACTAGCCCTTATTAGTTTTCTTCATCTGGTCTATGCCTTTAGAAACTGTCACATCACTAAACCCTTCAGTGAAACCCTTTCGAATGTGTCATTTATTTTCTGTTGCCGCCCTGACTGGCTCACCTGGGTGCAGAGGAGGTGGGGACAGAGCAGGTTGGGGCTCCAGTTCAGCTTTATTATCCCTCTTTTTCAGGGTTTCCCAGAGGAAGAGAGAGAATTTGGACAAATGAATGAGGGACAACGTTCTCCTGAGGGTTTTCTTTAAGGGGCGAGGATCACTGCCGCTAGCTCCTTTGAAAGCAGAATTAAGAGGCAGTGCAGGAAGGCACAGCAGGAAGGCTCATGGTTAGACCACAGAGAAGGAAGCAGCCACTGCTGGGGACCTACCCGGTGCTGGTCACTGACAAGCTGTCTCATTAAACCTTCTCAGACCCTCAACCCCTCTTAGTATCTTATCCTCATTTTACAGATGAGAAGACTGCGGCCCAGAGAGGTAAAGATCGGGGGAGCAGGATGGGAGCTTCACTCTGTCTCAGTTGCTCTGGCAAAGAGAAGCCTCACCTTGTGATCAAGGGATTGGGAGGGTGACAGATAAATCTTGGCTTAAGTGTCAGCATAGCACTGGGAATCTGGAGCTAGACGGCACTGGCTTGACTCCTTGGATCTGCCTCTTACTAGCTGTGTGATACTGGGCATACCTCTGTTTCCCCATCTATAAAAATGGGGCTAATGATAATAACACCTGCCTTACAGGTTGTGTAGAAGGTTGAATTTTTAGTTATGAGGTGCCCAGGAACAGTGCTGGCACACAGTGAGCACCATACACAAGTGTTAAAGAATGGAGCCTCCTGCTCTCACCTTATTTTCCACCCCCTGCCCTGTTCTCATTGCCCACCTCCCCTGCCTTCTCCTCACCATCCTGAAAAAGGGTGAACAGCCACCCAGGAGCCCCTGAACAGGCATGTTGGTCCCAGGCCCTTTGTGAGCATGCTTTTCCCTGCCCTGCCCCCTGTCATCACCATTCTGGATGGAGCAGCAAGGACGGAGACACTTAGTTGGGCTATCCACTCCAGGTCCAATGCCAGTGGGATCAGCTTCGATGGGATGCGCACAGACTGACCTCTTCTCCCCAGCCCCTTCAACTTCCCAGAGCTGCAGGGGGCCTGGGAGTTCTTGGTAACAGCACATTAAACCTCTGTTTGTGGGAACTTTAATTTAAACACAAATTAGAGACGGCAAATGACTCTGGCAGCCAGATAAGCCATCCCGGGAGAACAAGGAGAAAGCCAAGAGAATCAGCCCAGATAAGGCCTGACTTTAAACTACTGGTGATACCCAGAAGCCTGGGACAGATGAAATCTAGGGGTCCTGAATGAAGAACCCTAGAAGCTCTACACCCCAGTTGCCCTTGCTCTGGGCTCTATGCCAGCTCCCTCTCCTGTGTTCTCTATATTTCTATCTTTTTGCAAAATTCTAACCTGATTCTTTGGCTCCATCCCTCCCGCCCCCACCCCACTGTTTTAGAGAATGCACTTTCTTTACTTTGCTTCTCATCTTCTTCTGTGACCTACTATTCTGAGAAAGTTCTACTTGTTATCTAACCTCCATCTATACTACTACCTTTAGAGTCTAATACATCCTGCTTAGTGGTAGCTCTGGGAGTTTCTGTTCAGGTGGCAAATGTGGTGTAGTAAAAACAACCTGAAAAAGACCTGGGTGAACTTCTCTGCATCTCAGTTTCCTAATCTGTATGATGAGTGTGTGAGAAAGAATCTCTAAGGACTTGTAAACTCTGACTTCTCACAGAGAATCTGAGGACAAGGACATCCCAGGAAATCTCTATTGTTCTGGAACCCATGAATTTTCCACTGTTCTACTGTTTGGGAGTGAGCGTGGGGAGAGCAGTCAAGCCTGTTGATTCCTTTCTGGGAGGGGTCTACAGGCTTTGCTTCCACCCCTCCACCCACAACCCAGGCTCAGGCCAGGCCCAGGCCCAGGAGAGAGCCTGCCTTTCCAGTTCTGTCAAGGCCTGCTGAGCCCAGCTCTGTGGGGCTGTGGCTGCTAAGATGTTGTCTCTGTCCTCTGGGGTAGGAGCAACATATGTTCCCTCTGTCACAGCACCTGTGAGGGTGGCAGAGGGATGGCAACCCCCAAGAGGGCAGAGTTCCATCTCTCCAACTGACCTTGAAGAATCTTTTTATTCTGCTTTTCTGGGAGGCTTAAAGTGAAGGCGGAGGGAGATATCACACAGTCCCAAAGCCCCCACTAAATGGGGAGCTACTGTCTTTCATCTTTCATGCAGGGTAAAAGAAGACACCTCGGCTACAGCAAGAGGAAAGAAGGTCAAACCACAGGCAGAACTTTCAGGTTGAATGTTAGAACAGACTGTGATCCCAAGAGGTCATCCAAGACCCTTGGTCTCAGAGGATGCCTATAAGGCCCTGGTCCCTGGCTGGGGTGGGAACAATAATCCCAACAGCCCCATGCCAGACTGACTTGGGAGTCGGAAGGTCCCTGGGACTAGAATAGAAGGACTTTGGCATTCTCCCTGGCCTAGGGCCCTTAGACAGAGGTGGGCAGCTGCCATCAGGAGCCTGGGGCCCAGCTGTGTCCCCACCATGCCCGCCTCCCCCCTCCTGAGTGCCTGGCTGCCCCTGGAGCCCCAGGCTTGCCCGCCATCTGGGCAGCTCAGAGGAGAGCCCACTGCCAAGGGAGTGCCAGCGTTGATTTATAGCCCACAACCTTGGCAGGCTCAGGCTGTGTGCCCGAACCGCCTTTGCTCAGGGAAGAGATGCTCCTCTTAAAGGGACAGTGCAGAGGAATGCAGGAATGTCCAGGATGAAAGCTTGGCAGGGGGCTGGCAAGGAAGACCTCCACCCATCAGCACTCTGGGTGACTGTCACTCCCTAGGGAATCTTCTCCCTAGGGAACCCACCCATCATACCTGTTATCATACCCTATCCTTTGTAGACTTGGCCCAACTGTAACATATTAATATGTTTACTGTCAGTCTCTCCCACTGGACTGTAATCTCTAGGAGGGTAGGAACCAGACCCATTGTGCTCATTCCTGAATATTCAGCACCCAGCACAGTGCCTGGTGCCTAATAAGATCTCAGTAAGAATTTGTCAAGTGTAGGAAAGAATGAATAAAAATGAAGGTCCTTGTCCATGAGGTGGAGGGAAGCCCATGTGTCTTCTTAGTGCCTGCTATGGTTTCCAAGACCCTGCAGCATCTGCTGCTAACCCCAGGATATCTCCCTCCAGGACCCTTCCTCACCCCTGTCATATCAACCCAGGACCAATGGGGCCAATCTTATCTGAATACCCTTGCCTCCCCACTTTCCTCGAGTCACCTTTCTTAAGTCCTTCACACAATGTTCTTTTCCTCCCATTTTCCTTCCTCCAAGATACTTTCTCAGATTACCTACGGCCTCAGTCCTGGATTCAGATATTCTTTCAGATAATCTTTTATTTCTTATTTTTTATTTTTTTTATTTTTCTTGAGACAGAGGCTCCCTCTGTCACCCAGGTGGGAGTGCAGTGGCAGTCTTGGATCACTGCAACTTGTGTCTCCCAGGTTCAAATGATTCTCCCGCCTCAGCATCCAGAGTAGCTGGGATTACAGGCTTGTGCCACCATGCCCAGCTAATTTTTGTATTTTTAGTAGAGACGAGGTTTCATCACGTTGGCCAGGCTGGTCTCGAACTCGTGACCTCAAATGATCTGCCCGCCTCAGCCTCCCAAAGTATGGGGATTACAGGCATGAGCCACTGTGACTGGCCTATCCAGCAATATTTACTGAGTATCTACTATGCACTAGGCACCGGTTGCCAAGAATTCATGAATAAATGGAACAGGCATAATCCCTGAACTCAAGGACCATACATTTCGGAGAGTGAAACAGACAAAAAAATAAGTAAGCAAGTTAGCAAATACATACATGCAATTTTGAGACCTGTTGTGAAGTGGGTAATCACAGACAGGGTGGAGCAGGGACCCTTTAAATTGGGTGGTCAGCTAGGCATGGTGGCTCACGCCTGTAATCCCAGCACTTTGGAAGCCTGGGGCAGGCGGATCACCTGAAGTCAGGAGTTCGAGACCAGCCTCACCAACATGGAGAAACCCTGTCTCTACTAAAAATACAAAAATTAGCCAGACGTGGTGGCGCATGCCTATAATCCCAGCTACTTGGGAGGCTGAGGCAGGAGAATCCCTTGAACCCAGGAGGCGGAGATTGCCATGAGCCAAGATCATGCCATTGCACTCCAGCCTGGGCAATAGGAGCAAAACTCCGTCTCAAAAAAATAAAATAAAATAATAAAATAAAATAAAATAAATTGGGTGGCCAGAGAAAGTTTCTCTGAGGAAGTGACACTTGGGCTGAGGTTTGAAGAATGAGAGGGAGCCATGTAAAGAGTGAGGTAACAGCATTCTAGAAACAGTTCAGTCACCTGGGTGTGCACAGCAGCATTTGGGGGATAGGAGTGGGAGAGGAGCTTTCCCAAACTGCACACTCCTATCTCTTTTACATTTTGAAAGACCCTACCCTTCCAATGTGGGAGGACCATTGCTTAAAATCTCTGGAGAAGCAGCCCTGGCCTTACCTGGAAGCTGGTTAGAAAACAGAGCTCGGGTGCCACCCCAGATCTACTGAGTCAGAATCTGTATTTTAACCAGGTCCCAGGTCATCTGTATGCGCAGTGGTGTTTGAGAAGCAGTGTTTCAGGAAATACCTCACAGGAGGAATGGAGTGTGAGGACATCAGAGGATATGAGATGGGTGGGGTTGGGGGGTTGGTTGCTGAAGAGTGGATTTGAATCAGAGATGGGGGTCTGAGTGTGTATATGTGCCTCTGTGTGTGCGTTCCTCCAGCCCTAATGACTGTGGGCTATCTGAGGATGTGCATCTCCAAGCGCTTTTCCTTCTATGGGTGTGGAGTACCAGGGGATACTGTACATCTTTATCCCACTGTGACAATGCCCCCACTTCCACCTACAGCTGTGAGTCAAACAGAATCTGCCAACCTCTGCGTGGTGGGAGCATCTCGGAAGCAAGGCAAGGCAAGCCAAGGAGATCCCTTGTTCCTGACCTCCGGCAATCCATTTATTTGACCTGAGTCTCATAAAGGCGTCCTGATGAGCCCAATCGCTTGCTAATGGTTATGAGCTGAGACCTGGGGATTTATGGCTGAGGCCTCCGTGGCCACGAACAGGAGTAGGGCTGCGCACAGGAGGCCAGGCTGTGCATGGCTTCAGTTCATGGAGGCCTGTACCCAGAACCACGGCGGGGACTACCACACCGCCACCTCCAAATCTGGGGCAAAGAACATTGCCCTGGGTGGGGGAAGCTGGGCTAAGGAGAAAAAAGACCTCTGGCTGGAGATGTCCAGGGATGAAGGGTGAGTGTCTGGGAAACTGGCCTGACTTGGCTGGGTGGGGTGTAGGGGGAGATACTGGAGAAGTGAGTGGAAAGGGCACTGGAATTGGAGCCAGTCAAACTGGGGTTCAAATCCTGGATCTGTTTTCCACCCGTGTATGACACTGGACAAATCATGGCTCTCCCTGAGCCTCATTTTTCTCATCTGTAGATGGGAATTGTGACGCTATCTCATAGGTTTGTGAGAATTAAATGAGGCCAGGTACGGTGGCTCATGCCTGTAATCTCAGCACTCTGGGAGGCCAAGGTAGGAGGATTTCTTGAGCCCAGGAGTTCAAGACCAGCCTGGGCAACATGCCGAAACCCTGTCTCTACAAAAATACAAAAATTAGCCAGGTGTGGTGGCATGTGCCTGAGGCTGATGTGGGAGCATTGCTTGAGCCCAGGAGCTTGAGACTGCAGTGGGCCATGATCATGTCACTGCACTCCAGCCTGGGTGACAGAGTGAGATCCTATCGAGAGAGAGAGAATTAAATGAGATAATGTTTGTGAAAAGCATTTCGAATACCAATTGTATATATTTAAGTGGGTCAAGAGATTGGGATTCTAATTCCAGCTCCACCACTAACTTGCTGGGATTCTAGCACTGGTTTTGTTAGCAATGGCTTTTTTTTTTTTTTTTTTTTTTTCCTGAGACAGGGTCGCACTCTGTCGCCCAGACTGGAGTGCAGTGGTGTGATCTCAGCTCGCTGCAACCTCTGCCTCCCAGGCTCAAGCAATTCCCCTGCCTCAGCCTCCTGAGTAGCTGGGATTACAGGCATGCTCCACTACTGCCCGCTAATTTTTATATTTTTAGTAGAGACAGGGTTTCGCCATGTTGGCCAGGCTGGTCTCGAACTCCTGACCTCAAATGATCCACCCATCTTGGCCTCCCAAAGTGCTAGGATTTCAAGCGTGAGCCACCCCGCCCGCCCAGTTACCAATGGCTTTGTGACCTGGGGCACATCACAGACCCTTTCTAAGTCTTAGTTGCCCCACAGATACTAAGAGGGGACACAGTGCTCTTTTGGTTGCCTCCAGCTCTGATGTTTTGTGGTTCTAACGAGGAGTCCTTGTTTGGAAATGGAACTTTGGAATGGTTTGGATCTCATTCTGGCCATAGAGAGGGCATCATTGCAACTGTGGCTTCAGGGCCAATGTGCGGTTAGGGGGGCTGAGTCAGAACAGCCCCCTCTTCCTCGATAGTGCCATCCTGTGAGTACAACCCCTGTATGGGTGTTGGACACAGTGTTGGGGAAGACTGGGCAACAGGGGTAAGTAGGAAAGGCCCTGTAGTAGGAGGTTAGCTGGGTATCCATGGAAATGCCTGAACTACTCATGCCTTTTGCACAAGTAGGTCTTCAAATAATCTCTTCTGCTTCCCTCTTTCCCACTCTTTCCCTGTCTAAGGTGTGTGGTGGTGTGTGTGTGTGTGTGTGTGTGTGTGTGTGTGTGTCTAACCTGATTGGGAGAGTAAGCCAAATGGAGTGAAGTGGAGAAACATCCCCAAAAGTCCCAGGTAGAGACCTAAGGATTCCTAAATCACAGTGCAGAACATGGTCCTCCACCCTTTTCCCATTCTGGGAACATCCTGAAGCCAGTCATTGTGGGAGACAGACATGACCCCCAACCCAGCCTCACAGACCCCACCCCTCTTCCATGCTTTGCCCTACCCTCCTTCCGTGTGCTTGTATCCTAACCTTAAGCCCTAGAGACTTCTAGGTACCCAGAGAACAGCCTATTCAGTGATGTTTACTGAGCGCATGTTATGTGCCTTGCACTGGGCCTGGAGCAAGGGCTAAGGAGTGAAATTAGACCTGATCCCTGTTCTGAAGATGTCACAGCTGAGTAGGCAGAAAGACTTTAAACAGATAATGGCAACACGATGTGCTAAGGAACATCAATGTACAAGATAACAGGTAGTCTGTATTTATGGGAGAGGGAGGCGTAAAAGAAGATGCCTCAGCTGCTTTCTAAACATGTTTGTTGTGGAACATTGAAAACATACGAAAACAGAGCAGTATAGTGTCCTCATCATGCAGCTGCAACAATGGTCACACCAGGATCTTGGTGTGTCTATACTCCCACCCACGTTCCATACCCCACTGCACTTACTTGGGGTGGAACTGGGTTGGTTTTGAAAGAGGAACAGCAGTTCCGCAAGTAGAAAGTGCTGGAGGGAAAAGCTTGCAGGCAGAGGGGATGCCGTGCTCAGAAGCTTGAGCAGTGCCTGATGCTGGTGCACCAAACCGAAGCTGAAGCAGTGGGACAAGATGCTTTGGCCCCCGTTCATGCTGGCCCTAATCCATCTGTCACACAGCGTGCCCTGTGGCTCCTTTTGGAACTCGGGTCTCCAGGCAAGTCGGGTCTCCAGGCACAGCCAGGTTAGCGCAGAGCCAGCCCTTTGAGTGCAGGGAGTGAGGAGGCACCGCTAAGACGGCGGGCCTTGGCTGGGCGTCGGCGGGGCCTTGGTGGGCCTAGAGCGCTAGGGACTGGCACGCACCAGCACTGACGGACAAAGCGGGCGCAGTTAGGCCCTCCACCCCGCGTCGGCACGCGGTCTTAAATATTACCCCGGAGTTTTCAATTATCTCTCCTTAATGGATTTGCAGGGGCTCTTTCATCAAGCGCGGGGTGGCTGGGTGTGGGGGTGCGGAGAGAGCGCGGCGAGGGCTGGAGCTGGGAAAATGGCCCATATTTCAATATTAAAGCCCTTTACGATCGTCAGCAGCATGAAAGATGCTGCAAATAAAACGGAGCCGTCCGCGCCAGCCTCTCCATCTCGCAAGTTTTAATTAACGCTGAGTGGGAGGCGGCTGACGGGCGGGTCGGAGCCGGGCCAGGGGCGGATCTGGGAGCCTGCGGATCCCAGATTCCGAACTGGAGCGGCAGGGATCTCGCGGGCCAGGCCAGGCGGAGGCGGAGGGTGGTGGGCTCCGAGTCCCGGGCGAGGGCGCGGAAGATGCTCGTGGAGATGGGCAAGGCTGAGGGGTGGGGGACAGGGTGGAAGGTCTCTGAGCATCTGACCGGGAAACAAAACTCTGCAACTGAATGCAGAAAGCTTTGTTCTTAAAGGTGAGGGGGCTTGTGGCCAAATCATCGAGCTCTTCATCCCCAGGCTCCTTCAGCGCGCGTCCTTCTGCCTCTCTTCTTTCGACCAACAATTCCCCCAAACGCTCCCCCGCGTTGATTCCCGGTCCCCTCCCACCTCGTCCTGTGGCCCCTTGTTTCGGGAGGCAGGCGTGCTTCTGTGACCCCACGGCTCCTGTTCTGGGACGTCTGCTTTCTCCATCACTCCCTGGCTTCCCGGGCGGGCCCCATCCTCCGGAGCGGAGCGGAGCAGCGCGCACAGAAGCGCCACTGTTCTGCCTTGGCAGGGCCTGGCCCGACAGCTTGTGCCTGCGCAGCAGACGCATCCGTCAGGCGGGAAGGATGGAGCGACGTCCGGCTGCCCGCTCCGAGGACTCCCCAGGGAGACACCTCTGGCCTTGGCCCAGACTCCTCTCTTCCCTTCTCCCCACCCGCCAACCCTTCCCCCAACTACCAGCTCAGTATATACTTCTGTCTCTCCTCCTTTCCTTGCTTCTCCTCCTCCCTCCCATACGCATGCAGCCTGGGGCCTGGGGCCCAGGAGAGCCACTCCTCTCATGGGTCACACTGAGAAGTCCTTCCTCCACTTGCATCCACATGGTAGGGCATAACTCTAAAGCTTAAAAAGATCCAGCGATCTCAGGGGACCACAATCCAAAGCTAAGTCAGCCAACCAACACTCAAGGGCTAAAATCAAGGACTTTGGGCAAGCCCTATAGAGTGGAGGAATTAGAAAAATAATACAAATAAAAGACATGGTCATTATTCCTGGGTATTTACAGATACTTTGTGCTTCCTGAAGTGTTTTGCAGAAATCACATTCTCCTCTCATTGTGCTACACAGCTTGTAAGCACCAAGACAAGAAATTCTATGATAAAGCAAAAAGAAAAGAAAAGAAAAAATCCTCTTCTACTTTCTTCTTCGTGTGTATTTTTTCTTGTCAATTTCTGATAATCTGTCAAGCCTACTTAAAATAGTGCCTGCTTATGCAGTATGGTTAGGATGATGAACACACACTTAAACAGGATAGGGAATAAGTACAAACTACAAGTGCTGTGGGGATGCAGAGTAGTAGGACAAGTGGTGAAAATTAAAACATTTTTGGCTTAATCAAGGAGTACTTCCTGGAGGAGGGGAGACCTGATTTGGAAGGAGAGGTGATATAAACTTGAAAAGAAAGTTCCAGATGTGGAAACACTGGTTTTATTCTTTATTTTTATTTTGAGACAGGATCTTACTCTGTCACCCAGGTTGGAGTGCAGCGGCACGATCTTGGCTCACTGCAACCTCCACTTCCTGGGTTCAAATGATCCTCTGCCTCAGCCTCCTGAGTAGCTGGGACTACAGGCATGTGCCACCACACCCAGCTAATTTTTTTGCTTTTTTTGTAGAGATGGGGTTTTGCCATATTGCTCCAGCTGGTCTTGAACTCCTGGACTCAGGCGATTCCCCTGCAGCCTTGGCCTCCTAAAATGCTGGGATTATAGGTGTGAGCCACCACACCTGGCTAACACCGGTTCTAAAATTAGGCAGAATCTATATGTTACTTCAGGTTGAGGAGCAGATAATCTTGGCTATATTTTCCCTGACAATACAGTAAGATGAAAGAAGCCTTGTGCAATAGCAGGAAGAATTCAGGGTAGACAGTGGGATCTTGGCTAATGCTGGAGACTAAAGTGAATGGAGAGAGACCCTGAAGCACCCTTCTCCCATACTTGGCTATGGGCTATGGGAGGGATGCCTGGACTCTGAGACTTGGCCACCATGTTGTGTTTTGCCATTAGAAGATTTGGACATGAAGTTGAATAAGGCAGGAATGACCTCACAGCATCAACCACAACCCCCAATGTGGTTGGAGAAGGAGGGAGAGAGGACAAAGAATATCTTCCTCTTACTCAGATTGTAAGTGGAGAAACTGAAGTCCATTCACTCAAATCGATAAGTGTCTACTGAGCACCTCCTATGTGGCAAGCACTATATAGGCCCTAAGGATCCAGAGATGATCAGGGCATGGTCCCTGTCAACATGGTGCTCACAGTCTAGTGGGAAATAGAGTTCACTCGTCATTCTATCATTCAATCAAAAACAAAAAGTACTGAGCACTTACTCTGAGCCAGGCAGAGTTGCAGGTGCTGGAGATGCAACTGTGAACAAGACAGACCCAATCCCTGCCCCATCAGGGAGTACCACCTGGTGCAGAAGACACATACATAAACAGGCAGCTATAATTCAGGGTGATGTATGCTATGAAGGGGAAAGGACAGTTGCCATGGGGTGGCATATCCATAGATATGCTGTAGATCCATAGGTTCCCATGAGGGGATATATCCGAGTCTGTGAAAGGGGATGCGAGGATGATGTGGAAGAAGCAACACCAAATCTGATCTGCTCACAAGGTGCGCAGAAGTCAGGTGTGGGATGGCATGGGGAGGGCGTCCTGGGCCTAGAGTTTGTGTTCCTTTTCAGCATCTTACTAGGAGCTTGTGGCCAAATCAGGCCCAGGCAGAGCTTCTTCCCTCTAGTCACAGGATAGCACTGGCCTGCACCAACACAGCTCTTCCAACACCAGCAGGGGAAACCAGATGATAATCCTAACAGAGCCAGACCAAGGAATGAGGTTATCAGTTTTCCTTTTTCTGCTGGGAAGTTTCTGCCTTGGGGCTAGTCTATGTGGGGGGAGGCTGGGAGGTGGGAGGGTACTGTGGAGGATCTTACTCTTTCCACCCTCCTCTCACTGATCCTAGTTTTGAACAAGAAACAGGTGATCTGTTTCTCTAGTTGCAGCTGAATAGAAACCAGGACAAGAAAGTGTTGTCCTCCCCAGACACGTTTCTGTCTCCTGGGTCCTAACCAGCTGCCTACTTGAGCCATCTGACTTCTATCCACAGGGCCTCCCAGGAGCTGAATCCAGAAGGGCAAGAACAAAGTAGCAAAGCAGGAAAGGGCATTCAGAAGAGAACAGCATGGGCAAAGGCCCCAAGGCCAGAGCACTTGGAAACTGCAAGTCCCTCAGTGTAGAGATGAGTCTGTAGAGGAGGTTGACACAAGCTTGTGAAAGACCCAGTATGCCAGGCCAGGCTAAGGGGGTGGGAAGAGTGAGGGACACTGAGGGTTTTATGGCTTAAATTTTGACAAGTGTATCTACAATACAGACAACTAATGTAACACTCCTTTTTTTTTTTTTTTTTTTTTTTTTTGAGACGGAGTCTCACTCTGTCACCCAGGCTAGAGTGCAGTGGTGAGATCTTGGCTCACTGCAACCTGCACTTCCTGGGTTCAAGTGATTCTCCTGCCTTAGCCTCCTGAGTAGCTGGGACTACAGACTGATCCCACCACATCTGGCTAATGTTTTGTATTTTTGGTAGAGACAGGGTTTCGCCATGTTGGCCAGGCTGGTCTCGAACTCCTGAGCTCAGGTGATCCACCTGCCTCAGCCTCCCAAAGTGCTGGGATTACAGGCAACACTTTTTTTTTTTTTTGAGACAGAGTCTTGCTTTATCATCCAGGTTGGAGTGAAGTGGCTCAGTCATAGCTCACTGCAGCCTTGACCTCCCGTACTCAAGCAATCCTTCTGCCTCAGCCTCCTGAGTTGCTGTTAATTTTTTTTTTTGTAGAGACAGGGTCTCACTATGCTGCCCAGGCTAGTCTCAAACTTCAAGAGACCAAGGCGGGAGGATGGCTGGGCTCAAGAGATCCTCCTGCCTTGGCTTCTGAAAGTGCTGGGATTATAGGCATGAGTCACTGCCTGTCCATATAAAGTAACACTCTTGAACCCACTATCCAGACTTGAGGTTTTGTTAAGTTACTGTTAAAATTTTGTCAATTTTGCTCTTGAGTTTCAAAATAAACAGGTCATTACAGATAAAGTTGAAGTTCCCTTTGTCCCTTCCCCAGTACCATTCCCCTCCCTTTCAGAGGCACCACCATCATATATTTTTTCTATTTTTACCATAGATATATATCCATGAATAACATTATAAGGCTTCAGTGCATTTTAAAAAGAGGTCCACTGGTTATGATATAATTTATAACTTTATTTTTCCATTGCACATTTTAAAAAAAGTCTTTATTTGAGGTTTTTGGCAAAGTGCTGACAAGGGTAAAACTAGCGTTATAAGATCATGCTGGTTACCAAGTGGAGTATTCCAGGTGACAGAGGAGGACCAAGGATGGTGACAGTGGGAAGGAGGAGACATAGGTAAAAGGAGACTCCACACCACAGGTCACTGGTGATCGCCCTGTGAGGGCAGGGTTGTTTTATACAAGCTGTTCTTCAGTACCATGAACAGGGCCTGGCTGTTGAGGACGCCCAATAAATATCCGTTGACAGCGAAAGGTTGACAGGGGCAGACGGATCCAGGATGACTCCCAAATTCCTGGCCCAGTGCAAAAGCCTGGATGATGATCCCAGTCTCCAGTATGAGGGCCCCAGGAGGAGAAGCTGGATTGCAGGGAAAGATGAATCCAGAAGCCATCTCTCTGATCTAGAGAAAACAAGGCTGTGCCGTGTGGAAGGGATTAATGTTAGGAAGCAGACCGGACCTCCATTCTTAGGACAGAAAAAAATCTTGTAGCAGGTAGTTCAAGGCTATAAAAGATCTGAAGGGACCCAGAGATGGTAAGAGTGGAAAGGTTCAGTCCTGCTGGGGGCAAAGGGATAGTTGAAAAACAAGCCAAAAACGATAATCACTTTCCTCAGAAGGCCAGGAGGGCAGGGCCCAGCTTCTGCATCAGCCACAAGGACTGTCTTATAGCCCTCTGTGCGGTGGGTACCCACAACCCATTAGCCAAGGCAGAGGAGGAGGAAGAAGGTATAGTAAGTGCATCTAGGATCATAAAGACCTTGTCAGATGCCCACACTCAACTTTTCTCCCACTCCATATTCATCAACAAGATGGACAGGTGGGGTGCTCACAACTGCTTCTTAGGACTTATTCTTGACCAAATTCAATTTCTCTATTCAGGGAAGGATGTGAAATATAACCTGCTTTCCAACTCTTAAGACCCAGAGCTCTGGCTCTTCACCTCAAAAGGCTGCCCTCTGCAAGAGCTCCCTCAAAGGCACTGCCACCCCCACCTCCTCACCCCACCACCCCTGCCCCAGGCACAGCCACCACCCACCCTCTGCTGCTAATTCACCTATAAACCATCTCCTGCCTTGCGTCTCCACTCAGTTTTGTTCTTTCTCTAACACGTTCCACTCCCCTGAAAGCCCGCCCAATCCTTCCTGTTACCCTAGCACTGACTTCCTAAATGAAGTCCGGTGGCTCACAGTTCTGTCCTTCTCTGTTTTTGTCACTCTTTCCAGCCCCTCACTTGAGCCTTTGGTAGCTTGGTCTCACAATTCTTTGGGTCCTGACTATGGTTAAGTGGCATTTCTCTACTTCATCCCTGGGTTCAGGGACAGAAATGCTTTTACCATCCCCAGTGCCCCTCTCTGGGGGGAGCAGAGAGGTCACTTTAGTTTTGTTTGGTCTGGTGGAGTAAGGCACGCCCTTCTCTCAGAGAGGGAGCTGTCATGGATCTAAGCCAGTCCCTGTCCTAGGAGTACTTGCAAGTTAGACTTGCTCTTTAGTCAAGGAATGTTAAATATTGTAAAGCAATGCCGTAGCTGGAGGGGGAGAATCTGGGAATCCTCTTTCCATGAGCCTGCTATTTGAAGGTGTGGTGGGATCCCTTGGAAGTGTGGGCCCCTTGTACTCTGGATCTCATCCCTAGAGTCACCAAAGGGCCAACGTAATGATTCTCAAATAAATCTGTGATCAGTCCCCTCATACCTTGAACTTGGGCAGGCTGCTAATTTTTATCAGAGCAATACACCCTGTAGATACCACCTCCCTGAACTCTAAACGGAGCAGAGCTCTAAACCACCAAAGAATCAAGCTATATAGACTTCCACCTTAAATGGGTGTAGATTCAACACGATTCCCAAAATCACGTGACTTGCCTCGCTAACCAGGGTTCTTCCTCAGTGGGGAAACTACTTGGGCCTTTTTTCCTTCTCCTTTTCACCTACCTGAATTATTACGTTTATTTATAATTAACATATATTGCATGTAATATTAAAAAGAAAATAAAACTTAGAAAGACTTGGTGGTGGGTGCTGCTGAATTAGGTATCAGAGCCCCAGTTAGGTGGGTGTCCTGTGGAGTTTCTGATGAATCAAAAGCCATTGTTGGGCACTTTAAAAACATGGATGCCTTGAGCCCTGGGCAGCCCCAAGGCTGTGCCTACCGAGGGCACCCACAGAGGATTAGAACTGGGGCACTGGAACGAGAGGACCATCAGAAGCAAGGCCTGGATGCTCAAATTCCCACCACAGTCATAAAACTTAGGAGCATCTAAGTCGCAAGCAGCTTTTAGTTTCTTTCTTAAGAATCCAACAAATCTTGTGTTCCACCTTGTAGCCTTCTATAAAGTGTGACCATTCACTTGGTTGATGATTAATGATTCAGCTAGTAATTATTAAACAGAAAGGAATCAGAAATAAGAATCATAAATTTAAACAAAACATTTCATGTTCTTAATGCTAAACTTGAAGGTAAAACAGTAGGAAGGTAGAAAAAACAATGTTGCTATTTGTTTTGTTCTTTTAAAGAATGAAGAAGTCAGATTTCGTGGTCCTTGTGTAGGCTCTGTTCCTGACAGGGTTTCTCAAACTTTTCTGCCAAAGTCCCTTTGATATTAGAGGCAGGAGGGTAAACTTGGACCCCAGCAGTCTGGGGGCTTGCCCTGAAGGGCCATTAGCAAGGACCAATTATTTCTTTTTTTTTTTTTTTTAAAGACATGTTTAATTAAATAATAGGTTACTTCATCTTCGTTATTTGCATTATATAAAAATAGGATTTTTTATTAATAAGAAAATAGATTCTTTTGTGGCCTTAAGTTTTAGCTCTAAAATGATGCAAACTTTGCATTTTATAACATAGTATATTTTATACAACTTAATATAAAAACGATGTTTTAAACCATTTGCCATCAAAAAACCTCTGTGGCCCTTGGAGAGGCTTCTTATATATCTGGGGACACCCTCAGCGTGCAGCTACTGCAGTGTGGCCTGGGGCACTTGCACCCAGGTGAGAGGTGCTACGGAGTGTGGTGGTTTGTTAAACTAGCTGCCACTGTCCCAGGTTGTATCTTTAATGACTACCATTTAGTGAGCACTACTATGTGCCAGACTCTACGCCAAATGCTTTTATATGCTTATGCCATTTAAATTCTCACAACCATCTGCCTAAAGCCACACAGCTGTAAGGTGGCAGAGTGGGGATTCAAACACCTGTCTGCTTGGTTTCAAAGCCAACTGTGACCCCCTGCTGACTCTTAGAGGCCAAGGCTGAAGCCCCTGGCTGAGGGAGTGGTGGTGACCTGGGGAAAGGACTGTTGTGGTGCATCTGGAAAGAGCGTGGGGGGTGGTCCAAAGGTAGTGCCCTATCTCAATTGATTGTTCACAGTCAGTTACAGATCCAAATCCTTGTTCTGCTCCTTCCCCCTTCTCACTACTGCATTTGACCAGTCTTTAAAAAAAAAATACGTACAATGCAGGTCTAATACGAGAAGTGTCAGAAAAGCTAGGCTTAGGTCTAGCTCTGCCTTTGACTAACTATAGGTTCTTTAGGGAGGCCCTCAGCCCCGTCTATAAATGGGAATATAAAGGTCTGTGAAAGGGGCAATGGAAAAAAGATGAATGTTGAGCCACATCCCAGGCTCCTTTCTTGCTCCACTGCTTATCAGCTGTGTCATCTTAGGCACATCACTACGACTCTAAGCTTGTTTCCTCACTTCTAAAATGTGAAGAACAATACCCACCCCACAGGGCTGCTGTGGGGATGAAAAATAATACACATGAAACACCTGGAACAGTTTACATATAGTAGTTGCGCAATAAATGCTTCCCAATAGTAGTTATCCTTGTAATAGTAGTATTAGCAATACTACTAAAGTATTATTATATAAAGTAGTATTAGCAATGCTACTAAAGTATTCATATTTTAAAATTGTGATTATTAAAGTGAGAAAAATGTATGAAAGGAATACTACAAATTAAGGTAATCCATTAAAAATAAGGAGCTGGAGGCTAGGCATGGTGGCCCACACCTGTAATCCCAGCACTTTGGGAGGCCAAGGTGGGTGGATCACCCGAGTTCAGGAGTTCGAGACCAGCCTGACCGACATGGAGAAACCCCGTCTCTACTAAAAACACAAAAAATTAGCCAGGTGTGGTGGCGGGCGCCTGTAGTCCCAGCTACTCGGGAGGCCGAGGCAGGAGAATGGCATGAACCTGGGAGGCGGAGCTTGCAGTGAGTGGAGATTGTGTCACTGCATTCCAGCCTGGGCGACAGAGCAAGGCTCTGTCTTAAAAAAAAAAAAAAAAGGAGCTGGAGGAGGCCCACCTTAATGTACGCCAAAATAGTTCTGCTGGTTGAAGGCCTGGAGTTCCCTGCAACGGGTGGGGAAGGGGATTAGCCTGGGGAAATAATGCCTGGGGCAAGTTGAAGCAGAGTTAGGGAAGATCCAGGTCCCTCTGCTGAGCCAGATTGGAGGACAGAGCCTGACCCTCCATGAAGAGAGACTCTCAAGGTCTCTTTTAGCTTTAACATTGGCTAAGTGTGATTCTATGACTCAACCAGTCTGCCCTAATTCCTCAGTGTGGGCAGGACATGAAAGACCACCCACCAGTATCTCAGTGAGTTTGTGTGGCGCCCACCTTGGCAGCCACACACAGACACTTCCCAGAGTCTCAGTGATGACGATTCTCTCTAAGGGGAACCCAAGCCTTAACCAAAGACCACCTCTCCATCTTCCTGCTGGGGCCTTGCAGGTCAGCCTAGAGGGAGTTTTCCAGAGCAGGTGGCTTCCGAGTGGCCAAGATCATGTGGGCAGGATAGGTTCTCTTCTCGCTGGGCCTTTCCCCCCTAAGCTGGTGTCCCAGGCACCTCTCTCAATTTGGAAATCAGATTATTTATGGTTTATTTTTGACACCAGATCATCGCTGCCCAAGTTTCATCAATTTGTCACTGTTTTTATTGTCAGCAATTGCCCATAACTGGAGCACATTTAAAATGTCATTGATCTTGGTATTACAGTGTCATAATCTGACAGTAATAGGTGTAGCCAGCACAGGAAGCCCAGGCCCTGAGATTGATGGCGTTCAGCACACCAATTATATTCTGTCCATCTAAGTGATAAAAGAGTACGTAGGAGGCATTCAACAGATAAATTAGATATCGCTCCCAATTATGTCCTTTATTTTATGGAGTCATATGCTCCCCTTAGAACTTTTTTTCTTCATTTGGCTTGTAAAGGGGAATTACTTGACCCCCCTAAAGACTGGGACTGCCTCCCCTGCCTGTCCCAACTTGGGTTCTACCCTGATCCCTTCTGACTGGCTCATAGTCTTTCACCTGGGCTTTCTCTGGAACTCACCTAGGAGTTCCCCAGTGTGGTAGGTCCACAGGTGTAGAGGGAAGGAGGCAGAGGTGCTTCACCATTTGGGAAGGAGTTGGGTCAGGCCTTTGGGAAGGACTAGGAAGTCTGGCAATGCCTTTAATGTGACACTGCCCAAATAAATGAGACTGGGAGAGAGGCTGGAAAATGGGTAAAAATCCTCCAGTCCAGACAACAGAGCCTTCAAATTAGGACAATGAGTAATTGGCTATAGCTGGGGAGGAAGAGGATGGTAAAAAGGTTTTCAGTCCTTAAGAAGTGAATTCATCCATCCCTCTACCTCCACTCCAGACTGGGTGGGGCCAATTCAAGCCATTCCTCGGAAGAACTCCCGGAATCTTCCACATCCCCATTCTGATCCATATCAGATGACTTCCTCAGCTCAAGTCCTAGCTCTGCCACTGTGGTAGGGACATAATGCCAGCTTTCCTGGGGGAGGCAGAGGGCTCCTGTTTGAGAAAAGCCCCAAGAATGGTTCATTTCCAAGAAGAGAGCTCACCTGAGGCAGGGAAGTGCCTGGCCAAGGAATAGAGGTACAGTGAAGGCATAACTTTATTGGAGGCCTGGCTTATAAGCATCTTAAACTCTGAGGACAGCCTTGACCTGGTCCGGACCCCTGTTTCCCCATCCCCCAAAGCCAGCAGGAAACACGGCAGAGGCCGAGACACCAAGTAGTAAACAGTGATCTAGGTCCATTGATCGAGCTTTCAAAGAGAAAGTGTCCATGGGCTGGGCTGCTCCCTATTGCCCTGTTGCCATCTCAATGTTATAAATAATTCTGGCACTAAGTGCCCTGTTACACCGAGGGGAAGTAGTTCTTATGGCGTGAAACCTGAGAATATGGGTCATGGGAGGAGGGGTGACTGGGGGCAGGGGTAGAGATGGGGAGCGATCACCCCAAGGCTCCTCAACTACACCCCTAGGCTGGTGATAGATGAATTTCTGGAGCAGAGTATGGCATTTCAAGTGAAATGTTTATAGGAAATGAGTGTGATTTAAACAACGTCTTGGCTGATAAGCACCAGCCAGCTGTGGGGAGATGGCAGGCTAGAAGTGGAGGAATCAAAAGCCCAGAAGCCCCCAGTGTTAAGTAGCTGTCTGAAGCTCCGCTCAAACACACGCAC
Organism: Homo sapiens; assembly: GCF_000001405.40. Classification (NCBI taxonomy): domain Eukaryota; kingdom Metazoa; phylum Chordata; class Mammalia; order Primates; family Hominidae; genus Homo; species Homo sapiens. The sequence continues at coordinate 54,096,141 of NC_000012.12, read as the reverse complement.
CAGCTTTGGTCTTAACATGTTTTTAAGAGCTGGTTATGATTTCCTTGAGGGCGGCTCAGATTAAGACTAGAGTGGAGCCCCCAGCTGAGTGCCTTCAATAACTGCCCATCACATCCTCTTTAGAAACAGGAGCCTCTTCCCCTTGGCTCAGGGACCCTGTAACTGGGGAGGGCTGTGAAGCTGCGTGGCTTGTCAGCCTGTTCCCAGGCAGCATGGGGCCTGTCTGCCCTTTGCCTGGGATCCTGCCCCGGATCCCAGGAACAGAGATTGAGCCCCATCCACAGAGAGCTCTCAGCCTTCAAGAAGAGAGAAAACATACAACCTAGAAAAGAAGAGAGGAAGCAAAGAGAGCAAAAGGATGGAAGCCAAGGAAGAGGAAACTGTCACCAAATCCAGAATTTGGGCCTTTCTCACCACATGCACTGCTGCCATCCTGGTCCAAGCCACACATTTCTCACTTGGATTAGTGCAATGACCTTTCAACAAATCTCCCTGCATCTTCCCTTGGCCTTCTGTGATCTATTCTCAACACAAAAGACAAAAAGACTATTTAAAAATTGAAGTCCAGGCCAGGTGCAGTGGCTCACGACTGTAATCCCAGCACTTTGGGAGGCCAAGGTGGGTGGATCACGAGGTCAGGAGTTCAAGACCAGCCTGTCCAAGATGGTGAAACCCCGTCTCTACTAAAACTACAAAAATTAGCTGGGCATGGTGGCAGGTGCCTGTAATCCCAGCTACTTGGGAGGCTGAGGCATAAGAATCACTTGAACCTGGGTGGCAGAAGTTGTAGTGAGTCAAGATTGTGCCACTGCACTCTAGCTTGGGTGACAGAGTGAGACTCTCTCTCAAAACAAAACAAAACAAGACCCTGAAGCCCAATCATGTCTTTCCTCTCTACTTCACTCAGAGTAAAAAACAAAGTCCTTAAGTTGACTTACGAGGCCGAACATCGTCTGTTCCCTCCTTACCTCTCTGATGCCATCTCCTCCCACTCTTGCTCACTCCCAGAGACTTGCCAGGCATGTTCCTGCCTCAGGGCCTTAGCACCAGCCACTCCCTCTACTTGGAATACTCTTGCCAAGATGTCTATGGGGCTTACTTCCTCTCTCACCTCTAAGTCTTTGTTCAAATACCATATTCTCAGTGAGATCTCCTTGACAACCATATTAAAAACCTCAGATTTCCCCTCCATGCTGATCCTTCTGTACTTGATCTATTCCTTTTCTGTAACAATTATAATTTTCTAATATATGATATAATTTACTTATTTAGTAAGAATATTGTTCATTATCTGTCTCTCTCTGCTAGAATGTAAACTCCACACAGGCGGGGGGTCTTTCTCTGTTTTGATCACCAATGTATTTATTCTAAGAACTTGGAATAGTGCTCAATAATAATTGCTTAGTGAGTAAATGCAAAGGATGAGGTTCACCAGGGGAGGGTTTGGAGAAGAGAACAGAGGGGAGGCCATCCCAGGCTTGGGGTGAACTTGTGCCTTATCTCACAACAGGCCATGTGTGAGGATCTGAGAGTCAGAGTGTTGGGCACAAGTTCAAGAGTCGGGCTAGGGCATCACCCAAAATGGAGAGATTCAGTTAACAAAGAGACTAGGCTGGATTTACCTCTGGAATCTGGTGGAGGACTTAGCTTTAGGTTGGGATTTTACCATCTTCATGACCAAAGCATACTTGGGGACAATAATGCCAAAGGGATGTGCAGGGCAAGAATGAGGTGGTTGGGAATGGAAGCAGACTGGGAATTCAGGTGGGGGAGGGTAGCTGAAAGAACAGGCATGTGTCTTCTAAGTCCGGAAAAAAGATTGAGGTGGAATTAGAGGGCCTGAAGGAAAATTGTGTATGCAAGTGGGAGGAACAGCCTGGGTCACTGGAAGCTATCATCTCCAAGAGCATGTTCCATCTCCACTGAGGGCAGAATCAAAAGCCATGGGCTGCAACCAAAGTCGAAGGAACTAGAGTGAGACATCAAGAAAGGCCTCCCAACAATGTGACAGGTGGTGGAGGGGAAGCACTGGGCCTTGTTCTCTGGAAAACTTGAGCAGGACCTAACTGGGTGCACACCTGAGCCAGGCTAACCCAGAGGGCACTGTGAGGCTCTGGGGTGTGAGTGTGGTACTGGAGCCCCGGAGAGGGTTCCTGCCTCTGCCTGGCTCCCAACTCCATCCTCTCACCTGCGAGGCTTCTGAGCTTCTAAGCATGCAGAAATGTCCTCTCTCCTGACCTCAAGTTTCTGCATCTTTTCAGAGTGGAAACTGAGAGTATTTAGTATTCCAAGGCCCCACCAGTCCAGGGGCCAAAACGTGCGTACCGCCTCTCCTCAGAATATCAGTGCTCAACTCAGCTTTGTGGTGGCCTCAGGGTACAAGCCAGGAGAAGCAGAAAATACCTTTGGAGGTTATACAATTCAGTGGTTACTGCAGTTATAATGGAGTGAGGACATGGGTGGCCTGGGAGTTCTGAGGTTCCGGGGAGACTTACTTGTCACTGTATAACTTTTGGTGCCTTTTGAGTTTTGAACCATGTACATGTATTTCCTATTCAAAAACATAAAACAATTAAAATCAGATGAAAGAAACAACAATAATAACAACAAAGAATAGGTCTAGGGAAGTGGGAACTTGATGCCTCCAATTGCTACCCTGAAGGCAATGACCTGCCTCCTCTTGCCCATGTGTACCCTCCTCCTCATCTGGCATCTCCATTCTCTACAGGCTCAGAGAGGGGTGTGGCTGGCCTGATGTCACCCAGCATTTAAGACTAGCAAAATTCTGGGGCTTAGCTGTCCAGACTCTCAGTGTTGTCTTTCTTTTCTGATCCTCAATGACCTCGTCTACTCATTGACCTCTCCATGTTTTTGGCAGAACTTTGCATATGCTACACATCAACCTTCAATGGGTTATTTTTAAAACTGTATGGTCTTAAATGCCGTCTTTCCCAGGAAGTAATCTCTTTTCACAAAGAGAAAGAGATGACAGCTCTCCTCTCCCCCTGGTGTGGTATCTGATGGTTCATTCCCTCCCTTCCTGCCTCCCTCCTCCCTACCACCCTCTACCACTAAAGTGGCTCTCCACTGAAACTTGGCCCTGTCTCTGATGAGATATGTGAACTTGAGCAAGTCATTTAACCTTTCTGTGTGTCTGTTTCTTCATCTATAATTGAGGATCCTGACCTTCCTCCCATGGCTCTTCACTTATGCATTTGTACAGCAAGCATGTATTCTGTGCCTGGTGCTGAACCTGGCACTGAGGATCACACAAGACAATGTATGTGAAGTTAATACAGAGACACAGAGAGTTACTGCCAAGGCCTCCTTCCTTGGATGCTGTTCTGGGCTGGGTGCTCCAACCCCCTCATCTGGCATGCCCTCGGAGGAACTGCTTCACAGTCTACTCCAAACCTCTCAACTTCTAGCATTGCTCCTGGGCTGAAGCCGATATCCTGCTCTGCATGAAGGGTCAGGGGGTGCAGAAACAGCCTATTTCCCAGGCTTTTTCATTGGTTAGATCCTCAGGCACCACTTTGCCTACAAGAAGGAATAATGCTGAAATCTGTCTGTTCGTCTTTAGTCTGGAATTTTCAGTGTCCACCTCTCTTGCCCTCTGTGGGCCTTTCCCTGGAAGTTGGGCTGGAACAAGGGGTATGAAATGGATTTTATTCATGTCCTCACTCTGCTCATTTCTCTCCTTTCCTGAATCCCATGCATCCATGGAGATTGGTACAGTGGCTAAGATTCTGGGATTGGAAACTCACATTTGTCTCCCTCCAAATGTAAGCTGGGCTGTGGAGGAAAGATGGTCCCTTCTTTAAAATGAACACCACCATCTCAGAGTATATAGGAGCTTGCTTCAGGCAGAGGAGGCAGAGCTGCCTTCCAGAGCTCTTGCCAGGAAGCTGTCCCCACTCCCTGCCTGACCACCGAGGATTGGGTGAGCATCACTGGGAGGGAGGGGTGTTTATAGAAAAAACGTGCTGCTTCAGCCCTGGTCATCGCTGATGGACCATGGCAGCAAGGAAGGTCAAGTCCAGACTAAGGAGGTACTTCTGGTTGTCAGGGACTGGGTTTAAGGTGAGAGGTTGGTTGGAACTACTCAGACATGGTCTTCCCAGAGCAAGGAGGAAGGATGAGATGATCTGGGAGTTGTGAAGGACTCAGGGGTTCCATGATGTTGCAGAGCTGGCAGTGACTGGGAGGATGCCAGGGAGATGTCAGTTCACCCATGTCTAGAGCAGAAACCCCATGGTCAGAGACCAGGTATCTGGAACCCCAACATTCCCAGCATAATGTCTCACACAAGGCTAACTGGAGACTGAGGAAGACAAGTCCTTCCCTGGAAGATGGTGCCAACACTGTGCTCACAGAAGGACAGCTACTTTAAAGCCCCAGCAAGAAAATGGTCCCAGACTGTGGGACCTGGAAGTACTTCTTCATGTCCAGCCTCAATCCTCCTTACCACAGCTCGATTGGATCTCAGTGCAACCTGTGGGATTTGTCCATGCCCAGAGGAGAAACCCAGCAAGGAATATGGACTTTGCTTTTAGGCCTACCCTGTTGGCTGTGGGAGATAGAACAAGTTGGCCAAACTATCAAGTACCTGTCTCCACACCTGGGGAGTCCCCAGGAAAGTGGAGAGGGAAGATCTTCCAGGGAACTGCCACCCTCCATGAGGAGATAAGCAGAACAGCAGAGGGCAAGGAAGGTTCAATGGCCAGGAGAGGTGGGGCTCAGGGAGTCCCTGATGGCTTGGGGTGAGGGAGCTTCCTGGATGCTCAGCCCCTCCAAGCTCCTGAGGAAAGACTGTAGCTTCTGGAGGTCAGGAGCTGATCCTGCATCATCTCGGCAGACGAGTGCCCAGCACACAGCAGATGCTCAAAACACATGGGTTGAATGAATGAGCCTGGGGTCAAGAGCCTGCCCAGCTAGCAGGTGGAGTGGGTCTTTGGAGAAGGGATTCCCCTCTCTGGGCCTCCATTTCTTCATTTGTAGAATGAGGGGCTGCAGTAGATTGTCTCTAAGGTTTTGTCGGCCCCTGACGATCTGTGGTTTCCTATTTCCCTGCTCTCTCCTCAATTCCTTTCCAATTCTCTTTCCCTCTACAGCTTCTCTTTTCCTTTCCCTTTGAGTCTTTTTCTTCCACTAACCCCCAATCTCTGCACCCCTCCCCAGTGCAATTTTCAGTCTCTCCCCTCCCCAGACAATTTCTCTGGCTTTCCCCTTTACAGGTATTTCTTCCTCTCTGCTTCTGGTAACTGCCCCCATCACTACCCTTCCCTGATGCCTTCAGTGTTCTGCGCCCCCTGCCCCCCAAAAGCCGCCCATTCTAGTGCCCCTTTCATCCACCTTAGATCCCAGAGGCGGGAGATTGGAAGAAAAGGAGGAGGGTCCTAAAGCAGCCTCTCCCCTGCCCCTGCAGTGGCCCCACCGCGATGTCCTCGTCCCCCCGCCCCGCCCCCCTCCCCGCCACGCCTCTCCCTCAGCAGCCGGTGCCGCACTGCGCCCTCGCCCCACGCTAATGCGATCTGGAGAGACCCGGGCGGGCGGCGGGCAGTCTGGCCCAGCGTCCCGGGCGGCGCTGATGGATGGTCCCCTGACAGTAATCGCAGAATGAGGACGCGCTGGCGACGCTCTTGCCCGAGGCCCCGCTGTTTGGCGAGCCCGGGAGTCCCTCCCTCCGCAGCGTCTGCCTTCCGGGCGCTCTCAACTCACTCCGCTTTGCGGGAGGCTCAAAGCCTCAGGTTAGGGCAGAGGTGCGGGCTTCCTCTGCTCTCTCTCTCCCAAGACACTGGTTTCTGTTTGGGAACAGATCCCTTCTTGGATCCACGCTGCTTCTGTGATTCTGAACAAGCCACCCATTTCCTGGAGTCTCAGTTCTCCCTTCTGTATAATGGCCTTTAAAGCCTGGTGGAGTGTTGGGGGCACGGGAGATAATACTGAGGAAAATCACGCTCTCTCTTAAGTAGAAACCGAATTTCGCTTTTAGTTTACAATGCTCAGAATAATCTGGCCCAAATGTGCGAAGCCGAGTAAGAGCTGAGTGGCTACTCACACACAGAATATATGTTTATACACATACACATAATGTTTTTAGCATACCAGGACTGCTGCTAGTCGTCTTTAAAGAGAACACTAGCCCAGGTACTTCTCCAGGGAGGCAACTGTCTCCAGCAGGACTGTTTCTCCCCTCTACTGAGGCCACCTACCTGTCTTAAGCCCCCAGACCCCATCCGTTCTGGGGTTCCCCTGCAACCCAGGGCCAGGTTGAGGTGGTATGCGGGAAGATCTCCCTTTGGAAAATGTTTCTGGATAATTTCCCAACTCCTTGACCATGTTCTCCCCACCTCACCCACATTCAGATAACACAGGTTCTAAGGCTCCTTCACTCCTCCACCCCCGGGGGATACTCCTTGGGCCTGGCCCTGTGGAGGGGCTTGGAGGTGGGATCCAGAACCAATTGCAATTCTGAACGCACACCCAGCCGCCTCCTCACTCCCTTTTAACCTTTCCCTCTTGTCAGAAGCCAAATTGAGTTAGTCTTGAGTTTTGATTTAATTCCCGAAATGGAGTCATAATCTGCTTAGTGTCCTTTTTCCCGAGTCCTAGATACTGAAGTGTGTGTGTCTGTCAGGGGGAGTTAAAAGAGCAGCTCTGTGACCTTTGGAGGACCCTCACACTCACTCACCTCCCAAACACCACCAAACAGCAGGAGACACCATGGCCCTGAGTTGCTGGGTAGTATGATGATGGTACTGACAACTCACATTTACTGGGCACTTACCACATGCCAGTACTGAGACATGCACTATACACGCATTTCTCACTTAATTCTCACAACTACCTTTCAGGTAGGTACCATTCATATCCCCAATTTACAGATGAAGAAACTGAGGCTTAGCGAGGTTAAGCAATTTATGTTCCATCCTGCAGTGATTACAGACGGTCCTCGACTTATGATGCTTTGACTTACAATTTCTCAGCTTTATGATGATGCCGAAGTGATATGCATTCATTAGATACTGTACTTCTAATACTCATACAGCCGCTCTGTTTTTCACTTTCAGCACAGTATATTATAACATGTTGAATCTCATGTTGAATACATGAGATGAATACATATCTCATGTTGAATACATGAGATGAATACATATCTCATGTTGAATACATGAGATATTCAACACTTGATTATAAAATAGGCTTTGTGCTAGATGATCTTGCCCAACTGTAGGCTGATGAAAGTGTCCTGAGCACTTTAAGGTAAGCGAGGCTGAGCTATGATGTTTGGTGGGTTAGGTGTATGAAATGCATATCCACCTTACAATATTTTCAGCTTACTACAGCTTTATCGGGACACAGCCTCATTGTAAGTCAAGGAGAGTCTATTATTAAGTGGCAGAGCCCAAATTTGAAACTATACAGTCAGACTGCAGAGCCTGTGCTCTTAACCACTTAGTTGTGTGACACCTGGCAAGGTATTTAACTTCTACACGCCCTGTTCCCTCATTTGCAAAACACAGGTAAGTAGGGATGATAAGATATTCCCTTCAAAGAATTATGTTGATTAATTGAGCTAAGGCATTCACCGTACTCACAGTAAGCATCCAATAGTTTAGGTGCCCTACACATTGGAGCAGGGTTGAGGAAGGGAAAGGGTACAATCCAATGGGCTATTAATTATTCATTGTTACTGTTGATAATAATAGTTATCAAGCATTGAGAGCCAACTGAGCATAGGCCACCCTACAAGGTAAAAATTATGTCTGTTTTACAGATGAAGAAACTGAGTTTCACATAAATTAGGTAAATTACCTAAAGCCATCCAGTTAATAAGTGACAGAACAGAGCTCTTGTTTAAACACTGGGCCCTTGACTCCAAAGCCTGCAGTTCCCAGCACCCCCAGGGTCATCAAAAACTGGCCTCTCCTGGGGGAGGTCAGGGCTCAGGCCAACAAGCCCAAGTCACACCCTTTACCACCTGGGACCTGATTTTCTCCAGGTGAGCAATGTTTTCTTAAAAGAACAGGAGGACAGTAAATAATTAACTAAGACAGTTTCTCCCTCCCTGAAGCCAAGGTAGAACCTCCCCCCTACAGCCAACCCCCACTCTCCTCACTCCTGTTTCCTCTGTGCTCAAGTTTGTGGCCATTAAATAGAAGAGGAGAAAGTTTGAACCAGGCATGAAATATTTATCAGTTAATTACAATATGCAGATTCTGTTCCTAGGGGTGATTTATCTTTTTGGAAATATAGGAAAAGATCCTGGAAACTTGTATCCTAATTGCTTGGCCTATTATTGTAGCAACCAGGTAGAAACTCCATTTACTATGTAACTACAAATTTTCCCACTACTGGAGGTATCTGCCTCTGCTTCTATCACTGGTGGTCTGGGGACCATATGCTTTTCTGATAAGAGATGAGCCTCTTAGAGGTCAATCTGTCGATTCCTCTGTCTCCTCTTGGGGTGGCCCCTTTGTAAATTCTAATAGTTATAGGAAATGAAAAGGGTGAGAGTCTGAAATTCTGGGATCTCAAGAGAAGCTAATTCTAAGTGAAAACTTCCCCAACTGAAGCAGTGCCACTGGTAGGGGATGTCCAAGGTTGAGAAGCAGCTCTCAGCTGAGCATCCCTCCCCTCCCTTGCTCTGGCAGAAGTGTCAGCCCTCCCCTTATCTCTTGTATCATTTCCTAGGGCCTGCATCTCAACCTCTGGCTACACATTAGCAACCTGGGGAGTTTTAAAAATCCAGATGCCCAGGCCCTACTACAGGCCAACCAAATTGGAATCTCTGGAGGTGGGACCCAGGCATCAGTATTTTAAAAAACTTGTGGCGGGGCATGGTGGCTCACACCTGTAATCCCAGCATGTTGGGAGGCCGAGGCGGGTGGATTACCTGAGGTGAGGAGTTCGAGACCAGCCTGGCAAACATGGTGAAACCCCGTCTGTATTAAAAATACAAAAATTAGCCAGGCATGGTGGCAAGCACCTGTAATCCCAGCTACTCGCGAGGCTGAGGCAGGGATAATTGCTTGAACCCAGGAGGCAGAGGTTGTATGTAGTGAGCCGAGATGTGCCACCGCACTCTAGCCTGGGCGACAAGAGCAAGACACCATCTCAAAAACAAAAACGAACAAACAGAAAAACTCGCTGGGGATTCCAGTGTGCAGCGAAAGTTGAGACCCTCTAGAGCTAATAGAAGAGTATCAGTGCCCGGTAAATGGGCCCTGCTTATCTGCAAGACTGTGTAATTTTTATCCCTCCCTCTCTGGTGCTGGAGGAGGCAATTCCTTCACTTTTTGGAATCTGAAGAACATCTCTCTTTCTTCACAAGAAGCTTGTAACACAATAACTACCACTTATCAAGCCCCTGCTGAATGCTCGGATCTATGCAAATAAAATTCAATCTGATCTACAGAACAACTCTATAAGGTCAGCGGGTATGTCTATTTTATGGATGGCTCAGAGAGGTTAAGTAATTTGCCCAAGTTTGTACAACTAGCAAGTGTCAGATCAGGGACTTGAATCACAAACCCATGCTTTTAACCACTGTGGTACACTGCCTCTCAGTTTCTCAAGGCCAGAAGGGAAGGGCTTCAGGTCCACCATATGAAGTGCCTACGGAATGTCTTGGGGAGGGAAAGAAGAGAGAAGCAAGGAGAAGTATAGGGAAGCAGACAGGGGCTACACATGCATAGGGCATGGAGGGCAGAATGGTGGCTGGGAAAGACTGAAGAGGGTTTGTGGGGCTAAGAGGAGGTACCTGAAGGAGGGCGTGGTAAGCCGACACGTGCATGGGAAGGGGGCAGTGGCTATGGAGATAGCTGGGGAGTGGGGGAACGGGGTCCAGGAGTGGGCGCCAGCAGTTGGAACATCCAGAACAGTGAGCAGTGCCCATCGTGGACTGGGTGGTTGGGGAGTGGGAGGGACCTCGTGTCAGAGGAGGGGTCTTTGTGAGCGTGCAGCAGTGAGGAATGCTCCGCCATGAATACTAAGGGCAAGAAGAGAAAGGGCCAGAGGGGGCTGGGTGATGTTTAGCTGCTGGGGTGATTAATGGGGGTGAACGGAGGGTGAAACTCAAGCCCTTCCAAAGAAGATGGTGGGGAATGGTTGTCCAAGAACAACAGTCCACTGTTTCATGGAGAAAGCCAATGTCCAGGGGAGGGGTGGCTGAGAAGGACGCTAGGCACAGTTGCTCCTTCCCTTTTTTCCCAAGTTCTCTTTATTGACCACCAAACAGTAAATTAAACTATATTAGCCAGTTCCAGGGGACCCTCTGGATGGGCTTCCTACCTGCCTCCTGGCTTGGGAGAGACCAAGGAATGTTGGCGTGGCTTGGAGAAAGAGTGAGTGAGGTCTGGGCTGAAAGATGAGATGACTCCATGGACCACCCCCTCGTGGAGCACAAAATGGTGATGTGCTGGCAAGAGCCACTGGCTCCCTCTGGACCAGACAGGCACTGAGAGATCCATGGGGGCTGGGCCCTCAGGTGTCCTGTAGAAAGTGGTAGTGTTCTTAGAGCAGTTTTCAGAGCAGCCCCTTGGCCTCAGGGAGGGACGCAGGGCTCCTTTTCTGTGAGAGAGAGAGAGTTGGGGAAACAAGGAGAGAGGGCTTCCCATGGCCCTGGTTTCAGGGTATTGACCTGGGTTTGAATAATGGAGATAAAACTTGTAGGAAATAACAGGTTTAAGCCACTCTCCCCTCATTTCCTACTTCTGTCTCTTCCTCTAGGTACAGCTGTTGGGAGCTGCCTCTCCTGCCCTCAATCTCCCTGCCTGTAGTTCCAGAGGGAAGAAGAGGGGGAAAAAAGGATGAAGAGAATTATTTCAGTGCTGGGGGAGGTGAGCTTATAGCAGGGATTTAGATGGGAATTACCTCATGGGATAGGAGCAATTTTCTCCCTCTCCAGGCCTCTTACAGATGTGAAACAACTGGCAGATCTGACTTTCCCACCCCTAACCATCGGAGGGGATGATGTGTCTTGAAACCTGTGCCTCTCGATTGAGAGGCTGGTGGGGGAAAGAGAGGTCAGGAAAAGGGGCCAGATGTGTGTTCAGGGGTCCCCAGAGAGTTGAGGGAGACTAGCATCTCCTTAGGGTAAGGAAGGCAAAATGCCCATTCCTGATCCCAGATTGCTTAGATACTGTGCCTGGGTGTCCTCCCACCTCGCCTTAATTCCTGTCTCCACACACAGCTTGGCCAAGTTTCTTCCCCTGTTGGAGTCTCACTCCCAATCCCCTACTCTATCTCTCCAGGAGCCTACAAAGCACTTTGAAATCTGAAGTTTGTGGGAGGTGGCTGTATTGCACAAATACTCTGAGGTGCAACATGACTTGACTGGTAATGAGGCAACCATCCCACCTAGGGCAGAGTTCAAGGACTGCCTTCAAGAGGGGCTGGCCTCAGTTTGCCTGTTACAGAAGCCAAGGGCTAACAGAGACCGCCCTCTGCCTCATAAAGAAGGAGATAAATGGGTCCACTGGAGAGCAACGGTCACAATCAAGTCTTAATGATGAATTAATAATTCATAATTACCCCAGACTTGCAGATAAGCACAAGCCCACTGGAATTATTTCCCAGGGAGGAACACAGTCAGAAAGGGTAGGAAGGGGACTTCAGTACAGACATTACTTCCAGAGGCCATTAAGTTCATTCCTCTGCTTCCCAACCAGAACCTGGAAGAGATCCATTAGCTTCCTTGGCTGATTTCTCCTAACAGCTACCACCCCCTGAGCTTCTAAACAGTGCCATATTGCCCCTCTGTTCTTCATAAGGCCAGAGGACCATTCCTGCCAAAGTGACCTCAGAGCCTGGACTCTGGATTTCTGGGGTCTCTCTGTTCTCTGCTCCCCATTCTGCTATTTACATACGAGGTCCCCTGTAGGAGGGCCTGGTGCTAGCTGTCCCGGCGAGATGTGGACATCTTTCTGGCTCTTCTCCTTCTCTTATCTAAGTCCTCACACAGTGGGAAAATACCTCTCCAACGCTATGTAGAAAGAGAAGCAGGGAGTGCCCCTTCTAGCGTGCATGCCTTTGGTTCCCAGATCTGGATTTGAGGGGCTGGCTCTATTTCTTAAGAAGACATTTACCTAGCATCGATCATGGAGATCGGGCCTAAATAGGGCTAGGGAGGCACACCCAACTCCAGACCCAGCTCTCTGCTGTTCCCCTTCCCAGTGCACACGATCCCAAATTCCCACTCCAGAAAAATTTTTAAAAACATATCTTAAAAAAACCTCGAAGAGCCAAGCAGACCCTCAGCTTCAAGGTATCTCCTCATTCCCTCTCTCTCTCTCTCTCTCTCTGTCTCTCTGAATCTACAAAGAAGGAGTGAGTTTTGTCTCTCCAAGTACTCAGAGCCTTAGATCACAAAGGGGCCTTAGATTCTGGTCTTTAGGAGATCTTTAACCACCATCTCTGCTGTGGCACGACCTTTTTCAAAATGCTAGAAAGAAGAGAGACTGGCTCTTAGACCAAGGGGATTTGGGATTCGAAAGGACTTCCAATTCCAGTTCTATAGATTTCCTTCCCATTAGCCTCTTCATGTGCATCAAATGTAAATGGCAGGCTAAACCTTCAGGATGAAGAGAGTTGAAAGACTGCTGCCTAAAAATACCCTTGTCCAAATCTGTGGGTGCAGAAGCACATTGAAAAGCAGCTACCCAGCCTGGGGGTGTGGCACATGCCTGCAGTCTCACATACTTAAGAGGCTAAGGTGGGAGGACTACTTGAGCCCAGGAGTTTGAGGCTTCAGTGAACTATGATGGTGCCACAACACTCCAGCCTGGGAAACAGAGCTGGACCCCATTTCCAAAAAAAAAAAAAAAAAAAAAAAAAAGTAGTTACCCAAGTAAGGTGGATGATCAAGTACACCCAGTGAGAAGCACACAAACCTTACCCTTTACCCAAACTCTCTCCCTTACCTGGCCCATTTCCGGTCTCTAGAGGAGGATCAGTTAGGGGGTGTGACCCAAGTTACCCAGATAATTAACGGTGGAAGCACGAGTTGTTTTTTTTTTTTCCCACTCCTTTGGCCTCTAAATATGAGAGATCTTTACATCTCTTGCCTAGCTCCCTCTTATTCTCTACCCTCTCCCCAACACGCACACAAATCCTAGCAACAAAAAATCCCAAATATAGGAAGACAAACCTTCCTGACCTACCATTTTGGCCCACCTGCAACCCCTGTCTCCCGCCCCCCCCCCCCAATTTTTTTCTCTCCTGAGCCTCTGCTCTTCGCTTCTAAAATAAAATAAAAAAAAAGAAGAAGGAATTTTCAATAGTCCCACTTGTCAAGCGAAGACCATCTTTTAACCTTCAACAGCAGCGAAAGCCGTGTGAACTCTCGGTGAACCAAGATTGAAGTCATAAATCACGCGTACAAAGGCGGCTGCGGAGGCTGGCGCGAGCTGCTGCACCTTTAACGCTTTCTGGGGCTGACAGGCGGCGGCCCAGCTAAAGTTCACAGCGCCAGGGGAGGGCCCGCCTCCGCCTCCCCTCCCGCCCCCGCCTCCCCTCCCCCAGCCCGGCCCCGGCCCCGGCCCCGGCCCCGGCCCCGGCCCCCGGCCCCGGACCGGCCCGCCGCACGGCCGCCTGAGCTGCGAGCTGAGGAGGCCCCTTGGCTGTTCCCGCAAAGGGCGGGGGGCTCATTTTCTCTACTGCCAGCCCGCTCCATCCTGGTCGTTTATTCCTTGCCTTCCCTCACCCCCCACCCACACAGCCTGCTGTATGTAAATAGGCAAATAGATCTACACGGACACAATAATTTAGCTCGTTTGGTCTTTGGCATTTTCTACAAGACCCCAAGAGATGGACTTTCCTTTCCCCTTCCTCCTTTTAGAAATGGCATCCTTCATCTCTGTCTATGCAGGCCCAATTATCCAGATCCTCGGGGCTCCAATAGGGTCTGAGTCATTGGAACCAGGAACACCTGGCTGAAACATGCCACATAATTAGATTTTCTTTTTCTTTACCTTTTCTTTCTTTTTTTTATAAGAGGGCCAGAATTAGCCTCTTCGACTGGGGCAGAGTAGCTGGGGTGTGGAAAAGGAACACCTTCATACAACTTCCAGCTTTCAGCCCCTTGGAGAGATCTCCAAGTTCCCCCGAGCCGCCAGGACTTCCTTTCCTCGATCTCTCGGCCGCCTTCTCCTCCTTCTCCGATCGTTTTTTTTCCCCTCCCCCCACTGTCTTCTCTACGGTTTAATTAAAGTTCAGCGACTCCACTTGCCTCTCCTCTCATTTCTTTCGGAAAGCGGAAACCAGACGACCCAGCGGCCACGGGACGAGCCGCCCCAACTCAACCCCAGCAGGACGCTGGAGGGGCCTCCCTCGCCCGCCTGTCTTCGCCGGCGCTGGTCTCCCGCACCCGGGTCTGCAGTCCCTCCGCCATCTCGCAGGTGTGCAGCCGCTAGGCCTGGGGGATCCGAATGACTGGGGCTGGATAGGAATGCCTTCGTGTTTCCCAAGACCCCCGGGCCTGCTCCACAAAGTTTGAAGGGTGGGTACACCCCGACCCAGGCAAGTTGCTCCCCCAAACCCATGACTGACTAATCTGATATGACAAAAGCCCATGATGGATTTGGTATATGTTAATTCACAATGCCCTTTCCTCCAGAATTTAACTATAAGTTAATACACACCGGAAACCACGCGCATACACGCTCCTTAATGGGCTTAGGTATTAGCGAGTCCTAACGATGCATACAAATGTGCTCTGCGCTCTGTAGGCCCCTCAAGATTTATGGGCCTTGAGCTCTCTGAAGCTGTAAACAAGGAGAAAAAAAAAAGAGAAAGCGAAAGCGACTGGGGGGAAGAGACAGAGGCCTGACTCGCCCCTCCAGGTTGTGGGAGAGAAGGGATTCTTTACGTATTTTCCTTTCCTTGCAAGCTCGGTGCGTGTGGGTTTTGGCGTTGGTCTGGGGGTGGTGTTCTGCCTGAATGCTGGTGTGCATGGGCAGTGTGTTGTTTGGGTGCTGGGGTAGGATGCCTGCCTCTTCGGATTGCTGTGCAGGGGCCTGAACACAGCAGGCATTTGTGAGCATATATGCGTGAGTGTGCACTGTGTTAGGGTGTGTGTGTGTGTGTGTGTGTGTGTGTGAGAGAGAGAGAGAGAGAGAGAGAGACAGAGAGAGAGAGGCAGGCTTCCCCCTGGGCCAGGCTGCTGTCCCCTGAACGGTGGTGAACAAATCTCTAACAACAATCATAATAACAATAAATAATGAATAATAATAATAAAACAGTAGTTAACAGTCCCTCCATAACAGAATAACAATAAAATGCAAGAGGAAATATTTTGAGGTGGAGACAGAAGAAGGAGTCAGGATCACAGCATCTGAGGGGGAGATAGGAAAGGAAGGGAGGAAGAAAGCTTCTTAATATGCTCTTGGCGGGGCTGGGGTTGGGAACCCCTTTCCCAGACAAGGGACAGAAGAGGGGAAGGAGGGCCAGGAGGCCACTCTTTATTGCTTTTTTTCTCAGGCTTCTGCTTTGTGTGATCAGGGAAGGGATCCCACATATGGGGATGGTTAATGGCTTTTGGGACTCTCTAGGAGCCCCTGTTTTAAGAAGGAGGCCAAATGTGCAGGCTCAGGCCAAGGGGCAGAGATGAATGAGGCGATGACCACAGCCTTGATCCGGCAAGAGCTCAGAGATGCCCGGGAAGACGGGAAGACTGGGGGCCCGAACGGAAGCAGAAAAACACTTATGGCCGCTGGGGAGTTGGGAGAGCCAGGCTGGGGCTTCGGCAGGCCCAGGGAAAGTTCCCTTTCTAGGCTCTTTATTAAAAAATTTAGAAGGAGGAGTTGAGGCGCCTTGAATTTTCCTTCGCGAGTTTGGAGACTAGCCGATTTTTCATGAAGCAAGCAAAGACCGCGGTCCCGGATCCGGCAACATCTACCTCATTCTCTCCAGGTACAGTTTTCTGGTCATTTAATTAGTTTGTTTTCTTGGGGGAGATGGGAATCACAGGGGTAGAGATAGTAAGTTTGCTAGAGAGGAAGCCACCCCACAGTTTCGGGTCTAACGAAATCCCTCCTTTAAAAACAATTGTACCCCCAATAAAAATAAAATTAAAGAGGAATATAGAAACACAAATTAGCCAACTTTTTTAAAAGAGAAAAAAGAAAAGAAAATCATCATAACAGATGAGCGTGAGAACTTCTAAAAAATTTGTCACAAACCCTTTCAGAGGTCTGGATTCTTTTTCAGTAGCCGGTGACCCATTTGGTCTGAAAAGAGAAATACACTATCCAGTGAGTCACTTATTTAAAGCCAGCACGCGCACACACACACACACACACACACACACACACACATATATTCAGAAAGCCCTGGGTTCCTTCGCATTTGAGAACAACACCGGGTGGAGGACGCTGCGATACCTAATCGGACAAAACAGCAATAAAATAAGACCGGTGGAAGCGCTGAGCGCAGGGTGCAGGGCTAGGGCCCAGGTTTTGTGTTCCAGGCCGCCGGCGAGGCAGCGGCCCCGGGCGATGGGGCGCCGGGCGATCAGGCACCGGCTGGGGACTCCGCTCGGCCTCCGCAGCCTGGCCTGCAGCCCCTTTCCCCCAGCCTCTGGGCCTCGTGGGCTCTCTCCGCTCCGACGCCTGGTCGGGGCTTCCCTGTTGAGAGGGTTTTAGGCCGAAGGGCCAAACGACTCAAGCCAGACTCTGCTTTTTCATTTTTCTCCCTTAGGCCTCTCCACTTGCCCGAGCTCTCAGCCACCAGGAGACAGAAGGAAGGGACTTCTGGGCTGCGTTGGGAGCGGGCACTGTCCCCTATCTACTCCTGCTCGGTTTCCCAAAGTCCAGCGACATCCGACCCTCCTGGGGGGAAAAATACCAGTACCCAGACACCTCTGCACCCTGTTATATGACTGGGCTTGCTTCAGGAATATCTTACAAAGAAGAAGAAGAAGAAGAAGAAAGAACAGCTTGGAGTCATGTTTACATCTAGTTCTACTGACCGGTTCCCATCTGGAGAGTTTATTTATAACTCCCTCTATAACTCTCTGTTTGGAGGCACTGGTGGCTCTATTGACAGACTGATGTCTAGGAAATATTGCTCTATGTCTAACCGTACCTAAATGTGCTGTGGTTGTATTTACAGATTTATGTTTGAGGGAAATATAATTATTTCCATTGTATTTGTGCATATACAGTAGTTATAGGAGCAGATTTATATATGGGAAAATATACGACTCTCTTACAGCCATCCGGCTTTATGTACATGTGATATCCTGACAGATTTATATCTCTGAACAGCTATATAGATAAAAACGTATATTGTTAGAATTATGTATCAGGAGATATATACTTATTGATTGTGAAATAGAGTAGTTAGAGCATTCACTTAGAGCCATATATGGCTATGGAGATATTTCTATATTATTATCACTATATATAGGCATATCTATTTATAACTACATAGTTATAAAAATAGACATAAATAATTATAGTCCTATATGTGCATGCTGCAATCTCTCTCTAGAGTTATAGACACTTTCAAATATAACTCTATAGAGAGATCTGTATGTATATAAGGTGTAATTATCTTGTGATGTTTTTACGTTGGGACTTAGGCCCGTTTGTCTAGAACAGACATCTTTATATGTAGGGGATGGGAGAGACTTGTTCACAGATATCTGCAGAGGGCCAACTGGAAACACTGTATCTGCCCTCTAGGAAACCAGCTAGGAGAGTTGTGTACTTATGGAGGGATGGAGTTACAAAAGGGTAAATAGAGCTCAGGGAGCCTTAAGGAGGGGAGGTGAATGGAGGGTGGGTGGGCTGGGTTTGAACAGATAGTGGGAGGAAAGGGGTAAACACCAGCACCCACCAGAAGGCGAGAACCGGTTTTGTGAGGGGCTGGCGCAGACGGCTGTGGACAAGGAGCTTGTAAAATGGGAAGCGGCGAACAGTCCCACCACCTCACCCTGAGACACTCTCCACCGAGGAAGCAGCCTTCAGTTTGGCTTTTAGTGCGCTGTAGGATAGGGACTGTCGTGTCCCTCCTGTAGTCCTAGAGCGTTTCTGTTGAACCCTAATTTTTAGGTCTCAAAGAGTGGGCTTCAGAGATAAAGAGGTTTAGGCAGGGACAGGGCGAGGAGCGTGGGGTGTACTTTCACTTTCCGATAAGTGAGGTAATCCAGGAAAGTGAGTTAATTTGGCCAAATAAAGCTTGTTTTTATCTGGGCCTCCTGTGCCTTGGCGGGGATGTAGGATGGGACCAGAATCTAGTGGACTGAGGAGTGAATTTGCAAGTATTGGGCCTGCTCTGATGGGGGCTTGGGGAGGTTGTCCTCACCACCCGCCCTCCTTCTCTGAGGCCTGAGTGGCCTAATTCCCTCTGGGCACAGAGGGACTCCTTCAGCTCCCTAACAGTGCTGCCCTGGGTCTTTTCAGGGAGAATTTGAGTTTAGGAACAGGGAACGTGGACTTACCCCACTAGATCTCACTTCTCCCACTCACAGCTACACCACTCTTACATCAGCCTCCTTCCAGGCACCGCTGGGCCAGGGGTCCCCAATTCTTCCCCTGCTGCCAACCAGCCCAGTGGGGAAATACCTCCCACGACTGCCAGTTTTTGTGGTTTTTTGTTGTTGTTGTTGTTGTTGTTTTTAAACAGGGAGTTACAGATAACTTCGTTGAATGTGTGAAGGAATTATCCTGAACTCAGTCTCCGTGGCCAACCTGGCCTCCAGGATCTCTAGGATGCTAGGAAGGGAGTGGAGACCCTTGGACCAGGCTAACCACCATGTGCCACCCTCCACACACCCCTGCCCACGGGACTAGGAATTCCTGCAGTGCAGGGACTCTGTCTGCTGTCTGGCACAGAATGGTTGCCCAAACATACTTCTTGAGGTAAACGGAATGGCAGTCAATATAAAAACTCACCCTCCCTCTGCACACCACCATAGCCACTGCAGGCTAGCAGGCACCCTAGCCAGGCTGGGAGATAACATGGCGGCTGGCAGCAGCTTGGGCTTTGACCGGACCGGTGGTTAGTAGGGTGGGAGAGCATCCTGAGCCTAGGATGGGGCGGGTACTGGAGCAAGGCACCTGGAATCTGGAAATTTGGGGGTAAGCCAAGGCAGACCCACCACCCCAGTGCACTTCTGCTTTCTATCTCCAGTCTCCTGGCTCCCTGGACCCCCAAGTTATGAAAACTAAACCAGAGCTGAGACCTGGGCTAGGAAGGAATTGCCTGTCAATCCGAGGGGTGCAAAGAGGAACCACCATTGGGTCCATTAAGAAATCCACAAATAAAACAAAAATAAATCAGTGCGAGACAGACAACCTGGCTGAAGGAAAGGTTTCTCTCTATGCCTCAGCCCTGCTCCAGGGCTACCAAACAGATCAGGCTTAATATTTAAAATGTTTAATAGTTAAAAATTTTTAACAATTTAACTTTAAAAAGGTCACACATTTTCTGATCCAGTAATGCCGCAATCAGATTGTTTCATTTTTTTTTTTATTATTATTATCACCAGTGTCCCCTTTTTGGTCCCTGTAAAATAGTTCCTTTTGGGAGTTTGGAGCCAGGCCAGGCACCGTCGGTGCATGGGATGAGATGGGCAGGTTTGGAGCTCCTCTGTCTGGTGAGGATCCCAGTCTGCAGAGAAGGGTTGGCCTCCCCCTCTCCCATCAAGGCTTAAAGCAAGGAGGACCCTCCCGAATTTGGTTCCTTTTCCCCTAAGTATCCTTAGAGACAATCCACCCTGTGACTAGGTGACTAGGTGAAGGACTGAGGTCCAGAAAGGAGCTATCTTAAACCTGGAATCCCATTTCCTAGTCTGCAGCCTTTGGCAGTTTCCCTCTCAGACAACTAGCCCTCTCCTTCCTCCCCATGAATACCTATGGCTTACAGGGATGGTTGTTGCTTTCCCTAAAGAAATTCAGGGAGGGAGAACTGAGGGTCCTACATTTACATATATTTGCCTAAGAAGGGCTCAAGGCAGGTGCCTGGGCTCTGGCTAGAAGTAGGGGGGTTGAGGGGGGGATTGCTGACAGTTGCTGTAAACAGCAGGTTACAGTAGTGGCCAGTGTCTATTGGTTTGTCCTTAGCCAAAAGGCAGGAAACCAATAGACACTGGCCACTATTATTAACCCCAAAGAGTCCTGGGTCCCTTTTACCTGGGCTGGAATGGCTCTTAGCTGTTCCTGGGTCCCAGACCCCTTTGAGAAGCTGACAAAAACAATTGGCTCACTTCCTAGCAAAATTCTGGAAGTGCCCTTGATAGTTGCAGGAGTCCTAGAAGCCTATGATCTCTAGACTGAGTATCCCTAATTTGTATATTTCCCCTTTGTTTCTGTGACCCGCCCCCTCCCTAAATGCCTGCCTCAGTTTTTGCCCTCCCTGAGTTCTCTTGCTTGGAAATCAAGAAGTTATTCCCTAAATATAACCCCCACGATTCTCGGCAAGGTTCCTTTTCTTCTTTTCTTTGCTAGAGCAGGTACCTGGCAGAGGCCTTGCTGCTTATGTTGAGCTCCTGTTTGGTTCTCCTGCAGACACCAGAAGAACGGCTGTTAACTGAAGCCTAGTCTATATTGCCCAATTACTCGACTGATTCCTGGGGAGGCGGGGGCTGGGGGTTATTGACAGCTGTGGAGGCCTGGCAGTAAGGGGGTCAGTTCCCATCTTTAGTGGAAATTCGAGCAGGAAGCAAGTTACAATTGCTATTATAGTCATAATAATAACAATAATAATTTATTTAGCATATCATTAGATGTGTATTTACTGTCTTCCCTCTGCTTTTTTACAAGTGTCTCCTAAGGAATTCTCACAACACCCAAGGGAAACAATAATAAGCTAATTACCACCCTTTAGTTCCTTCTCCTCCCGTCCACAAAGCCCCCCTCTCAGAGATGGAGCGTTTACAGACCCTCTTCCTATGTTTTACACCTGCTTAACACATTCTCCCCCATTCCCAATTCTCCTCTCTCATTCCCAGTTCTTCCAACCTGCTTTTTTTTTTTTTTTTTTTTTTTTTTTTTTTTTTTTTTTTCTGAGATGGAGTCTCACTCTGTCGCCCAGGCTGGAGTGCAGTGGTGTGATCTCAGCTCACTGCAAGCTCCGCCTCCCGGGTTCACGCCATTCTCCTGCCTCAGCCTCCTGAGTACCTGGGACTACAGGCACCTGCCACCACGCCCGGCTAATTTTTTGTATTTTTAGTAAAGACAGGGTTTCATCGTGTTAGCCAGGATGGTCTCGATCTCCTGACCTCGTGATCCGCCCGCCTTGGCCTCCCAAAGTGCTGGGACTACAGGCGTGAGCCACCGCGCCCGGCCTTCCAACCTTCTTAAAGAAGTTTTCTCATAATTCAGAGGAGGAAAGTTTGGGGAGGGGAGTAGTTGAGGCCCTACAACTTGGTTGTAGTTGTTGTAAGTATTAATATTATTTCCCTGATATCACAGCAATATTTAGGGTAATGTAGGAGGAACCAAGTTCTCACTTATCGGGCTGCTCTTTTTACGGCAGAAACTGCCTACACAGGGTTTAGGTGCAGACTGGATTAGAGAGAGGATGTGTGCTGCCATGATGCCAAAACATCCGAGTTGAAAAACATTGGTAGGAAAGCGGCCAGTCCTGCAGATGTAACATCCACTCTGGTGGCCTTCAGGCTGTTCTGGTCAGATTGCAGAGATGCCAGTTGTCGCATATCTCATTGGCCTCTTTTGTCAATGGAAAGAAAGGAAGGAAGGAAAGGAGGGAGGGAGGGAAGAATACGTGTGTGTGTTTACACACATACATACATATTCAATATTCACACACACATTTTTTCCTTAGTAAATAACCATGACAATAGTTATACTTTTTCAAATATTAATTTCTTTGCTCTTTCAAATATATATTTATATCTCCTCAGAGATTACAATTAAAACACAAACCAGGCCAGGCGTGGTGGCTCACGCCTGTAATCCCAGCACTTTGGGAGGCCGAGGCAGGTGGATCATGATGTCAGGAGTTCGACACCAGCCTGGCCAAGATGGTGAAACCCCATTTCTACTAAAAATACAAAAATTAGCTGGGCGCGGTGGCAGGTGCCTGTAATCCCAGCTACTAGGGAGGCTGAGGCAGGAGAATTGCTTGAACCTGGGAGGCAGAGGTTGCAGTGAGGCAAGATTGCGCCACTGCACTCTAGCCTGGGCGACAGAGCAAGACTATCTCAAAAACAAAACAAAACAAAAAACAAAACACAAACCAGTCACGTGTGTTTGGACGACGGATTCTGGGTGGACTTTTGGACCAACTAAAAGACCCTCTAGAGTCCCAGTGATCTGCAGAGCACACTCTTAGTTGCTCATTTCCTTGACCCCAACCCAGAGTGGAGACCTTTAGCTGCTGTCATGATTGTGTTGGTCAGAGACAGAGCTGCTTGGTCTCAGTCACTGAGACCTGGATGTCGCTGCTCAGACTACTCAGACACTAGTATCGCCTCTCTACCTCTTGCCCAAGTACATCATTGCTCTTGGGAGGATGCAAGTCTGTGCTGGAAGGTACAAGACCTAGGTAGAGTCAATATCAAGGTGAACTGAAAGTTAGAATTGTCTCATTGTCTCAGCTCCCTAAATCACAGATGGCCCAGTGGACATTCTTAGTAGGTCCCACGCCCATTTGGTGTCTTTCTGCTGTCCATACATTCTATGTGTACCTCCTGAAAGGAAGAGGCCTGTGCTCTGGCCCTTTAAGAACCCCAGTCCTATCAAAATTTACTTGTCCTGAGTTCCAGACCATTCTTCTTTATTGAAGAAGAAGCTAGATTGCAGGTTAGGAAACTTTCACCAATGTGTTGACATGCACATTCTCCCAGGCAACTGTGTGTTTTTCGTAGGGGTCTTCAGAAGCCACTGCCCAGATCGGGGGAAATATCTATAATAATGGAATTTTAGACCCATGTGGCAGGTGGCATAATACAAATTTGGGTGAGGATGGTTTATGATTTTTCTTAAATCCTGTCATGAAGGCAGCCACCCATCCTGTCTGTGGGTAAGGCCAACTTTGGCCCAAACCTAAAATTTCCAGGCTGCATGGAGGGGTACAGGACTCTTTCTGCTTCTTTTATTGGCAGATCCTGAAAGATAAGATTAAGTTGGGAAAAAACAAGATTCACTCAGGTAAGAAAAAGATTATGCGCCGGGCGCAGTGGCTCATGCCTGTAATCCCAGCACGCTGGGAGGCTGAGGCAGGCGGATCACGAAGTCAGGAGATCAAGACCATCCTGGCTAACACGGTGAAACCCCATTTCTACTAAAAATACAAAAAGTTTACTGGGCGTGGTGGCAGGTGCCTGTAGTCCCAGGTACTCAGGAGACTGAGGCAGGAGAATGGTGTGAACCCAGGAGGCAGAGCTTGCAGTGAGCCGAGATTGTGCCACTGCACTCCAGCCTGGGCAACAGAGCAAGACTCCGTCTCAAAAAAAAAAAAAAAAAAAAGAAAGAAAGAAAAAAGAAAAAGATTATGCATGAATTTATCAGGGTCTGGACCTCTGATTTGCTCTGACTATGGTGACCATTCATTCCATGGCTTAGTGCCAATTCATGAATAGTGTCCTGAAGCTCCCTCAGTACTCATAACTATAATAGTTTCCATTTCTAGAAGATTACTATATGCCAGTTGCTTTATACTGAATTTGATGAGGAAATCTATTCTCAGAAAGGTTAAGTCACCCACCCAAGGTCACATCACTAGATCTGAACCCTGGCTGTGTGTTTCCCTATCTGCTAGGTTTTAATACTTTCAAACCATGCCTTATGGGTTAGATATACAGTAGATAATCATAGAAATGGAAGGGATTTTTCCCCCTCTGGAATAGTTTTATATCCTCTGGACATACAGGGGGCCCCATGAAGTACTTCTACACTGGTTTCTATAGTGGCTGACCCAAATGCACGTATATTATCAGAATTTCCATCCCCCTGATTTAAGTTTTACTGGCAGCCTCTGTGATTTTTTGGTGTGATAACTACCCTCACCACTTAGAGTCCACCCATTTCCCAGGACTAGAAATATACTCATAATTGCAGGCATCTGGTTTCTAGGGGAGTCCCTGAGTTCCCACTTCCTCAGGCAGAATCTAGCTTTCCCACAAGGATCAGGCAATGTGAAACTGAGAAGTATCTAGAGATTAATCTTCAGGGCCCCTCATCTCCCTAAGCATACCCCCTAAGCACTACTTTTCTGATTCTATCCTTGTTTGATGAAGTATCCCAGTGGTGCTTTTGTATTTTAAAGGATGTGATCTGCAGAGGACTGTACTTAACACCATGTGCTTTAATGGTGGAACTTAAGGCTTTTTTGTGGCAGGATAATTGGGGAGGGGGAAACAGATCCTTCCCAGGGGCTTTAAACTGAATCACTGCAAAAGGCTGATCCTGCATCTCATTATCCATTACATCAGATGAAAGCTACAAAATTGGATCCCTTTATTCTATTTGAAACTAAGCAGATAGTGGGCTGATTTCTCTGTTTTCACCTGGCTATTGGCATCATGCAGACACCCTTTCCAACTTCCTGCCCCATCTTGTTTCTGCCTCTCTTCCCTCAGGGGCAGGGTCCTTAAGGGAAACAGCTCCCCATAGTGTGTCTGCAGGGGCTCTGTGGAAAAGGTTGAGTTGTCAAATAAGGAGACACCACAGCTAACACCCCCTACTCCCCCACCCCCCACCAACTCTGGAATGAAGATGGAGAGTTTTCTGTGCCTGGTTTGGTTCACAGAGACACATAGTCCATCATCTGATTTGCTACAAAGAGTATTCCTTCTCCCTGCCCCCCAGCATCCTTCAGTTTTTGCTTAGAGTCTCAGAGCTGGAAGGATCTTAGTGATAACCTAATCAAACCACTTCATTGTGAAGGAAGAGAAACTGAGGCTCAGACAGAGATCAGAACCCAGGTGTTCTGATCCCTGAACCAGTACTAGTCCCAGCACCATGCTGACTCTGGCTCTGTGTGTTTCAGCTGGATATTTTTGGAGTTGCTCCCTCCAAACCCCAGAATCCAAGCTTGCTCTCCATGGCAGGGAGAGTCACCAACCATCATAATAAGATGGACCCTTCTTCCTGGTTGTGGCCACTTTTTGGCACAAGCCTCATCATACACCATGCCCCATAATCCCACTGGAGCCATCTGTGATCTCTGCGATATTAGAGGGCTTCTCCCCTCTCCCTGCTTCTGTACCACATTACATATCAACTCACCTTAATCCATTTTCTAGAGCTGGCCAGGGCCCAGATAAGGGGCTGAAGGTCTTAGGACAGACAACAACGGGGTAAGGGAAGTTTTTGCCTCTAAATTCCCCACCTCCAGCCTCAGATGAGGAGAGAAAGAGGCTCTCTTGAATAAAAAAATTTCCTTAAGATCTTGTCAAGGCTTCTTCAAGCTTCAAGGGAGAAAACCTCTCTTATTGGATGAGTTTTATCTTACTGTCCAACGCTGAGGACTGGAGGCAAGGGATAGGGGTTTGAGCTTGGCCTGAAGAATCTGAATACACATAAGAAAGAATATATCAGTGATGAGAGCTCTCAGACAGTTGTGTTCTCTGAACATACCAGGTAAGTTCTCCTCCATCTGAGATGGCTAAGTTAACCTCACTGAGTTCTTTCCAGTTCCAAGATTCTGGTTAGAAACTTCCATTTCCCAGTGTTTGGTGGTCAGCCTAATCCCGGATTCCCCAGCCCATGCTCACTCAGTTTCCCAATGGGCCTTGGCTCCAGGAAACAGTTTTCAATTTCACGTTGGCTCTAAACAGCTTCCCCATCCCTAAGAAACATAACAAAATTGAGCCAACTTAAGAATAGGATCCACCAGATGACTTAGTCTGACATGGGCACAATGGCAGCGGACTAGGAATCCAGAGTCATGGTGTCAGTTAAGGGCTGAATTGTGTCTCCGCAAGTTCCATTTCTTGAAGTCCTAACCCTCAGTAACTCAGAATGTGACTGTATTTGGAGATAGGCCCTTTAAAGAGGTAATTAAGTTAAGGCAAGATTATATGGGTAGGCTCTAATTAAATATAACTACTGTCCTTATAAGAAGAGATCAGCAGGCCAGGTGCGATGGCTCATGCCTGTAATCCCAGCACTTTGGGAGGCCGAGGTGGGCGGATCACCTGAGGTCAGGAGTTCGAGACCAGCCTGACCAACATGGTGAAACCGTGTCTCTACTAAAAATACAAAAATTAGCCAGGCATGGTGGCTTGCGCCTGTAATCTCAGCTACTTGGGAGGCTGAGGCAGGAGAATCTCTTGAACCTGGGAGGTGGAGGTTGCAGTGAGCTGAGATCGTGCCATTGCACTCCAGCCAGGGCAACAAGAGTGAAAATCCATTTCAAAAAAAAAAAAAAAGAGATTAGGACACAGACAAAGCAGAGGGAGACAACAGACATCTACAAGCCAAGGAGAGAGGCCTCAGAAGAAACCAACTCTGCTAACACCTTGATCTTGGACTTCTAGCCTCCAGAACTATGAGAAAATAAATTTCTGTTGTTTAAGCTGTCCATGCTGTGGTTCTTGTTATGGCAGTCCAAGCAAACTAATATGGTGTCTAAATGTGTCTCAGCCATTTACTCGCTGTGTGACCTTGGACAAGTCATTTAAAACTCTCCAAGCCTCAGTTTCCACATGAACTCTAAGGTCCCTTCAATATCTAACATTCTGTGATTCCATACAAAGAAAAAGCCTCAATTCACTATACAACTTTTACTTTCTTGCCAATGATAATAGTTTTAAGTTCCTGATAAATACTCACATTTTATCCTTCCGAATCTACAGTCATTTGCACAACCCTTCCCTTACCCTAAATGCCAGTGTAGATCCAGCTTTCAATGCAAACACACTTGGGTCCCTTGACTCTCAGATGCTGTTGCTTCTGCTGCATCTCACAAAAATTGGTTGAAATGAGAACAGTTTAGTCAGTTGACTGGTTTTCCTGAGCACAGTGCTAAATAGCCCCACTGGTTTATCTCCATCTATTGATGGATCTTGTTTTAAAACTGTTGGATTCTGCCCATCCTTTTTGACTCAGTATCACTCCATGGCCATGTAATGCCTAGCCAACAACCTGATCCAGCCAGTTCCATCACCTTTATTCTTTTAATTGATTGGTAAGTTCACTCAGAAGAATCAACCCCAGACAATTGGCGCAGCCTCTCTCGGGCCCAGAGAAAGCACCCCCAGGTTATGTCTAGAAGATGCCAAAACACCCATGTGGGCCAATCGATTTGGGGAAAAATCAGTTCAACCTACAGCTGTAGCACAGGGTAAGCAAAGCAATGTTCCCTCATCAGCCTGCAGTGACTTGAGGTCTGTGCATGGCTAGTGTTCTTTCCCCTTTTCGACAAGTTGACTTGGCAGAATGAAGAAATGTGTCTTCATATGGATACATGCACACACATACATGGTACCACACCACACCACTCTTATTCCTGCCTTTTGGGGAGACAAAGCACTAATGATAGAGAACTTGTGCTGACAAGGGCAGGGGAAAGGCCTTGGGATGACTTATCCCAGGTACACATTTTTGTGAATGTGACTCAGGTTGTAGTTTTGTCAATATTTGGCCTATTTGATGGTATGTGAGGGAAAGAGTCAGCCAGACTTGGAGCTTGGCCATGTTAACTGGTCAGTAGTAAAAATGTCTCAAAGTGTATTTTCACACTTCTGGGCTTTTCTATTTGGTTCCAGAACCTGCATGTTTGTATCCCTGCATGTTTATATATGTTTGAGTGTTTGGGTTTGTATCTCTGTTTTCCTGCATGCCTGAGTTTGCTGATTTGTATGTGTATATTTGCATCTGCCTCTGAGTGTTTGCATATGTTTGTACATAGCTGGTATATGGGCAGATGGGTTTACTTGTGTCTCTGTGCAATCTCCTTTTGGGTTTCTATATGCTATTACATGTATCTGCATGTCTTTGGAGATCAGTAACTCCAAAGAGACTTCAGACATCTTTCAAATGCCTGGCGAGCCGAGGAAGAAATCTGATGCTGGAGAATGGCTTGGCAGGCCCTCAGCTCAGATTCCTTCTGGTTCACTCTGATTTTCATCCAATATGAGGTCTGCAGTGTCTTCCGAGGATGCCTTCTGGCTGCCTCCACCACATTAGACCTCCAGGGTCCCCTCTCAGCCCATTTGTAATGGACCTAATGAGTAGAGGGGAGGAGCTGGGGGTGGCCTGGGATTTTAAGATAAAAATAAAAAAGGAAAGTTCATCTTTTTCTCCCCATTCTCATTTTCTATTATTGACATTCATCAGCCCTGAGCATGAGACAGAGGGGAGTTAGCCACTTAACATTTCTTTTTCTCTTTTTTTTCTTTTTTTGAGACCGAGTCTTGCTCTGTCGCCCAGTCTGGAGTGCAGTGGCCTGATCTTGGCTCACTGCAAGCTCCGCCTCCTGGGTTCACGCCATTTTCCTGCCTCAGCCTCCTGAGTAGCTGGGACTACAGGCGCCCGCCACCATGGCCGGCTAATTTTTTTGTATTTTTAGTAGAGACAGGGTTTCACCGTGTTAGCCAGGATGGTCTGGATCTCCTGACCTCGTGATCCGTGATCCACCTGCCTCGGCCTCCCAAAGTGCTAGGATTACAGGCGTGAGCCACTGAGCCCGACCTCCGCTTAACATTTCTTAGATCTTTTTTACTTTTTAAAAACTAGGGAGGCTGAGGCAGGAGAATAGGTTGAACCCACGGCACTCCAGCCTGGGCGACAGAGTGAGACTCCGTCTCAAAAAAAAAAAAAAAAAAAAAAAAAATCTGAAGAGTTTTGCTAAGAAATTTTAGGTAGGTATTATAATCATATTGTGGTTATGTTATTAATAAACTTTAACTTTTAAAGGTATTCACTGAAATGTTTACTACGTAAGAAATTTTGGCCGGGCGCGGTGGCTCACGCCTGTAATCCCAGCACTTTGGGAGGCCGAGGCGGGCGGATCACGAGGTCAGGAGATCGAGACCATCCTGGCTAACACGGTGAAACCCCGTCTCTACTAAAAATACAAAAAATTAGCCGGGCGTGGTAGCGGGTGCCTGTAGTCCCAGCTACTCGGGAGGCTGAGGCAGGAGAATGGCGTGAACCCGGGAGGCGGAGCTTGCAGTGAGCCGAGATCGCGCCACTGCACTCCAGCCTGGGCGACAGAGCGAGACTCCGTCTCAAAAAAAAAAAAAAAAAAAAAAAAAAAGAAATTTTATGTCTGGAATTTGCTCCAAAATGTAAGAGGTACTGTTGGGTAGGGAATAGATGAAATTAGACTGGCTGTAGGCTGATCATTGTTGAAGTGAAATGATGATTATATTACTAGTGTTTGATTATATTATTCTCTCTACTATTTTGTTTGGACTTTTCCATAAAAGAAAAGAATCCTAAAGCTGGGCATAGTGCCTGTAGTCCCAGCTACTCAGGAGACTGAGGAGAAAAGATTGCTTGAGCCCAGGAGTTTAAGGCCAGCCTGGGCAATATAGTGAGACTCCACCCCCAAATCTAAAAAAAAAACAGAAAGAAGGAAAGAAAAAAGAAAGAAAGAAAGAGAGAGAGAGAGAAAAGAAAGAAAGGAAAGAGAGAAAGAAAGAAAGACAGAAAGAAAAGAGAGAAAAAGAATCATACTCAGACATCTCCTACTATTTCCCCACCAGACTCCTCATCCCGAGATGTAGCTGAGACTATCATTATTTCCCCCCATTATGTGGATGAGGAAGTGGAGGCTCTCACTGGGTAAATGATTTGCTTCAGGCAGCTAGGAGCAGAAAGCTTGGCTAGAATTCAGACAGACTGACTTCCCACCGAGGCTTTTTCTCACAGGATCCTGCATAAACATGAGCCTCATACAGCCATAAAATATAGAATTTGTGAATAAATACCTATCAGATTAATGAAAGAATTGAGACCCCAGTTGCTCATACATTTACACGGGGCTTACCTAGACAGGTATATGGGCACCCAAAGTTCTGCATTTGCATCTGCAGAGACACATCTACACCTCAGCTCATACAACGATGCTTCCCTTGGTTGTACACCTGTAGACCACTAATTTTTGAAAAGGTATGTTAGAAATGATGTATAGGAAAAAGAAAAAGAAGGGGATGAGACTGCTACCCTCAGGTGTGCCTGTTCTGTGTGCTCATGTGACAAGCTGGGCTATCTACCTGCTCTCAGTGGGAATGTACCAGCAGGAGACCTGGAAGGAAGGAGTATCCCTAACAGTGGATATATCCAGCCCAGAACTACAGACACATGGATAATTTGATGAGGAAGGAGAAACACTGGCAGGCTGATGCCTTGTACCAAGCAAAGCTGTAACTTTGCATGCAGGAATACAAGATATTTTTTCTCTCAGATATAAATATCTTCAGATAAATGCAAACATTATATATACTTCATAAATGGTTTGTGCCTGGCACACATCCACCCTCCACAGGCATGTTTTGCAGCCATGTCTGTATAGAGAGGGATTCTGAGAGGGTGAGCATAGGTCTAGGAGTCAAAGGACAGGAGTTCTGCCCTACTGCCCACCAGTTGCTGATTGTGTCATCCTCAGCAAGTCACATCAACCCTCTTTGGCTCAGTTTCCCCTTCTGAAAAGAAAAGATTGATATTAATAGTCAAGCTGCCCACCTCAAACAATGCTAAACATGTGAAAGCTATTTTATCTATAAATTTATATTTTACTCTATATATTCAAGCTAAACAATAATGAATAATGCACATATGACACACATAGCAAGTCTATCTATATCTATCTATCTTCTATCTATCTATGAGGTAGAAAAATTGAGTAACTTACCTAAGATAACACAATTCAAATACAGCATGAAATAGTGAAATGTTGATGGGTTTTGTAGTCAGAAGCACCACTAAAGAGCTAAAAGGGTGTCCAGTAATATTATTATAGTGGCTTCTGCTGGTTATCACAGTTGGTTAGCTCAGTGGTTCTTAAACTGTAGTCTAAGGATCCCTGGGGGTCCCAGAGACCCTTTGAGGAGCTCTGCAGGTCCTTCCTGCTTCGATTATATGTCTGCATATGAGGCTATGTACTTCAGATACTTCAATCAAAACAGCTTATCAAAATAAACTACATGCAGAAACAGATATGAGAATCTGTCTTCTATTAAGCTAGACATTAAAGAGATGCAAAAATGTGAAATAATGACATTCTTCACACTAAATTGTTTTGTTTGGGAAAATATAGTTTTGTCATAAAAGTTATTTTAACATATAATATTTATTACTTTTTAAACAATTTAAAAATGCTTTTAGTTTTAATTTTTAATAAGGTAGATATTGATAGGTGTAACCCATGGAAATAAACAAAAGCTCCTTGAAACTCTAATAATTTTTTTTTTTTTTGAGACGGAGTTTCACTCTTTTTGCCCAGGCTGGAGTGCAATGGCGTGCTCTCGGCTGATTGCAACCTCCGCCTCCCGGGTTCAAGCGATTCTCCTGCTTCAGCCTCCCAAGTAGCTGGGATTACAGTCTCCTGCCACCACGCCTGGTTAATTTTTTGTAGTTTTAGTAGAGACAGGGTTTCACCATGTTGGCCAGGATGGTCTCGATCTCTTGACCTCGTGATCCACCCGCTTCTTCGGCCTCCCAAATTGCTGGGATTACAGGCATGAGCCACCGTGCCTGGCCTGAAACTCCAATAATTTTTAAAAGTGTAAAGGGGTCCTGAGACCAAAAAGTTTGAGAACCACTGGGTTGGAGCCTGGTGTTGATGAGAACAAGAATCTGCCTAGGTGAGATCAAGCAAGGTAGCAAAGCCCAAGCTAATCTAGGTCCTGCTTGCCCTCGGCTGACACGACCCCCATACTCTCACCAGTGCTCCTTGCCTATCATGAGCAAAGAATTGGAGTGGTTCAGAACACCCACTCTGGGGCCAGGCAAATCTGACTGGAGTCTGGGCTCTGCCAGTGGAACACATCCGTATCCTCCCGAGGCTCACTCAGCTTCCTTTTGTGTCAAATAGGAATATAATAACTTCCTTACAGTGCTATTATAAGGCTTGAATGAGACAATGAATCTAGTCCAGTGCCTGGTATATAGCAAGCACGTAAGAAAATGCCTGATGATGTTACTAATAATAACAGATTGCACTCACCGAAAGCTTATTCTATTCCAAGCAAGAATCTAAGTGCTCATCATGCATTAATCCATTTAATCCTCTAATACCACTGTAAGGCAATTAACAACCCTAGGAGATAGTTATTTGGCAGTTGCTGCTATTGTGGAGTGGTTGTTTTCTAGGTCCTACCTATGGGCAAAATAGGATAGATTGGAGTGTTAAACAAATGTTTGTGGTTTTGATTAACCTTGACACAGAAGTGAGAGGGTTAAGTGAGATATCTGATCTTCTAGAGATTAAGTGAGAGATCTGATCTTCTAGAGAGTCTTCTGACTCTTGCCTCATTCCTTTTTAGCCACCCCAGGCCTAAGGAGCCAAATTATGGGATCAAGAGTGAGACCTTAGACCACATGGTCTCAGCAAAGAAGCAGGCCTTTTAGAGCAGTTTAAGGGCAAAAGGGGACAGCAAAAACCTCCGGCACCAGTGACATCAGTGGTAAGTCAAAGAACCCACTTCATAGATGCGCTGGTTGGGATGTCATTCTCTGTCATTCATCACCTCTACACACACACACACACACACACACACACACACTCTCTCTCTCTCTCTCTCTCACCATCACTTTCAGCAAAGTCACCTACCCATGCACATGTGAACAGAAAAAATAAAAAATAAGTATGTTAAGATCCTTGAATGTATGTGTCACGTATGTTTTGAGGATATGTCTCTAGGTAAATGTGTACAGAAAGGTCTGTGTGAAATTATAGACTGGAGAGAAGGATTCAATCCAGTCTTCTCTCCCGACTAATTAGCAAAGATGCTATCACAAAATTCAGGCTCTTACCTCCTGTATCCTCCTTAGGTAAGGTTCCCCCAGACAAGAACAACATCCTGGGCTGGTCCAGGTCTGCCCAACCAGTGTGTGTGTGTGTGTGTGTGTGTGTGTGTGTGTGAGAGAGAGAGAGAGAGAGAGAGTAGGGAGTGGTAGGTAGGTAGTTTGCCTCTCAACATCATGGAAACTGGGTGGCAAAGCCACTGGGAGCATGAATCTGGGGCTCTTGGCCAACTGCTACTCTTCCAGGATAGAAGAGGAGGCAGGATCCCAGGCAGTGGCTGGATTTCAGGATGGAGCTGGAGGGAAGGGAATGAGGAAGGTTTACTCTTTTCTACCAGTTTTCAACTGTGGGCACCAGGACAAGGACCTTGGGATTATTCCAGTCTGGTGCCCTGGAGATATAAAGTGGGTTTTTGCTAGAGACAGGTCAACCAAGCAGAGTTCAAAGTCCTTGGGCCTGAATTATCTGAACTTGGACCCAAGTGGATTGACTAAAAAGGGGAAAAGACAGGCGACTGTCTACCTCAATTGGGTTTACAACACTCTCTATATATTCTACGGGTATGAGTGGGGGGAAAGAGGATGTGAGGGAGTAATTTTTTTGTTTCTTTTTTATTTTTTGAAAAACAGAGAAAAGAGGCCCTCCAATGTGCACAGTATGGAAACTGCCTTGATCTTCCTAGTTTAGATTAGTGAATTCTGGGAGGGATTGGAGGGGCTTTCTTATTGCTCAGAAAATGACTTTGCAATTAAGGGAAGGGTCAGAAAGGGTGATAAAAGAAATGGCCAGGTAGAGGTTAGAAAAGGACATCTGTCTATGGTCAGAATATGGATATGTTCAAAATCTAGAGCCCCCAAAAGCCCAACAGAGGACTGGGGTAGTTATCTAAATAGTTCATCACCAAACCCTTCAACCTTGGACTCCTTGCTTTTACCTGAAAAATGGTTAATTGTCCCAGGCAGAGAAGAGACTGGTCCCTAGGGGCCAAGACTCAACTCATTCAATTCCAGGACCCTCTCCAGCTGGTAGAATGAAAGAAAAGTAACTGGGGAGGGGCCTAAAGGTTTGGCCTCAAAGGTATCTGGACGTTGGTGTATCAGAATAGGTCAGAGGCCAGAGGCCTTCCATTTGGGGGCTTTTTGACTGCTTGAGGTGGAGGGAGGGAGAAAGAGGAGGGTGTTGGGGGAGGGTCAGACAGGAACAGATGCTTTCAGATCTAAAGAAACAATTTGGGGGGTTGGCAGGATCAAACAGAGGAAGAGGAGGGGGAGGAGGGGGAAAGGAAAGAGAACAAAGGTATAGTGGAGATTGGAGCCTCTTCAGTGGAAGAGAGATGAAGGGGAATCCGGGTGAGATGGCCGAGCCAACATCTGCCCCGGCTATAAAATTTTGTTCTATTTGCTGCTGGCCCAGGGGGCACTCTGGAGTGGTCAGATCAGCCCCTGAGGTGGCCCAGATTGGAGGCTTAGCCAGGAACTTTTGAACCTCAGCTGTCCCTCCCAGACTGCCACCCACCACCTTTTGGTTCTTCCTCTGCTTTTACAGTTGGAAGGGAGTCCAAGGATTGGAACCAGGGCCACGACAGGAGGAAATATGGAACTTGGAAAGCAGCAGAAATGCTAGGCAGAGACTCTGAAATGGCCAAGAAAAGACAGACAGAGCTGGAGGCAGTCACATTCCAGGAAGGTTTGAAATTATCAAAGACTGAATCCTTGAGGGGAGGTTTCCAGCTGGGAGGCCCACATCACCCCATCACACCTGAGCTGGGTCAGGCAGGATAGGGATGAGGTGGGGAGGCCCAAGCAAGTGTGTATTATGAATATTCCTTGTCTCCCTCCCCCATTTTTTCCTTTCTCTAAACTGGCTGCCCTTTGGTTCCTCCAGCTAAAACTCAAGCCCCATTCGGTAACCTTATTTTCCAAAATCTATTCCAGCTGAATGGAAAGACTCCACATGTACAAAGTTACAAACACAATGATACCACCCAAAGGGGCAGAGCCTCAAATAAGAGCCAGGCTATCACTGTGGTGGGGTGAGATCGCCTCAACGAGAACAGACCAGTTTGGAGGATTTCTCCCAAATGACTCACGCCCAGCTCTGTCCCTGCCCATCGGATTTGAGAAGTGTTTCCCCTTTTACAAAAGCCCTAAGCCTAACCTGACATCCAGAAACAAAGGCCAGAAAACCGAAGAGGGCAATTCTCCCTATAACTGGGAGAGAAGGGGACATTCTTGGCTGGAATTCCTCTGATGGAGGGGATTGTTGGTTTGATGGCCTGGGATCCTTCAGGGCCTTCCTGAGTCCCGGGTCGAGAACGCTTCCACTGATACCTAGATCTCCCCTCTCCATCCCCACAAAGATCCTGAGAGGGTCCCATTTCCTGCTCTTGTACCTCGGAGAAAACTATCTTTTAATTTCTAA
Source organism: Homo sapiens (assembly GCF_000001405.40). Lineage (NCBI taxonomy): Eukaryota > Metazoa > Chordata > Mammalia > Primates > Hominidae > Homo > Homo sapiens. The sequence continues at coordinate 54,060,828 of NC_000012.12, read as the reverse complement.
AGAAAATGAAATCTCATTATTTGGAGGTGGTAGCCGTAGGGTATTGGTCAAGGAGCGATTGAGGGTCCTCTCAATTTTCCACGAAAAGATGGAAGGTGAGATAGGAGGAAGAAAGGAGAGGCTGGGATCTAAAGGGCGAGACCCTCAGGCCCAGCGGAGTTCACCGCGCAGTGAACCCGCTCAGCTGGCCACGCATCCCGCGCTCCCCGCCCCGCGCCCCTATTGTCCGCCCAAGCCCGGGGTCGTGACCCAGCTGAAGGCGACACCGCGCCCAGGGCGGACGTGGCGTGGAACCCAGAGGAGGAGCCTGGCTGCCGCTGGCCCTTGAAACTTCGTCTTTGCCCCGGCTGGCCCCATTTCGCGATCCTCAAGACCCTGGCCTCTGTGAGAAGGGGAGCTGGGACACCCCCACCCCATGAAGACAGTCACATTTTGCCCCATTCTCTCGCGGCCAGGCTTCCCGGGAAGCCAGAGCTCCAGAGTGGAACCTAGGGTTTGGCTATCTGGCAGTGCCTCCTGCACACTCGGTTCCAGGGTTTTTTTCTGCCTGGAAATTAAAATACTGTATACTTTCCTCTCCCGATCTTTGATGCTGGGAAAAGAGGGAGTCAGAAAGGAGGAGTGAGTAGAAGCGACACTATTTTGGCTTCACTCATACCCCATCGAGGCAGGCAGAGCTGACCCTAGAGGATGCTGCCTATTCAGGAATCTGAAAATTGTTGATGGGGCCCGGAAATTTAAAATAGTCCCTTCCTCTTTATTAGGCTCTGTAACCCTAATCGCCCTCAAACATAGTCTGATATTCCCTACCCATCCTTGTCTTCCCTTCCTCCTGATTTATCCTCCAGGCCTGGCAGAAAGTGGAAGCAGGAAGATGAGGCTGCAGAGGCCCTTATCCCGGCAGGCCTGGATGTGGGCTCTGCTGGATTGGCCCTGCGTTCAAAGAGCTACGGAACTGACACCAGAGAGAAGAGAAGAAAAACCCGGAGGAGTGGAGGGAGAGCCAGGGGCTCCTGGCATTGGAGGGCTGATGAGCAAAGCTCCAGATCAGCTTTAGCTTCTTTCTGCTCCCCAAGCTCCAAAGGGGTCTGAGCTCCTTGAGCTGCGCAGGTTTTAAAATGTTCGAGGGCTCCTCACAGATCTGTAGCTCAGAGTTCACTGCCCCCATTTTTAATTATCAAGAGGCAGCTAAAACTCCAACACCCGGAGCAGCCACACGCTGCAGGAGAAAAATCAAAATGGGGCTGGCAATGCAGGGTGCAGAAAAAGCAGGCTGAGAAGGGTGGTCAGCTCTATCAAAAACATTGGTAAGAGGCAAAGACTTTTTTTTTTTTTAACAAATCCCCCAAATGTTTATTTTGGGCTCCTGCCCATCCAGATAAATCAAGCTAACAGATTAGGAAGTTCATAAAATTGTATTCTTAGGTAATGACATCCAGAGAGGTAATAAATATTCCCTCTGCTCTGGTGGCCGCTGGAGTTCTGGTGTTCAGGGATCTTCCATCTCTCATTCCAAGCCTGAGAGGGGTCTCTTGGAAGGGGAACATTTAAATTAAAATTAGCTCTCCATAGGTGCAGTGCCAGATAGAAGCTGTGGAAAACCCGGAGCGGTGGTTTTGTGAGTGCAATAGCTTGCTCCCCCAGGACTGGGCAAAAGGCAGAGAAAAAGATGGTACAGTTGCTCCAGCGCACTGCTCCTCCCCGTCATAGCACCCTTGATCTTAAGGGCCCCTTTCAGAGTCAGTCTCCCCTAATCCTAGAAAAGCAGAGAAGGACACCCTGGCTCCAAGCTCCCAGCAAACCTTTTAATTGTTTTCACTTCCCTACAACTCCCCCCAACACACACACACACACACACACACACACACACACACACACCCCTAGCTGTGGGAAGCTGTCTCTGGATTTCAATCTGCCAAGTCCAAGCAGAAAGAAAACTGAAGCACAGATTGCAGAGAAAACTTTGTAGGAAACTTCACACAAACAGCAGCAAGAGACCCTCGGAAAGGCAAAGTGCCCCAGTCCTTTTCCCTCAGTCTCACTTTCTCAGACTCTCTCTTTTTTGAGCCAAATTTCTTTACTCCCCAGGTACACAGACTCAGCACAGAACCGTCTTTTTCTCCAAGCAGAACCCCTCCGCTTACAATTGGATTTCCCGCCTTCCCTGCCTAAGACCGGGAGTTGAGACAAAAATTGAGTGGCAAATAAGAGTTTAAACTTTTGTGCTCCTCACCCCCAGAGCAGACCGAGTGCTAACTACTTACGTGTCAATGGGATCTTTGGCCTGTGGGGATCTCCTGGCGCTTGGAGAGAAGGAACCCTGGAAGATTGGTGTCGACATTTCACCCGTCTTCTTTTTACTTAGCCATTGAAGAGAGAGGGATACAATGCACTTACAGGCATTCATGCGCCTTGCCTCTCCCATTACTCTGGGCAAGAAATCCCCAGTCCTACAAAAGCAGTGGCATCCTATCTGGAGACCAGGGCTGAGCAAGGGCTGGCTTGGGAGGGTCAGAGATGGGGGTGGGGGAGAGGTCAGAGGCGCTGCCGAATATAAAGGCAATGGGAGAGAAAATGCTGTGTCCTCCCCGTGAACCTGGGCTGTGTCCTCCCCCCAGCCTTTCCCCACTGCTCAACCCAACTTAAATAAAAGCCCAGCCCTCAGCTTCCCAGCGAGGCTGTAGCAGCATCAGGCAGAGCAGCAGGGACCAAGACTGCTGGAGCTTGGGGCCCTCGGCCCAGACTGGCCCCCCACATCCCAACCCTGCCATGCCATTCTGGGTTGCCAAGTCCAAGGCAAAGGAGAGCTTTGGGGAAAGGGGAGAAAATGGAGCCCACTGGAGGGAAGGCCAGAGGCCAAAATCTTCAAACTCAAATGTAAGGGATTTTAGTTTGGGTTCATTTGTCAAGAATTATGGATTTCTGATGTTTCCCCTTTTCAGACCAGAAAGAACAGAAGGAGACACATGCAGAATGACCATGTATGTGAGGGAAGAGGAAGGAGAAGAAACAGAAGACATAAAGAAGGGGAAATAAAATAAGTGTTCTGACCCTTTTATGCTGCTTTTCCTGAACTAGAGTGTCCCTTCTGCAATTTCAGGGAGAAACTTAGGAAATAAAATGTAGTAATTTTCCCCCTCCTCACTCTCATCTCTTCCACTTTCAGGAGGAGAGGGATAAACTCCCTGAAAGCCACGCGAGCAAACTTAGGAAAGAACCATGGATCTCAATTTACCCCTTCCCTGCTTTCCATCTTAGCTCCTTTACAGGCTTGAAAAGACACCCTGGTGCCCTTAGACCTTCCTTCCCTTTTCCTAAGCACAGCTAGAACCCCCTTTTTCTGTTCCAAGGGCAATCGCCTCAAGACGATAGGGGCTACAGTCAGATTTGGCCCCTAATTCACTTGATTACATAAAAAACTCCAGATAATTGTTGGCCTGCCTCCTCATACTGTAGGCAGCATGTTTTGTTGTCTCCAGGGTACCACTGAGGGAGGAAAAGTAGACCTAAAGGACTAAGAGACTCCCCCCAACACACACACGTGTGAGGGCATGCATACACACACACACACACACACACACCAAGTAACAACCAGCAAGTGGTTCAAAAGGAAATAAATTCAAAGCACACCAATGTGATTTGTACAACTTAGTCCTGCTGTTGCCTTTCACTCCAGAATTTGGGGATAGGGGGAAGGGGTATCCCTGGCTTCCCTGCATACCCTAGATCTCTTCTCCCTCTGTCTTCTACTTCTAATTGCCTTTCTTCCTGAAATATGGATAAATCGTCCGAGAAGAAGGTCACCAACAGCCCTCCTCCCACCTTCTCCTAACAAACAAGCAAAAAATTAAGCAGGCCTTGCTAGGGCCTGGATCTCAGGACCAGAATTATTTGGGAGCCTTTGGCTTGAATGTATTCAGGTAATCCAGGCAAGATTTTTTGTTTCTTTTTTAGCCCCAAGGAAACAAATTTATTTAATTAATTTATTTCTTTACAGCCAGAGAAACTTGTTCAGGCTATCCCCATACGCTGCCAGGACCTGGGAGGTTATAGGAAGAGAGGGTGGTCCTTGACTCTCCCTAAGTCTCTTCGCAACACCTGGCAGGTCCATAATAAAAGTTAGAGAATAAAAAGGTAAAAGTCTTTTATTATCTCCAGGCATCAGCCTTTGAGGCCTATCCATAACAAGGGTACCTCCCAGGCCTCTGGCCAGTCTTTTTTCCAAGCCTAAACAAACAGAGAAGGCATCCTGACAGGTGACTTTGCTGCTTCAGAGTCACCAGCTCAAAACCTTCCTTCTTTTAAGAACTCAAATGTTGAGGGGATGTCTTCCTTAATCCCTCATCCCAAAAGAGCCCTAAAAGATGAAAGAAAACTATTCTCCTTCCCACTCCCTAAACTTGCCCCCTTGTCTACAAAGTAGGCAGGCCTACTCAGCACAGAGGAGGGAGAAGGGAAGAGAGAGAAAAGACAAAAAGAAGAAACTGTACCTAACTATAGAAAAGTGAGACACTCCCCACCCTCAGCTCCACTGAAGTGCCCCCAGAGGAGTCTGGTCTCTCTGCAGACTCAGGGGGAAGGAAGGGGACTGGAGAAATCAGCCTTAATCTTCCACATCCCCTCTTCTGAAGATCCCATACCCCAACCCCCTTGCTTGTTCTTCTAAGGACATTGGAAGACTAATGGAGAGCTAAGATTTGTGTGTTTGTTTAAAGTAAACTTAGGCAACTATAGAGAAGATGGGATGTTACCAGGCCAGAGAGGGAGGGGAATAAAAAGAAACCATCAGACATTGACGTAAAACTAATTCACATCCACTGGTTTATTATTGATCACGGGGCATTTCACATCGACACTAAAATTCTTTATTGCAAGTTTTACAATAATCAAGTAAATTCAGTCCAAAAACACAATAACCACGATAGGGGTGGGGAGAGATTCTACCTATAGACTGCCTCTCTGAACTGAAAGTTCATTTTGATTTTCTTTTGGCTCCTCAAACTGAACAGCTCTGAGAGGCTCTCCAGATGCATTTAGCTTTGTCTGCTGTCTTCGCCCCCTCTCCTCCCACACCCCCCCCCAACAATAATACAAAAGAACTTCATAGCTTTGTTCTCCTTAAAATGACTTCCCCCTCACTAACCTCCCCTGGTGCATTTTCAATGCAAAAGGCCTAAGGAAAGAGGGGGGGAAGGAGGAGGAGGAGAAGGATGAGAATTGGCTTTAAAATTTCTTTCCTTTTTTCTTTTCCTCATTTCCCCTGAAATTCACCCAAGCCAGACCATCACACCTTGCAATATATAATTTTTGCAGCTTTTTTTCTTAAAAAATAAATAACCCCCCAAAATGGCCTTTTAAAAAAAAACACCCAGCAGGTACCATGCTAAGACAACATCACATGCTTAAAAGGGTCCTTAACAGTGGGAGGGAGAGGAGGGCAGGGGGCTTGTTTGTTTATCTGTTTTGTCTGTTTGGAACTGACAAGGGACAAGGTGAGAGGAAGAGAGAAAAGAACCTATATATATATATATATATATATATATTAAATTCTATAAATAAGAGTCAATTTGTGTGTGAGGGGAGGGTGGGGGCATGGGGTGGGGGCAGGGGTGTGAGTTATGTTTTATAACCTGGTAATGTCCTCTGCCCGTTGCTGCTCCGGCGGCGTGGCGCTCTGGGAGTGGTCTTCAGAAGTACCCGGGGTAGCTGCCGAAAGGGTGCTGGGCGCAGCGCCGGCCGGGGGTGCTGACCTGACTTTGGTGTTGGGGAGTCGGTGGTCCTTCTTCCATTTCATGCGACGGTTTTGGAACCAGATTTTGATCTGCCTCTCAGAGAGGCACAGCGAGTGGGCGATCTCGATCCTTCTCCTTCGGGTCAGGTAGCGGTTGTAATGAAACTCTTTCTCTAATTCCAGGACTTGCTGCCGGGTATAGGCTGTCCTCGAGCGCTTGGGTTCCCCTCCGTTATAATTGGGGTTCACTGGGGGGAGGGGAAAAGCAAATAGTGGGGTTCAGAGGCAGCAGGCTCCCCGCCCCCCACCCTCACCCCATCCTCAGCTCTGAGAAACAGGAGGAGGGAGTGGTGGAAATAAAGTCATCAAGCTTAAATGGGTTATAAAGAAGTTGAAGGAAGCTGAAGACTTTGTAGTGTAATAAGAGGGGAATCCTCATTGTAACGACACTGAATTATTTATGCGCCCTTAGAAAGCGAGCATAGTTTTCACACATACATAACAGATCGTAGCACATGGCTCGGACTGCCCAGAGTAGCTAAGCCATAAAATTTATGGGGGATGTAATTACCCATTCTCGCTCGTAAATCCAGTTCAATTGTGCTAACCCAGAGTCGCTCCTGGAGAGAGAGGGGGAAGGAGAGAAAGGAGGACGGGGGCCAGAGGGGGCCGAGGAGGGTGGGGAGCGCTAGGGAAGAAGGGAGGGAGGGGGGGAGCAAAAAGCAAAGTTGCCTACCCGTGCTAACGTGAATTTTTTTCATCCATGGGTAGACTATGGGTTGCTTGCTGGCGGCGCTGGAGGGATGGTCGGGGGCTGGCTGGCTGCAGGCTGGCGGGGCTGGGGACGGGGAGGCGGAGGCGCCTGAGAGAGGCGCCGGCTCGCAGAGCGACTGTGATTTCTCGGGGTGGTGGTGGCCCGCCTGGGCCGGCCCGTGGCCTCGCGAATTGCCGGGCCCCTGGAGACTGGTGCAGCTATACTGGCGCTCAGGGTAGCTAGGGCGCGGAGGCGGTGGTGGGTACAGCTCCTGGTGGTGATGCTGGAATCCCGATTCCCTGGTCCGGCCGTAATATTCCGGACTGTGTTCAGGGATGTAGCTATTTTGCGAATATTCTTCGCATGGAGGAAATTTCGGATCGATGTAGTTAGAGTCCATCAAATACGAGCTCATGATCATTAATTTCTGGAGTGGAAAATAATTTTTCTCGCTTTGTCGTTTTTCTGCTCCATAAAGCCCTCCTACTAGCTAGCGACCCTGTAAAGTTACTTTCACCATGTGACTCCTCCGGCCAATCACACGGAGCAACCCAGTCCCCGGATAAGGAACCGAATCGCTTTATTCAAAATGTATCCAATTTTTTTGTGTGTGTGGTGGTGGTGGTGCTGGGAGGCGGGGGTGGGTGGTGATGTGGGGTTAGCTAGCAGAGGTTGGAGTGCCCCCAGTGCACATCCCGCCAGACTGACAACCCTCCCCTGCAAAAGGAGATGGGAAGCTCCCGGCTCCCCTCCAAAGCCCGGGCATTGGGGGACTGTCGGGAGGCAGTGATTCAGCCCCCGCCCAGGGTCTCCCCTCAGGCCTCTGCTGGGCCCCGTGGGCCTCGGCTCCTGAGCTTTTCCAGAGGTCTCCATTCATGGCGATCGTGTCTCAGTCTGTGTAGGTCACGGGGCAGCGCCCCTCTTTCGCAGGAAGAGGAAGTTGAATGAGGACTGGAGTGGATGTTGGATGGGGAGGGGCCCAGGCTGAGCCGAGGAGGCTGGAGAGCCTGGAGTGCCCCCCATCCAAGGATACCAGAGTCCAGCCCCTCTTCCCCATACACACTCACCCAACCCTCTGGCCATGCGGCCGGCGAGGCAGGGTCCCAGCTGGACCAGGCAGGTAGAGGCAGCGGGATGCAAATGATTCTGACGTCATTTCTGGAGGTCTGGGGGTTGAGCCCCCGCTGAAGAGAGACAGGAAGTGGTTGGCAAAAGCAGAGTTCAGAAGTCTCGCCTTCCCCTGCTACCCACTGACCCTCCCTGCCCCAGCCCCAGAGCAGAGGATCTCTTCTACTGCTGGCTTCTGTTTCCACTCCCCATTCAGCCCGGCCTGCTATTTTCTGACAATTATCTCCAAGGAGCTGGGGCAAGGAGGAGAGCTTTCTGCCAGGAGTCAGTGCCCTGTGATGGTGCCCAGCCAAGATCCTGAGAGTTCTTTCTCTGTCCCCACAGAGGGCAGACCTAGCTAAGAGGGAGGCCTGTGTGGGTAGAGCCTGCTTGCTTCTGGCTAGGAGCTGTATCCATGTAACACGTGTGTTTACATGTAAACACGAATTCCTAAAGGCCAGCTCCAGGCTGCTTTCCAAAAACGGAAGGCTAAGCTCACCAAGTTGGGGAGGCACGGCCAGCCTTTGGGGTCTCCAGCCCATTCACACCCCCTGCTCTCTCTCTGCCACCCACTCACAGTAATACTCTGATGGAGGGGGGTGACAGGGCCGTAGAGGAGGGAGGGGGCCAGGAAAAGCTGCTTTCCTAACCACCACCCCCCCCCCCCAGCTAGGGGTGGTCCTGTCATGCCACCGATTCCAATTAACTGATCGCCCATAACTCAGAGTTGCGGGGGGTAGCGGAGGGGAGAGCCCAGGGAGGGAGCCGGGTCCCCTTGTTGTACTTGATAACAATTATAGTTTAAAATCATAGCTTGCCAGGGCTCAGCTATATTTTACTTGATAACAATAAAAGTGACACATAAAGTTAACTGTTTATGTTTTATTTATTAGACTAAATCTGCCAGCGGTGGTAGGAGCGCTTGCCTCGTCGCTACAGCTTTTATAGGGCTGTAAAACGTCATAAATCAGTCTCGCGGAATCGCCCGCACTCTTTGTGTCGGCGGCGGCGCAGGGCTGGCGGCCGCTGGCTGCCTGCTCCCTCCTTTCCACGAAAAGTCGTAATGTGATTTTTTTTCCCTCTGATTTTATTATTATGATCGCCGCCGTGATTAGTCAATCTACCTTTAATTCGCCGCCCTACGCTACCTCCTCCCAGCCCAGCCTGGTTGACACTTGAATAAGTACCTTTTAAAACGGCATAACAACTATTTGAGGGTTTAATTAGAACATCTGCAATTAAGGGAATGAGGAGGGGAAAGGGAAAAAAAAAATAAAGCCCTTGTGAGAGGGAGACTGAAGGCAAGAGATTCCAATCCTTTTCTCATCACCTTTGGGATGTTGGAGAGGGTCCCCACTTCCAAATTAGGGCTTCCCCAAAGGGCTGGAATGAGAGGGAAGCTGGACCCACAGCCGTGCCCAAAGGGTGCGGATTCCCGCCTGGGCCCTCGTTGCCTTCCCTCCTCCAATGCTTAGGCCCCCAGCCCCACCCCAGGCTCAGCAGGGCCAGGGCTTAGCTCCCAAGGAGCTGGTGCTTGGTGGTCCCTGAATACTCTCTCTCCAAGAGGACAGTGCCCATCCCCACTGTAACCAGGCCAGGTGAAGGAACAGGAGTTCCCCAGAGGCTGAACACCTCTAATGGAGATTCCCAAATTCTCAGAGTTGGCTGAGAACCCTTGCCCACTCTTGTCCGGAACTCTCTGCATGTGAGGACAGGCTGGTTTGGTTGGAGAGGAAGTTGAGACTGTGAGTGAGGGGGCGGAGGAAGGCTACTGCTTGGTTAATAGTGGTTTGGGTTGTGTGGGGTTGTCTTAATCATTGGTGGTGGGGGTGGGTTCATTATAAATTGCTGGAAGAGGGCAAAGGGAAACCAGTGCTGAATCCTAGTACCTAAGTCTGAACTGTAGTCCCAGATGGCTCCACCGGGAAGTCCAAAGCTCAGCAAACTTTGGTGCCATGTGGAGAGGGTTGATGAAGAGGGAGGAAACCTTCCCGGCCCCACTCCCAGTCTCCCTTCTAGGCCTGTACCTGGATGCGGCTGCCTCACCTGGAAAGGTGAGCTGTGAGCCTGACTCTCATCCTCTCAGCCCTCACACTCACCTTTTACCATCCGTGCCCTGACGCTAACCCTCTTTTCTTCAATCTTCACCCTCCTGTACTTGTTAAGGAGTCCTCCCCAATATGTTGCCTGTCACATCCCACCCCCGCCAGGTTTCTGAGCTTCTGCAGGGGGGTCAAGGAGACTGACTTTGGGCCAGTATAAGTAGTAGACACAGAGGGTTCAGATGCCCCCAACTGAATGTCAAGTCTGTCTTTGGTTATTATGGTTAACATATATGCGTGCACACTATTAATATTTATTAATATATTAAATGCCTCTTTATGCAGCTATAAATATGTAGAGTTTTCATTCCAGGTTCGTGCAGCTAATTCAACATGCACATCCAGAAAGTGAAATCTCCAAGATTCCCCCAAATGTGCCCACACTCATCTACATCATTTACAAAACAACAACAGCAACTCTCTTTGGGCTCCTATAGCTTAATAGCAAGGAAGTCGCCTGTCACATGGGTAAAATACCACACACATACACACAAACATTTTCACCTGGATATTATTACAAGCACAGAAATAAAATCCGTTGGAAGGGCTTTTGCACTTAGCAATGGCTTAATTGGGAGGGGGTGGGGGTACTAAAGCAGCTCTCATCTGTGATGAATCCTTGTATCTGGTCCTGTCTTCTTTTGTGTTTCACCCTCCTGCCTCCCGCCTTGCTGGCCCAGGGGCTGCACCTCTGCCCTGTCCTCAACCTCACTTTGCCCCAGTTTTATTTATTTTTATTTTTTCTGACTACCTTTTGCCAGCATCCAAATGCTCTCTGCAATTGCCCCTCCACCCCATCTCCTTTCTAAATCTCGATTTGGTTTCTCTTTCGGAAACACGTTTCAGTACAAAGCGCTTCCCTTCTGACATCGCTGAAGAAAAATATGTGTCCATTGTGTGTGAGGCCTTATTGTGCCTGGATTACCATACTGACCGTTGGATAACCCATATTCCTCCCCTCCCCAGTAACAAGCTGCCGGCTGAGAGAGCTCAGCGGCTCCATAGATTCTCTGCTGCATTAAAATCGTACCCCTCTCTGATTTTTCCAAGGGAGAAAAATAAATGGGTGAACCAATTCAGGATTTGGAGGGCAAAGGGAAGGAAAATGAGGGTCATTCCTTTCCCTACTCTTTGAAATGCAGGGTTTATGTGTGTGAATGTTGTTGTTGTTGTTGTTTTAGGGATTAAAAATTGCAACATTTCTGTTTCCTTTCACTCATATAAATTGAATTTTAGATGGTATGCAATCAGGCAATTCATTTCACTTTGATTTTTTTTTCCTTTGGGCAACTTGAAAACCCAAAACTAAATCAAGGCTCATAGCCCATTTTTTTCGTGTGTGTGTGTGTGTGTGTGTGTGTGTGTGTGTGTGTGTGTGTGTGTGTGTATGTGTTTGTCCCTTTCTAATGCCGGCAGCCAGGGCTAATGTATGCAAAAGAATATGCAAATCTTAATTGATTTTTTCTTAAATCTCTTGTCAGTAAAAGTAATGAATTGGTCTAAAATGATTTTAATAACCTGGATGTGTCACCAGAAAATACTCAACCTTTTTTCTTCTCCTGGAATCGCTTATAGTCTCAAAAAAAAAAAGCAATCATGGAATGTTAATTTGCCCCCCTTTAAAATATTAAAGATGAATTTCTCTTGTTTGTTTGGAGACCTTAGGCAAGGTCCTCTCATGGATTTCTCTTGCCTTGCCTTGCCTTCCTTGGAATTCAATTTTCCTCAAATCTCGTTTAAAGTGGCTTTTTAAAAAGTGGCCGCATTTTAATATTGGTTAGACAGAGTGACCTGCATTTCACCTCGGGTGTTTGACTTGTTCCAATAGTTCACTGCCATGGGGTTATTGATGGGGAAACTCCATTGAAATTTGTCTCTTCGCAAATGGCCTTTAGATCTTCCAGCGAGTTCAATAACTAGTTATAATGTGGAAGGGGAAAAATGAAGGCCCTGGGCTAACGAATCTGATGTTTCATTTTTATGCTGGAGAAATTGTTAGTTAGAGGTTGGGTTCCCCACCACCTTCCTCCCTCATCCCAGCCTCATTGACCCCCACCCCTCTTCAAGACTGCTGGATGATATCCTTTTTAAAATTTGGTTTGGGGTGTCCCTTGCTAACTTTGATGCAAGCTTTACTTCTTATTATGAAAATTGTTGTTGTTGAAAATTCTGATGTGTGGATGCAGGAACCTTGCTGTGCGGCAGGTTGGTGACCTGAATTTCTTGCTGGGGAGGGGGACTTTTATTTTTCAAGGAACCTAAATGTGGCTTGAAAAGATCTAGAAATCAGGCTGGCCTTAGGTTAGTTTATGGAGGGGTCCCTGGCCTGGTACTCCCAGTATTAAAGAGATGACAGGAAGCTGGAAACACTTTTAAGAGTTTATGAGGGTATCTCAAAGTGCCTTAATCTGTTCTTGGCCTCTGAACTGCCAGAGACCCATGAGATTATGCACCCAAGACCAAAGAAGGCAGAGACTGGGAAAAACTAAGGATAGAGAGAGAATTCTACAGTAGGCAAGGGAATCCTGGGTCCTCTCCAGGGTCAGCATCAGAATTCATGAGGACTTGGTCGGGTCACCTCTGTTGCTTCACAAGAAGGGTGCTCCAGAAAAACTCAATTCCCAAAGACCGTGCATTTTAGTAAACTGGAGAGAGCCAAGGAAAAATAAGTGGGGTGATGGAGATTTTATAAGGTTTCCCTTTTTCTGGAGTTTTTAAGGGAGGGAGAGGAAAAGGCAGAGGAGAGGATTGGAGGTCTTTATTTTATTTTCCCCAACCATAGTGAAGTTGGGGAACCCTTGACTCCCCCAGAGAAACCTCTGTGAGAAAGAACTTTGGAGAGCGCGGTCTCCTGGGCTGACCCAGCCATACCAGATCATTACCATGATTAACCTCAATAATAAGATCTTCCCCTCACAAAACACAGCTCCCGGTGTGCCTTTTTTTCTCTTCCAGGAGCTGTTCTTTCTCCTTTCCAGCCCAAAGGGGTCCAGTTTGCTCAGCCCCAAGCTCTCCCTTTAATAACCCCGTCTGCCTCGCACACCCCTTCCAAGCCTCGGCCCATAGATCAGAGTCTTTCCGGGCATGCTTTGAATCCTGGGTTGGAGGAATCAAGGCCGAGAGAGATTTCTTAGTGCCTGAAACTGGGGTGTCACCTCCCTCCATCCCCTCAAACCCAAAGGCAGCATCTTGATGCCATTTGGGTTCGCAAACTTGCCTTGGCAAAATCGTGGCACCAGTGGGATCTGGGGAGCGGCCTTCAACTGCAACTGCGCGTCTCAACCCCACAAAAACGGGAAAGTCGGAGAAGGGGCCATCGGAGGCTTCAGGGTCTGGCCTGGGAGAGGGCACCAGAGTCTGCTCTTCCTAGCCAAGCGGGAATCAATAGCGATGTGTTATAAACTTCCCCGAAGCCCCTCCGCGCGCTCTGGTCCTGGCGGGCGAGCCACGTCCCTAAGCCGCTCGCCAGCCTCGGCCTGCACCTTGGCCGCCTCCTCCGAACCCGGGACCCCCAGCCTTGGGCTTCGTCCCCTCCCTGTTTTAATTACGTGATTGATTTCCGCTTTGGCCGCCTCGGGACGCCTCTGCCTCCGACTGTTTAAATCTTTCGGCTCCTTTTGTGTATTTCCGAGTCCTCCCGGCGGGCTGTAATTTACAGGCGGCCCCTCGGCGGCCGGCGCGCACCTCGCGGCCTGGGTCCGGGGCGGGCTTCGGCCTCGCCCTACATTCCAACGAAATGGTCCTGCCGCGGTGCTCGGGAGACCGGCTCTGCAGCGGCCCCGCGGCGCGGGACTCTCAGGCTGTGGTCCTGCCCATTCGCTTTCTGAATTATTTTGTGCTCCATTATTCTCTGATAGGAAAACGTTCCCTGTGTGGGTTATCCCTTCAGGCCTGGCCTCAAAGCTGGGCTCTCCGCGGTCCTGTGCTTTTCTCCTCCCCCGAATGAGGTGTGTGTTGAAAGGTCTGGATTAAGCCCGGAGGAAGCGCGACGCCTGGCTCCAGGCTTGCGGGGAGCTAGAGCCCCTTCGCCTCAAACACCTGGGCCCTGCGCTGGCGGGCGAGAAGCACCAGAAGAGATGCGAATTCGGCCACAACTTTACGCCAGTCAGCGCGAGAGGGACCACAGGGCTGGCGGTCCCCACTGCGGCCCCTACCCCGCAGTAGGCGGTGGATCTGACTTTCGCTCCACAGCCCAGAGGCCTCCTCGCCCTGGCAGCCCCAGCGGGCACCTGGCAGCAGCCTGGGGTGGCTGCGCGCACCTCCGCCCGGGAACACGCTGTTCAGCCCCTCCACCCAAGGGATTGAAGGTGAGGCGAAGGAAGGGAAAGAGGGGAGAAATTGATGAGAAGGGTAGACTTAGGGTGGGGAGAGAAAGGGGAAGACAAGAAATGAAGAAAAGGAGCCCCTTCTCCCACTGTGGCTGACTTCTTTCCCTTTCTCTTTTTCCTCCCCAAACTGCTGGTTTTCCACTTATTCTCTCATTTATTTACAACAAATAAACATTGCTCTGCTTATTCTACCACGTTGTGTTCATTCTTTGATCTTTTCTAACGAGGCAGCAATGAGTTACCATTAACTGTGTATATATATATATATATTTCCCTCAAGGAGAGAAGGGGATTGGGAATGTCTTTCTGACTGGGAAGAAGTTCAGTGACACTTGAGTTGGCCACAACCTTCTCCCTGTCCCCTGACCTACGACACCCCAATACTTGTCCCCCAGGCCCCCTCCCCCACAGCAATGTTGCCGGGTAAATAAGAGTCCGCCTGCCTGGCTATTAGGATTCTGGAGACGTTGGCATCTGTAGCAATCATTAGTCAAAGCCGCGGAAGCCAAAGGAGCCGAGGAGTTGGACAGAAAAAATCTTGGAAATGATATACAGGAGACGCGGAGGCATCAATCCCAGCCGATAAGAGCGGGGCTGCTGGGCGCAAGGCGGCCGCTTAATTGGGCCCTGGGCACCGAGAACAACTGGGGAGGAGGAACCTATGGGTTGTGCAGTAACCCTGGCATCATTTGGGCACCCTATAAAAACAGTTGGGGACTTGATCCCTTTTTCCCCCACATTTCAAAGGCCCAGTGGGGGGTGTAGGGAGATATACAAGCCCCTGTCAGCCTCTTGCCCTGGGGATCCAACAGGAACTGGGCTGGAGGACTCTCCCCTTTCTTCTCTCCCCCTTCTTTTTAGTGGCTACCTTGAGAGGTAGGGAGCTTCGGCTTGGATCTCAGGTCACAGAGGCAGCCTGGAGGCAGTCTATGACCCCTAGAGTAGGTTTTCGAGGGACAGATAACTTAGTGGGACTAGATTTTGGAGATGGCCTTAGAAATAGAGACAGAATTACTTGCTTTAATAAGCCAAACATCCAAAATATATTTGTTCCCTACCCCCACTCACCTAATATCTTTTTATATCATAGACACAGAGATAGAGAGGGAGACAGAGAGATGCAGTAAGTTTAAGTCCTTCTAGAAGGGAGATCTATGCCCCTATACACAGATGCATGCATTATGAAACCATCTCTAAACATATGTTCAAACATGTAAGTTTTTCAGCAAAAATGCAAAGACTGTAAAGATCTCTAAATATGTAGCTTCAATATGTAGCTATTTTATGGGTTAGGATCCTTGCATAAATCTAGATAAAATTTTCAAAATAGACATTGAACACACACATAGTTCTTTCCAACAAAGAAAAAAATTTCCAAATATTCACTTAGGTGTTTCAAGAGAGCTGTACCAATACATCCTAGCATATACATCCAACCACTATAGAAAGATTGGTAAAGTGCACACAGGAATTTGACCGAGGACTGTTATGTTCACTATGGATCTATAAATCTGCATTTAAATGTGGAACAAAAAGGAATATAAAACATACATCCTGATATAGACATAGAACGATCTATAAATACGTTTTCACATATATAACTATGGGAGCGCTCAGCTCTCTGTGAAGATTATTTGCATGGAGTCCTAGGAATGAAGAGGAATCTCTAGTGCTTGTGGGTTTGGGGTATCCCAGCCCAGGCTTCTCTGAGAAAGAAATGAGGGTGGACTAGAGACTTCGCAAGTGCTAAGAGGGCCCGGAACTCATATAATCTATGACATATTTCCAGCATATAGGGGCATTTTGCTGGCAATGAATATAAGCCCTGATGCCTGGGCCTGAAAGCTTCCTGACCTGATCTGGCTTGAACTAAGGCTGAATTAGAGGGCTCTTAACTTTGTTTTCCTTCAGCTCTGTAGCCCCAGGCACAAGGGAGGGACTTGCCAGCCAGGGGGTGGGGGATCCTTAGGAGGGGAAGACTCATTATCATTAGGAAATGGAGTTATTTAGGTAAAATATATTGTTTGTTTGGTACATAGAGATGTGAGAAGGCTGGGGGCTTACACACACACACACACACAAACACACACACTCACACACCCCTGCACCCATCTTAATTACAAAAAAACCCAGTGACAGACTGCAGAGTTTCCTCCATTCATGCGGTACACGATGGGGTTCCCCTATGCCCCGCTGCCATCTCCTCTTATTCCTAGCTCCTATGAACTCTGTCTTATACATCTGAAGTTCTACCTTGTCAAAGGGGGTTTGGGGCTTGGGGAAAGAGTGACAGGGAGAGATCAGCCCCAGAACAGAAGAGTCCTGATATCTACAGCCAGGCTCTGAGGCTATTTACTGTCAATGTTAGTTCCTTTGTGACTGAGGGGTTGGGGGACCAGGGACTGCATGGGCAAAAGGAAATGAAACGTTGCATTATTTTTTAGGGGAAAACTTTGAGGGAAAAAAAAATCACCAATTAGCCTTTTAAAAAAGAAATTGGAGTCAGAGGATTTTGAAGACTCCAGATGCTCTGTTATATTTCTCCTTTAGTTTACTGGGGAAGGGAGGAAAGGAGGGGCCTCAGGTGGGCTTGGGGAAGTGCAATCCAATCTGCCAAGCCAGCTTTGGGGGAGAGTGATTTACAAAGCAAAACCTCAGATGCTACTTCCTGAGAAGTCACCAGATCAAAACACCCTACTCTAGGCGTTTATGACCCTGTCTTTACTCCCAACAGGAAAAGCACCCTCAATAAAACCTCAGCCTGTGCCCCCATCCTCCACCCAGGGGATGGGGAGAGACACAACATAAAATGAAAGACCTGACCCTTACTACTCCCTAAACACACACACACACACACACACACACACACACACACACACACACACACAGCCTGTGTTTTCCAGCCAGAAAGTTGACTTTTAAAAGAAGTATTTACTAGACAAGATTTATCTCTAATGTCTGAGCAAGGGAGCCCTGAGGAGTTTGGAGTTTGAGCTTGGAACAGAAGGAGAGGGGGATTAGATCAGATAAGATTCTGGCCTCCTTGGACCCTCCATGTCTCTTCAACTCCTGACAACTCAATCTGGGCCAACACAACACTGAAGATCACAGAAAGCCTGGCTGCCACCATCCCTGGAGTCAGCTCTAGCGTTTGAGTTTTCCAGAAAGGCAGAAGGAAGGAAACTCAACAGCTGCGCAGGGCTTGAGGGGTGGGGGTGGGGTGGGGAGGACAAATGGTTTCCAAGCTGGGCTGACGGGAAGAATGGAGTGGGAGGGAGGAGTGGGAAGTTGGTTCCATGCTGGTTACTGTGTCCAGCCCAGGCTTCTGACCTCTACCATACCATCCTTGGGCACATATATGTGTTTCTGTGTGTTCAGGTATTCTGGTGTTCAGGGCCAGGGGCTGGGGTAAATGAGAATCTTTAGAGGGCAGAACCAAGCCTGAACTGCCTCTCTGAGACCTGTGGTGCAGAACTGAAAGGATCCTAGGTGACCAGGCTACACATTTCACCCAGCCCATATGGGGTTGCAGATCACTGTAGAACTTTCTCTGTACATGTGTACAGATGCAGAGAAGCAGCCTTCTCCCTGCACTTGCTCCCCAGCATGCCTGGAGCAGTGGACCGGCTCAGGGCCCAGCCCAAGTGTTCAACCTCTTCTCATAGCTGCTAAAATGTGGTCCTTAGAGGCTGAACAAGGTCCTGCATAACCGAGTCCAATTTTCCCAAGTCCCACATTGCACACCCATACCGCTTCCTCTGAGGTATCTCTGTTCCCCTTTTGCCTCTCAGTGAACCTTAGGATTGGGAGAGGGAGATGATTACAAGGGTTGTGTAGGCCTCAAAAATAAAGAGATTTGTATCACCGAAGTTCCTCAACCCAGACCTTGTCTGGCAATTCCTTGGGCTCCTGGAGCCCCATCAAAGCTGCTAGCAGAGATAGTATCAGTACAGACACACCAATGTGGGTCACAAGGAGCCAATAAAAGTTGGGAGGGGTAGGAAAGGATGTGACTTTCTTGGCTCTCAAACAGCATCGTCTTCTCCTTAAATTGAATCATTCACCCCAAAACCCTAGTTTGGCACCCTGATTTCAGATTTTCTTTCTCCTTCACCTCAAAGGGCTTCAGGGGCCCTAGTCCCACTAAAGAAGAGGCTCAGGGTGGTGGTGCTTGTCTTCTCAGCAAAAAGGACCTAATTAAATCCTAGAACAATGATGTTTCAGCATTCCCCCTCTCAAAAACTCAGTCCAAAGCAGTTACAGAGAACGACAGTCAAAAAGAGAAAGTTTACCTTTTTGAGGCACTCACAAGGAGGGGTCGAGGCACTCACAAAATCTCTTTTCCCAGTGCCTGTGTGGATAGAACCAATCTCCCCCTGTCTTTGTTTCCTAACTCTTCATGAGATCTGGTACCCCAGTGTGAGAAGTCCACATTGAGGGTGAGAGTTGGTCTCCAACAATCTGCCACACCATTCACTGGGGAAGAATAAGTGTGTCCTTTAATTCTAACTCATAAAAGAGGCAAATGGGGCTGGCCACGGTGGCTCATGCCTGTAATCCCAGCACCTTGGGAGGCAAAGGCAGGCGGATCATCTGATGTCAGGAGTTTGAGACCAGCCTGACCAACACGGAGAAACCCTGTCTCTATTAAAAATACAAAATTAGCCAGGCGTGGTGGTGCATGCCTCTAATCCCAGCTACTCAGGAGGCTGAGGCAGGAGAATCGCTTGAACCCAGGAGGCAGAGTTTGCGGTGAGCTGAGATCCTGCCATTGCACTATAGCCTGGGCAACAAGAGTGAAACTCCATCTCAAAAAAAAAAAAAAAAAAGAAAAGAAAAGAAAAGGCTGGGCGCGGTGGTTCACACCTGTAATCTCAGCACTTTGGGAGGATGAGGCGTGTGGATTACCTGAGGTCAGCCTGGGCAACATGATTAAATCTCATCTCTGCCAAAAATACAAAAATTAACTGGGTGTGGTGGTGGGCACCTGTAATCCCAGCCACTTGGGAGGTTGAGGCAGGAGAATCACTTGAACCCAGGAGACAGAGTTTGCGATGAGCCGAGATTGTGCCATTGCACTCCAGCCGGGGCGACAAGAGTGAAACTTAGTCTCAAAATAAGCAGATGGAGCAGTGTGGTTGAAGGTAACTTGAAAAGTGAGGGCTCAATGATTTCTGAGAAGAGCTGCTCTTTTTCTGGCTTCTCATCCTTATCCTTCCCACCTGGCCTGTGGCATTGTCCCCAAACCAGCTCCATCCAGAAGACAAACAATGAGGGGATTGTTGACAAAGCCCAGCTCAGTCCGGACTATCCTTCCCATTCTTGTACTCTTAATGCCCCCAGGGGGGTGCTTAGAGGTCCAGGTGCCACAGTCCATCAGAACTCCTGCCCCTTAGCTCAAAGAGGGCAAGAGATCAGGAAGAGAAGGGGAGGAGAACCCAACCAGAAAATTCACTCTGAAACAAAGCTCTAGAGAAGTGGCTGGGGGAGAATACCTGGGTCTGGACCCAGCAGTGGACTGGCTCAGGGCCCAGCCCAAGTGTTCAGGAAACACAAGCATTTCTGTCATAGCTGTGCACTCCCTGTGCCATCAGATGCTCTTACTCAGCAATAGTTTCTCGCCTATTGCTTGTTCTTGGCCTAATCCATGTAAACTCAAACACTGAAATCCACACCTTCAGTGGCTGTACCTTTTGATGGCTATTGGCCAGGACATAGGATCATCACCTAGTCTATTATTATTATTACTATTATTATATCCTGTTAAAAGAATGGAAGGGAAGGGGTTTAAACAAATCCATCAACTATTTAATGTGGAGAGTGAGGAAAGTCGGAATTCTCTGTGCTCATTCCTTTCCAGAACCCTTAACTAGCTCAAAGTTATTCGACAAACGAAAGGTACCAATCAGAACTTTCAAAAAATCTCCACTTTTGCTCCCTTCCCTAACCATGCCTGAGGCAGTCTGATAAAGCTAATGGCTATTGGAGCATTTCCAGAAAGAGAAATCAAAAGGGCTCTCCTCTCACCCCACCTGCCCTCATGAAAATCAGAAGAGAATGAATACTTGTAAGTGTATGGGGAATAATCACAGCCAGAATTTGAATTCAGGGCTGGAGTTCATATCTGTATTTGCTCTATAGTCTAATTTAGAGTCTACAACTACAACACCCAGAAAATTGGGTAGAATCACGCTGGCGAACGTGGGAATAATCCAGAGGATGCCCCCACAACTTCACATCCTTGTGCATTTGAGATTGACTCCCAGATACAACTTTGTAAGCAACTGAGGAGACAAGCCAAAGACTCCTCAGAGTTGGTTCAGGGACTGACAGAGGAGGCTAGAATATGCTGGGTATCACTCCAGCCTTCCAAATCTGAGATAGGATAAACCCAGGAGCTAAGGCTGTGGTGGGAAGGGAGGGAGGGAGGAAGGAACAGGGCCGGATGGGAAGAGCGAGACAGAGACCCAAGTAGTTTTTGCTGATTGGTTGGTGGGGACCATGTGACCCTGCTTAGTGCATTTCTGATTGGTTGCTTGACCTCTCCTTGGGTTAAAGTCCTAGGAACAAAATTAAAAGCTTCCCGGGTTGGCTGGAAAGCTTGGCACCTGATTGCCTGCCCACCCTCCGCTCCAGAGACACTCCAAATTAGGGTTTGGGGTAGTGGGTGGGAAAACCAAGAATTTCAGGCCTCCTTTGCGTTTGCCCTGTTTCCAGGTGGAACTAGAAACTTTTTAGAAAACAGTAAAAAACTGAGGCAAACTATTTGAGGGGAAGGAGAATCAATTATCACAGGAAGAGGGGTGGTATTTAAATGGAACTTTTGAGCCTAAAGAACAGAAAAGGGGGTGAAGAAGTCATCAAAGGGCTCAAGGGACGCTATGTAAATCTTTAAACACCCTCGAATGCCCGTCTACACAGAGAGGAAGGGAATGGGACTGAGATTTGGCCGAGAGTCAGGGCGGGTGTCAGGGTGGAGTCTTGCCTGGGTGTGGGACTTCGGCCCTGGCTAAATTCCCGGTTAAAGACCACTGCACTCGCTCCCTAGAGCCCTGGGGAGGCTGGAGGGTGGGGAAGAGTCAAGTTACAGACCAAGAGAAACTCCCATGTCTCCGCTGCTTGGATAGGAAAGTTTCCAGAAACTCTCAAAATCACAGACTAGAGGGAAGGAGAGAGCCAAGAAGGACGGGTAATGAGGAAGGGAGAAACTGATAATTAGTTTTTTCCAATGCGTTGCTGGAGAGAATTCCCTGGGATCCTAGGAAAATAAAGGTATCAGGGAGGAGGGTGGGGGAGGCTGAATCTTGGCCGAGACTGAGGCCCTGAGGGATGGCGTCAAGGGAATCCTCCATGTCGGGTTCCCGAGCTCCTCATGCAAGTGAGAGACCCCTAGACTGAAGAATGGGGCTCAGCTAAGACTCCCCATTTATTTGGGCCTCTGTGCCCCCTTCCTTCTCCCAGAGTCTGCCTGCTTCTCGCTTCTTCCCCAGTCCCTTGAGCAGCGGGGGCGAGGCTAACAGCATTCCCTCCTCATCCCCCAACAGCACCTCTCCACAAAGCAGATGCCCAGACACCGCTGCTCCCCAGGCATGCTCCCCTTCTGGAAGGTGCATATCTGGCTCACTCCCTCTGCTCCCCACCCCTTTCTCCCAGCCTGGAGGAGTTGCACCTATGGGTCCGCTGGCATTCAGCCCTGCTTCCAAAGCCCTGGCTATTCATGGCTGGCCAGTACAGGAGCCTGAATTCACATGTTGTCACTTTCCTGGCTTAGCTCCCGGTGACGCACAGGGAGGGATAGCAATTGCAGGTGTGGAAGACATGTGCCTCTCATGCCCAACGCTTCTGCTGCTCCTTCCTAGAAACCTGAAGGGCGCCCTAGCCTGAGGATTGACCCCAGGGTGCAGTGCTCATATTGGGCCCTGCTAGCTCCATCCCCGAGGGGCTACTCTGTCCTTAAGGTTGGGGGACTTACTTTCCCAGCCTAGCAAAGACATTGCCTCTGCTCCCTCACCCATTCAACACACAATTACACTCCACTCACAGCAGGAACCTCTAGGGCTCTTAGAGCCTAGTTTTATCTCAGGCAAGGGCTGGGAATGCCAGGAAGACCCAAGCAGCTAGAAGGAGAGGAGGAAGCATGAAACCACACTGGCTTCAGACGGACTAAGATGCCAAACTACGGAGGCTGAGACAGCTGCCCATCCAAGCCTGGTAGTGAGGGAGGGAGGGGGCACTCTGGGACCTCTGGGTTCAAACAGCCACCTTTGAGATACTTTTGCCAGTTCAGGCAGCAGTAGCCTGTGGGCGTAGAAGCCACAAAACCCTCCTTCCCTGCCTTTCTCCCCAGTTTCCCACCTTGGGCCACTGGCCAAGGGCTGAACTCACCCCTCCCTGGAACAGTGGGCCCCAGAGGCATTTTGAGCTTGTGTCTAGAGTTTACATACCCGTACAGACACCAAACACCCTTGTTGCTGCCGCTTGCTTTCTTCTCAACTGAAAGGGTCAGGAAGACCTGGCAAATCTCTAAACAACCAAGGCCTCTCTACCCCAGTTGACTTGCAGTCAGAGAGAATAAGGAGTGGGAAGGGGAGGGCTGCTCAGGGTAGACAAGCTCCCCCATCTTCCTACTTCCCAGCAGCTTTTTCTGCTGCTTCTTCTCTTCTCCCACCCCAGCCTGGGAAGGCCTTTTCCCCCTCCCCCTAATAAGTGGGAGCTGCCTTCTATCAAGTGAGGGGGGTGGTTAGGTAAATGGGAGAAAGGGTCTGAGAGAGAGAAAGAGAGAATTAACTCACAGCGTTCGCCTGGGATTCATTTGCGAAGATGTAACCTCTCTCACCATCGTCCCCAGCGCCGTAATCCCCTCTAACTGCCAGGCCCTCTGTCCTAGCATTAAACCTCACCAGCAGCTGCGTGGCTGGACAGTTAAGATTATATATGATGTAAATATATTGTGGGTTTGTCAGCTCTCCCTACACCATAAAACTTGGTTTAATGATATCACGTGGTCCCCCAAGAGCCACTCACGGGCTTGCCTTCAGGCTATTCACATAAATAACCTCCAAAAGTTTCAAACTCCTAAATTCACATAGAAGCATGCCTATTTCTCTAATGCTCAGTTACACTAAAAAGCCCTGGTGCTGTTCCTTTGCCCCACCCCCACATCCCCCTTGCAGGGTGGAGAGGGGGGAGAGGGTGGATCCTTATTTATTTATTTACTTACTTATTTCCATAAGGACCTGTCGCCTTCGAGGTCGTGTTGATCTTTTTGTCCTCTTATTTTTTCCTCCTCTTTCCTCTAATTGCTCAGAGTGGGCCGTGTCCCCCCTCTTCCCACTCCCCCGGGAAGGTAAGTCATGCTTCTTCCCCTTCTTTCTTGCTGCCAGAGGGGGTGGGTTCCAGGGCAAAGTGGAGAGGCAGGCTCCATAGTCTCTGCTTGCAACCCAGAAGACCCCTCCATAAACTCCCCCAGAGCAATGCCAGACCCTGTTACCTGGAAATATGTTCTAGGAGGCTGGCTGGTGGGGAAACTACCCCAGGCCCCAAAGCAGAAGCCCCTGTTCAGGGAGAAATCAGGGATCTGGGCCTTATGCACCCTCAGCGTAGGGAAGTAGGTACGAGGCCTCTGGCTTGGTTGCCGCCGCTGACTCCCGACGATGCTGCAGAAGCCAAGGCTGGTGCCTGGGCAGACCTGCAGATTGTGACAGGAAGGAGGAGGGCAGGCAGGCACTCTGTGTCTACCCAAGCCAAAATGAGTCAGACCTTCAGCTCCTCCAGGGAAGGAGAGGCCCAAACCCTGCCGGGAGGAGGCAGTCAGTGCACGGTGGGGCTGGTGTGCCCTGCCTGGCAGCTCTAACCAACATTGCCCCTATCTATGACAAAGCCCTTGGTTTTCCCCTGGGGTGGTGCGCCTGTCCCCTGGGGAGGAAGCACAGGGCCTGGGCAGCCTGGGAGGCTGGAACAGGTGGGTGCGGGTGCCACAGCCTCTTTCTTAGTTAACTGTTACCCACCGGAGACGCCAGTGCTTCTCCACGCTTCACTGCTCACTCAATAGTTTTACTCAGCATGGAGAAAAAATTAAAATAACTCCCTGAAGAAAATTACACATTTTATTTCAGAGAGAGAGAGAGAGAGCACTGGTCTGGGTTAACTGCTGTGTGCAAGTTGAGGAGAGACAACAGGCGCCCTAACCTGGCCTGAGTGCAGTGCGAAGGGGAAGGGTGGTAGTTGTGGGCACTGTTCAATAAGCATTTGTTGAGACTGCCTATGTGCCAAGCATGGGGTGAGGAAAGGCTCTTGGGTCTTTTAAAAAATGACTGATGGGTAGCTTAGGCAGTGGGATGCAGCGAAGTTAGTCCTTATAATAAATCCAAGGAGCATCAGCATTAATAATCATAAATATTCCCCTGCCCCTCCCCAGAGCCCCTCTGCTCCCCTTTCTTCTTGGCTGCTGGTGCAATCCCTTAGCCAAGCTCCAGACCCTCACCCCACCAGTGTGGGGGGCCTAGGCTTGGCTCCAGGAAATCACCCTGTTGTGGGAGGTGGGAGAGGAAATGCAGTAAAGTTTTATGGACCCTTCCCACATTTGTTTCTACTGTAAAGTGCTTCCTCCCCCAGCCCATCCCAGGAGCCTGGAGAAGGACCTGATCCTCAGACACTACCTGAATTATCTGCCTCCTCCCACCCCCACTTTTAACCCATCCTCCCCTCCACACAAAATCCCAGAGACTGAGATAAATGATGGCAGACAGACGTGACTCCAGCACTGGTCTATGCAGCTCCTTTCCCAGTTAATTGTCCTGCATAGCCCGAGGCCCTAGAAGGTGGTGGAAACAGTCTGAACATTTCCTGCCAGGCTGATACACACTGCAGATTGTCCTCCCTGCTCCCTCTTCCCCAGTATCTTAGATACTGAGGCACACCTCCTCCAACTCTCCCAACACCCCCTTACCAAGCAATACCACCTCCCTCTAGAGGCCCTTATGAGACCAAATGGGTCCCTAGAGTGAGGGCTCAGCCCTCCCTCTATGTCCAGCAAGGCCTCTCAGGGACCACCTAGGCCCAGGAAAGATCTTCAGAGGCCCAGAAGGTCCTAAGGCTGAGCACGGTGGAGCCACTGGTTCCTGCACCGCAGCTTTGGCACACAGTGGGGGCTGCTGCCAGTCCAGAGGCCTCCTGGAGTGCAGAGGCGTGAAGGCCTTGGACAGCCACAGCATGGGAAAAGCCAGTACTCGAGGCCTAGGTGCCCTTCTCTTCCCCCAGAGGCTCTTGTTGCAGCCAAGGAACAGGAAAGGAGCTCAATTTCACCTCCCTCTACTCACTGCCCCTAGAAGCTAGAAAATTTTTTAAAGGGGTGGCTTAAAGTTTGTGGGTCTCCTTCTACATCTCACAGCCCATTTAGACAATTTTACCCAATACATGCCCCAAACAGACAGGAGCCACTGCATCTTTAGTCCTGTTCTCTCTTTATTTGATATGACAAAATATAGTTTCAGGAAGGACCCAGAGTCAATAAATAGTTGGACAACAGCAATGGGTCAGGAGGGCACAGAAATTCGTGGCAGGGACTATGGGACAGCAAAGGGCCTCTAGGACCACTTGCTGGGGTCCAGTGCCAGGAAACCCCACTAGTTGAGCTAGCTAGCAGGCTGGGGCTGCCGGCCTGAGAGGGCATGCAGCAGGCGCAGGCTGGGGAGGTTCCCGGGTTTTGGGGGGAAGAGGTTGTGGAGATAAGGTTTGGAAAGCATAGAGCAACTGTGGGGGCCCTAGGCCGATGCTCTCCTTTCATATGCAAATCATTCATAAGTGAAAATCTAGTTTAGTCGCTACAAGGAAGCACCCCGAGTCTAGGGCCAGACTCTCGCCAGCCTTTGGCTGTCTAACCCGTCCAGCCGGGAACAAAGGAGAGGGCGAGGTTAGAGGGTCCGGCGAGGGTCCTGTGGCGCGGGCCGGGCCCACCTTAACTCGGGAGGGCCGCGCTGAGGCTGGGAGCCGGAGATACGGCCCAGGCCAAGGTTCGTTCTGCGCCAGCCTGTACGCCGCAGCCCTCCGGGGAAGTCCT
This sequence comes from Homo sapiens, assembly GCF_000001405.40. Taxonomy (NCBI): domain Eukaryota; kingdom Metazoa; phylum Chordata; class Mammalia; order Primates; family Hominidae; genus Homo; species Homo sapiens. The sequence continues at coordinate 54,034,748 of NC_000012.12, read as the reverse complement.
GCGGAGCTTGCCCTGGGCCCCGGGTACCGAGCTGAGCCGAGCTGAGGGGAGATGGGGCAGCGCCGACAGCCCCGCGGGAACCCTGGGTCGGTAGGGATGCGGAATGCCAAGGAAAAGCGCTTTTGTCTGTGGGGCCCGGGAGCCCAGTGCTCCAGCACCTGCCCCCGACCCGAAATATAGAGAGGAAAGGCGAAAAGGAAAGGCGCAGGGACAGGAACCGGCTAGGGGCGCGCTCTGCGGGCCTCCCCCGCTGCCTCTAAAGAGCCTCTTTGCTTTTCATTTTGGAATCTTTCTTCCACTTCATCCTGCGGTTCTGGAACCAGATCTTGATCTGTCTCTCATTGAGACACAAGTTGTTGGCGATCTCTATGCGCCTGCGGCGAGTGAGGTAGCGGTTAAAGTGGAATTCTTTCTCGAGTTCCAGAGTCTGGTAGCGCGTGTAACTGGTTCGGGACCGCTTGCCGTCCGTCTCTGGAACATAAACCCCACCCCAAGCCAGGAAGGGGTGAATAGCTTGCAGCGTTCCCCCGTCCCCACCCCAGCCCAGGCCCCCACCCGCGGCCGGAGGGAGAGGAGGCGAGAGCCGCAAGACAGGCCACGCGGGCCGCAGGCGGGCCAGCCCAGCCCAGCCCCGGGAGAGGCGCCTCCGCCCAGGCAGGAAACTTTCCACCGCAGCCTTCACTCTGCAGCCGGAGGGGCTGAGGGGGGGTTGGGGGGAAGAGGGAGACCCAGGCTCGGACCGAACAATAAGCACCCTCGAGATCCGAGCACCGGGGACCCCCCTCCCGCCCCTCCCGAGTCGCTGGAATCCTCCGGAGCCGCAAGCGCCGGCGGAGCCGGCTCCGCAGGGGAGGGAGGGAGGGAGCCGCGGGGGGATCCCCGCTCTGGAGCCCCGCGCTCCTCACCCTTCAGATCCCTCTATTTTTTTAACTCCCTCCCTCTCCCCCAAAAATTGAATATTGCCTTTTATACACGTTTTGTTCCTATGATCCAATTATGTCGTCGTAAATTTGGGCGCACACAGCCTCTAAGCCTTTTAGTGGACAGTTTTACGAGCCATTGATGCCTGGATCGTAAAATTTATGGCCGCAGGTTTTTTTTCTTTATTTGCCCCGCATGGCCTATAAAACCCAGGCGGACCCGAGAGCGCAAAATGAAGTCCTAAAGTTTACCGTGGCTCATGTGCAGTTTGGTCATCCACGGGTAAATCTGTGGCGGGGCCGGTGGCTGGCTCAGTCCGGCGGGCTGCCCTGTCTGCGCCTGCTCCTCTTTGATCTCCCCACTGCTCTTAGCTCGCTCCTCCAGCGCCGGGCGAGCCGCCTTCTGACTGTACATCCCGGGGTTCAGAGGAGCCGCTTCGTCTCTGCCCGGAGCGTGTCCCGGAGCGGCCGCGGCGCTGCAGGCGGGGCGGTCGGGGTGAGCCCGGGGGTTGGCAGCCATGTCTACCCCGTGGAGAGAGTTGGAAGGCGCAGGCGGTGGGAAAGTGATGCTTAAGTCCAATCCGCCGTAGCAGTACCTGGATGCCTGCACCTCTGAGGCCGATCCATAGTTCCCACAAGTTTGCATGTTATAGGCAGGGATATTGGGGCTCTGCTTATAGAATGAATTGGCTACGTAGGAGCTCATGGCGGGGAGGGCCCAAAAAAATTTCTGCACCCTTTTTGATTAAGGGTGATTTGTGACTCTTTGAAGTTGAGGGGTTTTTTGTTCTCCAAAGTGGACAATTTATAGGTGGAGATATCTCTTTCTTTATCCTATGCGCTCTTCCCAAATAAGGGAGCCTTAAATAGAGTCACGTGACTCGAGCGGCCACTCATAAATTTGGCTTGATGACCTCCGGGAGGTTAGTGATGGAAGCCGGCGAAAAGCATCTCGATATGTTGGCAAAGCCCAACCAAGGGGGAGAGGGAGTGAGAGAGAGAAAGAGGGAAGGGGGAGGGAAAAAAAAAAAAAGGTTCTTGGAATTGGGGGTAGCCGGGACAACAAGCCCACAGCGACACCTGGTGCCTATGTGGGGGAATTGCATCCTGGAGCGCCAGCTTGCTTTCCGGTGGCTGGATTTCCTACACTGTGAAGGAGAAGCTGGTTGTTGGGGCAACCCCTGAGCTAGCCTTTTAAATTCTATTTAAAATTGGGAAAAGACGAGGCCCCACTTATAACGCACAGAGTGCTTTTTGTAATGAAAGTCCCGTTCTCCCAACCTCCAGGGTCTTCCAATCTTCAAAAATGGCTGAGGAAAGGGGATTAAGTTAGGTAAGGTGGCCTATGCCCAGGCTGGAGAACCAATGGGGTTTAACTTAGGTTCCCTAAACCAAAGGTAGAAGTCCCTTGCCTCTCAGGCCCTAAGGCTCCACTACTGCTGAAGAGGTGCCTATCAGCAAGAGAAAGTAGAATTAGCTTCTGAAGAGGTAGACAGGACGCCCAGGAGGAGGGATCCTGAGTGGTCAGAACAAGATAGGGGGGTCATGAAGCTGAGGGTGTTGCAGGCTGTTTGGGATGGATCTGGAGGTGAGGAGCCAGGTGGAGTTGGCTAGACCTCACCATGCTAGGGTCCCCAGAGTGGCAACAAGGCAATTTTCAAGTGTGTGTGTGGACACGGACAGAGCCAGACAATGGTCTAGAGGACTGCTCTGTTTCCCTGTGTGCGATCCTTATGTGGTACCTATGCCAGAGGTTTTAGACAGAAAATAGATGTTAATTGAGGACATGGAGAAGCAAGATTGAAGCCTCCACAAATATTACGTGAGCATGGCAGAGGAAAAGGCCCGTTATGTGCCCTTTGGGGAAAAGGTCTCTGGGCTAGGCTTTCCAGGGACCTGAATCCATAAGGTTCACAAGAGAGCAATTTCTGAGCTACCAAGAGGAATGGGGCGGACCTGGGGGGTGGGCAGGGCAGGCGCCTGGGTAGCCTTCGCAGGGTATCTGCAGCCATTCGGCCCCATCCTCTTCCCCCGTAGCCCCAAGTCTCATACTTCCCTGCCTGCTTCTTCCCAGGAAATCTCCGCCCCGCCAGGAGAAGGCCCCCTCCTCACTGGTGGAGGCACTGGAGGCGAGGGTGGGGGCGCTGGAGGGAATCTGAAGGGCCCGGAAAACTCTGGCGGATTTTTTCCCTCCGGAGACCCTCCTCAACACCTCTCCCTGTAGGCCCACTCAGGTTTCTCTGGCCAGGCTTGGAGAGAGAAGGCCAGGGTTGATAAATGGTTAGGGTCCGGCTGCGCTCCTCACCCGCCTCTTCACCCGTTTGAGGAGAGAAAAGTAAGGAACCAGCCCGGCTGGAGCTGTAATGAAGAAGGAATTTTGTCCCGGCCACGTCAGGAGTACCAGAGCAGGCGAGAGCTCAGTTTCCAGGCTTTCTCTCTCGAGATGTCCTTGAATCGCTCAATCCCTGCCGACAGGGCTCCAGTCCCGCGGTCTTCTCTTTCCCTCCGCTCTCCGCCTCCGCTACGTTTCGCAACAGCCAGCTTGGCGCGGGCCTGGGGCTTGCTCTCACGGCGCCCCCCGCCTCCAACTCCCGGGAGTGGGTGGAGGAGACCCTGGTGCCTGGATAGTGCTTCTTTACTGGTCTTTCGGGGCGCCTCAGGGTTCGGACGCCGAGGACACCGGCTGCCACAGGCAGGAAGAAAGGCCTGCGTGGGGTTGGTGCCCAAACCGACTGATCCCAGCTCCCCCCGCAACAAAATCCTACGCGGCTTTTTCCCGCAGGGTGTGTGTGTTGCTCCGCGCAGGGAGCCCAGAGAGGCCTCCCAGCCCCTCAGTGCGATCGCGAGAACGAACAGAAGGCCGGGGCCGGGCGCCTGGGCTCCGGGGAAGGCGAGTGCAGAGGGCTGGGGGCTTGCAGGGGGCCGGCAGGCGCGGGAGCGCTTGGAGCCTGCTCCAGCTCTCACCCTGAGGCCGGCGGGCGAGCGAATTAACAGAATTCCCGGTATAAAGTTTTAAAAATAATATCAGTTTTATTAAATATTCGAGAACGGACCCAGAGGTTGGATTTATACAGGAGGGTAACACGAAGGGATTTATTTATTTATTTATTTTCTCCTACTGGCTAAACAAACGTCATTCACTTTTTTTCTCTCTTTTTGTAATTTTCCCTCTTTTTTTTCCTTTTTTGAAATTGGATAGGAACACTGACGGTGCTAAACATAAATATAAATACAGAGACCACAAATACAGCTAAAAATCTTCACACAGAAACGGTCACAGTTTGTAAAATGCCATAATGACCCCCAGGATTCTTTAAATACAATTTGCCTGGGCTGGGCATTTGCTGGGGCAGAGGGGCTAGGCAGGGACTGCGGGGAGGCCCTGGGGGTTGGTGTGGGGCCAAGGCGCGCCCTCCTTGGGCCTCCGGCCCTCCCCGGCTGCCAGGCCGGGCCCTGAGGCCCTGGAGCAGAGGCCCCAGCAGGCCCAGGAGCCGGCTCTCTGCACGGGGGGCGGGGGTGGGGGCGTCGAAGGAGTGGGGGAGCCAAGTCCTCACTTGGAGGGCAATCTGTAGAGTCTGAGTTCAGGGTCCGAGCCCCCAAGGCCTGGACGGGGAAAAGGGCCTGTAGACAAGCCGAGAACGAGCTAGCAAGGGAGCGAGGAGGAGGAGGCGCGTGGTGAAAGAGAGTTGTGCGGTGAGGGAGGGGGTCCAGAGCTGACTTTCAGGTCCACGTTTGACTCCCTAATTTTGTTTTAGGGAATCAAAACACATCAATTGTGCCAGTGATAAATACAGAGTGTGTGATTAGGGGAGAGTTGGTGGGGAGCGAGGGAGAAAGGGAGAGAGGGGTGGCAGGGACAGTCCTGGTCACTCTTTCTGCTTCTCCTCTTCTGTCTCTTCCCGCTTTTCCTCTTTTCCGCCCAGGCTGTCGGCGGTGGCCCCTCCGCCGCCCCCCGAGAGAGTGGATGTGAGATTAGATTCTTTTTTCCACTTCATCCGGCGGTTCTGGAACCAGATTTTGATCTGTCGCTCGGTCAGGCAAAGCGCGTTGGCGATCTCGATGCGCCGGCGCCGCGTTAGGTAGCGATTGAAGTGAAATTCCTTCTCCAGTTCCAGGGTCTGGTACCGCGAGTAGATCTGGCGGCCGCGCCTCCGGTCCGCTCCGTAGCCGACCCCTAAAGATCCGGGCACAAAACACACTAAAAGCAATCAGCAAAGCGTCCTCTGCAGACTGTTTCGCCTAGCAAAGTCCTGACCCTCCCAACCTGGCCAGCAGCTCACAGCCTCCTTAGGGCTCTAGCCTTCTCCCTTTTGCCTTGCCCCACCCCCACTGGGGGTACAGCGAGGACCCCAACTTCAGACCTCCTATAAGGTGGGACCTGTGTGTCCCAAAGAAAGGTGTGTGGTGGGGGGGGGGGCGGGGGGGCGGGGCAAAAGGCAAACAGAAAGCTGCAAGTCTAAAAGCAGATTTTTGAAAAATCCCAGATAATGGGGATGAGGGCCCCCTTTCTCAAGGACTGGGCTCCCCCATCTCCCCAAGCATCCTAGTTCCTTGGAAACTTCTCCCCACTTATCTGCCTCTCCTCTCCCCCTCCCTTCTCCTCAGACTGACTCCACTTTGGGGGGCTCCCCTATCTTCTGCTCCCTCCCCTCATCCCCTGCCCTGTTCCTGCCCCCTCAGCCCGCCTTGGGGCCCTCCAATCCGTCAGGGGCCAAGGGGGCCAGGCCCCTGCAAGCGAGCGAGAGGCGAGCTGAGGGGGCAGAAGAGGGGGCCCTGTCTCGGTGAGGAGACGAGCGTGATTGTTTTTATGGGGCCATAAAAAACTCTCTCCGCCCGTTCTTCTAGGGAAGCCGGTCATAAAGCCAGTTCAGTTTATTTAATTTATATCTCGGAGCTGTAAAACTCACCACTGTGCGAATTCATTCGCTGCATCCAGGGGTAAATCTGGATACTGGCTTTCTGGTCCTGGGGCGCAGTCCTGCCCTGCTCAGAACTAAAATCCTGAGCGATTGAGGTCTGTGTGTTATGTCCTAAGGTGTTTTGTCTGCAGTTTGAGAGCATGTCTTTCTCCTGGTAAAAGGAATTAGATCCATAGTCATACGGCCCCCGGCTGGAACTGAACACGACATTCTCCTGTGGCGAATAAAAGGGAGTCGAGTAGATCCGGTTCTGGGCAACGGCCGCTCCATAGGTCGAGAAATGCCTCACTGGATCATAGGCGGTGGAATTGAGGGCGACGTTGGGGAGGACGTCCTGGCCCCCGGCGAGGTGGCAGGATAAGGAAGGGTTAGTGAAGTAGGAATTCATCCCTTTGCCTTTACCTGGTCGGTCTATGATTTCTTTAATATTTATTTCTGTCTCCAGTTTGTACTCGGAACTAGATGGTTATAGGGACGGCTCCAATCCAGGACAGACAAAATGACAAAGTCAGCTGACCCCCTCCCAGCCAATCGCAAGCCAGATGTCAGGAAGGGGGAAAAAAATCGCTTCTGCTTCTGTTGATTCCCTAGTTGAGACTAAGTGTGTGCTTTGAAAGTAAGACTTGGATTTCTTTTAAAAAATATATATATATATATATATATGTAAGGGAACTGGTTTGGTGGTGAAGGAGGGGTGCATGTCCCTGAGCAGGGCCTTGGGACTCAGGGAAGGAGAGCTGTACTACCAGGAAATCTCTCAGCCCCAGCTAACTTTGCTGTGCTGTGGCCAGAGCCAGGGCTAGAGAAACCCCTGTATTTTCAATCTGGTTTCATGTTTTATATCTGCCCCCTTCTAAAATTACATCCTGATTTCTCCAAGGGAAGAACTCCCTCCCAGCACAGGAGGGGGGTCCCTAGAAATCCTGCAGGAAATCCTGTTTTGACACTCCATGGAGTGAGTCCCATCACTAAACTAGTATTTTTTTCACCAATAATTAAAAAAAAATCAAAAGTAGAAAGAAATTTCATAAAACCTGTTCCCCTGAGTAAGTAGAGTGTGGCTGAGAGTCTTGAATGTAGTAGGGATGTGGGGAACAACTAGGTCTAAAGGGGCAAGACTTCAGGGTACAGTGGCAGAGCTGGAGTGGGCAAATGGGCCACGCATCTGCTCTCCTTTGCCTCCTGGCTCCCTTCTGCCTCCTTCTCAGGACCCCTCTGTTGGGAAAACTCTTCCAGCATTTTTGCCTAAAAGGGAAAATGTATAAAAAATGCAATAGAAAAAGGAGAAAAAGAAGTAAAATGTAGGGAGGTGGCACCGGAGGGGGAAAGACAGAGAGAAAGAGAGAGAGAGGAAGAACGAAAACTCTGAGAATCTTTCTAGAGACATCAACTCCTGTTTATGTTGGTGAGAATTTATTATTTGGAGCCAGTGAGGGCCTGTGGGGTAATTCACATAGGATCCAGCCAGAAAGAGAAGGCTGGTGGGGCTCTGATGGACAGTTAGCTTCCTGCAGGCTCAAGCCCCTGCCTTGGTCAGAAGCCCCCCTGCCCCCTCCAGACTCAGGGCACCGCCAGTGGAGGCGCCCCTGGACCTGAGCTATGAGGCTTGGAGACTTCAGAAAGGGGTTCTAAGGAGCTCTCACCCAAGTGCCAGTCACCCGTGGTGGGGATGGGCCTCTCAGCAACCTCAACGCCCATTTTATTCCCCCATCTTGGGGCTAAAAAAAGGGAAGAGACGGTTACGAAAAGGCAGCTGAATCCGAGGCTTGTGAGGGAGCCGCAGTAGGCGAACTGAAACAGCGGAAAGTGTGCAGATGGGGGTTTTCTCCTGATTAGTCCAAACTTAATTTGATATCGTGATATAGGCTGAAAATGCCTTGAGTTGACAAAGAAGGGTGGTGGGGAGTGTGCGGGGAGCAGAGAAAGCTCATATCCCCCCCCCCCCACCATTTTTGGGTGGGTTGGGGGGGGGGAAAGCTGGCTATAACAAGAACCCGGATGTCGCCGGATTTTATGATCTTTTCCTTCTGTGTAACAAAGCGGAGTAATCAATGGGTAGCAATAAAGCCATAAACGGGACTATGCTGAGAAAAAACTCGTTTATTCATCTTCTGTAACGTTAAGGTTTCCCTGGAGTGTCGCTAGGGGGGAAAAATAAAGTTTCGAACCCAAAAGCAGACAGTGTGCAGGAGCTGGTGGAGACAACATGTTAGTTAATACATGAACCTCGTTAGGGGGTTGAAGAGTCTTCCTGCCAGACAATTTGTGTTGGTTTTAGAAAATACAGCCCCAATCCTCCAGAAAGGACAGAAATTTGTCGGTATTTGGAAGGGAAGGGGAAAGACTCCTATAATTATAAAGGTTCCTCCTTCTAGATCACACTTTCTTCTCCCCAAGGAAATGAAGGGGAAAGGGTAGAGGAGGATTTTTAAATTAAGAAAAAAAATTTTAGATGAGTTATCTCATTTTTGGGGTGACTTGGCAGGTACACAAACATAGACACCAATGTGAGTTGCTTTTTGCCCTAGAATCCAGCTGTCCTCGAATTCATGGCATGCCTGAGCAGAGGTTTCCAACAGCTGGCTGAGGCTTCAGGCCCCCTGGAGGGCAAGAGGTGGGGGAGAGACAACAAGGCAGGAGTACTCTGGGGACTGAGCTAGGGAACAAGTCAGTGCACCCCTGGACACAAGTAGCCTCTCTCAGAGTTCCCAGCCTCCTTTCTGCCCTAAGGGTAGTGGTGTAACAAGTAGAAGAGGCCGGAAGAGAGAGTAACTCTGTCCCCCCCTCCAATTTCAGAGAGAGATTGCTAGAGGGATAAATCATGTCAGTGATATTTCCTTCAAGATATTAAATTGTTGCAATGTACAACAAATTGAATGATGGAAGATAGGATGTCTTAATGAGGTTTCACTTTCAATGAGTGTTGATTTTCTATGTATTTAAAAATCTCTTTTATGTCTGGGTGGGGGAGGGAAGGACCTTGGAAGAAAGAAGGGGCTTCTGGGGCAGCATGGACTACAGCCCCCAGCAAGGATGCCTAGGTTTCCTTGAGCCCCTCCTCAACCATGTCTGGAGAGGAAAGGGGCCCCAAAGTTGGGGAGATTCTCTATTGGGGCCTAAAGTCGGTGGGCTCAGGGAGGTTGGCGACCTGAGAGGCAGAATGTGAGCCTCAGCCCCAGAAAGTTAAGTGTTTTATGACGTCCCTAAACAGAGGGCAGAGACTGAAAGGTCTCGCCGATTTATAATGAACAGAAACCAGCTGCTGGGTGAAAAAGGCAGAAATGCTGGAAGGGGGAGAGAAGGGGAAACAGAAATACAAATAAATTCCTCCACTGCTTAAAGACCTTTGGCAAAATTAATTTTCAACACCTCCCCCCCCCCCAATTACCTTTCATTCCTGAGGAAAGAAGAAGCCCTCTTCTTTCTCTTAGATCTTTAATTATGCAGCTGAAATTTGCTGAAAGGATTCGCTCCAAGGGGGGAGAGCAGGTCAGATGAGCCCGATCTTCCCTACATTGGATTATATTTTCTTTTTCCCATTTCATGTTAATTTTATTTTTTTGGCAAAAGAATGGCTGTCTATAGGGGGAAAGCTGGGACTTAGATTTTTCTAAATATATTTATATTTTCCTGTTAAATTTGTCTGAAAACAATTATGGAAACTCATCAGCAGAAGCAAGAACAGATGTTTTATTAAAACTGCAGTTGTGCTCTGTAAATATGCACAAGTCTTGGGAAGGAGGGGAGAGAACTTGTTCTTTGTTTCTATAAAACGAGCCTAAAGAAATCAGAGAACACTACCCCCCAACCCCATCAGGCTTGCAGGTCTCCTTGCTACTGCTCTGGCCCCTTAGCCTCCCAAATCAGGCATTCGGAAGGGGCTTGGTGTCAAGAGCAGATTTTCACTTTCAGAGAAGCTTTAATTAGTGGATTCAAAAACAGAATTCAAAAAACACAGAAAAAGAATACAAGGGAAAAATTGCCACTTGCTTCTCCAGTCCTCTCCAATGCAAAACACATGCTTTTGATAGCGCTAATTATAGGAGAGAAATTTACTGCCTGCGCCTTGGACCTGAGTGGGGTGCAGTCACTGGCCTGGAGTCCCCAAGGATAAGGGTGGCATTGCAGCCTGGGCACTTGGGGATTTCCCTAGGCAAGTTAAATGCTACCACTCCAGCCTTACTCCCCTTTAGGCCAGGGAAAGGCTGGGGGCATGTGAGCTCTGAACTGGGGAAAGGGTGGGTGGGACTGGACCCAGCCTGAAGAAGTTCGTGGGCAGGCCTCACCTTGCTGGCCTTTGCTTTCCACTCAGCTCTGGGAAATATATTAATTTCCTGGGGAGGGATATTTGAAGTGAGAGGGATGAGATCTGGAATTTTTATTTGGGGACAATATTTTCCAGAGGTCCTCCTTAGTTGTGTTCTCCCTGTCTCCTCTCTCTCCCCAGATCCCCTAACTCTGCGCGGATGTTTGTAACTCACCAACCCTCGCACACAGATACACATACTCCATTCCTGACTGCCGCGCTGCAACTACAGCTCGGTGCCTCCTGAGGCTGCTCGGGGACCCAAGCACTGGAGCCTCAGGACTCAGTGCTCAGCCTCAGCGCCTGGCCTGGGTGCTCAGCTGCCTGGACGCGACCGCAGCTGCCCGACCCTGCCCCCACCACCCCCAAGTCTCACTTTTCTGAGCAAGAGAAGAACGGTTGCCCCGCTGGCCCCTTTTGTGCCACTGGGCGAGGGCTAAAATCCCTCTTACGGAGAAAGCCGAGTTTCAGTAATTGCTCAGCTCCCCTCATAATCACACTATTTGGTTAAGGCTTTGCTGTTCTGGAGCGACTGCTCAGTTGGCCCGATTGGTCTATGATTAGACTTTTTTATTTAGAAATTAAAAAATAAATTCTACTCCAAATGCCTGGTGTTTTGTGTATAAATAAGCTCCTTTGATCTCCATGGAACTCCTAGTCAAAGGATCAGATCGCAAAGAGCCTCCTGGTCTGCCAGAGAACCTGAATGCAGGGAATGCTGTTTGGGAACACCAAAGCATGGCTCACCTAAGGGGCTTCCAGTTTCCCATAGATATGATGGGGGAAGCTGTCTGAGCACATACCTGCCCCCGCTACACACACCGCATTCCAAAAAGGTACACTCCTCCTTTCAAAGTTTAGGCATGGAGAGAAGTGAAATTTGACACACCTAACACAGAAATGGATATCATTTGGGGGTGCTAATATTTTGGGGACAGGGCCCGGGCTGACCAGTTGAAGGGAGCTGGGGATCAGCAGGGAGGGGGAAAGGAGGAAGAGGGCAGATTGGGCATGTTAAGCTGCTGAGAACTGCCCCCAAACACCTCCAAGGCCTGCGCTGGTGATTCCTCTTTTGAGCTAAGAGGTTGAGAGGCTACCCGAGCTGCTTTTGCTTTATTACAATTAAACGGAGAAGAAAGGTATATGGAAGGGCTCTGCTAACTCATGTCACATTTCCTCTCCTCCCTCTCTCTTTCCAGATTTCTGCCTGACCTTTCCTTACCAGCACTTCACTTATTGCTGCTACCATCAGCAGATACAAACTCTCACATTGGCATTTGTTTGGCTTCTCAATTCACTTCTCTGACTTAAGGTTAAAACGTAAAATAGGTCCCAAACATCTCTACCCCATCACGCTCAGCCCTGAGCCCCCTTCCAGCTCCATCTGGAAAAAATCATTTCTGGCTTTTTGGGGGCTGGTGCCCAAGCCTCCCACCTCTATTCCAAGCAGCTGAGTATTAGCTGAGGAGGGGGCTTGGGGAGAGCCTGGGGACACAGCTCTCTGTGATCTGGGAATGGGGAGAGAGCTTAGATGCCTAGGGACACTTGAGGGGGGCAAAGCAAGTGGCCCTGCTTGGCCCAGGAGAAAAATTAAAATGCAGAATATCCAGAATATTTTCAGCCCCCAGAATAGGGCCTCAAGAGGATGTCACATGAGGAAGAAGCCGCAATAGGGGGTGTGCTGCTCTGCACTGGGTCAAAGGATCCCCAGCCTCCTGGCTTCTTCTATACCCCTCCACATGAAGCACTGCTTGGACCCATTTGAGAGGTTCATGAGAATTATAAAATTCAAGAACTCGGTATTATGACATCACAGTGAGTTGTCATATAGAAATTGTAAATGTCCTACCAGTTATACATGGCAGGAGTTTTGTGTGTGGGTTCCTGCCCTCCTTTCATGTTTTTTCCTTTCCCCCTCTTTCTCCCCCTGGTCTAACCTCTCCTGCTTGAAAATAAAATGTTGTTATGTTCTGGAACAATATGCCAACAATAAAACAGCATCCTCATTTCCCTATAAATAATTTTATCCTTTATTGTTTGCAGATCTGAAAGAACCATTTAATCTGTGCTGGCAAAAAGAGAGAGAGAGAGACTGGGAGGGGAAAATTAATTTCAGAAATGAGAATATTACTTACTTCAATGATACTCTTTTAAATTTAATAGCTAGCAGCAAAATTAAAGGCCAAAAGCCAACTATCTGACTCTACACCTGGCAGGATTGGAGACATATAGGATCTTTAGCAAAGGGGCAATTTAATTTTGTAGGATTTGCTTAAATTCACTGCAATTTTGGGGGGCTGAGGAGAGGGAGTGTGGGAGAAGAATGACATGCTATATCTAGCTTTATGAATCCACCAACATTACCCTGATTTAAAACCCAACAACCTGTGTCTCAGGGAAACTCCTGCAGAAAGGAGTGGGGTAGTGGGGGACTGGGTTGATGGGGGTGGGCTCAACTTTCTCAATGAGTGTGGCCCCCTTAACCAAGTGGTCACCAGGGGAAGGAAGAAAAGCCTAGGCAAGGGAAGGGCTGCTCAGAAGTCTGTCCACCACAGGGACACCCAGAGGTTTATGGTGTCCCCATAATTCCCCTGACCCTATAAACAGCTGCCCTGTTTTAAGACTATTTCTGCTTCCTCCCCTCCGAAAGGGAGAATGCAGGAGCTTGTGAGGGCAGGAGGGGGTTGCTGGAAAGGGGAGGGAGTCCGGGGATAGCACAGCACTTTGTTCTCCTGGGCGAGTTCGCTGGTTTGGCGGGTTTCTGACGCAGGGTGGCAGCAGACAAAACAAGTAAACAACTCACAGACACAATAAACAGGAGCGGCTGCGGCGCCGTGGCAGAGGCCGTGGGCTGGGCGAGGGGCACAATCCTGGAGTAATGTCACCCCAGTGCCTGGGGTGACCAAGGCCCAGAAAGCCTAAGGCTGCCCTCCTTGAAGGGCGGGAGGAAGGTGGAAGAAAGCTGCACACCTCTTGGTGCAGCCTGTCTGGACAAGAGTCTTGGGAGGAACCCGATCACCTAGAGAGAGTAGCGGAAAACCCCTCCAGCCCCGCTCTGGTCCCTGCTTTCTTTTATGGGGTTTTCCACTGACATTGATATTTCCCCTCTGCTCTGTCTTTTTGTGTCTCTGGAAGGGAAAAAGGCTGGGAAAGGAGGCCCATCAATTCTCAGCCTTGGTAGCCCATACTCAGTGCTCCAGGCCACAGGCAGCGGGTCCAGCGTCCTCTCCCGTGCTGCCCGGACCAGCCGTCTCCCTGACCAGGTCTTGTCCTGGCTCAGATAGCGACGAGGATTAAAACGCAGTTCATCCAGTAACCAGATCTGGGTATTTGGGGGACCTTAGAGAACTCCCAATCTGCCGCCACGGATGCAGGCAAATCGGGCTGGGGCGGGGTGAGCGGCCGGCTGGGGCAAGCAGGGGGAGAAACAGATATTCACTGCATCCCTACCCCTTTTGGCTTGCCTTTTCCACAAGCTTCTCCAAGCACCCTGGCCAGCAGCTGCCCCAGATCACTGTCCAGAGGCCACCTTATTAACCACTCTGATCCCTTCATCGCTCCAGTGAGGCTTCCAGCGCCAGGGCCCTGACTACTCCGAACTGCTTGCAGCCCCACCATGCCCGTGAAAAGAATCCCGCAGAACTCAATTTCAAGACAACTGGTCTCCCTTGTAAAATAATTTCTAAGTTGGGAGAGTTTGCCAGGAGGTGTGGAGAGAAAGCAGAAGGGATTTAGTATTTCCCCAGTCCAGCTGCTTGGGCAACAAAAGCAATAAGGTCTGAGAAAGCCTTTATGGCATCCATTGGTTACTGGAACCCGCATACTCCGATTCCAGTGAGCACATATTTCCAGCAGAGCATGCACAGAGGGCCTGCTCAGTGCACCCGGTGCCTCCATGAGCCCACTCTCATCTAGTGAGGACTAACAAAATTTTGCATGAACATAAAATGGTGTTTGAGCGAATATAGGCATGGTAATATACAATTAACCACCAAGGAAATATGAGTCTGTATATATTCATGCATAAGCCTGAGTCTGTATATTTAAGCCTGTATATAATAAATATATAACACTCCCAAGCCTGGTTTCAGAACACAGCCAACCCAACAAGGTCGCCTTCTCCAAACAAGGTCGCATTCTGTCGGGATCACAACTGTCAGACCAGGGTGAGAAAGGGTTTGCTCTGCCCAATTCTCCTTAGCTAGGAACCAGCACATGAAATACAGCGGATGGCAGGGCTGACAAAGCCCCTTATAAGGGGGGCAGGCAAGCCTAAGGGTGCCCAAAGAGTGGGCTCAGAGGGGGAGGCTCCAAGGAATGTTGCCAGGCCCTGACCCACAGATTCAGTGTCTCTGCCCCGGGTGTGCAGAGTCCTTGAGCCAGATTCTATTCTCAGCCACCCTGGCTATTATTAGATAATCACAGAAGGGCTCTCCTGCAGGAAGGACCACGTCAGCAGGGAATGTGGCCTGCAAGGAGGCTTAGAGTTGCCACTGGTGGGTCCTCTTGTGCTTCTGTTTGAATGCCAGAGAGGGAGAGAAAGAAGGAGAAGGGAAAGAAAATCGAAAGTAACTGGGAAGCAGAGAGTTGGTGTTGGAGTCCACTGGGGTCCAGTTTATCCCCTGGCCAGAGTGGAAAATGAAAACAGAGCGCCGGTCGCTGCTGCTATGCCTTCTCTGCTTGCCTCTGTCTTGTAAGGATGGGTCTAGGGGTGAAGGGCATAGGATGGGGGTGGGGGAGCTGCAGGGCTGTAGCCAGGAAGGGACAGAAAATCAATTAAAATATTATATAAAGACACCTCAGGATGGTGCTGTTAAGCGGCCAACCTCGAACTCTAGCACCTCCAAATCTCGCTGTGGGTACACTCAGTGAGGTCGTTCTAGGATTAAGAGAAATACCTCAGCCTCGCCCAGGCCCGCCCCTCGGGTGGGAGGGGGCCCTTCTAATATTCTAGGTGAATCTCCACTGGCCTGAATGGCCTTCTCTGGAAAAGGTTTTCTTTCGGGGACGGACAAAGGACACTTGTGTTCCCCCCCATCAGCGGCCATCCACAGGGGCGGGGGCGGACAAAATGCAGGCGAAAGAGAGAAATAGAGGCCTCACCGGTCGGCGATTCCCACATTACTCCAGGAGAAAGGCTCCCTTTTTCGGGCCTCTCGGGCCCCTCTTGTGTCCCACCGCACTCCCTTTGCCCTTTTCAGGTCCCACAGACTCCGGGTTCCGGCCTGCCGCAGGCTGGATCCGCGGGGCATCAGCCACTGGGCCGTGCCTGAGCGGCGGGAGAGCGCGCGGCAGCCTGAGCAGGCGGCGGGCTGGGCCCATTTGGGGAGAGCCAAGCGCTTTTCTCGATCGTAAACAAGGAAAGCGAAATTAGCCCCTCGTCAGACGCCTCTGCCGACACACAAGTCCTACTGGGGGTGGGGGGGTGGGGGAGGGGGAGAGAAAATGCCATTTCTTCCCGCGGGAGAATACCTCAGAGGCCTTTATGATGGCTGCGAAAGGGGAATTTAGCGGGGGCAGAAAAGGAAGGGAAGGGGGTTGTGGGGGGAGGGGAGATAAAATTCACCGTCAGCTCTGGCCCAAACGGTTTGATCTGAATGCAAACTGTATTTTTAAAAATTTGATAAAAACAGGTTTCTTCCCCCATCCCCGCCCCCCCACAGGCGACGGGTCAGGGTTTAAACAGGAAATCGTGGAGCGATCCCCTCCCCCACTGGGACTTGGCGCAGAATCCCAGTCGCGCCTCTGGGAGAGGGTGGGGGTAGAGGGGGTGTCTTGGCTTAGATTAAGGTAAGTCTGGCCCCCAGGTTCTCTCGGACCTCGTCTGGAATATGTTCCCCCACGCCTCCGGGTGTGTCTGCCTGGGTGTGTAGGCGTTTGCGTGTGCGTCGCCGTTTATAAACAGAAATTCACACTTATGGGGCCGCCTCGGAGCCTCGGACCCAGGCCGGGGAGCAGGGCGGGGTCATATATCAAACTGCAACACATTCAGGGCCACGTACATTTGGAAGAAATTAAGCCACTGTGTTATGAAACCATATGCGTCGGGTTAAGACTATACAACAGGCCATTAGCACCAATTATTAGAGAGATCCCGAGTGCCCAGGACCCTCCCGCCGCCCCAGGCTGACGCCTCTACCCCATAAGCCAGCAGCCCCCGGAATCCTCACTGCCTCCACAGCACCTAGGAGACTCTACCAGGAGGACTGGGCCTGTCCCCGCCCAGCCTAGGGCCTTCCCCATTTCCACCTCCCCCCGAGGCGAGGCAGGTCCTAGCCCAGAGCAGCCATGCGTGGCGAGCGGGCATCCCGGTCCAGTGGGCATCCCGGCTGGGATGGCCGCGGCTGGGGGTGAGGGGCGCCGGACCCCGGAAGGGAAAGCCGGTAGGCCTCTTTTCTCTGAGCACAAGATGGCTTTTGAGTACAGCATCCCCCACCCCCACCCTACAACCTCCACCCTCCACCCAACGCAGGGCACCTCCCACCCTTCCATCCGCCCGAGTGGGGGCGGGAGCAGGGGGTGGGCAGACGCTCTCCTCTCGGCTGACGCGCACCAGCCACCAGCCTCCCCCCTAATTGCCAATTAACAGGCCCCGCCGGCCGCCTAGCTGCGCCGGCTTCCTGCTCGGCGGCCCGGCCCTGGGCCCACACTGCGCATGTGTGAGCTCTAGCAGTCGCGCTCTCTGGGAGGGAGGGGGCTGCCAGACAGGGAGGGGAAGCTGGAAAGTTTGTTTGGGGGTTGGGGGGCTAACTTTGCTTAGGGGGCAATGGGCACAGCCTCTAAGTTCTCTCTCCTGCCTGGAGCTTGAGCTTCCAGTTCCGCTCCGACCCAGTTCCATTAGCCAAGAGACCGAAGATCTATAATAAGCAGGTACTGACACAGTGGGCAGCAGAGAGCTGGCGCCCTAGACCGCCGGCTTGAGCCCCACAGGTGCTGTTCCCTTGCCTCCCCACCCCCAACTTGGCACACAGTGACATCAGGACAACACAATCGCCCCACTACCAGTTACCGGTATTCCAGTTTAACCCCGTTTCTCTCCCCCCGCCAATTTTCCTCCCCATAATTAACTACGCGCCCACCCTCTCGCCAGCCCCCTCTTCTCCCTAACCAAGAGAAGCCGCTGCTGTCCTATTCTTGAAACCGCCACGGACCATTAGTTACATATTTGAACCAATAAGGAAACACTTACCGAGCGCTGCTGTCACTCTCCCTCTCTCCCTCTCTGCCTCTCTCTCTCCCACTCTCTTTCTCGTCTTCCCTCATTCTGTGCCGCTGCCGAGCCTGTCTCAGCTCCACACACACACACATATACTTTATATAAATTCAAAAATAAAAATAATTATAATCATCCAAAAGCCAAACAAAATTAAGGAGAGTTGCAAGAAGGGGGCAGGAGGAAGAGCCTGGGAGAGAGGAGGGGCGGAGGCATCTGCAGCTCCCAAGCTCAACTCCTGCTCCTGCATTCCTCCTGCCCCTTGGGGGCCAGAGGGTCGGGAAGGAAGAGAGAGATGCCCTCAACTTCTGTCTCTCCCCTCCCATCCCCACCCTCCCCAGCTGCCCCCAGCTTCGGCAACTCCACCTGGGAGGAAAAAAAATTAAATGGGGGAAAAATAATTATTAATCAGATTAATTTAAAAAAAATACTGCTAATGAAGGGAGCGCCCAGGGCAGGTTTCCCTGGCAATGGTTAGGCTCTTACAGGGAGGACTGTTCTGCGGAGCGCTCGGAACGGACAAACCACAATAAAAAGTTCACGTTCATGGATGGAATCCACATGACTTCTTGTGGCCAATCCAACTTGTGAGTCGATCGTAAACTTTTATTACTCAGCTGTAAATTTTCTGCAAACAACCGGGAATGCGATGCATTTGTGTAGCGTGTGCAAATGGGCGCCGCGGTCGCCATGTTTACCCAATTCTCTCATAGAGGGAGCATCCCCGGACCCCCACCCCACCCCTACCCCCACCCACCGCCCACTCCCCACGGGCCAGGCTGCTGCAGGCGAGCGCAGAAAGAGCTGAGGGCGGACGCCCAGGCGAAAGAAAGCTTCAAGCACTGAGGGTCGGTTGCCTCTCCTGGCTTGCCGAGTTTTAAATATTGTCCTTAATAAATGGGGGCATTAAGGTTGGATCAGGCGGAATTCAAAGCTTTGCAAAGATTTGTGGCCTTGAGGCAGTGATGGCTGGTGAATTGCAGGGATTGAAAGGGTGCCTCCCTACCCCTACCTTTTTTTTTTTTTTTTTTTTTTAGTAAGAGAACAACATCCCCTCTATGCCGTACCCCTGAAAGCTCCTACTCCACCCTAGACAGGAACAGTAGTGGAAGACCACTGGCAGCCACCCAACCAAACCTGACCTGGAGTGGTCTGAAGAACCTAGGGGACTAGACCTACCCTGGGCAATCCTGCAGTGCAGCAGGAGAGGTGAGAATTGGGGTCAACTTCTAGGACCCTCAAAACGACCCACATCCCCGGGGTCCCTTTCTTAGAGAGAATGACATTTTCCCCCAAGACCATCCCTAGTTTCCCTTCCCAGTTCAAATGGTGGCTTATTTGAAATCTTTTTACAATTAAAAATAAAATTAAAGCCCAAGATCTTGGTCTCTACTTCCTTTTTGCGGGGAGGGGTGCAAGGCAGTAAGCCTTTTGGATCGTGTCAGATTGCCCATACCCACCTGCCTTTCTCAGAAAAATTTCCTGATTCAATGTCTGGGCAGCTGGGATGTACTACCGAGGCCTGAAAAAATAACCTTTTACTGCCCTGAATTCCACCTTCTGTGCTAAAATTTCGAGCAGCCTGTTTTTCCAGACCCCTAATTTTGAAGGTGAGTCCAGAATAAATTCCCCCATAGAGACTATTTGCCGGGGGAGGGGTTGCAGGCAGGTCACTCTCCCCACGGGCTCGAGATTTGAAGGCCGGCATCTCTCCACTTGGTCCCGCATCAAGCTGGCATGGGAATCTCAATGGTTGGGTGCCTCAACCCTGACCAAGAGGGGATACCTCATGCCTTCCCCAGACTTCCTCCATAGTAAGAAAAGCAGTTCCCTAGGCCGGATGCAGGGACCTCGTTTCTTTTCACAAACCCACCCATAAATTTTATAACAGGTAGTTAAAAATTACGACAAGGAAGCGCTGGCCCAGCTTTTCACAATGGGCAGCGGGGAGAATGGGACGGCGCTGCGGGCAGCTCACCGGAAATTTTACTTCTAGACTGTGGCACAACCTGTCCTGAATTCTCCCTAATTGGGCGGGGTAACTTTCCCAGCCAGCAGGCAGTCATTAGGGCATCTTATCTGGGGAAGATAAGACTGGGGAGACCAAACCACTCGCCTATCCAAGGGTCCCTCAAGGAGCCCTTCAGGACGCTCACTACCTCTCTCACCCACCCCCAGATCTCTTGCAGGTCCGCACCTTCCTTGGCTGATGCAATGAGGGAGTGGGGAGGAAAAAAAATTTAATCCAGAGAAACGAATTTGCCCCCCAACTTAATAGCTGCATTATTCCAGCTCTACGGTTGAGATTAGAATAATAAATTCAAGGAGCAATGAGCGAGATGCTTCAACTCAGCATTTTGAAAGATACTATTTTTCACAAATCACAAATGGCTTTCGGAAGCCACTTTGATTGGCTAATAAAAAAGTAAAGAATGGGAGAGAAAGTCCTATCTGCAGCAGCCGAATGGTCCCCATTCCGGTAATGGGACGGCGGGAGCATTTGGGAGGACGCGATTCTAAAGAGAGCGCATCCCGCTCACAATTACGTTCCCCCATAAAACGGGTTTTTACCTCCATTTCTTTCCAAACGAGAAAACAGAGGCGGTGGGCAGGAGGGGTGGGGGAGCGGGTACTGCATGAGGGGGTGGCTGGGGCTCCCTCGGCTTAGCCCTCTCCATGCCTGGCATCTCGAGTAAAGCCGGGCGCCAGACGCACCCCGCCCTCCGACGCGCCGGGCTTGGGGCCACGGACATTGCTGAACAGGACAAGGGATAAATGGCACATTTGGTGTGGGGAAAAGGCGGCGAGGCCCTTCGGAGCCATTTAATGCTGGGTTCATTCCGCTAGGCTACTGGGCCAGATATTTTTATTAATAGCAATCATAATTCCACGTTTAAAAACGAAACGGGACCTCAGCCATCCCTCGGAGTATGGAGGACACGCCTGTGGGAAGGCCTGAGGTCTGAGCGAAATGGCCTCTTTTCTGGCTTCCCTGGTGGGTAGCCGGTGTCTCCCACTGAGAACAGGTTACCTGGCTGGTGCCGCTGCTCACAGCAGGGACCCCAGGTTAGAGAAGATTTCCCGGAGCTCCTGCTCAAAGCTGCCCCAGCTGCCTGCAGCCTGTGCTTCCAATTCACAGCCTTTCTCGGACTGCAGGAGTCCCCCTGTGAAGGAAGCCCGACTCAATTCTCTACTCAGGCCCGATTTTCAGGCCCGGTTTGCGTGGGGACCAGTGACTGGGACCTGGGTGAAATTCCACAAAACAAGAGTTGGCCTGGGCCTAGGTCTGGGAAAATCATTGACCAGGAGCTAGACAGATGAGGGGTGGGGAGGACAGAGAGAGAGAGAGAGAGAGAGAGAGAGAGAGAGAGAGAGAGAGAGAGAGAAAGAAGAGAAGAGAAGAGAAGAGAAGAGAAGAGAAGAGAAGAGAAGAGAAGAGAAGAGAAAAAGAAAGAAAGAAAATCTGGCCTCAAAAATATTTCAGCCTTCGGGGGTCTGGTTTTTAAGACCAGAAGATCCCTCCCCTCCCTTTTCCCCTCTCCTGACTGAGTCAGAAGACTTGTATCTCTGGAATTTGGGATTATTTGACCAGAATCTTATTGGCATAAACAGAATTTTTAAGTCCAGGACTCTCCAGAGAGAAGTGAGAGACCCTTCTACCCCCTGGGTCCCTGAGCCTTCAATTCTTCATTTTGGGGAATGAAGATACCAATAAAGACGCCCTCTTACCCCGCTGTGACTGGGGTGGCAGGATGTCCACTCAGCAGGCCCATCCTCCAGGCCAATGGCCCACACTATGGGGGCTGGGTAAGCTGACCAATTGCCAAGGTGAAGTGGGGAGTGGACTTTAAACCGTCTGAACAGAAGTTGGAGTGGATGCAAGCGGGCTGAATGACAGTGATGACAATCTTCCTGTGCAGAGGATTGAATGTGAATTTCAGGATGTGGGCTCAGGCTGGTTGCCTACGAGCTCACTTACTTTCCCCTTCCTTTCTCCTCTCCTTCAGGCTTAAGCTTCCTCACCCTCCATTCTTAGCATCCCCCATCTTCAGGCAAGCCCTGCAGACAGGCCAGCCAGTTGCCCTGAGCCTCACACATCCCCACCCGGTTCATTATTCTAGTGCTGGGTGCTGGGTGCTAAGGTCTGGCCACAAGGGGCATGCGGAGATCAGAAGGAATCCCACTATCTCATCCTCAGCCCCAGACCCTGGAAGAAAAAGTCATAGTTGCATAGGGCAGATTCTTTGTCTGGGCCCAGCCCAAGGCTGAGGAGGAGGAGGGTGGATGAGTGAGGAAATCTTTCTTCCCATTGGGATCCTGGCGTCTGGAAACCCACTTTGTTTGGAGCCAAGATTCCCCCAAGGGCATACCTATAGACTCCTTACTCTCTCAACCAATGGACTGCTCCTTTTCTTCCTCCTCTCAACCCCTCACCCCTTTCACCTGCCCTCCCAGGCCAGCATGCTTTCTCAATTCCCAGGCTTCTCTCCACGTGAGTTTCTGAACCCCAAAGCCAGAGCAGTGAAGCAGACCTTTTCCAGAGAGTTGGACAGGGGGATAAGGAGAGAGAAGGTAGAGAATAGGGAAGAGCTGTGGAGAAAAAGCAAGTCATTCCAGCTTCTATTATTTTTCTTCTTCTTTTTATTATTATGACTCACGTATACAATACAAAGTACTTGGACCAGGAACAGGGCTGTCGGGACACAAAATCTACATTCATAGCTGGACATAAAGACAAATGACAAAAAATTATTATTATAGATATATTTTTAACATTTTTTTCTTTCGAGCACATTGCATAAACAGAGAATTCAAGACAGAGTTAACTATACATTCAGTGCAATTTAGTTCTACTCTACTGGGGTTAGAAGCACAATAAAAGCGCACAGGACCGGCGGGCTAGGCAGTCTCAGTTGTTGGGTTTTCTTAGTGAAATAAGCAGCAACAAACGACAACAAAACCGCATTACAAATACTCTCAAAGCAGGATTTCTTTCTATAGGTAGTGATAAAATACGCTGGAGGTTTCTTTCTTTCTTTTTTTTTTTTTTGATTTTTATTTTTTTCTCTTTTTTTCTCCTATAGCAGGATTTTAAAATTTTTCTCTTTTTCTTTTTCAAGATTATTGCAGGTTCCCTTTAGGTAGTATGTTAAAGATTTATTATTATTATTTTCGTGATTATGGTGATTTCTGAGCACTAACACTAATGCAGCTCAGAGGAAGGCGGGCCCAACAGAATAGAAATCAAACAGCGAAGGAGAGGAAGGCATGGGCCCGAGTGACCATGGGATGGTTAGGTAGGATTTTAGAGGCGACTGCAGGCTCCTATCTACCCTTCTGGAAATGGGGGGAGGGGAAAGACCCACATCTCCTTCAGGTTTCCATCAGGTTCCTAGAGAAAGTCAAGGGGGTTTTTCTAAGCAGGGAGCCCTGGGGAGGGGGAGGGGGAGGGGGAGGGGATATTCCTTGCTTTTTTCCTTATTTCTTTACATTTGTCTTCCTTTCCTTTCTTCATTTTTTTCTGTCCTTTCCTTTTTAGAAAAAGTACATCTAGTACACTAGCCTTAGCATAAAAACAAAACCACAAGTCCTTTTCTGCATTTCGAGGGGGCTCCCCTCTAAAATAAATACCAGAGAAGCAGGGAGGTGGGAGTGTGGTGAGAGACAGACCGAGGAGCACGGAGGCCAGGTCTCAGACCTTAAAATCCAGGAAGGACTCAGAAGGGTGGGGGCAGGGACAAGTGTGTGTGGGGCAAGGAGTGAGACAGAGAGTCCGAACTTTTCACTGTTTCTCCGTCTCCCCCCTCCAGCCCCCAAACAAATAAAGAGTGGGGGAAGTCCAAAGGTAATAAAACCAGAGCTGCAAGTATCTGACAGGTAGTTAGAGTTGTGAGTGTCATTCTATTCTCTATAAAAGCAAATGACAGTCGTAAACTTCTCAATTTATCTGCTACCATAAAACGAAACTTCAAGGGAGTTGCTAAGGGGGGGGGGGTCTTTCTTTTTTGCTTAGTCCTTGTTTTCTTCCTTTTCCTCCTCTTCTTTCTCCTCTTCCTCATTTCCTTCTTCCTCCACCTTCTCCTCATCTCGGGCTCCCGGCAGTTTATCCTTGTTGTTCTCCTTTTTCCACTTCATCCTTCGGTTCTGGAACCAGATCTTCACTTGTCTCTCGGTCAGTCCCAGGGCATGAGAGACTTCAATCCGACGTTTTCGTGTCAAATAAGGATTAAAGAGAAACTCCTTTTCTAGTTCCAAGGTCTGATACCGGCTGTAAGTTTGCCGTCCACTGCGCCTCCCCGGAGCTGGACAGAAGAAAACCCCAGTCTGGTTACGTTTGGATGGGGGCTTGGTTTTCCTTTGCCACTCTTCCTACTCTAAACTCCCCTCTCTGATCTCCTCAGTTCGCCTCCCCTCTATGGAAAAGGCTAGAGCAGAAGGCAGACAAGGGCAGAAAAGTTGGGGGATTGTTTTTGTTTGGCTTCACCTTGGGAGGTGGGGTGGGGGTGGGGGCTAGGGTCTGTTTGGAAACTGGGGCCTTTCAGGGGCTGGGGAGCCCTGTAGAATCCCCCCCACCAGGCCTGTAATCCTAGGAACTGGCCTTTGCAGCTTTGTTTACAAGTGCAGCAGGGCATTTAGTGAGCGAGGCTGGGGACAGACTGTTTCCAAAAGAAAGGAAAAAAAGCTGGGGGTAAAGAAGAGGGGCTCTGCCCACTGCCCTCTCCTTGTCTCTCTCTGCCTAATGCTTTTCCAATAAGAAAAATAATTGATCTGCTGGAATGTGTCACCGCTCCGCCTGATTGCTAACTGGAGACCAGCAAATAAATCATGGGCCATCCCCGCCGGAACTTGTCGCTTTATCGCTTCCCCCTGTACTTCGAAATTGGGCCATGAGGGGCCACCCTTGGAGGGGCTCATGACCTAAGCTACTCTGCAGGTCTCAGGGAGACCCCACAAGTCCTTGATTGGGGGGGCGGCTAGGGTCTTCTGGACCTCAGGAACCCCTAATCTCTATGGCCTCTCTCCTTTTGAGCACTCTTTTTTCCCCCTCCTCTCAGGCTCCCCCGTCTTCTCCCAACTGGGGGAAGTATAAAAAAGTTGGGGTAGTGGCCCTCAGGCTGGTTCTCTGAGAGGAGGTTATGGGTGCCCTAGAGAGCCAGAGAGCCTGTCCTTAGAGTCTCACCACACTCTGGCTAGGGCAGAGCAACAGGGGTCTGTCTCCCTTTGCCCCAAGACAGCCTGGCCAGTGTCCTGGACTCCAGGCTCCCTGCCTCTGGAGAAACTGGTTTGTTCCAAAGGCTGACAGTCTCAGGGTACTCAGGGTACCATTCCCAGCCACCTCCCCAACTTTGACTTTAGAGATGGGGAGTGGGAGAGTCAGAGAGAGACAGACAGACAGAGATGGAGAAAACGATTTTTAACCCTTTGCGGCCACACACCAGCTTTCTCTCACCTTCACCCCAATCCCCTAAATGTTCTAGGCACCCCCTCCCTGCCCCGCCCCAGCGGAGCCTTCCCAACTTCGAGAAAACCACCCAGGCACAGGCACGGGGGTGGGGCGGGAGAGACCCCAAAGCCAGGAGAAAAAGCGAGGGCAGACAAAAAGGAGGCGAGGGAGGGGGGGAAACCCTGGAGCGCGGGAGACCAAGGGGGAAAGAGAAAAGGCTTCTCACCGTGGGGTCTCATCCATGGAAACATGAGGCTGGGAGACGAGTTTTGATTTAAGTGGCCTTGTCCTTCGCTACTGTTAGTGTTGGCGGAGGATTTACAGTCGGGATATTGCACCACGCTCGCCTCTTGCTGAGCCCCATAAAGGGACTGTCTGGGGAGCGCCTCGTAGCCATAGAATTTGGAGGCGTCTCCGTGGCAGCTAAGCGAGCACGGGTTCTGCTGGTAGCCTGAGTTGGAGATGCCGGAGGTGCCGTGGTGGAAGAAGTCTTGAACGTGGTGCGAAGCGTGCTGGAAGCCGGGCGCCGAGCCGCCGGGCCCGTACACCAGCGCATGGCTCCTGCCCACGCTCTGAGGGAACCGGCAGTCGTAATAGGCCGGTTCCAG
Organism: Homo sapiens; assembly: GCF_000001405.40. Classification (NCBI taxonomy): domain Eukaryota; kingdom Metazoa; phylum Chordata; class Mammalia; order Primates; family Hominidae; genus Homo; species Homo sapiens. Next base: position 54,009,338 of record NC_000012.12, on the reverse strand, counting down.
GGACTCGCCGGCTTTGTATTTGGAGAACAGGGGGTTGACGAAGTAGGAGCTCATGCTGGGTACATGAAAACCCGCGGCCCCCTCCCCTCTGGCTCACGAGTACCCCGCCCAGTACCCCCGAAACTCCCCTCCCCCCGGGACCGAACCCCAGGCCAGCTGGCTCCCCGGGACTGGGCTGGGCTGGTGGGCTGGGGGCTGGGCAGGTTGGGGGGCGCCTCGGTGCTGAGCTCGGCCGGATCAGCAGAGCTCCCGGGGCTGGGGCGCGGGCGGCGGCGGCGGCGGGCGGCGAGCGGGCGGCGGCGGCGGCGGCGGCGCTCCTCACTGTCGGTAGGTAGAGCTCGCGCTCTCTCACTTAGCTCTTTCCTCTAACAGCCCAGGCGAATTCCTCAGACTCCCGGCGGTGGCGGCGCTTACACGCGATTCGCGTTCATCAATCCACGACATGAAGACAGGCGAGAGAGAGAGAGAGAGAGAGAGAGAGAGAGAGAGAGAGAGAGAGAGAGAGAGAGAGATGGCGGGGGTTGAGGGGTACAGGGCTGGGGGGACCTGGAGGAAGGGGAGGGGAGGAGAGGGGGAGGGATGGGGGTGTGTGGTGTGTGTAGGGGGGTGGTGAGCCAGCCCCAGCTAATGGCTGGGGCCAGTTTTCCAGGGTACGAATTTAGATGTGAAGGTGCCTCTCGCCCCCAGCCTCGCTTCTCTTTTCCTTCTTCTCAGAGAGAGAGAGATACCTGAGCCAGCAGGTCAACCCAGGTTACCTCAACAGGTATAAGACCTCCAAGGGGATGAATACCTGCAAGCCAGAGCAGGGCCCCTAACCCAAAAGATGGGCTTCCTAGGGGGTCCCTAAGTCTGGAGACTTTGAGGAGGAACAAGCACACCATACTCCCAAATACTTCAGGCATCAGACCCTCCATCCCCTGGCCCCTCCCCAGGGTCCGAAGCTGTTCTGTCTTCTTCCTTAGATCCAGGAGACTCTCTTGCTACCTGCTATGGGTAGAGGAGAGGGTCAGAGGAGGTGGGGCTGGGGAAAACTCCATATACCCAGTCAGGGCCACACTGCCCCTTCAGACACGAGCCCCTGCATGGAGCAGGAAACCCAGGCAATGGCCACAAGCTTGGCTAGGGGCTCTGAGAGCAAAGCTGCTTATGGAGACTAAAAGGAAAGGGCAGCTGTGTGTCCCTGGTTTCTAGCTGGGCTGATTCAGGACATTTCTTCTTAGGAGACTATTTGCATCTGAGTTGGAGGGGACTGGAGCAGGCCTCTTACTTGTCCCCACATACCCCCATGCCATAGGAAATGCCAGCTCAGCCTGGTGGGGCCCCTGGCTTCACTGCAGCTCCCTCTTCCCCAGGCAGGCTGCCCAGGCCAGGATGTGGATGGGAACTATCAACAGACACTCTTTAAATATTTATCCACACTTTCTCTGGAGGGTTCCCCCATCCCCAAGACTGAATACGTTCAAGTTAATTCTAATGGATTAAAGAACCTTAGTCCATCAGCACCCTTCTCTGGCCATAAGTGTGTACAGTGATTTGGGCTTAACACAGACAGAGAGAAAAAGGGAGAAGGTGAGAATACATGCATGCTGTGTGCATATGAATGAAAAAGATGAGTAAGAATTATTTTTCCAGTCCTCTCCCTCACCAGGGTGTGAGGCTGTTACACCCAGGAAATCCTAGAGCACACTCAGGACACACACACACTGTACGTGCTACTTTTCACCCTGAGACACATCAAGTCCATGCTCAGTGTAAACTAGCACACACATGCCTGGAAGCATCCCTGCCACCTCACAGACACTGTACGCACATGTGCACACCCAGGCACACATGCATACATGCCTGACAAACACAGATGCATCTTTAGGTCTTTGCATTATGAAAGCAAAATGCTACCTGTTTTTCTTCCACATCCTGGGGGTTTCAGGGTTGGATGAGGAAGGAGGTGGTTAGGCAACCAGACCTTTTCCTTCCCCATCCGGAGCCCAGCTCTGGAGATGGAAGAAGGAATGGCGGTTCAGGGCAGGATGGTTTAGAGAGAATGAACACCTCCTCCCACCCAACCCAGTCCCCCTATTATCTAAGTAATTGCTGGGGAAATGGCCACTCTCTGTCAAATTCCCAAAGGAGATTCACTGGTGCAGGCAGCAAGAGCTCCCTCCAGGATCCCCTGCATTTGGGGAATCCCACCCCCATCTCAGGAGCTGCCCAAACTCTTAGACACCCAGAACTCTGGCATTGGAGCAGCACGAGGGAAGGGTCAGAAGAGGGCTGTGCCAGGGCTGCAGGCCTCCCTAGGGTCCAGAACAGTAGGGGTCAGGACAGGGCGTCTCTACCCGTACCACAGCTCGCTTCAGCCTTGGCTCCAGCCCTGCCTTTTCTGAGCCTGCTCTTCGGGTGCTGCGATGAACAGAGTGGACTCTGGGCTCCCAGCATCTGGGTCACTGGAGACTGTCATAAATACTTTCTCTTCCCAGCCTGGAAAAAGGAGGCCCAGAGGGCTGGATCCGCTCTGGGGCCTGCGCCTTATCATTTAGGGGGTGGGGTGGGGGGATATTTCGACATTTTATGGTCCAGCGAAAACCCTGCCAGAGAGCTATTCTTCCGGGGCTTTGTGTCTTGGAATGCGACTGTCCCGAGTGTGCCGCCACCGCCGCCTGCCCGGAGAGCCCACCAGTCCCGCAACCCCTGGCCGGACTTGGTTTCCCCTTTTGGGGATCCCTCACCGTTCTTTCATTTGTTTGTTTGCTTTCTTTTACACGTTATCTGGTTTATTTCGCTCCCCGAGCCTGGAAATAAAGGAACCGAAAGCAGCCATCCTCGCCGAGGCCGTCTCTGTCCCTCTCCCCGAGGCCTGCACCGCCCTCATAGGTACCACGGATTTATGTTCGTTTGTCCGGGTCATTCTGCCTTTTTGTGTTAATTACGCGCTGCCTGCTTTGCACTTATCTCCTCCACAAAGCGATTATTTTTAATGCCTGCCCTCCTGAGCCTTCCGAGCCCGCTGCCAGATCGAGGGCCCATCTCCCGCTGCCACTCGCGAATTATTTACACCTCGCAGGTGAGAGGATTGATTTGCTCAGAGCCAGTGGGGCCGGGCCGGCCGAGGCGCGGGGCCTTCTTGCAGCGGCTGCGGGCCGGGCCTCAAATGTCAGTGCGGCCAGGGCGGCCCGGGGCACCGCCGCCTCTAACATTGAGCAACAGCGCCACCTCGCGTCCATTTGGTCCAATGCAGTCCGGCTGGGAAAAAGCTAACAAGAGGTCCCAGGCTTGCCCCAAAGGTGGGAAGTGGGAGGAAGGAACCTCCAGATGGGTGCTCAAGAGAGAGATTCCCTGGGAGTTGCCCCAGGACTGCTGTTCTTTTGTTTTCTAAGTTCTTGAAATAAAACCTTGTGAAAGGTTCCACACTGTTTTCTCTTTTTGTTACCCTCCCTTCTCCAATTAAGAGACTCTAAGCAAAGCAACTGCCGCGATCTCCCCCCATTCAGGCGCATTTCTGGGCTTGGAACATCTCCGCGAACGCGGATGCACGCTCCGAGGCTCCCACGACGGCTTGCCCGCGGCGCGCACCCTAAAGTCCTCCCTCCTCTTACCCTGATGCTGGCCCCGCACCGACTATTCCGCCGCCGCCTGCAGGACTTTGGGGTGGGACTCGGACTTCTCCAGGCTGTTTGACCCCTGGTTTGTAGCCCATCCCTCTCGCGCGCGCGCTCTCCACCTCTCCCTCTCAGCCAGTGAGGTCCTGTTCTCCGTGGGCCATAGACAAAACATTCCTATAATCCGATTTCAAAGGAAAGTGTCCACCTTATTTAAACCATAAAACAATTAAGCCCAGACGTCTAGCCAGCTCCGCGCTGCTGTTTTGTTCGGCCCCATTGAGAACCCAGAACAGGGAGACAAACAGCGCCATAAAAGTGGCATTTCGGGGCTGCGGAAATGTACCTATCCGCTGCCTTCTCAAGTGGAACAATCTTTAGGGTTTTGTGATTCTGACAAAGGAGCAGAGGAGAGGTGGGAGGGGAAGATTAGGGGAAGAGGGCGTTTGCTAGCCCCTCTCTACCCCCAGCTTTCATTTCTTTCCCCAGATGCGTGTTGTGTTGTTAATTCGTAAATGATAGCGAATAAAAAATGATTCCAATCCTGACCTGCAGGCTGGGCTGGGATTGAACAGTGGGCCGGGCCGGGTGGGCCTGTTCTGCATCCCATGCTTTCCTCAGGGTCCTCCAAGCCCGCGGCCCTCCTTCCTGCCCGCAGTAAGGCCGCTCAGGCCGGCTGCAGGAAGCAGGCCGCGCTGATGGACGCTGAGGGGAGGCGACAGGGCCTGGGAGCAGGGGCGGGGTGGAAGCCCGGAAACGCCGCTCTCGGTCTGGGAGAGAAGCCCGCATCCCAGCGCTCCCGACCAGGGGAGAGAGGGGTGTCTTGGCCTCCACTGGGTGGGGAACAGGAGTCAGAGTTCCAGAACAGCAAAATGGCCAAAGAGAGGTGTGAGGAAGGAGAAAAACTATAGGCAAAACACCTTTCAAATGGACCAAGAAAACAATGCTTCTGGAATTGGGGAGGCGGTCTCCTAAGCTCGAAAGAGGAGCTGGTGCTTCAGCGACTGCGAAGTCCCTTGTTGCGACTTGATTGCCCCCCAGTATTATCGAAACAAAATTTTCACCCCTTCCTACCCTCCTCCAGCCACCGACATTGGAGTTTTAATAGAAGGAGAGAGTAGGAGATTCAAATGATGGGGAAGGGGCTGGTCCCTACAAGTGTCTCACCATCCTGTAAGGTGATGCTACGGGGAGCAGCACATGGGCTGGGTCTCTATTTTTTTTCACGGAGTATCTCCCCAAATATTCAGAGCGACACCCTGCACCTTTGGCAGAATGGGCAGCTTGAGATATTAAATGACTATATTTCAAGCAGTCTGATTTTAACAGTTTCCAGATTGGGGGATTTCCGAGAAAGGGGGCGCTGGGCCGAGGCATACCCGGCAGCTTGTGTCTGCTTCTGATTAGCAGATTAAAACTGCTGGTTCTAGGAAGGCGCCCTGGGGTGCAGTACAGCCGATCAGCCCCACCGGACTGTTACACACACATCCCCACATCTTTGCGCTTGGGGTCCCACGGCCACCAGGGAGCACCCCACTCCTGGCTAATCTCTGGCCAGCTTCCTTGGGCCTTGGGCACACCATCCCCCAGAAATGCTGCAGCTGCACAGCGTGACCCAGTCACCCCCAGACAAACATTCAAACTAAACACCAGAGTAGGGGAGACAGAGATTGGGAAGAAAAGAACTAGGAGAAGGGGATCGAGGAGCTGAGACTGCATTGAGAAGTAGAAACTACATCTAATTCTGATTGTATTGGCTTTGCCATCTTTCTCCTTCCCTCCTTCCTTTCCTTTCTTCCTTCTTTTCTTTCCTCTCTCCTTCCATGTCCCATCTCTTCTCTCTCACTGTGTTTTTCTTCTTTTTCTTCCACTGCAGTCCCCAGTGCCTGTCCTGCTCCCTGAGGCCTGCCTGGCCTTCCTCCTAGTCACACGCCCCCTCCCAGCCTTCTTTCCCAGCCATCCCTGGAAGCACCAAAGCACCAATGCCGCCAGGCAAGAATCCAGCCTGGGCCCTCACCCAGCACCCAACTTTCATCTTCACCTATCTCTTCCCTCCAATCTCATGTACTCATAAATTATTACAATTAATTACAGCCAAGGAAAGCCATTCATGCCGTGCCTCTCCCGCGCACTCCATCTAGCCACCAGGAAACTTGTAGGCAGCCAGCCGGGGAAAGCACAAGCTGGGCCTGGGCCTCAGCAGCCTCCACCCCACCCCCAGAGACCCCCCACCCCTCCCTGACTGGAGAGAAGCAGCTGCAGAAGCAGACGTTTGCCCTTCCAAGGTAGAAGGAGCCCATTCTCTGGCTCCAGCCTCCGCTAGATGACCTGAGCACTTGCCTCCTCCACAACAGCAGACTGGGAACCACAGGGAGGAGAAATAACGAGAACTGGATACAGTTGGGTTTCTGGTTAAGTGACTTCAATATATTAACACAGGGCTGTTCTACCATAACAAACAGAAGCACGTTACAGGACGGACGCTGGGGACGAACCCTGGGGATGAGAGGGAACACTATGTACAGCCCAAGGCGCCGGCCTGCACGGGCCCGACCTAGCCCGCGGCATGGTCCCCAGCCCTCACCCCTCAGCTCCTGGGCTGGGAATCATTATCATGTATGTGTGTGTGTCTTTTTTTTTTTTGTACAAAATCTGCACGCAGAGCGCCCCAGGCCCGGGGAGGGATGACCTGGACCAAATACGATACAGGGAAAAAAAAATAGAAATATAGCGATTCAAGTACTGGCTTCTCTGAAGAAAGGAGGAAAAAAATCACATTTGTATGTGTCATTTATTTCGGTTGCGCTGGGGAAAGAGAACGCAGTTTCTCTCCCCGCCTCCTCCTCGCTGGGTAGAACTAACTCTAAAACACCAATATCTCAACACTGAACCCTCCCAAATCGCAAGAGTTTTCTTTTCCCCTTCCTTGTTTTTCTTTTTAAGCTGATTGGCTTTTGTCTATCTTGCTCTTTCCTTTTCTTTTTCGTCTCTCCCCCGCCTGTGTTGGGGTATTTTGTGGGGTTTTTGTTTTTCCCTTGGCTGTGCTGAGGCAGCAGGCTGGGTAGGGTTTAGGACTGCTCCTTGTCGGTTTTCTCTTTATTCATCTTTTTCATCTTCATCCTTCGATTCTGAAACCAGATTTTGACCTGCCGCTCGGTGAGATTGAGAACCCGGGCCACCTCATACCGACGGTCCCTGGTTAAATACATATTGAAGAGAAACTCCTTCTCCAGTTCCAGCGTCTGGTACTTGGTGTAGGGGCAGCGCTTCTTCCTCGTGGAGCGGGCGTGAATCCAGTTGGCCACGGGGTTGCCTGGAGGGCCAAACACAAGCAGGGGTCAGTGGAGCCCCTTTCCAGCCCAGGACTTCTGCTACTCTACCCCTAGACTTAGCCAGGCTCCCCAAATGCAATAACTGAACCTGAATTTGGACACATTTTGCTTTAGGAATTTTCCTCCTTCCTCGTTTTGCATTCTGTCCCCTCCCCAGCTTCCCCCTTTTCAGTTTCCAGCACCTAAAACTGTAGGAAATCCAAAGCTATCAAAGCCCCTCTAGTCTGGTCCTCAGCTTCAAGAGTAGTAATTTGAGAATATCCTCATAAAAAGTCCAAATTCCCAACCGTTTCATAGGCCCATAAACGCTTCTCTCTCTTGTTTTTTATTTTTATAGCAAGGTCTCTCTCCTCCCCACCTCCCTCCTCCTCTGCCCCCTCCCATCCTCCCAGCCCACGACCAAGTCCTGAAATTTTAGCAGTTCTGCTTCCTGACCCTGAGAATCCCTAAACCCCTCACCACCCTCTGCAGCACCATCCTCCCGCTTGGAGTTCAACCCTGCTGAGGCGAATTCTCAGGGTGATGCTGAGACGGGAAAAGTCTTTCTCCTCTCCCCAGAGAGCCGCTGGCCTTGGGGACAGGCTCCCCTATATCTTAGTTTTCCTGTTTGGCCTCCAGTGCCCCCCTCCTGCCAGCCCCAGGACAGGCTCTGCAGGAGCCAAGCCTCCAATTTCAGGTTTATGGGAGTAGCTGAGGGCAGGGAGGGAAGCCTTCAGAGGAGTATAATTAGGCCCTGGCCCCTTATGGGGCTGGAGGAAAAGATTTCCTGCAGCCCCCTCCTGGGACTCCCCCAGACACTTCCTCACACCCAGGGGTCTGCACCCCCTCCCCTGCTGTTTCTCCTTCTTTCCCCTTTTTCTGGCCCTGCAGCTCCCACCTGCCCCCCACCCTAGCCCTCCTGTGCAATCCTCAGAAGGCGCCTGTCTCCCTGATTGGAGTGAGTGAGTGAGAGTGAGTGTGTGTGTGTGTGTGTGTGTGTGTAGAATTCTCTAATCTGGGGAGATGCCCACTCCTCATCCCTGATCCCCATTCTCAATCCTTCCCCTCCAAGACCCTCAGAAGAGGGTTCTCAAGTTTAAGGAGGCTCAGACCCCACTTTTATCCCCACTTCTCTTTGAAAGTCCTGATCTCTCCAAGTTCTCAGGCTTCGAAATACCTCAGACCCCTCACCCAGTGCTCCTGGGGGAGAAGTCCATGGACCTTCTGTTTTGTGAATCTCTAGTGGGGTGAGGACCTCCACGCTGACTGGGAAGCAGGGGTCATTCTCGCTGGGGGTATCTCCTCTGTGCCCCCAGTGTCCTCCTCACCTCTTCCCTGTCCCATCTCAAATCATAAACTGAACTTCGCCCCCAGCCCCATCCCCTGGCCCTGTCCGCCTTTCTTCGAAAGTGGTGACTGAGCCAAAAAGCCTGGGCTGGGAGGAGGGGGCAGGGGTCTCTCATCAAAGCCAGCTCCTGAGAGAGGAGCTCCCCTCGGCCCTCTCCCAACCTGTCTCCCTGGGCCCCATTCTCAGACCTCCTGCCCCTGAAAGCTCCCCAAGGTAATTCGCTTTTATTGAGTCCTCGCCCCCTCGCCCCTCTCCCGCGCTCCCTGCACGGTTCGGGAGGGCTGTAATTCGGCTGCCCCCGCCCGTCCTCCCCTCCCCTCCCGCGCCGGTTGTAAAGGAAAATTGCTCCCAACTTACTGGGGTCCAGGTCGGCCTTCTCCTCTTTGTGCTTGCTGCCGGCGAGCGCGTCCGCCTCGGGCGAGGGCAGTGTCTGCGGGGCGCGGTCGCGCAGCTCCCCGGGCGAGCCGTACATGTAGTCCGGGTAGCTGCGGCCCTCCCCTGGGCCGCAGTCCGCGCGGCGCCCGGGGTAGGCGTCCGGCTTGAGGGCGTAGTGACGGCCCCCGGCCGGGAAGCTGGGGAAGGAGACGGCGCCGGACAGCGGCTCGAGCCAAGTCCGCATGTAGCGCGTGTCGGCGCCGAGGTGGGGCTGGGGGCCGTACGGGTGATATACCACGGACGACTGAGAGGGCACGGGCGCCCACGACGTGCTGAACACTGCCGGCTTGGGCGCGAAGCTACAGGACGGAAAATCGCTACAGTCCGGCACCAAACCGCTGGGTCTGGCGGCGGCGGGATGAGCCCCGGTGGCCGGAAACCTGGACGCTAGGAGGTCTTCATTGTCGTGAGAGATGAGCGAGTCCACGTAATAGTTACTGATGGGCCCCGTCGCCGACATCGTAACGGGGTTTTACATACATAAGATTATTGTATGAACTGTATATGTACTTTTTATCTGCTCACAGAACAATCAAGTCAGGTAATTATTTTTCCAGCCTTTTCCCCACAGCTCATTGGCTCCCCGGCCCCCACGTGATCGTATTTACCCAAAAATACGGCGCGGATCAATGCGCAGGGGCTTTTTTTTCCTTGCCTTCTTTTCCCCCTCTCCCACCCCCTTCTCTCTGCTGCTCCCCGCGACCTGCGATTTCCTGGGGGTCCGGAACTCTGGACCCAAGGCACCGGTCACCCCCTCAGGACGGCTCCTAGCTCATCTGAGAAGCCCCTGTGCCCATGTCCACCCATAAGCAGATGGCCTCCCCCCAACCATGAGGATTTTTTAATGGGGTGAAAATGCCAGTCCCCGAAGCCAGGGTTCTCGGACCCCCAGGGCCGAGCTGGGCGCGGGAGCCCCGCAGGGGCGGGGAGGCCGACCGAGGTAGGTGGAGGAACTATTTCTTGACGTAATCCGTCTCTGTCGGCCCCGACGCTCCCGCAGTCTCTGCGCGAGCCGAGATCAGCGATTGTCAGTTCGGAACGTGGCTTTTAAAAATGCGTTTTTAAATAGTGTGTATGTATGTATTTCTTTCAGGAGCAGCAGGGGCGGTGAGGGAGGGAGGGTGGGAGGGGACTGGGGAAGCTGAGATACAGGGAGGGAAGGAGGGAAGGGGAGCGTTCTTCTGCCACTGGCCAACTCTGCCCCCCAAATCTGGGGTAGGGGAAGCCTGGGGAAGGTGGTCCCTGGGTGGGAGGGGTAGAACCTCAGGATCTCATACACCTTTATCAGCAGCCTCAGAAGTCTTCTCTTTGCTTTGGCACAGATATACAGGCGCCTTTATTTTAAATTTATTGTCTATATCTATTTATCTTTCTTTGCCAGCTTGAAGAAGTGTAGGAGAGATCTACACAACTTAAGTGGGGCGTCCCCATCCCATCTTCCTGCGCACCCTCCTTTGCCCCCAACTCCATCTCTGCGACACTTCCCCACCCCCACTCCCCCCAAAAAGTCGCTCCCGGGCTCTGTCTGCAGAGAGCCAGGGTGAGAGCGGGCAAGGCAAAAGAGCGACCTCGGTCGTGGGCAAGTAGCTTGTTTTTACGTCCCTCAATAAAATTTTTATGAGGATCATTTGATTGTTCATAAATGTATCTTTCATTAAATAAAATTGTAGGCTGTTTTTGGAACGGGAAAAAAGCAACGGAGGAACAGGAGAAAGCAATTTCTTTGGGGTCGGATGCAGGAATTCCAGAGGGGGCAGTGTGATTGCAGAGGAATATCAGACAACTTGGATTCCTCCCCCCAATAAGTTGGTTGCTACCCTCCTCCTTCAATTGAGGGTTTGTGCCCAGCCCTCTGCTTTGCATCAGACTGTCCCATGGTGGTGTAGTAAAGGGGGGCTTTAGTCAAGTAGGAAATTATCAGGGTGGGTGAAGAAGAGGGGGCATGGAGGTTGGCTGGGGGGTGGGGAGAAAGGGACAGGTGAAACCCCCAGAAATATGGTGCACTTAGGCAGGGTAGAGTGAATTTAAAGGAGGGGTGCAATTTCAGGGTCAGAAAGGAAGAGTCCCAGTCTGTGGCCAGGGAAAATAGACAGGAGCTGAGGTTGAGATGCAGGCTCTGGAGGCAGCAGGGTAGGAGTCTTCCCAGACCCGGCCACGCCTGCCCTTCTTTCCCTCTCCTGTCCCCAGGAGGGGACCAAACGCCAGGGGTAGGGGCGGGGGCTAGTTTTCTCCTGCGTCTCTATGGATCTTTCTCCTCTGGGGTGGAGAGGGGCTGGGGAGAGTGTGTATAGTATGTGTGTTCCGGGGGGAGGAAAGTTAGGGGGAGACAGCTGCAGCTGGCAGCACCGACCCCAGCTCCATAGGCCCCCTCCCAAGTCTCTGCTCCTCCCCCTCTCTGGCTCTTTCCTTTTCCTTTTTGGTCTAAGGGGGCGGCTTAACGGGGCTGGGATTTCAACTCATGGGGGAGGATGAGGGATGTGTTTGGTTGGGGAGAGGCGACTTGGGGGTTCAGCTCCTTGGCGCCACTGTCTTCCCCTCCCTTGAGCTGGACTGAGCTGGGAAGCCCAACTTACAACAAGAAACAGAATATCTCTTTGGCCTTGATGGAGTTGGGTTAGCTGTCAATCAAAAAATCTCCCTCACTAGTTCAAGGAAAAGACAGGAGGTTCCAGTCCCCCTGCCGAGGCTTTCTCCAAATCCCCAGTACAGCCAGCACCTCCCCCAGCCCAGGGCGGCTGAGGACCGGGCCCGGCACTTGGGCGGCTGCTGGCAGCGATGAGCAGAGACGTTTAGCCCTCAGCGGGGCCCGGGGCCAGACTGAGACCAAGAGGACATCAGGGGACAGAGCCTGAGAGAGACTGAACCCGAGACAGCCTGGGACAGACCAACTGAAACATGGAGTCAGGCCCAAGAGAGGAAAGAAGGAAGCGGAGCATTAGAATAAAGGGAAAAAAGGGGGAGAATTAAAAGAAGGAAGGCAAGATGAAAAGAGATAGGAGAGCCGGGAAAGGCAGGCGTGCAGAGAGGGAGGCGGAGGAAGGGCGGCCGTAGGCAGGCAGGACGGGGCAGGGGCGAGCTGGCGGAGCAGCCGTGGCATTGTGCAGCCCGCTGGCTTGCCGGGCCTTTGCCGCGGGACCGGCTCCGGGCGCGGCGGCCACTTCTGTCTGGACACAAAGGCGGAAGAGGGCTCCTCTCCTGCCCCTCCCAGGAGACTTGCTCGGATGGGTACTCTAGGCCTCAGGGATATAGAACCCCATATTGGTCCAGACAGCCGCTTAGGCAGCTGGGGGCTGAGCCCTGCTCTATTCAAGGAGCGAAGAAACAGAAGAGGAAAGAGGTTTCACCCCTGCTCTTCCTTTGCGTCTTCTCCAAGCGACAAGGCCAGCTGCCCCAGCCTCAGCTTTCCTGGAGGAAAGAGTCCCTAAGGAGCCTCCCCTATGGGCCTCTGCTATTTGGGAGAGTTCCTCAAATAGACATTGGGGCCGTAAAGAGATGCCCCCTTCTCTCCTACCCCCTTTGAACACCGCCTTCTTTTCAACTCTTGAGCTGCCTGCGCACCCTGCCTGCCCACTCTGCGGAGGCGGCAGCAGCGGGCAGTGAGGCTCACCGGCGGGATCCCTGCTGCCGTGAAATCCCCTGTGAAACCAAGGAGATTGTCGCTTTCCTTTATTTTATTTTATTTTCTGGGACTATGACCTCCGAACTCTTCCCACTCAGAGGCAGGCACGGCTGTGGATCAGGAAGCAGGCCTCGCCCACAGCCCCTTCCCAGCCAATGCCTCATTTTCCCTGCGCCCTTCGGAGAGAGGCGGCCTTGGGGAGGGGGGCTAGAAGAGGCTGGGAGTTCCGGAGTCCACTGGGCGGAGGTTCCGCAGGTCCACAACTGCATGTGGCCTGTAGCCCCCATTCTCCACATTTGGAGGGGTGTGGGTGGCAGACCAGGGCTTTGAAGCGGACCTGCAGATTTCCCTCAAATCCAGGTTTGTAGGTGCGGGGGGCGGGGCACAAAGGATATAGGGGCACCAAGAAGGAAGGTCTGTCTTCCTGGGGTTCAGTTACTCCTTCTGAATCTTCTGCCATACTCCAGACTTCCCCTCACCCACATACTCCCTTCAATTTTCCTCAGCACCGCTGGGGCAAACCCAGGGACTGGAGGCCACTGGGAGTTCTTGTTGGGGAGGGGGAAACCCCAGCTTTAGCTCGCAGCTGTGCATTCACTCTGGTTCTTAGAGTTCCCTCCCACCCCCAAAAGACTTCACTGGGCACAGGAGAGACCCCTGAGGGGGAGGGGCACCCTTACTCCATCACCTGAAACCTGGGCAGCTGCGGCCACAACCAAACTAGCACCGTGGGAAGGACAGACAGAAAGATAGACAGGTTAGAGTCGTCCCCTCCCCCTGCCCCGCGCCTTCCTTTTAGTGATTTAAATTCCCTCCGGTTCAATCCACACCGTCAAGTTCGGATTAAATTTAAAACAGGCTTTCTCCGGTGTCCCCAGCGGGCCATCCCGGCTGCCGCAGGCAGGGAGCCCGCTCCCGGCTCGTCAGCACCCGCCCTGCGCGGAGAAGGCCGTACTCCATTTGCTTTCATTTTCCTTCTCCCCCTGAAATGGGCTCATTTCACCTCTCCACTGCCCTCTTCCCCTCCCCGCCCCCTCCCTGGTTCCCCTCTACTTTCCCCCCTTCTCTCTCCTGATCCCTCTTTGTTGGGAAAAACACACCCACACACAACTCCTCCTAGCTAAGGCCTGCGCTGGAAGCAGAAACTGAGTTCTCTTGGCCTGCCGCGAGGAAACCCGCGTCCTGCCCCCACCCAAGGTGGGTATCTGGGATCCCTACACACCAGGAGTCAGGTCCCGAGGCCCAGCAGGAGTGAAATCCCCAGGGCCTGTGAACGTGGCTCTCTCAAAGCCACGGCCTGCCGGGCCTGCATTCCCGCCGGCGCCCCCGCCCTGACGCTCCGCAGCAAGCGGGGCTATTTCCGGCTCCCCCAACGCGGTCTGGTTTTCCAGCCTGGGAGTGGCTGGAGGGGGAGCCGCCCCAGAGCTAGAGCCGCTCCCTGCCCTGCCCGGAGCCCCAGTGGCCCTGAGCGCCTTGTTACCTGATCTTTTGTGTGATGTATGTGTCGCAAGGAAATTTGCAGTGACTTTGGAGCCCAGACTGAGGAAGCGGAGGTGGCGAAAGGAGAGACAATACGAGCCCGAAGTACAATTAAGGGGCCAGAGCCGCTCGTCTCTCCCCCGCCCTCCCTGCCCGACTGCGAGCTGTCTGGCCTCAAACCTCAGGGCGACACGCGAACCTGGAGCCGGAAACTCAGCCCGTGGCAGAGGGAGTCAGAGGACTCTGCATCCAGAAAACAGAAGCAAAGCGCCCTTCCAACTTGGGGACGCCTTAACCAGCCCCTCTCAGTTGCAGATAACCCAATGAATGAAAGTGCAAATTCCGCCGTTTTTCCCGATTTTTTTTCCAGCCTTGGGAAGGAGAGCTCAGGGTTTGGGGCGTCTCAGACAGAAAGGCAAACCGCATCTCCTGAGGCAGACAGACCCACAACATGAGTGTGAGCCTGAGATCACATACAGGTTCAACATTTCCCGAGGCCTCTTTGCCAGGCCCGGCGGGCGCCGATCTCCCTACCTTCTCTCCCTCCAGGGCCTCAGGCAGAGAGACCCAGAAGACTCTGTCCCTCTGGTTTGGTCCAATCCCGCTTCGGAAGCGCCTTCGTTACCTGGTCCTTCGCTCCCCACGGCCATAGATACAGGACAGGCGGCTCCCGCCTGGGGAGGGAAGCCCCGGCCACCACGGCCGCCGCCGCCCGCCCTCCTTCCCTCCCTCCCTCCTTCTCGCCCTCCCTCTCTCTCCCTCCCTCGCGCGCTGCCGCTCGCGGGGCCCTCCCGCGGGCAACCTGGTCTGGACCAAATCCAGGTATATCCGAAAGAGAGAAAAAAGAAAGGACCTTTTACGCGGAAAAGAAAAGACAGAAAGACCTTCCATTGCATTTATTTTTCATGCTGTGACCATTGGTCGGCCTCAGTTCAGACGTCCCGGACACGGCCCGGCAGCTGCAGAGGCGTGCAGGGCCTGCAGCCTCTCCCACGCTGACCGCCGCGCCCCGCGCGCCGCTTGCTCCACACTCTGGGCCGCCGCCCCCAGGGCAGCCCAAACACCCAGCAGACCTCAAGGTCCTTTCTATAGACTCAACATGCGGTTGCCCGCCTCGCCGCCGGCCACAGCCCGGGAGCCCGCTCTGCTCTGTCTGCGGCCAAAGTCCATACACAATCCACCTTGCCGGTGCTCTCGCACCCTGCCCGAACACCCCTTCTGGCCACGCAGCCGTCCGGGCCACACTCGTGCTGCGGTCCAGCCCAGGACTTCGAACCTCGCCCCCTGCACGACCCACACAAAGCCCTGAGCCCTGGCGTTCCCACCCGAAGCCCCCAGTCCCCGCTGCCGCCGTCTTCTTCACCTGTTCTCGGGAAGGGCTGCATCTCCGAGCCGAAGTCAGGCCGTGGGCCGGGGCGAGGTCCCAGAGAGGCCACAGCGGATCTGCCAGGCTGAGCCGGAGCCCCAGCAGCCGACGAGAGATCTCAGAGACCAAGGCTCGCCTTGGCGAGCTCTTGCCTTTTCTTCCTCCCGCAAGTCTCAAACATTCATACACTGAGAGTTCAGCTCTATAAATCCTGCTCCTCTTTCCCATATCATAATTAAAAAAAAAACAGTAGGGGAGGTTTTAACTTTTATTGCGATTTCTGGAGTTGGGCTGCGGAGCATATATTAAGTTTACGCTTATGCGCTCTCGGCGGGGAGGGTCCTTTAAGAAATAAAAATCCATCTTAATATCCACAGACGAGAGAGATAATTTTTTCTCTTCTCTTCACGCTGTTCCTTCTGAAGACTCCCTTCCGGCGAAGGGAATAAATAATTACCATCGCCTTAGCCATGATCCACGGCCTTGTGCCGGGGGTGGACTCTGACCACCAGACTGGTCCTCACCTTGGCCCTATGAGACCTCGCTCCATTTCTCTGCATTTGGGGAGGAGACACCTCAACCCCTGGCTCTCTGACCTCCCACACATAAGCCCAACAGCTCTGAAACGGAAATGGGGGCACAGAGACCCAAAGCACAGAAGTCGTTCATTAGTGAATTTCGGCCCATCAGGGACTCTATCTCCAAGCCAAATGCTCCTGAGCACCCAGTCCCTGCCTGGGACACGCTTTGCCCCAACTGACTGTGTGCCTGGGGCAGCCTGAAGACTCAAAGGCTGCTAGGAGCTCCCAAACTAGGGGAATCCCTTGCCTGCTTCCCACCAGCTGGCCTGACTCTCTGGAAACTTCCCCATTTCCCTGGGAGCCATAGAGAGGTTTGAATACTTCTCTCCAAGAGAAGAAATTTTTTCTCTCACAAAGGGATGGGGGACAGACAGACCAACAATCCAGCTAGGGAGACAGGAAATTCTATTCCCATTTTCTCCTCCAGCTTCCTTGGGAGTCAAAACAAATATGTTCGCATAAGAGAGGGGAAAAATAAATGTGTATGCGTATAAATACATACAGGGTATTTAAGAGAGCCTAGGGGAGACAGAAACAGAGCCCTACACTCATACAAGGTCACATATATCCCTCCCAGCAGATGACTGTGAGAATATAGAACTCTGTATATATTTTGTTACAGGGACATAATTTTGTTTCCCTGTCTAGACGTTTATAATGTTTTAATAATCATAATAATTTCAAAGTAAGAGAACCAAGAACCTGACCTTCTTTTGGCTTCTCTTCCCCAGTATCTCTGAGAACAGGGGTGTATCTCCTCAGTCTCCATAACCCCTCCCCCATTTATTCCCCCCCCCCCAACTCCGCCCGCAGGCAGGCAAAGAAACCTCTTTTGAGAACTTTCTCTGTAGCAACCAGGGCCAGAATTGAAGAACCAAGGGGGAAAGGATGAGAGGAAGCTTTGCAAAGTTTCACACTGCTCAGATTTTCCTCTACCCCATTCTCCTCCCCTCCTCCCCCTGGCATCAGCCAACAACCTTTCCACCAACATAGCAATGGTGGGCACGGGCAGCCTCTGTTCACCCAGATGTTTCCACATAGTGCAAAGACAGGCAGCTGCCTGACAGTCACAGCCACAGAAACTGAGGCCTTCAGGCCACAGACGACTAAACAGAGACCAGAGTCAGGTTTTTGCCCTGATGTTTCCCAGTTGCGTGCGTGTGCGTGTGTGAGGGGTTCTACTTGGACTTTGATGGCTTTCCTCTAACCTACCAACACCCCAAACATGTCCTTCCCCTGGAGATGGAGCTATAGAAGGGGAAGGGGAAAGGGCTGGGCTGGCGCTCAGAGTTCCCCAACTCTTGGAACCTCCAGGTACCCCACTTTTCTAAGGAGAATCTTGAGCCCCAGTCGACTGGAGGTGGTAGGTGGGAGAGGCTAACCATTCCAGAGACCGTCTTCTCTTTCTGTGCTCCTCTTTCTGCTAATAATTCTGCCCCACCCTGCTGCCCAACTGAGCTGGCCCGCCAGGCCACCTCTTACTCAAACTCCTGAATTTCCTTGGAATTGGCTGGACCCTCTTTGTCTGTCTCCATCAGCTGGGCCCAGGAGACAATAGCTGCAGGAAAGACTCCTCTCCCTTAATCACAGGGATTGGGATAGGTTGAGAGGACGGCATAAAGCAGGGTTCTCCAGACTTGTTCTGCAACCCCACTCACAGCTTGTCCTCCTTGGTCTGCACCCACTTTGCCCTATCTGGGAGGGGGCAGTGGGGCAGTCCCACTGGGGAGGGTAGGAGTGGGAGAGGTGGGTTGGGGCCCTCGACGAAAACCGACTGATGTAACTCAGGCAGTTTCTTGTTGCCGAGTTCAAAACTCAATCCCAACAACATGAAACTACCTAAGCCACAGATCAGCTGAGCGAGCAGGGCGGGAGATTCAGCTTTGCATCTATCTGGAGGAGAAGGGAAGGGGGTTGGGGAAGGAAGAAATTCAGCCCCGTCCCCCTTTCCGCCCCCACAACCTCCCTAAGGACTAGAGAGTAGACTTTGGGTTGCTGGGTGGGTAAGGGGTCTGACTGCCTTCATTAGTTTCTGGTCTAAGCAAATTGCTCAGGAAAAATCTGGTGAAATGGGACCACTGGCGGCCAAATACCTGCCCCACCCCCAGCACCGCAGTGGAGCTATTCCCCTGCATCTGGCCCTGGCCCTGGGGGAAGCTGGATCTTCCTTCCACTCTGGAGCTGGGTCCCCTGTCTTGTCCATCTGGCTCTCCTGCACTCTCCTGCTAGACTCCCTCTGATCCTCTCCCTCTCAGCTCGGTTTAGGCTTCTCAGCGAATGTGGGTAGCTGAATCATAGCCCTGTGCTCTGGAGCCACTTCCAATCAGGCCACTTGCCTGGCAAAACGTTACAGCCAGGGAGCACAGGGAACAAGAGGCTGGACGAGGCTCACATCCAAACCAGCGAAAAGCAGGAAAACCTAAGCTTCAAGCTTCAACCCTCTGTACTCCTCCTCCCCCACCAACAGACGACCAGACTGAGCAACACCTAGACCAGAGTGTCGACTTCGAGGAGACCCAAAGTGCCCGAAAAGATAAAGAAGCCAAAAACCATCAATTTATCCCTTTAACTGTGGAACCCCCATGGCAATGGGCCCGGGAGGGAAGGAGAGGGAGCTCCCAGTCGCTGCCCTCCGCTGCCAGCGGCCACTAGGAAAGCCTGGGTTCTCGGCAAGCACGGATGCCCTAAACACCTTCCTCCAGGCTCTGTCCGCTGCACGCCGGACACCTGGGGACACCGCTCATCCCCACTCCGCCGCCAAGAGAAGAACAAGAAACCGCTTCTCTTACCTTGTCGCTGCCTCCTCCTCCTGCTGCTCCTGGCGTTTCTGTTAGCTGCTGTCGAGGTTGGGGGGGCTGAGCTCCTCATGCCCCTCCAGCGGTTAAGTTTATTCCTTTCCTTGGATGGGTGGGGGGCTCTTGGGGTGACCCCCAGCAGCAGTGGGGTGCGCCCAGCCCAGCACCCCAGGCAATCAGATCCGTCTGCTCCTCAAGATTGCAGCTTGCTCTCTGCCTCTTTCCCTCCTCCAGTCACCTTTAAATGCATCTTTTACTGCAGCACCACATTATATTTGCAGATCATAAAATCCACCTCTCGCGCGCACCAAGACCGTCCTGACATTACTGTTTTATGACCTTGACTTATTGTGGTCACCTGGATAATATTTAAATCAACGTTATGGTCTCTCACTTACATTAAACCCGCCAAGAGACGTTCTAGAAAGGCTCTAGGAGATGAGTCAAACACAAAACACACACATCCACACACTCAGCCTCTTCGGGGGAGGGGTGTTGCTAAAAATCACTAAAAACAAAAAACCATCCATTTGAGGATTATGATTCTGGAAATTTATTAGGTTTTTTTTTCTCCATTAAGGAAGCTACATGCAAAAGATACAACATACAGAATATCTTTAAATAACACAACTCCCAGACAGGGACAGGACAATATTTGGGGGGGGGGGCATTCTGTCTTTGCTTTGCTATGTTCTATTTTTAATTTTTTTGTTCCTCTGGATGAAATTTCTGAGATGTTACTAGATGGGGGATGTGGGGGTGCTAGGAGGGGTGGGAGAAAAGCAGAAAGCAGTACAAATACGAGACTTCAAGCAGATTCTTAGAGCGACTGGGAGGTAAAGACATGGAGAGGGTTTGGTGGAGGCTCTGGGTGCTACGACAAACACACGAACACTAGCCGAACTTTCCAAAACGTCTATTAGTCTAAGGAGGAAATGCAGCAAGGAAGGAACGATTCTGCCTGTGCTCTGCGAGATTACAGACCCTCTCTGGTTAATTTTTTTCCTTTTTTTCCCCTACAAGCGGATGGATTCGATCTTAACTTTGCATGGAGAACAGAATGCTGTGTGTGAGTGCGTGGGTGAGTGAGGGCTTGACACACACACCAGCCACACTCCCACCCCCATCTATGAGGGCACACACCACACCCCACATCCCGGCACCCCATTTCTCATGCTTTAAGTGGAAGCATCTTCGCAGCACGAACCACAGGTCCCTTGGAAGGAGAGTCTGAGGTCTTTGCCTTTTTTGCAGTCGCATTGCATTTATACTCAGGGAGGAAAAAAAAATATATCACCAGGCACAAAGGGAGGAGGGGCGGGGAGAGGAAGGAGCGGGAAGGGAGGAGGAGAGGCCGCGCTCTCAGGTGAAATTAAAATTGGAGGTCAGTTCCCGGATCCGATTCTCTCGGTTCATTTTCTTGAGTTTCATTCTGCGATTTTGAAACCAGATTTTGACTTGTCTGTCTGTAAGGTTAATGGTCTTGCTAATCTCCAGGCGGCGCTCTCGCGTCAAATACATATTGAACAGAAATTCTTTCTCCAATTCCAGCGTCTGGTGTTTAGTATAGGGGCACCTCTTCTTCCTTCCGCTCTTTGCTGTCAGCCAATTTCCTGTGGTGTTTTCTGCCTTTATCTCCTCTGTTAAAAATAACATTATTTACATAAGTATCCCTCGAAGTCGAAAACCCTCTCAGCGCTGCAGCCTTTGCCAGCCTGCTGTGGGGTGGCTGAGGGAGCACAGGGGAGCTGCTCTTGCCCCAGGGGCCTGGCGGTGGGCTCCTCTTAGGCTCAAGGTTCTTACAATTTCTTTGGGGTTTAGACTTAGGGAGATAAAGGGAGGAAGTTCTTGCCTCCAAGCATTTATTAAATTTAAATTACCCAAGTCCACCTTAATCTAAAAGATCCTGAGTACCCTGGCTTTCCCCCAGCTGGCTGACCCTGGCAGATTCCCTAAACCTTGCCAGATCCCCCCTTCTCTCTGTTCCATTCCAGCTCTGGAAAAATCCAACCAGATGGAAAAGCATTTTCCAGGCCCCAGACCAGAGCAGAGTCCACCCACAGACCAGAGAAATTCCCAGAGAGCTTTGACCTGTTTCAACTCAGTGGAGGGACTTTGTTCCAGGATCTGTGGCCAGAGGCCACTGCAGTGGTCCCTGTCCTGGGCCCCCAGCTCTTACCCCAACCTGAGCTGCCACAGAGTGACTCTGCTCCCTTAGGTCTCCCATTGCCATCTCTTCCTCTCTTAATCATTTCTCCCAGGTATGTGCAGCTGAGGGGAGCTTGTAAGAGCAGCAGAGGTCAGGGGCAACAGAGCTGGGGCAACCTAAGGGGTCCTCAAACAACTTTCCTGGCCAAAGGACCTAAGGTCAAGGGAGAGACATATCCTGAGGAAATGCAGCCTCCTAGAAACCCCCTGCCCAGTCTGTGCATACGTAGATGTGTATGCCTGCAAGTACACATGTATACCTGCAGAGATACACACACCTATACACATAAGTACACACACATAGATATGTACATGAGTCTTTTTTTGTAAGGAGATACTATAGAATACTGTGTATTTCCCATGAGCTTATTGACAGCCTCTATCCCTGACACACATTCTTGCTGAAATGGACCAGCCTTGCTTCTCAAGTAGCAGAAGGGAACCTGGCCATCTTTTTAAGGGCAAAAAACAGAGTCCAAAGACCTGAGAGGACACCCAGCAAAGGACTCTGCTGATGGCTCTGAGCTCTCTCTCCTCCCTATTCCAATGAGGCTGCCAGGTTCCTGGATCTTATCTTGTTGGGGGCGGGGTGAGGCGGGGGCCTAAGAGGAACCAGAAAACACACAAAAAAGGCAAACTTGAGGTTGCAGTCTAAAAAAATCTGAATGTCCCGAATTTTCTCTCCTGTCTCTGCACCTGCAGCTTCTTGCCAGATTGTTTACAAGCTCTCCACATCTAACTACGTCCTGTTTATTTTCTTACTGGAGTTGTTAGGTTTGGTGGGGTGGGGGGACAAGACAAATTATAAATGGGGAAGTTTAATCAAAAGCTCTCTTGCCTCTGGCCTGGTGGAGACATCAAAACAGGAGGAGAGGAAAGAAGGGCACAGAGAGGGTACAGGGTAAGAGGGATTCCTTGGGGTGGGAGGGAT
Source organism: Homo sapiens (assembly GCF_000001405.40). Classification (NCBI taxonomy): domain Eukaryota; kingdom Metazoa; phylum Chordata; class Mammalia; order Primates; family Hominidae; genus Homo; species Homo sapiens. The sequence continues at coordinate 53,987,669 of NC_000012.12, read as the reverse complement.
TAGGTTGCTGTGGGGACAGCTAGAGGAAAGGGAGAGCCTATGGGAATGGGTGCAGGTCGAGTTAAGAGGTGAACTTGTTAACCTTGACTTTGCTTTTGGTGGGGGCTAGAATGCAGGTTTTCCTGCCCCAAATCTGCTCCCTAACCAAGCTCAGGGTCTGTAGAGAGGGTATAAGATTAAACCTTCACACTGCACACGTGCCAAACGAAAGGCTTTGAGGCTGTAGGCGCCTCACTCTCCCCCTTATCCTCATGAACACACCAGCGCTCATCTTCCAGTCAGTGTCTCTATGGGGATGATTTACCAAGACCACCTTTGCAGACCCAAGGGGATGAGGCTCTGCCCTTGCCCGCCAAAAGAGTGCCTGTGCATGTGTGAGCGGGCATGCGTGAGTGTGCAAGGATCATGCAATATGGATGTGCGTGAGTGTGGCACAGGTCGCCCGTAGGCATGCGTGTGCGTCGCATCCATATACAAAGCACCAGGAGATCCAGGCCGCCCCCAGCCTGCTCCGCTCTCAGTATTTCATCTTCCTCTACACCCAATGAGCCCCTTATATACTGTCACCAGTAGCCGGTGTTGTGGGGAGCAGGTTTATTCTTCCCCGTTGGTTGGGCCTTTTTCTGAGGCTCTTGCTACAACTTTTCAGGAAAAGTCGTTCCCCTCAGCTTTTCCTCCCCTGCTCCCGTTTCCTCCACATTCTTTCCCCAAGTATCAGAGAAAGATCCCGAAGGCCCCCAGCTCCTACAGCAGAAATGAATCTTGAACCCTGAGCTTGAACTCTGGCTGGGCTTTCTCTCAACCAAAATTACAGTGAAATCCAACCAAAGCCACATTCCCTTTCAGGAGAAAACCTCTTGCCACGCACACAGAAATTTCCCAACCACTCATTTGTAAGCTGCTTTTGGAAACCAATGAAAAAAGATAATTTAACTAGAAAAAAATGGAAAAGAAAAAATTAAAAGAGGAAACAGAAAACTTACAACATTCCAAATGCCCTGTTCCAACGCCATCCAAGCCAGGCATCTGGAGGAGGGAGGGACGTGGCGGGCAGCCCTTCACCTCCACCTCTTCCGGCTCCAGCCTCGCTGCCCAAGGCCCCCGGCCGAGCCAAAAGCCGCAGGAGCCCAAGCCGCACGCACAAATCAGACCCACAAACAACAAATCGCGTTTCGCAGGAAACAATTTTCAACTGGGAAAACGCAGTAAAGAGAACTCCCCCCATCTCCCCAGCCTTCCCTAGTCCCTGGCCCAAGATCGCCATTTTAGGCTTTTTGCAAGCCCCTGACCTGAGCTGGGGGACGTCAGCTCCCCAGGACACCAGCATTGAGAAAGCAAACCACAGCCAGCACGCGCCTGGGAGCAGCCACCCGTCCGGTGCAGCACACTGCGCCTGCAGGCGGCCCGCGGTGCGCACCGCCCCCGCCTTAGCACCCATGGCCGGGGCAGGGCCGACACCTCCACGTCGCCGCTTACCTTCCCCAGCTAAGTGACGCGCCACCAGCCTGGAGCTCAGCGGACGCTAGTCGAAAGCCAGGGTCGCATTCCCGAAATGGTCTGGGGCCTCCTGGGCCCAACCCTCTCCCCTGCCCCCCTCCCCGGCCGCGAAGACCAAGTGCCGGAACGTCCCAGTGGCGCCCGCGGCCCAGGCGGCCTTACCTTTCGCTTCGTTATCCGAGGTGTCTGGGCTGGAGTCGGCAGCTTTGGCCCTCTCCTTTTCGCTCTCCGAGGGGCTCCCTTTAGGGCCCGCCAGGCTCTGCTCCGTCTTGATTTCATTGGGGCTGGGGGTCTGGCTGTCGGACTTGGGGGTCTCAGGGAAACTCACTTTGCCCCCCAGCTGAGGCGATTCCAGATGTTCGGCGCGCGGGTTGAGACTGGCCCGCTGCTCGAAAGGGGCTTCGAAGTCGTTGGCCCCAGAACAGTGGGGCGTCTTGTCCAGCGCGGAGTAGCTCGGGCTGGCGCGGTAGTAGCTGGGCACGGGTACCTCGTGCTCCCCAAGGCAGGACTCCGGCAAGGGGTGGGAGTAGAGAGCTGCCTCGGGGCCACTTTTCGCCCGCTTCTCTGCGCTGTACATGCAGCAGACATTCTCCTCCTTGACACTAGGTGGGTAGGAGCAGGAGGACAGCGGCCTGCCAACAGGTTGTTCCAGGCGATAGGCGGCTTTGGGGTCGCCCCAGGAGTCCAGCTGCGAGAGGTAGGACGGATAGGTGTTGAGGGCGAGGCTGGGGCTGCTGCCCTCGTCCCTCTTGGAGAGCGAGGGCGCGAGCCCGCAGCCCCTCATCACCCCGCAATTGAAGTCACTCCCAGACTGCATATACATGCCTGCGCTCCGGCTATAGCGCTCTCCTCCGCCGGGCGCAGCCAAGGGCTCCGCGTACGAGTTCGGAGTTACATTGCGAGGGCATGTCATTTTCAGAGAGAGGGGTTTTTAAGGAGCAATACTACAGCGGAGGAGCTGACATCTTTTTTTTTCCCCATCCGGGAGGGGGGGCGCGGTTGGAGGGGAGGGAGGAAAAAGAAGGGGAGGGGGGGAAATATCAGCTCCGTAATTATCCGCGCATTCGGTTCTCACCATGTGACGGCTAGACCAATGGGATTTGAAAATGGCCTTGATGATTCAGACGGCCGTGACGTCAGCGGGGTCAAGTTGTCGGCAGGCGGAGCGCGCAGAGTGGAGTAACAGCGCCATCTAGCAGCTGCCTCGGGGTAGGGGCACCGGAGCCCTTCCCCGCGAACAAAGGAAGCGCCCCCCGGGCGGCAGGGGAGGTAGAGGGGTGGAGGGGGGTGGGGGTGGGGGTGGGGGTTCTAGGAAGAGTGGGGTTTGTTTATCCAGTAACCAGCCTGTAACTCCTGGGGAGAAGGGGGCGGAGAGGGGGGAAATGCGGGAGAGAGGGAGAGAGCGAGGCAACCCGGGGCTCAAAACAGTCAAATTCAAATTAAAAGGTCGAGACACGAATCAGGTACTTCTCCCCACTCTTCATCTCCCCTTTCCATATCCCCGGACCCGACTCCCACTTCTTACCTTGGGGATGGGAGTGGGGTGAGGTTTGTGGGGGGGGGGGTTTGGGGGGATCTGATGAGCAGAGAAAGGGGAAAAAAAGTTAAGGAATACCAAACAGGACTAAAGTTTCTGCTCTCCCGCCTCCTCTTTTCCCCGGGCTTGGCCCTCGGGGCTGGAAGCTTGGGGGCCGCGGCGCTGGAGTTGCAAGTTTCCTGTGGGGGTTGACTGGGAATCTCCAGCCTCTAGGGTGGGCCAGGGAGGGGGTCACGGTCACTTCATGGCTGCTCGGAAAAGGAGGTTCCGAATGGACGCGGGGTAGGGGAAAGAGGAAGCCAGAGACCAGAGGCACCCGATCCCCGACCCGAGAGCTGTGGCCTGGGCCTGGCAGGGTGGGCGGCTCCTGGGTCACCATCTCAGGGGCCCACAAGGCTTTGGCCTTGGAGCCGGTTCTGCTGCTTTACTTCAGGCCCTGGCGGTCCTCGCTTTCCGCTTGACCTTGCCCCCGCTAAAACAGGGAATATTCCGGGAAAGAAAGAGGGAACCTGCGGAGCCTCGGTCAGTTTGGAGGAGTCACGTATCACACGGGAAACCAGCACACAAGACGCAACAAAACCCGACCCAGAGAAGCGTCCTTTACAGAGCGCACGGGCTGGGAGCATGTTTGAAAGAAGACAGACCAGTCTATTTTTGTGGTTGTTTTTAAATAAAAGGAAGAAATAAGGGGAACCGTATGTTTCAAACAGTTATTTCCGTTTCTCCATCGCCTTCTTCCAAAGCGAACTAAACTCTCCACCCCTTCCTCAGGAAACGGAATCTGGAGAACAACTTGTCTTTCCTGTCGCCCCACATTTTTCCTTGGACAGAGCCTAGGGTTCAGACTTTCCGAAGGGCTGGAGTTTGGCGGGGAAAGGACTGGAGCCCAGCGCCCTGGAGTGGAGGAGTGAGGAGGCTAGACCGTTTCTAAGGAGGCCCAAGCCCGCTGCGGCTAGAAGACCGCAGAAAGAAATCCGCCGAATTTCCCCATCCAGGGGTGGAGAGAGAAGACGCAGGGGTTCCTGAACCTCCGGAAAACTGGAAGGAAATGTGGAGTGTATGATTTGCTTGCAGGACCGGCCAGGGGAGATTTGAAATGGTTTTGTGTTTTCATATGCAGGGTCACCGTGGCCTCAGCATGGGGGTTATCCAGGGCAAGGTTAGGCTGTTTAGGCCCCAGACTTGGGACAGTCCGGGCAGCAGTCAATCCAGGGAGCCATTTGTCCCACCGCCCATCCCGCGGGAAACGGGCGAGACTTTATGGCCACTCTGTTTGTATTATCTGCATTAGTCTTTCCCCACCAGTTTGATCGAAACCGTTCCCTTTTACGAGGACCCAACGAAAATTTCCCGTCATATTTATCAGCCAGGGATAAAAATTTAGTATGGGAACTGATATTTCCTCATTTATGGGACGATGAAATTAAATACCAAAGCAATTGAGAATTATATGGCTTTGGGGGTTCCCTCCCCCCTCTTTCACGTCTCCTTTATTTTCCTGCCTGGTGTGCTTTTCCCAGGAATTTAGCGTCCCAGTTCCCTACCCTTACCCCCCACTTTGGAGTCTGGTGGGTCCTTTTCCCCACGGCCAAGTGGCCCTTGGCCACCTCAGCCTTTTCTTTTTTTTTTTCTCTGGGTGTTAGTAGCTGGGGGCCAGGACAGTGCTACCCGAGCCTCTGCCCAGGCCAGCCAGGACAGGCTGGGATCAGAGAAAGGTTTCCAGGGAAGAGCCGCAAAGGGTTTGAGCCCAGCCTGGGAGGGGGTGAAGGAGTCGGCAGGAAAGGGTGAAGGAGATAAACTTCAGACAAGCCCCAAGGCGTAGCCTGGGGAACCAGCAGACAGGGAGCAGACCCATCGGCCTCAGGGGTCCCACCACCCAACCTCTTTCCAAGCCCACCTCTCACCTTAGCCAAGGGAGAGGACAGAGTCGCTTCGGAATTATCGCCATCATTAATGAAAATAATACTCCAGGGAGGAGCCTCCCGCCTCGACTCCCACCTCCTCACAAGACAGAATAGTGTTTAAAGTTGAAATAATTAGAAGTATGATAAACACGGCCGATTAATGAAAAAAGAAATCAAATTCATCAGCCTAAGTGGGACCCCCGGTGGGACAAATGTTTGCCTCTAATTACGCAAGATAAACGAAAACCCGGTGCTGCTAAACTAGAGCCCGCTCGGACGCAGACCTGAATAACTTGTTGGGTTTTCACAGACTTTGAGATTCTGCTTCAGTGGAGGTAAAAGGAAGGAAAAAGTGAGTGTTTTATCCTGGCGAAGGGAGCATTTGTGCGGGCCTGGGTCCCAGCCCTGCCCCCTTGGGCTCGGTCTTTCCCGAGGCCACGAGCAAAGGCTGTTTCGGTCCTATTGTCCGGGCCTGGCGTTCAAAGGCATGCGGGCCGCCACAGCGACCCCGCCTGCCGCCACTGCCAGGCACCCACCGCCCTGCCCCACAGGGCCAAGATCCTTCAGCCTGTGCCCTTGGCAACTGGATTAGGATCCAGGGGAGGCCTGTGTTGCTAGAATCACCCACATATGGACTTTTATTAATCCATTTCCCCAACTTTCCGAGGGCGCTGAGACACCTATGCCTATGCCTACGTCTGGGGCTCCCCCCTCTTACCTCAACTTGGGAACATGAAAATCCAGGGGCTGCAAGCCACAGTGGGGCTCAAGCTGTGCATACGACCTGACAAATCCCACCCAGGGCCAATGCCCTGGCCCCTTTCTCCCTTCCCGGGTACCCAGATCCTGGAAAGGCAACAAGGACGGGGCTGGGCCTCCTTCTGTCTGTGGGGCTGTGAGCAATGCAGAGGAGGAGGGTTCAGGAGCTCTGTGAATACTCTGGGAGGATCCAGCGGGTTCCACAGGGCAGCCCAAGGGCTGGGGCGCTAGGGGTCCCCACGTGAAAGCAGAAGAAGGAAAATATGCTCAATGAACAAAAAAGGACCTTTGTTGCTTTCTTGGCTGTAGCCCTCAACACACCCCAGAAGCACCCTGGTTTCTCCAGCAAAAAATTGGAGTTTCCCCAACAGGTTAAGAAAGTCAACTGGGAAATTCTGAAGATGAAGTGAAAAAGGAAGAATGTCTTTCCCTTTTGGGTTAAATAATAAAATAAAAATAAAGTGTGTGTATTGAAATCTTTTTAAGCAAAGAGGAAACAGAATCACACCAGAGATTGCAGGTTTTTTCCTCTTGCTTTGGAGGCCGAGATAAATCCTTCCCTTCCCAAAACTTGAAGAAAAGATTCGCTTTTCTTCTTCACTAGCACCAGGCTCTGCCCCAGCTGAATTGGGAGCAGGGAAATTCCAGGCAAAATTCGGAATGCCCAGAGACCCAGAAAAGAAAAAGATTTTCAAACAGGTACTAGAGGGAGGTAGGAGGCTGAGGACACTTAGCAGGGCCTCTGGTCTACTGTGGACCTCACAGCCCCCCAGGCAGCTCGGCCAGCAGAATCTCTCACGTCTTGACATTGCACACACTTGCACACAGATGCTACGGAGTTCAGCATCTATACACGTGTCTAACTTGCACTTAAATATGTGTACACAGCCACAGATATTCACTTTTACCCAAAGTGCTGTCTAAGATCTCCGAATCCCGAATTCTAATAACCCGCGCCAGTCTGACTGCTTCCTGGCCCTGCCGAAGCTGGCCAGTTATTTAATTTTGTCCCCTGAATTGAAACCAGACCGAAGACACCTCGGAGAGAAGCTTTGGGAGGAGGGTGGGAGGATGTCTTAGGGGCAGGCCCTGCCCCCCACTTTAGTGGTTTGCTTCTAAGTTGCCCCCAGTAAGTCAGGTTTCTAGCTAGAGTCGGGGCTGTGGTTAGGCTGGCTTGCTCCGGAGAAAAACACCGAACCTTTCTTACCGGTTAAGTTCCTTTTCAAAGATCTCTGTTTGCCTTCCTTTCCTTTCTTATTTTTCTTTTTTTTTCTTCTCTTCTTTCTTTCCTTCTTGTTTCATCCTTCTCTTTTCTCTTTATTTGCTTCTTTCTGTTTTTCTTTTTCTTTTTTCTTCCTGTAATTTATTTTTTCCTACTTTTTCCAATCCTTTCTCTTTCTTGTCTTCCTTATTTCTCCCATTTCCTTGTTTCCTTCTTTCTTTATTATACAATTAATTCTTTGCTCTTTTCTCTCTCCAATTATTTCCTTCCCCCTGACTTTCTTTCCTAGCCTTTCTTATTTTTCTCTGGTGTGCTGGGCTTAGTGAGGGGGACAGCACCAGGCTCAGTCGCATGCCTCCCTAGCCCAGCTGCTAAGGCTTGGAGTTGACCTTCTCCCGCCTACAGCCTTAGCTCAGCTCCTCCTCACAAGGCGAAGTGTAGGGCTGCCAGTCATCAGCAGCCAGGCCCCAGCAGTCGCCATTAGAGGGAGGAAAAATAGGATTCTGGGGCACATCCACACTAGTGCTGATGGCTTCTTGAAGTGCTAGGATTCAGGGGTCATGTATTTTCACTTCCATCACCCCAAAGGAGGCTTGTCTACCAGGCCTACCTTTGGAGAAGTCTGTCCCATCTTTGTCCTGACCTCCGGAGCTGAAACATTAAAATGGCCCAAAGTTGAGCCCAGTTGGTGCTCCCAAGGCTGGAGTCAGGGGAAATGAGCGAGTGGGATTTTGTCAGTCCCAGGTTGAGGGGCAGGTCCAGGGGTCATCCGTGGGCAAGGCCATCTCCCACATGGCCGCCTTTGTTCTCTGCTCCTGGACTGCAGCCCTGCTGGGCCCTCTGTCTCCTTTGGTCCTGCAACCACTGCAACCTCTGGGCAGGAGTTTCCTGGTATTTTGGATTCTTTCTTCAAACCCATTGTCGACTTCACAGGCGGCAGGCAGGAAGGCAGGGCTATGTGTGCAGAGACCCTCCCAAATCAGCAGTCTGAGTCAAGGTTATGGGTCTTTGCTTTGTGCAGTGGGTTGGAGGGGTGCGGTGCAGAGAGATGTGTGTGTGTGTGTGTGTGTGTGTGTGTGTGTGTGTGTGTGTGTGGAGAGAGAGGGAGAGAGAGAGAGTAGTGCCTACAGGAGAACAAGAGGGTGTGATGGGGGAAGGTCTTGTCATGCTGATATTGTCCAAACTTTTAGAGTTTGTAAAGGTGCAAGAGCAGAGTGGACAGGACTCTGTCCAAAGAGGCTCCAAAGCTGAGTCCAAGATGGGCTTTAGGAAGGATTGACTCAGATCTTCAAGCCTTTTTGCCTTAGACAGAGAAAGGCAGCTCCATACACTCCCTTCCCTGCACTGCCACCCCTCAGAGCCCCTCTCTCCCCTGCCTTTCAAAGACCTGTGATTTCATCCTATGGCAAGACCAAAACTTACTTTTTTTTTTTTAAGGGATGGGGAATCTTGTAAAATTTTTATGCCAAACAAAGTTATAAAAACTTCCTGGGCGTTGCCTTTTCCAAAGGTTTATATGAATAATAAAGAGTGCAGTCGCGTGCACTGGTTCTGGCGGGCTCTCAGTAGGGAGGGGTTAGCAAACAGCATTATCCAACCCTGGGGCACCAGAAAACCCCAGTAGCTCCCCCCTTCAGGGAATACTGGCCCAGAAACAATTGCCCTACGGATTCCTGAGAGAGGCGGGGAAAGCGAAGGGGTGGTGCCCTTGACTCCCTTGAAGTTCAAAGTTCTTCTTTACTCTTAAGAGAAGAGCCCTTTCTGCTCTCAGCCCACTCGAGAAATTAGCCCAAGGTAGTTTCTCCCCTTCTGGTTGAGAACTGGCTCTAGGTATTCCCAACTCTGTTCACCTTTCAGACACCTGGTTTGCACCTTTTGCTCCCCCAGAACAGGGCTCCCCAATCTTTCCATCTGGGACAACTAGAGCCAGGGAGTTTTCTCTCAGAGGTGCTTGGCAGGGGTTTCGAGTCTTCTTACAAGGGGCCCTTGCATCGCCATTCCTCAGCCACCTAAGAGTCTAAGTGACAAAGAAACCCCAAACTCAAGGCTACTCCTAAACCCATTTCTCATTTCGAGTGCCCTTGATTCCTCCTGCACCCCAAAGCCCATGGTGGAAGGGGGAGGGGCCCAGAGTGCTCTCTCAGCCCACACCACTTAATACCCTTGTAAACTCCCACGTGCACTATAAACTTGGATTTTTACAACCAGCATTCCTCCTTAGCTCCGGGAAACTTTGAACTCGGCCTCAGGTTTATTTACTGGGGCGGGGGGGTGGGGTGGGCGCGGCGGGGAGGAAAGGGGCTGGGGTGCTGGGAGCTGAGAAAGGCTGGAGAAAAGAGGAAAAATGTGGGGCAACGGGCTGAGGAGGTGGGGGTCTGAGTGTGTTGGGAGAGCCAAGACCCTCCACTACAGGTTTGTTTACTATTTAGGGCGGAAGTGGTTTCTAATACAGGCCAGACTGGGTCGTTAAGGTCGAAATGAAACTGGGTTTAGAAACGTGAGGGGGTGCTTTATGGCAGCGTCTAGACGAGGATCTTTTGTTCCCGGGCAGTGCTGCGGCTAGAGGGGATTACCCCAAGAGGTTGAGCCCAGAGTGCCCCTGACCTGCAAGGGGGGTTGGACACCTTGGGAGACGGAAGGTGGGTTTGTTTGGGGGCCAAAAAACCCTTTTTCCTCCTTTTTAGAGGGTCACCAAGGACTGGCAGATTCCTGGCTTGGGTCACAGAAGCCTTTGTTTTTCTTTCATGATGACCTTCTCCTCTCATCCACCAGAACTCTCTTTTGGAGCTGAGGACATTTCTGGGCTCCACATTGCAGAGAAAGTGTTACCTGCGGGTTTTAAATATTTTTCTCCAAAATCAGGCATTTGGAGGCTAATATTTTGCTTTATAAATAGGTTCACCTTATAGAGTTTCCTCTATCCTAATTTCACAGGAAACATCACCAGCAGGCTAATATTTCCTAATGTGGCTAGTGGATAAACATCATACCTAGAGAAGTGTCACACACACATACACACACAAAAATGTACAGAGGCCCCTCAGTTGCATTCCTGCCCACACTCAACAAACACTGCCAATGGTTACACACCACAGAGACACAAGCTCTAGATGTGTATGTGGTCAGGTTTACTCCATGCAACAGACAAAAGCATATAAATAATATTCCTTCTTATGTGCACCCATAGGCACACCGAGTTAAATAAAACGTTTGTGTGTGGGCACATGAGGGAATTGTGGGCTGCATATACACCCTAGTTTGCAAATCTTGTCTCACGACCCGACCCACGTTTACAAATTAGAAATTTAGATACCTAAGCTGCAGGGATTCCTACCATCAAAAATGACAGAACCTAGATTTGATAGTCATGATGCTTTTTCCTTTCATCCAACAGAATTGTATTGACAAAAATATTTTCTTTGAATTATACAAAGACAGAAAGAGGAGGGAAAGATGAGATGAGTTGTCCTGAACCTCTGCCCCCAAATAACGAATTTGAAACAGAGACCAACGAAGTGCCCTCACTGAAAGCACTGCAAGGGCCATGATTATCTTTATACAGAAGAAACATGCAGCAAATATAGATGGGTATGGTGACTGTCCCCGCAGGTCATCTCCATCCCCAGTGCCAACCCCTACAAAACAAACCTCTGGGGCTTTCTACTGTGGGACACCCAATGTATAAACATCAGGGTGGCCCCAGTATAGGCGTCTTGTTGTGTCTGGAAGAGCCTGGCCATTTGTGCCAGAGGGAAAGCAGCCAGGCCCCACCTTCCCACCCCCAGGAGCTGTGGAGAGGAGAGGGAGGGGGCTGGTTTCTCCTTCTGTCCCCTCCTTCCTTAAAAACAGTGTATAAAAATTCCAATACAGATTTCTCCTAGAGAAAAAAAAAAAAAAGCCCTAACCTCCACACTACACATTTAACTGCGACAGACGGAGACATCTGGCAGAAGGGCGGTGGAGCCAAAAAAATTCCTATAAATTTAAATTCGATGATGGTTACAATTAACTCCACAACAAACGTGTACTTAAACAGAAAGCCGTTGCTGGGCGTTTGGACACAGCTCGAGCTGCACGTGAGAAAGGAGAGCTTCAGAGTAGCTATGGAATGTCCTCAGCTTGAGAATGTGAGGAGACTACGGCCATACTCTTGGCCCTGCCAGCGGAGAGGAGCTCCAGGCCGGCTAGCACCGGCCTATCTCACCTCTGCCTGCCTGTCCTCACCCGCTGGGCTCTGCCTGCCTGCCTCCTCCTCCTCCGCCGCTGCCATGGGAGCATGGAGGATTTTAAGAGGAGAGGGGTTAATAAAAGGGTCAAATAAAATCATAATATTGAACAGAATGAAATTTATCTTTATTTGCCACCAAAAAAATTTCACAGCAATCCCTCTGGGAAGGGAGCAGGGTGGGGAGTGCACATGTACACACGCACTCACGCAGAGGAGTAGAGATGCGTGATTTGAATCTCACTGGGGGCGTCCCCCCCTTTCCCTCCAGGTGGAAAGAAACGCTTGGGAAATTTATTTACAAAAATCCAGGCCCCAGCACGGGGGAGGTGCCCAATCCCATCTCCCTACTGCCTCCACCACCCCAATCTTCAATTTTCTTAAAAAAAAAAAAAAAAGAGGTAACGACTGCATAGACTATAGCTATAAATCCATGAAGTGGGGCACTGCTTGGAAAAAGATGTGGAAACCTCAATGCACCGATTAAGAAATTTCAAAGGAAGGTTCTACACATTCAGGGGGAGAACAACTAGGCTCGGGCGGGGCCTTGGCGAAGACGGAGGTAGGACACGGACTTTGCACACCTAACACCAGGTTGAAGGTACAGAAATTTCACAGCAAGGCAGGATCACATTTAGCTGCAAGGTGGGGCGGGGTAGAGGGGGGAGCTCGAGAAGTTTCCGCTGGCAGACATGCTGTCTTAGCGGATCTTTTCACATGGGCAAGGGAAGGCTTTTAGTTCGAGGATTGTTCGGCTCAGGCGCTCACTACTGTCGCCCCTCCCCCACCTAATCCGAGCAGCAAGACATTGTCGCCGAGGTGTGTTTTCTTTTAAATCAAAGTCTTGGCCTCGGCGCCAACGGTGTTCACTCGCCGTGCATCAGACACTTCCCTTCACCCCCTTTCCAGGCCCGGTCCCTGTCCCACAGCGAGAGTCAGATAGAGGGTCCAGGAGGTTCCGGAATGGAGTGCCGGCCACAGCGGTGGGGGCCAGCCCTGGCCACAGTCCAGTTTTCCACCGGCGGAAAGAAGACGAGTTAGAAAATAAAAAATAAAAATAAAATAAAATAATTTTCCCCTCCCCCCGCCCCCAAAAGGGCCCGGTCTGCAGGTTACAGCAGAGGATTTCCCGAGAAATACTGCAGCCGGTCTCTGCTCAGTTTCTTTTCTTTCATCCTTCTGTTCTGAAACCAAATTTTCACTTGTCGGTCCGTCAGGTTCAGCATCCGGGACAGCTGCAGCCGCTTCTCTTTGTTGATATACACGTTGAAGAAAAACTCTCGCTCCAGTTCCCGGATCTGGAATTTCGAATAAGGGCAGCGCTTCTTGCGGGTGCGGGGGGCGTCTGGAGGGAGGGGAGGGGGCAAGTGCGAGGAGAGGGGGGAGAGAGACACGTGAGACCCGGGCGACCCCAGCCCGCTGAGCGCTCAGCGGCCCTTCTCCTAGCCCACCGCGGGCAGCCCTCCCGCCAGGCGGCTGGCTCTCCTGCAGCCGCAGCACCCGGGCAAGCCTCGACCCCCTGCCAGGTCTAGCGGGTCCCCACCCCCCCGCCACTGCGCCACCCCGTCCCCAGTTCTCAGGCGAGAGCCGCGGCTGACAGGGTCTGGGACAGAAGGAAAGCCCTCCAGGTACACGTGCGTCCCCTCGGGCCCCCTGTCTGCTCCCCCTCCGCCCTCGGGCCCTTCCTGGGCCGCCCTCCTAGTGGTTCGGAAAGCCCAACCCCTCCCCCAGAAATCTGGGGGGAAAGCTGAGAACAGGCGCGAAGCAGTGAAATCTGGCGAGAGCAGTCGGGAGGCGGGGAGGAAGCCGGCCAGCAGGCACCGAGACACCAGAGAGCCGCTTCCGGGGCCCTGGCGCCCCGGGAAGCCCGCGGGGCAGCGCCTTCCACACCGCAGTTCTAGGCAAGCACTAAGGCCGCGGACCCGGGAGAAACGCCCAGACCCCCGCCTGGAACGCAGTGGAGTCCTGCGCCGCCTCGCCCCATTCCCCTGTCGCCGCTGACCCCAGAGTTGCTTGGGTTTCTGCTCGAGGACCCGCGAACACATAGTTTGAACATTTTCAAAACTAGTTTTAAGAAGGATCATAGCGGTCCTGGCTTGCCTCTCCGGTCTCAGGTTCTGCTCCATTGCTCCTCTCCCCCACCTCTCCCCCTCTCTGGATCTCTCCCTGTCTTTCCCTCGCCCTCCCCTTTCTCCCCCTCCACCCCTCCCCTCCTCCCCACTCCTCGGCAGCCCGGCTCCCCATACTTCCTTAAATGCTCCTCTAAGTTCACGATCAAAGTTAATATCGCCCGCAATGGTTGCGCTTTTAAAAATTTCACAGACCGAGGGAGATAACGGGGGAGGGGGGTTCACCCGGCTTTTCCAAAGAGCCCTTTTCCCTCCCTCCCCACCCCTTCTCCATCGTAAAAAGTCGAGTCGTTGGGAGAGAGGGCTTTGTAGGTTATAATAAAATCCTTTGAATGCTTATAAAACTCCACATAAAATCGGACTGACCCAAAACACGAGGCCGTCCCCGCTCCCCTTGCCTCCCCCCTTCTCTCGCCCTCCCTCTCTCGCTCCCTCCCTCGCTGCCCGCCCGTTCCCCGGCCGCTGCTACCTACTGGGGGCGGCTCCTTTGGCCGGCTCCTTGGCCACGGAGTGGGCTGAACCGGACGAGCTGGGATTTGTGTTCTCCTCCTCAGCCTCCGCCTCGGCACCCGCCTCAGCCCGGGACGCCAGTCCCGAGGCCGGGGGTGCCTCGGGCTCCCCCTTGGCCTCGCCCTTGCCGGAGCAGGGGGGCTCGGCGGGCGGGTCGCCGCCACCGCAGTAGGCGTTGTCGAAGAAACGGTCGAAGGCTTGAGGCAGGACGCTGTTCTTGTTGACTGAGGAGTAGAAGCCGGCGGGGGTTGCGTGCGGGGCGCTGGGGTGGTGGTGGCCGCCGTAGGAGCCTTCGTTTTTCATGAGGATCTCGGTGACGGTGGAAGGAGGCAGGCACTCCCGGTGCATAAGCTCGTCGGCCGCCGCATAGCAGGAGGAGTAGCTGTTCCGATGGTGCCACTTGCCGGATGGCTCCAGGCCGTAGGAGACCTCCCGGACCGGGGGCACTTGGGCCGAGTAGGGATAGGAGATCTGACGAGAGGGGGCCTGGGGCAGGAAGGAGGAGACCGTGGAGAACTCGGGCATGTAGTAAGTGCAACTGGGCAGATAGAGGTTGGAGGCGCAGCTCCCTCGCTCGCCGAAATCTGCGCCCCTCTCCTTGCGCGACGGAGAGCAGAAGTTGCCCAGGTTGACCGAGTTAAACATCGTTCTCCTCTCCTGCCGGCTCCGGATGGAGGTTTTGGACCCGGTCTAGCGAGGGGGGAAAATTTGGGAAGGCGAGATGACGCGTTATCCGTCTTAGTCTCTCTCTCTCTGAGCACGTGATCCAAAGTAGATATTGTCATATATCAGTTCGGAGCACTTCGCAGACGTAGGAGGGGTTCTCTCTTAGGTAAGATCGGGGACGTTCAGGCGATTGGTTTGCAAACACCGCAGAAACATTATGAAAATCAATTGCAGATTTGTATTCGTTTTTCTCTCGTCACTCCCCTTCTCTCCATACCACAGCACGAGCAAAGGAGGAGAGAGAGGGTTGGGGTGGGGTGGGCGGTGGGATGGGCGAGGGTGGTGGCTGGGAAGGGGTAATTGTATTTTTTTCTAGCTGCTGCTCTTTTTTCCCCCAGGATTGGGGGAAGGAGGAGGGCTCTCATGTATGGGGGTCTTGCCTCCTCTCTGTGAGCAGCACCAGGAGGGTGGGAGTGAGGACTTCTTTCCCCACTGCCTGATTTCCCCAGAGAAGTGAATCCTTTCCCTTAAATCTCAGGGACTCTTACCCTTCCAACCCGCAGAGACACCGCCTGTTCACAAGAGTTTGAAGAAGTCCACTCTTTTCCTGGCCAGAGCTGGGTGTCAAGACTACCTTTCTGGAGTCCTTAGAGAGACTCCCGGAAGAGTATCTGAAGTTTCCCAAAGGTGAGGCAGCCCAGCTGCAAGCCAGTGTCCCAACTTTGTCTGGCTTGCTGTGCTGCCCCTGGCTAGGGAGTCAGATTAGTCATAAACGAGTGGTGAGCAGTGCGCCAGCCGCCCAGCCGGTGCCTGGCGAAGTCTGGGAAAAACCTTCTCTAATGTTGTGTTAAATATTTAGTATGAGAGAGTGGCCCTGGGTGAATATTTCATGCCTGCCTTTATTGTCAATCAATGTGAAGAAAGCTACATCCACTGTGGATTTTCAAATCCCAAACCCCAAAGAAAAGGATTGGAATGAGAGCCATGTATCTTCTATGTCAGGGCCCTTTGGCTTAGTGGCTCAGCCTCAGCTAGTGCGCTGAAAAGAAGCCTAGTGTAGGGGTCCAGGAAGAATATGGTGGGGGGGACTAGGTTTGGGGTTCTTATCCTTGGATGATTTTGAGGACTGTAAGGTGGGTGGTGGGGCCAGGTATGGGTCTCCAGAAGAGACTAACCAGACAGTGGAAAGGAGCGGTGGATGCTGTGGCATCAGGGGAGGCCCAGCGGCCACTCCCTAGTCAAAGCCCCCAGCCTCTGTCCCTGGGGCTGTGACCAGATCTTAGTGCCTCCTTCCTATTTCTCAGCCCTGTCCTGCCCTCCTACAAGTCTGTCAGCCTCCTGGATAGCTGTAGCCCAAGAAGTAGGCTCAGTCATTCTGCATCCCCAACCCCTTGCCTTCCATCCCTCTGAGCACCACAGGACACATGTGGGCATCTGAAAATCACTTTATTGAAAGGTTCTGGACTGGGTCCAAGGGGCCAAAAGCAACCAGCATGAGCTGAAAGCAACCTTGGATCCAAAGAGGAGCTGCCAGGGCACAATTTGTTTGGGAAGGAGGGGAAGAACCGAAGCCCCCAAGGGCTCAGCCCAATGCACACTCAGGGGAAAACAAAAAATAGCCCGAACTCTCTTTACATCCATAACCCTCAGTTAAAATTAGTTTCCACTTAAAGAAATTAGAATGGATTTGTCTTGATGAAACATGATAAGGTGCTGCGGCTCCCAAACCAGATAAGGAGGACACAAAAAATTGTAGCTTGTCTCCATATGTAACCCCTAAAATCCATTCCTCCTCAATGCTCCTGCCTCCTCAAACTTGCTCAGCATTTAAGTGACACCTGAGTGGAGTCTGCCTCCACCATGGGTCCCATTCTCAGGGTGGTTCTGGAATACTCAGGGATAGGTCTCAGGTGCCCCTCTACGCACTCAATGCTGGGCGCTACTCCTTTAGTTCTGGTCAGATCTTAAACTGAAGCAAAGAAGAACTAGATTGGGGCTTTGCTGAAGTGTGAGACTTCTGTTGGTAAGGGGCCATGAAAAGAAAAATCTGCTGTGTTTCCTTTTTCCTCTAGCCCTTTTTATAGAGTGAGATGGGGCCAGCATTTTTAATTATAGTGGTGGGGAACTATGGACTATGGCTTTTAATGGGGTTCACACTGACCTCATTAAACTCGAGTTTATTGAAGGCAAAATGCTGCCCAAACAGTGATAGGAACCAGCAAGAGGGAAGCGAGAGGTACCCCTATCCTTGCAGAGGTGTGGATGAGGGCTCGAGTCTCAGATCCCGCTTTCTCCACTTCCACCCAAGGCTCTGCTTCCTTCCCCCTCCTGGCCCTCCAGGGTGATGTGGGGCCCAATCCCCCAAGGCAGATTCAGCAAAGCCAGGACTGAGATGGGGGTAGGGGCTGTATCCTGTGAGGAGACAGCTGCTGGACTGAGCACTTGAATTTGACCACCAAAGTTTATTCCTGGGCCACCATAAAAGTGAGCCAGGCGGCAACAAGGAGCTGCTGGCGGCCCTATTTCCTTGAAACAAAAAAGAAATGCAAGAAAGAATGTCAAAGAGTTGATGTCTAGGAAACGCTGGGGTCTCCCAACAGAGACTTCTGGAAAGTAATATTCCTCCCCTTAAAAGTAAGGCATAAAGTTTAAAATGTTCTCTAGTGTTGATATGGCTTAGTTTTTCAACAAATCAAAAAACCTCTAGCAACTGTCAGTTGCTGCTACGGTCAAGGAAAGAAGGCCCTGGCCACTGAGGTCAGCTAGACATTTACTGGCAAAAATGCCCATGGTCTGGAGTAGCCTCCCTGCCCAGCCCTGGGTCCAGGCTACCTGGACGCTTCAGCTGAGATGTTTGCCCTAGGCTGCACCCTCTCAGCCTGTGGATTCTGGCCACAGCATCAATACCTCCCTGTACAGGAGCCATCCCTGGCCCCCAATCCCTTCCTTGTCAAGCCCGCTCCAGGTGGCTTATTTGTATCTTATCTGGTGGGTGCCTGTGACCCCTCCATCTGCTTTGAGTCCTGGCCTTCACCTGAAATTCTCTGCAGCAGGGCCATCCGGCCCTCCCCACTGGCTCTTGGTGTCCTCAGTCAGCGCCATCAGCCAGCCTGGCTGCTAGCAGGCGGCTGCGGTCTGGGCAGCTGTCCAGGTAGCTGGACCAAAGTTAAGGCAGACTCCAGCACCCTTCCCTCCAACACACGGACAACAGGGGCAGCTTAAGAAGGGGACAGTGTCTCCTAAATTCTACCCTGGGCGGCTCCCAGAGCAAACTCCCGCACACAGCGTTGGGGCCTCCTGTTAGCTTGTCTACCTCCTCCACTGCTCTGGGTTCTAGAGAGCAGATCGTGGTAGGGAAAGGAGCCCATCCCACAGACCATGAACTGGGGAGGAAAATGCTGAAAGAAGAAATGGGGCCCACATATGCTCCAGTGGGCTTGGATTGTAAATTCAGCCTGTGTGGAGTCAATAAAAAGATAAGCGGAGAGAGTCCCACACATGGACGCTCTCGTTTGTTCACAGGCTGGGCCAGCAAGGAGACTTCATTAGAAATTGGCTTTCACCTTCTTGCCTATATTTCTCTCCCTTACAGTAATATCACTGCCTGCAATAATCCCTTTAGTATGCTTTGGGATTTTCAGGTCAGTGGTTTATCTTGCACCCGGGACACCCCAGCCCCAGCCAGGGAACAAGAAGCGGGTGGGACTGCTAGTTCCTGGCTTCCACCTCTTCTCAGACTTGGCCATTGCCCCAAGCCTGAGTCCCCAAGTCAGGCCACCTAAGCTGGTGGACGCTGCTCAGAGGTTCCTGGGACCTATGGAGGAGGTAGTGGGGAGGGAGAAGGACAGCTCCTTTGCCCCCACAGGCCCCACCCAGCTTCCTCTGTGGAGAGATTGTCCCAGGATGCTAGCAACCCGACCCTATTTCTTCCCATAAAAGCCCTATTTTACGAGCCGGTTTCACTGGCCCCCTCACCAAATGCTCCAAAATGAAGGAAATGTCTTAAAAGCAGGCTGGAAATGGAGCCGCTGCTATTGGGCTTCAGTTTCCTAAGCCAGTTGTAGTGGCACAGAAAATACCTTTTCTGGGTGGGATTGCCCTGTTGGGCCACCCAGATCTCCCGCCTCACCACAGAGCAGAGGCGGGTTGGCCGGAGCCCTGATTCTCTGGCTTTAGCTCCTACATTAAGGCTCGGACCTAGTCCTCCTGATCAAAGTGAGCTCGCGGCATTTTTATGAGATCAACTTCAGCAACTCTTTATTAGCGATCAGATGCCTGGGTCGAAAATGCAAAAGGGAACAAACAGCTAATCAATCCAAAAGGAAAAAGAAAAGAGAGGGGTGGGAAGGCATGGGGTGAAAAACTTCAGGTGACACAAAGCAAAAAGATTCCAGTCACCAAAAACAAAAACAAAAAAAAATCTTTTGCCCCCAGCAAGAATCATTTGTTTGGGATCTGTTCCAGCCTCCAGGCCCTGCCTTCTGCCTGCACATTCTGCCCTGATTTCCGGAACCTGGAAGCCTAGGCAGGCAGTGGGGAACTCTGACTCGCCTGTGCTCTGGAGCTTGATCCGAAAGCTTCCACAGTGAGGACTGCTCCGTGGGGTGAGTGTTGTGGCCTATGCCTCCTTGCCCCAGCAAGGAAAGTGCCTTCTGCTCAGGATTTACAAGTCTCCCCCATTTTGCTGCTTTCCTTTCGGCGGGCTCAGTGGTTTTCTCCTCACTACAGTCAGAAGTTGAGTTACAGGAAGATTCGCCAGAGATTTATCGCCTGGCCCCAAACTTGGAGAGCCTCGTTGTCATAAACAGCCATCTATTGTCTAGACTTTTATCTCCGGGTATGGATCGTGCATTAGCGAGGCTCAGGAGACATGGGGCTGGCTCTGTGGGGTGTTTGTGCAGCCGGTGCCTGCCCGCAGGCCCCAGGGGTTTCTTTGGGTCATTTTATGAGAGTGCACACATTTGTGTACACTCTTGGAGCTGGGCAGGTACGCCTGAGTGTTCACGAGTGGAGGCCCAAGGTAGGGAAGTCTCTTTTTCTCTGTGTTGGGGAACATTCCGGTGCGTGTACTTGTGTGTTGGGTGAGAATTTGTCATGGTATGCTTTGTTTCTGGGGCATTTTAAGTGTTCCTGCCTGGGCTTTTTCAGGTTTTATTAACTTGCATCCGCCTGGCCTGTTTATATCCCTTCCAAGCAGATCATCTGGTGTTTTTCAATATTGGAGTGCATTGTGTGTATTTGGCTTCTCTCAGGAAATGGTTTTGGGTGATACCTTCCCAGGCTTACTCCCTCAGATACCCCCACCCACCCTGAATCACACCTCAGCCTCTGCTTTCACCAGGTTGTCTGGCCCTGCCCCACTCTCTGCAAGTCCCTAAATCTCCAAAGTGCCTGCCAATTTTATGTCACAGACATGAAGCACATTTTTGTAGGGTGAGGTCTGGCTATCTCTATCTTTCCCACACTAGGGGGAAGCGTCCAGCTCATAAACCACCTCACTAACTGGAGCTCCCCTTCCCAGACTGAGGGGACATAAGAAAGGGCCTCCCCAGTCCATTTCAACTGTTTAAAATACTATCCACCGAACTCTAGATACTGCCAAAGAGAGCCTGCTGTTCCCTCCCTGGGGCTTCCCGGCTACCCCTCCAGCCCGTTGAGCCCAGGCATTTTGTAACATAAGTGGCACTTTGCCCAGATTAAACGTCTATGGCAGAGACACTTATCACCTTAGATCTTGGGGTCAGAGCTGCTTTGAAAGCCAGGATCATTTAACATCACCAGAAATAATCAAATCCTCTTCCTTTGTTTTTTATGATGAAAACACAGGGTAAGAGAGCACCAGGCACTGAGGCCTGGGAGTTCCACAGACCAACACCCCTGCTCCTGGCGGCTCCCACCCGGGACTTAGACCCTCAGGTCCCTAATATCCCGGAGGTGCTCTCAATCAGAAAGGTAAAGTGGGAGGTGGGGGCAGATCCCAGAGGCCATTTTTCCAGTTGAGGAGGGTGGAGGTGACAACAATTAGAGGCTTTTGGAGCATCAGATTGAACCAGAATTCCCCATCATTGTTTTCTGTGCATCCTTCCCTTCCCTTGCCATTAGAATTTCAATTTAAAAAGCAATGATTAGGCCTTAAAATGTCTCCATGAGCCCAGAGGAGGCGAAAACGAGCTGTGAGGTCCAGGAAAAAGGTAAGTCCTCCGCAGATATCCCCACACCAATTATTTTCCTCTCCTTCTTTCTCTCTGTTCATCCCCAGTGCTACCCTGGAGGAAAAGGATCAAGGATCTCAGTTCGGGATCCTTCCTCCCTGAGCCTTCGAGCTGAGCCTGCCCACTGCCCACCGCCAAAGGCTGTCGCGGCGGATACGGGGCTCTTTCGGTCTCGCCGGGCCGGCTGCGGCGCTGCCTTACGCTCCCGGTCTCCCTGTCTCCCTCCATTCTTGCCTCACCCCTCCCCTAGACCAGCAAATATCCAATATATTTGTTTCTCCGCACGCCAGGCCTCAGCGCAGCCAGCTCAGCGCTCGGGGATCGCTGCCCCCGCACTGGGCCCTTATGCGCTTTGCTTCCAGTTCCACCGACTGCAGCATCTTTCTTTGCTAGCTGCCCGGGTAAAACGCTTCTGTCGCACTTTCCTGCTTCTCCCCCTTTCTTTCCGCCTCTGGATCTGAGAAAGAAATAAAACCAAGCCTCCTACCGCACCAGCCCTCCCCACCCCTGCTGCCTCACTTCTCCTTACCGAGTGTACCGCCTTGTTTTCTGAAGGAAACCGTAACATTCAGACATTTAAGCTGTAAATGAACTTTTCTTTATGACGTTTAATTTTCTCTCCAATTCTTAGGTCCTGCTCCGCTTCGCAGTGGAATGGAACGGATTTAGAAGCCTGCAGTAGGGGAGTGGGGAGTGGAGAGAGGGAGCCCAGAGTTACAGACGGCGGCGAGAGGTACAGAAGACTGGGAGATAGAGAAAAAGAGAGGCGGGGGAAGGGAGGGGGAGGAAGGAGGGAGGGAAGGGTCCCCAGCTGGCGGGGAGCGGAGCCAGAGAGAGAAAAAGAGAGAAAAGTTTCCCGGAGTCTTCATTAGTTGATTTCCCTGTCCGCCGCTTTCCCCGGCCGGCTCACCCCCGGTAAAGGAAGGAGGGGCGTCTTTATTTTTTTAAGGCCCCAAAGAGTCTGATGTTTACAAGACCAGAAATGCCACGGCCGCGTCCTGGCAGAGAAAAGGCTGAAATGGAGGACCGGCGCCTTCCTTATAAGGTACGATGCTAACTTGACCTTCACTTTGTCATGGCGCCCCCGCCCACCCAGACTGCTGCAGGCGCCCGGGCGAGGGAGAGCAACAGCCGACCCTTGCTTCTGCCTCCCTCCCGCCTCTTTTTATCTTTCGATCCTTCTCTCTCGTCTTTCTTATTTTCATTTCCCTCCTGTCTTTTTCTTCCTCTTTTTTCTGTCTTTTCCTTTTCATTTCCTTCCTTCCTTCTTTTTCTCCTGCTGTTCTTCCTGCCCCCTTTCTTTCACTCATTCTTTTTACCCTTGCCGGCTGGTTTCATAGCTTCCCTGGGTTCTCTCTTGCCTTGTTCTCAGGCACTTCCTTGATCTCTTTCTCTCTCTTCCCAGCCTTCTGGTCCCTTCTGGTCTCAAATCCCGGAAACAACAACAACACAAATATTTTCAGTCCTTCCTGCATCCCTACCCTGAACTGGCCTTCACAGCCCCAGCCTGGCTTTTGCCCCACCCAGGTGTTCCTGGGGGAGAGGGGGAAGGCCAATTTAGGATCAAAAGAGGCTTCACTTTGGGACCAGTGCCCACTTGGGGATGACAATGAAATTGGTTTGGATAAGACCCTGTCTTCCTCACATTGGCCCCACCTGCAAAGTCTCTGTGACCCTAGTGGCCTTGGACTGAGAGCAAAGCCTCAGGCTGGGGGGGCATGGGGAAAGCAGATCCCACAGCTCCTGAAACTATGGGGAGGGGAGCAGAGTTCAAGTACCAAATTGTGGTTCACCCTTCTCTGGCTTTCAGCCCCTAAAATCTTAGAGCTTTCCCTTAAGACATCTGAGGAGGAGATTTAGAGAACTAGGGATTTATAGAGATTAAAGCATATGTAAAAATAGGATAGAGAAAGACTATAAGGGCCTCTCCACCTTGTCTATTGCTGCCTCCCAGGCTCCAGCCGAGCCTCTGACATTAACTCTAATCATATCTTGTTTGGCTATAAAATAATATTATTGATACCCCTGTAATTATCTATTATCCCCTTACTTGTAATGATTACAATACTAGAGGAGGCAGGTCTATGCTGACAAAGTAAAGCCAAGCAAATATCCTGGAAAATGAAACTAAATCAGGGGCATTCAAACTCGATCTCTTGTGCGTTCTTGAGTATGTTCCAAAATCTATAAGCTCCTGCCTAGGGCCTCCTTGATTTAGGAATAGCCATTTTGTAGGGCTTAGGGTGATGTTGGGAGACCCTACTGTCTCCTTTTCCTCTACATCCCATACACCCCTGGCCCCTCCTCCTCTGCACAGACATCAGAGAGGGTCAGACAATAAAAGAGAAATACTTTCTCTCTCTCCCTCTACAATTATCCGAATAATTGCATGAATTCTTCCTGGAATACCACTGTGTAGTCAGGGTCAGGATTTCAGCAGGAAGTGCAGGGGACAGAATTCCAAATGGGGGAAGCTGAGAGAGTCCTGCGTTCTTACATTCCCAGACTTTATAGTTCTGTCTAGTGTTACATTGTTTCTTCAGGCAAAGATCTTTGTTCCCCTTCAGTCATATTTCTCCCTTCCCCCTCCCTTTCTTTCTCTTTCCCTTCCCCCTTTTTTGAGTCCCTTTAAAGGAGACTCAGATCATCTTCTGCTCTTAATAGATGACTATAAAAGTAAAATTAATTCCCTCCTGCCCTTTAATATCAATATCTCTCCGTTAAGTATGCACATTGGCGAGAGAAGTGCTGCAACCTAAACCAGCAATTACACCCAAGGTTTGTTGTTTTTTTTTTAACTTTATTTTCATTGGGTCTGGCTTATCTGGGGGTGTTCACTCTGGCAAGAGATAACCAGGGGGCATTTGTATTTTTTTTTCACAAGCTCGTTGGGGCCTAAGCCAGTACCGACCTGGTAGAAAAAGCAACCACGAAGCTAGAGAGAGAGCCAGAGGAGGGAAGAGAGCGCCAGACGAAGGTGAAAGCGAACCACGCAGAGAAATGCAGGCAAGGGAGCAAGGCGGCAGTTCCCGGAACAAACGTGGCAGAGGGCAAGACGGGCACTCACAGACAGAGGTTTATGTATTTTTATTTTTTAAAATCTGATTTGGTGTTCCATGAGGAAAAGGGAAAATCTAGGGAACGGGAGTACAGAGAGAATAATCCGGGTCCTAGCTCGCCACATGAACGCCCAGAGAACGCTGGAAAAACCTGAGCGGGTGCCGGGGCAGCACCCGGCTCGGGTCAGCCACTGCCCCACACCGGGCCCACCAAGCCCCGCCCCTCGCGGCCACCGGGGCTTCCTTGCTCTTCTTATCATCTCCATCTTTATGATGAGGCTTGTTAACAAGACCAGAGAGCTGGCCAAGCACCTCTATCTCAGCCGCGCCCGCTCAGCCGAGCAGCGGTCGGTGGGGGGACTGGGAGGCGCTAATTAATTGATTCCTTTGGACTGTAAAATATGGCGGCGTCTACACGGAACCCATGGACTCATAAACAATATATCTGTTGGGCGTGAGTGCACTGTCTCTCAAATAATTTTTCCATAGGCAAATGTCAGAGGGTTCTGGATTTTTAGTTGCTAAGGAAAGATCCAAATGGGACCAATTTTAGGAGGCCCAAACAGAGTCCGTTCAGTGTCAGAAAATGCTTCCCCAAAGGGGTTGGGAGTGTGTTTTGTTGGAAAAAAGCTTGGGTTATAGGAAAGCCTTTCCCTGCTACTTGTGTAGACCCAGCCCAATTTAAGAATTACAAGGAAGCGAAGGGGTTGTGTAGGCCGGAAGCCTCTCTGTCCCGGCTGGATGCAGGGGACTTGAGCTGCTCCGGAATTTGAGAGGAACATAGAAGCAAAGGTCCAGCCTTTGCTTCGTGCTGATTCCTAGACTTAAGATTCAAAAACAAATTTTTAAAAGTGAAACCAGCCCTAGCCTTTGGAAGCTCTTGAAGGTTCAGCACCCACCCAGGAATCCACCTGCCTGTTACACGCCTCTCCAAGACACAGTGGCACCGCTTTTCTAACTGGCAGCACAGAGCAACTCTATAATATGCTTATATTAGGTCTAGAAGAATGCATCTTGAGACACATGGGTAACCTAATTATATAATGCTTGTTCCATACAGGAGTGATTATGCAGTGGGACCCTGCTGCAAACGGGACTTTGCACTCTAAATATAGACCCCAGCTTGGGACAAAAGTTGCAGTAGAAAAATAGACATAGGAGAACACTTAAATAAGTGATGCATGTAGACACAGAAGGGGTATTTAAAAGACAGAAATAATAGAAGTACAGAAGAACAGAAAAAAAATCAGCAGATGGAGATTACCATTCCCAATGCCTGAACTTCCTCCTGCTATTAAGATTGCTAGAGAATTGTGTCTTAAACAGTTCATGAACCCAGAAGAATGCAATTTCAATGTATTTAGTACACACACAGTATGTATATAAACACAACTCACAGAATATATTTTCCATACATTGGGTAGGTATGCACTTTGTGTATATATAATAATGTATTTTCCATGCAGTTTTAAAATGTAGATATATTAATATCTGGATGCATTTTCTGTGCACTGGTTTTATATGCCTTATGGAGTATATACTCACATGTAGCTAAATAGACTCAGGACTGCACATTCCTTGTGTAGGTTGTGTGTGTGTGGTGGTTTTATGCATAAATAAAGTTTTACATGTGGTGAATATACGTGCTGTATGTAATCTTTCCCCAGTCGGTTGCTTTCACATACAGTAGATAAAAGTGCCTCTGTGTGTACATTTTATAAAGAAATATATTTTCTATGCCAACAATGTACCCATAATAGAGATATCTGTGCATTTTAGACTGTGTTTCAATTTATTGGCAGCACTATGACCAGGTGTGTGCTTTATGGAACATCTTTTCCATGCTCTGCATGTGGACTATGCACGTTTTACAGAGAGCTTCCCAAGCAAGGGCTGCTGGGGGGTTCCATCCTCACAGACCTGTCTTTGAAGGAAGCTCTCCACTCTGGGCCAGGTAAACTGACAAAGTGAAGACTTGCCTCCTAAGTGGCTCTGGCTGGAAGAAGAGAAATCACCTGCTGGCAACGGGCTGGTTTAGATTGGCTAAAGGTCCAGCTGTGTTTGGTCTTGTCGAGGCCCAGTTTCTTGGCTCCTATGCCAGGCTCCAGCGGGCGGCACAGGTCTTAGGAGCCTCCAGGGCAGAGCCTCTAGCGATGAGAAGCCGGGCAGGAGGGCGGTCAGCTGCTGTGGGGACACCGAGTGCCCGGCAGAGGGAAGGAGCTTAGGATAAAGGTCTAATTCACGAAGCCCGGCCAGCGCCTCAGACTCCAGCCGCTCTTGGAGGTCTCTCACACTCACAGGGCGTCCCCCCAACGCCTAGGGTGCTCAGGGACGAGCGACTGGACAGATCCGGGTCTCGGCGAGGCAACCTCCACAGCTCCGGCCAGCAGGGGTCATCTCGTCCTTCGCGGGGGCACAGCAGCCCTCCGGAGGAGACCAGAGCTGCCGGCGCTGTCGGGCGCGGGAGCTGCTCGAGTCAGCCGGGGCTGTGGGCGCGCCGGGTTTCCTCTCCCTGGACCCTGGAGAGGACCGCAGCCGGGACCACGACGGTCGGGGAATTGGACCAAGGTCTCACAACCTTCGCCACAGGGCCGGGATGCTGAGCACTCCAGGCGCGAGTCAGGGAGTGTCCCAGGCGCCCGGGTCGTCCACCAGTGCCCGGCGCGTCTTTGTCTCGAGGCCTCGGCTAGAGTGGCAACCGAGAGCACCGCGCAGGGCTGCAGCGCGGAGCGGAGGGCGAAGCTGGGGAGTCCTGCAGCGGCGGACGCGGGCCACGGCCTCTCCTTGGAAAATCGGCAGCGCCGTCTGGACCGAGGCACACGCAGGAGGGCGGCCGCTCGGACCAAAGGCTGAGCATAGGCGCGCTGTGGGATCGGGGCCTGCCTTCCACCTCCCGCTGAATTACACCGGAACCTTCCGCGCCTCCAGGTGCCATGCAGAGAGGATTGGCGGCTCCAGAGTGCGTTTCTCGCGCGGCCTGGGGCCGAAAAACCGCTTCTGCTTTCCTGGATATAGCAGGGAGGGTGGGCAGGGGCTCCGGCCTGGCCGGAACCCCAAGTCCCCGGAGTTTGCTTTGTTCGCGGACCGGGGCCAGCGGTCCCTGCTCTGCTCTGGGTCTCAGCCATCGATCGCGCCGGATTTCCGGCTACATTAGCACCCACAGAACCCAGACGGCCGGACCCATCACCTGCCGGCTCGATAGCGGCTTAGTGGCTTTAAATACTCAATTTCGTCTGTGCACGTCAGAGTGGAGCAGAATAACTGCAACAATAACCAGGTCCAAATACAGAACTCACTCGGGGGATATAAGTTTATACACGCACAACAGCAGAATTATTGTCTACCTAAATTATCTGGATATTTCTTCCCTTTTCTTGCTCCTCAAAACCCGGCGAGAGACACGGAGTGCTTTGTCTTAAAGTTAGTGGAGTACATTGTAATTTGGGGGCTAAAACTGGACAAATAGTTGCAACATAGAGGAAATCCTCACCCAGATGGAGAGCTCAGCTGCGACCTAAGTATTGGGATCGCGGTTCCAACCGTGACCTCCTCTTTGGCCGGGAGACCCAACGATTTGTTTTTCAGTCATAGGAAGGAGGCAACATCCTTCTCTGGCAACATCCCCAGTGTTTGCGTTGAGTCTCTGGACCTGCAGAGACACCACCCAACTAGGTGCCTTCTCTCTCAAATTGGGAGTATCTCTGGGAATAAATTAAAGGCCAGTTATTTGCGGCCTTCCTAAGTCCTCCTTTTTCTTTTGCCAGAGATGTCCCTATTGTTGACCCTTCCTGTGTAGACACGTCATAAGAGTCAGATATTCTTTTGCCTTGATTTCCTGGTATTCTGACTCCTCCTACCCTCCTCTATTCAGACCCAGGCTCAAACACCAGGCCCCTCCCCCAGCTCATGGCTGCCCAAGCTGCCCGTCTTCGGTCGATGCTGCACTCTGTGGGGCATTTATATGAGCAACCTAAGGCTTTGGGTCTCCTTCCTGTCCGTACTCCTCAGCTTCGCAAAGCAACTGGGGATTAGGGGTAAAAAAGAGAATGGTATTTGATCTAAATTCGCTAGTTTATCTAATTATAGGAATAAAAAAGGGGAAGGAAAGAGAGATTTCAGGGCAGGAGGTGTGGCTCAGAGTCTGGACTTGGTGGGGGCCCCTAGGATTCTGGTACAGGAGGGTGGAAGAGGAATTTGGAGGAGACTCCTTTGATAGGAGCTTTACAGTTAGAAAAGGTAACTGGAGAGAGGGGAGGGAAGAGGCAAAAGGGTAAGAAAGAGAGAGGGCATGTCTTACCAAAGGAAGGGGTAGGTGGAGGTGCAGAGGGTTCATGGGCACATCTGGACTCTACCACTGGCCTGGGCCTGGGCTTTCCTCTGGCATGGGCTAGAGGGAGTCGCTGGCTTCAAAAGGTGGAGCCTATTTTGCCAGTTCCAAGGGGTCTTTAGCCCCTTCTCAACATCTTGCAATACACAAGCGTCATCTCAGAGTGAAGCCATAGGATTAAGACCACACGGTTGAAGCTCTAGGCCCACCAACCCCCCTCCATCTCAGCCCCGGGATTATGGGTTACTCTTACTGCCCCAGTATCCAGCTCAGCTCACCAGTGCCCCTATCCTGGCTTCTATTTGTCAAGTTCCTGAAGCACAGACCTCCTTTTCTGAAGCTGGTTTCAACCTCCTTTAGGCTGTCCACATTATTTTTATGGCCCCATGACTTCTCAAAGCTCCCTCTCCTCCCCCAAGTCTGCCACCCCCCAATTTTCTCTCTGCTATAATTGCTTGGGACTGGAGATGGTAGCTCATCAACAGATCTTGGTTGCTTATGTATTTTTGTTGCCCCTGCAACCACTCTTCCTTCATTATTATTACACATTTATTATTTTTATTATTCACCTGAGCTGGAGAAAATAAAGTGGAGAACAGCTAAGAGGCTGGGACTCCCATTATTTTGGGGTAGAACTTTTGTTTTCAAAAAATCACATAATCATAATTCATGTTTTAATTATTATTATTATCAATATTAATATGATGAAGCAACTCTGTACAAGGACTATATAAAGGGAAAACGTGCTAAAGACAGACGTTGGAATAGGAGAATTACACTACAGAGAGCTGGGGAGGCAGCTAGGGGAAGGGCAACTATCCACAGGGACTACACTAGGTACCAGCGACAGACACAGAGAACAAGACACAGATTGACAGAGAACCTCACAGAAGTCAAGTTTAAAGCAAATGGAAAGAGAATATTGCATATCTTTGTCCCCTCACTCCTTTTAGAGTGTTCTGGTCCCTCTTCATTATTAGATTGGGAATCAGGTTAGTCTGGAGTGGTAGAGCTCAAATCCAGCACCCTAGAGCCCAGAGGTCACAGGAAGGGCTGCATAAAGGGGGTACAGTGGGTGACCAGTCAAGGTGGGGAGTGCTTCATGCCCAGGGGAAGACCACAGGAGACTGCAGACAGCTGGAATGGTGGTAATTTGGGGGAACTTGTACATGGGTGAAGCAAGTATGTGTGGATGGGGAATTGTCAGGTGTCAGATACCCAGCGGGGGATGGAGGCATGTGATTTTATCTCCATTCTGCTGGGCCATGTGGGGATTATGAGGCTGCCTGCTTGCGAGTGCACTAGGGAGAGTGGGGTGGGCCCAGTGCTGTGCTGGGCTCAGCTGTGTGTATGTGTTTGCCTTTGCCTCTGCCTGTACAGAAGCTGTGTGCTGGTGGGAGAGTAAAAAGCTCGGTGGATTGCCTTTGGAGAGTTTGTTAGGGGAGACTCTCCCCATATGGGAAACACTCCAAGCCAGCAGGCCAGTTTCACACTGTCCAGGCTGCAGTTAACTCCCATCAGTGCCCTGCTTCTCACCCCTCTTGCTCCTGGAAAGGGCCGGACAGCAGATGGGAGGCTGGGGGACTCTTGGGGAGAAGGATAAAAATGAAGTACAGAAAGGTTGATGGTTCTCTCACTGCTCCTCTCTTCCAAGCCAGCCCAGCGTCTACTGGGCTGGGGCTGGGGTCTGAAGGAGTCTGGATGAAAGTCCTTCCCACTCAGAGAAGCCATTCTCAGACCTCCAATGGGTTCTAGGGCTGTGCCCCTCCCTCTGCTCTGGTCCATGTGCTAGGCTGTGGAGGTTTGCAGGCCAGGAGGCGGAGGCAGCCCTTCTGAAGACAAAGGGCAATGTTGGGGGGCGGGCGAGGAAGAGAGAAGGGAGTTGGGTGGGGGGCTGGAGCGCCCCCCTCCTTCATTCTCACGGGCCTGGGAAACTGGGGCTGAGTGGGACCTCAATGGCTGGTAGCCCCTTTAAGGGTGAATTCTCCTCCCGCCTCGTAAATTACGCTGGTCCACCCTCTGGCCGGCCCGTGAGGCAGTGACCGTGAACGCCAGCGGGGAAGGGAGAATCAGAGGCCTCGGCTGTGGCTGTCAGAAATTCTCCCGGCCAATCAGTGTGGTGCTCCGTAGCCCCATCTACAGCCTCTTGCACTTTCTTTCTGGAGAGCCAGCTGGGGACCTCTGGGGTGGCTACTGAACCTGAGGCTGTGTCCCCTGGGCTCTCAGGTCCCTGCTTGCTGCATCAGGCCTGCAGCCACCGCAGGCAACGGAGGAGTGGATGGCAGCACACCTATGAACAGACATTCGCCCGGTGCGGGCAGCGGGATCAGGAGAGGGCTGGGGACCAGGACACTGTTCTGGTCCTAGAGGGAACATGAGGCTGATAGTCCTTGTCCACAGCCCGGCCAGCCAAATGCCCAAGCTTCTGCCCACTGGGTGTCCTGGGGGACCCAGACCCAAGCAGACTCTGGTTCTTGCTAATCATTTTCTCACAAACCACACTTCCTCCTTGGTTCCCCACTTCCTCCAGCCCTACCAGAGACACCTGACTCCCTCAGCTCTCTCCGCTGACCCTCCACCCTCCTCTCTCTTCCCAGCCTCTTCTAACCCCAGGAACTGTGAGGTTGAGGTGCCTTGGTTCCACTGGCCCTGCTCTTTGCTCCTGACGGCAAAGAGAATTAAGACCATGGAAGGGAAGTAGAGGAAGGGGACATCTGGGCCGCTGCTTCTCCAGATCCTCAGCGGAGGTGCAGTGCCCCAGTCCTGCCTCAAATAAACCAGCCCGCAGCACCTCAGCCTTCCTGCCCCTGCCAACCGCAGGCAGCTGCCGGCTTCTGCTCTCCCTGGCTAGGTTTCTTCCCTTCTCTCTGGGACCTGGCAGGGTGTTTTGGGTGTGTATGGGAGGGAACCACGAACAAAACAGACAAGAGGATATCCAGGGAGGGCCTGCCAGAGACGCCTGGCGTTCTAAGTGGGGACTGTGTTCTAGGCGGCGCCCTCTTTTGCTCTCTGCCAGGGACAGGCTCAGTCTGGGGCTGGCGCCCGTGTCCTGCACCTTAAAAGAAGGAGAGAGCTTGCTCCCTCAACAGAAGTCTTTTCTTTTTCATTCTCCGGTTCTGAAACCAGATCTTGACCTGCTGGTCACTAAGATTCAAGCGGTCTGAGAGTTCCCTCCGGCGCTGGCGTGTGATGAACTCGTTGACCAGAAACTCGCCCTCCAGCTCTGCCAGTTGCAACTTCGAATAGGGCTTGCGCTTCTTCCGAGAGCGGCTGTTGATCGGGTACCAGGGCGCGCCTGGGTGGAGATGAATGGCAGGGGTTGGCCAAAGGATCAAAGGGTGACCAGTCCAGTGCCCTTGGCCCTTCCCCAGACCCTTTCACCTTCGCCTCACAGCTGGACTCCAGGCCCTTTCTCTCCCTTCTCCTTGCCGCCAGTCATCTGAATCGTCTTTTCTACCCAGACCCACATCCCCACCAACTCCCCCACTTTCTTTACTCTTTTTTTTCCTTTCATTCTTTGCTCTTACCTCCTCAACCCTACCTCCTGCTGCACTATTCATGACCCTTCTAAGTCCCTATCCCCTCCTTTTTTCCCAAACCTCTCCCCAATTTTCTTCTTCCCTATTTCCTGGTCCCTTCCTCTCACATCCTTCAGGACTGGATCCCGGATCAGTTACAACAGATATGGGCGAATGGCAGAGTAAACGCATCCACTGGCATTTCTTTCGAAATGTAAGTAATGGGGTCTGTGGGAAGGTGGAGGGAGAGGCGCCTGGGAGAACTAGGGCCGGGCTTTCTGTCCCCACCTCCTCACCCCCAGGCCTGGGGAGTCCCCGTCAGGATCCCCCAACTCCGGAATCCCTGCCGCCTCCAGCCGCAGGCAGACGAAAAAGGAACACTCTCCATTTCTTTTGTGGGGATGTTTACATGTTTATAGGCTCCCCCCACCCGCACTTCATTTTATAAGAAGCTCTTCCTCGCCACACATTCTGTCACCCTGGGCGTCCCTAGCTCAGTCCTGTTCTGCCCGCCCTGGTAAGAGGTCGGGTTTGAATCCGCCGCTTGAGTGGCCGGGGTCCTTACCGCTGGCCGAGAGCCCGCCGCCGGGGTTCAACGGCGATACCAAGCTGCCGGGGTCGCCTGCGCCGGCGCCCTTGTTGCCCTCGTTGAGCAGGGACGAACTGGAGTCGGATTCCAGCGACTGGCAGGAGGGCGGGTCGTGCGGAGGTCCTGCGCCGCCGCCGCCGTCGCCACCGCCGCCGCCCGCCGCGTAGTCGTACTTGAAGCCGAGCGCAGGCGGCCCCGACGGCTCCAGCGGGAGCAGCGCTGCCCCGGGCCCGGCTCCCGGGTCGCGCCCGCGCTCCTCACGCTTCAGGCCCCCGCCGCCACCCTCGGCGCACGGCTCGCGGTAGTAACCCTTGCCGTCCTCCACGCGCGCCAGCTCGCACGTGCGGCCGAAGGGAGGGTTGAGAGACACTGGGCTGCCGAGGTAGGGCTGCGGGTAGCCATTGCACGGCTCCGCCGACGGCCAGGACAGGGAGCACACGTTGTCGCGGCGTGGGTAGGACAGCGAAGGCAGCCCGGGAAGCTGCGCCCCGGACGCGCGGAAGTTGGGGAAGTAGAAGGTGTCTCCCGTGTGGATGTTTACCAGCGGCCCCACAAACCCGGGATTCAGGAGATTATGCTCGCCCATTTCCGCGGGGCCCGACCGGCAGCTTCTACTTTATTGCTATCTGACATTAAACATAGTTAAATCTGCACCAGTCACCCATTGGCCGCCCCACTCACGTGGGCACGGCCGCCAGGGGGAGGGGTGGGGACAACCGATCCCCCCCCCCCACCATCCCATCCCGCACTCTAACTTCCCCCTTCCCCAATCCTGGGGGTGAGTGGGGTAACAAAGGGCGGGGGCAGGTTTATTTGCTGAACTGATTTTCTAAAACAATGTATATAACCTAACGCAGAGAGTAAAGCAATTGCCCAACACGGGGCAAAAGGGAAAAAACACACACCAAAAAATGCCCGCATATATACACCCCTATAACCTGCACCCCCCCCCATATATTATCTTATCGCCAACAGCTGGCCAAGCACAGCCTGTCCCTCTTTAATTAGCTTCTTTATTAACTAAAACCGTTGGAATTTACAATATCTCCTCAATAAATTACTATTAGATATTGTGTCATATAAAGTTTACTGACTGTTTAAGGAGACGGATGAGCCCTTTGGCTCGGGGTTTATTTACAGTAGAGGCGAAGTGGGGGTAAGGACAGGTTTCCCTGCCGTTATCTCTTCCCGCCCCAGCTGCTGCTGCACACTTCTTTATCAGCTCTTTATCCTCAGGAATTTGGAGAGACATTTGGAGTCCTCTTCCCCAATACTCAAGGATAATTGATAATGCCGGGTTTTCCTCTGGAGCCGGGAGCCACCCAGCCTCACACCTCCACTCACGGCTAGAGGAAGGATGCGGAAGGGAGGTAGAGAATGCAGCAAAAGGAGGTGCCTAGCTCCACATGGACCTGCCTGCCTGCTCCTGAAAATCTGGGGGCGAACTACTCTTCTGCTGTCATTTCCGGGGAACTGAGGAGCTTCTGGGGGCCTCCTGGAGTCTTTGCAGTGGGAAGCTTTGGACCCCTAACAGGGCTTGACTGGGCTGAGAGGGGCCTAATTCTCACTGCGGAGGAGACAACTGCACCCCAGAACCGGCCAAGCCTGCCCCTGGGACCATCAGATAGCAGTGCAGAGGCCCGCAGTAGGTTGCCTCCTGAGGGGGCTAGGATTGAGGGAAAAAACCCTTGAAGAATTATCTTATTGGGGGGTGAAATTATATTTATGGTGCAAACTCAGAAGCTCCCTCCAGAGAAGGCCGAGAAGCAATGCTGGCCATTGGTGAGATAATCAACATCTGCAAAACCACAATCCGATCTCAACTAGGTCCACAGAACACAGCCAAGCGGATTAAAAAGAAAGACAAAATAAAACTCCCCCAAACCAGATGTATCCTTTTGGGGTCTAATAGAAAAAACACTCGAATTTCCATGTGATTATTTCGAGCTTCTAACCAATGCATGGCTTAAGTAATACAGGGTTGGATAAATAGTTCAGTAAACGTCTAAATACGAAAAAATACCAGAAGATTGAAAGAAAATTGGAGACAGAGATTCGGAGAGAATGAGAAAGAAACCCATTTAGGTGAAAGTTAAATATCAGAGAAAGCCTGAGAATAAGCCAAAGCTGCAAAAGCAGATCGAAGCAGAGAAGATTCTCCCTTTTTTTCCTCTCCCTCCCCTCTCTCCTCTGCAGGACGCGGCAGAGAGAAACGCAGATTCTTTGAATTCCACCGCTCCCCGGGCGATTTCATATCCCAAACCGTAGCTGCTCACTCCGACAGAAATGTGTCCCCGCGGGCGCCGCCCTGCCCGGAGCAGTTCGAAGCTCGCAGCTCGGTGCCTGTCCCTTGCCCTGCTTGGCCGGTTCCCCTTCCCCGCCCCTGCTTGCCTAGCTGCCCGGCCTGGTCCAGCCCCTCCCGCCCCCAGGAGCCGGCCCCGCGTTAGGCGCACTTGTCGGAACTTAGGGCAAGCCATGGGCTGCAAACCCGAAGCCGCCACCTTCAGTTAGAGCCGGTGGCGCCAAGGAATGAGCAGGAGACTCAGCCTGGATTGGCCTTTTTGTGCCTAACTGATAAGGGGCTGGGAGGCTACGGAGAGGAGCATCTCTCAGCTGCAAATTCCAGGTCACAGCATCTGTAACATCTTATTTCCCCTTCTCAAGATACATTGATGAGCGCCATTGAAATTTTAGTTTTTAAAAAACATTTTATTTGAGGGTTAATTTGGTCATAAAGATAAACAGGGTGTGACATTAATATTGCTGTTGATTTCAATCAGAACATCGTGCGGGCAGCTAGGTCTGCGCCCAGGCTCTCCAGGCCTCTGCGCTCAGCCGCTATTGTTGGTGTGAGGGATGCCGAGCTGGGCTTTGCCAAATAATCACTAGCCTTTGAGGGGTGGAGTATTCTCCTCATTCTCTTTTCCCTTCCCAGATAATTCCAATCTCCTAGAAGAGGGACCCCAAGAGGAAGGTCTCAGCCTCTCCCCATTCCCTCCACCCCAGCAGGCAACTCCCAGGCCGGGAGCTCTGCTCGCTGCCCTCCCAGGCCAGGCCGCTGAGCGTGAGGAGCAGCGGCCACAGGGCGGCGGATGCAACGCAGGAGAAATGAAGATTGGGTGAAGGCGTCCTTCTTCCAGGCACGCATTTCTTCTAGCCTGATTTAGCCTCATCAAAGAGGGCCGTTTTCCCCAGGTTTTGGATTCGGCGGGCAAAGAAGCACGCACAAACCCCTCTTTCTTCTTTGCAGCTGACCCTGATTCCTCTCAGGGAGAGCTGTCGACAACCACTAGCAAAATTCGCATCCCCGGTGTCCTGCTCCCTGAGACCCACCGGGAACCTAGGGGTTTTCAGGACTCTGGCAAGGACCCAGGTAATCTAAGCGTCCAGCCTTCCGGTGCACCACCGAGGCTCCGTTTGTGGTTAAGGAACCCCGCGACACACGCAACTCAGGCACCCGTTTTTTAACCGGGCTCGGACAAAAATGCAGCTCCCAGTCTGGGTCCCCGGGGCCGGCGGGAGGCTCGGGTGAGACGCTTAAAATCTAAATCCAGCCTCGGCGAGAGCTGTTCGCCGGGAGCAGGCTGGGGCTGGGCGAGGGACTCGCATCCCAAGGAGTCGGGGCAGCCGTGTCTAGCCGGGCTTAACCCGCCGGCACTTCGCTGACCATGCGCAAAACTATAGGTGGTCAGGCCGAGGCACCCAAACCGTGGAGCGATTGGTGCGAACTCTCCCGTACATTTATCAGATCACAAGGCTAGAGCGGTGGCCTGCCTGCTGGCCCCTGGGCCACTGGCTCCCGCCGCAGCTGGCCAGGCTCTACTAAGCCTCGCTCATTAACTCGGGGTTAATTAAAGCTGAAAGCAAGGATGTGGTCCAAGGCTTTCCTTGAAGACCAAGGCAGCCTGTGTCCCTCAGCTCGTCCTCCAGCTGGATGCCCCGCCGCCTCTCTCACACCTTCTCTGTGCCTCCATCCCTCCTGCATCCTAGCAGCCTCCACTGCGGCTGAGCCCAGCGAAAGGAGTTAATTATAAAATCTACGCTGATTCTGGTGGGAGAGGCAACGTGGCTGCTGGCGGCTTAGACCGCGGGGAATCGGCTGTGAGTGACTGCGTTTTGGCTCCCCCGCCGACCCGTGGTCGGGAGTGATTCCGCGCAGTGCTGCCTTACCCCTGGTCTGTCCAGAGGCCGCAGCGGCCCAGTTCAAGGTCACTGTCTAGTTTGCAGAAAGCGGTTCTGCCTCGTATGCAAATTAGGCCGGGACTCAGCACCAGCAGGGGTGTGAGCAGGGATTTGGCCGGCGGAGAGAAGGGAAGATGAGAAGGGGGCTGAGTGGGAGGGCCTGCCCCCTTCCCTGCCCCCCGCCCAACCCTGCAGCCCTGTCTGCCTTGCCCCTTCGGGGCAACTTAGGCTTGGGACCTGACTTTTGTCGGGTTCAAACAAGGCTGGGGGGTAGAGTAGGGAGCTCAGTCTCCTATTTCATGGCTTCCAGGCTCCTTCAGGGGTTGGGGCCCACCTGGCTCCCAGCCCTCCCTGCCGGTGCCCGGGAGGTAAAGAGCAGATTGGGAAATCCCTTCCCCAGGTGCTGCTTTCTAGGGATTTGCAGCCTGGAGGAGGGAGGCTTGTAGGAACGCTCAGTGACGGAGCCCAGTAAGGCTTTTAGGCTCAGGCAAGTAGCCTGGGGCCAACGGAGCCCCTACCTTCTCCAGTTCTCCCGCGGCTTCTCTAGTCCTCTGTCACCAAAAGATTCCAGCCCGATTGCCTCTCAGAAAATGCGGGGGAAGTGAGAGCCCCCAGGCAAGGACATCTGGGAGGCCATCTCTCCACCCCAACCTGAGCATCCCTAAATGGACCACCTTCCCCCGTTTTGTGTTTCCTTCGGTGGCGCGCTAACAGTTAAATAGGGCCGCAGCTCTGACATTTTCCCCCTCCACCAGCAGAGGATCTCCTCCACCTAGTGAATTACTGAGTGTCAGGGAAGGTGTGGGAACCAAGTTAAAAAAAAAAATCACATCAAATGCCACACCCATAGCCGCCTGCAATGCAACAGTGAATCGTCTCCACCGACCTCTAAGCTGGGTGGGGGTGAGGACTACCCGGTGTGCCCTCACCCCTCGGCCTCCTTTTCTGGCTTTGACCCTGTCCACTGGCCCGGCCCAGCTCTGGGGAGGAGCTGAGATCTGCTTAGGGTCTGCTGAGCACCGCTACACAACTGCTTTCCAAACCTGGGGCCCCAGTTCCGGGCAGAGGAAGGGGCTTGGGCAGATTGGGGTGGGAGCAATGGGCCCCACCAGGAGGCAGGTGGGGGTGGGGAATGGACTACCAACCCCGGGGCTCGCTAGGCTGGGAGAGCGCGGACAGGAACAAGGGTCCACTTACCTTTGGAGACAGAAGAGGTTCATAAGGGTGAGGGATAGGAATTCTCAGCCTCTAGAAGCCTTCTGGATTCCCCGTCCCCAGGCCCGTGCGCCGGCCTCGCCAAGGTATCAGAGAAGGGCGGGGCGGGGGGAGGTGGAGAAAGCGGCCAGCGGCAGGCGCGCGGGAGCGGAGTTGCCAGAGCATCTCTGGAGAGGCCGCCTTTTATGGGCGTTATTAGCGCCCTTGTCTAGACTGGAGACGACACCTCCTCTGTGTGTAAACAGAGGCGGCGGGCTCCTGCGGGAAGGGGGATGGCGCGTCAAGGGGGCAAGCAGCCCTCCCCTTCGCTGGCCACCGGAAGATCAAGGCCTTTTCCACCCCTCCCCCCCCTTCCCTGTGCTCC
This sequence comes from Homo sapiens, assembly GCF_000001405.40. Classification (NCBI taxonomy): domain Eukaryota; kingdom Metazoa; phylum Chordata; class Mammalia; order Primates; family Hominidae; genus Homo; species Homo sapiens. The sequence goes on along the minus strand of NC_000012.12, from coordinate 53,949,754 downwards.
CTGTGATGTCAAGGTCAGAAAGACCTAGTCACGGTCAAGGCTAAAAGAGGAAGAGCCTGGTTGGTTTTGAAAAGGCTCTGGCCCCCTCCTCCTCCTCCCAGAAGTCCCTAGCTCCCCAGGGCCCCTCAATTCTCCACCAGTGCAGGTCTAGATATACATCTGCCTGAACCACTCTTGGAGTTTTCTTGGGGGTGGGCTCCAATACCACCCAACACAGATCCCAGCAGATCCTAGGGTGGGGAGTTCTCTTTTGAACAGATGGAGCCACTGAAGGGGCTGCCTGCCGCATGGACCCCACCTCCAATAGGAGGGCTGTTCAGAGAGATAGCGGCTGCCCCAGGGGCCTGCCCCTGCCTTGCACCCACACTGGCCTACTGTCCCCACATTGCTCACCCAGCCGCCTGTGGATCAACCCCAGGAGCAGATGGTCTCTGGAGCAGACAGTCATGGAGGGATCTGCGGAAAGAACTGCTGCCCTTGTTCTCTCAGTTGGGTTCCGGCTGTGGGACTGCTGGCTGAAAGGCCCATTCTGCTGGGCCTCTGTCTGGAGACTAAGATGTGGGTGGGGAAGGGTTTTTCCCCCAAGCTCAGCAAAGAATCTCTTGAAGCCCTCTCTGGCAGCCCCGGAGAGTGACCACTAGATGGAGAGTCCTGTGAGGCCCTTGGCTGCCTGGGCCTCCCAGCTCTGGCCTAGGGAGATAGGGGAAGTGGGGAGTACCATCAGATTATGAGAAAGATAGCAGGAGTCTCAGCCCCTCTGTGTGTCTGCGTTTCCTCACAGAGGTTTCACCAGCAATTCAGATCACCCTGTACCCCCGGTATCCTCATATTTGCCTTCACACTTAGTCTTACTTTTAACACAAACACTAGGAGGCTGGCCTTGGAGAGAAAGACATATTAGAGACATGACTAAGAGATGAACTATCTCATAGAGTCCCCAAAGACAATGCCAATTCTTGGGAGAAGGAAAGGTAAGAAATCAACACAACCAGAGTTGTGTTAAAGAAGAAATCCTTATTCAGGGAAAGAATAATATATTTCACAAATGTGCCTCCCCGAAACACATGCTCACACACACTCACACAGTGTTTGCTTACTCTTATGGTAAAGTCATATCCAAATAAGTCCAGGCATGATACTCCTCCAAAATAAATCTGGGTATATTTAATGCACTGCACGAGGGCTCACAGGCACTCAGGAACTGAGGTCCTTTTTAGGCTTACCAGTGTCCCAATGCACCAGTAGTGAGCCTGCACAGGCTTTCCTTTTTCTTCTTCTTCACCTCCTCCTCCTCTTTCTTCTTCTTCTTTTTTTTTTTTTTTTTTTTTTTTTGAGACAGAGTCTCGGTCTGTCACTCAGGCTGGAATACAATGGTGAGATCTCAGCTCACTGCAACCTCCACCCCCCTGCCCCCGACCGGGGTTCAAGAGATCCTCCCACCTCAGCCTCCACAGACATGCACCACCATGCCAGGTTAAGTTTTTCTATTTTTGGTAGAGACTGGGTTTCACCATGTTGTCCAGGCTGGTCTGGAATTCCTGAGCTCAAGCTATCCACCCGCCTCAGCCTCCCAAAGTGTTGGGATTACAGGCGTGAGCCATCGCCCCTGGCTCCTCTTCTTTTTTTTCATTATTCCCTTCTAGAGCCTTAGGGGTGGTTCCCTCAATATGGGATGACTACCTCATATGATTATATATGGGTTTGTGTGCAGAAGCAGAGGGATTCCTCTGAGAACTCTAGACTTCTCTTTAATCAGAGTCCCCAATTTCCAGTTTGCCTACAGCTGTGCTTGGGACTACCCAAAGCAGTCAGGAAGGGTGGGGTCATAGTAACAGAGCCCCAGGCCTCTTGTCCACTTAGTTTCTTTTTCTGACCAAACACACACACTCAGTCTCCAACTCCTTTCATCTCAGGGGAAACCCAGGGATTTTGGGAGAGAGGTTGGGATGGTGGGTGGGGAGAAAAAGGACAGATGGAATTAAGAATTAACCTTATTCCTGGAAATTCACCTATTCTCCCTCAAATCTCCACTGCACAGCGTGTGGCTCTCTAGTAGTTAACCCAGAGTTGAGACCCAGAAGAACAACACTGGCAGCCACGTCAGTAGCAGAGCCTCCACAGAGGGCAAATTCTTCAGGTTCTTTTTCTCTCAGACTCCGTGTGTGTGTGTGTGTGTGTGTGTGTGTGTGTGTGTGTGCAAGCGCGCGCGTGCGCAAAATGTGCATATGTTTATTCCCCAGGAAAATTTATTTAAATGAAATTATTAAATCTTCAGCCCCACCAGGCAAAGGGATAACAGAGAACTCTGATTTCCAACCTGACATCTCCAGTGTTTCTGTGTCTCAGGAGAGGAAAAATATTATATATAAATAAAAATTGCTGCAGTAAAGATTTAATCTGAGATAACATTGTTTTAGGCTATATTGCTTTTAAAAAGTCTCTTAACCTGACAACTTAATGATCTCATTAACTCTGCCAGATAGGGAGATAGGCACTGATGCGACCAGGAAAACAAATTAGTGGCAGCATCTACATAGGCTCCTCATTGCCTAGAAGACTGGGGTTCCCAGGAATACAGAGAGTAAAAGTGGGATTGGTTTGGCAAACTGGGGGCCAAAGGGGTCCTAGCAGCTCAGCCTCTCTACATAGGTTAAGTGGGGGGAAGAAAAAAGTGCAGCCAGGAAAAGCTGAGCTTCAGGCTGCCCCTGGCAGGCTGTGCTGACCCCATCCCAGCCCCAACTCCAGTCCTGAACTGGCTGAAGGTATTCGGGGCCCTCTGGGGCAATAGAGCACCAGGAGCCTAAGGTTAATTCCTCACTGCCACCGGCTGCCGCATTTACCTCATCCAGTTCCCAGCTGGGATGCTACTTTCTCAGTACCCAGAACCAGATCTGAGCCCCAATTATTAACCGAAGTAACCATCAATGTATTTTTGTCACTGCCTCCAGGCCTTTCAGTCACCAATTACGTCTTTCCTTCCTCAACAAACACTCATCTGAGTTGGACATCAGGATGGAAAGTTTTCTCCTATATAGATAGTATAGATAACCCAAAAACTTAAGTGGAGCAAAACAAGGGTTTGGAATCTACCCAGCTGGGAGCAATGTCTATACTCCTCCCCCTGATCATTCTGGCTGAGTCAGGGCATAGTAGACTGTCCTGAAGAGCCAGTGGACAGAATAGACTTCAGAAAGAATCTGAGCAATAAAATCAAGGCAAAAAAAGATATTTTATTTTAAAAACATGTTTGTGGGTTTTTTTCCTTTTTGCATTCAGTACATTGTCATTCAGACATCACAATACTATATACAGATACACAACATTTTTTAAAAAAGCCTATTCCTGATGAACATTTCAAAAGAACACTGTTTTGTAATGCACCAGTGGGAAGGGAAGAGGCAAGGGGCCCCCACAGCACCAAGGTGGCCTTTGAGGAGGGAACTGTTAGGCAGCATCTACATCTAGCTAATTGAGGGCCAGATCTTCTTGCCTCTTGAACTAGATCCTCTAGCTTTCCTCTGGAAATCAGTAAAGGTGAAAGTGTGAGGAGTCATTCCTGGGCTAGTGCCCTGATGGAAAGGTGACTGGACAGGGACTTTGTTGAGGGACCCACTCTCCATCCCCTTGGAAGAGATGTTTATCCTTAGAAAAAAGTTCTGCTTCTGTACCTGGACTAATCCCCAACCTTACCACCTAGAGAGAGAGAGAGGAGAGAGGAGCCCTATTTAGCAGCGTGGCTGGAGTCTTTGTCCTCCTTGGATTTCCACATGTTGACTGAGAGAGCAGAACAGGGGAGGCAGTGGGGCAAAGGCAGCTCCCACCTGGCCCCAGGAAATGCAGTTTCTTGGTTGGGATGGAGTGTAGGGGCTGCGTCAATGCTTTTACGGAATTCCAGCTTTTACGGAAACATCCATACTCCAATCACGCTGCCAGGTCCCTAATAATTATCATGAGTATTAACACGACTTTTAAAATACGCACAGAAAATCTTTACTGGGAAATCTTGCCTAAGGAGTGCGGGAGGGACAGCGAAGGAAAGTATGAGCTGGACAGATCCTGCTCCGAAGCTGCGCCCTTAGGGAAGGTCCTCTAAAAGCCTGGTCATAGGATGAGGCAAGAATTGGGGCCATTCGGGATTCCCCAACCCTGCTTTGGTTGGAATGATTGGGCTCTGCGCTGCCACCAGACTTTCTGGCAAGGTGAGCGCAAGGAGGAGTAGAGGTCGACAGCCTTCCTCGCACGGCCCACTCGGGACCCATTTCCAAAGCTGTTGAAGCCACGTGAGTCCCATCTGGATGGGGGTGGAGGCTGGGGATGGGATAGGGAGTTGGGGATGGCCCAGCAGCACGGCCATGGAGCCTCTCTGCCTCCGGGCGGCGCGGTTCTTCTCTTTCCTTAACATTAAATACTCTTCTGCACCCGCGCAGCGTCTTTCCGTGGGTTCGGTTATGGTACAAAGCGGAGACATAAATAGATGGGGCAAGCAGCGGGTGGGTGGTCAGGTGGAGTGGAGATGAGGCGCTTTCGATTTGCTGACCACCTTCTTCTCTTTGACCCGCCGGTTCTGGAACCAGATGGTTACCTGGCGCTCAGAGAGGTTCGTGGTGGCGGAGATGCGCCGGCGCTTCTCTTTGGTGATGAACTTGCTAGCCGCGTATTCCTTCTCTAGCTCCTTCAGCTGCACCTTAGTGTAGGGCACGCGTTTCTTGCGCCCGCGCCGGTAGCTGCTCACCTCGGGCTGCAGGGGAACCACGTCTGCGGGGAGATAAGGCAAGCGGGAAGAAGTGAGGCAAGCGGCTGGACTGAGATAGAGGACCCGAGGCTGCCTAGGCACAGAGTTCTGGCAGGGGCTCAACGGGGCCAGAGGATTGCACTGCATAGTGAAGCTCCCTAATGCTTTTCATTTCTGTTATTTTAGCAAGACCACAACTATGATGAGGCCACTGGGCTCGAAGTTTAAGGGAGGGGGCGCCAAAAACTCAGTAATCAAGACGATATTTTAATGCAATGTTTAAAAAAGCAAAACGAATACAAAAACATCCATGATGAACAAAATATCAATTAAAAAAATAAACATGGGTTCGGTATTACTGATTTTCTTTTGTTTCAGGCCCCAATATGGCTCTTCACAGCACTCAATATTAGGATCCTTGTATATTTAGAAGGGACCCTCCAAATTCCAGCCTGGCCTGCCATGCTTGCAGAATTTCAGATATTCAGAAAAATCCCTCCTTCCTGCAGTTAGATCGCTTGGGTCCTTATTAGTTTATATTCTGCCCCGTTGCCAGAGGAAGACATTCTGTTGTATATTTCAGGGAGGGCATGGCAGGCAGGGGGTCAGCTTCAGTGGGCCCAGACCACCAGATGAGTCTTCACGCCTTTGGACACTGGCCCTACGTTAGGGATGTGAGGCACAGATAGAAGATAAGTGTCCAGGTGAAGCCAGCCTGCTTGGAGGTCCACACTCTAGGAATTGGGGTCCAATGTTATGAACCACCTAACACCCAAGGTGGGGGGTCCTGAACCTGAGATATAGGGAATCAGGTGTCTCTGGAAGTAGGGGGTCCACACTGCAGTCCCACCAAAACAGAACAAATTCTGTTCCAACCGCCTTCCCTCTCCATTCCTTCACAGCTGAAGGAAACTGTCTACATCCCTTGCACCAACCATAACCCTAAACCCTAGATGCCTGTCATCCAAACCAATATTACCAGTTCTGTTTCTTTAGGCTCTGAGAATTTCACAGAAACTAAAACCAATATATATCACTTCTAACTCCATTTTCTACTCCACCCTCATCCCTGTCAATAAAGGTCACGCAACACTTTCAAGGGGAAGTGGGGGAACTAGGGAGATTATCTGGATAGCTCAGCCCTCAATTTTTTCCATGTAATTATTAGACTTTAGGTGAAAGCTAATGAGGAGGGCTGAATATTTGGGGTTTCCCCTTCATTCCTACCACATTTTGAAACTATAGACACAGCCCAGAGGGAAGACACAAAGTTCTTTCTGAAATGTTTGTTCCCATCCCACCCTCACAGAACACTTTCCCTGTACCCATCCCCATTGGGTCTGCTTTCTCTCATGGACTCTATACACAATGGGAAGAGTAGTGGTCACAGTGAGACACAGGGGAAAACAAAATGCTCAGGAAGAAAATGGGAGACGGGGTCCAATGGCCTCATTTGACTGTCTTCTGGTGACAATTTCTCAGGAAAACTGTTGGACCTGGCATTTTTCTCTGCCTCTGTGAGAATAAACTATGATTTAAAAAAATCTAAAAAACAAAATAACTTTATTTAAACAGTATGGATCCTTTAGGTTAAAAAGGATTTGTTTTTGAACACGACCATTATCTTTAAATCTCTCAGTTCTCAAATTTGTTTTACTCTTACAGAGGTAACCATGATTTGGGAAATTGACGATTTGTTGACAAGAATAGAATGAAGAGGATATGTAGTGATACCATGAGTTTGTTGCTTTTGTTGTTGTTATTGTTGTTTTTAATCCTCAGAACATTTTTTCAGGATTATTTTGTTAAACTCATTTTACAAGATTAGGAATCTGAGGCTCAGAGTGGGTAAAATAACTTAAGTGGCAGAACCAGATTTTAAAGCCAGACTTTCTGACTCTTAAAATGATACAGTAAGTTTTAAAATGGAAATAGGCCAGCTAATACAATCCAGCTTTAAAACACCTCCTTTTCCCTGGAGAAGAATACAGTAGGGTAAAGGTGGGTTTTTGTTTCTGAATTAGCCAGATAATTGTCCCTAATTTTTTACTTTACTCTCTTTAAACTCTCACAATTACCTATCCAATTTTGGTTTCCTAAATTCTAGCTCTAAATTTCCAATGAGATTTAATCAACCCTAAAAAAAATCAGTTTAAAAAGTAGACAACTGGTTTAAACTGGTTATTTTTCTCTATAGGATGCCAAGGATTGATTTAGCCAATTTGTCCTGGATCAGACCAACTGCAGGTTGGTTTGGCCTCCTGGGGAAATAACTCCAGTCTTGCCTTCTCAAAGAAGCCCCCTTTCTTTGTCTGCTGCCTTATCTGGAAAGGAAATGGTATGTAGAGATGAAGAAACATCTGGTAGCTTGGACCTGGAGATGTGCGTACACTGCCTAAAGTGAGTGGGGGCTTAGTTATTAATCTTACAATCACCCCTTCCCTAGTCTCCCTCCAGATCACATACACGAATGACTTCATGCCTGGAAACCTAATAGACACCTTTGAGGAGTAAATAAAAATCATCTCAATGCTCAGCCATGGCTTTCTTTTTGGGCTTCGGGGCCCCTCTGTTCAGCTCCCCACAGCCCACCCACCCTTGACCACCCGCCCCCCCACAGGCAAGCTCTGGGCTCTGAAGAGTGCCTTGTCCAGCTAGAAATCCAGCTTGCTACTCTTCCCAACCCAAATCCAAAGGCTTGTCAGTAAAGACTTCTAGTGTGGTCCAAATAGCCCACTGTTTCTTTCTCCCTCTTTCTCTCTCCTAAACCCCATCTCTCTTTTTCTCCCTTTCTGATTCTCTCCTGGAATTTCTGCTTCTCTCTCTCTCTCAAAAAAAAAAAAAAAAAAAAAAAAAAAAAAAAAAAAAGTCTACACTCACCGTAGGGAGAAAAAAAAAAAAACCAGAGCAATAAAGCAAGAGTCTGTATAATTGGGAGAAGGAAGAAGCCACGACACATCTTGGCCCTAATTATCTGGATCTTGCTGAACAATTGCCTCCATCTCCCACACCAGCCCAGACTACCACAGATGAGGATTCTCAGAGCCAGAGGCACTGTAGAGAGACAGCAGTGTTTATGCCTACATGTTGCCGAACAAACCACAATTGCACAGACAGAGTTATCTTGAAATCTCACTACTTCTAAAAGATCTCTGAGTGGGTAGAAAGATGGAGAGTGTCTGAAGATAATTTCTTATTCGTCTGCCTCTTGTCTGTACCTCTGCACTCACTGAGATACATCAGCCCAATTCTATTTCCACACGGGGATTGTGGGAGCACATAGCTGCTGAGGCATGCTAGGTTTTATATCCATTTCCATGCCATAATTTGCAAGTGTATTAAATCTCAATTGGGATATACTTTTTTTATTTCAAAGATATTTTTCTCTAGGAGGCTGTGATCAAAAAAGTATTTATTTTTAGTGGAGTTTTGTTTTGTTTTGTTTTGTTTTGTTTTGTGTCCTAGGAATCTTTGAGATGTTTATTTTGCTCAAAGATATTTCTCAGCTTCTCTCCAATCCTTCACCCCTACTCCACACCACATTCATACATAGAACAGCTCCTTCTCTTCTACCTCTTCACACTAAACCCATTGCACATTGCTCTGGGCCTGTGCCCCCAATCCACAGTGGGTTTGGTGGGCACCTGATCCCTTACCCCTTAGCCCCTTGGCATAGCCCATTGGCTTCCCTGCCCCAGGAATTCCTGCTGGACCCCAATCTCCTAAGAAGCTTTGTGTTTTGGTGAGATAGAGAATTAAAGGGCCATCTCTCTAAAATACATTGCTGTATTATGAACATGTGAATTGTCTTTCTAGAAATCTATTATTGTATATTTCATATTAGGTAGTTAATAAAAGAAATCATATTATATAAAAATATTACAGCCAATACAGGGTAGGTGATGCATAATACCATGTACTAAAATTGCACCATCCTTAATTCTGGCAATCAGAAGTCAGGGTGCCTAGTGTAGGTCATACCCTGGTATTGAGTTGTGTTATACTAAGTAATTTCATAATATTCACAAGAATGTTATTTGCTACACTCTCTAATATCACTCAGTATTTTTTTTTAAACCACCTACCTCTTCTTCCAATTCCGTATGCAGAGGAATTTCAGGCCCACCCTTAGGAGGTCTTTGGGTCTATGCTTTCCAAGGAAAACATCCCTGAGCTTGGCACGTGGAGCTGGTCGGGGAGCTGGGCACTGTCGGGAGACATCTGTGGCTGCCCTGGGCCCCCCACCCCCAAAGACCTCTGTAGGTATCAGAAGGGAGAACGCTCTCCCACTGAGCTCTGCTTACAGGGAGAACAGACTCAAATGCTGGACTCCCTAGACCGGAATCCTGATTTCTCAGCACAAGGCAGGATCCAAAGCTCTTGGTGTGGTTTTGGGAAACCTGGGACTGGTCTTGTCCGCAAGGAGAGCGGTGGGATTTACAGGAGCCTTTCTCTCTTCAACTGGAGACGGAACAAGAGGGGAATGAATTCTCCCTTCCCATCCTTAGCCAGACAAGACCAAGGGGTCCCCAGCCTGGGTCTGGACTCCAGAAGCCCCTGAACAGGTCTTGAACAGGTCTTCCTCTCCCATTTCTCATCCCCACGCCCTTCTTTCTGTGTCTGGGGCACCAATAACTAACTCTCTTTCTCGACCACATATGGGGGAGTTGGCAGTGGAAATGTCTATAGGTTTGAGCTCAATATACCAAAGAGGCAAGGAAAACTTTACAATGCTGGGGAGGGATTCTAGCCTCCTCTCCACTCCCTCTCCAGAGATTTTGGATCTTCTGTTCCCTCAACAATCAGGAAATTCGTGGCCAGATTTTTAAAATAAGTCAGGAAAGGAAAAAAATAAATCTCACATTTCTGTAGACCCCAGCAAATTAGTCCCCTATTTAAAAAATACTGTCTAGTGCCTGAACGATCCTGCGAATTCTGTCAAAGAAAGTGGGGGTTCTTATTCTCCGCCCTCCCCAGTTATTCGGTGGGTTGGGGGTTTTGTCCTGGATTCCAAGGCACTATAGGCCCACCCCGCCCCCATCCCTTGCCGGAAGCAGGTTTAGGGGCCAAGAGCCCGGCGGGAGGCTGGAGCCTGCAAGGGGAGGCGGAGGCGAGCTACCGGACAGAGCAGAGCCGGCGGCCCGGCTTTCGGGCGCCTGTGATTGCTTCATTCTCGGCCGGGCAGCTACAGAGAACGTGTCGGAGCAGATTTCTTCCCCGGCGCATTCCTCAGTGCAGCTCGCCCGGCCGGCTCCATAGGCAGCCCAGCCGAGCGGGCGCGCCGGGGCCAGACGGCGGGGGTGGTTGGGGCGCGGAGCCCCGGGGCAGGCAGGGCGGGGAGGGGTCCCCGGCGGCGGCGGCGCTCGGGTCCCTTCCTTACCTGGGAAGGGAGACTTCCAGAGGTGGGCGGACTGCGACTGCTCCTTGGAGCAGTACACCTGACTGTCCCAGCCATTGGAGAGAGCCCAGTGCTGGTAGCCTTCGACGGGGATGAGGGCGTCGTGACGCGGCTCCGGGTGCCCGCTGATCCCGGGCACCACCGACACGTCCAGGTAGCCGGGCATCGCCTGGTAGGAGCTGGCGAAGCTGGGGTAGAAGGCGAACTCCTTGGCCCTAGAGGACAGGTCGTCACCGGGCAGGGCGCCCGACGGCTCCGGGTATTTATCGCCCGGGTGGTAGGCGCAAGGCTTCTGCTGCAGGTTCACGTTGTGCGACAGGCGGCAGCCGTAGTAGCTGCCCCCGAAGGGGTAGCCGTAGCCCAGGGTGGCGCTGGACGAGGTGGGGGGTGCGGGCGGCGGGGCACACTGGCGCGCCGCCTCCGGGGCCGGGATGTCCGTATAGACGGCGCCCTGAGGGGCGCCCAGGGGAGCCGGCGGGCGGCCCAGCACGGGGTGCGGAAGCAGGTCGCGGCAGTGGCTGGCCGGGCAGCTGCTGCCCAGACCATCCATGCTCGGGGCTTTGCCGGGGCTCGCTCCGCTGCAGCCACCCCCCGCTCCGCCCGTGCCGCCGCCTCCTCCTCCGCCGCCGCCGCCGATGCCGCTCTCCGCCGCGCTGTCCTCATAGACGTACATAAGGCTCTCCGGCCAGCGTGGATGCAGGAGCAGCGAAGTCGTCATGACATGATCTGCTGGAGCTTTTTAAAAACTCCACTTGCCAGAGGCAGCGAGCTAGGGAGACACCTCGCTCCTGTTTCCCCTCCCCCCATCCCTCCCCTCTTTTCTCTCCACCCCTCCCCTCCTCCTAGTGCTTCCACCTCCCTCCCTACATTCCCTCTACGCATGCGGAGACACTTCATTAAGAAATCCGCCGGCTCCCGCTCTCCACCTCTCAGCACCCCTCCCGCGCCCACGTGACCCGCTCTGCGCACGTGATGCCCCGGCCAGGTCTCCTGGGGTTCCCTCCCCTCGAGGTGGGGCGGGGCGAAAGGGAAAAAGTCTGTGCTGATTGGATCTCAGGTAGGCCAAAGGAGGCGGGAGCTGGGAGATTTAAAGGGACAGGGAGACGCCCCCGGCAGGCCCCAGGGAGGGAGAGGGAGGGGGGGGAGGCTGAATTTGGCCGACGCAAAGGGGTGTAGGGAGGAGAGCGCTGTAACTGGGCGCCTCCGCCTAGGCATAGGATGTGCACCGGAGAGACAGACCCCCTACCGCCAAGCCGATCACTGTGACTGCTGAAGTCTCTGGATTGGGGCTTGAAGCTAAGGGTGGGGAAGAAACCAGGTTTTAAAAAATAATAAATGAAGATAATAGAAAACAGTCAGGAGCGCTCTGGCCCTGGCAGCTCGCCTCCGCTCGCGGCTGGAAAGAACCCGATGCTGCGTAGCGAGCCTTTGATGCCGGGATTGTGTTTCCATTTCCTACCTTCAGCCACATTCCCCAAAACTCTAGATGTCTGAAAAGGACACTCTGCTTTACCTCGCTGGATTTTTCTCAAGCGGAGAGGGGTGTGACAACCCCCAAATACAGAATTCATCACCTGGGGCAGGGGATCGAGAGGCAATGGAATATACTCGGCAATAAATGGAGAAAGAATAAAACGAGGGAAATAAAAGCAATAGAATAGACTGATATTTCAATATGTAATAGAAATAAAAAATCTCAGAGTGAGGTTTTTCAAAGAAATGCGGGTGGTGGGGGCGCAAGATTCAGCCTGGGAAAGCTAAAAGCCCTGGATGCGAAGGAGAGCGCGCTTTCTATAGGTATACAAAAGAAAACGTGGAAAATGGGGGAGATTCAGTGCTACACCTTTGGAGGGACCTCTCTCTGGCGCCACTCTGGGGGACCCTGCAGAACCCACCTCTGCCCTCAGGGGCCTGGGTTAAGCCACATGACACAGTCCCCAGTTTGAATACCCGCAATGGAGCTCCCACGGCTTTCTTAGGTCACCCTCTTTTAGTGAGGAATAGTTTCATGATCTAAAACTGCCCCCTATTTCAAAGAAAAAATTAACACCAACTTACTGATTCTTCAAAAGCTCTCCCTTCTTTCCTCCCAATCTCCCAACTTGTCAGGAGCCTCAATAGAGTCACCCCTTTCTAAGGGAGCATCTCCGTGGAATTGAGTCAAGTTCCCTTTCAGCACAGGACCTCCCTGAGAAATCGTAATGAAGAGAGAAAAATAAGAGGGGAAAGGGGCTGCAGCGTTTCCTTCTTTCCTCCCTCTGCCACAGGTTTTAAATGCTGAGTGCTCGTGTGCAGCCAGCGCACAGACCATGGCCACAGAGCAGCGCCTCGCTCAGCCAGACCTACTGCACCCCTCAAGTGGAGAGCAAATGGACAGGTCTGCAGAAACCCCTTCGGGCCACCTCCCTCCTCTTTGTGGGGAGAAGGTGGTGTTTGACGGTTGAGAGCACCCGGACATCGGTGAGTTAGGATAGTAATTCTTATCTGCGTGATCTTCATCCAGAAGGGTCAGCTCAGAGTTCAGAAAGCAGGCTGCGGGCTGGGCTGGCATTAGGAGGAAAAATACAACAGAAAGAGAGTTAAGACATAAGGAGACCAGCTCGAGTGTGCATTGAGGGCAATGAGGGAGGGGCGGGGAGAGATGAGCCCAGTGGAAGATAGGGTCTTGCTGGGAGCCGGCTCTGCTAGGAAACTGCTTATCCTGCTGCTGGAGTCCAAGGTCAAGGTAAAACGAGGAGAGCAAACAGGGCCTGGCCAAGTCTAGACTGGGTTGTATGACGTTGGCCCCCTTGCCTAAGGCCTGGCTGGTGGGGGTGGGTGGGTGGAGACGCCTGCCTTTTTCCAGCCGCGGGTAGTAGAAGTGGAACCCAGATCCTGGCCTCCCCTTCTGTGAAGTGCTGCTCCCAGGTGGAAGTAGTGGGGCGCTGTGGACAGGGTTCTGCAGGGCTGCCAGGAGAAACAAAGGGCCTGAAACGCCCACCCCATTCTTGGGGCTCCCTCCCCGGTCAGGCCCAACGCCGGACCCGTTTTCCGCGGGCCAGGACTCAAAGACACGTCCCCAGCCTTTGGGAGTAGGAACCAGAATGGCGGGAGTGGGAACCAGAACGGCGTGAAGGATCTGGGTGCAGGGCGGCCAAGCAATAAATAAAATTAATAGTATGGTCTTTTCCAGGTTTATATGAGGGCATTAACTATTCCTATTGCAATGAGATATAGATTTAATTAATCCGGCAACTTTACAATTCCATTTATTAGGAGCACTATGCGGCCAAAATTTAGTGGCGAGAAGAAAGAAAGGGAACCATAGTCCTCTTCCTCAAGAAGACCAGCCGAAGTTGTAGGCCCCTAAAGCGACTTGGAGGAGTGGGAAGGCTGGAGGGGAAAGTTTGGGCTAAGGGCGCTAAAGGCGGCTGGGGAAGTCCGCTTGCTCTGAACAATTCCCTCTTCTTTTGCTTGGTTCCCCAAGACCTTTCGCGCCTGCAAACGCAGTCTCCAAGTCTGGGGCGAGCCGGGATCGGGAAGGGAGGCGCCGAGGCAAGAGCCTGCAGGAGGGCGGTGGAAAGTAAAGCCTTGCTGGTTAATTAACTTTAAGCCTGGGGTGGTTTCTTCCCCCTCCCCCGAAAAAAAAATGTGGATCTCGCTGAGACACAAGTAAAATCAAATTAAACACTCCAGGAGAATATGCACCACTAGAAACGTAGTAATTACATCTCCAAGGCGATCTCGCCCTAGAAAGCCTTTCCAGGGCCTGGCGCTGAAACCCTCGGCTGCGGTGCTCACCCGGGCGCGCCCCGCCGGCCTTCGGGGATGAGGCAGTGAGGTTTGACTGTGGATGAAGTTTAGAGAAAATCCAGCTGCTGGTATGCGGAGAAAGACGGAGCATTTAATTATACGAAAGGAAAATGGAAAACGGCTCCTCAGCCTCGTCGGGAAGCCCCGGCTCTGCTCTCGGCTGCTTTTTCAAAGGGACTTCTACAACCGCGGAGCGGCAGAAGCCACTCTGCCCTCAGCTACAGCTCATGAACCAAGCTCTCGGCTAAGTTCAACTCTGAAATGTTTTCTTTTAAATGATCCAACACAGAAAGGAGATATTTAATATGCTTTTTCACGGGAAGCGTCTGTGTATGTGCGTGTGCGCGTGCGCTTGCGTGCCTGTGAGTTTAGGGATGGGTGCAGGCTGCCTGCACCGTTTCAGCACACGGCCTTGTGGACACAGCCCAAATGAGTTCCTAAAGATACCCAGCTCTCTGCCTAAATCCTCTGTATGCAAATAAAGGTCTCTGCTTGTCTGTCTGTATACACTTTTAATTTACATGTTCTTCCTACGCTACTTACAAAGACATCCCCCAGGAAAATATAGAAAAATGAAGAAGCAGATGTCTGTGTCTTTTTGAAGTCGAGGGGTGGAATTCATGCCCCACTGTATCTAAGACGAAGTCAGAGGTGTAACTTAGCAACATTTGCAAGCGGAGGGTGCAAGCCTGATGCACACATTTGAGGGCTGGGTGTAGCTTCAATGCTAGGCTAGGGAAAAGGATGAAAGAAATGGCGTTTCTGTGTCCCTTATTCAATGCCCAGATTTTCTCCTCTGAAAATTAGGTGTCAGATGATTTCTCTCCCTGCAGCCCTTTTCTCTGTTTCCTCCATATGGGCGGGGGGCGGGGGGGAGCTTAAAGCGCTGAAGCTCCTGCTCCCCCAACCCGCTTTTAATGGGAGAAATTCCAGTTTTAAAAAAGGTGGGGGTGGGTTGAGGCTGTAGGAGAACAAAGAGCCTCACCACCATGGGGTCTGGATTCTGGCCCAGACTTGGGGCCTTATAGGGCAGGCAAAGGGTTTGGGGGCCCTTTCCTGTCCAAGGTTCAGGCTGCCGATGGAAGAGGAGATTTGTGGAGGATAGAGGAAGACAGGGCCTGAGCTAGCCAAGAAAGGGATGTTTGAGAGAGGCCACTTATAGGAAGGGATTGGGGGTTCAGAAAGGGCATATGAGGGGGTATACCCTTGAGGGTGTGTCAGTGTGGGAAGACCCTCCCACATGCTTGGAGAAAATTCCTGATGGGCTGCAGAGGGTGATATTGGTAGAGAAGGAAAGAAAACTGGCTGATCCTGCAGCTCCCTGGACCTGCCCAATACCCTCCCCTCCTTTTTCCGTTCCCTCCACTTCTCTGGGCTCCAGGAGGTCCCTTCGTCCCTGCAGCCATGGACCCTGCAGACATGGATGCCTCCTCCCAGGCTCCTGGATCCCTCTGGAACCTGCTCTACTTTGATCTCTCTACTCCCACAGCCCAGCCTCTGAAAATGGCAACTAGGCCTCTTCTACTAGCTTGGGAACTCACCTCCTGGACAGCAGCTGCCATCCTGGCATCTTCCACCTTTAGTGTTCTCCCTCCCTAGGCCCCCAGCTTGAGGGAAGATGGGACCAGGGTAGCTGAAGCATCACTTTGCTCCTTGTTTCAGAGTTTTCCGCTCTTAAACCCAAACTTGCCTACCTCCAGGCCCCACTTATTTTCCTGTGATAGATATCAGGGAAATCCATTCCTCTCTGCTGCCTAGTTAGGACTTGCAGTGCTGGCTAAGGTTTGGGGTCACCCGGAAGACCTTTTCCTCTCTGGCTCTGCAGGGATCCATACAGGGGGTCCAAGTTTAGGCTATCACAAATCTTCTCCTGGTTTCTCCTCCAGGATGCCCCCAGCTGCAGACTCTGCTTGGTGGTGTACTGGGTTTGGTCGGGGGACGTCAAGTGGCCCCTTCCATGGAGAACTGTCAGAATGCCTCCTCTGGAGGCTTCTGGAGTCCCTAACCCCAGTCCTCTTTCTTTCACAGCTTCCCCGCGCTCCTAGCCCTGCCAAGCTCATCACAGAGCCCCTTCCCCAACCTTCCTCATCCCCTCCTTCCTCAGCCCTTTTCTAGCCCTTACCCCATCCACCCCCTTTTCTTTTTGGGCAATATCTCAGTCTGTCACTTGGCCCCCTCCCTACTCTTACCTTTCATTGACAAAAGAAGTTCAGGGAATAAACACAGAGTTAAGAAATTAACAAAGTATCTCCTCCCGCCTTCTGGCTTCACTACATCCCCTACCCCCACCCTGTCCTCTACTGGGGGAAAAGGCCTCCTGTCCCCTTCCCTTCCCACTAAACACCCTTCCCCTTTTAGGAAGCCCTTCAGAAACAGACAAGTAAAATCTCTCTCGGTTTTAGGGCCTGTCTGAGAGGGAAGTCCAAGTTCATTTTCAAATTAGACAAGAGAGCTGAGGGGGGATGGGGAAGAGGTGGAGGAGTATTTGCTGGGGGCTGAATTTGGCTTCCTCGTACAGACCTAACAAAAGCCCCTTTTGGTCAGAAAGCCAACAAACCGAATGCCTGGAAAAGGTATTTATCACTTTCGATCATTACCTTCACCTTTTAAAGTTTAGGCTTGAGGCTCCTAGAAGGGAGGCAGACCAGCCAATCTTTTTTTCCTTCTTTTAAAAGATTTCCAGTTACTTTAAAAACAGATATGGAAAATAACATTTTTCTTAGGGCAGGGAGGGGATGGGCCTCAATACGGCATTCTTCTGGGTCAAAGTGCACTGGTTAACCTGTCCCAAAGAATGACCAAATACAAAAGGCATAGCTGAAGGGCCGAGCATTTCACCTCTTATGAGGTGAGGGGCCTCCTTAGTCCCACCATGGTGTGGGAACTGGAATTTGGTGGGGTCCTAAAAGGGAGATAATGGAAGGAATATATATATATATTTCATCACAGGAAAGAGGAAAAATTATATCCTAGATGGATCACAGCCTAGCTCTCTCCATGACCAGACACCTCAGCAGTTGCAGCCAAAGCACATTCTAATATGAAAATCACTGAGCAGAACACAAGAAATTAAAGGATTTTCAAAAGATGCCTCATCAAAAGAAAGAAAATTTAACCCCTCCACTTCCAAAAGAGAGGGAAGAGAGACCCAAGGCTCAACTAAAGGGGGAAAGAAACACCTTTTTGCTAAAATGACTAACCTTGACTGGGATCTATGGAACAAAAAGGTAGAAGGGAGCTTGTATATTTGGGTATCTGGGACAAGATTCTTGCTGGTAGTAATTAATTAAATCATCCTAAACATATATAATTTGGTACAGTTTTGGTGACTGGAGGGAAACTATCACTCTGATATCCTTGGGGTTGGGGAGTGTTAAACTTTCCCTCCCTCACTGCCTCCTCCCTCTCATCCAAATTTCCCCCCTTCAGGGAGTATTTAGAGGCACTTTTTAAATCTTAGCCGTCGTGTTGCCTTGTACATGCAGCAAAGCTGATGAAGTCTAAGGAACTAGAAAGGAGAATGGGGGCATTCATTTTTCCTTTTCCAAAATATTGGAATTATGTATCACCTGCATAGTCAGAAAAAAATTTAACTCAGATCAGAGGAAATATCTTTCAAGGCAAAGAGACCACCCCAGACACCTCAAATTTGATAGTCTTTAGCATTTCCGCGGAACATGATTGCTAAGTCCTGGTTTTTGGACAGTGCACATGCTGTGGAACATGTGTTAAAACAAGTATGCATTGTGCTTGTGTAGTATGGAGACATTTGTGGGTGTTGTAACAGGGGTGCTGGTTGGGGCAGGCTGGTGAGGTGGACCTGAAAAGGAAGAAAACATTGTTAGACTGTGAGCTTGGGAAAGACCCAACTGCTCTATTCAAAGGCAGTCATCTCTCCTTAGGCTTAACCACTATAAGCAAATAGCTGGGAAAGAAGAACATCCTCAAGTTTGCAGAGCTGCATTTCTTAAAGCCCAAAAAGAGGGGACCTTGTGCAATTCTTCTCCTACTCCAAGGCCTTGGGAGAATAGTCTGCTATAGCCTGTATTTGTGATTTAAAGCACTTGTAGCTCTCTTTTCAGTGCTTGGCTTATTAATGAATTTCCCTCCAAAGAAGAAATACAGATTTATTCCTCTTATCTATTATAGACTTATTTCTAGACAAGAAAGTATGTAATACATGTTTTGTTTGGTGTTATAGGAACTTCAGATAAATATTAACATAAGAAATGTGTCCTCAGATACCCATATCCATATAATTAGGATTACCTTATTATCCATATAACAATCTTACAATTTTTAAAAAATAATATATTCTTTGAATATGACAACATAGTTATGTTTAATGAAAAAGCTTAAAGGCTTTAATTGTGTTTATGCTCATGCTGAGATGGGGGGAGGCTTGACCAACGTATAGTTCTGTGGGTAAAGATGTGTATTAGTACAGATGCTTTGTTAATGCATTTCCATTCATGTTGTTTTCTAATGCAGTCAGCCATTAAACGGAAATGGTATGTAGGTATATGTAAGTGCAGAGATGCTTTTTAGAGTTGTATTTTTAATAGATAATAAAAACACCATGTCTAAGAGAATAAAAACACCATGTCTTTGCTGTTGCTCCCAGACAATTCTCTGGGAGAATTTTTCTCTTAGGCATCATTTAGCGGCATTGTGCTCCTGAAGCCAACTTGCCGTCTCGCCAAACTTGGCAGGACGGGGGCGTTGGCTCTGTTCTTTCAGCGCAATTTTCTTCCACGGATTTTGGGATTCGGGTCGTTTCCGGCGCCTGGATGGCGATTCCGCTCAGCCTGAGGAGTCACCGCCGCCTGGCTCCGCCAGGAACTCGGCGCCAGCATCTAACTCCTTCTCTTCCTTTTCCTGTGGATTTCTCCCACGACAGAGAGTTCCTTAGTTTATTTTAATATGCTGGTTTTAAAATTTTACATATAGTAATTGTTTAGTATTTTATTTCACTAACCCAGACCAAGTTTCTTGGCGAAAGCCCTTCCCCACAAGACAATAAATGGCCGACCGGAGAGCGGCAGGATGAGTGCCCGCACTAGGAAGCGCCCGCGACACTACCTGGCGCCAGAGCAGGTCCAGTGGGGCAGGCATAGTCACACACGCAATCCTGACTGATGCCCTGTGTGCACGTTATGTGCACCTATTGCTGAGCACACAGGTGGGTACATTTATTTGTGGGGGTAGGAGAGACTCAAGTAAGTTCCTGGAGAGCTCTGAGTGTGTGGGTAGACAGCGGACTCACCCTAGGGCCTGGGCATTCATGAGCATGCTTGTGTGAACCAAGAATCAGCCTTCCCTTTCTTCTCCCCTCACAGGTCCCTGTGGAAAGGGGTCCTCCCAAATGGGGAAACAAAGGAATAAAAAGACTATTTTCTGTGGTTTATGCCCAGTTTTGGGGTAGGAAAGTGTGACAAAGATAATCATACACCTATAAAGATTTGTCAAAGAAGGTTGAGTGAATCTCGGGCTCAAAAAGAAATGTGGGGAAGTAGGAGGTGGTGGGCAAGGGCTGGGAACCAAAGGGAAAGAAACCATGATAATAGACTTCTGAAAAGCTGGTTAATCTTAGCTGGAATAACGGCAAAGGAAGAAAGCAAACTATTCAGCTCTCAGGAATCTTATTATTAATTTTGATGTGGCTGTGTATTTGTTGTCATTTGCTGAATATAATACATATGAAATGGCATGGTTATGTCTTATACAGAAGCCTACAATGACAACATGCACTCACAGTTGGTCATGTTTCAAATCTACTTCTAAACTTGGTGCACTGGGGTCTACAAATTTCCTATTTTAAGTCTTATCTTTAAAATGCTCTGTACTTTAAGTAGTAGGGGCAAGGTCATAAACAGTGGTGAATTTTTCCTTCCAAATATTACCAATAAGAAAAGCGGATTCACTACCTTTCAAAGTTTAGCCTCACCCTCACCCTTGAAAAAAGTTTCCCAAATGTGGTTAATCCTGGGAAGAAGAAAGCCCAACCAACCCTCTCCCCGTCAAACATGACTGCTCCTTGATCCTTGATGACTTGATCCTTCAGGATGTCTAGCTCTGAGTTCAGCCTTTAGGAAAGTGAGTTCTTTGCAAGGTCCGGAGACACCCACTGCAGTCTCCTGGCTTCTCTGGGCTCACTCCTCAGGCTGTGAAGCCAACAGGGGATCTCAGATGCTCTGCCAGTACACCTGGAAGACAAATCTGAATTTGCAGTTTCAAGTCGAGTTTCCACCTGAAGGCTATGTGGGTGATGCCCCAACTTCACTTTGCAAGTGCATATTCAGCTTAAAAACTATGTGGAGGAGACTGGTCCTACCCAGCTATGATCTTCTTGGAAAAAAACAAAGAACAAACAAACAAAATGGAGCCCAAATATTCTTTCTGCCAAGAAATAAAATTTTTCATAGACACAAGTAGAAACCCATGTTTGTTCCCTCTTCTCTCTCTCTCATGTATATACACACATATATACACACACACATATATGCATTTTGGTGACTTGATCTAACTCTACATTTTATCACAACAGATACAATATCTTCCAGGAAATAATGCCCAGGAAGGCAACTCTATCTTTCTACACAAGGAAAAATGCACAGAAGACCCATTTCACCATCTTGGAGCGCTGTTCTCTATTAGATTTTCCTTGTTTCTCTCTCTTTTTACTGTCCAGCGATGATGAGTCTCCACAAACAATCAGAATTTGCATTTTCCTGAATTATTCAAATAATCGAAAGGTGAGTGACGGGAGGAGGACTTATCTGAATTATTCGATAATTAAGCTTTCAGGATTTTTATTTTATTTTATTTTATTTTTTATAATGCAGGATTAGCGTTATTCCCTATCCCCAACCTCAGGGAGAACCTTGAGGCTGTAAACCCGCCTCACACAGTGGAGCCTGGAGAATGGGGTCCATGCTATTTGAACAGGGAACATGTTTGTAATAACTTCAAAATCTACCTTGGTTACAAATACCTAGGACAGTAAGGAACATCCCCACCCGCCGCACCTCCCTCTCCAACATTTCTTCAACCTTTACTTGGTAGCTTCAGCATCAAGTATCAAAATCTGTGGGGGAGAGTACTCTTTCTCCATGTCGAAAGGCACCTCTTCTTGCACTCCCTGACCTAGCCAGCTCTAACCTGCGGGCTTATTCTGGGGGAGCTTCAGAGGAAAAGCCGGGGATGAGGGTCTTAATCTCGCTCTAGATCTTTACTTGCAGAGAGATGAGTTACATTGTTTAATTTTCTTCTCTACCTGGGCCGTTCAAAGAGCTCAGGAATATTGTCTTGTCTAATTCCCCGGAGGCTTCGTATTCTGCCCCTGCAAACTGACGACCTCCTCCAGCAGAAATCAGGCGGAGGGAATGGCAGGAGCTGCGTGGGGGAGTTCTTGGCGGAGGACTTGTCTTCTCCTTCCCACCCCACAGCTGCGTAGGCTCGACTGGCGCGTGGGGGCTCCCGACTTGGAGGGGTGTGGGCAGTGGTATTCAGGGCTTTTTCTCCGTCCCGCCCTGCAGGGATCTGGAGTCCAGTGCCTCCAGGAAACCTTCCCTAGGTTTCAGGGGGCGGGGAGAGCATGCCAGTCTGGGAGGCAGCCCCAGACGGTTTGCACAGTCCAGAGACGGAAGTCCCCACGCTCCCAGCCTGGGACGGGGAGACCCTTATTTTCTCAACTTGAACCAAACGAAATCGGCAGCAGTCACGAACCTCAGCTCCCAGACCGGGTGGCGCCTGCCTGTCCACGTCTTTGTTTTTTTTTTTTTTGTTTGTTTGTTTTTTTTTTTTTTTGAAGGGGATACATTTAAAGGAAAAAAAAATCAATCCGAGAGAAACTTACACTTTCAAACATTCACAGCGGAACTTGTATGTGTTGGCGCCGCACTAGGGCCAGGCATCCGCCCAGCGCTCCCCGCCTTCCCCAGGAGTTGGGTCCCGCACCAACGTCTCTACTCGAAGCCGCGGCAAGTCACTTTCCCCAGTCGCCCTCCCGAGACCTACCGCCCCCAAAAGCCATTTTTCAAGAGGCGCAGGCCCCTCTCCAGGCTTCTCCGGAGGCCAAAGCAGCGGGCGGGCGGGCGGTGGCTAGGGGACGCGGCCCGGCCAGCTGAGCCCGCTCGTTTCCCGCCACTGTGCGCAGCTCGGGTCCCCCAGATCTTCGAAGCCCTCGGACCTGGCTTTCGCGCAGACTGGAGAGAAGGAACGGCGAGAGTGAATTGAGGGGTTACCGACTCCCGCATCCTCCAAAGACCGCACTTTGCATCGTTGTAACGCTCGAGCTGCACACGCCAAAGGCGATTTTAGGGGTCCTTCTCCATCATGGCATTGGAACGACAGGGCAGAAATTTCAACTTAAGTGTCTACACTGAAGTGTTATGTCTTCTCCAAGTCCTTTTCATTTACTTAGGAAGCCTTGGTTGTGTTCTGCTTTGGAATCTGAGGGACCTTCCCCTCTCTCCTGTTTTGTTTTTCCAGCATGCGGTCCAGCTGGTCTCAAGAAATGGGGCAGGGGAAGGGTGCATAAAATAAAACTCCAGTGAAACTAGAAGAACAGAAAAATGCTCACTGCACACAGACATGGATAAAGTAGTGAGTGTGGCTGTAGAACGGTACCTCTGGGGGAGAATGGAGACGCCCTTTTAGTTTAAATAGCGACCTAGAGGCCGGGAATATAGTTAACAGGGGGAATTGTGTTGCCAGAATCTTTGCTTTCCTTGATGGGTCCTGCAAAGCTCTTCGCTCCCCACCCCGAGTGAGAATCCAAGGGCGGCGGGTGTTTTTTAATGATTATTAGAAATAGTCAAACTCTTCTTGTAATGACCTCATTCTTGCCAGATGTGTCTTCTGATCTCACCAGAATGCGGCACTTTAAAAAATTGAATCCAGTTTTGGAATTAATAAGATGTGAAATATGTTTATTTTATTTGGGGTTGAAGGGCCAGGCAATTCTTCTGCCTTCATGGATTTTACTGGCTTCTGTGTCCAGTGGCACATTTTACCAGATTGTTTTCAGTAGCTCGGATATTTTAGGGTCGTGTTCACTTTCAGGCTCTCTGAGACCTAGGAGTTTCAGGTGCATATTCATTACACAAGGGATGAGAAGTTCCATTGGGGGAAGGAACAAATCTCCTGCGAGTAGGTCTCAGTAGTCAAGCTACAGGAGCCTTCCTTATCTTCAAGAGGCAGCTGAGCATGGCTACCTTTGCTCTGCTCTTTCACAGAAATCCTTTTCTCTCCCAGTCCCTTTTTTTCTCCCCGCCATCCATCAACCTGCACCATTCAGAGAAAAGTCCCTTTGGGGAGTGATGACCTTCCTTTTGGAGAAAGAAATACTCTCATAAGATTGCTGCCTATGATGGTTGAACGTCTGGTACCCCATGAGGATCTTCTATATCCAAATTTGCCACTGGACACAGAAGCCAGTAAAATTTCAACCATTATAAAGATATAGCAACTGCTCCCTCCAAATCCTGGGCCTGCAGCTGGACTACACCCCCAGCATTTTTTGCAGTTTCATATGGATGTGTGACTTAGTTCTAATTAATGGAATGCATGTGCCGTTTCCTGGCCAAAGCTTTTAACAAGTGGGTGTGTTCCCATTCTCCTCCGTGCTCTCTGTCTTCTTCCTCTGTGAGGATGTCCACCATGGCACCCTAGGGAATAGTTCAGACACGCGATAGGAAGAGCCTGGATCCCTGAACCACATGGAGAGGGCAGCCACCCACTGGCAAGAATCATCTGCCTAGGACTTTACCTGAGGAAGGAATAAGTTTCTATTGTATTTAAGTGACTATATGTTTTGGGGTTTATTTACAATCATATCCCAGTCCATCCTTTACTCTTTAAAAGGCGAAATACAATTTCATTTTTGTGTTCTGTCACCCTTTATCAATGTCAATGGATGTTAGCTAACACTTCTTGGCTCTTGGATTAAAACTCCAGGGGGCCCCAGACTCTTCTGCCTGCTCTTAGGTAATAGACAATCCTGTAACAACTTCAAGTCATATACACAATTTCAAATCTTAGGGAGAATGTCCAGTGCAATGTAGCTTCAAGACTCTGAGCTCGGTTTAATGTGATATTTTCTTCCTTCCCTCACTCAAGTTTGCTTTAGCCTAGATGTGTGTAGAAGGAACGAGGGGTAATTTTTTAACCTTGTGTTTCTCTTCTTCCCCCGCACCCCCCGCCCGACCCTTATCTGTTGTTTCAGGCTCACTAGGGTTTCAAGGGATGAAGAGAGTGAAGGATTGGCTCAAACAGTTTTCTAATGGTTTGAATTGTAGAGATAAGCCAACTAGATCAGGGCTACTATAGTTGAAACTGCATAGCACCAAATAAAGCAGAGTTTTGGCAACTCACTACCAAAACCGTAGATTTCCTGAATTGTTCAGTTTGATATATTTCCAGATCTAAGGAAAGAACCACCATTCATTTCACTAGATTGTATGGTAATAGCTCCAGTTGGTCCCTTGGAAAAACAGCTGGCACAAAAGCATTTTTTTCCAGAGGTGATGAGAATACATTCTTTTGCATTGGTTCACCCAAATTTCTCCCTCCTAGTCCCTGGATATGTAGGCCAGACCCAGTCACAGGAGATGAGGAAATGAGTTCCTGCTTTTTTGGCCCCTGCCAACAACAAGAACTGGGCAGCCTCCTTCTTGCAGTTTTGTTTTGCATTCTGCTTATTCTCTTATGGAAATCACAGCAGCTGCCTTATAGTTAGGCAGTCTGCCAGCCTCTCTGGCACTTTTGAGACATTGGCATCTCTCTTTATAATGAATGCCAAGCCACTCAGACCAGCGTTGGGTCACCAGGTGGGGAGAAAGCCTGTCAGATATAGCATGCCAAGTGAAAAAAAGAAGTGTTAATGATGCAGTTAACTTTGTCTATGGACATTGCTTGACTATGATATTTTAGGACTGCCTACATGCTGACAAAGGAAAACTTCAGTCCTTCATTGGATTATTTCCAAATATCCAAATATATGTTAACAAGTGGATGGATTAGCCAGATAACATTTTTCTCTTGCTTACAGCCGGTTGCTTGGCATTACACAGACCCTTATTATGTGTGGACACCATTGAGTGGCACCAGCACTCTCTCAGCCTGGGCTGGGGGAAGAGCCATAGAGTGGGATGTGGGCAAATAAAAAACATTTAAATCTAAGGGTAAGACTAATCCAGACTTGGAAACCTACTTACCACTGTGAGCCAGGGAGGATTTTGGATGTTCATGGTTAACAGTTAAGTCAGTCTGGAAATTACTCTGGTCTTTGGAAAGAATGTAGATTGTGTTGAAGATTGAATTATCCATCATGGATGACCACTTGGTCATGGATGACCGCTTTCTCTGGATTATTTCTAATCTAATTTTCTTTTTCAAGTATATAGTGGGTTATATTCATCATCATCAACTTTCTGGCAACAACAGAAGTGGAAAGGGCCTGGCATTCAAAGGTGAGGTTGTGGGTCCCTATAATGAAACACTCTGATGGTGGGAATAGCTAGATAATGGAGTGGGATTTAAGAGTGAGACATCCATTTCCCTTGTGTAGCACTTTGAAACTAGTCTTTTCTAATTTACCTGAGCAGAAACTAGACTGGAAACAGGGGCATATCCAAGATGACCTCTCAAGGCCTCTTTTTTTTGCCTTTGGCTTCTGTAATTTTCTGACAACAGCTGTACCTGTAAAATGTGTTCGGATTCAGTAGCAGGGTCAGGGGCTGCTGTCACTTGGTGGATTTCAACAACATGACCCTGGCAAAGACTTTGGAATAAAAACATCAGGAAAATAAACACTCAATGCTCCATAGCCAGAGGACCAGCTGGGAGCTGTCAGGTTGAAATACTAGTCTATCTGGGAAGGGAAGGAAAAGGAGCAAGGCCTCCGACACTCTTCTGCCTCCTAGAAAATACCCCTCCAGCAGCAGAGGTGATGCCAAACACATCAAATTAATCAAGAAAAGAGATGGAAGAAGTATTAAGGCTGAGCTTCAACTCCAGCCAGTCTGTCAGTCAACACTCTGTCAGGAACAAGGCATTGCCTGGGCTGTGGGAGGGGAGCACCAGGAAACAAGAGACAAAGCCAGTTGCTGAATGTGGGGAGCCACACCCTATCTGTGCAGGGAGATGGAGCATATACTCAGGACCCAGGCAGAAAGAAAGGTGAGAAGATTGAGTGACAAGAGAAATGAGGGACCACAATGCAGGGAGGAGGAGGAGCGGGAGCTGCAGCAGAAGCGAGATGAATCAGACAAGACAGTCATTCCTTCAGAGGGGAGAGACACTTGGGGAGGAGAGCAGAAAAGGGCCCCAAGGGAGAAGTAGGAAAAGACTTGTGTCCCAACTTGGGCAATGGCTTGTGCAGTTTAGAGCCTGGAGAGGACAAGGTATGTGCTGCTGGAGAGAAGGCACTCGTCTGGCTGAGCAGAAATTCTACATTAGGGAGTCAGGGAGAAGAGGCTGGGAAACCGAGGAACTGTAAATCTGGCAGGACAGTATGAACCAAATAGGGATTTCTGGGAAAAGGTGTTTCTTACAAAAATGCTGATAGGAAGAAGCTTTTGTTCTGGCCGCCCTTTAGAAAAGAGGTAAAGTCTAAGCAGATGAGCATGATGCAGTTATCTGTCATCAGCTGTACAGCATAAACAGAAAAAGCAGGCTGCTTCACTTGTTCCAGCTTGAAGTGACAATAATGTCTGCCCAGCTATAGCAGGGGTATGCAAGGAAGATCTAGGGAATGTGTGGCAGCACATGTCTATATATGTCTCCTTGTGTGCAAGTGTGTGTGTGTGTAAGGCTGCTTGCACATGTGTTTTTATGTTCTGATTGGGCTGCATCTGAAGCGCTTTAGAAAAGTATAGAAATGATGTAACAATAAACTAATACATTAAATTAGTAGGCAGACTCATGAGAGGGTCTGAGTAATATACACCCATGGAGGAAAACATAATACAAAGCCTTCTACTCCATATACACATACACACACGCAGATGTTGAATAACATTCATTTGAATATTAGACGTGCACATGTACAAAGACATATTTTAAATATGGAAAAGACACAAATTCTATTGAATAACTGCCATCCATTTCATAGGTATGCTGTAGGAAAGACTAAGAGAAAAGTAGATTTGAAATGGCATTTAAATCATCTTATCTATTCTTTTGTCTATAAGAAAGAATGCCAGCTTACCAACTCCTTCAAGCAACATAATGCCTCGTTTTCTGAAAGAACTATTAACTGGGACTATTTGTCCCAGTCTCTAGCCCCTACTAGTATGTGTACTGTCTAGGAAAGTGCACTGAATCCCACTGGAGTCAAAAGGATTATTAGTCCACATCTGTCTCCTAATGGTAAAATATTCTTCAGTAAGTCATCTGTCTGACTCTGATTCTTCCTCTATTAAGTGTGAAAGTTGTCTATAAAATCTAAAGTTTCTTCTAGCTATAGTCTTAGGATATATATACATACACACACACACACACACACACACACACACACACACACACACACATATGTAAGATCTCTCTCTGTCTCTCTCTTTCACACATATTATCCAAGTGCCCAGAAAATTAGAGGATGACCACAATTGTCTACAAAATGTCCAAACAATGTTTCAGTTCTGTTTTCTAATGACAAAACTCCAAATATGATTTTTGACATTGTAAGGACTAAGGAGTTAATGACAGAAAAGTTTATCTTTCAAAACCTGAGAATGAACAGGTCTGTAGTCACCTGTTTCACACAAATCTTGGAAATCAGTGCTTTGATTATGACACAATGTCACAACAATAAGATGATTTAGTTAAGTCAGTGAAAAAAAATTAAGTACGTTGGCCATTTGACATTGGGTAGTCAAAACATTTTTTTTTTTTTTTTTACATTTTAAGCAGATCCACTCTTTGTCAGTTATGGGTGCACCCACTTCCACTATAAGAGATGCTTGGGCCCTTTTCTCTCTGGATCTCTCTCACCCCCACCACCAATACCCAGCAAGAGAATTTGCTTAGGTCTCCTGGAGTGGCCACATTCTGAAAGTCTATAGTATATACCAATATACCTTAATATTCTCCATGTATATGTATATTGAATAACAGACAGACCATCAATAATAGCATGCTTTCTTTTCTTTTTTTGTTATTTTATTTTATTTTACTTTAAGTCTTGGGATACATGTGCAGAACATGCAGGTTTGTTACACAGGTATACCTGTGCCATGGTGGTTTGCGGTTTGCTGCACCTATCATCCCATCATCTCGGTTTCAAGCCTCACATATCTTAAGTATTTGTCCTAATGCTCTCCCTCCCCTTGCCTCCCACCCTCCGACAGGCCTGCATGCTTTCTTTTCAAGGCCCGTGGTAGAGAATTAGCACTTGTCACAATATTCCACGGCAAAAAAAAAAAAAAAAGGTTTGCAGCTGGTAAACTTCACCTTGAATGTCAACAGGGGGCTGATCTCATATCACAGCAGCCTGAGATAACCTGTATCACAAAGTCAAGCCTGGCTGTGATTACTTAGCATTTATATAGCACTTTATCTGGGTCCTGTATGTCAGCATCATTAATGGGAGATCAGTCACCAGGAGTTACAGCCAAGGACAAAATTCATGACCAAAAAGGAGGAAAGAAGAGAAAGCTGAAAGGATTTGAGTAATCCCGTAGGGGTATGTGGTTACTCAGTAATGGGGAGGGGCAGATATGCTATGTAAAGAGGGCAAGGAAAGCTCTTTTGTCCCTCTCCCATGGACAGAGTGGCTGGAGGTGCAGGAGAGAATTAGTTCAGAATTAAGGAGGAAAAACCCTGCCAGTGAGACTCACTAAGGCCAAGAGTTTGATTTTAAAAATTTATACTTTGTCTTCTATTGTACCTGAGATCCCAGGGAAATGATCATCTATCAGAGACTGTGAATAATGGCTGGAGGTTGGCTCTGTCTGAAGCAAGCGGATGGCAAGATGCCCCTTTAAAGTGGCTTCCAAGCCCAGAAGTCTATTTTAAAAATATCACAGTCAGAAATTCATCAGTTTCATTGTGGCATTTTGGTAAAGTACAAATTAACTCAAGTCTGTTATAATAGATAGGAATGTAATCATTCAATCAGCTGGAAGTATGCAAATGATCACTGTAGTATCAGAAAATTTAAAGCAAGTCTTCCTAGGTGTGGTTCAATGCTAAGAGAATGAGTTTTAGACACAAAAAAATCTCAGTTTGAATCTTGGTCCCACAACTTTTTATCTGTGTGAATTTGGAGAAATTATTTAACTTCTATGAGACTTAATTTTCTCATTTGTTAAATGGAAATGTTATAGTCCATAGTAATGAGATGGACTTGTGTTTCTAGTGTTATAACAAACTAGAATATTTTACTATAAAGCACCTAGAAACAGTGGCCAAAATACAAAATTTTCTTTTAAATGCACAGCTGAGCTTGATAGGAAAAAAAAAGAAAAATCCTCCAAGGAACCAAAAATAAGAAGAGAACTAAAAACCTGGATGGCAAATGTGGGAGCTGATCCTGGAGCTTCCTGGAGTGTGTTTAGAGGTAGTTGCTGATCTCAGTAACCAAAGGGTTTTAATGGTCATGTAGAAATAAGAATCAAAGTTCAGCCCAAATAAAGGGTAGGAAAAATATCTGTCCACTGGTAAAGGGAGAGATTATAAATTATAAATTATAAATTATAACACCAATGTCTAAAGTCTAAAATGACTCTTTAGGCTGGGCACAGTGGCTCATACCTGTAATCCCAGCACTTTGGGAGGCTGACATGGAAGGATTGCTGGAGCCCAGGAGTTCAAGCCTACAGTAAGCTATGATTGTGCCACTACACTCCAGTCGGGGTGGCCGAGCAAAATGTGTCTCCAAATAAAATAAAATAAAATAAAATAAAATAACTCTTTAAATAGTTAGAGGAAAATTCTAAGTGTCAAGAAAGCACTTGTCATAGTTTAACTGCAACAATGGCTTTCTTAGTGTCAGTGAAATAATGGTGCTTCTTACCTTTGAGAGTATCTTAAATTATGTGAAGTACAATTGTCATTGTATCAGCCAGAGTCCAGATTGAAAAGAAATTTCTCTACGTATTTTAAACAGTGGGGAATTAGGTGCTTACAAATCATCGAATGGGCTGGGGGAGTGCAAGTCCAGGTCAACTTATTGTCATTATTACACCTGCCTTTCACATTAGCAAAGATAGATGCAGCACTAAAAGTGATGCCTCAGAAAGGTGGCCCCCACCTTGCTTCTGCACTCTAAATTCTTCATGAGTACATCTTTCTGGTGGAAACTAATTTGTATCCCAAACCTGGGAAACGTGGGTAGGTATTTGCTGGTTTTGCTTTCTAGATCCTCTTATATGAAAAGGTAAATAGAAGAGAATGAGAAGGATGTTGAATGCCAATAGACCATATCTAGGAGAGTCGCTAAGAATAAAAATCAAGTGGATAGAAGTGTATCACTTAATTGTCAGTTTATGAAATTACTCATTAGAAAGTATTTCTATGATAGAAAGTATCTATCAAAGATACTGTTATGTACCCACCAGACTGGGTCAAATTAAAAGATCAGATAAATAATAACACCAAGCATTGATAAGATTGTTGAGGAATGGGGTTGCTCATATACTGTTGACAGGAGTGTAATTTAGTACAACTTTGAAAAACAGTCTGGCATTATCTGATAAGATTGAAGGCATGCATACCTTGGGACCCAACAATTGTATTTCTAAGTATTTAAACTATAAAAATGCACACCTGTATGCACTAGTATACAGGTATTGCTATGGTGTGAATGTGTCATCCAGAGTTCATGTGTTGAACAATGCAACAGTGTTGAGGGGTGGGACATTTAAGAGATGATTAGGTCATGAGGGCTCTGCCCTCATGAGTGGATTAATGATGTTATTGTGGGAGTGGGTTAGTTATCTCAGGAGCCAGTTTCTGATAAAGGGATGAGTTCAGTACCCCTGCTTTCTTGCCCTTCCACCTTCTGCCATGTGATAACTCAGCAAGAGAGCCCTCCCTAGATGTGGGCCCCTTGACCTTGGACTTCCCAGCCTCTAGAATTATAAGAAATAAATCTCTGTTATTTATAACTACCCAGTCTCACGGATTCCGTTATAGCAGCACAAAATGGACTAAGCAGATACCATAATGTTCATAGCAGCATTGTTCATAACAGCTCCAAACTGGAAACAAAAAATGTTTATAGCAGTAAAACAGCTAAATATTTAGTATATTAGACAGTAAATTATTTTGTAAACACACAAAAATGAATGAGCATCTGCCAAACACAACAACAGAGGTGAATAATTAATATATAATATTGGTCAAAATATCAAGACACAAAAACTTACATACAGTTTTTATTATTTTTAAAAGTCCAGAAAAGAAGGCTGGATGCAGTGGCTCATACCTATAATCCCAGCACTTTGGGAGGTAGAAGCAGACAGATTGCTTAAGCTCAGGAGTTCAGGACCAGCCTGGGCAACATGGCAAAACCTTGTCTCTACAAAAAACACAAAAATTAGCTAGGAGTTGTGGAGTATGCCTGTAATCCCAGCTACTTGGGAGGCTGAGGTGGGAGGATTGCTTGAGCCCAGGAGGACGAGGCTGCAGTGAGTCATGACTGCACCACTGCACTCCAGCCTGGGCAACAGAGCGATACCCTGTCTCAAAAAACTAAAAAAGTTCAGAAAAGAAGAAAATAAACTATATTGTTTAAGAATGCGTATTAATTGTTAGGAATGTGGTAGAACTTTTTTTTTTTTAAAGCAAAGACATGATTCCCATAAATGTCAGGGTTATGGTTACCTTTAGTGAAAAGGAAGAGAGCTGTGATCAGTAAGGGGTGCGTGGAAGGCACTTGGAGTCTGGCAACATTTTATTTCTTGATCGGTAACTCAGCTACAGTAATTATTTCAATAATACATTTATGTTTTATGTGCTTTTATATATGTGTGTTATACTTCAAACTTTTTTTAAGTTTAAAAAGAAACTAAATAGAGTCCAAGGCAGGCAGATCACTTGAGACCAGGAGTTCGAGACCAGCCTGGCCAACATGGCAAAACCCCCATCTCTACTAAAAATACAAAAAATTAGCCAGGCATGGTGGTGCACGCCTATAGCCCCAGCTACTGGGGAGGCTGAGGCACAAGAATTGCTTGAACAGAGGAGGCAGTGGTTGCAGTGAGCTGAGATCACGCCACTGTACTACAAACTGGGTAACAGAGCGAGACTCTGTCTCAAAAACAACAACAACGACAACAAAAAACCACTAAATGGATGACTAAAAAGAGATCTAGGCATAGGTAACAAGAGAATTATGGTTGGAGGAGAGTTATGATGAAATTTTCCAGTAGATTGCACAAGCAGATAAAAAGGTAGGAAATATTAGAGGCTAAAAAAAAAAACACTGGAGAATAAAAAGGTACAACATAGACATATTACAAGTTCTTGGGGGAGAAAACAAGGAAAACTGGGGGAGGCAACATTCAAAGAGATTATGGGTGAGAATTTACCAGAATTAATAGAAGACATGAATCCTCAGATTTAGATAATACAAGTCCTCAGCAGGATCAATTAAACTAAATTTATACCCATATATATTGCCATGAATGAAAGAATTCTAAGGTCAGAGAGAAAAATACATTCAATATAACAACAATTACATTCACAATAGACTTTCCAAAATCAACAATACAGAACAGGGGACAATGAATAATATATTCAAAGTGCAGAGTGAAAAACCCATCAAGAATTCTTCACTCAGCTATACTATTATGCAAGAGTAGAAATAAAATAAATAAATTTCCAGACAAACGAGACAGATTTGTTATCACAAATAAACCTTTCACTGAAGGAATTTTCTTCAGGAAATTTGCTGATGAAAATTTCCACCCATAAGAAAGAAATGAGATAAAAATAGGAGCTTGGAAAATACTTACGGTGAGTAAAGAAATTGGAAAACATGTGAGTATATCTAAACAAGCATTGACTGTACAAACAATAATAACAGTGGTTAATTTGCGAACACGAAAATAAGATGACCTTATAATACTAAACAACAATGACATATATAAGAGATATATAACCAGAGTTAAAGTATTCCAAGGCTCTTGAATTATATTATAAGGGGAGTAGAAATATTGATTAAGCCATTATGATTATTTTTAATTTAAAATTAAGGCAAATCATGAAAGAAATAGAAATAGAATATATATAACTTTCAAGTCAATAAAGGAGAAAATGAGTTTTAAAAACTTTCATTTCAGTAGAAAGCAGGAAGAGAGATGCATGGAAAATATTAGCACAAAATAAGATGGTATATATAAAACAAAATTTGTCAGTAAACTCAACAAGTGTAAATGAACTAAACTCACCAGTTAAAAGATAGGAATTGTCAGACGGGATAAAAACTTTTAGTTATGTGCTGTTATAAGTCATAATGACACAGAATGGCTAAGACTAAAAAAATGGAAAAAGATAACAAATCAGATAGTATTGCTATACTAATATGAGACGAAATTTACTTCAAGATATATAGAGGGCCAAGTGTGGTGGCTCACACCAGTAATCCCAGCATTTTGGGAGGCCAAGGCAGAAGGATCCCAGCACCTGAGGCCAGGAATTTGAGGACAGCCTGGGCAACATAGTGAGACTATCTTTACCCAAAAAAAATTATTTTAAGACACATAGAATAGTGATTACTAGGGGCTGGGAGGAGAGTATAATGGGGAGTTCGTGTTTAATGGGTATAGAGTTTTAGTTTGAGATGAGAAAACATTCTGGAAGTGGATAGTGTGACGGCTGCACAACAATATGCCTGTGAGTAGTAATGTCACTGAACTGCACACTTAAACATGGTAAAGTGGCAAATTATATTTTAGTATATTGTATCACTATAAAAAATAAGACTTTAAGATTTTAAAAATGTAGTTACTATATAATCATAAAAGTAACAGTTCACCAGGAAGATATAGCAATTCTTTACCTTGATGTAACCACTTCAGATACATGAAACAAAACTATAAGAAGCAATTGCAAGCTGGGTGCGGTGGCTCACGCCTGTAATCCCAGAACTTTGAGAGGCCAAGGTGGGCGGATCACCTGAGGTCGGGAGTTCGAGACCAGCCTGACCAACATGGAGAAACCCCATCTCTACTAAAAATACAAAATTAGCTGGGCATGGTGGCTCATGTCTGTAATCTCAGCTACTCAGGAGGCTGAGGCAGGAGAATCACTTGAACCCAGGAGGCGGAGGTTGCGGTGAGCTGAGATTGCATGCGCCATTGCACTCCAGCCTCGGCAACAAGAGCGAAACTCCATCTCAAAAAAAAAAAAAAGGAGCAATTGCGAAATTCACCATGATAGCTGAATATTTTAAAAGTCATAGCTCTCTAGTATATTGATAAATTGGCAGACAAAAATTAGTAGAGACATGGGAGATTTGAATAACACAATCAGCATGTTCTGACATGTTCTGATAGATGTACATAGAATCCTTTATGCAGCAGTTAGAGAATATATAGTTGTTTAAAGAACATAGAGAACATTTCAAAAATTGACCATGCACTGTACCACAAAACAAATCTCAACAAATAAAAAGAATCAGTATTATACAGGCCGCATGTCTCCAAACACAAACAATTAATTTAGATATCAATAACAGAAAGGTAAAATTCCCAAAGCTTGGAAATTTAGGAACAGATTTCAAAACATAATTAATAATGGAAATTAGATAAAATATAGACTGAACAATACAGAAAATACACAATCAAAATGTGTGGAAATAGCACCAAGAGCAAAACCCTAATGCGAGCTATGGACTTTGGGTGATTATGATGTGTTGATGTAGGTTTACCAATTACAGCAAATCTACTGCTCTGGCAAGGGATTTTGATAATGGGGGAGCCTATGCGTGTGTGGGGCAGGGGGTATACGGGGAATCTCTCTACCTTCCTCTCAATTTTGCTGTGAATCTAAAACTGCTTTAAAAAATTATCTTTAAAAAATGTGGAATACAGCTAAAGTAGCATTTAAAGCAGATTTATAGCTGTAATACATTAGAAGAGAAGAAAGAAAAAACAGAGCTAAGATTCCAACTCAAGAAATTACAAAAATAATGTCACAGCAACCTCCCCTTGCCACCAAAAAAGGTGGAAAGAAATAATCAATGTAAGAGTGAAAATTAGGAAACAAAAATACACGAGGGAGAATCAACAAAACTACAAATTGGTGAATGTTCACTCACCAAAGGGCACTGACAGGTCTTGGTAATTGGGTGGACGAGATGACCTGGTTCTGCAAATGTCAGTCAGCCTCTTTATCAAGCCACCCAGGAATTGCTAAAAGGACTCACTAGCACAGTAGCCGTGATGGCAAGTTGGAAATTATGCCTGGGCTCAACAAAACATATTTTCTCTCACCACGGCAGATCTTGGTACTATGTCTCCTAAGAGATAATCCGCCAACAGCAGAGACCAATAACAAGCCATATGGCATTCTAACCATAGGGACCAGCCAAGGCGAGTTGATTATAGTGGTCCCCCTCCATCATGCAGAAGGCAGTGTTTTTGCCCTCACTGGAATAAATCTTTTTTTTTTTTTTTTTTTTGAGATGGAATCTTGCTCTGTTGCCCAGGCTGGAGTGCAGTGGTGCTCATCTCGGCTCACTGCAACCTCCACCTCCCGGGTTCAAGTGATTCTGCCACCTCAGCCTCCTGAGTAGCTGAGATTACAGGCACGTGCCACGACACCCAGCTAATTTTTTTGTATCTTTAGTAGAGAGGGTTTCACTATATGGGCCAGGCTGATCTTGAACTCCTGACCTCAGGTGATCCGCCCGCCTCAGCCTCCCAACGTGCTGGGATTACAGCCCTGAGCCACTGCGCCTGGCCAGAATAGATGCTATAATATGAGATAAAATTGACTTTAAGATACCTAAAGGGCCAAGTGCGGAGGCTCATGCCTGTAATCCCAGCTGACACTATGGAATGGTAGAATGGTCTAATGAAGAGAGTTACACAGCCAGCTGGAAGACAACACCTTGTGAGGCTGGGGTGCCGTCTTACAAGACCGAGTGTGTGAGCCATATTTGACTCCTGCTCTTTTTAGCCTTTCCAACAACTCTGTAAGCATCAGATTCCCTGTAGTAAATTCCTTTCTGCTTGAAATATCTAGAGTTGTTCTTGCACTAAGCCCTGACTGAATCATGTAATGATTAAGACAGTGTAGTATTTGCACAGACCCTGTTCTAAGTTATAACTTCTCATTTAGACTATAGCAATAAACCCTTAACCAGTCTTCTTGCTTCCATTTTTGCCTCCTGGATATTATGATAGCAGTGATAATGAATCTTTGATAGTCAAATTGACCAACTTAAAAGAATAGAGAACCCAGAAAACAGATCTGTGCTGTTTAAATCTGATATCTGACATTTCAAACCAGTGAGGGAAAGCCTACTCATGGGCACAGGGAGGGGAGAGTTCAATCTTTTTCTCTCACTATATAAAAAAATTAATTCCAAATGGATTAAAGACCTAAACATGAAAAAGCAAAAGCAGGCCAGGCGCGGTGGCTCACACCTGTAATCCCAGCAATTTGGGAGGCCCAGGTGGGTGGATCACCTGAGGTCTGCAGTTCGAGACCACCCTGGTCAACATGGTGAAATTCCATCTCTACTAAAAATACAAAAATTAGCTGGGCATGGTAGCAGGCACCTGTAATCCCAGCTACTAGGGAGGCTGAGGCAGGAGAATTGCTTATGCCCGGGAGGTGGAGGTTGCAGTTAGCTGAGATTGCATTATTGCACTCCAGCTTAGGCAACAAGAGTGAAACTCCGTCAAATGAAAAAAAAAAAAAAGAAAGAAAGAAGGAAGGAAGGAAGGAAGGAAGGAAAAGCACAGAACCTTTAGAGGAAAATATATGAGAATTTAAGGCAAGAAACATTATGCTAGTGACTTTCAAATTTACATCTCTATCTATTCCCTAAACTCCACACTCATATATTCAACATTCAGTTCAGAATTTCAACTTGGCTGGCTGGGCAAGGTGGCTCACACCTGTAACCCCAGCACTTTGGGTGGCCAAGGCAGGGGGATCACTTGAGGGCAGGAGTTCAAGACTAGCCTGGGTAACAAAGCAAAACCCCTTCTCTACCAAAAAAAAAAAAAAAAAGTTTCAAATTAGACCTCTAATAGGCATCTCAAAATTAGCATGATCAAAAACAAAGTATGCATTTTACCACCAAAACTTCTCCTCCTGCAACGTTCCCATTTAAGAAAATAGTGCTAACATCCTCATCAAATCCATTGGAAAATCTTACTAGGTCTAACTTCAAAATATATTGTGCATTTTTTCATCTATCTATTGGCCATTTATATGTCTTCTTTTGAGAAATGTCTATTCATGTCCTTTGCTTTTTTTTAATAGAGTTTTTAATTTTCTTATTATTGAGTAGTTTGAGTAGTTTGTTTTCTTATTATTGAGTTCCTTATATATTTTGGATATAAGCCCCCATCTGATATATGATTGGCAAATATTTTCTCCCAATCTATGAGTTGCCTCTTCACTGTGTTAATTGGTTCCTTTATTGTACAGAAACTTTTAAGTTTGATGCAATCCCATTTGTCTGTTTTTGTTTTTGTTGCCTGTGCTTTTGGGGTCATGTTGTATAGTGTGAATCTGACCACTTCTCACAATTTTCTCTGCTACTGCCCTGGTCTAAGTCACTATCGCCTTTCATTTAGACTATAGCAATAAACTCTTAACCCATCTACATGCTTCCGTTTTTGCCTCCTGGATGTTATGATAGTGGTCATAATGAACATGTGAAAAGTAAATCAATTCCCTGCTTAACATCCTCCAGTGGCTTCTCATCACAGAATAAAATCCCTGGTTACTTCTCTAAGTAAGCACTTACCGCTCTTCCCCTTATGTATGCCAGTTAGCTACACTAGCCATTTTCTCGACTGTTCTATAACCCATCAATCACGCCAACATCTTAGGGCCTTTGGACTTGCTGTTTCCCCTGCCTGGAATGTTCTTCTCTTTAGATATTCCCATTTCTTGCTCCCTCATCATATTCTGTTTTCTGCTGAATGTTACCTTCTCAGGGAGGCCTTTCCTGACCACTCTAACAGAGCAGCCCATTGGTTTCTCTTTATCTCTGTATCTTACTTTCTCTTCATGTTTTATTTTCTATTTATCTATTGTTTATTGTCTCTCTCCCACACTAGAATCTAAGTCATTAAGGTTGGGTCTTTTGTCTTACTCACAGTTGTTTCTGCCAAGCCTAGAACAGTACCTGGCACAAAGTACGCATTCAGTATATTTGTCAAATAAATAAGCAAATGAGGGAATAAATGAGAAACCTGTATGACCTTGGAATAGGAAATATTTGCCTAAACACGACACAGAAAACAAAATCATAAGGAAAAGTTTGAAAAAATTTGATAAAATTAGATTAAATACTCTTCATTCTTTTAAAAACACCATTAACTATCACTGCTATATAAGTTGCAGACTGGCAGAAGGTATTTACAATGCAGATATTAGACAAAGTATTAACATTCAAGATATGTGAAGGACTCTAAAAATCAATAAGAAAAAGACAATTCAATTTAAAAAAATAATGAGCAGGCCAGGTGCGGTGGCTCATGCCTGTAATCCCAGCACTTTGGGAGGCCAAGGTGGGAGGACTGCTTGAGCCCAGGAGTTCAAGATAAGCCTAGGCAGCATGGTGAAACCCCTTCTCTGCAAAAAGTGCAAAAATTAGCTGGGCATGGTGGCACGTGGCTGTGGTCCCAGCTACTGGGGAGGCTGGGGCAGAAGGATCACTTGAGCCTGGGAGTTTGAGGCTGCAGTGAGCTGAGATCACACCACTACACTCCAGCAACAGAGTGAGATCCTGTTTCAAAAAAAAAAAAAGAGCAAAGGATATGAACAGGAAAGTCACAGAGGAGAGGAAATCTAAAAGGCTACTAAAATATGAAAAGATGTTCAACTCTCAGAAAATCAGAAAAACACATGTTAAAAATGGGAATAATGCCAAGGCAGGCGGATGACCTGAGGTCAGGAGTTCAAGACCAGCCTGACCAACATGGAGAAACCCCATCTCTACTAAAAATACAAAATTAGCTGGGTGTGGTGGCACATGCCTGTAATCCCAGCTACTCAGGAAGCTGAGGCAGGAGAATCGCTAGAACCCGGGAGGCAGAGGTTGCAGTGAGCCGAGATCACACCGTTGCACTCCAGCCTGGGCAACAAGAGTGAAACTCCATCTCAAAAAAAAAAAATAAATAAAAAGATAAAAAAAATTAAAAAAATTAAAAAATAAAAAAAAAAAGGAATAATTTCACACCATCTTATCAGCAAAATAAAAAAGCCTGCCAATACCAAGTACTGAAAAGGTTATGAAATAATTGGAACTTTCATACTTCTGGTGGTATTACAAATTGGTATAACCTCCTTGGAGAGCAATTTGGCTATATGAAGTATCTTTGAAGGTGTACATACTCTGCAACCCAGCAATTCCACTCCCCACTGTATACTCTGGGGAAGCACTTGCTCTTGGGCACAAGGAGAAACGAACTGGAATATTCTCTGTAGCATTTCTCCAACACTGAACCTTTTGCTAACATTCCCTCTGCCTAGAACTTCCTTCAGATACCCACATGGCACTCCCTCACCTTCCTCATGTCTTTGTCCAAATGTTACTTTTTCTTTTCTTTTCTTTCTTTCTTTTCTTCTTCTTCTTTTTTTTTTTTTTTCAGTTGCACTCTTGTTGCCCAGGCTGGAGTGCAGTGGCATGATCTCAGCTCACTGCAACCTCCACCTCCCAGATTCAAGCAATTCTCCTGCCTCAGCCTCCTGAGTAGCTGGGATTATAGCTGCCCATCACCACGCCCGGCTAATTTTTTTTTTTTTCTGTATTTTTTAGTAGAGACAGGGTTTCACCATGTTGGCCAGGCTGGTCTCAAACTCCTGATCTCAGGTGAT
Organism: Homo sapiens; assembly: GCF_000001405.40. NCBI lineage: Eukaryota > Metazoa > Chordata > Mammalia > Primates > Hominidae > Homo > Homo sapiens. The sequence goes on along the minus strand of NC_000012.12, from coordinate 53,909,816 downwards.
CTACCTGCCTTGGCCTCCCAAAGTGCTGGGATTACAGGCATGAGCCACTACACCCAGCCCAGACGTTACTTTTTCAATGAGGCCTTTCTTGACCACCCTGTTAAATTTGCAAACCACCTTGGTACTCCTCTATCCCTTTATCTTCCTTTTTTTCCTCGTAGCACATCCAACAAATTACGTAGTTTACCTGTTTATTAAGTTTATAATTGTTTCCCCCCTCTACTCTGTAAGCTCCATGAGGACACATATTTATGCCTTGTTTTCCCTGCTGAATTCCCAGTTGCTGAAAGAGTACCTGGATGTAGTAGGCACTCAATAAAAATTGGTTGACTAAATTAAATAGTTGGTAACAGCAAAGATTTGAAAGCAATCTCAATATTCTCCCAAAGGAGAATAGCTAAGTAAACTATCACACATTCTGTACATTGGCATGTTACACAGCAGTTAAAATGAATACAATTAAAGCTTCATGCAGTCACATAGATAAGTATCAAAAACATAATATTAAGCAACAAAAGCAAGATGAAAAGGGAGAAGTATGATATGACACCATTTATAAAAATTAAGAAACATAAATAGTACTGCATCTGGCATATGTTACATACACATGTACTAAAATAGAGAAACGTTAATGGTAAGGTTAAGCACCAAATTCAGAACAGAGGTTATCTCCAAGAATAAAGGGACAGTAATGTGAGAGGGAAAGAACACCCATTGGGTTTCCATTATATTTTTAATGTGTTATGTCTAACCTGGGAGGTGGGCATACAGGTGTTAATTTTCTTACTATCTATATATTTGTGTATGCTTAGAATAGTAATAAAATTAAGTGACATAAGAGTGATTGGTGTATAATAATAATAGCCAATATTTATATAGAGCTTGCTTTGAGTTAGGCACTTTTCTAAGTGTTACATATAACAGCTCATTTAAATTCTCACAACAACCCTGTGAAGTTAAGTCCTATTATTATCTTCATCCTAAGGAAGAGGAAACAGAGACATAGAGAAGTTAAGTAACTTACTCAAAACTAGATGGTGGAGCTGAGCTGGAAGGAAAAAAAAAAAGCAGTTTTTAACCATTACCAAATTGCCTCATAGTCTTATTGAGCACACATAGGTTCTTAATATTGTGTTGAAACTGGCGCAGTGGCTCACACTTGTAATCCCAACGCTTTAGGAGGCTGAGGTGAGAGGATCACTTGAGCCCAGGAATTGAAACCAGCCTGGGCAACATGGCGAAACTCCATTCTCTACAAAAAATGAACAAATTAGCCAGGACTGGTGGGGTGCACCTGTAGTCCCAGCTACTCAGGAGGCTGAGGGGGGAGGATTGCTTGAGCCCAGGAAGCGGAGGTTGCAATGAGCAGACATGGTACCACTGCACTCCAGCATGGGTGACAGACCAAGACCCTGTCTGAAAAAGAGAGAAAGAAAGAAACTTGTAGACTGTAATTTTTGTAGGCTAAAGTGGTCAAATATGCCAGCAGTTACGTATGGTTCAACTTAATAAATGGCAAATAAAATAAAAATAAAACTTATTTTAAAAATGAAAACTTAATAAATGGCAAATAAAAACAAATGAGGTTCTATGATGACTCTGTAATTAATTTTAAACTTACTAAAGTCTTCTGCATGCATGTCCTAAATGTTGTTACCAGTGAAGCACAAGGGAGTGAAGTTGAACACCAAAAGTAACTTCCCAGCCATTAACACTGAAATCAAGGAAAGGAAAGAAGGCTTTTGAGGAAAGAGTGGTGATGATCAGTGTGAGGTGAATTAAAAGTCCCAACAGTGGGCTAGAAGACGGCTGAGTTGCTCCCTCCACAGCCCAAATCTTCCTTTCCTTTTCTCTCTCTCAGTTTGTCTAAGAGGCTGCTTCAAACCAGCCAGGACTTAGCCATGGTTTTGGCTCAGAAGTCCTTGTTTGCAGGCCTCCAAGAAAACTCTGGAGAGGTCCAGACAGGGCAGCAGCCTTCCTCATTAGAACACCCCACAACATGAAATCAAAGTTCTCTCTCCCTCAGCCCTGGCTGTACACCAACTCACAAGAAATTCAAAATAGAGAGCAGACGGGAGACAGATTCAAATTCCCCCAGGTTCCGTCTGTCTGGTCTTTGCAGTTGCAGTCCTGATTTCTTAGCTCAAGTTTGCAGGAGTCACCTTTTGCATCTGTTTCACAGCATAGTCTCCTGATTCTCCCTGTCTCTAGTGAATCAGAGCTAACTCTCTCTTGTATGTCGTTAACGCTAATTTCCTCATGTCCTTCCTCAAGAGCAATCATTTACCACATTCAATCCAAAATCTTTAGTGCAGACTTCTGCAACTCCTCATCACTTTGACAGCCTCACACCATGTCAACTTGAAGAAAATCTACAAGAGTGGTGGGACCTAGCTTAGAGCCTATGTGGAAACAGAAGAATGGACAGGGTTACTTCTGAAAAGTATAGTGAAATTGTGTTGCTCACTGTTGCATACACGCTGTTTCTATGGAGGTGAATGTATGCGTATTCACATAGGGTGGGGAGTGGTGTATGCATGCACACATGCACAAATCCGGTTGGTGAGTGTTCCTGAAGGCTATGTGAGCATTTTCTAGAACCCTATGCTCTAAGTTTCACTCCATAAATCTCTTTTATTGGCAGTACTGAGAAAACCAAGGGCCATGTAATAATTTCCTCTCTTGCTCTCCTTCACTTGCATAGGATGAAAAACTAAAGATTGATGATGATATCCTTTGGAGGAGCCAGGAGTGCCATCCATCCCACTCTGTCATCTATCCCTCTAAAGCTTTCCTCCACAGTCCACTGTTTCTGTTCTGCTCCAGAGGACAGCCTTTCTCTTTTTCTCCCCCAGACCTCCTCCATTGACTCCTTCTGAAACTTCCTCTTTGGGGCAGCCACCCTAGGTTAAGAAGCACAAGAAGGATTTTTCAGCTGACCAAACCATAAGACTCAGAAAATATCCTCCACGGAGATCCAAATACAAGTCATCTCTAGAAGTCATCTTCTCTTTCTTCCACTCAAAGCCATCATAGTTCGACTTGGAAAGGCTCTAGGGAAAGTGAGTCTAGTCTGCTGTTGATCCTCAAGTAGAGTATTTGTAACTCTCTTTTATCCTTCCTATTGTGATTTTTGGCCATGTTCTGTTGAGATTATTTTGTTTCCACTAAATAGGAAGTTTCAGGTGAAGGATAAGGGAAGTAGGGAGGCAGGGACAGAGAATGCTGGGTAGTGTAGTACACACTTGTTTTTTGTTGTTTTTGTTGTTTGTTTGTTTGTTTTGAAACAGATTCTCACTCTGTCATCCAGGCTGGAGTGCAGTGGCACGATCTCGGCTCACTGCAACCTCTGCCTCCCGGGATCAAGTTATTCTCCTGCCTCATCCTCCCGAGTAGCTGGGATTATAGGGGTGTGCCACCAAGTCCGGCTAATTTTTGTATTTTTTGGTAGAGACAGGGTTTCTTCGTGTTGGCCAGGCTGGCCTCGAACTCCTGGCCTCAAGCAATCCACCCACCTCAGCCTCCCAAAGTGCTGGGATTACAGAGAATCAGAGTCACTTTGTCTGTCCCTTGCCTCTTCACCTCTCCCCTCTTGGTTGAACTATAATCTCCCCAGTGTTAGTAACCTCTAAGAACCCAACTCCTGCCACCAAACAAAATTAAATGGATTCCATTGCTTCAGTGAGTCACTGAAACTTTGCAAACCCTCATGGACAGACAACACTTCCTGAGGTTAAACCAACTTTCTCTGCAGCAGCTTCAGCTCTAATTCTATGCAGATAGACTACCTTTGGCATCTGCCTTCTGTGTAAAGAAGGAAAGCCTCTCTTGATTTCTATTCCCAGGCCTCATACCTCTTCAAAAATCAATTCTAGCACAACTTTAATGTTTTATGAGAAAACACAGAATGTCTTTATGATCTCAGGGTAGGGGAAGATTTCTTAGAGTAAGATATAAAAAGAGCAAATCATAATGGAAGAGATGAATAAATTCAACTACATTAAAAACTTGTTTTCTTTAAAGGCTCCATTTACAAGGCTACAAGACAAGTCACAAACTGGAAGATATATGTTACTCAATGACTTATAAAGAATTTGTACACAGAATATGTAAAGAATTGATTTTTTAAATCTGTAAAAAAAGACAACTGGAACAATAGAATAATGTGCAAAAGACATGCATAGGCTATTCACTTAAGTGAAAATCCAAATAGCCAATAAATAGCCAAAAAGATTCTCAAACTCTAGTAATCAATAAAATGCAAATTAAAATAATCCATCAGATTAGTAAAATTTAAGAAGTATATACCTGGCTATCTAGTGTTTAGGAGGAAAAGGGTATGATAATACCAAATGCTGATGAGGATATGGAGCAACTGGAAGTCTTATACACTGCTAGTGAGTGTGTACATTGGCACAATGACTTTGGAAACAATTTAGGTTTATCTTCTGCAGTTGAAGATGTGCATACCCCATCATCTGCCAGTTCTTTTTTTTAAATTGTGATCAAAACCACATAACTTAAAATTTATCATTTTAACTTTAAGTATATAGTACAGTAGTGTTAACTGTATGTACATTGTTGTGCTATAGATCTCTAGACCTTTTTCAATTTGCAAAGCTGAAACTCTATATGCATTGAACAAGCAATCCTTTTCGCCCTCCCCACGGCCCTTAGCAACAATTCTACTTTCTGTTTCTAAGAGTTTGGCTATTTTAGATATCTTATAAAAGTGGAATTACACAGGATTTGTCTTTTTGTGACTGGCTTATTTCACTTAACATAATATCTTCAAGGTTCATCCGTATTGTAGCATATGACAAGATTTCCTTTTTTTTTTTTTTAAGGCTGGATAATACACCACATTTTTAAGTCCATTTATCAGTTTGTGGACATTTAGGTTGGTTTTACCTCTTGATTATTGTGAGTAATACTGCAATGAACACAACTACAAATATCTCTGAGACCCTATTTTCAATTCTTTCGGATAAATACCTAAAAGTGGGATTGCTAGATCATATGGTAATTATATTTTAATTTTTATTTTTTTATTATTATTATTTTTTGAGACATAGTCTCACTCTGTCGCCCAGGCTGGAATGCAGTGGCACCATCTCGGCTCACTGCAAGCTCCACCTCCCAGGTTCACGCCATTCTCTTGCCTCAACCTCCCGAGTAGCTGGGACTACAGGTGCCCCCCCCAGGCCCGGCTAATTTTTTTTTTTTTTTTTTTTTTTTTTGGATTTTTAGTACAGACAGGGTTTCACCATGTTAGCCAGGATGGTCTCGATCTCCTGACCTCATGATCTGCCCATCTTGGCCTCCCAAAGTGCCAATTTTTTTTTTTTTTTTTTTTTTTTTTTTTTTTTTTGGGAGATGGAGTTTCCCTCTTGTCACCCAGGCTGGAGTGCAGTGGCACAATCTTAGCTCACTGCAAACTCCACCTTCCGAGTTCAAGCGATTCTCCTGCCTCAGCCTCCCGAGTAGCTGGGATTACAGGTGCCCACTACCATAACTGGCTAATTTTTTATATTTTTAATAGAGACAGGGTTTCGCCATATTGGGCAGGCTGGTCTGAAACTCCTGACCTCAGGTGATCCGCCCACCTTGGCCTCCCAAACTGCTGAAATTATAGACGTGAGCCACCACACCAGCGCTATATTTTTATTTTTTTGAGAAACCTCAATCCTGTTTTCCAAGGCAGCTGCATCATGTTACACCCTTGCCAACAGTACACAAGGGTTACAGTTCTCCACATCCTAACCAACACTTGTTATTTTTTAATTTTTAAAATAATGACTATCCTAACATGTGAGGTGGTGAACAAAACAGAAAAGAAGAGTAAACAAAACAGAAAGAAAAAAAGTTTCTGGAGTTTGAAGATGAAAACAGGAAATGCTTAAAATAAATATTTCACACAGGGAAAATTTTAGAAAACCCATACCAAGTGCTGTTAGGTATGACCCACAATTGTCCAGGATCTCCTTGTGGCTTTGATTTGCATTTCCCCAATGATTAGTGATGTAAAGCATCTCTTCATATACTTCTTGGCCACTTGTGTATCTTCTTTGAAGAAATATCTATTCAAGTCCTTTGCCCATTTTCTAATAAATTATATTTTGTGTTGTTTGTGAGTTGTAGGACTTCTTTATATATTCTGGATATTAACCCCTTATCAGACATATGGCTTGCAAATATTTTCTCCTATTCCATAGGTTGCTTTTTCACTCTGTTGATTGTTTCCTTTGCTGTGCAGAAGTTTTTAAGTTTGATGTAGTTTCAATTGCCTATTTTTGCTTCTGTTGCCTGTACTTTTATGTCATGTCCAAGAAATCATGTCAAATCTAATGTCATGCAGCTTTTCTCCTATTTTTTTGGCAAGTCTTATAGTTTTCGGTCTTATGTTTGGGTCTCTAACACAATTTGAGTTAATTTTTCTACAGGGCCTTAGGTAATGGTCCAGTTTCATTCTTTCTCATTCAGTTTTCTCAACTCCATTTGTTGAAGAGATAATCCTTTCACCTTTATGTGTCTTGGCACTTTTGTCAAAGATCATTTGACCTTTAATTTATTTATTTATTTTTTTAGCTTGACTGCTCTGGCCAGGAATTCCAGGGCTATGTTGAATAGAAGTGGCAAGAGCAGGCATCCTTGCTTTGTTCCTGCTTTTAGAGAGAAAGCTTTCAATGTTTCACTACTGAGTATAAAGTTATCTGTGTCCAGAAGTTCTTAAATATGTATTCTAGAGAAAATTTTGTAAATATATTTCTAGAGACATGTACAACAATATTTATAACAGTATCGTTTATAAAAAACAAAGACCTAAAAACAACTGGACTAACTATTGACAGGAGAATGGCCAAACAAATTGTGGTGTGTTTATTTATTTAAGTATAATACAGCAGTAAAAATGAAATAAAGCTATATCCAGCAATAGGGATGAGTATCATAACATAATGTTGAGAGAAAAAAGCAGGTTGCCACATAATTCATATATTATGACAGAACTTTTACACACAGTAAAACACATCAGAAACTAAATAATATATTGTAAAGAATCTATATGTAGCCAAAATGTAATGAAATGCGATGAATGATAAATGCAAAATCTGGAGTGGAGGTTTCCTCCAAAGGGAATGAAAAGAGATATAATCAGATAGGGACACCAAACAGGCTTCACCAATATTAACAATAATCTATCTCTTAAGCTGTGTGGTAGGACATGGGTATATGTCCTAATTATTTCATCTTATATTTAAGTTATATATATTATTTTATATGTATGAAATATCTGAAGATAATAAAAATGCTTTCACTCATTCGAAAACCATTTATCAAGTACCGACTATGTATCAGTCACTGTTACAATTGCTTGAGATATAGGAGTGAACAAAATGGAAAGAAAAAGTTTCCAGAGTTTGAAGGTGAAAACAGCAAACACTTAAAATAAATATTTCAGCCAGGGAAAATTTTGGAGAACCCATACCAAGTTCTGTTATGTATGACCCACAATTGTCCGGGATATAGCACCCAAATTGGTTATCCCAGAATGAGACAGCAATTATAGGTAACTCCCAACCGTTTATGCTGGGCAAGGGGCACAATGGTGTGGGTAATCTAAGAGCAGGACTTATATTCTCAATTAGATCAATATTACAGGAAGGAAGAAGAGACAGAGTTCACCCAAATAGTAATCTACAGTATCAGTTGATCCAAATAATAAGAAAAAAGTAAATATCATTTGTACTTGTCTTTGGGGTATATTACCCTGCCAGAGTAGCCTATTCACTTAATGTACTTTCTCTTGCATAGTTTTTAAAAAAGTATTGCTAACTTCACACCCACTGCCTGGAACTGCTCAGGAGAAAACTGCTGCTGCTTCCATCACTCACTCAATAAATGTCTCTACTACATGTCCATCACTGCCCTGGATATAGGGGATACAAAGACAAATAAAATTTGATTCCTGTCCTCAAGGAGTTTAGTTTGTAGAGTAGCAGTAAAGAATGAGAGATTTTTTTTCAAAAATCTTTAAAACAACATAAGCGTTAAAATGGAAATATAAAACATTATTCTGTGTGCTATTGGCACACAGAAGAGGGGGCATCTAACTCTTCAGAGAGCAACACATCAATGTTGACTTCTCAGAAGTGGTGCTGTTTAGGCAACATTGAAGACCAGGTAGGAATTTCTCGGGAGGAGAACGAGAAAGGCATTCCAGACAGAAGAACCGACATATGAAGAGGCTTGTGGCATCCCAGGGCATGGGACAGCAGGAAGCTCAATGTGGCAGCAGCCTAGGGTAAGCAATGCAAAGTAGGATTGATGGGCAGTTAGTGCCACGCCCAAGAGCTTGGTCTCTATTTGATCAGCAATGCAGAGCCAAAGTTTGAGCAGAGAAGTAAACCAATCAGATTCATTATTTGAAAAATAATTCAGGTGGTGGTGTTGATGTAGAAGTTGACCTGGAAAAGAAAAGACATCTGGTAGAAAGAAGTATATGGTGGCTATTGCAATAGTTCAGGGAAATGGCTATCAAAATTTGAGCCAAAGCAAGGCAAAGAGGAGACAAAGAATAAATGTATTCAAGAGATATTTCTGAAATGCAATTCAATTGGCCTGAGTGATTAATTTGATAAGGAAGACAGGGAGTTGAGGATAATTGCGAAGTTTTTAGCCTGAGAGACTGGGCGAATGGTGAGTCTGAAACTGAGAGGAGGAATGCTCTGGAAAGATGATGGGTTGAAGAATAAAAGAGAATTGAAGTTTTAGGGAAAAGAGACTCAAGGAGAACTTACTCTGGGTGAGGAAATGAGAATATGGGCCAAGGACAGGAGAAAGAAGAATATGGTGTTTGAACAGAGGTGGAGAGGTTGACCTAAAAGTAAGGCTACGTCTTTCTCTAATTAGTATAAGAGATGTGGAGGGAAGGCTGGGTGCTTATAATAAAGTTTAGGGGCCAAGGGAAGAGAAGTTAAGGGAGTTAGCATCAGATGGCTGTAATTCGGGGGGAGATGTAAGAGAAAATCTGACCTATTGAGGGTGAATAGGAGACGTGAGGTGTGAGAATACCTTAGTACATGTACTTTCTTATTTACATATATTAACAAGATTGCAATTTTAAGCCACACTTGCAATCTGCAACTGCTCATCTTAAAAACACTTTCTGTTCTCTAGATGTTTGTCTTATCTATCATCAGGTCTCTCAGAAACTCTTTCTTGCAAGTAGACCTGGAGACTCACAAAGTTGGTTGACAGCAAAACAACTCAATTTAGCAGATCAGTGTCATTTCTTCCCATTTTTATGGTTACATGCAAAATTAGAACCCCTGAGCACTGAAACATCTACAAAAGCTTCTGGCCAGTTCAGGAAATCTGCTTAATATTTAGTAAGCTGCTTACACATTTGAGCTCTATGGAATCAGTGTAAACTCTCAAAGAAACATCTAGTTCAATTCAACATTTATTGAGAACCGATGTAATAGGCACTACACTAGATGCTAGGGACTCAAGGACAAGCAAAACACAACCTTTCCCATTGGAAAGCTCACAGTCTAGGGGAGCAGCTTCCCTCTTGGTAGGTAGAAGGCAGTATGTATATATACAATGAGCTGCAGGGAAATCCGTGCTCTGTTTTTACTTTTAATGTAGCATTACTTCTTCTGTGTGTAGATGACTAATATGCAGTCAGCTTTTAAAAGTTTTAATAAATTTTGACATAAGTGTACATTTGTAAAACCATCATTACATTCAAGATAATAAATGTATCCATCATCCGCAGAAGTTTCTTTGCCATCTTCTCCTCCAGCCCTCACCCCTGCCCAGGCAACCAATGATCTGATTTCTGTCGCCGTGGAATAGCTTGCATTTTCTAGAATCATATATTATGTACTTTATTATCTGGCAACAGTCAGCTTTTTTTTTTTTTTTTTTTGAGACATGGTCTCACTCTGTCACCCAGGCTGAAGTGCAGTGGCATGGTCATTGCTTGCTGCAGCCTCGAACTCCTAGACTCAAGAGATCTTCCAGCTTCAGCCTCTCGAGTAGCTGGGACCACAGGAGCACACCACCACACCTAGCTAATTTTTATTTATATTTTGTAGGACGAGAGCTCAAACTCCTGGGCTCAAGTGATCCTCCCATCTCGGCCTCCCAAAGTGTTGTCATTACAGGTGTGAGAAACTGCACCTGGTTCAACAGTCAGCTTTTGACAAACCATAGTAATGGAAGTAAATGTGGATAATTTTCCCTTCTTTCCTTCCTTCCTTCCTTCCCTCCTCCCCTCCTTTCCTCCCTCCCTTCCTTCCTTCTTTCCTTCCGTCCTTCCCTTCCTGCTTCCCTTCCTTTTTCCCTTCCTTCCTTCATTCTCTCCCTCCTTCCTTCCTTCTTCCTTCCCTCCCTCTCTGCCTCCCTCCCTCCCTTCCTTCCCTTCCTCCTTCCCTTCCTTCCTTCTTCCCTTCCCTCCCTTCATTCCCTCCCTCCTTCTCCTTTTTCCTTCTCTTTCTTACTTTCTTTCTTTCCTTCTTTATCTTTCTTTCTTCTCTCACCCCTCACCCAGATTGGAATGTAGTGGTCATAGCTCACTGCAGCCTCAACCTTCTGGGCTCAAGTAATCTTCTTGCCTCAGCCTCCTGAGTAGCTGGGACTACAGGCGTGTGTCACCATGCTTGGCTAATTTTTAATTTTTTGTAGAGGCAGAGTCTCACTATGCTACCCAGGCTGGTCTTGAACTCCTGGCCTCAAGCAATGCTCCCACCTCAGTCTCCCAAAGTGCTGGGATTACAGGCATGAACCACCACAACCGGCTGCTAATTTCTTTTTTTTTTTTAATCCTATGATAATCCTGCACATGGCAGATAATTTCTTAAAGTGAATATTTTTTAAATCATAAGGGGAAAGATTTTTAAACTAAATTAATACTCAAGGTCATGTGAATTGATGGATAAAATTCTTCTTGAATTTGTGTGGGAAACTTAAATGCACATAGGCTGACAATGGACAAAAGCAGAATATGCCTTTGAGCATGACATAGTAGAAAATGGACAGGTTTGGGAGCCAGAGCTGCATTCAAACTTAGGCTCCACCACCCCTAGAAGAGTGATTTTGAGAGTATTAATTAACCTCTCTGAGTTTTGGTTGTTTAACATATAAAATGGGAATAATAAGATCTCTTTATTGGGTGATTGGGAGGATTCAATTGGACTTGGATATGGAAAGTGTCTCAAGCTCAAATATTAGTTTCCCTTCCCTTAACTGTGATTCTTGTTTCTATGAGTATATTACTCAGACTTGCAAATAAAGTCATTTAAAGATTACCCAATATAAACATGGCCACTTAGGCAATTCCTCAAGGATCTAGAACTAGAAATACCATTTGACCCAGCCATCCCATTACTGGGCACATACCCAAAGGATTATAAATCATGCTGTTATAAAGACACAGGTACACATACGTTTATTGTGGCACTATTCATAATAGCAAAGACTTGGAACCAACCCAAATGTCCATCAATGATAGACTGGATTAAGAAAATGTGGCACATATACACCATGGAATACTATGCAGCCATAAAAATGATGAGTTCATGTCCTTTGTAGGGACATGGATGAAGCTGGAAACCATCATTCTTGGCAAAGTATCGCAAGGACAAAAACCCAAACACGTGTGTTCTCACTCATAGGTGGGAATTGAACAACGAGAACACATGGACACAGGGTGGGGAACATCACACACCAGGGCCTGCCAGGGGGTGGGGGTGGGAGGGATAGCATTAGGAGATATACCTAATGTAAATGACAAGTTAATGGGTGCCACACACCAACATGGCACATGTATACACATGTAACAAACCTGCACGTTGTGCACATGTACCCTAGAACTTAAATTAAAAAAAAAAAAAAAGGCCACTTAGGCATTTTGAGAACATATCTAATATGTAGAGCAGGGCTAATCTATGTAATATTTTTTTACACCAGCAGGTTGACCTTCGTAATTCTGCTTTCTCCTAACTAACATGAAAAAGAATTTGGTATTAGTGCTCCTCAACTTCTCACTGATCATGGTGGGAGAAGACAGCCAAGGGGCCAGGGAGATCAAGACTTGACCAAAGAAATTACTGGGGACAATCTCCAAAGTGGGTAACCCACACAGAGAAAAGAGTCAGTAGATAAAATGGATTGAGTGCTTACTACATATCAGGCTCCATTAAGGCTTTACCTGAATAATTGCATTTAACCTTTACAACAAACCTCTAAGTTAGGCACTATTATTAGGCCCATTTTATAGGTGAGAAAATCAAGGCTTAGAGAAGTTAAGAAACTTATCCAAATTTATACTGATGGAAGTGGCAAGGAAGGATTTTAATCTCAGTCTCTAACATCAGCGCCCAAACTCTTAACCATGTCTTTTAGAGAAGCACAGAGCAATTCAGTCTCAAAGTACGTCCCTCATTTGCAAACACCCGCTTGTCTTGTGATAGGCCCCAGAGAGGTCTTCTGCTCTTACAAAGAGAGGAAGGGAAACTACTACAAAAATAGTGTCCTGAATTTTAAGATAATGATCACCCACAGTGTCTAATGGGAATCAGCTATTCTGTGATGATCTTGTCTGGGCTGTCTGGCAATGGTCACCTGTTTAGGCCTTCCCAACCCCTACCCTTCACCCCCAGCACATTGTTGATTTCCCTCACTGTTGGAACATTTCTCTTGTTGTTGAATCTCAGTTCATTCCATTGAAGTGGAGGCCCTACGATTCTGGCTAATATTCATTTCCCTCCAGGGCTATTTGTCAAGGAGGGGGTGAGTAGGGACTTAATGACATGCTTTCTTTAACAATCTTCCAAACCTATCATCTAGGACAGGGTTTATAAGCATTCATCAACAACACCCTAGCAAAGTAGGTTAGTAGGATGAGCCCACTACCTGTTTAGGAATCTAGAAGGCTAAGACACTTTTATCAAGACTCAGGGGTTTTAAACCCAGTTCCTCCTATCCACATGGCCTTCAGTAAGTTGCACAACTGCTCTGGGTGTCCATCTTCTTCTTGCCTTCCTTCCACACCCACCACTGTTGTCTCTGTTGGCAGAATGAAGGCTGAGCTTTGACTGACTTTCCACAGAACTAATTAAAGTCTACAAACTGCTTTAAGAACCTTCAGTATGGTGTTCTTGCCAAGACAGAATTACAAGTGGGAATGGCAAGGAATGGGATAGGTAAAACTGGGATAGTTGAGCTGCTCTGAGGAAGGCTCCAATTAGCCTTGCTCCACTGTGAATCTTCAAGCTTTTTCTCTCCTATCTGCTCAGCTATTGTGCAGAAGAGTTCGCTTCTTTTCCTCTTTCGAAGAATCAGATATGAGACAACCTGGGAGCTGAGTTCTGCAATCCTTTTGTCTCAAAATTACACACAGACTCCTTCAGACAACACTTGTCTTACGAAAAGGTAATAGTGGATTAAATCTGAGTCTGGAACAAATCCCTCTGTTGCAGGATGCTTCCAAGCGTGGTTGCTTAGGGATTGCTCTTGAGCTCCTTCTCTACTATGGCCTTGACGTGGGCACTTCTGGGGAGGGGGATTAAAAAATTCCTCTGAAGAGTCAGGTCCTGCCCTGGAGGAGTTTACCTGTGAGGGCAAAACACACACAATAAAAGCAACCTTAGAACAATTACAAAGCAACACATTAATATAGGCAAATAAAATAACATCGGAGGGATTAATGTTAGACTTCAGAAGAACTTCCTACCACAACAGATATTGTGGATTCTCCTTTGCTTGGTAGGTTTAGGAATATCTCTGTTTGAAAACAGGAATCTTTTACCTTTAATACTCATCACTCATGTTACAAAAGCCTCAGTCCTTGGGGTATTTTAAGTATATTCTGCTTTTAAACAGGTCAGCTGTCCTTTGGGTAGTTTTCCTTTTCTTCTCTCACTGTTCTGTAAACATTTTCTGGCTCCATTTCTCCCATTTCCATATTCTGAATAGCAAAGGCTTTCTGCTGCCCACTATCCAAATCAACACATCCCCCTGTGGGACACATGGAATCAGCCAGCATTTTTCCAGGTGAAGATGTGCAGGATGGGTAGATATTCTTTAGCACATGTCTCAAATGTACGAATGGCAGGACATCATGAGGCCAGAGGAGGAGGGGTAGGAGAAGCATCTAAACTCTCAGGAATTCATCTCCACATCTTTTAAAACAAAGGCTTCTAAGGCTTTTCACCATTTTGGGGAGGGTTCTCCGTGGTCTCAATTACCATACTTCTGGTAGCAAACTATGACACTGATAGCCAAAACAGGAGATTTCAGATACAACACAGGAAGGTGCTCCCTGAGGGGTCTGACTTAGCAAGAAGAGTTTCTGTAAGAGGAACAAATATTCAGAAGATTTGTTTTATTCTAGCCCTTGCCAAATGATGAGTGAAGAGATGGCTGTGCTGAAGAATGCAGGATAACAGGAGCATGCTGGGCCACAATAAAACATTCACTGCAAATCATTCCAAAAATGAATAACACACCAAATAATGGTAAAAATGAACAGATAATATTGGGGAAATGGTCAACTCTTGCCAGGATTATATCCTCATCATCAGAAGAAAGAAGGGAAAAATAACTCTAATTTGGGGAAGGGAAGGAGATTATGGAGATAACTCCTAGTGCCAGGCTCATTCTGAAGCTGTGGTTTCAGGCCAAGAGTTTGTGTGCTCAAACTTGCAAAGCTCATGCCTGCAGCCTTGGAAGAGAAGACTCTATTCAATGCGTGGATTCAGTCAAGTCTAACAGACCCAATTTTCTCACCCAGCCTTGAAGGTTCTCTCTACTCTTCTACCACCTTCAAGGTACACTGATGTTCCTGACCTTCTTTTTTCTTCAAACCACATATAAGGCTTTTTAGTCTCCACTGGATGCACTTAAGGAAAGTAGATAAACTGTATCTTAATACAGAGCAAAGTCTGCTGATGTAGAAGATCAAATAACACATTTCATGAACTTGAAATGGCAGATGGACGAATTATAATTATTTGATGCCTGAGCAGGGGTCCTGCCGTAAAGACTTCTGTGGAATTCAATAATATGAAAGAATATCAGATCCTGGTAAGGGGTGCTTACAGCCTAAGTAGAGAAACAAAACATAAAGACACGTGAGGAACAATCGCAGAGCTCACGTAAACCTAGGCAGAATTATGCAGCACATACTGGAAAAGGACAGACTGAAGCTGAATTTAGCTCTATTCTCCTTAACTGCCATTTTGAGCATTCACTGTGAGCCAGGCACAGTGCTAGGAGGTGCTCTACGTACCTTCTTTTCTTTTAATCCTCACAAACTGTGTGATAGGTATTGTTAGCACTATTTCAGACATAAGATTAAGTAATTTGTTTAAGTAAACAGGAGAATGCATTGAAACTGTTCTGGGTTAAAACCCAAATCTATGTGACTTGAAGTAGGTGTCCATAACCCCCACCCCATATTGACTCCTTCTTTAGAAGAACTTTCTACCTTGAAAGAAGTTATGAGCTGTCTTTGCTTGAGAAGAGTTTGTACAACTTAGAGGCAGTGTTGTGAAAGTAAACGAATGAATGATATGGATTGCTATCCTTCAGTTTCCTGACTGGGCCATCTAGTTCTAGGCTGAGGAAAACAATAAAAACCACAAGCTCAAAAGATGCTAATGTTGCACAAGCTCCCAGGGGCCTTGGGCTGAAACACACTTGGAAAGATCATTCTGCTGCTTCCACATGTAAGACTTTTTTCTTTTCTTTTTTTTTTTGAGATGGAGTCTCGCTCTGTTGCCCAGGCTGGAGTGCAATGGCGTGATCTCGGCTCACTGCAACCTCCACCTTCTGGGTTCAAGCCATTCTCCTGCCTCAGCCTTCCAAGTAGCTGGGACTACAGGTGCATGCCACCAGGCCAGGCTAATTTTTTGTATTTTTAGTAGAGACGGGGGTTTCACTATGTTGGCCAGGCTGGTCTCGAACTCCTGACCTCATGATCCACCCACCTCAGCCTCCCAAAGTGCTAGGATTACAGGCATGAACCACCATGCCTGGCCACATGTAAGACTCTTTAGACGCCACAGGATTCATGTTAGGAAGGTGAATGAGCTACATTTTCATGCAGAGCAAGCTCCCCTGACACAGATCATATAATGCATTTTGGACAACTCCAGATTGATTAGTTCCCTCCCAATTTAGCTTTTACTATTTTACTGGACTCTAAAATTAATAGAAAAGTGTATTCTGGGGACCTTTGGCATTGACTTTGTGGCACGGCAACTTTTCCATATGTCTAGTTTCAATACTTGCCGCTGCAAAATATACATTAGAGTTTTACACCCGACATATACTCTGTGGAATATAAAAGTATATAAAATGGTCATATCCCTCCAAGAACTTATGCCCTCATATATAGGTAATTAAAACAAAAGCAAGATTCAATATGCGAAGAGTGTGAAAAGAGCTTAAAGTCCTTAGTACCAAGATCCTCTTCAGTCAATCATATTTACCCAGACGCTCATGGAGCCACAATCTTTTTGAGAACGTCTTAAGCAAGAAGGTGGGACATTTGGGTTTTAGGCTCAATGTGTACTTCTAACACACCCTCTCCTGGCATTCATGGAACATTTATTGGGCACTTATGATGTGCCAGGCACTGGGAATGCAGAGATGACTATGATGTAACCCTGCCAGCAAGGAACTCACATGCATGCCTTTATCAGAGCTGGGAACAATGTCCCACCCAACACATCCAACCAACTTCAGCAAGGTGTTTAACTGGAGAGTATGGGGGAGAGTGCAGGGACTAATGCTAATAGTGCTGAGTCAACAATTTATCCACTTATCCTCTCCCCAACACTTCCTCAGAAAGTGAGAGAGTTGCAGGAAACCACATGAGTTTCACTAATCCCCCACCAATGGCACCCACTGCATTACTGGCCTCATTATTTCTTAATGGGACTTTGTTGATTACAGACTGCTTAATTACAGTGACAGACTCCCTTTTGGTTGGGGGGCCCTGGGGCAAGAAAATGAGGGTAAGAAGGTTTGTGGGGGGGATTATGACTGTAGGCAATGCCCTACCTCCCACCCACTGCCCTGCTATCCAGGGCAGGAGCTAGTGTGAGAAAGGAATCTCTGACCAGCTATATTGTTCCTCCTTTCCTGCCCCCCTCGCACTAATAAAAGCCTTCAGAGATCAGAAAAAAAATCAACTTCATCTTATAACAGTTTTCCTAATACAGCTTTCTTCATTCACCTTTGAAAATATCTGTTAATCAGAAAGAAACAGCAATATCATGTCACTATTAAAACACAGGAATAGTAGAATTCTTGGCACATAGTAGGCATATAACAGATATTTGTTGAATAGATGAATGATTACAGAGAGACAGAATAATAGGAGCAAATGCATGCAGAGAACAAGCTGATGGTATGTCTATACTGGGCTACCTGATCAAGTGACCCCTTCATGGAAGCACTCCCCCACCGGACTCTCCACTAAAATGACCAATTGCATGACCGAGTTGACAACATCAGAAGGCACCTTTAGTACCACACATATGCATCTAGTAACCAAAAGAGAGGAAAAGAGGAAGGGAAGGAGGAAATGAGGTTTTTTGTTTGTTTGTTTGTTTGTTTGTTTGTTTTTCATGTACATGTATGTACAGCAGTCCTGAAAAGGTACAGGTGGGAAAACCAGAGAATAGAAAAGGTGAAGTAAACAAGACTGAACCATGAGGTGTGGGGCAGAATGGGCATTTCAGGCAGTAAATAGAGTAGGTGTAGAGATGATCCAGACAGCCACATCCACTTCAAGTAACACAATTAGTTCTTGTAATGTCTTGCGTTGACCTCACCTTGCCACCTCTACCATACCTATCCCAGGCACTCAATAAATATTCTTGGTTTAAACCCAGGCAACTATTGATCCTGGCCAATAAAATTACAGTGGACAATAAAAAAAACAGAGATCAACAGACTAGTTTTTAAATTTGTTTTTTGCCCAAGCAGTTGCCTTAGCAATATATGGTTTACATAAGCATTCATTGGAAAGTGTTTGCAGTGTCAACTTGGGAATGACTAGGGTAGGGAAGCCAAGGTGTACGCTGAAGGGCAAAAAATGGTCAAATCAGGATTTTAAATTTCCTAGAGGTAATATACATGCCCCAACATTTGGGGGTTGACTATTTGTACCTTCATTCTGAACTATACAATTTAAAGAAAAATTTCTAATGTCCCCATTTTTCATTTGTAATATTCATCATCAGAGGTAGATATATCTCAGGGTTCTTTCTCTCTTCTTTTATATAAAATGGCTTATTCCTTATGCTGGGACAGTATTAAACTGTCTATAAAATTCCCTAAATTAATCACTGAATAGTTTAAACATAATAAACGTGTTAACTGTCTCAGTTAATTGGCCCAAGAAATTGTGTTCATCCACAGAATCATATTTTTTTCCTCTCTTACACTTTCTCTGTCATCCTGAGCTAATGCCATAAGCATGAAAAATTGTTCTTTACTAAAGCTGAATTCATATCCAAAACTAGAGCAAGGCCTTAAATAGGAATTTAAGAAATAACTCCAAAATAGGTAGAAGAGAGGGTTTTGGATGTTTTCACCACAAAGACTTGATAAATGTTTGAGGTGAAAGATCTGCTAATTACCCTGATTTGGTTATTACATGATGTATCCATGTATGGAAACATCACACTGTTCCCCATGAATATGTACAATTATTATGTGACAATTAAAAACAAAATAAAACTTGTAAAAAAAATCCACTGACTTGGAGGATCATCACATCTTGTGTAGGTCAGTCACTTCTGAGATGGCCACCATGTGTTCAGGGAATAGGGAGAAAATTCAAAAGGAGGAGATATAGTCCCTTCCCACTGGGAGAGTTCTGTACCATGGGGGAGATTGGAAAGCACTCGTGAAGCAGAGACCACAGCAAAGAGAGACAAGGACAGAACCAGGAGGCAGCTTGCTGAGCTCCAAGGTAAGTGCTAGAAAGATGTAAGGAAACTAAATAGAGAAAAACCAAGTCAGGGAGTAAAGGACCAAAGTGATGGGCCATGGACAAGATTCCATGTGTGTGCCTCTGCGTGTGTACTTTACAAGGAGCGGCAGGAAAGAGCGGGGAAAAGGGGTAAACTTAGATCTGTGGAGAGAAGCAAGGAAAGTCCGGGGGAGAAGTCTAGGATGTGAAAGGCAGGGAGGCGTGCTATAAAAGATGCTGAAAACTGGGTCCCAAGCCTTCTGTCCTCCATGACTATTTATACAAATCCACACTCAACATTGGTGGGCAGGCCAGTAGATTTTTGCAAGGTTATCTGACCTGTGTGAAACATGTCTTTGCGTCAAGATAATGAAAAAGAGGGGGTGCTCTTTACATTATGGCTTTGAGCCTTTACTGAGGAACACTTAATTATTAAGTCCACTCTAACATGAAGTGATGGGAACTGGGAGATACCTGTCTTCAACAGCATAACAGGCTTCAAATCTCTGAAGAGTTATTCAGAGGACAACTGGCAGCTGTGCTTCATTCTTTCTGAGGAAGTAAAAACCACAAGGAAATAGAATGAAGCTACAGAGGCTGGGACTGAGTTAGAGGAAAAAAAAATCCTGATGGAAAAGACTCTCCTCTTTGGTACCCCTTAGGACAGCCCTTATAATAGCCATCCATCTGGGATGACTTAAATGCCAATTTGCTGGACTCGTGAGAAAATAGGGGTCCGTGCAATGTTTCATGATATAGTTCAAATGCTACCTCATCTGTAAGATGGGTAAAATGATATTTCACAGAGATGATATGTGCAAAAATGCATAGCTCCATGACCAGGCCCAGGTTGTGTGTGTGTGTGTGTGTGTGTGTGTGTGTGTGTGTGTGTGTATGCATGCGTGCATGCTGTAGTCATTTCTTCAGTAAATACAGATCTTTCTCTTTCTCTCTCTTTTTTTTGCTCATCCTCAGTTTCCTTAAATAGAAAATGGGCATAGACTGCCTTAGAGAATTTGGCAGGAAGATCAAAGGAGTTCAATGGATGGGAAAACATTTAGAAATTGCAAATCACCACACACAAAGAAATAAAAGTTATCATTAGGCCCTCTGTGAAAGTGTTTTTCTAACTGCCACTATATGCACATGTGCCTGTGTGTGTGGTCATGTTTGTTCTATGTGCATCTGCATGCACATGCATTAGAAAATGCATCCAGGCCAGGTGCAGTGGCTCACGCTTGTAATTCCAGTACTTTGGGAGGCCCAGGCAGGAGGATGGCTTGAGGCCAGGAGTTAGAGGCCAGCCTGAGCAAAATGGCCAGATCCCGTCTCTACAAAAATTTAAAAAATTAGCCAGGTGTGGTGGCACAAACCTGTGGTCCCAGCTACTCAGGAGGCTGCTGAAGCAGGAGGATCGCTTGAGCCCAGGAGGTGAGGCTGCAGTGAGCCATGTTTGTGCCACTGCACTGTAGCCTGGGCAACAGAGTGAGACGAAAGAAAGAAAGAAAGAGAGAGAGAGAGAGAGAGAGAGAGAGAGAGAAAGAAAGAAAGAAAGAAAGAAAGAAAGAAAGAAAGAAAGAAAGAAAGAAAGAAAGAAAGAAAGGAAGGAAGGAACGAAGGAAGGAAGAAAGGAAAGGAAAGGAAAGAAAAGAAAAGAGAAAGGAAAGGAAAGAAAAGAAAGAAAGAAAAAGGAAAGAAAGAAAGAAAAAGAAAGAAAGAAAGAAAAGAAAGAAAGGAAGGGAGGAAGGAGGAAGAAAGAAAGAAAGGGAGAGAGAAGAAAGAAAGAAGAAGAAAGAGAGAGAGAAAGAAAGAAAGAGAAAGAAAGAAAGAAAGAAAGAAAGAAAGAAAGAAAGAAAGAAAGAAAGAAAGAAGACGGAGGGAGGAAGGAAGGAAGAAAAGAAGGAAAGAAATGCATCAGAATGGATATGTATTAGTGGAGGGGAAGGTGGCATACCTTATACCTTGGGAGGTTTGATATTTGGGTGAATGGATGATCAGTGAGTGTATACATTGTATAGCTGTGTATATGTGTATATATGTATAGGTGTATGTGTCTACCTATAGCATGGCATAGGTGCTAGGGGCAAGTGTGGCCATGGTATATGTTGTTTTTTTTTTCTGGGAAGTATGACTACAGAAAGACACATGCAGATAGGACTCAATTACCAAACTCAAGTGGAAAAATGAAGATTTATATAGCTTTGAATTGAATTGATCAGACAATGTAGGCAAAAAGCTTTGTTTTCCATTTTTAATCTGTCCATCAGCTCACTTTCCAAACTAAATCATTAAAATATAAGCATCAGGAGGATGGGGACTTTGACTATCTTGTTAACTGGTATATGAACAGCACGTAAAACAAACTGCACCTGGCACAGGGTAGACATGAAATAAATATTGAGACAAATACTGGAATAAATATCTGATAAATGAACAAATGGTTTATTTAAACCACCTCAGGGCCCCATTCTGCCTCTGCCAATTAATGGAAGAGTTGGGATGACAGCAGGGATGGACTGGGACCAGCAGGACACTGGTTCTTGAGGCAGAGAAGGCATATGAAGAATGAAGCTGGAAGAATTCATCCTGGCAGGCTCCTTCGAGGGATGGGAATATAGAGCAGAGAACTATCAACATTCTACACAAGAACTTATTCCCTGAATATTTATTCTCCAATATTTTATGAGTATCCATTGTGTGACAGCTGCAGTATTTGGTAATATGGTTATAAAAATGAATAAGCTGTGGTCTTGAAGTATGCATTTTGGTGAAGACCGATGTGAAAACAAAACAAAATTATAAAATGGGCATGGGCCTTAGAAAATGTTTGTAAAAAGCATTCTGGGAGCAGATGAGATGAGTGAATATTTGCCTGGGAGAGGAGCTAGGTTCTCAACCCTCTGAGCTAGGGTTTGAAGCATGAGTTTCTTGCTGACTTCCCAAGTGCAGAAGGGGAAAGGGGTTTCCAAGCAGAGTAGGGCAAAGTCCATGTTGTTATGTGGGAACAGGAAGGGGCTCAGCTTGTTGTGCATCATGGACAATGACACAAAGTATGCACAAGGAATCCAGGCTTTTAGATGCAGAGTTGCTCAAGTTGTTGTCTTAAAGCAGATCATTGTAAAGCGGAAACCTAATAGCAGGTGTACTATATCTTGACTGCACATGCAGCATCACTTTCATACTTTTACTCAACAGCAGAAGGAGGGCGAAGTGTAGATAAAGGTATTAAGAAGTTACATGGAGGTCTTTATGAGACAACATCAAACGAACAGAGCTGTAAAATGCAGATGAGAGGAAAGTGGGAAATGACTATTGAGGAGACTACATCAGAGAACATAAATCCACTTCAGAAAACATGGCACACATATAGAAAAAGGGCTTAAAAACATTTACAAAGCAGCATATAAATAAGTGCAAATATGTGGTACAGACAGTCCCCTGGTGCTATGTGAGCATAGAATAAACAAGAAACTAACACTGGATGAGGGTTACTTGGGAATGAATCAACCAAAGTTTAAAAAATAGACAGGATAAGGAAATTGTCAGACACCAACCAAAATTTACTCCCCCGACTTACTCCCAGCCTGGGCTGATTTTCTACCTGTCACAATGAACACGTTACTCATTTGCCACTTTGAACAGTCGGTTTTCATTTCCTACTCTGCAGACACCCCCTCAGACACTCTATTTAGTTTCCCACAGGCAATTATGACTCTCAGATTTCCTGTGGCTCTAGGAGTATGGGGGGTCAGGTTGTCCTAGACCATAAGGAGGCAATTATCCAGATAATTTAGGTATCAAATCATTTATTTGAATAATCAAGCTCATGTATCCAATTTTCTGCTTCCCAAAGTTCTGGCAGCTGACTTTCCCAAGATTAGCACATGCAGTACCAAGTCATAGGAAGACTTAAGAATGTCCAATAAAATGTGTTTCTGTTGACATTATGTAGGGTTCTTTGGGTCCTCAACCACCTTTTATTTTATTTTATTTTATTTTATTTTATTTTATTTTATTTTATTTTATTTTAAGTTCTGGGATGCATGTGCAGAACATGCAGGCTTGTTACATAGGTATACATGTGACTGGTGGTTTGCTGCACCTATCAACCCATCATCTAGGTTTTAAGCCCCGCATGCATTAGGTATTTGTCCTAATGTTCTCCCTCCCCTTGCCTCTACCCCCCAACAGGCCCCATCTTTTCTATCTGCCATTTGGTTTGACAGGTACAGCAATCTTTAGGAGTCCATGTCAATTTCCCAGAGATGGAAGGGTGCAGACAAGTTCCTGATTTTGTTAGGTCTGACAGTCATTGTATTTCACTCACTTAGAAAAGAAATTTGAGTCTAAAGAGATTCCTCCCCATAGATATCTAAGCTGGAATAATGTTAGCCTACACTGCTGTTTACAAAGGCTGCCTCCCCTAGAGGCAGATTTGAAAAACATTTGGGTTAAAGCCGATAGTATTTGGTCATTCAAATAATGATAGAGAAGAAGGAGTCAAGAATGGTAACCAGGTTTCTGGCACAAGCAACTGGATGCCTCCAACTGAAATAGGAACTACAAAAGAAAGAGCAGGTGAGTTCTACTTTTGAGCACGTAAAATTTGAGCTACTTTGGGTGGACAGCAGCTGCATACTTCAGTCTGTACTGGACTTGATGGATCTGTGTAAATATCCTGATTTAGTTTATTCTCATGAGGCCTATACCTCCTACCACATTTCATGTTCTCTGAGAATATGTCTGATGCCTGGGGTTTCTTTAGTATCCACCTGCAGAGAGCCTCATATGGGGTTCATTCACAATGGGGGATAATATTTATTGATTGGTAGGCTTGGAAATAAAGGTTTTCAAATGTTTTCCCAGAGAAACCTTCTCCTTCACACTCCAGTCCTTGCTTTTGTTTTTGTATCTGCTTTAGAAGGGTTCTTTGGTCTCATTACAGCCAATTTAGACAGATGCCTTTGCTACTTTAGTCTGCTTTTTTTTTTTTCTAAAATAACTCGTAGTGTTGTGTTTAGGTTTTTCTGTTGTTAAACTATATATTAAAATAAAGATTTGGAAAATGATTTCATAAGTCTGTCATCCTGACTGGATTCCTCTTTATTAAACCTTATGCCATAAAATAATTAAGGGTCACACTCAGATTGTCCCAACCTCATATTAAATGTAGACCTATCAAAGAGTGATAAGGGGATACAGGGTGAGGACTGTAACCCAGGAGACCCAGAGACTTTTAAACCATATATTTGGGATATAGACAAGCCCCTCTCATACCGTAAGGAGGACTAGGGCTGATTCTTAACTTCCCCCTTTCCTCACCACTATGAAAATTACCTTCACTCCACCTCCATCCCCAGGTCCCCAGGCCCACAAACTTGGAGCTAATCTTTAAACTTCCCCCTAATCTTTGCCATACACAGTTACACCACTACCAAGTCCTCATTCCTCCATCGTAGTATTTCTTAGAGTTTATTCTTCTTTCTTGGCCTGGTTTCCCTAAGAATTAAAGCCAGAAGTAAAAATTTATGTGATAATACTTTATTGAGGAATGCAGTCCCAGGGAATCCGTGAAAGCTGCTTTCACGGGATCCCCTTGTTATGCGGTAGCTATTGTTGTTCATCATATCAAATTAAAGCTCTTCCACTTGGCCTTAATTCATCGTTTGTACAGCTCCCTCTCCTCACCACTCCCACCCACCACCACACCTCCATCTAATGGCTTTCTAAATGGAATCTCTTCTCTGGTTTATGTACTCTACTTCCTCTCTTTCATACATGACATCCTCATGCAAAACCTCAGGCCTTCATGCCAAAAATGTTCACCTCCTCTGCAGTAACTCAATTTCTCTCCTTATAAAAATAATAATAGCTGAGATTTCCTGAATACTTATTATGTGCCATGCATTGTGCTAAGGGTTTTGCATGTGTCATCTCAGTTAACTTAAAAAATCTCTTTGAGGCGGATACTATTTTATGACAGAGTTAGTTAACTGGTTTTTGGAAAGACCAGTCATTTTGCTCAAGATTATATAGCTAATAAATTGCCCAGCAATGACTTAAACTATCGTTTGTTTAAACTCCACGTAAAACTTCCTATTTGCAGGGAGACTTCCCTTAACCCAACAGTGACAATGCTACTGCTCTGTGACTCCACAGCAGTTACAAATATAGTTTTGTTTTGCTACTTTGCCACTTTTTACACATTATTAAGTGTTCTTAAGCCTTTTATTGTTGTTGGTGATGGTGGTGGTAGTGTGTGTGTGTGTGTGTGTATCAGAGAGAGTGAGAGAACTTTCCTAAACTAGACTTTAGAATGGGAGATTCCAGAAGGCAAGGAATGACTTTCATTGATTTATTTTTTAAATATCACTGTCATCTGTCATTGGAGGGCAGAGCTCTGCTCTTTGGCATTGGCAGCAAGGAATACTAGAATGCTCACAAACCAATATTCAGGGGTGACTTTGTACAAGACAATGGTGTGGCCACACATAGGATAATGAACTCAGTTTTAGATTCTTCTCTTTAAGACACATAATAAAGTTAGAGATAGCCCATGGAAGAGGATTGAGTGGCTGGCTTATGACAATAGTGATCTTTATGTAAAAAGATAAAATTTGGAGGGTAGGATATAGTGAAAATATTTAAATTCAAGATGGCTATCCTGTGGGTAAATATAGTATTTGCCAATCCTGAAATAATGGAACAAGAGAGGCACATTTTGAAACAAATGAATAAACTGTTTTACATTCAGTTAGCAGACTAATAGAACTCATTACCGTGAAATAATTGCTATAAGCTGAAAATACAAGAATTTCTAAGATGGCTTAGACTTCCTGTTTGAAGACGGCAACGTGAAGATGGCAGTATAAAAATGACATATTCCTTTTCTCCTCTTGTAAATCACCAAAAATTAAAAAATGACAAGGAGAATGAGAAATCTTCAATGAAGCTACAAGAAAGATGAACCAAGAGAGAGATAGAAAGGCATCAAAAGGAGTAGCCATGAACAGGACTGGGGAGAAGAGAGGATGCACCCAGCTGCAGATGTAAAGAATCAGTAGGTACACTGCTTCTAGGAGCACATCTTCAATACAAAACCAAAATCTCTCACAGCAGGGTGTATAGGCTTGCAGCAAGAGCTTTCCTAGACCTACTTTGCTTCAGAGAAACAAAAGAAGTGGAGCTGAAGGAATTACACAAACAAGCGTATTTTCAGAAAGCAGTGTGATGGAGGGAGAATATAAACCTTGCCTCTCGACTAGTCCTACAGCAACCTATATCCATTGGCTGGGGAAATATAAAGGAAAAAATTCATAAATAAACCTGAGACATAAGAAAAATTTCTCTTAGCCTGGAACTCCGAGCTCTCAACCACTCAGTCTTCCTATGAATAGTGATACAGGGAAAACTTATCTCATTCAAAGATGAGTAGTTATAAAGAACAGGCTTCCACAGTAGGTAGCAGGAAAGAATAAAGAGAATTTTTTTTTCTTTAATTTAAAGAAAATCTAAAGGCTATAAAGGTTAGAAATAGCAGGTCCAACAGTCTAACAATAGAAGCCCCAGGAGAGAAAAGTGGACGAGAAAATATTTAAAGAAACAAAGAAGAAACACTCTACAAAATTAAAGACGAAAGACCTTAGATTGGAAGGGCTCATACAGGGCCAAATAAAACAGATAGCAAAAATGCACAATTAAATACATTATACTGAATTTTAAGAATATCAAAGACAAATAGAGAATTTTAAGGGAGAAAGAGTAGATTACTAATTAAGGAATAAGCATCAAGCTGACATTAGATGTCAATAGAACATAGGATGAAAGAAACAATGGAGTAGAATCTTTAAAGAGTTAGAGGAAAAAGGCCGCACTTTGAGAGGAAAAAGACTCACGCCTGTAATCCCAGAACTTTGGGAGGCCGAGGTGGGTGGATCACGTAAGGTCAGTAGTTCAAGACCAGCCTGACCAACATGGTGAAACCCTGCCTAAAAATACAAAAATTAGCAGGGCATGGTAGGTGCCTGTAGTCCCAGCTACTCAGGAGGCTGAGGCAGGAGAATCGCTTGAGTCTGGGGAGGCAGAGGTTGCAGTGAACCAAGATCGCGCCAATAAAAGTAACCCAGTAAGGAGACATGGAAAGGAAGGGTGATTAAGTATTTTGATAAAGTTTATTGTTTTTTAAAAAGCTAGAATTAAACAAAATAAAAAAGGTATACCTGTGAAACTATAAACTAAAAATCCAGACAATATCAACATGATAGAGGAATGAGTTATGGAAAACAAGAGATCCAACAGAATGCTAAAGAACTTGTCCTGTTAGGATCTGAGATAATGCCATATTTAAGAAATAGTAAAGGGGTAAATAACAAGAATATGGCTATTAAGTCAAGGGAAAAACCATAGGAACTTCTAAAAACTCCGTCTATCAAATAAGAAACAGAAAAGGTGAAAAAATAAAAAAGTTTTGGTAAATATTATTTCATCAAATAAGAATTTGTTTCCGATAAAGAACATGAAGAATGCATAAGTAAAATTAACAGAAAGATGGTAGATTGGAAAAAAAAAGTTGTAATATTTAAATTTCATAAAAGACTTTACCTAGACCAGTACTTTGCAAACTTTAGTATGCATTTGAAAAACCTGGGGATCTTGTTTAAAAGTGGATCTTGAATCAGTAGGTTCAGGACAGGATCCAAGATTATGCATGTCTTATAAGCTCCAGGTACTGCCAATATTGCTGGTCATGAACCATTCTCTGAATAGAAAATACCCATTTTCTATTATCCTATTACTTCTATTATCCTACTCTATTCTATTATTTCTATTTATTCTCATGTTAATAAATAAGAAAAGATAACAACCCTAATAGACTAACATATAAAGGATGTGAGGAAACTCAAATATGAATAAATGCTCTCCAGTGTTCTAAAGTTGCATGTATTGGTAATTTATTATTTTTATTGCTCAAAAGTATTCCTTTATATGTACCTACCACCCTTTGTATAATCATTCACCAGCTGATGGATATATGGGTTGTCTCTAGTTTTTAACTACTGTGAATAAAGTTGCTATGAACATCCTGTGTACAAGTCTTTGTGGGAACATATGTGTTCATTTATCTTGGGTAAAAACCTAGGAAGCCAATTGCTGGATTTTTACAACAAGTGTATGTTTAACTTAACAAGAAACTGCTAAACTATTTTCCAAAGTGATTGTACCATTTTCCATTCCCATCAGAAGTGTATGAGAGTTTCAGTTGCTCCATATTTTCATCGACATGTGTTATTGTCAGTCTTTTTATTTTGAGCCATTCTAGTGGTGTGTAGTGGTATCTCAGTGTGACTTTAATTTGCATTTCCCTGATGACTAAAGGTAGTGAGCAACTTTTTATGCATTTATTAAACATTTGCATATCTTTTTTGTGAAGCCTGTTCACAGCCTCTGTCCATCTTTAAATTAGTTTGCCTTGTTATTGATGACTTGTAAGAAGAGTTCTTTGTCTGTGCAAAGGACTACACATGTCCCTTGTCAGAGACATATGTATATATAACTGGGTGTGGCAGGTGGCTGTAATTCCAGCTACTCGGGAGGCTGAGGAGAATGGCATAGATAGATAGATAGATAGATAGATAGGTAGATAGATAGATAGACAGATTTTTTGTCATGGTCTTGTGTTGTCTTTTCCTTTGCTTAAAAGTCTCTTTCAAAGAGCAGAAGTTCTTAATTTCAAAATCAAATTCATACTTTAAAAATTTCATGGATCCTGCTTTTTGTGTCCTATCTCAGAAATTTTTACCTATCCCAATGTTGTGAAGATTCCTTCTATGTTTTATTCTAGAAAAGTCTTTGCTCTGTCTCAAACTAATTTCTGTCTATGATGTGAGGTAAGGGTCAAAGTTGTTGTTGTGATGGATATCTAGTTGTTCTAGCATAATTTGTTATAATAGTATCCTTTCCTACATTGAAATACCTTGGCACCTTTATCCAAAACTGGCCAACAAAATAATAGAAACAGAGAGTAGAACGGTAGTTTCTAGGGGCTGGAGGAGAAGAAAAATGGGAAGTTATTGTTTAATGGGTATAGAGTTTCAGTTTTATAGATGAAAGCAGTTACGGAGATGGATGATGGAGATGGTGGTAAAACAAACATTATGAATTTATCTAAAACCAATGAATTGTACATTTAAATAGCTATGATGGTAAATTCTATGTTATATGTATTTTACACAATAAAAAATTGGAAAATAATTTTGACAATTTTGATTGTTTTGTTGTTTTCAGTGTTCAGGTCCTGCACAGACTTTGTCAAATTAATCCTTAAATATTTCATGAATTTTTAGATGTTATTATAGATAGTAGTTTTAAACTTTTTACTTTCTAATTGTTCATAGCTAGTATGAGAATACAATTGATTTTTTCCACACGTTGACCTTATATCCTGCAACATATCTAATTTTATTAGTTCTAACAGATTTTTTCTAGATTGCTTTGGATTTTATATATATATGCAATCATGTTACCTGCAAATAAAAACAATTTTACTTTTTTCTTTTCACTGTGTATGATTTTTATTTCTTTTTCTTGCCTTAGTTTACAGGCTAGGATCTCCAGCACAACACTGAACAGAACTCGTAGGAATGAGCATATTTGCCTTGTTCTTGATCTTAGGGGGAAAGTGTTCACCATTAAATATGATGTTAACTGTAGATTTTCTGTAGATGCTCCTTATCAGACTGAGAAAAGTTTTTTTCTATTTCTAGTCTGGAGAATTATTAGTGTTGAATTTTGTCAAGTACTTATTCTGAATCTGCTGAGGTGATCACATGGTGTCTCCATTTTTTTGTTTATATGGTGAAATATATTGATTGATAGTCAAATGTTAAACTGACTTTGCTGGATTCAATTTGTTAATATTTTATTAAGAATTCTTTTGGAAGTTCTGGCCAGGGCAATCAGGCAGGAGAAAGAAATAAAGGGTATTCAATTAGGAAAAGAGGAAGTCAAATTGTCCCTGTTTGCAGATGACATGATTGTATATCTAGAAAACCCCATTGTCTCAGCCCAAAATCTCCTTAAGCTGATAAGCAACTTCAGCAAAGTCTCAGGATACAAAATCAGTGTGCAAAAATCACAAGCATTCTTATCCACCAATAACAGACAAACAGAGAGTCAAATCATGAGTGAACTCCCATTCACAATTGCTTCAAAGAGAATAAAATACCTAGGAATCCAACTTACAAGGGATGTGAAGGATCTCTTCAAGGAGAACTACAAACCACTGCTCAAAGAAATAAAAGAGGACACAAACAAATGGGAGAACATTCCATGTTCATGGATACTAAGAATCAATATCGTGAAAATGGCCATAGTGCCCAAGGTAATTTATAGATTCAATGCCATCCCCATCAAGCTACCAATGACTTTCTTCATAGAATTGAAAAAAACTACTTTAAAGTTCATATGGAACCAAAAAACAGCCCGCATTGCCAAGTCAATCCTAAGCCAAAAGAACAAAGCTGGAGGCATCACGCTACCTGACTTCAAACTATACTACAACGCTACAGTAACCAAAACAGCATGCTACTGGTACCAAAACAGAGATATAGACCAACGGAACAGAACAGAGCTCTCAGAAATAATACCACACATCTACAACTATCTGATCTTTGACAAACCTGACAAAAACAAGAAATGGGGAAAGGATTCGCTATTTAACAAATGGTGCTGGGAAAACTGGCTTGCCATATGTAGAAAGCTGAAACTGGATCCCTTCCTTACACCTTATACAAAAATTAATTCAAGATGGATTAAAGACTTAAATGTTAGACCTAAAACCATAAAAACCCTAGAAGAAAACCTAGGCATTACCATTCAGGACATAGGCATGGGCAAGGACTTCATGTCTAAAACACCAAAAGCAATGGCAACAAAAGCCAAAATTGACAAATGGGATCTAATTAAACGAAAGAGCTTCTGCACAGCAAAAGAAATTACCATCAGAGTGAACAGGCAACCTACAGAATGGGAGAAAATTTTTGCCATCTACTCATCTGACAAAGGGTAATATCCAGAATCTACAAAGAACTCAAACAAATTTACAAGAAAAAAACAACCTCATCAAAAAGTGGGCAAAACATATGAACAGACACTTCTCAAAAGAAGACATTTATGCAGACAACAGACACATGAAAAAATGCTTATCATCACTGGCCATCAGAGAAATGCAAATCAAAACCACAATGAGATACAATCTCCCACCAGTTAGAATGGTGATCATTAAAAAGTCAGGAAACAACAGGTGCTGGAGAGGATGTGAAGAAATAGGAACATTTTACACTGTTGGTGGGACTGTAAAGGAGTTCAACCATTGTGGAAGACAGTGTGGCGATTCCTCAGGGATCTAGAACTAGAAATACCATTTGACCCAGCCATCCCATTACTGGGTGTATACCCAAAGTAATATAAATCATGCTGCTATAAAGACACATGCACACGTATGTTTTTGCAGCACTATTCACAATAGCAAAGACTTGGAACCAACCCAAATGTCCAACAATGATAGACTGGATTAAGAAAATGTGGCACATATACACCATGGAATACTATGCAGCCATAAAAAAGGATGAGTTCATGTCCTTTGGAGGGACATGGATGAAGCTGGAAACCATCATTCTCAGCAAACTATCGCAAGGACAAAAACCAAACACTGCACGTTCTCACTCATAGGTGGGAATTGAACAATGAGAACACTTGGACACAGGAAGGGGAACATCACACACTGGAGCCTGTTGTGGGGTGGGGAGAGGGGGGAGGGATAGCATTAGGAGATATACCTAATGTAAATGACAAGTTAATGGGTGCAGCACACCAACATGGCACATGTATACATATGTAACAAACCTGCACATTGTGCACATGTACCCTAGAACTTAAAGTATAATAAATATATACATAGATATCAAGAATTCTTATATCTGTGTTTATGATAGATATTAAACTACACGTTTATTTTCTTATGATGTTTTTGTATGATTTTGATGTCAGAGTAATTTTGGCACCATAAAATGAGTTATGAAGTGTTTCCTCCTCTCATATTTTCTGAAATCTGCAGGATTGGTATGATTTCTTCATTCAGGGTCTGATAGAATTCACCAGTGAAGCCATCTTGCTTTGGTGTTTTTCTTCAAGGGAAGGTTTTAAAATTATAAATTCAGTTTTTTCAATAGAGCTAGAGTTGTTCACATTTTTCAACTTATATGTCAGTTTTGGCGACTTGTGTTTTTCAGAAATTTATCCATTTCATCTAAGTTGTCAAATTTATTAACATAAGGCTGTTCATAATATTTCCTTATTAGCCTTTAAAGTCTGTTGAATTGGCCAAGCACGGTGGCTCACGCTTGTAATCCCAGCACTTTGGGAGGCCAATGCGGGGTATCACTTGAGGCCAGGAGTTCAAGACCAGCCTGGCCAACATAGTGAAACCCCATCACTACTAAAAATACAAAAACTTAACTGGGCATGGTGGCGTACACCTGCAACCCCAGTTGTTTGGGAGGCTGAGGCATAAGAATTGCTTGAACATGGGAAGCAGAGGTTGCAGTGAGCAGAGATCGCACCATTGCACTCCAGCCTGGGCGACAGAGCAAGACTCTGTCTCAAAAAAATAAATAAATAAAAATAAAATAAAATAAAATAAAATAAAGCCTGTTGATCTATGGTATCTCCTTTTTTCATTCCTGATATTTGTAAGCTGTATCTTCTTTGCTTTTTATAATCTTTCTAACTAGAGGTTTATCAATTTTGTTAATTTATTCAGTGATACTGCTTTTCATATCATTGACTATCTATTATTTTTCTGTTCTTTATTTCAGTGATTTCCACCCTAATTTTTATTATTTCATTCTTCTACTTTTGCTTCATTTTGTGCTTCTTTTTATAAGTCTTTAAAATGGAATCTTAGATAATTGATTTGGGATCTTTCTTCTTTTCTAACAAAAACATTTACAGATATAGGTTTCCTTTTAGATACTTCCGTAGCTACATTCACAAATTTTAAAATATTGTGCTTTGTTTTTTTAAGAGTCAAAGTATTTTCTATTTTACCTTGTGATTTGTGTTTCATGGACTATTTAGGAATATTATGTTTAATTTTCTAAACTATGGGAATTTTTCAGATATACTTTTGGTTAGGTTTTTAATCTAATTCTGATGTGATCAGAGTATACTCTATATGATTTCAATCCTTTTAAATTTAGCAATGCTTGTTTTATGGTCAAAATGG
Organism: Homo sapiens; assembly: GCF_000001405.40. NCBI lineage: Eukaryota > Metazoa > Chordata > Mammalia > Primates > Hominidae > Homo > Homo sapiens. Next base: position 53,876,535 of record NC_000012.12, on the reverse strand, counting down.
TTTACCTTGGTGACTGTTCCATATATACTTGAAAATAACATGTGTTCTGCAATCACCGCAGGTAACGTTCTATGAAGGAAGACTCAATCAAGTTAGTTAGTTATGTTGTTCAAGCCTTCTAAATCTTTAGTGGTATTATGACAACTTGTTCTATCAATTCCTGAGAGAACAGAGTTTAAAATCTATTCTAATGGTGAGTTTGTCTATTTCTCTTTATAGTTATGGCACTTCTGCTCCATGTATTTCGATGTTCTGTAATTTGCCAATTATTTACTATTATTATTGTTATTTCCTTTTGATCATCTGAACCTTTTATCATTATGAAATGTCCCTCTTTATCTGTCTTACTATTCCATGTACTGAAGTCTCCTTTGCCTGGGATTAATATAGCACCTTCAGCTTTCTTATTATTTATGTTTGCATGCTACCTGTTTTCCCACCCTTTACTTTTAATCTAAATATTTAAAATGCATTTCCTGCAGACAGCATATTGTTTAATCATGCTTATTTATTCTATTTGACAATTTCTAGCTTTTAATTGGAAGGTTTAGACTATTTATATTTAATGTAATTATCAATATAGTTGACATTAAGTCTGGTCATCCCTTGTTTCCTCTTTCCTCTTTTGGATAAATTGAGTAAGTTTTAGGATTCCTCTTTTGGATTGAATAAGTTTTAGGATAGCTATACTTTTTCATTTGGTTATTTTATTGACTATTTTATGGGATTTATATTATGCAATTTTAACTATCAATGCCTATATTCAAATAATATACCCTGTCACATACAAAGTAGGGACAATAGTTTGCTTCCATCTCCTTTGTGCTATTATCGTCATACATTTTACTGCTATGTATGTTATAAACCCCAAAATACATTGCTTTCTCTTTTGTTTTAAATAACTTGTTATCCTTTTTTAAAACTTTTTTCCTTTAAAATTTATTTATTTATTTATTTATTTATTTATTTATTTATTTATTGAGACAGCGTCTCGCTCTGTCGCCCAGGCTGGACTGCAGTGGCATCATCTCAGCTCATTGCAACCTCCACCTCCCAGGTTCAAGCAATTCTCCCACCTCAGCCTCCTGAGTAGCTGGGAATATAGGCATGTGCCACCATGTCTGGCTAATTTTTGTATTTTTTGCAGAAACAGGGTTTTGCCATGTTGCCCAGGCTGGTCTCGAACTCCTGGGCTCAAAGTGATCTGCCCACCTCGTAAATAGCCTGTTAACTTTTAAAGAAAATTTAAAAACAAGAAAAAGTCTTAATATTTACCCATATACTTACCATTTCTGAAACTCTTATAAGTCCAAGTTTCTATTCAATATCCTTTTCATTCAACCTAAAAATCTTCCTTTAGCACTCAGTATTCATTCGGATTCTGTTTGTGTGGAAACAAGTCTTTATTAACCTTTACTTTGAAAAACATTTTAACTGGACATAGAATTTCAGGTTGGCACATATTTTTCATTCAGTACTTTAAAAATGTTCTTCCAGACTGTAAACTAGTTCAACCATTGTGGAAGACAGTGTGGCGATTCCTCAGGGATCTAGAACTAGAAATACCATTTGACCCAGCCATCCCATTACTGGGTATATACCCAAAGGATTATAAATCATGCTGCTGTAAAGACACATGCACACGTATGTTTATTGCGGCACTATTCACAATAGCAAAGACTTGGAATCAACTTAAATGTCCAACAACGATAGACTGGATTAAGAAAATGTGGCACATATACACCATGGAATACTATGCAGCCATAAAAATGATGAGTTCATGTCCTTTGTAGGGACATGGATGAAACTGGAAACCATCATTCTCAGCAAACTATTGCAAGGACAAAGAACCAAACACCGCATGTTCTCACTCATAGGTGGGAATTGAACAATGAGAACACATGGACACGGGAAGGGGAACATCACACACCGGGGCCTGTTGTGGGGTGGGGGGAGCAGGGGAGGGATAGCATTAGGAGATATACCTAATGTAAATGACGAGTTAATGGATGCAGCACACCAACATGGCACATGTATACATATGTAACAAACCTGCACGTTGTGCACATGTACCCTAAAACTTAAAGTATAATAATAATAAAATAAAATAAAACGAAACAAAGAAATAAAAATTGCTAATTTGCTAGGTGAAAAAAAAAATGTTCTTCCAATGTCTCCTGGCTTACATTGATGCTGACAAACCATGTCTAATAATTCTTATCTTTGTTCCCTTATATTTAATATATCTTCCCTAGCTACTTTAAAATTTTTCAGCAATTTGATTATGATGTGCCTTGGTGTAGTTGTCTTTATGTTTAGCCAGCCTAGGGTCACTGAGCTTCTTAAATTTATAGGTTTATAGTTTTTATTAAATTGAGGGGAAGCTATCCATTATTCCATCAAAATTTTCTTAATCCTATTACATAAATGTTAAACTACTTGATATTGTCCCTGCAGTCATTAATGCCTTCTTTTTGTTTTTCAGTATTTTTTCTATCTATGCCTCCGTTTGTATGGTTTCTTTCTATGTCTTCAAGCGCATTTATCTTTTCTTCTGTAGTGTCAAATCTGTTATTAAACCCATTCAGTAAATATATATATATATATATTTTCATGTATATAGCACTTGTTTAGGATGGAAGGACAAGTTTCATGTCAGTTACTTCTTTGTGACCAGAAGCAGAAGTTTCTTATCTCCTTATTTTTCTTATTTTTATCTTTTTTCTTATCTCCTTATTTTTCTCTTCATATTTCATGTTCTGTAGTTTCATATGTTAGGGTTGGATTTATTTTTTTTATTTATTTATCTTGCTTGGAATTCACTGGGCTTCTGAGTGACTTTAATCAGTTTAAGAAAATCCTGTCATTATTTCTTCAAACATTGCCTCTGTTCTATTCTTTGTCTTGTTTAATTTTGGAGCCTTAATTATTGGTTGATACGGGTCTTCTCCCTCTATTTTCCATATATCTCAACTCTGTTTGATATTTTCATACTTTCACCACATTGTGCTTCATTCTGGATTTCTTTTGATCTGTCTCCTAATTTACTAATTATCTCTTCAATTGGGTCCAATTTGCTGTTAGAATCATTCTACTTGGTTCTGCTTTAAATCCATTAGATCACTTTTTACATTCCCGGAAATATTTTCAGGCTTGTTTTTTAACATGTGCCTAACAGGTAGTTTCAATCTCTGGAGGCTTTGTGCATCTGTTTCTGCTGTCTGTTGTTTTTGCTGATTCTTACTCACGGTGCCTTCTCTCCCTATGTGCTTATTTGCTCACTGCCTTTGAAGAATTACTTGTGGAGATTTTTGAGGCTTAGGATGAAGAGGTCTTCATTGAGGGAGGATTTGCCTTTGCTTTTGCTAGGTCCCCAAAGGAAATACTAATCTGGAATCATTTAAAATTAAATTCAAGGTTTGAGGTTTTCTTTTACTACCTAGGTGATATAAATTTGGGCTGCAAATCAGGCTGGCTTGGACTTTTTCCTTCTGCTCTGCTCAGCACCAAGGAAACTTTCTTATAGTCCCTTGGAGATGTGGCAGAGGGGGTAGGTTTACTTTTTTTTTTCTTGGAGACAGGGTCTCATCCTGTCACCCAGGCTGGAGTGCAGTGGCACAATCATGGCTCACTGTAGCCTCAGCCTCCCAAGTACCTGGAACCATAAGTGTGTGCCACCACACCCAGCTGATTTTGTTAGTTGTAGAGACTGGGTCTTCCTATGTTGCCCAGGCTGGTCTTGAACTCCTTGGCTCAAGAAATCCTCCTACCTTGGTCTCCCAAAATGCTGGGATTACAGGCATGACCCACCATGCCCAGCCTAGGTTTACTTCTATTTCACCTTACACTAAGGGTATAACTCTTTGATTTTTCAGTTTTATATGGGGTCAGTCTCCTATTAGATTCATAACTTCGGGCCAGCCATGAGTTTGAAGTTCTCAGACCAGCCATCAAAACCAGAGTGCAAGTTTGCTTCTATCAGCAAATACCTTCTGGTTAAAAGTAGCCTTTTTGTTTCACTTATCACTTTGAGTTTTCACTTTCAACTAGATTTTGACCTGATATTTCCCTACTATTTTGTTGGCTCTTTCATGCTTTTAAGATGTCTTAACTATTTTATCCAGCATTTTAAAGCTATTTTCAGCAGGAACGTTGATTCAAATAACCCAGCCCAAGCCTTTCACATTCCCAGAAACTGAAGTCCACTTAAAAAAGAAATCCCATCAAATGGCCTCTATAGGTAATCCAAACCCTCACTGGTTATTTTTTGTTTGTTTGGGGGTGAAGAGGTTGTTTGCTTTTTGCTTTTACAGACTAATGTGTCTTCCTTAAAAAGCAATTGAGAAAGTACCCTATAATGTAAGACTTTGTAAGGATTCAAATATAAAATAACTTCCTCTTTTCTGAGAAAGTAGCTTGGGAAGATAAAATCTCACCTTATGTTGAGTATATATGATATATAAAGTCTTTCACAATACCTAACATACAGTAGGTATTTAATAAATACCCTATACTTACTTTCCCTCCCCTCTCTCCTCTAGCTCTTCAGCTTTGAATAAAATCTAAGTTGTCCAGATGCTTAAGATAATGTGATTCAAAATAAATAACATGTGAATCTATCCCTGCTTAGAGTAAGTGGCATGGTCAGTATGACATTTCTCTAAGACTCCTCTAGTCCACAGTGAAAATCACATGAATTTCTGTCTCTCTCTATCTCAAACACACACACACACACACACACACACACACGCACACAAGACCACATAACCTTATAAATTACTTCTTTTACAGTCTTTATTTTCAGGGATTGTTATGAAGCATAATGACCAACATATCATAGAACAAACTTAAGTTCTATTTAGAAAATGAAGACTTTTGGACTCCAGATAGAAATGTTCTTCTCTACTCATATAGGACTTGGGAATTTCCCAAGAAAGAAATGAGTAACAACTTAATGTAGGATCTTCCTTCAGTGACTTGAATGAGGGTGGAGCAAGCTTTTTACATTAGTACAAGCATATTGCTAGGATATGCCTGATGGCCACTGTGCTGAGGAGGTAGAAATTAGGCCAGAGCCACTTCCATTTCCTTACCTTTTTTTTCTCTTTTGAGACAGAGTCTGGCTCTGTTGCCCAGGCTGGAGTTCAGTGGCACAATCTTGGCTCACTGCAACCTCCGCCTCCTGGGTTCAAGCAATTCTTCTGTCTCAGCCTCCCAAGTAGCTGGGACTACAGGCATGTGCCACTATGCCCAGCTAACTTTTGTACTTTTAGTAGAGATGAGGTTTTGCCAAGTTGGCCAGGCTGTTCTCAAACTCCTGACTTCAGGTGATCAGCCCACCTTGGCCTCCCAAATTGCTGGGATCACAGGCATGAGCCACTGTGCCCAGCCTCCTTACTCTTTAAAACACATCACAGCAATGTTTGTAAGATTGCAAGAGGAGGCCAGGCACAGTGGCTCACACCTGTAATCCCAGCACTTTGGGAGGCCGAGGCAGGCAGATCATGAGGTCAGGAGATCGAGACCATCCTGGCTAACACGGTGAAACCCTGTCTCTATGAAAAATACAAAAAATTAGCCAGGCGTGGTGGCGGGCACCTATAGTCCCAGCTACTGGGGAGGCTGAGGCAGGAGAATGGCGTGAACCCGGGAGGCGGAGCTTGCAGTGAGCAGAGATCGCACCACTGCACTCTAGCCTGGGTGACAGAGCGAGACTCCGTCTAAAAAAAAAAAAAAAAAAAAAAGATTGCAAGAGGTTAAGGAGGTGCAGCAGCCTGCCCCCATTCTCACTACAAATTTCCAATTATTATGACCAGCACTACCTCCATATTAAAATGAAGTTTTTCCCTATCGACTATGCCTTTTAGTTCATATTCTCCTATTCTGTGATTTCTCTGCTTGTAGAGTTCTGTCCATGATATTGAAAGAGACCAAGAAAGAGAGGAAAGCACAAATTCACAACATTTATAAAGTTAAAGAATTCTTCGAGATGGCCTAATTCAATGCTTCCTTGTCCATACATAATTAAGTGGAAAGGCCAGAGAGGTTATGAGGTGCACAGGGTTATAGACCCACACTAGAACTCCCAAGTTCTTGACTTGCTATATACATCCCACTACGCTGTGCTACTGGTTCCCTGCAAGCTCTCAGAACTCTTCTTATCCATGCTTCATACTCGGAGAGAGTGAGGCAAGGGCAGATCTTAAGGCCAGCTGAATGAAGTTCTTTACATTGCCACTAGTAGGATTCAGAAGAATCAGGAATACACAGAAAATGCAGAGTTAGGAAACGTCGTCTAGAGAGGGAGAATGGAACAGGATTTGGAAGTAATGGAAGGTCAAGACTGATGAGAGAGGGAAAGGCATTCCAGGTAGATAAAACTGATATTTGAAGTCTCCATGCAAAGAAAGAATGAGATATGTTGGTGAGGAGCACAATAACAAAAGTGATAAAAATATGGAATACTAGCTCAGGCCAACAATACTCAGATAATGGAGCGCATTTCATCTAACACTAATTTTCCTCCTCTAGCACAAAGAAGATATGGGATCAAATTAATATCTGAGAAGCATTATAAAAGAACTGAGATAATTTTAGCTGGAAAGGTATAAGGGAGATGTGGATCTTCCTTTCCACAATGAAAAGAAATGAGCTAGAATTGCCATTAGGAAATTAAGATTAGGCATTGGGGCAATCAGCTGTGCGCTTTTACCTGAAAGAGGCCAAAGAGTCAGGAAATCTTGAAACAAGGTCTGAAGGAGACACCCTTCAGCCTGGCATGAGTTAAGTTCAGTCCTGCCTGGAGGCAGAGGGAGGGATGAAATGTCCTGTCATAGAGTCTAGAAGTCTGGATCAGGGCCAATTCATGGAAACAAAGCATCTCATTATGGAGAGAGGTGGAGAACAGCAGGAAAAATCTCCAGCCTATTTGTCTGGGACTTCAGAGCAGTGTAGAAGTTTTCTGGCTTGATCAGTTTTAGACTCTGATGATAATAACAAAAACAAATTTCAGTTAAACCAAAATGAAAGAATTTCCCATGATAATGCCATGAATCTTGGATCTCACTCACTGGGGAGGTTAAAACACCTGAGAACAACCAGCATGAACAACTTAGGCACTGTTGAGAATGAAAACAGAGAGGGATAAAAATTATTGCTAAGTTGGATGCAGCCATAAAAAAGAATGAAATCACGTCCTTTGCAGCAACATGGATGTAGCTGGAGGCCATTATCCTAAGTGAACTAACACAGGAATAGAAAACGAAATACCGCATCTTTTCACTTATAAGTGAGAGCTAAACATTGAGCGCACATGGACATAAAGATGGCAACAACAGACACTGGGGACTACTGGAGAGGGGAAGGAGGGAGAGGGGCAAGGAATGAAAAACTATCTACTGGGTACTATGCTCATTACCTGGGTGACGGGATCATCCATACCCCAAGCCTCAGCATCATGCAATTTAAAAAAAATTATTGCTAAGTTGGAAATTTAGGATTCGACTCTGAGGCCTTGGAGCTTGTCAGGGAGGGTTGGTTAAGTGAGGGTCCTCCCAGCCTAGTGGCTATGCGAGAACTTGCTTCTGGGAACCCATGGTGAAGGCTGGGTGTGTCTGAGCGTGTGCTGAATTCCTGGCTTCAATGACAGACTACCAGGCGGCTGAAGAGTCTGTCATTGCTGATGTCATCATATTTACAAGATTCATAGGTCCCCTCTCCAGAATGAGGGCCTCTCTGCCCCTGCTGCCATCTCCCACCACTGTGTGCACTGTATGAAGAAGCAGAGCATCGTGGGAGGCAGGGTGAGGGACTCCTGGGCGTGTCTGCCCACTCCCACCCAAGGAATGAGGAAATGATTGCTTGGATAATTCACACTGCACTTCCACTGTCCTGGTCATGGCTTCCATGTTGCAGGCTACATTCAGCTAGATTTAACAGTAGAATGTTCTCATAAGTGTGCTGTGGTGTAGTGGTTACCATGGTTACCTAACAGTGGAATCCCCTCACTTTAGAAAATCTTCAAAGAGAGATTTTGTATTTATCTGGGATGGAGGCAGAAGTATGGATAAGAGGATATCTTAAATTTTCCTTTCTTTTTCTTTTTTTTCTTTTTTTTTGAGCGTGTGTGTGTGCGTGTGTTTTGTTTTGTTTTGTTGAGACAGGGTCTCGCTCTGTCACCCAGGCTGGAGTGCAGAGGCATGAACAGGGCTCACTGCAGCTTCAACGTCCTGGGCTCAAGCAATCCTCTCACCTCAGTCTCCTGAATAGCTGGGACTACAGGCACGTGCTCCCACATCTGGCTTTTTGTTTTTAGTAGATACGGGGTCCTACTATACTGCTCTGGCTGGTCTTGAACTCCTGGGCTAAAGTGATCCTCCCGCTTTGGCCTCCCAAAGTGCTGGGATTACATGCATGAGCCATTGTACCCAGCCTCAGATTTCTATTGAAATACTCTACAATACTTTTCTGTCCTGTGCCTGTTAAAATCTATTTAAATTATCTTCCTGCCAACATCCTAGGGGTTCAAAAGAGTGTGGGTGCTTCGTCCGACTCCTTCAAGTAATTGTTTCTAGGCTCTGCCTCTAGAGATGCCATTAGAAAACTGATAGGCATGGGGAACCAGCTTCTCCCCAGAGAGTGAAACTCCCAAGCAACCAGTCCCACATTCCTCTCTGACTCATGCTCCCAACCCCCCACTGTGCCCTAAAGGTCAGTGGGCTGGGAAACAGGCCACATCTAGGACAACTGCTGCTGGAATAAGATGTCTATCCTGATAGCCAGGACTTACCTCCTCCCATCCTCAGCCCTGGGTAACTCCCTGGCCCGTGCCCCAAGTATTGTGATAAGATGCTACCAGTGATAAGAAGAGGATAGTCAACAAGGAATCTACCCTAGGGCTGACAGCCTCACTGGGGAGGTCATATCACAGGCTCCATGGATCATCTCTGATTCCTCCACTTGCCATAGCAGAGCATCCCCCTGGCCCCTGAGGAGGAGACACTTCTCATTATCTGAGTCAGTGGATGAGAGCAGAGGCCACATGATTTTGTCATTTGCTGAGTGTCTGCCATGTGCCAAGTCCTATGCTAAGTGCTAAGTATTCAATGGTGCACAAGCCTTGTATGTAGCTTACTGTCTAGTAGTAGAGGCCACCATTAAACAGTTTCACAAATGTAATTAGTGTTACAAAGAGAAAAGAGAAGTGAAATAAATCCTCATTGCTTTATCTTTGGATACCTACACTCATACACATACATACAAACACACCCTTTGAGTCTATCCCTGATGCTTGCTCTGACTCAGTGTTTCTGTCAAACCCAAGGCAGTGGAAGTATGGAGTCTGCAAAAATCCACAAAGTGGATAGTGCACAAATCAGGAATAAGGAGTTGACCCTATGCCAGTATGAAAATTCACCCCTGGCTATAAGTCTAGATATAAAAGTCATATCAAAATTGGTCACAAAATTCTATTTACACATCTAGGTTGAATAAATTTTATCTTCACTTCCTCAAAGCCACCCATCTCTGAAGCAAACGAGGCAAAAAAAAATTTTTTTAGAAACCAGAGGTGCACGCAACCATAGGGAAGAGAGGCCTTAAAAGATGGGTTTGAGTCACCCTTGCTTCCTCTCTCTATGTCCCGTTCTGATATCACTGAGTCTGGCCTGCAGACAGAGCTTTGGAGAGTCTTCTCATTCATTTCACTGCCTTCAAAATCTGCAGACAAATGCTAATTGACCCTATTCTTCTAGATCCTCAGATAGAGGGACTGCCCAGTTTCCTTCAGTAAACCATGCTGTTGGAAAGTTCTTCTTTGCTAATTCTATTTATTATTTCTCTACAAAATTAATTCCTTTCTTGATATTTTGTCTTTTAAATCTAAATATGCCAAGGGGAAGAGGTAGACACATTATAATATTTCCCCCTCATAATCTGAAAAGTATAAAAGCATAAACAATTTGAAAAGTGACCACCTCTTCTTTCTGCTTCAGAGAAAATTCCAGCAGAGGTTCAAGGTGAAAATATCACAAAAATTTGGGAAGCTAGGGCTGGGACTCTTCTCCTCTGCCATCAGTTAGCATAACCCAGGTTTGGAAGACCTCTGTGCAACAGGCTGGGAAAAATCCAGGGGCAGTTTCTAGGTGGTATTTCCTTCCTTCAAGTAAGGTGACTCCAGAAAGTTAAAGGTCAAGGGATAGATGCCAGGTGTAAAAGTTTCTTTGCTTTACTGTGAAACCTTTTCATACAGAAAAAATGGGTAGGCTGAATGAGGCAAGGAGCATGTGGCTGGTTAAGTTAAATTCTGCAGGCCATCATATGATTCCAGAATAGAACGAGGCAAAACAAAGTGTGGAGTCCATTTGGACAGATAATTACAACTGAAATTTAAACAATATTATAGAAAAATCTAGACATTAGGTTTACATTATACTTGGTCTTTATGCTTTACTTCATGTGAGAGGAGCACCTTAGTCATATAAAGTCAGAGTCCCAGAAACCTTAGTCTCTTGTTCTCAAAAGCTAAGGGGAAGAATAAACATTTTAGCCCTCCTGAAATTATTCTATTTATGGCCCTGCCTTCAGCTAGGAAGACACATCCTAGGTTGGTCATTTAGGTCCTCTAGCAATTTCATCCTAATTTCTCACTAAACCCATTTCTTTGGAATTTTCCAACTTAGAGCTATGCTTCAGCCAAGATAACACTTTCACTAACCCCCATAGCCTGACTCTTCTCACATTTAAGCCTCAGACTGAACAATGAATGTCTCTCATCACCTAGAGTGTTGTCTTCACAGACTGCTTCCCACAATCTCCCATCAAAACCCAGCTCAAATCCTTTTCTTGCAGAGTCTTCCCTTATAACTGCAACTAATTGAGATTACTTCTTTACTCCAGTTTAACTTAGCCATTTAGTTTCAACAACATGTAATTACATAAGCCTGCAGGTGAGTTCACATGTATGTGTTTCTATGGGACAGTGGGAGATTAGACTATCTAGTTTCCCCACTCCTCTCCTTGGGGTTCTTCAGTAAACGCTAAAATTATTTTTGAGATGGACTAACTGCTCATCACAGAATGAGACACAAAAACTATTCTGTATCAAGTTCTGAGAGATGGGCCAAAGATGAATAGCAATTTCAAGAATGGAGAGAATGGCTTACAGAGAAGAGATATCCTAATTCTGTACTCCATCAGAATTCACACTTATGACATTGTTTGGGAGCATTTGATTAAGTGTTTCTAGTATCAGACCAATATCTAAACTCCCATTCAGAAGGAGCATCGAGTATAAGCTTTATACAGGGGAGAAGCATGGTAACCTATAGCAGCGCCTAGCACATAACGCAGGCTCAGCCAGCATTTGTGGAAGGAAGGAAAGGTTGAAAGGGGGGCCTGAGAGGGCAAGGAAGGGATTGAGAGGGTCAGTAGGTTCTAAATCTCTCTTTATTGTCACTTGCTAAAGTTGGTTGACTTTCCAAGCAAGAGAAAGCCAGTCAATGATTTCTCTGACTAGAGGAACTGGAAGCTATGGGGATGAATATGAACTCTGGTTAACAGGAAAAGGAATATCAGTATGGGGAAGTTTCCCATACAATGGAAAACAAGATACAGATAAACAGAGAATTAATGCTGGAGTACCATCTTCGCTATCAATGCTGGGAGAATGAGGGGTAAGGACATTTATGGAAGCTAGTTAAAGTAGACTTTCCAGAGGAGGAAGAGGAGATAATAGACCAGAGCTTGGCAAGAACGAAGCTACAGGATTGAGCACACAAGAATAGGACAGAACAGAACAGCCGTGCAGACCATCAGAAATGACACAGGGTAACTATGGAAGGTTTATCTTAGCATGAAAAGGCTTTGTTGAAAGTCAGGAGAACTGAAATGGTGGGAGAGTGAGTAGTTGATGGGAGTACTGAGGAATGAAGATGAGCTTGATAAAGCTATACAACTCTGCTGCCATGGACATAAAAATGGGAGAACAAGGAAGAGTGTAAACTCTCTTTACAGGTGGGAGGGGGTTAAGAACTGAAAAACTCCCTACTGGGTATTATGCTCACTTCCTGGGTGAAGGGTTCAATTGTACTCCAAACCACAGCATCACATAATATACCTTTGTAACAAACCTGCATGTGTAGCCCTGAAATCTAAAATAAAAGTTGAAAACAAGAAAAAAAAACCTGGCTCTATTATCCAAATTAATTTATATTTCTTGAGCATCTCCTATGCAAGGCATTATGTTAAGCCCAGGAATATAAAGGGATATACAGTTAAAACATAAACAATCTTGGGGGAGTTAGTTTCAAATTGATACAAGATGGCAGAGAATAAGGAGGAAAAAAAGAAGAGAAAAAAATATATACAATTTCCACCTTCTCATAACCTACAAAATAGTAAAAGAGATAAATACATATGTAAATATTATTCTAGTAGTATAATAGAGACTCAAACAATGTGACACTATAGTTGCAGGAGGGTCAGAAATAATTCTCGCTAGAGCGATCTGGGACGTAATCTTGGAGAAGATTTTAAGCTAGGCTTTAAATGAAGGATCAGATCTTGGCAAGTTGATGAGGAAAGGATGGCATTCCAGACAGAAAGAATAGCACATGCAAAGGTCTGGAGGCATAGAACAAGTTGAAGAAACTCAAGTAGACCCATGAGATTGCAGTCTAGGTTATGTAAAAGAATGTTGATCCCAATATTATTGTCGCCGTGGAGGGCTCTGAAGATCAAGCAACAGAATTCTAATTTTATTATCTGTATATTGGAAAACCAGGTAATTAAGAGATGCACCATATTTCTTTGAAATTTCCAGATAACCAACTCATTTTCTGAAGTTTGAGAATCAATAATGTCCTAGTTATTATAGGAAAATGAGATTTCACATGGACTCCATCATGGAAGCTGCTGTCTTTCTCAAGCTCATTTGCTCCTATACAACTCCACTGCCACGGACACCAAGGAAGAGTGTAAAGTCTCTCAGAAGAGAGAGGCCTTTAACAGAAGAGATTTTAATCCACTGAAGAAGGTGACAGTAGTAATAGCTCTGCTCTCAGTCAGGAGGCTCATTGAGACAGATACACAACATCCCTCCATGGACACAGGCAGACAGTAGATCACAGAAATAAGTGCAAATAATACAATGTTGAGGAACTATAGAATAGTACAGTCCTTGGAGCCAGGGAAGGCCAATTAAGAAAGTTTTCTGGTGGAAGTGAGCTCAGGTAGGACTGGGTATCTACAAAGAAAATGGACAAAGTTGGACAGGGAGGATGGAGAAACAGTACCTGGAGTAGGAGAGGAGGAAACTGGCCTGTATACATGTTTGGAGGCAAGTATGAACAAGCACATGCAATGAGCATCATGTGTGAGAGACAGAAGAATGAACTCAGCTGGAATGGAGAGTCTGTAGCAAGAACTAACACGGATCCAGTCTGCAGGTAGACCGGTTTCCAGCACAGCAGCCTGGGTTAACATTGGATACTACCCCTGGCCTCTCCAGAGGGAATGATAGGAATTTCAGTCTTTCTTTTCTCCTTATATTTTCATGAGACATGGGTTACATTTCTAGTTGTTCTGGAACACTGACTCATCCTTCTGTAATGAATGTGAGTGTCCTAGGGTATGATGCTGTCTATTGTACTGAGGGACAAAGTGAGGCCACAGCAAAGGAGACTATTAGGCCCAAACTCAAATTATAATTAAAAACTAAGCTCTGGCCAGGTGTGGTGGCTCACAACTGTAATCCCAGCACCTTGAGAGGCCGAGGTGGGAGGATTGCTTGAACCCAGGAATTCAAGACCAGCCTGGGCAACATAGTGAGACTCTGTCTCCGCCAAAAAAACAATTAGCCAGGTATGGCGGCACACGCCTATAGTCCCAGCTACTCAGGAGGCTGAGGTGGGAAGATCGCTTGAGCCCGGGAGGGCGAGACTTCAGTGAGCTGAGACTGCACCACTGCACTCTGCCCTGGGTGACAGAGTGAGACCCTGTCTCAAAAACCAAACAAAACCAAACCACTAAGTTCTGTTGGGCTTTTGTGTTCTCTGGTATTCCTATATTCCCCTGCACACAGGAATGTTGAATTCTACCTAAGCCAAGGGAGGAAGTGGTCAGATGTGGAGGTAGAGGTTATTACAGGATACTGCAGAAGGCCTGATATGCTGCCTCTCATAGCCCAGGCTCCCTAGGTTAATGCCCACATTCTCATTTCTAATCCCGTCTACAGTCACAGATACAAGTGGCCACAATGGAAATTTCCCCAAAAGTCTGAATGCTGGAGTAGAAACTGCCCGTTGACCATTCTAAGCAACCAGTGAAGTCATGTTGACCCTATACCATGAGGGAAAAACTGAGTCTAAATTTTGTTGAGTAGAGCAGAACTTTCAGACAGCCCAACTGCAATTAGAAGCTGGGGACCAAGGCGTCCCTGAAACCCAGCTAGGGAATCTTTCCCTCATGTTCTCTCTAAGCTTCACATTCCACCATATAACACAGTAAAAAAGAGATTGCCCCATACCCTTCTGTAGGAAAAAGGTACATTTTGGGATGGTTTGGAGGCATCAAAATGGTAAGCAATTTCAGGGTACAATTAAGACCTGGCTGTTCAACCCTACAATAAATTACCATCAAAGGCACTCACACGTCAACAGGGGAAAAAAACACATGTGCTTGCAAGACAATGTGTGTTTGATGCTCATAAAAAAGATAAAAATATAGGTCATCATCATGTAACGAGCTTGTAGGTGTCAGAACGTGTGCTGTTGGGGGAGGTAGGGGAGAGAAATGGAGAGGGATCAGCAAACCAAGAAGGAGCTGAAGTCAGACTCCTATCCCCAAGTTCTTCCCTTCTGCTGAAGACAGTGGACTGGCAGTAAGGGAGTGAAGGACCCCTCCCCCATTTTCTTTTTCTTGGGACATCCCCTTTCCTGCTCCCCCCAGCTGGATTTCCGACATATTAATCATGTCTCTCATTTTGAAATCAGCCAGTCAGGCTATTATTCAAGCATTGTTAATGACACCATCGGCCAAGGTATCAATTAGGCAAGTTGGGATAAGAAGAGCAGAGAATAGGGCTGGCCAGAGAGCAGAACACAAATCTGTTTTGGTGTAGGTAACCCAAACGGCAGCAAGGGCTCCTAATGCTCTTATTTCTACTCCTCTTAGAGGCAACCTCAAACGCACTGAATTCTCCAGTCAAGACCCAAGCCAAACTGTTACTTCATAGTATCCCCTCACTTGCTCCCTCAATTGACCCTTAACTGGACTTCAGCTAGTCACATCAAATCACTCAGGATATGCAGGAACAGGGTCACAGCTAACTAGCTCTGGGCAGCGCTTATTCCTGTGGCTGAGGCCCAACATTATGGGAGAAAATGCTTCCTCCACCATGCTTATGCTGGCTGCCTTGGGTGGAGTTTCTTCTCCTTTGCCACAATATGCATTCTAAAGGTCCTTTAAAATCTAGCTCAACGTTTTTTTTTTTTATCAAGGAAGCTTTTGTTCTAATGAAGAAAGTCTTTATATTTGTTGATTCTTAGTTCTTAAATCTGATTATTGTTTTCCCCATCAGGCTGAGTTTCCCAATGACTACAGCTATTAATAATTCTTTTTTTTTCTTTTTTGCTAGATCTCCCTGCCTCCCACACCTACCAATACTCCTTTTCTCTGTCAAGAAAGGCTCTGTTCAAAGGGGCTATTCAGAACAAATAGGTGTGACAGGTACTCAGGTCACTGAAGTTTGGATCCTGGAGAAAGGACAAAAATAGAGATTAGAATAGAAACTGCAGCAAAGTAGGAGTCCAAGCAGTCATCAAGACCTCCAAGTTCCTTCCCATTATATACCCAGGGAAGTCTTCAGAGCATTGTGTTTCTAGACTCCAGTCTCCCTGAGTCACTCCCTGGTTTCCTGTCACCCTTTCATTCTCAAGACAGACACAAGGTTCTCCCTGGCTTTCTTCCACACCCACCAATTATCCAGATCTTCAGAAAGATGAAGGACACTAAGGACAAAAGGTCAATGTTTCACATTTTAAGTGTCTCTGGACCCAAAGAAGGTGGCTGGGTCAATTAAGTTTCAAACACCACAACCAAAACTAGAAATCTCAATAAAAAACAGTCACATTTGGAGTCTTGACATTAAACTTACCTAATTACATTGGCTAGGAAAGTGAACACGCTTCTCAGCTTTCCCCAAAAAACTCAGCAAATTGAATTCCCTTTCGTCCTTGTTCCACCTCTTGTTTCTCCTTTAAGATCCACCCTACTGGCCGGGCACACGGGCTCACACCTGAAATCCCAGCACTTTGGGAAGCTGAAGCGGGCAGATCACTTGAGCTCAGAAGTTTGAGACCAGCCTGGGCAACATGGCAAAACCCAGTCTCTACTAAAAATACAAAAATTAGCTGGGCATGATGGCACACGCCTGTAATCCCAGGTACTCAGGGAGGCTGAAGCAGGAGAATCGCTTGAACCCAGAAGGCAGAGGTTGCAGTGAGCTGAGATCGTGCCACTGCACTCCAACCTGGGCCACAGAGTGAGACCCCATCTCAAAAAAAGAAAAGAAAAGAATAATCTGCCTACAACTTTCATTCTATGCTCCAAAGCACTGAGCTGATAGAAAAATGAAGAAATAGGCTGGTTGCAGTGGCTCACACCTGTAATCCCAGCGCTTTGGGAGGCCAAGGCAGGCAGATTATGAGGTCAGGAGTTCGAGACCGACCAGCCTGACCAACATGGTGAAACCCCATCTCTACTAAAAATACAAAAATTAGCTGGGCGTGGTAGCAGGCTCCTGTAATCCCAGCTACTTGGAAGGCTGAGTCAGGAGAATCACTTGAACCCGGGAGGCGGAAGTTGCAGTGAGCTGAGATCATGCCACTACACTCCAGCCTGGGCAACAGAACTAGACTCCATCTCAAAAATATATATATTATGTATATGTGTGTATATATATATATATATATGTATATGTATATATATATGTATATGTGTGTATATATGTATATGTGTGTATATATATGTATATGTGTACATATATATGTATATGTATATATATTTCCACACCCCAAAGAGAAAACCTGTATCTATTAGCAGTCACTCCCTATTCCCCACAATATCCCTAGCTTTAGGCAACCACTAATCTACTGTCTCTATAGCTTTACCTATACCCTGAACTTATACCCTGACTATAGCATGTACCTATACCTTTACCTGTACCCTGAATACCTCTACTCCAAATATAGAGTATACCTATACACTGAATAATTCATATAAATGAAATTATACAATATGTATTCTTTTATGACCAGCTACTTTCAGTTGGCATAATGTTTTCAAGGTTCTTCCATGTCATAGCATATATCAATATTTCATTACTTTTTTATTGCCAAATAATATTCCATTATATGGATGTCCCACATTTTATTTATCCATTATCAATTGATGGACATTTGGGTTTTCTGCTACTATGAACAATGCTGCCATGAACATTCATATACAAGTTTTTATGTAGATACATGTTTTCATTTCTCTTAGGTATATACCTAGAAGTGGAACTACTGGGTCATGTGGTAACTCTAGGTTTAACATTTTGAGGAAATGCTGTTTTCCAAGGTGGCCGCATCATTTTATATTCCCACCAGCAATGTATGAGGATTCCAATTTTTCCACATCCTCACCAACACTTATTATTACCTTGTATTTATTATTGTTGTAACCATCCTAGTGGTATCACATAGTCGTTTTGATTTGTATTTTCTTGATAGCTAATAATGTTAGGAATATGTAGGAAACATTTTAATGTGCTTACTGGCCATTTGTATATCTTCTTTGAAGAAATTTCTATTCAGATCTTTTTTTTTTTTTTTCTAAGATGGAGTCTCGCTCTGTCACCCAGGCTGGAGTGCAGTGGCGAGATATCGGCTCACTGCAAGCTCCGCCGCCTGGGTTTATGCCATTCTCTTGCCTCAGCCTCCCAAGTAGCTGGGACTACAGGCGCCCGCCACCGCGCCCAGCTAATTTTTAGTAGAGACGGAGTTTCACCGTGTTAGCCAGGATGATCTCGATCTCCTGACCTCGTGATCTGCCCTCCTTGGACCCCGAAGTGCTGGGATTACAGACGTGAGCCACCGCGCCCGGCCCCTTAGTCCATTTTTAAATTGGGCTACTTGTCTTTATCCTTTTGAGTTAGAGTTTTTTATATATTCTAGATACAAGTCTCTTATCAGATATATGAATTGCAAACATTTTCTTCCACTCTGTGAGTTGTCTTCTCACTTCCTCAATGGTGTGATTTGAAGCAAAAGTTTTTAATTTTGATGAGGTCCACTCGATCTATTTTTTAAATTGTGCCTTTATCTAAGGAATCATTGCATTATCCAAGGTCACAAAGACTTACACCTATGTTTCCTTCTAAGAGTTTTATAGTTTTAATTAACTCTTGGATTTAGGTCTTTGACTCATTTTGAGTTAATTTTTGTATGTAGTGTGAAATAGAAATCCAATTTAATTCTTTTGCATGTGGCTATGCGGTTGTCCTAGCACTACTTGAAAAGACTATTTTTCCCCACTGAATTGTCTTGGCACTTATGTCAAAAAGCAACCGACTGAAAATGTGAGAGTTTATTCTTGGACTTTTAACTCTATTCCACTGGATAGCCATATGTCTATCCTTATGCCACTACCATGCTGTCTTGATTACAGTAGCTTTGTAGTAAGTTTTAAAATAAGGAATGTGAGTTCTTCAATCTTGCTCCTCTTTTTCAAGATTGTTTTGGGTATTTTGGGTCCCTTGGATTTCTATATAAATCCTGGGATCTGTTTGTCAATTTCTGCAAAGAAGCCAGTTGGGATTTGACAGTGATTGTGTTTAATCTTTTGATCAACTTGGAAAATATTGCCAAGAACATGGGATGTTTTTACATTTATTTAGGTCTTCTCTAACTTCTTTCAACAGTGTTTTGTACTTTTCAGAGTATAAGTTTTGTGCTTCTTTGTTAAATTCATCTCTAAGGATTTTATTATTTTTGATGGTATTATAAATGGGATTTTTTTTCTTAAATTCATTTTCAGGTTGTTTGTTGCAAGTATTATCATGTTCTTTTAAACACTGTAGTGATACGCATAATTATTTACAGAGTACCTACTAGGTGGAAATGCTAGATTGATGGGAAATAAAGAGTATAAGACTCAGTTCCTAAAATGAAGAAACTTACAATCTAGTTGAGAAGAAACAATGCTTTACATGTTTCTCCTTTATAATTTTTTGAAGTGATTTCAAATACTTCATAATATTTGACTTTGACAACACCATTCATCCATTTACTCAAAAGTATGTATGAGGCTGGGCACAGTGACTCAAAAGTATTTATGAGGCTGAGCACAGGCTGGGGCTGTGAGCACAGGCTGGAGCTCTAATCCCAGCACTTTTGGAGGCCGAGGCAGGAGAATCGCTTGAGGCCAGGAGTTTAAGACCAGCCTGGGAAACATGGTGAGACACCTCCCATCTCTATAAAAAATAAAAAATTAGCCCAGCATGGTGGTGTACCCCTGTAGTCCCAGCTACATTGGAGGCTGAGGCGAGAGCATCACTTATGCCCAGGAGTTTGAGGTTATGGTGAGCTATGATCATGCAACTGCACTCTAGCCTGGGTGACAGAGCATGATCCTATGTCTAAAAATATAAAAAATAAAGTATTTATTGAGTGACTACTATCTGGAAACACCATACTAGATGCTGGGAATTAAATGGAGAAGAAAACAAATACAATCCCTGCATTCATGAATCTTACCATCTAGTTAGAAAGACATATTAATCAAACATAAATTATAAATTTTGGTAAGTACTATAAAAGAAACACACATTAAATAGTAGGGCAGGAATTGTGAATAAAATAAAGTTCTATTGCTTGCCATCTGCTTCTCGAGAGGCCACCCTCTGCGCAGCCCCCATATTACAGAAAAGAAGATGGAGGTAAACAAGAGTTTTAGTGTTCTGGAGGCAAAAAGCAAAGGATACTATGAGAAGGATCAGGCCCTCCAGCTTTAACACTGAGTTGTTTGATTAGATGTACAACATTTGGGTTTTATTTCCCTTCCTTCAAGAAAAAGGAAGAGGAAGCATGATTACAAGGGATGCAAGCCCTCCTGTTGCAACCAGGTCAGCACGCTTTGGCTACCCGCCTCGCTCTCTGCTGGGCTCAAGCAGAGAAGCAAACAGTAGTTCTATGGAGGACACAATGCGGTCCCCATGCTCTGCTGCCCCACTGCCCTAAGTGCGGGCTGGGTTTAAACTGTTTTTCAGCACTGGCAGAAATAAGCCAAACAGGCTTTTTAATATGATCTCACTTTCTCCCAGGTTCCAGCTTCCTTAGTACTAGTCAACCTGCCCTAACTTTTAAAAGTGTCACAGAAAACTAGAAAAGGGCAAGGTTATGGAGAGCTGACAACTACTTTATGAATGGATTATAGAAAGAAAACTTTGATTTTATTTCTTATACATTATAGACATACTGGAAGGAGGGGCAGTATATTTTATTTAAATAGGGAAGTGGTGGCCTAGTATTGGTCCAGGATCTTCCTCTAATTTCATCTTGACAAGCAGTGACATGGCCCAGCCACAAACTGCAATAGCAGAGCCTAGACCAGAATCCAGACCTCCTGACTCCTATTACAGTGCTTTTGCCACTGCATTTAAAGAGACTTAAATCCTTGGTCAATTCATGGAACAAACATGGCATGATCGTTAGGACTAGGAGATACAAAGGTGAATAAAATAAAGTTCCAGTGCTTGCCATCTGCTTCTGGAGAGGACACTCTCTGTGCAGCCCCCACCCCAAAGAGTGGATTAGATTCTGCTCCTTTGTGTGTTCATAATAGCTTGTGCATTCATAATACCTTGTGCGTTATTTCTATCAGTACACTTAAAACACTATATTATAATTATCTGTTGATATGTTGATTTCTTCTGCTAATTCAGTGAGTACATTGTAGGCAAAGATCTTGTTCTTTGCCATCCCAGAACCTAGCACAGCACCTGGTACATCGTAGATGGTTCAATAAACCTTCATTGAATGAATAAATGAGGAGCCGGTCCAATCCTCCTCATCCCACTTCATTCTGCTGGCACAAACCCACATAATATGTGACCGTATATCTCCCAGGTGAAAACTGGAAAGCTGATATGTCCACACTGTAACTAGTGGATCACCAGTAGTGTGGGTGAAACAGCAATTCTATGAAATTCACAGAGCAGTTCTACTCCCTTTTCCTACACAGCCCTGCCAAAGGGGAGATTTGGATTCAAGAAAACAACAAAGTTGATTTCATGTTGTACATATTTAATGAAATGGGATATCTAAGACTGAGTAATCCAGAAAATTCCCTTTTTAGTTCATGCATGGGTAGCCAGTCTTGGCTTTGGACAGAGTTGTCTTTTTCCAAGACCAGGTTTGTTTTTGTCTCCCCATATGCCTCATTTTGGTCTTGCCGACAAGTGAAGAGAAGCAGTTAGGAGAATGAGATGCATATTTAAAGCTAAGTTGTTGCAGAGCCAGCTCAGAGAGAGAAGTCTTATTAAAACTCATCTATATTCTTTTTCATAAAATATCACCATAAATGGACCTGTTAAACAGTGTCTCGGGAGCCTCTGTAATTGGCTGAGCTCCAACTACCCACAGGGGACAGGAAGATGGTAGTGGATGGCTTCCTTCCCACCCTCCACTGTTCACTGTGTGACCCTGAGCCCCAGCTCTGGGAGGTGGTCTGGGGAGACACAATTCCAATATCTGTTCCGTTTTGAATGCAAAATCAAACTATGTTACCAGATAAGCAGAAATGGCATAGAAATCAGATAAGGATTTTATAGTGGTTTGTAGACAATTTCTTAAGGCCTTTGGGGACAAAAGCATATCTCTACATATGTTAGCACATATCGACATATATGGATACTGTGTGCTAGTCTATCGTTGTCTCTGGAGATCACTTAGGTTCACTTCCTCCCCTTCATGGGCCATCAAGATGCAGTCATTCAAGCCCAGAAAGATATTAGGGTCTGTTTGACAAAAGACCGAGTGTGTGTGTGTGTGTGCGCGCGTGTGCATGTGTGTGTGTGTATTCACTTATTTGGCACCTGTATGTGAGAGGAGGCTAAAGAGAGAGAGAGATTGAGATTCTGACTTCATTACAAAGCCAAATTAAAATTATTTTTCTTAGCTATTTCTTGGATAATTTTCTACTCCCTCCCTCCAAGAGTGCAGATAAGTAAAAGTTGACCCAAAGGTCCTACTAGCTATTCACACACATGCATCCTCAAAGTAAAATGAAGTGCATTCATCTGGTTCAAATTACAGAAGCTATGTCTATATAGCACCAAATAAGTGAAGAGTTTAGAATCAGATTCATATAATTAGTAAACTCAGATTATCTAAGCCCCAGAGTAGATTATTTGTGTCTGAATTGCCCACTTTGGCTATCTACACACAGATTCGGTACCGTCTCTTTGAAAAAGCTAAGATAGATAACAATGAACATCTGTATACAAAATAGAAAATGTATACATACTTTATAAATCTAAATAACGCCAGGTGCGGTGGCTCACGCCTGTAATCCCAGCACTTTGGGAGGCCGAGGCAGGCGGATCACAAGGTCAGGAGATAGAGGCCATCCTGGCTAACACAGAGAAACCCCGTCTCTACTAAAAACACAAAAAATTAGCTGGGCGTGGTGGCGGGCACCTGTAGTCCCAGCTACTTGGGAGGCTGAGGCAGGAGAATGGCGTGAACCCGGGAGGCTGAGCTTGCAGTGAGCCAAGATCGCGCCACTGAACTCCAGCCTGGGAGACAGAGCGAGACTCCGTCTCAAATAAATAAATAAATAAACAAATAAATAAATCTAAATAACTTGGAAGGATCAGAATATTGATGAAATTTTCAGTCAAAATATTAAAATGGCTACAATTCTCAAAAAATATGCCTGAAATAGCTTCATAATTATTTCCATGCCCCATAAGGCTATTGTCATTATATAAATAAATTTATATAGCAATCTATTTAAATCTACACACTTGCATACACAATATGTAAGCTACTAATATATATAAACCTATATGTTTATAGGCTGAGATATATGGGGATTCATAGGCACATTTGTTATTTATTTTATTAATTCATTTATTAGATTTCTATTAAACATGTCTATTTTGGTTTATTATATGGTAAGAATCTGGCCTCACACATCCCTATCCACCCTCTTTCCATAGTTCTGGCTGCCAGGAGGGCTTGTGTCCTGAAGCCTGGGGAGTGGTTTTATTTATTTTCTTTAAACTGTGGGAGAGGTCAGCCATGGCTTAAGTGAACTCATAAATACATCCCCATGCCCTGGAATGTCCTAGGTGTGCCAGCCTGCCCATACAGCACCTGTCACCTATGGAAGGTCCACTGTCCTCCCTAAATAATCTTTATGTCCTTCTATATGTAAACAGGGATAGAGCTTCAATAGAACTGTCACCTCTCCTGGAAAGGGGAAAGAGGTGGTAGGGGGAAAATTATGGAATCCTGTTCCCACCTAGGTTTAAATATAACTCAGTCAGGATAAACAGGTAACGCTCTGCCCCTATGCTTACATGACGTAAAATAACTATACAATGAGCCGAGCAATGCAGAGAGTCAAATTGAGCCTCATGATCCTGTTTGGGTGTCTTTACTAATCACCCAAATCTCACATCATTTGTGAGATCCAAACACAGCTGCCATCTCTTCAGTAGTTCTCATCCCTGGCTGCATATTAGAATCACCCAAGGAGCTTTTTAAAAATATGGATGTCTGGGTCTCATGGTGCACCAGTTGACTCTATACATCTAGGAGTGGGACCCAGGAACCTCTATGGTTTAAAAGTTCCCCAGATGATTCAGATCCACAGTGAAGATTGAGAGCCACTGTACCTTTATACTGACCTAATTCAGTATAAGGCAGAGAAGTATCCCAGGAACTGGGGACTGGTAGACAATTGGGGTGATTCTAGCCAAAAATTAAGCCAACAAACAAAAATCAAAGTGAGCTTCCTTTTGCAGAAGATTTTTCACCATGTTAATATCTGCTCACCTAGATACAGCCAAAGAAATTGGGCTGAGAATGTGAAGATGACTGTCACATTTGAGAACCTATTCCCAGAATACTTACAAGGAAAACTGGGGCATACACATGCACACACACACACACACGCACGCACGCACACACACATACATACCATGTGACTGCTAGCAACTTAAAACAAAAAAATTTTAATTGAATTTCGGGGCCTGGGGAAGATCTGAACCTATAATTATTTCTTAGCAAACTTGCTGAACACAGGGTTTTCCTCCTCTGAGACGAGATGAGACGGGTAGCATAATGAACCCTCTTTAATTAAAAAATAAAATGTTTTAGGATAATCATATTCTTCTAAGTTACATTATTTTTTTAAAGGAAAGGACAGATCGTGAGAAAATGTCCATTTTCAAGTGCCCCATGTTAGGCTGCCTCAAATGGACTAGTTTCTCATTCAACCCTGTAGATTCAAAATTAGATCCTTAGGGAGGCACTTGAGTCCTTGCATTATTCCTAACATGAAGCTAACTTTTTTTTTTTTTTTTTTGAGACGGAGTCTCGCTCTGTCGCCCAGGCCGGACTGCGGACTGCAGTGGCGCAGTCTCGGCTCACTGCAAGCTCCGCTTCCCGGGTTCACGCCATTCTCCTGCCTCAGCCTCCCGAGTAGCTGGGACTACAGGCGCCCGCCACCGCGCCCGGCTAATTTTTTGTATTTTTAGTAGAGACGGGGTTTCACCTTGTTAGCCAGGATGGTCTCGATCTCCTGACCTCATGATCCACCCGCCTCGGCCTCCCAAAGTGCTGGGATTGAAGCTAACTTTTTAAAAACCCTTTCTGTACTCCCACTTCTCTTAAATGCAATAGGCAGGTTCAATGTCAATTGATTCCAGCCAAGCAAAGCAGTGGGGAGGGAGCAAAAGTCAGGGTACTGAGAAACAGAGACTCCTGGTCCAGCAGCTCTCTGACATAATTTTGTGGGATTCTCTAATAGAGAAGTGGAATGTTCACGTTCCCCATTAGAGAGCTCTTCCCCAGTTTCTTTGGAGATATTTGGGATGTGAGTAGATAGACAGAGGTGGGAAAACACTCATTTAGATCTTAAGTTGGAGGGAGGCACAAGCTCTGATGAATTGAAAATGTCTCTCTTCAGGCAGGAAAACTAGACTAAGACAGAACTGGGGGAGAAGTTTTGCCTGAGTTCTACCTCTCAATGTGTGGGTTGGTGGCCTTGGGGGACAATGATCGACCACCAAGATAAATATGAGAAATCCAATTCAGGAGGTTTCTTTTCAGTTTCACCATTCTCATTTTCTTTGATTCCTATTTCCTATTCTACTACTTCTGGGTGCAGCCCCCCTAAAGCAAAAATTTCTGAATCCTAATGAAGATATCTTTATTCAAGGGAAAAAGTAATATATTGGAAAATTTAAATGGAAATCTGTTTCCCCCGCCAAGCTTTTCCTACACTACTTTTCTGAAAAGAAAGAGTAAAGCAGCCTAAAACCTATTACTATAGTTTACACCAAAAATGATCTCTGATAGAATCTACATATTAGGATGTGTCTATACCCCCCCCCAGAGCAGGTATTGTGTCCTCTTGTAGGCAGCTTCTTTCACCTCTTAAGATACATTACAGCCTTTCCTTAGGCAGTATAAATCTGTGTTCTTATAGTTCTGAGATTGTAGTGTCTAGCCACTTGGGGAAACATCTACACTTCAAGCTACATTTAGACAAACACACATGCACACACCCACACACATCCCCTCCCTATATCCATATCAGACACCTGTGGTGCATTCACTGGTTTCAGATGCACTTACACCGGCTACCTGGGATTCCTCTAAATTCCTACTTATGAATTTAGAAAAGGCAAAAATCATGTAGGCAAGCATTAGCTCCCAACAAGAGTGTAGACATGGATAAGTAAAGGTAGTGAGAGTGGGAAACCCATTTTATGAGATTTTATAAGACAAAATAGGGTAAGGACACACACATACACGCACACACAGTCCACATGCACCAGAAACACTCACCTGCTGTGGCTGAATGCAAAACTGAAGAGGCTTGGAAATCTACCGGTGGGGAGGGGCCTCACAGTCAACAGCCCAGAGAGCTTCGCCCTGCCCGGGTCTACACCTGCCCAGAGAGAATTTTGGTAATTTTAATAAAACCAAATTAAATCCTAAAGTAAGCCTAGTTGGTGATTCAGGAGGGATAGCCCCAGACCATTATAGGATAGCTATAAAATAAAAAATAATATATAGATGGATAAGAATAGGAGCAAAGCAAATAAAATCATTTTAATGGAGGAGAAAGGGAGCATGGCAGAGAAGAGGGAAAACTGCCAAGTGTGAAGAAAAAGTTGCTTACAGGATTCTCCAGGGTAGGAGAAGCTCTCTGGCCACCTTTTCTTTTTGTGGCTTTTGAGATGGGGGCCTGCAGAAGACAGAAAAGATTGGCACAAATCCTGGGATTTGTGCATTTGTAAGGAAAGCAGAACATGCTTCAGTAAAAAATGCCTCTCTACATAAAACAGAGAGGCAAAGAGGTCTGTGGTGTTGGAAATAGTGGAGGGGTGTGGAGGGCAGCAAGCCATTGACATCCCTGCTGTCAAGAAATGTATCTTTTAATTAGAGGGACAAGTTTGTATGCAAGACACTTGATGGATGTTGGCACTTTATGTAAGCATGTTTTACTTAGTTTTTCATGACATCTTATGAAATGTATAGTGTATTACTTAATTTAGTTGAGGAAACTGAAGCTCAAGGGGTTAAGCAATTTGCCCAAGGTCAAAAAGCTAGAATGTTGAAGTTCTAGGATTTGAACCCAGGCCTGGCTTGCTCAAAGCCTAAGCATGTTCTTTCTATTGCCATGAAAGAGACCAAATGTAGTGCCGATGTTTCCCAAGTAGATACAGATCTGGAGGGATGGTCAGTGTGTCAGCTTGTCCAACTTACCGCTCTTTGTGCAAAATCCCTGCCCTACTCCCTGGAGCCCCTTCCCTCACCCGAGAACTATCGTGGGCAGGGCCTCTTTGGCTGAGGTTGTCTTCTTTCTCCCTCACCACCCTTCACAAGAAGAAGACATCAAAGATTGCGCAGGGTCATAAAGAGAGGGAGGGTGTTAGAAGGGAGGAGCCACCCTGGGCTCATAAACTAGGCGGGGTTGGGGGGACCCACCCATTTGTCAGGCAACTCTGCATCTCACTTTCCCCAAAAACTGACATCTCAGCTCTTGCTTCAGGGCAGGGTGCTTAAGCAAAGTGCGGGTGGTGGGAGTGAAAGGAGGCACATGGGAGCGATTGGAGCACCGGGTCATTCTGACAGAAATGGCACCTCCTCTCCACCCGCACCCTGTGAGGCTGAGACATTTACGTGGATTCGTTTGGTTCTTGTTTCAGTTCTGCTGCTCTGTGGCCTTGAGGAGCTTCTTCCTGTCCTCTCATCTCTTCACCTTGTTCTGGGGTAAATCATCTCTGGACCGCCTTACCTGCTGAGCAGCTCACTGGAGACCACACCGTGGAGGCACACCACACAGAACAGCCAAACTCCCCAGGCCACAACCAGGCTACACCTCCTGAAAGACAACTGGAGAACCAAAGAGCATCAGTCTTTGTGGCCTCCCTGTACCATCTCCTCCTACCATCAGAGCATACCAGAGCCTCCAAACTCTTCTTGGGTAGTGTCAGAACCTGCAACGGTCATGTTAATTCAGTAAAAATGTCTGTGTCTTAGATCTGAGTGCAGTCGCCTCCGTTGACCTTTGAGCTCCCTAAGGACAGAAATCAGGTCTTAGCCCTAGAGGGTTCCTCCACTGAATGGAGAGCTCTGCACATAGCAGGGGCTCTTGAAATGGCATCACCAAAGTCGGTAAGAATCAAGAGGTTTGTTCTCCTATGCAAATTGGATAGTCCAAATTAAAATTCCCCTTCCTCCTGATTATTTTGATCATAGAACTGTTTTTTTCTTCATCAACATAGTCATCAGCAAGCATTTATTGAGCATTACTGGAGGGCTATGCTTGGTGTTTGGTACAAGAGATGTCAGGTCCTGCCATCAAGAGACATAAAATATACATTTTAATATACACAGAGTTTCTCAGCTCTGCCACTTTCCGGTCATGGGATGCCAGACAAATTTTTTAACTATTCTTTGTTTCTTATGTTAAAATGAAGAAAGCAAAAGCCCCTACCTCACAGGGTTGATGTAGCAATCTAATTAGATCGTGCATATAAAGCACCAGTGCCTGACACATAGTAAGCACCCAATAAGGTGGCTGTGGGAAACCAGCAAAAGTTTCTAAGCAGAAAAGTGGCAGAGAGAGAGAGAGAGAGAGGTGGAGATTGGAAAGCTTTACTCTACTCCCACTAACACAGAACTAGTGGGATAACAGCAAAAGATATTTAGATTGGGTCTAAGATAAAGTTAATAATAGGTGAATCAAATACTACATGAGCTCTTGTTCCCCTGACATCTTTAAGAACTGGGCATCCCATTTAAAAAAAAAAAAGAAGAATGAAATTATGTCCTTTGCAGCAACATGGATGCAGCTGGAGGCCATTATCCTAACCAAATTAACACAGAAGAAAACCAAATACCACATGTTCTCACGTATAAGTGGGAGCTAAACACTGAGTACATATGGACATAAAGATGGAAACAATAGACACTGAGGAATACTAAACGAGGAAGGAAGGCGGGGATGAGGGTTGAAAAACTACCTGTTGGGTACTATGCTCACTACCTGGGTGATGGGATCATTCCTACCCCAAACCTCAGCATCACACAATTCCCCCATGCAACAAACTTTCACGTGCACCTCCTGAACCTAAAATAAAAGCGGAAATTTTAAAAATTAAATAAATAAATAAATAAAAGAACAGGGCATCCAACCACGTGTTAACAGTATGGCCTAGAGATGGGACCCTGGACAGATTAGCCTCTGGGGATTACTTCTAAATAAGACTGCTTAGAATGTTCAAAACTTCAGCAATTAAATACTATCTGCATGTAAATGATGGCATTTTTTTCTCATTTTTCTTAATATTTATCTGACCTTACAGTTAGATTTACTGTGTATTTTACACCTGATATCTTTTGGGCCCCAGGCCAAGGTCATCTTATCCTGATTCTGTGAGTTAGGAACACTTCTGTGAATTAGAAATTCTGTATTCCCCATCCTGAAAAGTTCTTCAGAAAGGGCTCCCTAACTCCTTTTTCCATAGTTGGACAATAAAAAGACTTTCAGCCTCCTTGTAACAGTCACTACATTTTGATCAAATGCCAACTGGGTCACTTACTAGTTTTGTAACCTTGAGGAACTCACTAAACACTCTGTTCCTCAGTTTTCTCATCTGTAAAATGTGGGTAAGAATTCCAAGCACACAGGTTTATCATCGAATGATGATAAATGACAACACTTTGGAACTGTAAAATGCTCTTTAAATGTTAGTTATTATTATTACTACAATGTTTCAGTATTATGGAGAGAGAGAGAGAAAAGGAGGCAGTTGGCAGGAATTGTGACACCAAACCTCTTTTGATTTACATAGTTTGATTTATACATTTGACTTTTTTCTAAATCAAACAGTATTTTTGAAATCCTCAACAAACTGAAACACTGGTGTCTGCCAAGTGGGTAGCACCTGGGAGTTTAGAAGACTTCGTTGAAGTGACTGTTGTGTGGCGTTCAAAGGATGAAGCATTGGGGGTCTCTCATAACATACTGCAGGTTAGGTCCTGCAACTGTCAGTTCCTAGCTGGATTTAAAGAACTTTTAACCTCCAAACCCGGCAAAGGATGCTGGGACAGGAGCTAAATCTGTAATGGGAGGGGTGTGTAAATTCTGCTCCAAGGTGTGAAAATAAGGCCTAGAGGGAAGACATCAAGCAACCAGGCACCCTCCTTCCCTGAAGTCCTATTTATAGTATAAATAGTAATAGTAGGATTGGCAGATACGGGCTAAGGATAGGGAAACAAGGAGCAGAGCTTCTCTGAGCCCCAAAGACAGCAATTGCAATGAACTACATGTGTTTAGAGTCAGGCTGATGGCTGTCTTGCATCCTCAAGGAATAAACAATAATAACCCCAATCATCATCTCTCGATGTCAGAAAATAGTCATTAGTGTACTGCTCCTTCTAAACCTTCCCCAAGAGTAAGGCTCAGAGTTGGTCCCATTTTGTAGATAGAAAACTGACGCATCATGACTGATGCTAGCTGGGATAGGTACCAAGTTCAGGAAAAAAGTCCAGGTGTTTCCAGTTGCTATTTTATCCACAAGCACATGTTTACCCCCATAAAGATCTCTATCCAGCCGCAGTGGATGCCTATCTGAATTTTGGCAGTGACTGCAGTGGGAGGGTGGTGGAGTAGCATGGGCATTGCCATGAGAGGGCACAGGGCAGAATGGGGCAACCTGGCATCCCTCAGGGGGATGACGCTTGGGGGGATAACGCTTAGGGGGCTGGACTAGGGCACCTCTCACGTTTGGAAGCTTCAAGACTCTGCATTCTCAATGATTTCATCTCTCCATAATTTCCTTGCAACTAGCAACAAAGAATTTCTAAGTTCCAAGTATTTCCTCTTGCTTTGACTGAGTCTTGTGAAATCTAAAAGGACAGAGGAAAGAAGGACCCTCAGGACAGAAGACTTTCTCCCTTCTCCCCCAAATTATGGAGAGGGGCAGTGGGGCACACCTTATTCTAAGCAAGCCTGTTTACCAGCTGCCAGCCCAGACACCCTCCAACAAAATGCCATGGAGAATGATGTTGTGACTCATGGCTTGGCAAGTACCAGGATTATGCCCCAGGCTCCCAGATACCACACTGGCTCCTCCAGGTCGCTCTGGCTGGATCTCCTCCTCCGTTGCCCCAGAGGCATTCCTCATCTTGCCCTCTCCTCCCCAACCCCTCCCACTCTCAAATCATTCCAGGTAGTGGGTGTGGGGGACGGGAGAGGTAAGCAGGGTTAGAATTGGGATTTGGGTTAGGGTTAATTTCAGGATCAGGATTAAAGATAAGGTTAGGGATAGAGCCAGAGCTACTTTGTAGGATTTGGTTTAGTCAGTGGACTTTTAGCTGGTAGAAACAGAACTCTGCTAACTTACAAGTATTCAAGTCTTGGGTTAGCCGCCAAGATGTCTTGGTGACAGGTCCACTTTTCTTGGGCTCAGATTAGAAGGGTTAGAATCTAATTTAGAAAATAGGAAATGTCAACACTTAAAGATGTAATCAAGAATCACCTCTAGGAATCTAAGCAGAGGCTTTCTGGAATGCCTGGAATGTCTGGAAACATTCTAAGGGTTGTTGATACTTTAGAACCATTAAATCCATTCCCCAGGCATTGTGCAGTATTTTGTGACTTTACCTTGACCTCAGTCTTAGAACTTTCTAGTATACTCAAGAGTCTTTCTTGGATTTCTTTCCCGAGTCCTTTCCTTGTCTTATTGAATGAATTGTTCCTTTATCCCATCAGCATTGAGAATGACTGGGGGAGTAACTGAAGAACCAAGACCCTGATATTTGGGTATCTTGGGTGCCACCTTGGCAGAGAGGTACCCAGCAAAGCATTCTGCGTCTTCCCAGACTGAGACATCTGTCAGCACAGCTCAAGAGGTTCTCCCTCAGGCAAAGGACAAGACATACAGCAAGTTCTGAGCTCAATTTCTGAGGGCAGGAAGAAAATAAAACTAGGAAAACTGCAAGGGCAGCAGGGAGGTATGGAGCAGGAGGCTTCCCAGGAAGTCATGGGAGGCATTCAGGAGAAGTTGGAAGATAAACCAGAGTGGTATTATGGGGTTGAATTCCTAGAAACTCATACTTAGAGACTGTTCACACACACACACACACACACACACGCACATGCACACATATCAACACCTCCTTACATGAGGAGCCCAACCCAGTAAGGTGAACTAGCTGGCAGCCCACCCACTACTGGGCAACCAAAATCTCTTCCATTTGAAATGGGGCCTCAGTGTCTCTTCCTTCTTTCCTCACTCTCCTTCCCCACATCTGGCTCCTTTAGTGCTTGGAGACCCTTCTGTGGAGGGACTAGGAGGGTACGAAGCTGGCTAAGCCCAACCTCAGCTGCCTTCCCCATAAGCAGCAGCAAGATGGTGATGAGCTGCCCCCCTCAAGGCTCAGAGGCGAGGGATTTTTTTTTCTTTCAAACATGTCACATCTGGCACATCTGCTTTCTTAGCAATGATGCATCCCAAGGGGTATAATCAACACTTGGGGCGGGGCTCAGATGCAGGTCTGTACTTACAGAAGCCTGAGCCAGAGACGCCGAGAGCAACACTTAAGAGCACCAACTGCCCCCACTCCCCATCCACTGCAGGAGCTGAAGATCAGCTCCATCCCTGTGCACCTTTCTGCCTTAGAGCAGGTGCCCTCCTCACAGGCCACACATATTTTAGGGCACAGAAGACAATGAAATGGTGCATTTGCTTTGGACAATTCTATAATCCTTTCTTTTGTCCAACCCTAAACTCTCCTATTGGAATTAGAAGGAAACTGGAAAAGAACCATCTGCTCTTTCCTCTTCACAAGCTCAGAAGCAGGAGTCAGAAAGGCCCTGCAGCGCCTTCTCCAGTCTTTGTATCCTCTTCCCTCCTAGCTGCCCTCATCTCTTCCTTGCCCTTGTCAGGCCCCATCCCTTGCAACAGGTGGGAGCCTTCCCTCTGTGGACCTGGTGTTTCAAAGGCACTACCTAAATGCCTCACAGCAGCTGTTTGACAAAACACCACCAACAAACACTTTGACCCCTCTTCCCACTGGGACACTCCTCTTCCCATGCTTCCACTTTCCTGTGACTCCATCTTTCAGACATTCTGCCTCAGCTAGGAAAAATGTCTTCCATCCATGCAAATTTCCCTCTTTCTACCTTAAAGCTCACTCTTCTCTCTCATCAAAGACACCCTCCTTCCCTTTACTCTTTGGCCCTAAACCTTCTCTTCCAAACACTCCCTGACAAGCCTTCTGAAGGAAGGCTTCTGTGGACAAGCCACCGCATTCCATTCAGTAGTCCCTCTCCATCCTCCATCACTGCCAGGATCTCTGCCCTTGTCTTCATGTCTGCGTCTGTTGTGTGTCACATCATCCCCATCACACCAGGAGTCTCCTGAGGGTAGGGACTCTGCCTCTCCCTCCAGTATTCTGTATTCTTCAATGATTCTTGATTCAGTAAAGGAAGGTAACTGAGTGAGAGAGAGACATAGGGGCTAATACCTACTTTCCTTCTACAAAAAGACATAACCAATGTACACACACATACACAGACACACAGACACACACACACCCACAGACACACACCAAGTCATCCCAAAGATGACTGAGCTTGTCAGAAATAAATCATGTTTGGCTTTCAAACGCAACAGTAATTACACAGTATCTTAACTATCTGTGCAAACTGTCAGAGAAAATATATTGGCAATTCAGTGAAAGAGGAGGGGGAAGCTGCAGCATCCATCGAACACCACCCTCACCTCCTCTGAAGTCATCCAGAGAGAGGACAGCACGGAAGGGCGAAGGCGTGCCAGGGCCAGTCCCAACACTTTCAGAGTCTAATGGTTTTTCAGGTGAGATGTGCTGTCACAAGCTCCCAGGGAGGAGGGGACATTCAAGATGAATTGTATGCATCACCGGTCTTGAAAGATGTTGCAAAGAGCAGCAGGAGGGATTTAGGCTAAATTTTCTGAGGACATCCTGACCAGGTAGGTTCTGGAGACAGGGGCTCCAGAGAGATTGAGTCCTTTCCTTTGAGAGGTTCAGTCTCACCTTCTGTCCCCAGATAGAACTAGATCTAGACTATTCCAGAAGGTGGGAAGAATGATGTTTTAAAGATCCTTTTTTTTTTTTTTCTTGAGACAGAGTCTCGCTCTGTCACCCAGGCTGGAGTACAGTGGCGTGATCTTGGCTCACTGCAACCTCCGCCTCCCAGGTTCAAAAGATTCTCCTGCCTCAGCTGCCTGAATAGCTGGAATTATAGGTGTGTGCCACCACACCTGGCTAGTTTTTTTGTATTTTTAGTAGAGACAGGGTTTCACCATGTTAGCCAGGTTGGTCTCGAACTCCTGACCTCAGGTGATCCGCCAGCCTCAGCCTCCCAAAGTGCTGGGATTACAGCTGTGAGCCACTGTGCCTGGCCTAAAGGTCCCATTTAAAATTTTTAATATATTAATTTATTGAAATAAGACCCTGTGTCTGAGATTTGGGTTACTATGCTTTTATTAGTTCTAGTTATAATTTAGGGTGCTCCTCCCCCGATTTCTTCTCTCTCTAACATTTTTCCCAATCCCAGACTTACATTTGCCTCAACAATGTCCCTTTTCCTAGAAGTACTGCTTACCCCTTTCCAGGCCACTTTGCATCCACATCTTTCTGCTAAGGTTTTAGAGAAATCAGAATGATGAGTTTCAGGACCCCAAAAATACGTGGAACAGAGGGACAGCCCAAGGAGGGAGATGTGAAAGATGGGGAGCAAGAGTGAGGAGGGGGAGAAGAACGGGTAGAAGACAGGAGCCAGGGCCTAAGGTTTAGGATCTCAACCCAGAAGGAGAGTGCGGGGAGAGCAGAAGAAGCAGAGATTTCTCATGGCTCCTTTAGCCCGTCCCTTGGCTCAGTGCTGATTTCACAGGCTTGGTTACTCGCAGCACCAAGCCAAAGAAATGTGTTGTCTAAAGCTGAGAAAAGAAACATGTATTTATCAAGGAATTGCTCGCAGACATTTCTAATGTGTGCCTGTGTAGGTATACTAGTTACCTTAGGGGCAGGGGGAGAAGGAACGCTGCCATGGCAAAAGGTTGCCACACACGGCAGCTGGGGCAGAGTCTCATTCACCAGAGATGTTAGAAAACCAGATGGAACTCATCTGTCTAGGATGCTTCTTGATAATTTATTATTATTATTATTATTATTAATTATTGAGACAAGGTCTCACTCTTTTGCTCAGGCTGGAGTACAGTGGTGTGATCATTGTTCACTGTAACCTCAAACTCCTGAGTGCAAGCAATCCTCCTGCCTCAGCCTCCCACGTAGCTGGGACCACAGGCATGTACCATCATGCCTGGCTAATTTTTTATTTTTTTGGTAGAGATGAGGTCTTGCTATGCTGCCCAGCTAGTCTCAAACTCCTAGTCTCAAGCCCTTCTCCTGCCTTGGCCTCCCAAAGTGCTGGGATTATGAGCATGAGCCACAATGCCTGGCCCAATAATTCATTCTTACATTTTCCCAGAATTTCCTGACCTAACCAACTAATGAAACAACAACAACAAACGAAACCGAAAAAAGAACCCAAACAAAACCCCAAAATACATTGTATTCTTAATATAAACCAAGTACTACTAAGTACTAAGTATTCCTAAATAATACGTAGTAACCCCCATTTCCCTAGTTAGCATCTAGATGAATCCTATTCAGTTCAACACCCCAATTGTCTCTCTTGATCCACAAATCCCTCTGTGAAAGGAATGAAATTCTCTCTATTTTTCTCACAAGCCCTATTTTAATGTATGCCCTACAATATCAGTATCTTATTCTCCTAAAGTTGATGTTTAGGAGGCTTATAAGCATCCTGTAATAACAGCCACTCTATCTAGGGGCTAAAAGTAGTACGTATGACAGTCACACGAGCAACAGAGATTCAAGACAGGTATCCCTGGCCCCTAATGTTTAGCAAAGCCTTCCCACTTTCCCAAAGGGGTTATTCACATGCTATGGGACAGGGAGCTAGAGAAGTGATAGGTGACTCTTTTCCAGTTTGTGGAAGATAGAGCTTTAAGGCCATCCCCAAAGTGCCCAGGTTCCTAAAGATCCAGCATTCCCAAACTTCAAATACTGCTAGGCTGATATTTCCTGACCTGTCCCCACAGAGCCATGAAATCCAGCTATAAGGCAAACAAGGCCATGTTTGTCCCATAAAACCATCAAGTGCGAGCTAATTAAATGACATCATAAAACAGGGAGATAAACGCAGGTGGCAGGGAGCCCGCCTAGGGATGGGGATGGGATCAGATGGGTGGCAGAAATGAAGACATGTCAGGAGAAAAGATGGGAGTGAGTATCCTTGGCCTGAAGATTTCCTTAGGAGTTTCCCCAGCAGTAGAGACGGGGTTTCACCTTGTTGGCCAGGCTGGTCCCAGCAACAAGTGAGGGGTGGGGGAAAGGAGGGTCTGAAGATGGAGAAAAGCTCCACCAGGCCCAAAGGAAGCAAGGGGACCCTCACAAATGTGGACCTCCCCACAGCCACTTCCTGTAGAAGTGAATCCTTGTTCATTCCCTCATAAAGATTCTTACATATAACAGTTAAACCGATGTGCATTTATAGTCCTATGTGGAGATATACACACCTCAGTCTCCTATACACAAACATTCTAAACAAGGTAATTCTCCTCCAACTCATCTCATAACTGAGTTAGGTGTCTTCTACTCAAACACAGGAATTTGTAAGCCATGACCTTAGGGATTTCCTGTAGCTCTAAAAAAAACTCTGGTTTTGGGATCTCTGCACACTGAGAGCATTTTAAAGTGATATACAGTAACTGCTCCCCCAGAACAGGGGCGCATTGAGAAAGTCACCAAGATGATGGACACAGGGAGAAAATAAAGTTCATGTTCTTATTTGGCCACATGACCCAGAGCTCTGCTGCTTGCAGTGGAATGGATGAAGGCTACAACTGGTGAAGTTGCTTGTCCCAGACGTATACTCCAGCAAGTGAGGAATAGGAACTCACAGAATTCCTGAAATAAGCTTAAATTTTAGTTTTATTTGTAGATCTTCACAGGCAAAGTGAGGGTGAGTCTCAGGAACTCCTAAGACCTCACCCTCTTCCATCCCCAGCCCATCCACCCACGGTATGTCTTCTCACTCCTCCACCCAGGCTCACGTCCCATCCAGAGAAGTTCAACTGGCAGTTCAATTTCTCATCCCCATTCCCTTTCCCAAAGATGTTAGTGTTAGAAGGAAAAGTTGGGACCAGGGAAGAGTATCAGATCCATAAGACAAATTTAGCCAGGCTGCCATTTGTTCATGGATTCATTCATTCATTCACACATTAATTCAGCAAACAGTTATTAAGGGCCTTCTATGTACCAAACACAGGTCTAGGAACCGAAATATGAAAATGAATGACCCTAGCCCTGGTCTTGAGGAACACAAATCTCCTTGGGCAAGGCCATTTTCCCCAGCAATCCTAGAAGAATCCTGATCTCCTTTACCACCAGCCTCAACTTTCACCATTCTCCAGTGAGTTCTTCTTTCTGCTGAATGTGCAGAAAACTGGAGACCTGAATCACTGACAATAGAGGAGTTAATCTCCCTGGACACCTAGGTTCCTTGCCTGGCTCCACCCTGACTCCTTGGGCAGTTCTGGACAAGTCATGGACTCAGTTTCTCTACCTGGGAAGCGGGGGAGGCTCCCACTGATTAGTTCTCAACTTCAAGAGCAGCTTGGTGATTAATGGGTTCATGTCCGTGGGAGGCTTTGAGCTCTTGGGATGAAAGACACTCTAAAGCCCTGACTCTATTGGAAACTCTGCCCAGCCAACAAGATACCCTGAAACCAGAAAGGGGGCCTTTGATCATATATTAAGGGTTGTCTTTGGAAGAATGAACTAGAGGGAATGAGTTAAAACGGTAGCAGGAATTAAGGTAACCTGAAAAAAGCACTTTCTGGCTCCTGGGTGGAGTCTCTTCCTCTGGAGTTGTTTACAGATCTTTCACCTGCCTATGGAGAGGGGGCTCTGGATCATCTCAGAAGCTCCTTTTGGAAATCTTACAATCAACTCCATGTTAGATACCTTCCCACAAATATTTCTTCCTTAAACGGTTCCCCCCATCACCAGCATGAATCAAGCCACCTCTCCCACTGCATGAACTGGTAGTAAGCATAAAGAAGGACAGTCTATCAAATTCCATTTAACATAATATTTTTAAAAATATTTAACATAGTTAAATGTACTTTAAATTTTTGTTATACAATTTATCTAAAATCTATCAAGTATTCATTATCAAGGCAAAGTGTAAATATCAAGATTAAAACTGAGCTTATGAAGTCAGGCTGAATTTCAAATACTGGCTCTGCCATTTACCAGTTATATAACTTTGAGCAAGTTGCTTAAATTTAAACACCCTGGGCCTCAGTTTAATCATCTAAAAAATAGGAGTAATAATAATTCAAACATAATATGATACTGTAAAAGTTAAATTGAAAAACTCTGATACTACCAAGAGTTGGCAAAAATGGTAGAACAACAGAAAAGTTCAGGTACTCTGGTCAGAGTGAGAAGTGGTGCAACTACTTTGGAAAACAATTTGGTGTTACTGAGTAAACATGAATGTTCACATAACCCATAACCTGGAAATCCCACTAATAACTATATACCCTACAAAATGTGGGCACATGTGCACTAAGATATGTATTCAAGAATGTTCAGAGCAGTGTTGCTTTCAACTGATAAAAACTGGAAAGGATGCAGATGTCCATCACCAGTAGAAAGGATACGTTATGGTATATTCATACAATAAAATACATACAGCAATGAAAATAAACAAATTGCAACTACATGCAACAACATGGATGAACATCACAAATAAAATGTGGAGTAAGAAGTGCAAGGCACAAAAGAATATACACAGTGTGAGTTCATTCACATAAAATTCAAAAATAGCCAAACTACATTGTTCGAGGTAATAAAACCATGATGAAAAGCCAGAGAATTACTATCACAAAATACGGAATAGTTAGTTTTGGGAAGGGGAAAGGACTGTGATGAGAAAGAACATACAGGGGGCTTCTAAGGTGCTGGCCAAAAAAAAAAAAAATTTAATCTGAGTGGTGATTATATGATTGTTTCTATTTGCTGCATTATTCATTAAATGCATGTGTATTCTTTATGCACTCTTATGAATGTGTCATATTTCACAATCTAAACATATAAAGCATTTAATTAGGTTATCTATGTAAAGTGCATAACAAAATGCCTACTACATACTAAGATCTCAGTAAATGTTGTCTATTATATCCATCATTCATCCACCACTAGTTCAGAAAGTATCTGTACCATTTCTTCCCTCCGCCAATCATGGTATGCATGTGGACGTGTGCTTCTTATTTCTAATAGACATTTACTGATGCCCCACTACGTGCTACACACTGTGCTAGAAGGAGATGAACTGGACAGCATTCCCATCAAAGGAGCTCAATACAGTGACCTGAATGTACCAAGACAGCTCCTGCTTCTCCTCAGACACGAGGAGCCATCCAAACCATCCACATCTCTTTCCATATACTTGGGTTAAATGTTAACTTCTCAAAAATGACAAAATCACAAACCAGGATTTGCATCCAGGAGGAAACTCCCACCTCAAACCCCGCTGCATTTTTGCCAACCACATGGCCACCCCAGACCATAAGTACTATTCACCCAGCTGCACACACACCACATGCAGCCCAAATCACACCTGCCACACCCCCAACCATGGTAGAGAAAAAAGGACCGCGAAGAAAAATCCCCCCAGTGTCTGCACTAGCCCCCTGCTCATCCCTCTCCACCCCAATCCCACCATCCCAGCTTAAGGGCATGAAATACATTATGACCCTGGGCCTTCGTTTACATGTAACAAACAGGGGTCAATTTATTTCTAAATCACTTTTTTTATGGCTCTATTGAACTATTTGCCACATTATTTATACGTTAATGGGCCAGGCCCCTCTGGGAAGCTCCCCATCTAATAAATAACGTGCCAAATCATTAAGCAAGGTGATAAAATCAAAGCCATTTAAAAATACATCAACCTGTGTTCCCTTCCAGTGAAATAAGCTCCAGGGGACCAGGGAAAGGAAAGGGGAAAAAGAAAACCACTTTCTATTACTGAGTTTGGTCAGGTGTAGATTTTTTTTGTTTTTTTTTCCTGGGCTTGAGATAAAAATCAGAGCTGGGAGATGTAGATAACCTGGCTGCTTACCCATATCCCCAGCAGCTAGGGGAGAGGAAGTGAATTGGTATTACAGTAAGGATGGTTCCAAGTCAGCTTCAGGCAAGAGGAAACAGGGGCATCAGATTCTACCCCCCTCCTGCCACTTAGGAGTATCTGGGGCAGACACAGAAGCCCAACTGGGCAAATAAAGTTATGTCCTCTGGCTGGGCGTTCGGGAGTTCAAAAGAAAATACACTAGAGACCTTCACCTTCCTACCTGCATTCCATCACTATAATTCTCTCTTACGAATTTCGGTATTTATAATTAATCTGAGTCACAGAGAAGAACATTAGTAATGATGATTACTCCGGCTTCCCTCCATTCCCCACTCCTCACCCAAAGGGCTTACCACACCTTTTTTCACCATCAACCCACTCAGAAAACCCATGCAAAGCTAGCATAGCAGTTCTGAGAGTATGTGGGCTGGAAGAACTGCTTTTGAGGTCCCTAAGGAATACAACCCTCCAGTGATTCTGAGAGAAGGGAACGGGAGCCCATCAGTCCATCCCTATCCTAAGGCTCCCTGTGGGTAGATGCCAGCCTTAGATGCTAGAAGGAATGACCCAAATAGATTGCATCCTGGTTGATGGGAAAGGCAAAACCCACTCCTCAGGACTCTAAGCAGCAATACAAATGAAGAAGTACAAACTGAGTGTCTAAGCAGAGAGGGCACACAGAGCAAATAAATTATCTGTAGGCTTAAATAAATATGTAAGTTTTGGGCCGGGTGTGGAGGCTCATGCCTGTAATCCCAGAACTTTGGGATCACTTGAGCCTAGGAATTTGAGACCAGCCTAGGCAACACAGGGAGACCCTGTCTCTACAAAAAGTTTTCAAATTAGCTGGATGTGGTGGCACACACCTGTGTTCTCAGCTCCTCAGGAGGCTGAGCTGAGAGGATCACTTGATCCTCAGGTCAAGGCTGCAGTGAGTGGAGATCACACCACTGCACTCCAGCCTGGGCGACAGAGCCAGACCCTGCCTCAAAAACAAAAACAAAACCAAAAACAATGTAAGTCTTAAGCAAATAAACCAAGTGTTGTTTAACTCCATCCTAATAAGAGCCTTGAAAGGTAATTTACAAATTCAGAGAAACTAAAAGATTTAATGAAGACCACACACATGTAAGTAGAGGGCCAGGGTTTGACTCTATGTCTTTTTGTTGACAAAAAGCTGTATTATTTTATTAAATCATCATGTCAAGGAGCAGAGATGAGCTTTAAGTTGAGTTCTAAAGAAAGAGACACATATGGATAAACTAAGAGAGGAGGGGAAGTGTGGTTTGCCAGATAAAATACAGGACACCCATGCCCAAATATTTCATGGGACATACACTAAAAATTACTTGTTTATCTGAAATTCAAATTTAACTAGCACCCTGTATTCTTATTTCCTAAATCTGTCAGCATTTAAAGCAAGCAACTCTTAAGCCTTAAAGCAAGGCAAATGGCCTGAGTAAAAGCTCAAAAGAATAGGAAAACAAGGCTTGTGGGGAGGATGAAAATTATGTTTACCGGGTTGGTGCAGAGAGTTCCAGAGTGGGAAGTCAAAAAATAGGAAGATGGGCTGGGCACAGTGGCACATGCCTGTAATCCCAGTTACTCAGGAGGCTGAGGCAGGAGAATCACTTGAACTCGGGAGGCGGAGGTTGCAGTGAGCCAAGATTGCACTGCTGCACTCCAGCCTGGGCAACAGAGAAAGACTCTGTCTCAAATAAAAAATAAAAATAAAAAATAAATAAAAAATTTAAAAAAGCATAGGAAGATGAGGTTGGCCATAGTCAGCTGCTAGAAAGGTCTTCCAGAATGGACAGTTTAGACTTGATGGGCAATAGAAATGCTTTGATTCTAAGTTGTAAACTTAGGGAAGAGAACAATCATGGTTTCATATGACCATAGAATTTAGAATTACTTTAGTTTATAACAATATCATGCCTTTTATTAGTATAGTACTCTATAGTTCGCAAAGCACTTTCACATGTGTTATTTAATTGGAGCCTCAGGTACCTTGCATGGTAGGCAAAATGGATGCTTTCTGCCTCAGTTGACTCTGCTTCCACTTAGCCTATGAGCTGGTCTCCATCCTTCCCTTGACTACCAACATCCTGAAAGGCACTA
Source organism: Homo sapiens (assembly GCF_000001405.40). Taxonomy (NCBI): domain Eukaryota; kingdom Metazoa; phylum Chordata; class Mammalia; order Primates; family Hominidae; genus Homo; species Homo sapiens. The sequence goes on along the minus strand of NC_000012.12, from coordinate 53,834,349 downwards.
TCCTGCCCCTACTCCCAACTCTACCACTCTACTGAAACTGGTGTCACAAGGTCACCAGTGACGTATCCAAGGCTTCTTTTCATTCTTCATTCCACTTTCCCTCTCTTTGGCATTTAACATTGTTGACAAGCTACTCTATCTGTAATGCTGTTCATCTCTTGTTCTCCTACTTCCCGGATCAGTTTTTCTCAGTCTCTTTCACTCTTCTTTTGTTCTATTCTCCTTCCCTTAAAGTGGGCATGCCCAAGTTTCCATCTTTGGTCTTGTCCTTGGGTGCTTTCATCCATTCTATTGTCAAGCCCTGAATGTGTGCTAATGATTCCCAAATTTACATCTCTCCTGGCTTTCTAGATTAGAATTTTAAATTGCCTCCTAGACATTTCTATGCATGATTCCCATTCCAGTTCATCCTCCTACTACCAATAGATCTAGCCATCTTATCCACTTGATGAACACCATTACTTACTGGATAAGGTCCAATTCCTCAGCCAGATTTGTCAGTAGTCACACAGTTATGGCAAAATCTTGTCTAGATCAGGAGGTTGGCAAACTTTCTCTATAAAGGACCAGACAGTAAGTATTTTAGGCTTTGCAAGCAGCATTCAGTCTCTGTTGTATATTTCTCTTTGTTGTTGCTGTTATTGTTTAATACAACCCTTTTAAAAATGTTACAACCATTCTTAGCTTGAGGGTTGTATAAAAACAAGCTTGGGCTTTAGTTTGCCAACCCCTGGTCTAGGGTCAGGCCTCCTGATTCCCAACCTTGTTCTCTTTTCCTTGCTTGAGGAAGTTAGAAATTTATATTTACACAGTATTGACAGCTTTAAAAATTTTCTTTCATGTACATTATTTTACTTGTTCTTGCTTCTTTGAATCTCCATAAGATTCTGTACCTATCACATAGAACATATTCCAGTTCGTAACTGTTTACTCTACTAGGCTATTCTTTTTTTTTTCTTTCTGCCTTTATACAGTTAGCATCTTTACTAACCTGCTAGAACTGTTGTAACAAAGTATCACAAATTAAGTGGCTTAAGCAAGAGAAATTTATTGTCTCTCCATTCTGGAGGCTGGAAGTCCAAGACCACAGTGTCAGGAGGGTTGATTCCTTCTGAGGGCTGTGAGGGAAAACCCGTCCCGTGCCTCTCCCCTAGCTTCTGGTGCTCTGCTGGGAATCTTTGGTGTTCCTTGGCTTGTAAACACATTACCTGGGCCCTTGCCTTCATCTTCACATGCCATTTTCCCTGTCTTAAAAAAATGTTACATCTCATTCATTTTTGTACATTCCATAGCAACTAGACCAATGTGTTATTCATAATAGGTACTTTAAAATTTAAAACCTAGTTGTTTTGTTTTGCTTTTTTTAACTTCAATGGGAGAAATGAGGAAGGGTCTGAAGATTAAACACTCACTCAGGTGGCTAGTGCTAGCTGGACAGGTAATGACACTGCTCTTGATTGTAAGGATAGCCGTGGGACAAGAAGAAATGGAAAGGAGGAGAGAAACCCCACAATACCAAGCTCTGTACTTCCCCCACTGGGAGTTCCTTCTCTCTAAGAGTTGAACTGCCTAAAGTTTTTCCAAGAGAAAACCCAAGCTGTCTGGGAGCTATGACTGCCCCCAGGGGTCTTAACAGCTTCTCTTGAGTACCAGAGCCCTAGACCTGATTGGAATGGAATCAGAGAATCTTAAAGTGAGAAAGGACCTTAGAGATGCAGCTTCCCATCAGAATGGTTGTGGTCAACTCCAAGTTTTCTGGGCTAACGTGGGAGGGCTGTGACACAGTTCTTGTCAAGTCAGTTTTTAAAAAATGAAAATTATTTATTTGGGACTTTTTAATGTAGGCTTTTTTTTAATGTTCCAAAAATGTGCATCTACCTTCAGAATTGTCTTAGAAATTATGTCTCATAAGTACACCTTGCTGGGGAATAAAGGAGAAGGCAGTCTTGATTAGGAAAAGACATTGAATGAGAGTTGACTCCATTATTCCTGCAGCTCACCTGAGACCTGGGGGTTAGGATAAAATAATTTCATTGTAATATCAGGGCCTCAAATATACTTGTTAGTAAATGTATTAATCTACTCTTTTCATGGAGCTTTGCCCTCATATGTCTTCCTACCTTCTCTTACTAACTCTGCATTTGGAAGGAGCAAAGAATTCCAGACATTTGAGCTTGGGAATTCCAGAGGCACAGCTAATCAATGGTCTATCACGGGAGCCTTGAAGTGAGGACACCTTCACCCTAAATACCTAGGGCTAATTCAATTAGTGGCCTCAATGGAATAAAAGTAGGGGAGACTCCCCCAGTGGCCATCAACCAGTAGACATGATCAGGGCCTGCAGTATGAGCTGGGCTCAAAGCCATTAAGACTAGAGCCGCCCTCCCTTTGCTTAGGATCAGTTCTTTGCACCAAAGACATTCATTCAAAATAACTGGCCAGTGGCCATAGTGTAAATGGCCTTGTATACCATGACACCATAGGTGTCAGTTTCTTCTTTTAAACAAATGTCATATCAAGTCAGGAAATAACTCTGATAGCTAATGACAACAGGAGTCAGAAAATGGTTGGTACAAAGAGCTTGCAAACACACTACAGAGCCTCACTGAGCAAGATGTACTCATGGACGGAGAGCATTGGCATCACTTGGAGGCTTACTAAACATGCAGAATTTTCAGACCCCACTATAGAGTCACTGAATCAGAATATGCACTTTAACAAGGCTTCAGCTGATTTGCATGCTTATTAATATTTCAATGCATTAATGAAGAGGATAAGGGTTTACTAGTTAACAGCTGTGTGACCTTGAGCAAGTTATTTGACTTCTTCATAGCTCAGTTTCCTGATCTATAAAGCGGGAATGATAATAGTATCTCCTCATCCAATTGCTGTAAGACCTTAGTTAACACATGAAAGGCTTAGAACAATGCCTGGCACTGGTAGGCATTCAGTGACTACTAGCCATTATTAATATTATCTTTGATGCACTCCTTTATGGTGAAAAGACAGACCTCGAAGTGATAAGTGGGGAGAATATATGTTTGTGTGTGTGTGGTGGAATGGAGAGAAGGGCACTGACAACAGGAGGAATTTTTTTTTTTTTTTGAGACGGAGTCTCGCTCTATCACCAAGCTGGAGTGCAGTGGCGCAATCTCAGCTCACTGCAACCTCTGCCTCCCGGGTTCAAGCAATTCTTCTGCCTCAGCCTCCCAGGTACCTGGGACTACAGGCACATGCCACCATGCCCAGCTAATTTTTGTATTTTTAGTAGAGATGGGGTTTCACCATGTTGGCCAGGATGGTCTCGATCTCTTGACCTCGTGATCCACCCACCTCGGCCTCCCAACGTGCTGGGATTACAGGTGTGGGCCACCGTGCCTGGCCTACTTCTTTAATTAATAATGACTCAATTGTGGGAGCATTCAGCCAAGCTTGGGGTACCCAGAGCTCCAGGACAAGTGACTGGTCATTCATATCATAGATTTATCAACATGTACCATTGGCAGGCCCTCTGCTGGTACTAGAGATATTGTGGTAAACAAGACAGACAAGGCCACAGCCCAGAAGTTAGAGAAGATCTGTAAGGTCCATTAACACTAAAGGAAGTCAGGCCTATCAGCATTATGTTGTTGTGCTTCATTTAGACAAACTAATCGTGGGGCCTTGGAAATTTGGTTTGGCTCTCTCCACAGAGTTTATTAACCTGATAGTTGCTCCAATTCTCTTTCCTTCCACTTCTCATAGGCAGCCAGCTAGAGCAGCTCTGCAGCTCAGTTGGCTGGATCAACTGTGGAGCTGAATGCGATGACCAAGAGCTGGCTATTTTAGAAGCTGAACCCTCAGCTTCACTTTGAGATGGGAAGATCCAGTGGGCCTGTTGTCCACACAGTCCTAGTTTTGGGGAATTGCCTTTCTAAAATGCAGGTCCTATCTTGTTACTCCTCTGTTTAAAAACCTCTAATGGTATACAAGGCCATTTACACTCTAGCCCCAAACTATTTGGCAGTCTCATTACAAATTACCACCCCTCCCTAGCATGCACTCCATATCCTAACTACAAGAGTGGCTGAAAACTGGAGCTCTACTCAGAACTGGGATTCAAACCTAAGCTCTGTTGCTTACTGTATATGTGAAACAGGGCAAGTTACTCAACCTAAGTCTCTGTTTTTGCATATGTTAAATAGTAATAACAAAACAATAATAAAAATAGCTTATTCATATCAGGCACTGTTCTAAGCACTTTGCATCTATTGATCACTTAATTTTCACTACAGAGCAACTACATAGCATTGTTGTGAAGATTAAGTGAATCAACACATGCAAGTTCCTAGAACAGTGTATGATATGAATATGAGCTATTTTTATCATTTTTTAATTATTATTAATATTAACAAAAACAAATAGCCTTTATCATGCCTCCATACCTTTAGTAATATAGTTCCTTCTCCCTGGACATGCTAACTCCCTTCTCTGTGCTGCAAACTCCTAGTGTTCCTCCAAAAGATCCAGCTTTTCAGGCTTCTGTACCCAGAATAAGTCACCTCTTCTATGCATATACTCATAGCACTCTAAATACTCTATACCACACTTATTCTAGTGCACTGAAAATAATGTTTGCAAGCTTACAAACACTTTCCACCACTAGACTGTGAACATCTCAGCAGTAAAAATCCTATCTGGTTTACTCTATATCACTAGGGCTGACTCTAACATATGGAACACAGCAGGTACTAAATGAGTGCTTGTTGAGTTAATAAACGGAGGTCTGACTGAATGAGTAAATGCTTTCAGGAAAGGCCCTAGAACGGAGTTCCAGAGAAAAGCAGGCTTGGGGAGTGAAACAGTCTAGGTATCTTCTGCCCTGCATCTCCCACCTCCTCAGCAGCAAAGCCAGCCACCAGCACATGCTCCCCACCTTCACTAGGCCTGACTGCACCTCCCCACCAAGAACACCCCCCAGTACCCCCTCTTGCTATAGACACTCCACTCACTTCTGCCTCTGGCAGTGACAGAAATGAAGAGGATTACATCATTTGTTACAACAAAATGGTTATTATAGTAATAAGTATAATTAGCATCAGACAATTACAATAATAACACATTTCCTGCTGCAAAGGTACTTTTTTAACAAACAGGTTTATTTAATGCCCCCTACACTCCCCCCTTAAGAAAAAACAACTCTTTTCACGAAGAGCAGAGGCCTCTTTCATTCTGAGATGCTATCTTAATGAAGGAACATTATTGACAAACCCCATAAAATGGGAGCAGATTCCCTTGGAGTAAAATCTCTCTTCCTCTCCCTCTGGTTTCTCTGGGGAAAAGAAAACCTGTGTCTCTCTTTCGAGGGATTAGGAGAACTGGTTGAAGGATAGACAAGATAGGGCCAGGGAGAGGCAAAAAGAAAAATTTTCTTAGACAGCTAGAGCTTAATATCAGTTGTTAACTGTCTCTCATCCTTTCTTCCTGGGTTGGACACACCAGGAAGAGAAAACAAGGCATTCATTCATAGTGGTGAATGAGTGTCTTAGGTATTTTTCCAAGCTGTAAGGGAGCAAGAAGTGCTTAGAGTGAGATGGCACAAAGATCTAGCAGGAGGTCGAAAATGAAAATAAATGAAAAAATAAAGAGGGCACAATCTTACGTCACACAGACATACCTGCATTAGATGCATACACATGCTCATACTCAATCTTTTTAGTTATCTCCTGCTTCTTCCAAAAAATAATTAGGAAGAGATTACAGTGATGACATTTAATAGAGGATTTAAAAATTAGATAGGTAGCCAGGCGCGGTTGCTCACGCCTATAATCCCAGCACTTTGGGAGGCCAAGGCGGGTGGATCATGAGGTCAGGAGTTTGAAAACAGCCTGGCCAACACAGTGAAGCCCCGTTTCTACTGAAAATACAAAAACTTAGCCGAGTGTGGTGGCAGGTGCCTGTAATCCCAGCTACTTGGGAGGCTGAGGCAGGAGAATCTCTTGAACCTGGGAGGCGGAGGTTGCAGTGAGCCAAGATCGTGCCATTGCACTCTAGCCCAGGCGACAGTGCAAGACTCCATCTCAAAAAAAAAAAAAAAAATTAGATAGGTGAGGATATCAGTATACACTTAAGCATTTAATGAACTTGATGGCATATACATAAGGGCATGTGTACCTTCCAAGCATATTTATAGACTTAGGCACACCCCACATACATACATAGGAATATACCCTGCACATAGTAGGCTCTCAATAAACACTTTTTGAATTCAGGAAACAATCCCACCCCTAAATACAAAGAAATATAAAAATAAGTAGTTCAAAAAGATGCAACCTAAGATACAGACATATAAATACATATAAACATTCGCACATAAATATGAATGTGAATATAATATTAATACATGCCTCAAATATATAAACTAGACCACTATCCATATGCACATGTAGTGTACACACCATTTTACACACATACATAAAATTAAACCTCACTTTTTTTTTACCACAGACACAGCCTAGGTAGACATATAAGCACTTTGCAGACCCATATATACATATAAAACATGGTCACATTTTCACATACATGTCCAAGCGCACACTTACATAAAAACACATTCATACACATAGGTGCATATAGACCCAACACACACACACACACACACACACATACACACACACAATATATATATATATAAATCAAACCAGAATAGCTATAAAGATAAGCATCTCTGCTCATAGTTCTTATCTTCTCTTAGTGACAGTGCTCATAGGCATGGATTTAATCTAGAGCTCTAGCCCATCACACACAATGCAAGAAGAGGCAAGAGGTTTGGGCCACCCACTAGGGAACCTGTCTGTCTCCAAGGCCATCCACATATGCACATGTCTTTTGTAAGCACCCTGGAGCCTTGACCTCACCACAGATGACTGGGAATGAAATATGCACTGACCCACCTTCCTAGGTGCTCCAGGTCAAGCTCCTTTACCTTTATTGACTCCCAGGATCTGGGTTATTCCATCACAATTCCCAGATGAACTTTCTTCAACTCTCTTTGAATTATCAACCAAGTAGTTTGCCCCATAAACCAGGGATACCCCACCTCTCCACACCCACTCCTGTCAGCAGAGAGTATGCTCTCTTCTCTTGATACCAATGCTCCTCTTCCAAGCAGCCTTCTCAGATCTTTCCCTTAAGACATTCAGCTGCATATGGAACAACCATATTTTCTTTCCACAAATATCTTTCCTTTCTTGTAAAATGCATTTACTCCAGCTCTCTTTAGTCACAGATTGGTTTAAAGCTTTATTGTATTATTTGTATATCCTTTACTGGTATGTCAAGATATCCACCTAAGATTTTGTTTCTGGTTCTTAGGAGATTGGGCCTACCTGTGGATGCCTTTGTACAGAACTAGAAGAGGACTGAAGGATAATTTAATTCAGCCTTCTCATTTTCCAGGTAAAGAAATGGAGGTCCATAGAGGAGAAGTGATTTTTCCAGAGTCACAAAACTGAGTGTCAAAGAGGGATGCAAGTTCAGGTTCCTGTCTCTTAATTCAATATTCCTGCTACTACATCAGCATTTCTCAAACTGAATTTAATGGAATGCTAATGTCCCAAGAACGAATAAGAGGTTTTCCTTTAAAAGTGGCTTCCATGGTCTAATAATTTGGAAAATATTGCAAATGATGTCTCCCTCTTGAGATTTCAAATGAATATTAATATGTTAAAGGTTCTGAGAAGCCCTGCTGCTTAAGATTTTAATTTTGTCTCATTCACTGTCTCCTAAAATGACCTGATTCAATGCTTTTTCAAGAAACCCTTATTAACATTAGGTGAAACCTCAGTGCTTTGAGGATTACACAGTTTAGGAAACAGCACTCCCTTAAACACAACAAGGAGGAGGGGCTGAGTTGGGTTCCTTCTTTTTAAAAATCATTGAGAAGGAATAAGCTGAGCACACATACACGCGCAAGAGGCTGCCTCCTCTTCTGTGAGGGAAAATGGGGAGCAGGGCTTGATGAAATCCCAAGAGTAAAAATGATCCACCAAAGGCTTAATGAAAGGAGATGGTTTGGGTTCAGAACTAAGTTCTTCCAATGGTGGTAAGGGAGAGAAAATGTATTGTTATTCTTACAAGATGTCTGGAAAAGGGTACTTCAAACCTTTTAGTTAAAAGATGGAAGCATTGGGCTGGGCGCAATGGCTCACACCTGTATTCCCAGCACTTTGGGAGGCCAAGGGGGGCAATCACCTGAGGTCAGGAGTTCAAGACCAGCCTGGCCAACATGGCAAAACCCCGTCTCTACTAAAAACAAAAATTAACCAGGCATGGTGGCGCACACCTGTAGTCCCACCTATTTGGGAGGCTGAGGCAGGAGAATCACTGGAACCCAGGAGGTGGAGGTTACAGTGAGCCGAGATCGCACCATTGCACTCCAGCCTGGTTGACAGAGCGAGACTCTGTCTCAAATAAATAAATAAATAAATAAGTAAATAAATAAATAAAGATGGAAGCATCAGCATTCTCCATAGCAAAAATCAGTAAGCTCCCATCCTAAGAGAGGAGAGCCTCACATATAGCAGGTGTTCAATAAATATTTGTCAAATGAATGAATCAGTGAAGCAAGCTGATTTGCCTCAAGCAATGGAGAGGGCCCAAGTCAAATGAATTGGAAGTCACTGCTAGTCTTCTGCACCTCCAGGGAGGGTTAACGTTCTATGGGAAGAAAGAGTAGGAATATATGACCAGAGAGCCCTAACCTTTGGCTCTCTAATTTTCCACAGGGCCTGAGGGATTTTTCTGGCAAACCCCAGCAATGGACCTGAGTATAGTTGGTGGAGGGAATGAGTCAGGTTGAGCTGTTTGTTTGTTCTCCAGGGCAGGGTCATGCAAGAGTCAATAAACACACTGGAGCCTCTTTGACTGGAGCTTGGAGCAAGAGATCGGCTTGTTTGTTCTAGAGAATTTGAACTTGGGTCAAAATGGCTCTCAAGGCCTCCCTTCCCCGAGGTAGAGGCCTCCAGGCAGCAACTGAGGTTATCCATTGGGCAGCCAGGTGCTCTACCTAACAATGCATTACACATAGGAAGGTCCCTCCACCAAGCTAGTTTTTTATTTTATAACCTGCAGTGGACACACCAATCTGCCACCTACTAGTTATGGGATGTCTTATTATTTAATACAGGCCACAAAATTGGTAATAGCATCAAGATCAGGCAAGGGCATAACCAAGTTGGTTCATAGGGTTACAGAATCCCAGGACTGGAAATAACCATAAGAAGGAATTTCAAATAGGTGCCAACTGCCTCTAAATGGGATCAGCATTCCCACTACCCCTAAGTTGACAGTCTTCTTTTCTTTCCTGAAATGCAGAGGTCATTTGAACTTTCTCAGACTATCCCAGGTCTAGCTCTAGTCAGGCAGCAGTATAAGCTCCCCGTGTGTGTTCTGAGGGGCCTTCCCCTTAAGAAGTTCCTCATCTAAGTAAATTGACAGAACACAAATATCTAAAAAATGACTTCAGAGGCCGGGCACAGTGGCTCACACCTGTAATCCCAGCACTTTCAGCGGCCAAGACAGGCGGATCACCTGAGGTGGGGAATTCTAGACCAGCCTGAACAACATGGAGAAACCTCGTCTCTACTAAAAATACAAAATTAGCCGGGCATGGTGGTGCATGCCTGTAATCCCAGCTACTCAGGAGACTGAGGCAGGAGAATTGCTTGAACCTGGGAGGAGGAGGTTGCGGTGAGCCGAGATTGCACCATTGCACTCCAGCCTGGGCAACAAGAGTGAAACTCTGTCTCAAAAAAAAAAAAAAAAGACTTCAAAATGCTTATTAAGCAATAAAGCAGCAGCAAGTATAAACCAACAATGGGGCTGAAAAGATGCAGAGTCAAGAAATATTCCAAGTAAGAAGGGGTTATTTTGGGAAGGTTTCCTGCAAGAGGGAGTGTGGAATTGGGTTGGAGAGGAAGCAAGGAGCAGAAGGGAGAGAAAAGTAAAGGCAATCCAGCCTGAGGAGGGGGAGTGCTTACAGGAGGTTTCAGAGGCAGAAAACGTGTGGCATGGACAGGAGGCCAGGGAGGAGCTCAGTTTGCCGAAAATAGACAACAGGAAGGGACAGAAAAGAACCGAGGGGAAGGCGGTTAAGGGGAGCCTTGCAAGTGAGGCTAGAGTTTGTGATGCGCAGTAGCACAGTGCAGTTTCAAAAGTGTGAGTCAAGAGACACGGGTTTCAGCCCTGGATCTGCCACCACCTCATGTACCATAAATCTCAGTCTCCTCATCTGTAAAATAAGGACATTGTATGAGAAGATTAATAAGGTCCCTTGCAGTTCCAAAGCTGCAATGCTGAGGTACAAGAGACAATAAGGACTACCACGGCGGGTCCTCAACAAATCCATTTAATATTTTTTCCCTTATACAAGACAAGTCTAAGTTCCCTTTATCCCTGAGACTGAATTACAACTTGAGCATATTTACTACGTCAAAGATTAATCCTCTAAACCCAGCAAGCTCGCTGGTTGAGCAGCAAGGAAATATCTCTATAAAAAGAATAGACTCTATAAATTATTGGTCACTTACCTAGAGTTGTTACTAAATTATTTTAAAAGGATATATATTCTGCTCCTACACTCTCACTTCTGTCTCTCTCAGACTAATTGCTTCCTGAACTAGGAAGGGTGTCCAAACAGAGACCTAGGAAGTTTGATATATTCCGGATCCTTCAACTGCTGGGATTCCAGATGATAAATAAACTGCGCAGCGGAATTTGTATCAACCTATTCACAGACTTGAAAGGAGTAAGAGGGTAAGTCATTGAAATTATCCTCCTTTTTCCTCTTCCACATTCTGAGCAGCATAACATTTCAACTGGCTTTAATTGAGATAGTGTCAGCTTCTACCCCAGCCTTTAGCATATTGTATTCTCTGTCCACCACTCTAAATAAGAGCTAGCGTAGTGACTGGCACATAGTACTTAGCGTGTGACCATTCTGTGCATGAATGCATAGATTGAGAAATCACAATCTAACTGAGAAGGTCTTCCTAGTGGCTAGCCTTAGTCTGATGCTGTCACAACCACTCTCCCCTGCTGCTGGCTGGGCCCATAAATGACATCTCCCTGCACCAGAGTTAGGTGTCTACTGCTTTATCCCAGTACCCTAGGCACTCCTCTGTCACAGCTCTTCTCATGCTCTATTGTAAATTCTGGTTTACTTCTTTATCTTCCCACCAACCTGAAAGCACCTAAAAGGTAAAGACCTTATCTTCTTCATTTTTGCATCCCTTGTCCAGAATAGTAGCAATAAAAATAAGGCAATTTGTTGAATAAATCAATGAAGCACAACAAGTCATCCTTTCTGTGTTTTGAACAAAGAAAGACTTTTAGAAGAATATCAAAGATCAATTTCTATGATATACATATCCTCATCACATTGTGTCTACTTAGCCACAGAGGATTACAGGCTGGGTGTGGTGGCTCATGCCTATAACTCCAGAACTTCGGGGGGCCAAAGCTGGAAGATCACTTGAGCCAAGGAGTTTGAGACCAGCCTGGGTAATACAGTAAGACCTTGTCTCTACTAAAAATAAAAAAAAAATTTAAATTATCCAGGAAGCTAGGTATGGTGGCTTGCACCTGTAATCCCAGCACTTTGGGAGGCCGAGGCAGGCGGATCACCTGAGGTCAGGAGTTCGAGACCAGCCTGGGCAACATGGCGAAACCCCATCTCCACTAAAAATACAAAAATTAGCCGGGCATGGTGGTGTGCACCTGTAATCCCAGCTACTTGGGAGGTTGAGGCAGGAGAATTGCTTGAACCAGGGAGGCAGAGGTTGCAGTGAGCTGAGATCCTGCCATTTCACTCCAGCCTGGGCAACAGAGTGAGGCTCAGTATTAAAAAAAAAAATTATCCAGGCATTTTGGTGTGCACCTATAGTCCCAGCTACTTGGGAGGCTGAGGTAGGAGGATCACTTGAACCCAGGAGTCCAGGTTGCAGTGAGCTATGATCACACCACTGTGCTCCAGTCTGGGTGATAGAATGAGACCTGTCTGAAAAAAGGAGAAGGAAGAGGAGGAGGAGAAAGAAGAAGAAGAAGAAGAAGAAGCAGCGGAGGAAGAAGAAGAGGGAGGAGGAGGAGGGAGAAGAAGGAGGAGGAGGAGGAGGTTATAGAAGCAATAATATGCATATTTTAACTCTTCAAACATGCTTCAGAAAAACAAAAGTTATCTACACAGATCAAATTATCTAGCTAATTGTTCACCTCTAGCAACTTGGAAAATATGAATTCGGGGTCTAAAGTGTGCTATGAGAGGTGTGGAATAAAGCAAAAAGTGCAAACACAGGCCTTGCTTCCAGGAACTCCTGGACTGAAACACACATCAGTAAGATTAACACAAGAAAGTTGAAGACCATTAATGCTATACCATTAGCCAAAGAAAGACATCAGACAAGATAAGGCTCAGAGGTACTTGGCTTGGGAAAGAACAGAGTTTGCTGATCATTAACATTTTGACACACTTATTGGCCCATGAGAGTTGCTTAGGTATCATAAGGAAACAGCACATTGCTGGAAGGATGAGAAAAAGACAATCTAGTAGTTTGAGGATCTAGTAGTTTGAGGATCTAGTAATTGAAATCAAGGCCTGAAGTGCAATTTGGAACAATGTTCAGCATTATAGGGGAAGAGGAAATAGACCAAAAAGTTATTGAACAGGAGTGGAACAAGCAGAGTAGTAGTAAAATAGGAGATCTCCGGCCTGATTTGTAGGGTGTCATGAAGTTCTTATAAAGCTGGAGGTGTACCGTAGGGGATCATTAGGAGAGAGTGACAGTAATATGAGCTAATTAATCAACTGGAAAACTAAAATGGCAAGACTCTAGATGATTCATAATGAGATCTATGCTCCTAAGATGGTCAACATCTCAAAATCACCTTCCTCTACCCAAAGGCTATTTCCATTGCTTGAGCCCAGGAACTCGAGGCTGCAGTGAGCTATGATCACGTCACTGCATTTCAGGCTGAGTGGCAGAGTGAGACCCTGTCTCTAAAAAGAAAAAAAAAAGTCATTTACTCTATCTAAGAATGACCTCCTCCTTTTCAGCTCCTTATTTGCCTCCTCCAGGAAGCCTTCCATAACTAAAATGCCTTTTCCCACACACAGATATTTAGAGCTTAGCCAGGCCATGTACTACTCATTGATTTCTTGACCTTTTGTCACTCACTGTATGCCTCTAGAGACTACAGCCTGTCTCATCTCAGTGGAAGGGCTCCTAGAATAGAAACAGTCTTATCCTCCTTTGTGAATTTTGCTCCCAGAAGTTGTTCATATTAGGAAAGCAAAGACTGCCTAGAGAAGACAGCCATCAGATGGCTCCATTCCCCACATCACAGAATCTGAAATGGGCTCTTCTCTCACCCTGGAGTTATGGAGCAGGAGTTATGGCTCTCCCTGTAAAAAGTCATTATAATTATGAAAAATGTCTACAGCTCTTTCCACCATTTAGGCAAAGCCTCTGGCTGTCCCGATGAGCAGAGATTTAAGATCCTGTTCTCCATAAAGATGGCTAGATAGCCCAAGAGATAGATGTGTTAACGCCTAATTGGTCAGTGTTGAGTCATCAAATCTGATTCAGAGAGCAGGATTGGACAGTCCTGCCAGATAAGGGAGGGCAGGAAACAGCCAGGGAGGAGAGTGGCAAAGGATTATTGCAGTCAGTCCTTTCTACCCTGGCTCCCCCTACACTTTCACGGTTCCTTTGCATAGAATTTCCAAGAACAGTAGATTCCAGTCTTTCTCAACAGTAGCCTCATTTGACTCCCCAGTAAGGCAGTGCTTCCTTTAGTCTAATCCTAACCCTTCATGTTTACAGTCCCAGTTGTTTCTCTTCTGGCCTCAGGAAAGGTCACTATTCTCCTGTTCTTGAGCTTGCAATACTTTAAATTCATTGATCAGCAGTTTCTTTTCTCCCTGTTTCCTCTCTCTCCCTCCTCCATTCCTGACCTTTCTCTTCTCCATATAAATCACTACTTTCTTACTGATACCCTTTTATCAAAGCCATGTGACTTTTAAAAAACACTTTTCTAGACCTCTAGCAATTGTAGTAAATAGCACATAATTCAGAGTGGGTAAAATTATCTAAATAACAGGCACTTTTATTTTATTATCTAAATAACAGGCACCTTTTTTTTTGTTTTTGTTTTTGTTTTGTTTGTTTTTGTTTTTTTGGGTTTTTTTGAGATGAAGTCTTGCTCTGTTGCCAGGCTGGAGTACAATGGCGCCATCTCGGCTCACTGCAACCTCCACCTCCCAGGTTCATGCGATTCCCCCGCCTCAGCCTCCTGAGTAGCTGGGACTACAGGTACACGCCACCATGCCTGGCTAGTTTTTTGCATTTTAGTAAAGATAGGGTTGTGCCATAACAGGCACTTTTGGCAGCAAACAATGCAGAGCTATAGACCAAACCCCAGGGACCTGTAGACTGGGACGATAATAACTGATCCAGCGTAGATGTGAGTGAAGATGGCACTGTCCAAATTTGTGGTTTTAAAAGCAAGGGAAAAGAGGACAGTCTCTGTGGTTAAGGTAAGAATGTTAATGCTAGAGTATGTGACATCTTCATTTCAGGCCTTTAAACATAAAAGAGCATCTCTCCTGTCTGGGTTAGATTTTTCAGGAAGTAAACATAACTTCCCAGGAGAACAAGACAAAATGACTTTTCAACAAAAATCTGTGACTTTTTTCCTTCCCAAGGAAGATGATTGTGTTTGTGGAGATGGTAAAGAAATGGTGTTTGTTCCCAGAGTAAAGGTGCTTAGGACAAGGACAAGCTGGGAAATAGGCACTTGAGGCTCCATTCTCTCTGCCTGTGATCCTCCTGCCCATCCGCGCCACCCCAGTGCTTGCAGGAGGAATGGAGCGGCAAGTCCATTGTTACCCCCTCAAAATACATTGCTACCATCCACGGTTATTAGAGACTAAAGCCCAGAACATAAACCTCACCCCTTTCAGGTAGAAAAGTGGAATGTGGTTGTGCCCTGTGGATTTGTTCACTCAGGACCTCAGAGTCCTTAAGGTTATCCTGGGTGATCCTTCTGCCCCTGCAATGGTCCTCCTCTTTCTTCATTTAAAACTCTGCAGAGAAGGTGCCTCTACCACTTCCTTGGTTTGTCATGCTTCCTATCTCTTCTACAAATTTAATATTATTTCTGAGCAGCTGTGGTTAGAACTCCTTTCCTTTTCTTCTCATGCCTACATATAAAATTGGTTTTTTCAAGCCCTTCTGCAAAATTGTTTTTTTCAAGTTCTCCTGCACCCAGCACTCCTCTCTCCTTTCAATTCTAGACACAGAAGACACAAATGAGGTGGCTATCCTCTAGCCCTGGCTTCTCGCTTCTGTCATTCTACACTCTTCAGAGTCACTTCACCCCCTAGAGAGTGAGTATTTCAGAATTTACTGAGCTTCTGCAGTGCTACCTGTCCAGCTGTGGAGGGAGGATGGCAAACAGTAAAAAGAACCTTGTTAGCATCCCATCAGCACCCAAGGCAGATATAGCAAGGCAGTCAGCCATTCCTCCTAGAACCAGGCACTCACTTCAAGGACAAAGGAAGCTGGATGTCCTGATCGTCTAGAGTAATTGCTGCCGCCACTACCCTGGCATTAATAACCCCAGAACAACTGACAGCCCTTTTCATCTGAAAGATCTCAAAGCACTTAGCTGCCAGGTGCTCATTAAGCCCTCTTGGGTGAGGTTGGCCCGATGGATCTGAGCCCTTGCTGCAGATGATTAGGGTCAGGGGGTGACTCAGAGAACCTAAGGAGCCAAATGTTGCAGGGAATAGGGGCCCATCAGCTTCCTACACGTGGGAAAATGAACCTCCTTGGCCCAGGTCTGGGTTCCGACTCCAGGGGGATGGAAAGGAGGCTAGCTCCTCCCCCAGCGTCTACAAGCAGGATCATGTAGAATTAATCAAACACAGAGCTCATTTACCCCAAATACCAGACAAGACTGTTTACACCCCAAGAACTGGCACGAAGTGTGAGGGAATGGGCAATTTTGGGGGGGTAAATTTGGAAGACAGAAGCAGAAATTAAGGAAGCATCTCCTCTTAAAGGAGATGGACAGTAGCTGAGGAAACACTCCCTGAATCAAGAGGGGGATCAGAGGATGATGATTCTGGGAAATTCAGTCCTTTAGAGTGACACTTCTTGGCAAGGCATGGAGGAGCTGAGCTTCATTTTCCTGCCTCTGGAAAAATGGATCACAGGCTAACTCCATGGAGGATTCAGATGGGGCACTAGAGAGACTGTCTCAGACAAGCATGTATTCCACTCACTCCCTTTTGCTGCTACAAGGAAATGAAGGTCTAAAAGGCTTTTGCCAGACGGCGTATGTGTTTTAGAATAGAGTCATGCCTACATCATAAGATATACTTTAAAATAATGGCATTTTGGTAACAATATGAAAATGCATAAGCGAACAAGATTGCATACTTCTTCTGCTCTCTTTGGATGACCCAAAGACAAGACACAGATTCACCTGTTGGCAATTGCTGGAATTTCAAGCACAGGTGCCTTCAGGGAAACTGCACCAAGCACCCATCTCTCTTCTCAATCTTAGACATTAACTTTAATACTTTAAACCAAAAAGAAGACAGTAGAGTCACTTAGTGACCTAACCTGTGGATTTAGAAGAAGATGACAACCTGAGTGTCAAATTTAGAAAACCAACCAACGACTTAGGGAAATATTCTTTGTGGGAAGAGATGGGGTCGGGTGATAGCTCCCTGGCTTGCCTCTGGAAACCAAAGCCCAGGAGCCCTCAAGAAACCCAAAGACCCCCCAGAAGGATGACCCTACTCTTGAAGACTACAGTCTCTCCAAAACTCTGAAACCAGAAATGACTAATGTACTCCTAAAAGTCACCTCTGTATCCCTCTGCCTCTTCTCACCCACAAATCTCCAACATCAACTCTTCTAGACATGAACAAGAGGAAGGTATCCATTTGCCAAGAGATTGGGGGTCCCCACCCCCAACCTCCAAGAGGTGGGGAAGGCAGGAGAAAAGACACTCATTAGCAAGTTGCAGGTGGTGTTACCAGGGTGTTATTTATTATTTGTTGGCTGCCAAGGCTTTCCTGAGCCTGCAAAGACAGAGCCATTGCCTCAGGGGCTGCAAAGTCTGAGACAGACAAACAACACACAACCCAGGCATGAAATCCACCCCACTGAGGAGCTGGGGGCAACATGGGGATAGGAGCCACCCTTTTCTCTGGGGAGTCCTCTGGTTCCTGGATTCTTGGGCAAGATACAAATGTGCAGGTACAATCCTAGATCAGAGCATAGTGGGCTCTGCAAAGGAATAAGAGGAGCAGCAAAGGAAGGAGCTCAGGCACAGGCTGAGGCAAGAGGTCTCAAAATGGTGTGAGAGGTAGGAGGAAATGAGATCAGGGTTACAGGCTGGGACAGCAGGCAGAGGAGGCGGGTTGGGGGGAGAGGTATTGCTGAATGGATGGGGGAGGCCAAGAGATGTCATCAGCTGTTGCGTGGGGGGAGCAATGATGCCAGAATGCAAGTTGTGGCAAGAAATGAACTGCCAGAGGTAGCGAATGATTGAATGGGAGTTTAGCCAGAGGGGGAGAGGGGCTTGGTCATCAATAATACCCTATGTTGAGATGCTACTGCTCCATTATAACTGGTTCATTCCCAGTGTAAGCAGACTACAAAAGAAAAAGGTTAGAGTGTGGCATGACAGGACTCTCCAAGACAACATTTGGCCATGTATGGGAGAAGCCCAACCATCTGAGAGAGTGGTGAGAGCTTTAAATCTCACTCATGACCTCTTTCCCTAGGAAAGTAATTTGAGGGCTCACTATCCCCTAGGAGTTCTAGCCCCTGGAATCTGCTTTGTCATCCAACTTCTTGGTCTGGCCTCATCCTATGTGCAGACCTCACTAACACAGGGAGCTCGTTTGACAGTTTAGCAAGAAGGACAGATCCTTGTGTCTAACCAAAGAAAAGTGCTTCTCTGTTGTTGTTGTTTTTTAAAAAAAACTATGTAGCTTCAAGAAGGACATACATGAAAAGGAGAGGGAGGTAGGGACTCCCATCTAGTCAGCCAGGTCAGCCTGGAAATGGATGAAGTGAGAGATGTCAGAACCACACTTAGCCCTCGCCCCAACATGGAGCAGCAGAAAACAAGGCCCAGGAGGAAGACAGAATGGACTCCAAACTAAATGAGTCGGTTGTGTGCCAACTATCAAGAAGTCCTTTGCTAGTCATGCACAGTGGCTCATATCTGTAATCCAAGCACTTTGGGAGGCCAAGGCAGGAGGACTGCTTGAGCCCGGCAGTTTGAGACCAGCCTGGGCAATATAGTGAGACCCTGTCTCTATAAAAAAATTAAAAATTTAGCCGAGTGTGGTGGCATGCACCTGTAGTCCCAGCTACTTGGGAGGCTAAGGTAGGAGAATTGCTTGAGCCTGGGAGGTAGAGGCTTCAGTGAGCCATGATCATACCACTGCACCCCAGCCTGGGTGACAGAGCAAGACCTTGTCTCAAATAAATAAATAAATAAATAAATAGAAGTAGAAGTCCTTTGTTAAGCTTAATTTCAGTACCTCCAGCTTTAACTTATCTCTTTTTCTCTTATTTGGAAGATGAGACTAGCAACTAATAATATTCTCCTTCATTTGGGAACCCAGGAATTCTAAGATAGGTTATCAAGCCCCTCAGCCCCCTCTGAACTCAGCCCTCTCCAGTACCCTTGCTGTACTCTTCTCAAGGCTACCAGGCTGGGCCATGTGAGGAATTTTGAAGACAAGAAACATCCTAAGGCTGGGCTAGGTGGCTCATGCCTATAATCCCAGCACTTCAGAAGGCCGAGCAGAAGGATTGCTTGAGGCCAAGAGTTCGAGACCAGCTTGGGCAACATGACAAAACCCCATCTCTACTAAAAATACAAAAAAATTAGCAAGCCTGGCCAACATGGCGAAACACTCTCTACAAAAAATACAAAAATTAGCTGGGCATGGTGGTGCATGCCTGTAGTCCCAGCTATTCAGGAGGCTGAAGTGGGAGGGTCACTTGAGCCCAGGAAGCAGAGGCTACAGTGAGCAGAGATCGTGCCACTGAACCCCAGCCTGGGCAACAGAGCAAGATCCTGTCTCTAACAAAACAGAACACAAAATATGTACCCATTACTCAATATCTTTGGAGGGTTCACCCTACAAAAACAACTTAACATGGGCAAATACTGCAGGCTGATCTCCCCTGTAATCCATGCCCAAGCAGAGAGGCCAAATACTAGACTCCTGCTTTAGGTTCACTAAACCTATCTGTGACAGGATGGACTGAAAGCTTTGATCTAAAGTGGCTCTAGGAGGCCAGGTGCAGTGGCTCATGCCTGTAATCCCAGCACTTTGGGAGGCCAAAGTGGGTGGATCACCTGAGGTTGAGAGTTAGAGACCAGCCTGGCCAACATGGTGAAACCCCGACTCTATTAAAAATATAAAAACTTAGGCAGCCGTGGTGGTACACACCTGTAATCCCACCTACTCGTGAGGCTGAGGCAGGAGGATCACTTGAACCCTGGAGGTGGAGGTTGCAGTGAGCCAAGATCATGCCACTGCACTCCAGCCTGGGTGACAGAGCAAGACTCCATCTCAAAAATTAATTAATTAATTTAATTTAATAAAAATAAAGTGACTCTAGGAGACTTAAGAAAGGACACCTCTCCTGGAGGGACAGTTACAGGGTCACTAGAAAGAGTGGGACTGACCTCCATCAGCATATCCCCAAACAGTAGTGCTGAAAAGTCCTCTACCTTCAGCTTCCTCCCAAACATCGAACCCCCTAAAATGGGATAAGAAATCGTCACAACCATAATGCAGGATAAATCTCTCTATATGTTCCTACTTCAACCCCAAATTGTTAATTCCTAAACTCTGTGAACACTGGCACTGAAAAAGAATGGCTAAAATCTACTTGGTTCTGAAACGTATTATATGAAGCTTTGGTACAATATTCACCTGTTATATTTAGGCAGACATCAGATTGCTTTTCCTTAACACATGCTTGTTTAGAGCTGTGGAGGAGAAGCAAGCCTAAGGTTACAAATCCCCAGCAAAGATGTCACAGAATGGAAAAAGAAATAATTGACCATTTTGAAACAGCCCATTTCCTACCAGATTCTCACAGTGACTATGCACGGAGAAACCTGGACCTGCCACCATCCACCAGGGGCCAAGGCAGCCAGCAGTCCTTCCCGATAGCAAACACAGGGGCTGGGAGAAAGGAGGTATTATTTCCAGCCACTGCAGGCTTTCAGGACACAGAAGGGTCTATCCTCATAACGTTAGTAGCAGTGGAATCAATTCTATCCTTAAATCTGTTTTCAATTTGACTAATTTATTGAAGAAGGAGGCAATCAGGGCAGACACAGTGGAAATCTTCCTGATAGGAATGTGGGCCTATTAACCTCCAGGATCTCTTAGACTGATTGGTTTTAATACAAGCACAGAATCTGTTCTCTTTTGCAAGCTAGATTATAGGTGAGTCTGTCCTGAGGCAATGGGATTGGCAAAAAGACTCTCCTGCTTCCTCAGAGTTTTGAATCTTCTTGCTTAGGAGAAGCCAGATCCAATATCCAGGAGGTGAGGGCTGCAGTGTTATTTTACAAACAAGCCCTCCCTATATCAACGCCACTTACTGTACTGGAAGCCGGTATTAAGTGAACTGCTAGCGTAGTGCATCAAGGGCTTATTGAATATTGATTCCCATTTACGTGACAGCAAAATGGCCTAAGAAATCTTCTCCGGATGCCTCAGCCCCTTGATAAAGAGGGTGTTAGTTTTGTTTTATGAAGCTGGGATCCAGGCCAGTCACATCTTATAGCTCCACTTACTTTTATTTAATAAAAACAAGGGATGATATGAGTGAGGAGGGGGAGTGTGCTGTATCATGTTGTTTTTCAAGAGGGTTCAACCTGTTAGTAAAGCAAGAGGAACAAGAGTTAGGCCACAGGAAGTATTTTGCATCAGGCCATGGGCCAAGGAAGGAAATAGAAAAATCCCCAAATGGACAACCCCAAAGGCAGATACAAGTCTTTCTTCCAAGAAAAAAAAAAAAAAAACCCTACCTGGGTGACAGAAAGAAGGCATTTTGCTGGCCAGCAAATACCATACCGGCAAACAATGGAAGAGACTGCTTTTGGTGGGAAGAGATTGCTTTTATCAGCAAGAGCAGAATCACAATCTCTCATCAGGGAGGTAGGGATCCAAACATTTCCATATCCCTTCCCCATGTGCTAAATGTCCACTAACCCAGCCCTTCACCTATATGGGAATTCCTCCTATTCTCCCAATTTCCCAGAAAAAGAGATTGTACGAGCTTTCCCACCTCACCCCACTCTCAGTTTCTAGCAAAGAAAACTCCCTAATGTTAAACCCTAATTCTATTCCCCCAGTTCTTCAAAATGTTCCCCTTAGAAAATAAGCTACTGAGGCAGGTACACTGTCTCATGCCTGTAATCCCAACACTTTGGGACTCTGAGGCAGGAGGATTGCTGGAGGCTAGGAATTCAAGACCAGCCGGAGCAACATAGCAAGACCCCATCCCTAAAAACAATAATAATAATAATAAGCCCAGCACAATGGTACATGCTTGCAGTCCGAGCTACTTGGGAGGCTGAGGCAGGAGGATGGCATGAACCCAGGAGTTTGAGGCTGCACCGAGCTATTATCCTGCCATGCACTCCAGGCTGGGTGACAGAGCCAGACTCTGTCAAAGAAGGAAGGAAGGAAAGAAAGAAGGAAAGAAAGAAAGAAAGAAAGAAGGAAAGAAAGAAAGAAAGAAAGAAAGAAAGAAAGAAAGAAAGAAAGAAAGAAGAAAGGAAGGAAGGAAGGAAGGAAGGAAGGAAGGAAGGAAGGAAGGAAGAAAGAAGGAAAGAAGGAAAGAAAGAAAGAAGGAAAGCAAGAAAGAAAGGAAGAAAGGAAGGAAGGAAGAAAGAAAGAGAGAGAAAGAAAGAAGGAAAGAAAGAAGAAAGAAAGGAAGGAAGGAAAGAAAGAAAGAAAGAAAGAAAGAAAAGAGAGAAAGAAGAAAAGAGAGAAAGAGAAAGAGAGAGAGAAAGAAAGAGGAAAGAAGGAAGGAAAGAAAGGGAGAAAGAGAGAGAAAGAAAGCAAGAAAGAAAGCAAGAAAGCAAGCAAGAAAGAAAGAAAGAAAGAAAGAAAGAAAGAAAGAAAGAAAGAAAGAAAGAAAGAAAGAAAAGCTACAGTATTCTCATGGAAAGGAACTGACAGCTCCATCCCAGAACACAATGGGGCAGGGCAGGGTTGAGGAGAAGGATAGGGAAAGGCTTAGAAGGTGAATCTGCTCCTGGATCCCCTTCCCCACCGCACTTAACCTCAACTCTTAAGGTTAGACACATGACAAAACCTCTCAGTGCGAAGGACTGTAACCTCCCAGAAGGCTGAGGCATCTCTCTGGAGAGCTTTAACCACCAGAGCCATTTTCCTCTAGCGTGACTAGATGGCGTGCAGAGGCAGAGGGATGACAAGATTGGAGATAGCAACAGGGAGAGTGAATAGAGGAGCTAGGGAGTGACCACAAATTGGTCAGCCTGCCAAGAGCCACTGACCCCGTTTTAATATCCCAGAGGTTGGAGGCGAGAGTAGAAATCACAGGCTCCAGAAAAAACAATCTTTGAAAGAAAATTGGCTGTCGCAGCCAGAGATATATGAAAGTGCAGTTACAGTCGGGGGAGCGACTGTAAAACTGCACCTGGTTATTGCACTGACTGGCTGACACCATGATGCTTTTGCACTCCAAACAGTTTTTTTGAAATGAAAAATCCCTATGGACTTAGGTAACTAAGATGGTGTGGGATGCAGAGTGTAGAAGAGAAGGGGGCAGGGCCGCTCAAGCTTCAGTGTAGAGGCAGATCTGTATAAGTGGTTTGGCAGTGGCATAAACAGGGAGGAAAAGGGTTGAGGGAACCAGAGACTTAGAACTCAAGTCACACAATAACAAGGGGCAAGAAGCCAGGAGAGCTCTTATTCCAGGGGTTTTACACCAAGTTCCACAAATTAACTCTCCATCTCTGTCCTCTGGCAGTCTTTGTCTGGCTCTCAACTCATGTCTCTGCCTTTCCATCTGACTTTCCACCTCTTCATTCCTTCACTTACCTTTCACTGCTCCTCTCTCCTTTGTCCATCTTTGTATCTTTCACTTAATCTTGCTTCTGACTGGTTTTCACTATCTGTTCCTCTAACTATAACTATCTTTGTTTATCTGTCTCCATGATATCCGTCCCTCTTGTTATCCTTCCATTTTCCTTACAATCACTCTATTATATCCATCTATTTGGGCATCACTCTTTCTCTCCCCAATTCTCTCTACTCTAATGAAAAGTAGTCAAGGAGTAGAGAGAGGGAATTCTAAAGAAAATGATCAACTACCTTTTATTATAAGCACATGCTAAGTGCCAAGCCCTCACTTAAACATTCTCTTATTCAACCTTTACAACTAACCTGAGCAGTGGGTCTTATTCCCATTTTATAGATGGGAAAACAAGATCAAAAAGTCTAAGTGACACAATAGTGACAGAGCTGGGATTCAAACCCAGGCCTGCCTGGCTTCAACTACCCCGCCCTTATCAATTAATGGATAAGAAATACCAGAGAGAAGAGTGGTAAAAGGGCAAATAGTTGGGGAAGATTCTGGAGAAAACTGTGGAGGCAGGAGGAGGTAAATGTTTGAGACCAATCAGTGGGAGCAACTAGATGTGAACCCTTAGCTTGCCTCTATTCAGACATGATGAACTAATTACCAGATCTGATTAGGAGATCATCAGCACTCTCCTGACTCAAAAGTTGGGTATAAGGGAAAAGAGGACCACTAGCCCCAGGAAGAGCATCATGCCCCACAATCTGGACCTAGTCTTTTTCTAAACGTCCCAAAGCCAATTCTTTCCAACTGAGCTCTCAAAATCTTTGTGGGAAAAGGCTGGTTCCTTGTGGCTTGGGATGACACTATCTCACAGCCAAAGACACCTGTTCATTTGTTACATGTAAATAACATCATCAAAAGCAACACCAGACCACAAAATTCTAAGGCTAGAAGACAACTCTTTTATGTATCCCTAATAAATCCCTCCTTCATTTTAAAGCTTCAGTCCTCTCCAGGCCCGTCTTCCAGTTCCTTATACCCTTTGCTGTTCACAAAGTTTTTTCTTAGCACTTATGTCTGTCTCTCCTGCTAGAACTAAATCTTGGTGGAAACACTCTGCCTATCCAATTCTTGTATAAGGGATGGTTTCGTCTAGTTCCCATGAGTGCCTGGCGTGTGCCATGGAGCATGAGATGAGATCTCTGTTATCTCAGCGTCATTACAAATGGAATAATTGGTCATAAAAATTATGCAGCCTGTTGGAAAAGAAATAACACGCACTCATTACAGATTCCTGAGATAGCTTCTCCTGGCTAAGATTTCATGTTTTCTCCATATCCCAGTCATTACCAATATCCTTCTACCTCCAAGTGACCAAAACATTGAGTCTTCCTTAGAAGAATCCCAAGACAGACTACAGATCAAAGCTACAGCCTTGTCAGAAGTTTGCTCAGCTGAACCAACACAAATTGACCTAGCAATTGAGGAGTTTTTAAAATGCCAATTCCTTCCCTCATAGAGGAACTATGTGCAAATGAGTCTATATCTTAGATACTTTTTGAACCAGAAAGATGGGATTTCCTTACATTCTCTCCTCATCAGCCAGTCTGTACTGACATCAGTACGAAGTGAGATATGGAGAAAGGGGGTGCTGTCCTTGCCCTCGGGGAGCCCTCAGCTTCATGGGGAAAATGGACTGTTTAGAACACGGAAATACTGAGCCAAATGCTACAGCAATGGTTCTAAGAGTCAAGTCTCAGAGCTGGTACAAAATAGAAGAGTGAAATAACATGGTGGTAAGATGAAGTGATCAACTCCATGCCACCCCAAGAGAAAAGAGCAGTGAAGGGTATTAGTATTTACTCAGAATGACTGACATGCTGGACACTGTACTCTGAAAGGCCTGGGCTGTGCATCCTCTCCTCATCCTCACCACCAGGCCACAGTGCCTCACCCTGCCACTTGTGGTCCTGCAATGACACTCAAGGATTAGATAATAGCATGTGGTAAAATTCAAAGGGTATGGCTTCGAAAGATAAACACTTTTGGAGATGACAAAAGACACACATGAGGTCGTCTGCTCAAGCGGTAATATCTGAAGGCCTCTGCTCTAGAAACCAACACTATGAGAAGAACAAGAAACATATCACTCCACCAACAGAGCAAAACTCAGACACCTAGGGGCTCACAAAAACATGACAAAGACTCAGAGAAATTTTTTCCCATGATTCTGGGAAACATCTCTTATTTACATTATTTTTCCACTTGACAGGCCACCTCCTCCCTAGTTTACCCCAAACTACTTTGCCCTCCAGTTGCTTTCTAATCCCTTCATGCCCTAAAAAGTAATGAAGCAGTGGAATCTGGCATGTTCTCCTGGAGATGACCAGGAAGAGGGAGGCTCTAATCTAAAGAATTCCAAGCCCTTCCCAGCTCACAGCCTTTACTCCAGTACATCACGGCTCTCTTGTACCTGAAAGTGGGAGAATAGGGAAAGATGTTCCCAAGGGGAGAAGGAACAAAAAAAAGAGGGAGGCTGGATATGAGCCAAGCAGACTCAGAGACCGGCTCCAAGTTTTCCCAGCTGTGGACTCAACTTGTCGGAGTGAGAGCAAGGAGTGAGACGAGACAATTGCTATGTGAAGAACAGGTTTGACTCCCACACCCTATCTCCGCTCTTCATGCCCCTCCTCACTCCCTCTCAGTGGGATGAGGAAGGAGGGGAGAATTACACCAGCTCCTCAGCCATTCCCAGCTACAATCAAACCTCCTACAAAATATGAATCAGCCCCAGCCATGGGGACAGAAACCAGGTTATTTTGAGACCTGGAGCCCTGCTTCCCCCTAGGACTTTGGTGACAAATGTCTGTTTGGGGACAAGTGTTTAATTCTGGGGAAACACTATCAGCCAGCCTCAAAGTGAACTTCAGGGAACTTTGCCCCTGTCTGCCTAACTATGAGACAGCCAGCCAGGGAGTTTCTCATTATGTAAGCCTCATGCCTTCCCATTGGGGACACTGACTCCTGTACCCTCTCACCTTTGAAGCGTCAGTTCCTGGCTTTCTAGGCAATTCTGTTAGAGACTCATAAGTTTGAAGGACACAAAATATCTTTCTTCCTCTCCTCAAAAATATCCATACAGTTTGAATGTAGTCTAGAGGTGTTACTTAGATAATTTTAGTTATGCACACCTACAATATAAATTATTTATCACCCATCCTTCAGCAGGGCTTCTCAAACTTTAATGTGCATGCCAATAATCTAGAGATCTCGTTAAAATGCAGATTCCTCTTCAGTAAGTCAGGGGTGGAGTCTCCGATGCATTTCTAACAAGCTCCTGAGTGACGCCAATGCCTCTAGACCCCAGACCACATTCTGAGTAGCAAGGACATAGAATAGAGTACACTAATCCTAGCATAGATTTCAGCGAGAAGCTCACGACTTGAGGTTGCCTCCAGTCTGAGAGAGAAATAAGACGCAGATAAAGAAGCAAGAACAGGATAAGAGCAACCAGGCAGAATACTAGATAGAGGTTGGGAAGTGGGTGGGTCATGTAACAGAGGGTGGGGCATATTAGAACATCAGGATGTCCTAAAGCAGGAGTCTAAAGTAAGGGCCAAACCAGGCTGAAGAGAAGAATGAGGAAGGGCGATTCACGCAGGATCAGGCAGGGAAGAGGTCACTTGAATGAGGACTAGGACTCAGAATTGCCTCTCAGAGAGGCAAGAAGTGCCTCTCTGAGCCAAGAAGTGACGACAGAAGCTGCATGGAGTGAGTCTGCAGGTGCCAATGGAGAAGGTCTTGAAATTCTGTCGGAGGAGCTGAGATTTAAAAGAAGAAGAAATAGAGGCTCTGTGGTCAGAATGGTGCTTTAAGAAGCCAAGTCAAATCATAGTGGAAAGATGTCATGGGCTAGGAGGAAGGGGGTATGGGGAGCTCATGTTTAATGGGTATGGAGTTTCTGTTTGGGAAGATGAGAAAACTCTGGAGATGGATGGTGTTGATGGTTGCATAACAGTGTGAATGTATTTAATGTCACCAAACTGCATACCTAAAAATAGTTAAAATGGCACATCTTATGTATATTTTACTACAATTTAAAATCGCAGTGAAGGCATAAGCATTGCTATCTAAATGTGACTAAAATCCAAGCCCACCCTAGGCTGAGAACATGCTGAAAGACGGGCCTCCTGAAATGAAAACAAACTCTGACTCAATCCCTCCCCTCCCCCTTCACTCTTCTATCATAAGATAGGTTGCTTATGTTCTTAAGGATTTGAAAGAAAAACAACTCCATTACAAATGGGTTTCTGTTGTGCCTTTGAGCTCGACCTGTTCATCTTGAGTCATTACGAGCCGCTCTGCCGGTGCCATACATGCGTCTGCTCACTCTGCAGCCTGCAGATGAAACTGAAATGATGGGGGAAGGTAGGCTCTTAAAATGCCCAGGCTCAGAGTCCTTGGAAACATGCTGCTGTTTTCTGGCTCCACAAGGACATTAGGGAGAAGAGGGATGAGCTGAACTGGTAGAAAACGACAACAAACTGTGAAAACAACCTATCAGCCATCAAAGTTGGAAACATTCCCAAGAAGAAAAGAGTGGCTACCCTAGAGGCCAAGGCAGAAAGGCAGCAGCTCTGCCTAAGGAGGCAGGCATGGGAGACACAGAAAAAGAAGGAAAAAAGAAAGAGCAGGAAAAAAAGAGAAAGTGTATCCTTTCTCTTTAAAGAGAAGGAGCTAAAAACAATAGGATACCAGCACAATATATAAAAGTTTCTACCAGGCCCAGGCTGTGAAGACATGGGATTGCTATAGTAAAGGAGGGAACCTCAAGCTAGACAACTAGAAGAAATCCCTGACAGTATTAAGGGGAGCTGAGAAGGGAGATCAGGAAACCTAAAACATTTGCTTGGGTCAGTCTGGAGGCAGGTAGAAGAGAAAGGAAACCCTGGAAAGTCAGGCCGTTTTCCTGAAACCCGTTATGTGGATCCACTGAATGGAGAAGCAACAGACTGATACCCCATTGCCACCCATCCATCAAAGTTAGCCCAGAACGGGACTCCAGAGAGCTGGGAAGAGACTGGCCCTTCCTATCCTGGCATCCAGGAGAGTTCTCTGCCCCTAAGCAGCTTCTGTTCCTGCTCTCTGCCTCCTCCCTCAGAAGGTAATGGAGTGAATCGAGTCAGCTGCTCTTAAGTCATTAATAGGAGCAGAGCTTGATGATATGTTCTGACTCAGGCAACCTAGTCAGACTCTTCATCCCTCTTGGAAATCCATCATCTAGGATCAAGCATCACTATCGCTCTCCCATGTAATCCTCAGGCTCCTCCTGGACCATCATGCCAAATCCCTTGACTCCAATAATAATGCAAAGGAGCCGCATTGTGATGGGGGGATTTGTCCTCTGACTTATGTTTTCACACCTAAGTGCTTAAGGCCTCCTTTCTGAAGTTCTCCCTCAATCTCGATTACTGCAATAAGAGGCATTTTTTTCTTCAAGAAAATTGTTTAAAAGGGACATGGATCTCAGCTATAAAGATCAAAGAATTGTTTCCTATAAATAATAAGTAAATAGAAAAGAGAATAAGTTTGAGGCAATTCAGAGTTATTTAAAATTATCTTTTGAGCTGTTCTACTTGTAGGAGAAAAAAGTTCTCCATTCCCAACAAGAAGTTTAGAGAGAATCCTATCTAAGATTCACAAAGTTTTCAGAGGACTTTGACACCTATCATTTCAACCCGCCTTCACAAACATCGCAGGATATGAGGAAAGTGGACATTATGATACTCATTTTAAAAATAAAAAGTATAGGGGAGTAAATTAGAGCCCAGGGAATGATCTTAACTTCAGGAGTAACTAAGTCTAGGCATCAAGAAAAACTTGCCCTCTGTAGGAATTGTGAAACATTGGAATTCACTACTCAGGGAATGTGAGTCAATCCAACTCGTCATAGCTGAAAGAGGGCTTTGGAAAAACAAGGCCAAGGGGCTTCACTTGTCATATCATATCAAAATTGCTGTAGTACTTGTGTGTCTTCCCTGCTAGACCCTAAGCTTCCGCAGACAGCTCAGAGTCTGTGGCGGTTCACTGTTACAGCCTCAGAGCTAACCAGAGGGCCTGGCGTTAAACAAGTACTCAATAAATACGTGATGAAGGAAGGGGGAAGGGAGAAAGGAAAAAAGGAAGGTAGGAAAGGCTGAAGGGGGCGTGAGCAGAGGCTGAGAAGAAACTAGGGGAAGGAGAAGAGAGCTAAGGGGACCCAGGAATGGCACAGAAGCTACAGTAAACACGAGAGAAAAAAAAGGCAGGCCTTGGGGGGACACAGGAGCAAGAGAATTAGGGATTGCCAGGACACCAGTGAAAACAGAATGGAAGGAGGTCACAGAGAAAAATAGAAGGGTGTAGGGGAATGTCTGGGCAAGAAACATTCCCTTATGGCCCCAGCAGTTGGTGCCTCCTATTGGTGGCAGTTCCTTCTCCAGGATCCTGTAAACCAGAGGCTATGTCAGGAGCTAAGGACATGATGGCCAAGAAGAACTATGCACAGGACAAACAAGCAGGAGACAGGTATTTACTCAGCAAACATCTTGGAGCCTATTCTCCAAGGATGGAGGAGCCAGCTTTGGCAGCTGCTTTACTCTGAAGTCACTAGACAAGTCGGGCAGGTGGAAGGAATTCGGGGAGCACATAGGAGCTACTGTGCCTAAGACATGATCTCACTATGCTGGGCATCTGGGTACCCACCTCAACTGAGAGCCAATTACAAAATGGGTATGACTGGGGCAAAAGTCAGGGTACTCTTGGACAGGAAGCAAGTTTGAATCCTGGATGTGCTATGTATTTTTTTGGTGAGTCACTCAAACTTTCTGGCCCTCACGGGGAAAGTGGATAGAATTGGACAGCTAGGATTTTTACAATATCCAAGTCTTACAGGTTTGACACCTGCACATTTGGCAACATCTTTTTCACTGGCCTTTCCTACCCACCCACCATCATCAACCTCTTCTTCCTGATTCAGTCCCCAGTGCCCAATAGCAGGCACACTGTGTTGAGGCTCCTTGAAGAGCTGGAGAGATTTAGCATGTAGGAAATAGGTTCCTAGTGTTCCAGGGGGAATTTCAAGGAAGGTTACTGGACCATAGAGACCCAAACTTAGTCTCTGGTTTCAGAGAGGCCCATCCGTCTATACTCCAATTAGGATGGCACTGTTGTGAAGGCGCTTCCTGAAGTTCCAACCCACCCCACTGATAAGAAGTGTCTGGTTCCTGCTGCTGCTCTGTATCCACAAACTTCTTGCATGTACCTAGAGATACCAGAGGAGGTCGCTCAATTAATCTTGGAAGCTAGAGACACTGCCCTGCTAAAGACCCATACCCTCACTAACCTTCTCATCCCACCTCAGATCTTGATTCTTTTTTTTTTTTTTTTTTTGAGATGGAGTTTCACTCTTGTTCCCAGGCTGTAGTGCAATGGCACAATCTCGCTGTAACCTCCACCTCCCGGGTTCAAGCAATTCTCCTACCTCAGCCTCCCAAGTAGCTGGGATTACAGGCGCCTGCCACCATGCCCAGCTAATTTTTGTTTTTTTAGTAGAGACGGGGTTTCATCATGTTGGCCAGGCTGGTCTCAAACACCTGACCTCAGGTGATCCACCTGCCTCAGCCTCCCAAACTGCTGGGATTAGAGGAGATGAAAAGGTAGCATTTCTCACTTACAGCGTCTTCTGACATGCTGCAGAAATCAGGAAAATAGAAATAAATATTTCAGCTATCACCATGGAAACTGGCAGTTTCTATGTCTTCCCCTCATGCACACTCCCCATCAACTCTTTCCCTCCCACCTCTACGTCATATAAGCTCATAAGATTTCTCTTTGTGGTCAATCCACCAATTCATTTGGAACAAAGAACAGAAAAATAGCTAGTTTGGAGAAAATAGGCTGACCCCTGGCTTTCTAACCACTCCCCTAGGGCTGAGGTTCCCTCCCAGATCATCACGTCCTCTTCTCTCACACACAGCCCCACTCTCATCTCACCATCCCTCTGGTGCCTTCTCCCTATGCTCACATAGATCCCCCCAGATAGAACTCCTGTCCTATTCGTCCCCAAATGTGGGTCCTTTAGCTTCAAAAGCCTTCAGTTCAGACCCCCCTCAGCCTCAGACTGCCATGCTCTGAATCCAGCTGCCTTCATCCCCATCTAGACCCATTCTTCATGCCACCTGCATGCAGACGTACCATGTTCACAGTCCCAGAGCCTCTCATTCCCACCCAGGTACTCTCCATTCTTAATATTCTACAATTCAGGGTCCTCCTATCGTTCTGCATATTCTCAAGCACTTCCTTATTAAAAGGAGTCTTTAAAAATATTGATATTTCCCATCATTCGTTCCCCATTCTCACCCATCCCCCCACCAAGTCTTAATTCAGTCTCCATATTGAATGTTTGAACACCTGTGCGCCCTTGAGAGAAGAGAGGGAGAAGGGAAATCTCTCTCAGTGCTCTCTTCCCCTTTCCCTCGTCCTGCCCCAGTGCCCAGTGTGGGCTGTGAGACTTAATTAGCCTTCCCAGATTACTCTAAGATTCTTGAGGGAGGCTCCAAAGACTATTCTGTGCTGGGAGAAATTTTATCGGCGTCTTTTACGGCTTTGTTTGTTCTTCAATTTCTCCAGCTCGGACTCTTTATCCGAGTCTCTTCAGTCATAAAACAACCTCAAAAGGACAAGCTGAAACCCAACTACCTAGAACCACCTTGATGCCTGCCCCTCGCCCCACCCCATGATTGAAAAGGGGCCCCTGGATCCCTATGGTTGCCCCTGCAATCTCCCCTACCCACCCACCAAGCACCCATCCCAAAACATGGTATTCCACTGCCCAACCTCTCCTATCTGGGAAAATGGAAACAGAGGATGACTCAGGGGGTCAGGGAGGATCAAGGCTTGTTTAGAGCTTTGAGATCTCTGGATGAAAAGTAAAAAGGGTGGGGAGTTGTGAAAAAGTCAGGTGAAGCGTCTGGGGCTCAAGAGTAAATCACTGTCCACCCCACCCACCCACTTCCCAGACTGAGGTTCTTAGTCTTTCATAGGTGTGTAAAACAGATTTGCATTGAAGCATGAGCACTTTAAGCTAGCCTGTGCAGAACTGCCCAAGCCTTTGCTGCTTCTGTAGGGAGCTGAAAATTGAGAAGACAAACATGTGCCTAAGATAGCCTCCATCTGTTTCAGCCAGATGACCTAAAATGTGTTCATGTAAGTCCAGCCTATTACTGTTCTGGTCAAGATCTGGACTTCCATAGAGAAAGGAAGACTTACAGAGGACTAAGAATAAGATCTGTTATGTTTCTAGAGGGTTATTTAACCTTGTCTCTCAAGAACAAGACACTAAAGAGCTGGTAACAACATCAGAAGATGTTAAAGTGGCCCTATTGTATACTATCTCCTTCCCAAAGTTACCTTCAACTTTCCAGTTTTCCCTCTCGACACTGTTTTCCCTCAATTATCTCATCCATTTCATGGCTTCAATTTTTACTTCTGTGTGGGTGAGTTCTGAATCTGTTCTTCCAGAGCTGGTCACATTCCCTATAGTCTCCCACTTCTAGTGTATGATGAATGGGGGCTCCACCAGCACCTTAAACCGACTTAATTTAAAATGTAATTTACACTCCCTTCAAAACCAGGCTCTTCTTCTAGCATCCTCTTTTTCTGTTAGTGGTACCACTATTCTACTAATAATCAAAGCTGAGAACCTCTACCCTCATCTTTGACTCCTCTTTATTTTCCCTTTTCTCCCGTCTTACCCACCCTCCCCACCGCTACGCCACCAAAGTCCATTAGTAACCAAGTTTTGTTCATCACATTTTCACAATGTTGGTACTTCCATCCATGCATTTCTATTTGCATGCCATGGTCCTAGTTTAGTCTTTTAGCATTTATCATCTAAGCTTCTACATAAGCATCCTAAAAGTTCTCCCTGCCTCTCATCTCTTTTCTAAGTTATCTGCCCACTGACTCAAGAAAGATCTCATTTAAGCAGTTTTTACACATCTTTTCATCCCCTCTTCTAGAGCCTACAGTTCTATTCATCTCTTTCAAAATGCCCTCACATGAACCCTCTGTGCCAGATAAATGGGTCATTCATTGTTTCATTCATTGAACAAATATACATTGAACATCTAGCTACTATATATTCGGTATGCTAAGAAATCAAATGTGAATATATATCATCCTGGACTTCAAAAAGTTTAGAGAAAGCTCTGTTTAGTGTGTGTAGAATACCTTTTGCTTTCTTGCTTCCATAACTATGAGTCATTTCATTAATGTAGAATGTTCTGTCTATTCTCAAAATTTTTCTTAAAATCCTACCACTTCTATGAAGTTTTCTCTAGCCAGTCCATCACAATTCTCCCTCCCTTCCCAGAATTCCAATAGCACTTAATTGTGGTTACCACTCACAGGGCATTGTCTTACTGACTGACATAGTTTTCTAATGCCATACTTAAATATACTGTGTGCGTGTGTGTGTGTGTGTGTGTGTGTGTCCCCAAATGATTTCAAGCATCTGGAGTGTAGGGACTGCCTTTCTTTTTTACTCATGGCATTTAATGTTGTGCCTTACACACGTGATTATGCATGTAATGTGATTGAAGACACCATAGTGCCCAACTGAAGAAGGGAATTTCTGAAATAGAAATGCATTATAGTGTCATGGAAAAAGCAATGATTCTTAAGTCAGAAAAAGTGAGTTTGCCTTCCTGCTCCACCAGTTATTAGCTGAGACCTTAAATTCTGTGCCTAGTATATGGGTTTGTTTTTTGTTTTTTGTTTTTTGTTTTGAGACGGAGTCTCGCTCTGTCACCCAGGCTGGAGTGCAGTGGCATGATCTCAGCTCACTGCAACCTCTGCCTCCCGGGTTCAAGTGATTCTCCTGCCTCAGCCTCCCAAGTAGCTGCGACTATAGGTGCCCACGACCATGCCCGGCTACTTTTGTATTTTTAGTAGAGACGGGTCTCACCATGTTAGCCAGGCTGGTCTTGAACTCCTGACCTCAGGTAATCCACCTGCCTCAGCCTCCCAAAGTGCTGTGATTACAGGCGTGAACCACCATGGCTGGCCATGTATGGGTTTTTTAATGAGGATTTAACTTAATGAGAAAACATGTGGAAAGAGTAGACTAGTGCCTAGAACCTAGTAAATGCTCTATAAATACTCACTTCCTTCATTTCAGTTTGGTTCTAGTAAGGCAGGTTGGGTAGGATAACCTGCTTTGGGGGCTGCTACAGTTTGAATGTTTATTACCCCAAACCTCATGTTGAAATTTGATCCCCAATGTTGGAGGTGGCACCTAATGGGAGGTATTTGGGTCATAGGGGTGGATCCCTCATGAATGGATTAATGTCCTTCTGAGTAGGGGTGGTAAGTGAGTTCTCATTCTTATTAGCTCCAACAAGAGCTGGTTGTTAAAAAGAGCCTGGCACTTCCCTCCCCTCCCTCTTGCTTCCTTTCTTGCCATGTGATCTCTGCACAAACTGGCTCCACTTCACTTTCTACCATGAGTGGAAGCAGGCTGAGGCCCTTATCAGGAGCAGATGTTGGCATCAAGCTACTTATACCGCCTGCAGGACACGAGCCAAATAAACTCCTTTTCTTTCTAAAGTTCTTTTATAGCAACACAAATGGACTAACATAGGGGCCTTCCTACTTCAGCTTGTGTAGGCCCACAGGAATACACCTAAGAGAGAAACACTAACCTACTCAATCACTGCTGACTTTCTCTCTATCTTTATTCTTGAAACCCTCAGCATCTAGCCTACTTTATCACATTTGTTATATCCCAACTCCCCTTCTCTAGGAAGCTTCCTACTCTAGTTTCTCCCAGTAGTCCTAAACTCCAAGTCTGGAGAAATGATTTTCTCCATCCTGCCATTCCTAGGCCTGACATCATCTTATTTACCTTTTCTGAATAAACCTTTTAGGGTATTAGGTCTAAGGATCTCAACACCCCAGCAAGGAGCCCATTCTCCTCCTCAACCTTAACCACCACCTCTCCCAGCCCCTCACAGATATTGTGAAAAAGCTTGGGGACAGCGACCTGAGCAACACAATGGCCAAGGAAAGCCCAGGAAATTCTAGCACCTCCACATGAAATCTGAAATAACTCAAGGGTCATCCAACCCAGAAGGAGAGTGAGTGTCAAAGTTTCTTTCCATTTTTCTTTGGACTCAGGTGAAGATCTAAAAAAACAGACAAAACAGAAACACAAAAGGTTAAAATCCAGGAGTTCTGGCCAGTGGGGACATCCTGTCCCATCATTGTGACCACCAGCAGTGGCAACAGGTGTCTACTAGGGCTGCAAGAGCTCCTCTGGTAGAGAAGGGGGAAAGGCGAGGGATGAGTCAGCACAGGCTGAAAACAGAGGGTTTTGTTCAAAGAGAAGTCTGTGATGCAAGCTCTAGGGAAACAATGTGTTCCTTGTTTCTTCACCCCCTCCCCACCCATCAGGCCTTCACCTCCCTATTCTCCCCACACTCTAGTCGGATCATTGACCAAGTCTTTGGTCAGAATTAAGACAATAGAAGCAGCCTCCTAAGAGCTTCTGGTTTCCATCTATCCATTCTCTACTCAACAACCTTAACTTTCACCATCATCCTGACTTATCCCCTTGTGGGAGGCCAGCAGTGGCTCACAATTGTCCCTAATTTCAAATCGCTATTCCTCAGCTTAAGTTTCAGAGCTTAACTTTATGCTATGATTCCACGATGCTCACTCTTTGCTTTCAGCAAAGCAAATCTGCTTCTCTTCTCTCTGCCTCCAAAGACATAGACCTCTGACACATTATTATGTCTTTTTATCTATCCATTCCTTTCTTTCAAAAGGTCTATGTCTTTCTTTCTTTCAAAGCCTGCTCAGTATTCTCCTCCAGGAAGCCTTCCCTGAGTAAGTCAAATTTCTAATTCCAACACCACTTTTATACTATGTACTCTTAGTATCTGGTATCCAATGTACAATTTTATTTGTCTGCATTTATCTGGCTCTGACTTGTATAGCCTGACTCCTTCTTAAACTAAGAGCTCCTCCTCCCCCTCAATAATATTTTGAGTGTTTTATGTTCAGAATCAAGCACAAAAAGAGTCCAAGTTGCAGAGTTATAAAAAACAGAGTGGGCAACCTGGGGAGGGAGGAGGTGGGCAGTGATGGGTAGAAGATCACAAAGGTGGGAATGTGGGATGTATATTTGATATAGGAGGCACCAGGACACAAGGGTACCATCATTAAGTTTTTCTTCATTGTTCATATGCACATACTTCTGGGCTGGGTGTTATACAGAGAAATTACATAGATAGTCTTTTGCACTTTAAGGCCTCATAAAATAGTCACAATGATATAATAAATAAAGGACAAATGAATCCAAAAAAAAGAAAAAATCAAAAGATAATAGGCTGAAATATGAAATTATAATACCCCACAGAAGTCAATGTAATTGAGAATAAGGACCAAGACGTGTGCAAATTGAGAGAGGAGGACGGAATTTTAAAATTGAGGTGGGAGAGGGGTAGGAAATGGGGGGGCGTTCCACGTCCAGGCACAGTGAGACCAAGGAAGTCACCAGCTCTCCTCTAGTCCAGGAAAGCATCCTTGAAAAGAAGGAACTTTTTGAATGCCTTGAATGACAGGAAATAGATGACTTACTAAGAGCCTCACCCTCTTTGAAAGAAAGTAGAAAGTAAACAAGCAGAAGGGGAGCATGGCAGATATGCCTGGGCCAGGCAGCAGCAGGATTTTTCTTCAGTCCCAGTCCTTCACCACTCAGCACTGTGGTCCTAGGCCCTAGCGTTCCCTGGAACAGAGCATGTTCCCAACAGGACTGGACTGGTTGGAATGAGTTCTACCCCACCCCCAGCCCCAAATCCCTTCTACTCCCTACTAGAGGGCAGAACTTCAAACCCTGAAATCAATCCCCTCATCAATACCACTTACAACGATATCATCCTTTACAATTCTCAAAGCACACTCATATGTACAATCTCATGTGAGACTCCCACTCCCTACTGAATCTCTATTCCACCCGCCATGCATAATACTGAAACTCTGTATCACAAATAGACATGGGGCTCCTAGCACCTATTTCACAGTGTCTGGTAGCTAGCTGGTGCTCATGAAACACTAAGGAATAAAGGGTTGATTAATAGATCAAATGTCTAACTTCAACAAAATGGGATGAAATTTAATATCATAAAGGACTTCCTGACCCTGTGAATGGAAATCTCTGAAGAGCCAGAACCAGTGATAGTCACAGAATTGGTCCACAGCTTCTCAGGCCAACATGGTACCTCCAAAATGTCTTTTCCTCTAGCCTTAGCTTCTGAGAAAGAAAAGAAAGTGATATTTATAGTATCCCTACTAGGTGCCTGTCATAGGTACTTATATATACAGTAACTCATTTATCCAGGCCATACTCCAGCCCAGCCCTTCCAGAAAGGTTGCTTATACCTTTTTCTTTAATATCTTACAGAGGGTAAGCAAGAGGGTAACTTCACACATGTGCCTTCCCACCTCCATTATTGAGGCTTTCCTTTTGAATAAGGGCATTACTTTATGGTGCAGTTTAAACCCCTTTGCATTCAAAGCATCTCTCTTATAATCCCTGCCTTAGCAAGC
The DNA here is from genome assembly GCF_000001405.40 of Homo sapiens. Lineage (NCBI taxonomy): Eukaryota > Metazoa > Chordata > Mammalia > Primates > Hominidae > Homo > Homo sapiens. The sequence continues at coordinate 53,796,544 of NC_000012.12, read as the reverse complement.
TTCCCTGCCTTACCCCAGCACCCCTACATACATCCCGCATATACGTTGTTTTCTTCTGCCCTATGTTCCTTGCTTCCCTTTCCATGTCAAAGGCAAATAGCCCTCCCTAAACCACAAAAAGGTAGATGCAAAGAAAGAGAGGACACGGGGATAAGGTAGAGGACTTGAGCCTGGAGAGACTAACGAGGGTGGGAGGAGAGAGCCACCCGCCCTCCGTCAAGGTGGCTTTGCCTGCAGTTTTTATTATGCATCGATTTTCTTATCCATCTTCTTTAGAGCCTCTTAGATCTTCAGGCTGCGGCTGTTTCTCCAAATTGTCATTCACTCCAAGCTCTCTAGCTCCTTGCAGCAGCTAAGGGAGGGAGATGGGGCGGGGGGTGGCAGGAGAAGGCAGCCGAGAGGTGAATGAGGGTTGCTAAGTAACCGTTGCCAAGGAGCCAGTACCAAGGAGCATCCCAAGCCGCCTGCTTATTCCAACCTACCCCCCTTCCACATTCTCCCTCACTTAAGTTCTCTCAGGTCTATAAAGCAGCTTGATTTTGTCACCTTCACCAGCTGCAAAGCTTTTTCCTCAGCCCTTGAGATGCAGGGCTGCAGAATCCAGTGCCTGAGGATCTCACATTCCTAGACCTGAGCTGGTCATCATGGGCACCCTTCTGTCTTTCAGATGGCACCATTAAAAATAAATGATGACAATATTTAATTTGATTAACAAAAAGGAAGGTCCTGTCTGCATAGGCAGGTTACTTGTGGTAGCCTGTTCAGAGGGTGGACACAGGGAGCAAATGGAGACCAGAGAGTGTCTGTCTCCCTGAGACAATTTGAACCTCCTTAGGGAAGCCCCACTACTCCATCTGAAATTTTGTGAATTCTAAGAACACAATATATGTTCTGTTTCAGGATCAATTCTAAACTAAAATGGCATTTTGGTTACTTAAAAATTTGATTATTAATTAGGTTTATCCATGACTGTCCCCTCAATTGATGCAGAGACTCCAGAAAGTGCTACATAATATTTTATTTAAAACTTGCCTTATTAATTCCATTTAACTCAAATAAATATTAGAAGTTCTATAGTAGGGCTAGCACAGAGCAGGGAGAATTGGTTTGGGCAAGGAGACTGTCATTGAGTTGAACTAGTCTAGGATTCAAACTCTGCCACAAATAATCCAGAAAACAGATGATCATTCTTCTGCCAACAACCCCAGACACCCCGGAATCACCATCCCTCTGAGGCGGTGTAGAGGAGATTAGGTAATGATCACAGATTACTCTGGATTCTTATAAGGTTCACTACTTCCAGATTGACTACGGGCATTCTCTTCACTAAACCCACAGTTCCTATCATATGCCACACATTGTTCTAGGTACAGCTAAAAAGCATTTCTGTCTGTGTTCAAAAGGGTCTCTCAGCCATCCTCCTATCATTACTGAGAAAAACGGTTCCACCATCTCCTTCAAAATCTACCAGTTTTCCACAGCTGATAGTCAATACCTCTTAGATGTTCCAGATGCTGCTTCAAACCAAACAGGGGCACTAAGGATAAGAAGAATTCTTTTTACCTAAAGATCTCCAAAAGATAGTTGTACAATATAGCACAGTGGTAGTGAGGAGCAAGATTTTAGAGTCAAATGGGCATAATTTCATGAGCAAGGAACATCAGACCCTTAACTGTAAAACAGGAATAATGCTGCCTATTTCACAGACTCCTTGTAGAATTAAATAAGATGGAGTATGTACCCAGTATTAATGTATTATAACTGCTCAATAAATAGTTGTTGCTGCTGTTATTATCAACATCATTATTATCTCTGGCCTACTCATAATAGGATAAACGAACAAATAAAAATAGGAATCCCATTCACCAAAGAACCTGTAGTCACCATGTTTCTGTAGCCACCCAACTTCCAAAATTGAGCTATTATCAACTAAATGAAGGCAAAGGCTGAGGTTATGTCTAAGCAATAATGTGGCCAGAGAAGGTAACCTATGCTGAGGCTGGGATAGAGCAAGAGTCTAGGATATAATCATGCCCCCTACCACCTCCTTAAGGATCACCACTTACATTATAAGCCCACGAAGCAAATTCTGAATTAAGAAATTGAGAAGAAAGAATGGGTAAGAAAATGCTGCTCTATAGGACTAAGGAGTTCCCTTTCTCTGTCCCTTTATTCTAACCACATTTTATTTAAGTCTCTATCACCTTCACCCCTGCCCCATCTATTAGGAAAGATGAGTCAGGAGGTAACTGCCCCTTAGGCCACCCATGTCAATGTCTAGCAGGTTCTTCCTGCTAGTCCTTCCTGATGCCTAACCACAGTGACTTCTGCTGTGCCCGAAGCCCACTCCCTCATGCACACTGCCCCTATAACTTATCTTCCCACCTCCTCAAGCTTAGAATCATAGATGAAGAAAATTGGGAGGGAAGAAAGGGAATGGAAATGAGAAAGCAAGCAAGCAAGAAGGACTGGCCAGGTGGTGGATGGAAGGAGTTAAGAGGATTGGAGACAGGGGTGAGCGGGGTTGCAGGGGAAGAATGGAGTAGAGTGAATGAAACGTACAGAACAGTCTCCCTGACTCTGCTCCGTGGTTATAGAAAGAAATAGGCCTGGTGAGAAGGGGGAAAAAAGAAGAGGAGAGACTAATGGGGAGATAGGCAGACAGCTGTTCACAGGAAAGGGAAATGAGTTTAGGTCTAAGAGAGAAATTCCCAATACAGATGCTGCCTTGGTGTTGCAGAGCCTGCTGTGGAAGAGACTTGGGACTTCAAGATGTTCCCCTGACTGACGTGGGCCATAGGAGTGTCTGCTCAGGGGTAACTTGACAAGATAAACTCACATGATGTGGAGTAAAGGATCAGGGAAATTATTAGCAATGTGGTTTTTTGGAAAGTAGTTGAAAAAGGATAAAGCATGAGAGCAAAGTAGTTGATAGAGACCATGATTTTGACTAAAGTCTCATCTTCTATCTCATCCCCTCATTCAAGGAACCCAGAGAGGATAATCTAACCCTCTTTCTTCCTCCAGCTCCCATCCTTTCCTCCTCTCCTACTGTTTTTGAACATAGTTCCTCGGGAAAATCTGTCATATTTGCCTGCACTAATGTCACCCTGGCACCAGAATCCACACTGGCCTGCACTGAGCCCTGTTCCATCTGCTTAAAAAGGGAACAAATAACAGGGCCACCCACTGAGGGATAGACTCCAAAGGACTTCCAGCCAAGAACTAAGATAGTAAGATAATAATAATCTAAGAGATTATTAACTCTGTGCCCTATCTAAATCTGGGATCCGTGGGTTCAGGAGTCAGCTTAACTATTCCACTCCCTCCATATATGTTCTTGTTTCACTCTTCCTTTCCTCTTTCAAGCAATGTTACTTTCTCTTCCACCTCATTTACCTTGCACCCACAGCATAAAGTTCCTGACCAGACCTAAAGCCAACTTCAGTGTATAATCTCAGGTTCTGGCCCAAGTGCAGATGGAAGAAGCTGTGCAACTGCTCTTCCATGCCTCATACTTTAGGTGATGTAAGTGATCCAGCTAAGACAAGAATTTAGCTGTTTGACTTCAAAGGCTATGGAGGTACCACTATTCTAAAGTCCGTGTCCATCTCTGATGATCAGAAGTCTGTCTTATGCACAACCTTAGCAGCTAGTAGGAATTGCAGTTCTTTCTCTTCTAAGTACCTCTTCAAAGCCAGCAATATGAGTCCTCTAAGTGCATGAGTGGAGCAAAGAGGTACGGTTTATCTTGAAGCAAAAGTATAATCTCTATCCTTGTTCAGGATGTTGCTTGCAGAGAGGCTGGTCTCAGCGGGGTGGGAGAAGGCTGAAGAGAGGTGAAGGCTACAACTTTAATTAGAGAAACTTGCATTAACTGAAGTAAGAACTTCTCAGCAGTCTGAGGTGTTCCTCAGCATGACCAAGGAGGTCAAGTCCTTTGTGAGAAGGGGAATGATTATTCCTGAGCTAACAACCGAAGTGTGTTATCCCAACAGGAAGCAGTGGTGGGGCATGTGATCAATACTCTACAAGAGACATGAACTCATGCCACCAACTTGTACCAGGAGGAGAGGGGCAGGAACGTGGTCAAAGCAAGACCCTGGCAATGAAAGGACTACCTGAGGCTGCTGGGGAATTGGCAGACCGCATGCTTCTCAAAGCCTTGGTTGCCTTTAGCCTTATATCAGGATCCGGGAATGACCAAGAGGGTCTCTAAAGTCACCCAGGGGACATCCTTCCTCTCCTCAAAACCCTAAAGGCCCTGACCTGCTCCCCCAAGAAGTACAGAGCCCAGAACCTACTGAGACTGAGATGGGAGGCTAAAAGGAAGTCTCTGTGACAGCAATTTGTGTCTCCTTTTGTCTGCCTCTGTCTCCATCTCTTCCCCCAGCTTCTCACATCCCCAGTCATTATTTCAGAGGCCTCTACCTTGATCTGTCTCCAAGTCTCCTGCAAGATCAAAGCTCTTAACACCTGTTTTGCTTGCTGGCTCCTAGGCTAGAGAAGAGGGGGCAGGGTCCATCCTGAGGCAAGGGGAGGGCCCTGACTGTGCCTCTTCCCAAGGCAGAAGGGAGGGTGCAAGGGTGGCCCAAGGTAGGAGCCAAACCTAAGGCTCAGTTGGAACAACGCCCCCTGGTGGGAAGGCTGTCATTCTTATTCAATTATTGATTTTATTATTACTGTTATTCAGGTTATACATTGAATTAACTCATAATTATAGTAGGGTAAATATATTACAGTGACAAGAAAGGCCTTTCATAATCTTCTTATCTAAAGAAGGAAGATTCCCTGTTAGTCTCTATAGCAAGAACCTGTTTATGTCCTTCAGGTATTTATCATAATCTGTAATCATTTAATTGCTTGTTTTCTTGCTTATTGACTGTTCCGCACTAGAAAAAGCTCTATATTTAAATGAAAAAAAGAATGGATGATGAATAAATAAGTTATAAGGGAATAAACCTACCAGAGGGATAAAAACTTCCCTATAATATGATATATATCATGTCCAGATCTTAATAACAATAGTATCTTCTTTCTTAGCATTTTGACGTTTATTTCCAGATTTTTCTATGAACAATTTTTTACATTGCTTAAATAACATACACTTAAAAATAAAAATAATATACACTTAAAAAAATACACCATCATATACATTTTATGCTATTATAAACTCACGTAAATAGCCTTTTTATGACAACATATTAGAGTTCAAGTTGGAGTGAGATCATCATGTATTAACAATAATATCTTATTTTATTTATTTACTTATTTATTTTTGAGACAGAGTCTCGCTCTGCCTCCAGGCAGAGGAGTGGCGCAATCTCGGCTCACTGCAACCTCCGACTCCCTGGTTCAAGCGATTCTCCTGCCTCAGCCTCCCAAGTAGCTGGGATTACAGGCACGTGTCACCACGCCCAGCTAATTTTTGTATTTTTATTAGAGACGGGATTTTTCACCATGTTGGCCAGGATGGTCTCGATCTCCTGACCTCATGATCCTCCTGCTTCGGCCTCCCAAAGTGCTGGGATTACAGGCGTGAGCCGTCACGCCCTGCCAACACTAATGTCTTTAAAATATCCATAATGCCCTTACTTCCACATCTCTACCCATGGCCTCTTACTTACAACTGTATACCACTCATTAAATTTATTTTTTTGTTGTTGTTTTTTGTTTTTTGAGATGGAATCTCGCTCTCTTGCCCAGGCTGGAGTGCAGTGGCGTGATCTCTGCTCACTGCAAGCTCCGCCTCCCGGGTTCACGCCATTCTCCTGCCTCAGCCTCCCGAGAAGCTGGGACTACAGGCGCCCACCACCATGCCCGACTAATTTTTTTGTATTTTTTTTTTTTTAGTAGAGTCGGGGTTTCACTGTGTTAGCCAGGATGGTCTCGATCTCCTGACCTCATGATCTGCCCACCTCGGCCTCCCAAAGTGCTGGGATTACAGGTGTGAGCCACCGCGCCCGGCCGCTTCATTAAATTTATTTAACAATTGTTTGCTCTATGTTAAACATTGTGTAGAGAATATAAAATATTCAGGACACAGTCCCTCTGCTCCAAAAGCTTATAGTTGAGTAAGGGAGAAACAGAAGACGCACAACTATAGCTGACAATCAGTCAAAGGAGGATAGGAGTTGAAAGTAAAGAAATTGCTTCCAGGTAGGGCTATCCAGGAAGGCTCGGACAGGGGGTAACATCTAAGCTAAGCCATGATGATTGTGTAGGATTTCAGCAGTCAGAAATTGGGAGGAAGGAATTCCAGGGAAAAGACAGCTAATGGGAAGGAATTCTTGATTTTGGGGATCATTTGATATGGAACTGCTATTTATTATTAGAAATGCAAAGAACAGTGAAATTCAAGATAAAACTGCAGAAGCTTGAGGTTTTAAAAAAGGATGACAAGAACCAGGACCTGGATCCCAGTTCAGGTTCCATTTGTCCCCACGTCTATTGTATCCAGTGTTATTTAAGGAATGCATATAAGGTTCAAACAGGACAGGGTGCCCATTGTGCTTCCTTCTATATGTCTCTCATCTTCCCTCTTCCCCCACTGAGTTCTTTATTAACAATGAAATGATTTCTTAATCTCATTACTGAGAAAAGCACAAAGCACAGAAAAGCATATGCTACACAAATTAAGCTGGGTAATTTGCATACCTAGGGAAAGGGAGAAACCCCTCCCCCTTCCTTCTCCAGAGTCAATTTTCCTCGATCTTCTGACACCATATGTCAATAAATATCTATATTTCCTCATGCCCTGGACAGGAGATGCTGTTAAATGTCAAATATAAAGTAAAGTTTGTCATAAAAATCCCTCATAAAAAAATCTCCCAACTACCAGCATTGAAAGATGGAGGAAGGGAATTCCTGTGTTGTGTTTGCCTCCTAATAATGTTCAGATCATCCAGCTTTTTGCTTCCAGGAGCATCACAGACAATCTTTTCTTAAAGTTTTCTACAAAAGCATGCAGGGGCTTTCAACTCCTCTTACCATCCTTGCTTCTGCAAAAGTTTGTTCTCATTCTTTTTGTTTTTTTTTAATAAAACAGAACCACTGTTTAAATAACCAGTTTCTCATAATCTCAACTGTAGATGTATTTGTACATTTTTTAATTCTCCTCTTTCTGACAAAGTATAGAGGCCCACTTAGAAGCAAAGAAATAAATAAAACGAATTATCTGAGCACCTTCTATCAAGGGGTTCTAGGAGAGTGATGGTAGATGTGGGTGGTACTCATACAAGGGCGACTGTGTGTTAGGCTAGAAAGTAAAGGACAGGAGAGGATTGCCTTGTGGCTGCTGTTTCTCTTTCTCTGCAAACCTCCTCTGATTATAGCAGATTTATAAGGGCCCCAAAGCAGCCCAGCATCTTAGCCATAAACTTCCCAGAAAGAAAACTCATTGAAGTTCCCTTGAGAGGTGATGAAAAATAAATATCAGGGTTTGGTACAAACACATCAGCCAAGATCAGGGGTGGAAGGCAGCCAGTTCCCTATAGCTGGTTTAACTCATTCAGGATTTGTACACACACATACACAACATACACAAAAAGTCTAACAAATATGTTGATGGACCTACGGAGATAAGCATACCTTACTCTTTAATGCCTATTTCCAGCCCAATGCAAACATGTGTCCACAAAGCATGTATACACACATGACTTTCAATGAGTTATTTTATACCTAGCCCCTCACCCTTTCCAAGCTACTGACTGCAGGGTGGGACACAGTGAAGGTGAATGAGAGAATGTCTGAATATAAGCTTGCATGTGTCACTAAGTGTGTCTCTTCTATATTCCAAAAAGCAAATAGAAATTGTTTCTTTATTATTCACTGTTTGGATTATCTACTGTTTTTGATTACCTCTAAGTACACCATTAAGTTTCAATGATCATCTATCCCTTACTGAGCCACTACTCTGTGCAGAATATAGCTCAGGGGTTAGCAGCACAAGTTTTGCTCAAACTTGATGCAAATGCTAGCTTTACTACTTACCTTGCACAAATTACTTAACCTCTCTGAGCCTTAGTTTCAACTTCTGTAAAATGGGGATAACAATACTTACTTCATAGAACTGTTGTATTACCTTAGATAATCATGCAAAGCACTTAGAACAATGTATAGGGCACAGTACTCAACAAATGGTAGCTATTATCACCATCATTGTATTAGACATTTAAGATATATAAAGAATATACATGGGGCCCAGCGTGGTGGCTCACACCTGTAATCCCAGCACTTTGGGAGGCTGAGGCAGGTGGATTGCTTGAGGTCAGGAGTTCAAGACCAGCCCGACCAACATGGTGAAACCCCATATCTAGTAAAAAAAAAAAAAAAATACAAAAATTAGCCAGACATGGTGGCAGGAGCCTGTAATCCCAGCTACCCAGGAGGCTGAGGCAGGAGAATCACTGGAACTTGGGAGGCAGAGGTTGCAGTGAGCCGAGGTCACGGCACTGCACTCCAGCCTGGGTGACAGAGCAAGACTCCATCTCAAAAAAAAAAAGAATATATATATATATATATATACATATATATGAGTAAGCCGGGCATGGTGGCTCATGTCTGTAATCCCAACACTTTGGGAGGCCCAGTGGATGGATTCCTTGAGCCCACCTCAAGTTTGAGACCAGCCCACCTTGAGCCCACCTTGAGTTTGAGACCAGCCTGGGCAACATGGCAAAACCCTGTCTCTACAAAAAAAAAAAAAAAAAAAAAAAAAAAAAAATTTAATTGGCCCCGTGATGGCACACACCTGTAATCCCAGCTACTTGGGAGGCTGAGGCAGGAGGATCACTTGCACCCGGGAGATGGAGGCTGCAGTAAGCCATGGTTGCACCACTGCACTCCAGCCTGAGTGACAAAGCAAGATCCTGTCTCAAAAAAAAAAAAAAGAAAGAAAGAAAAGAATATGTGTAAGTAAAACAGATGTTCTTTTTCCTTGAGAGTTTTAGAAACCTAAGACAAGATAGATACATGGAGAGACAAAGAACATAGAAACTTAAAACTGTTATTTGAGACCTAAAATGCAACTTATTCTCCTAAATCTTAGCCCTATTTTGAAATTTTTAGCAAGGGTTTTAAAGCTCTGATGAAATTATTGTTTTCTTCTATCATTCCTCATCCCCATGCCCATCATCTTAAATTCACCACACATCCACGTAGCCTTTCATTTATGGAGCTGAATGGAGAATCCTTGGGATAGAAAAGATTTTGAGAGTTTATTTTGTGCATTTCCCTGTTTCAGAGCAGGAGCCCTCCTAGGCATTCCAAACCAAACTGAGGCACCCACATGCATGGCCAGAAAAACCTGGCCATCCCCTTCAATCCTCCCTTTAACTCCAGAAAATGTTTTATGTTCAATTTCAATCCATGCCGCTTCAATACTGATCTTTCCTTGTTATTTATTCTTATTGGAGGTAAAGTACACAAACCCTTCAAAAGCTTAAGAAAAGTTCTGAAATGGCACTTGATAACTTTTTTGCATTGACGATGACTTCAGGTCTCTGGAACTCTATGTCTTGTATATTTCGTCATTAGCCCATTAAATATCATCACAAGATCCTTTAAAAAGCATTAATTTGGCCCCTCCAAGGGTATAACCCTTTACCCATTCATCTGGTCTCTCCTTTACGCCTTTGGAAGAAAACAAAATATCCTAATTTCCATTACAGGTAGTTAAGAACTGCTACTTCAATCCCTCCACCCCCCTAGTCTCCTCAATTAGTATCATTAGTATCATCAAATTGTCACTCATTTGATTAAGGGACAGTACAACACTCAGGCAGGGGCATGACTGATCTGACCTCCCAGTCCCTTTCAGTCCGTCCATCCATACGAAGTAGGGGAAGCAAAATTGGCAGCAGTCCTAACCCACGCAACGCTTGCCCAAGGGGAGCCCCTGAGCACCAGGCAGACTCCAGCATGGGCACAGCAGGCATTTTCCCAGAGTGGGCCGAGTGCCAAAGCCTGGCATGGCGACTGGTGTGGGAGGCCTGGAGACAGGGAGGTGAGCCAGGGCCCACACTCTTCCCCCCTCCGCAGATTCAGTTTCTCCAGCCTGAGCCTCTACCCTAGTGCTCCCAATTCCAAAGTTCCTCAGCCCCTATCTATTCCCTTCCATAGTGCCCACTCTATGCCAGATGCCTCTCACCAATCATCTAGACCTGTGCTTCTCAAACTTTCAAGAACATGCAGATCACTCAGGGAGCGTGTTAAAAATGCAGATTCCAATTCATTAGGTCTGGGTTAGGGCCTAAGATTCTGTATTTCTAACAAGATCCCAAGTGATGCCCATGATACTTGGCCCATGGACCATACTTCGAAAAGCAGGGATCTCAATGACTATAGCAATTTCTACAAGTATCTCCCAGGAAGCGTCCAGCTATCCAATTCCATCTGTCTACTTATCCTCCAGATAGTAATGAGAACCGTATCTCAGGCCTTCCTGATTCAGAAACCTCCCTCCATGGCATAATACACAATACAAACCTGGTTTATAAATTTCAATTCAAATGTGAAAAAAGTGCAACCTTCACAAGAGTCTCATTCATGACTCCAAAGATCCATGTAGCCTAGGATTACTGTCACATTTCTTTTCAAATCTGCCTATCCCTCTTTTATTTCCAAAATTTCTCCATAGACATCCTTTTTCAGGAAGCATCTCTTCATAAATATCTCTTTCTCAGTTTCTACTCATACCTTCCCTTTCCAAAGTAATGAGGTTTCAGTCCCTGTCTCCTTACTATTCTCTTTTATTTTATTTTAGCCCCAGTCTTTTTCACCATTTTGGGTGTGAATTCTTACCACAAAGAATCTTAGATACTCTCACAAAGTTTTTGCACCCAGCTCAAAAAAAAAAAAAAAAAAACACACCTAAATGAGTTGGCAAGGATATGGGGAACCCCTGCCTCTAGAAGATTGCCCTGGTGTCACCTACTCTCTGTAGGGACTATTTCAGAAATCCCACAAGTAAGAGAGTAGCTTTCCAGTCCTCCTTTCCAGGACGGGCCCTGTGTATAAATACAGAAGGAAAACACTGACCCTTCTTCCATACCAAAGCATAAATCTCTGACTGCTTCAGGAAAGATGCCTGTTGTGCCCACGCTGGAGCCAGTCTAGTCTTCAGGGATTCCATGGAGCCAGGTAGAGTGGGTTGGGCCTTCTATCAACTTCACCACTTCCTGCTCCTCCCCAAATTCCTTGGGAATAGATGGAGAGGGACCAAGGGAGGTTGTTACAAGCATTCTCCTGCCCCAGGTTGTGGGATCCCTTGTTGCTCTTTGAATGAACAACACTGCTCTCACTGTTGGGGGAGGAGGTCTAAAGGAAGGAGAGAACCTAGTGCTTGCCCTGAATAAGATTCCAGTACAATGGAATAGACAGGATAGTGACCAGGACTCAGGCAGAGCCAAACAAAGGCAAAATTAGAAGCAGGAGCTGGGTACAGTTCTAGATGCTAGAAGAATGGGGAGAAAGGCTGTTTGACAAAGAAGTGTCCTAGAAGATAGTTTTAAAGGAGATAGTACTAGTCTGAAAAGAAGGAGAATCTTTTGTAGCAAGGAAATGTATAAGGCTCAATTCAATTAAACAGCTATTTATTAAATGCACATTACATGCCTGGCATCTAGTGGGTGCTGTGCAGGAGTGAACAAGAGATGCTCCTTACCTACGAGCTACAATCTAGGGGAAAAAGAAAGAAAATAAAGACACACAGAAAACTGCTATTTTAATCTAGGTGTACTATTAAATGAAGGCGAGTGTTAGAAGGGAGTCTTCGTTTCCCTCGCTTCATCTTTATATGTGGAGAGGCTTCAGCTGGAGTTTTGGTTTTCAAAGTGTGGTCCCTGGACCAACAGCATTAGCATCACTTGGGAACTTGTTAGAAATGCAAATTCTGGGCCAGGCACGTTGGCTCACGTCTGTAATCCCAGCACTTTGGGAGGCCGAGGCAGGTGGATCACCTGAGGTCAGGAGTTCAAGACCAGCCTGGCCAACATGGCGAAATCCCGTCTCTACAAAAAATTACAAAAATTAGCTTGGCATGGTGGCGGGCACGTGTAATCTCAGCAACTCAGGAGGCTGAGGCAGGAAAATAGCTTGAACCCAGGAGGCAGAGGTTGCAGTGAGCCGAGATTACACCATTGCACTCCAGCCTGGGCAAAAAGAGCAAAACTCCATCTCAAAAAATAACAATAAGAAGAAAAAAATGCAAATTCTGGGCACATCCCCCCACCGCCACCACCACCTAGGCCTACTGAATTTGAAACACTGGTGGTGGGGCTCAGCTATCTGTGTTTTAACCAGTCCTCCAGGTAGTGTTGACACATCCTGAAGGTTGAGAACCACTGATCAGGGTGATATCCCTAGCCTGTCTCCACTCTCTCACTTTCTTTGATTAATGAGTTGAAGAGATGGCACTGAGTGTACCCAGCCCGATACCCTTCCAATTTTTTTTTTTTTTTGAGATGGGGTCTGCCTCTGTCTCCCAGGCTGGAGTGCAGTGGTGCAATCTCAGCTCACTGCAACCTCTGCATCTGGGGTTCAAGCAATTCCCCTGCCTCAGCCTCCCAAGTCTCTGGGATTACAGGCACTCGCCACTATGCCCAGTTAATTTTTGTATTTTTAGTAAAGATGGGGTTTTACCATGTTAGCCAGGCTCTTCTCAAACTCCTGACCTCAAGTGATCCACCTGCCTCAGCCTCCCAAAGTGTTGGGATTACAGATGTAAGCCACAGCGCCCAGCTTGATTTTTTGTTTTTGTTCTTGTTGTTGTTGTTGTTGTTGCTTTTGTTTTCAGAGCCAGCCTGCCCACAGTACACATGCATTCCAACCTGTTCATACACGGCAAAATTCTAATAAAAGCAGCCTCTAGCCCTGTAGTAGGAGGCAGATGGGCGTTCAGCAGAGTAAGTCTGTCTAATTTGGTGGTGCGGTATTAGCAAGCCAACACAGCTGCAGATTTAAAGCTGATGGTTTAAATACCCGTATGTCTCCTAGGTCTTGATTAATCAATGGTACTGAACATAGGAGGGGAGAAATTGGGTTTTCCCTGTTGATTTTGTTTCCAAAGCCAGCCTGCTGACTCTCACCAACTCCAAAAGTGGGTTTAAGCGAAGAGCTGGCAGGATGCGGGTTCAGACTACTTGCAGCAGAGAGACCTAGTTGAGGGGGTAAGAGAGCAGAAGAGCTAGAGGAAATCCTAGAATGTTTTAACTATATGGAAGCTTAGAAATCATCCATTCTTACCTCTCATGTTAAAGATAAAGAAGCAAAGCACTGAAGGATTTGGGTGGCTTGCTCAAGGTCATGTTGCTATTTAGCAGCAGAGACAAGACTAGAACCCAGGACACCTGGCCCTCAGCTGTGTACTCTCTGAGCAGGTAGACCAAAGAAGACAATAGTAGAGAAAAATTCAAGTCCAAGAGTACAGATATCACCCAGTAGAAGAACCAATCCCAGGGGTTAGTGGGCTTAAAGCCCAAGTGCTTTGTATGCACAGGAAAGCTCTGGCTCCAATCCGCCTGTCCATTTTGCCCCTTCACACAGCCAAGCCTCAAGCAACACAGCCCGCTCGGTGTGCTCAGGACACTGCTTCACTTTCCTGTGCTTTCCCTAGCATTACTCCCTCTGCCTAGAATCCACTGCCCAGACCAGCACCCCCCGCCAAACCTGCCCAGGTGGTGAAATCCTATCTGTCCTTTAAGAGAGCCAACTCAAATGCCATTCCTCCAAAAAATGTCTCTGATTTCACCAATCAACCCTCACCACTGTGCCAACCCAAAAGGATCATCCTCCACTCTGAATTCCCAAGACCCTTTATTTACTCATATGTTACTTATGGCACTTATCACTTTCTACTTTGTATTGCGGCTATACCTTACTTTTTGTATTAGAATATAAGCTCCTTAAGGGCAGGGGCCATACTTCATTACATGTGCTATCGTTTCATAATGCCTAGAACATGATATACAATAAATATTTACTAAATCCATTATTTAACCAGCCAACCAAAGCTCAGAAGTCACATGTCAGGGAACATGTCACCTGTTGCAGCCCAAACATCACAGAAACTGACACTGAAGGACATCATAGAAAAATCAACCCTGCTTTCCCCCCAGAAAAAGCTCCAAATACCTCCCAACATTTTGCTTTTTTACGCACCACATGACATAATCCCATTTGGGTTCGTCTAACTCATGTAGCTTCATGTACTAATTAAGCTGTAAGACACAACAGGGCATGAATTTATTGTGCAATAATTCACACGCAGAATGTTTGCGCAGTGCTTGGGCGTGAGTTATGACACATTAATTCACGGCCTAGAGGGCCTCATTGCAATTACAGAACCATTTTTTAAATATCATCTGGGTTTAAAATACAAATATTGGTCTCCCCAGTCTTAAAACCCTTAGCCCCAAAATGCAGCTAGCCTCCTTTCTCCTCATTCTGCTTTATCAACTTAGCTGTTCTGATGGCAAAGAATGTAGAGTCCAATTCTTCGTTTTACTTCCCTAGAATCAGAGGGGCACTGTGAAAAGAGAGGAAGAGGGAGAATGGGGCAGAGACTTTATAACTATCTGCAAGAGAGAGAGAGGAGCTGGTCCTTGGGTAAGGAAACACTGCAGAAATGGATCCTGCAGCCAACTAAGGGTCTATTACTAAGAAAGGAGAAGGGCCAGAAAAGACTTTTATGAATTCTGACATTCAATAAACCTTACCCAAAGCAACAAGGCAAAATTCACTACAATGTTTATGTCCACAGTTAGGAGAGTGTGATGGGTAGGGAGAGAAGAAATAAGTCACCTGGCTCAGTAACTCATAACTAAAAACAATTCCTACTGTCTCCTCTCTCCCCAGGGTTCTGGGAGAGAAGGTGAGCTCACTTCTGCAGATGACTCTACTCACTGGCCACACCATGCTCTATAAACACCCTGCACCATCTGTGATGTCAGCTGCCAGCTGCCTGGAGAATCTGCCCTGCTCTGGGAGCTTGTATTAAAACACTCACTTATAACTCCCTATTAATTTTTCACGAGGAGTTATTTTTAACTTGCTCAAACCATTGTCTGAATATGCCAAATATATTTTCTTAATGAACGAGCCTGGCGTGTGGTTCCTCCTTCCCCTCCTCTCCTGCTGCTATTCAAATGGTCCCTTCCTCATGGGGCGCAGGGCTTGGATGAACTATTCACAGCAATGCCCCGGAAATGAGTAGTGGGGAACAGAGAAAACCAAGACACAAGGCTCACACTTTCCTCCCTACTCAGGCTTTGGTTTTGAGAGAACTTCAGGAATTTCAGGAGATGTTAACAGGTTTATAAAAACAGAAAGATCAAGTCAAAATTGAAAACTCTTCTCTACAGATTATCCAAAGGGACTCTTGGGTTATTGGATCAAATCATCTCTCTACAAATCCATCTAGACTCCTTTATTTGCCGTAATATTACCAGTCCCAATATTATGATTTCCTTGCAAGTAAGTGGGGTAGATACACAGTCAATTTTTAACTCATGGACTCTTTCTAAACTATAAATCTGATTGAGTTGTTCCCCCACTTAAAACCCTTCCGTGGTTCCCTTCTGCCCTCAGGATAAAGTCTAAAGTCCTTAGCCTAGCCCTTCCCAATTTCTTCATAATTTCACTCTGCTTATTCCTCTAGTACCATCATCTTCCCAGGTCGTGCTCCTGCCATGCAGTTCCACTCACCCTGCTCCCCTGCCTCTAATCCCCGCTCGGCCCTTTCACTCAGCGGATTCCTACTTATTTTTCAATTCCCAGTTTAGAAATTGCTTCCCTGGGAAGCCTCCCCTGGCTTTTTCTCTGGATTAGGTGCCCTTCCTATATCCTCTCATAGCATCTGTGCTTGCCCCACTTGGCATAAATTATCAAGATTCCAGTTCAGCTGCCTGTCTCCTCCACTAGACTCTGAGTTAGGAGCTAATAAATATTTGTTGAACAAATGTACAAACAGAGAAGAGAAAACCTGAAAGAGCAGATAATCCAAAATTCCTATCTGCTTGACTTTGAGATACATACTTTGTAGCCAAGCAACCTTTATAAATCTGACTCAGGTAAATATATAAATGGTATTACATTCCTTGTAGAAGGCAATCAAAATGAAAAGCGTGAAGGGAAAACCAACTGTGATAAAACCTTGACCGCAGATAATTCATGGCATGTATAAGCCACATGTAGGCGATAAAGAATTGTTTGCCATTGTGGATGCTTGTTTTAGAAATATCAGCCTGCCTTGGATTGCAGGGAACCTTCTAACCCTCAGTTAGCAGGTCCCTACTTATCTGAAGGCATCATGCTCAGCTCTCCGTAGGACATCCCCTAAGCCAGAGGTTGTCACTCGAGGGGCCATAATTAAGATACCTGGGGAATATTTTCAAACTTCATATCCTTACCCTCTGGAGATTATTTTACAACTAGCCCCTTACTTCTTGTGACTGCTCTAAACCATCCCAAATGACAAGAACCTGTCCTAGATTTAAAAGGGACGAGACTCTAAAACTTTCCTTCACAGGAAGGCAGCGTAGTTTACTAGTTAAGAGTAAGAGCTCTGTAGATAGACTGCTGGGGTCAAATCTCAGCTCAACCATTTCACAGCTACATGATTTTGGACAGATTCTTATCCTTATTTTATTTATTTATTTATTTATTTATTTATTTATTTATTTATGTTTTGTTTTGAGACGGAGTCTTGCTCTGTCACCCAGACTGGAGTGCAGTGGCGCGATCGCAGCTCACTGCAACCTCAGCCTCCAGGATTCAAGTGATTCTCTTGCCTCAGCCTCCCAAGTAGCTAGGATTAAAGGCACTCGCCACCATGCCCAGCTAATTTTGTCTCTGGACAAATTATTTACCCTCTATGTGCTTTAGTTTCCACAACTGAAAAATGGGAGTAAATAAACTTCATAGGGTTGTTAGGAAGATCAAATGCAGTAATGCTTGAAAAGTACTTAGCTCAGTACTTAGCAAAACAATATGTACTTAATACAATCTACCTAATACTTAATATTAAAATTTGATCCAAAGTCCTCCAACTTTGAAAATGAATTCATCTTTTTAAATGTCTAGCCTCAAAATCACCCACTGAAACTTAAGCTTGTTGGCTGGCCCTCATGAGAAAATAAAGACTGTTTTATTCTGTATAATTTACCTTGAATCTCTGAGAACTCTAATCAGATACCCTTGGGCCTGCTACTGGTAAACACTTTGGAGGGTCCTAGTCTTACTGAGTTAGAGCAGGCATTGAAAAGGCCAAGGCTCAGCCAGGCACAGTGGCTCATGCCTGTAATTCCAGCACTTCGGGAGGCCAAGGCAGATGGATCACCTAAGGTCAGGAGTTCGAGACCAGCCTGGGCAACATGGCGAAGCCCAATCTCTACTAAAAATACAAAAAATTAGCCGGGCATGGTGGCAGACAGCTGTAATCCCAGCTTCTCGGGAGACTAAGGCAGGAGAATCACTTGAACCTGGGAGGCAGAGGTTTCAGTGAGCCAAGATCACGCCATTGCGCTCCAGCCTGGGTGACAGTGAGACTCCATCCCAAAAAAAAAAAAAAAGAAAGAAAGAAAAGGGCAAGGCTCAAATATTATAGCAAAAATAATAACTGACATTTATTGAACATTTACTATGGGCACTACATTGAGTATTTTACCTGTGCTTCCTCACAACAACTCTAAGAGACAAGTCCTATTGTTGTCTTCATTGTGTACGTTAGAAAACTGAGATTTAGATAAGCCAAGAACTCGTGCAAAGTCACACAGAGAACAAATGGTTGTGCCAGGATTTGAACAAAGACTGTCTGATGCCAAAACTCAAGTGAACTCCTATGCCACGCTGCCCTGCTTCCCTACCGCTCTGTTGGGATTGTACACAAGTTTCCTTCAACACCCCAATTCCTAAAATGGACACAGATTGAGAGGGAGGCCACAGATTCCCTTTAGTGGCTCTTTGGACCTCAAGAATACTGTCTTCTGTCCAGCCAGCCCTAAAAGGAAGAAATGATTAAAAGAGGAACACAGCATGAACAATTTGCTTCACGTTATTTCTGGAAGAGGCAGTACTGGGTACTACAGTAGTAAGAGCAAAGAATATTGAGTAATTTTCTGGAGTGGAGCCATAGCTCTTCTGCTTAACTGTATAAATTTTGATAACTTGCTTAATCTCTCTAAGCCTCAGTTCTCTTATCCATAAAATGGAAATGATAATATTTGCCTTACAGGATCAATATGAGAAATAAATGAGAAGATACAAACTATCACACACTGCTGGTGAGGGCCACCATCCTGGTACAGTCTTCATGGAATTAAATGTGCACACGCTCTCTAACCCAGCAATCCCACTGCTAGGTATACACCGCAGGAAAACTCTCTGGGTTCATAAAGAGGCTGAGATAAGGATATTTATCACAGCACTGTTTGTGGTAGTAAAAAGTTGGAGGCAACCCAAATGTCTATTACTAGGTGAATATGTAATAAAATCTACTGTATGAGCATAGCGGTCAGAAATAATGAAGTTGATTTCCATACAGCAACATAGATAAAGCTCAGAAACAATGTTAAGTGGAAAAAGTAAAAGCAGGATAAAGCATATAGCACAATGTCATTTATGTACATTAAAAAGCGGTCAAAATAACACTATATTTTTTAAGGATACAGATAGATCTATTTTAAAATGTAAATCAGATCATGTAATTCCTCTGCTCAAAACCTTCCCCTGGTTTCCCTCCTTATTCAGAGTATAAGCCAAGATCTGAGCTTACAGTGGTCCACAAAGTCTTGCATGATTTGCCACTGACCCAGCTACCTCCCAGCCTTCTGTTTCTCTCTCTTTTCTCACTCATTTTGCTCTGGGCATTGGCCTATACTGACCCTTCTGGCCTCCTAACATACCAGGCAAGACCTGCCTCAGGGCCTTTGTACTTGCTGTCCACCCACACCTGAACCACTCCTACCCTAGATGTCCATATGGCTGGTCTTTAATGTGCATTTGATGCACCACACGTTTCAGTGAAGCTTTCTTACATCACCCTGAAGAAAGCGGCAATCTGCTCCTGACCACCCACAATACAACTTATCCCCTACCCTGATTTTTTGTTTGCATAGCACTTATCACTATTTAACGTATCCACTCATTTATTTGTTCACAATCCTCTCACCCCACTAGAACGTAAGCAACACAAATGCAGGTTTTGATTGTTTTGTTCACTGCTGTGAACACCTACAACTGTGCACCTACAACTTCTCAGCACCTGCAACTCTGTTCAACACATAGCAGGCACTTTATATTTGGTGAATGGCTGAATGTCTCTAAATAAACATATAGAGTTTGGATTGGAAGAGCACTAACTAAATACATGAAAGCAGATGGCTCCCACAAGGAAAGGAAATGAGAAATAGAGGTGAGGGGTGAAAGGGAAAAATAGAAGGAACCGAAAAGGGGCCTTACATGGGTTTGAGTCAAAACCCATGACTCAAACAGAAGCATGCAGAACAAACAAACAAACAAACAACCAGACTGACAGAAGAAAAAGCAAACAGATGATTGGGACTCCTGAGAAAGCCTAACTGCAGCCCAGTGTCTAACAATAAAGAGAAACATCTTCCTTGAATGCAATTCTCAGAAATATCTTTCCCTGTGCAATAATCTGCAATTATTCTAATGGTTTATATTCAGTCTGGGTTCTTCAAACCAGCTGTCAGAGCCCCTTCCTAATCATGCCCACCTCTACCCTCAAGCCTATTACCCCACTCCTAACTCAGCTCCTCACATTGTGACTTACCCTGCATGCAGCAAGTTTGGCCTGCATCAATTACTGGTGTGGCCAAGAGGTGCCCTCCTCACTCCTTTCTATCTGGTCTTGGCCCTCTAGCTCTTCTCAATCCTATTCTACAATCTTTCCCCCACTTCTAGAAGCCTTCCCTATGCCATCCTGACTGATTTCCCTATCTCCAACCTTCCTTCCCATTTCATCAGCACTGACAGCTAACCCTGATGCTCAGCCGAAATTAGTTTTCCCTTTCTGTCTGATGGTGTCCTGGGTATGTCCCTTAAATTCCTTTATATCTAAAAGCCTCCAGAGGGCAGGGCCATGATCTATGTACCTGTTCCTTCCGAATTCCATGCTCCCACCACCGACCCTTGCTACGCAGGACAAGGATCTACTCAATTGTACCGAGCAACCAAAAGAGACACTTAGGACAGAGAAAATAAACACATAGCTGTATTGATTAACAACTATGTCTTGGGATGCCTAGAAATAGGAATTTTTTTTTTTGAAAGAGAGAAAGGGCCAGACAGAGGTGGGAACAGGAGACTAGAATACGCACAATCTTCTATTTAAAGAGCATTTCCTAAGGATATTTCCTAATAAGGGCCCTGGGCCTGTGGATCTCAGTTTAATTAGGAAACAGTCTCTCCCAAAGGAGGTGCTTGGCCCAGGGGAGGTGCTTAAAGAAATACAGAGAAAGGCCAGAGAACATGAAGCCAGCTTGTATGAATTCCATCATGCCCCTGGCTCCCTCCTTCCCTCCCTTCTACTCCCTGTGTTTCTCTCATTCTCTGAGCTCTTTCCAAACTCCAAAACAAAAGTTCCATCCCAAGTAGCCAAGAAGAACTCATGTCGAATCCAACAATCCGCCCACTACATTGAAGGCTGTCTTGTTTTCCCAGCCAACCCCACCCACTCTCCTTCATCCTGAAGGTCATTGTGTTCATTCCTCTGTCTCTAAGAAGGGCACTACCCTCACTCAGGACCTTTCCTTTTCAAAACATTTTTCCAAGGAAGTAAGTTCCACTGGTTCCCGTGCTGGGGTGCTAACAATCTTGCCAATCCGGAAGTTTGGCCTCATGGCTCCTGCTGAACAACTTCAAATAGAGTGTGGACACAAAGTGCTCTCCTAGAAACTTGATAAACGTTCACGAGAGGAAAGCAATGGAGCTGCTACATAATTATTTCAGGTCTCAAAGCTTCCAAGAAGTGGACTTTAAAATGCAACATCTCCTAGAGATTATATCAATCTCTTTGCTTGTAAATACAACTCCTTTCCTGATCCCAAATTATATAAGTTTGCTCTTCCTTAAAATTTCCAGAGAATGAAAACTCTGGAGCCAGTCAAACCAATGTCTCAAAAAAAAAAAGAAAAAGAAAAAAAAGTAAAGGTTTCTGGATATCTAAGCTTTCCCAGAGTTTCCAAAGCCCTGACTCAAGTACCTCTGCAATTATGGTTGGAGGCAATCAGAAATACAAGAGTAGAGGCTTTGTGTTCAAGGTGACCGCTTTAAATAATAATAACCATGGCGTACGCAGTGCACCAACAGCTCTAAATGCAAACAGTTCAAAACACGTAAGAAAAGGTAAACTGTATAAAAGCCATCATGAACACAGGGTCTGAGTTATATATCCAAGGTCTAGAAGAAATTAGTTAAGGCCAAACAAAAAACAGAATCTTCTCATATTCTCTTTCTGTGTGTGCCTTCTCTAGAAGTCTATGTCTAGTCATGGTCCCTTATTCATTCATTCAACAAATATTTACCGGTCCTCAACTATTCAGCACTGGGGATACAGCAATTAAAACACACACACAAAAAAATCCCTCCACTCAAGTCACTTACATTCCAGCAAGAAGAAGCAAACAACAACAAGTAGTAAGAATACATATTGTGTTAGGCCGGGCGCAGTGGCTCACGCCTGTAATCCCAGCACTTTGGGAGGCTGAGGCGGGTGGATCACGAGGTCAGGAGATCGAGACCATCCTGGCTAACACGGTGAAACCCTGTCTCTACTAAAAATACAAAAAAATTAGCCAGGTGTGGTGGCGGGCACCTGTAATCCCAGCTACTCGGGAGGCTGAGGTAGGAGAATGGCGTGAACCCAGGAGGCAGAGCTTGCGGTGAGCCGAGATCATGCCACTGCACTCCAGCCTGGGTGACAGAGCAAGACTCCATCTCAAAAAAAAAAAAAAAAACAGAATATATATTGTGTTAGATTGTGGTTTGTGCTGTAAAGTAAAGCAAGTAAAGGTTAGGATGTGATCAGGATGGGAGTTGAGATTTTAAAACAAGTGGTCCAAGAAGGCCTTGCTGAGATGACACTTCACCAGCAGCCAGGAGCAGGTGCAGGAAAAAGCAATGGTGCAGATCTCTGAGAAGTGCAAATATAAAGACTCTGGCCATTGTTTATAGTGGTAAAATGTACATAACATAAAATTTACCATTTTAACTGTTTTTAAATGTGGCATTAGGCCAGGCATGGTGGCTCACACCTGTAATCCCAGCACTTTGGGAGGCCAAGGCGGGCAGATCTTCTGAGACCAGGAGTTTGAGACCAGCAAACATGGCAAAACCTCATCTCTACAAAAAATAGAAAAATTAGCCAGATGTGGTGGCAAGCGCCTGTAATCCCAGCTACTCAGGAGGCTGAAGTGGGAGAATAACCTGAGCCTTGGGAGGTCAAGTCTGCAGTGAGCTGTGATCATGCCACTGCACTCCAGCCTGGTGACAGAGCAAGACCTTGTCTCTAAAAAAGTAAAAATAAAAGTATATAAGGCAGGGCGCAGTGACTCACGCTTGTAATCCCAGCACTTTGGGAGGCCAAGGCAAGTGGATCACAAGGTCAAGAGATTGAGACCATCCTGGCCAACATGGTAAAACCCCATCTTTACTAAAAATACAAAAATTAGCTGGGCGTGGTGGCAGGCACCTGTAGTCCCGGCTACTTGGGAGGCTGAGGCAGAAGAATTGCTTGAACCCAGGAGGCGGAGGTTGCAGTGAGGCAAGATCGTGCCACTGCACTCCAGCCTGGGCAACAGAGTGAGACTGCGTCTCATAAATAAATAAATGCAGCATTAAATACATTCACATGAGGGTCAATCATCGTCACCATCCACCTCCAAACCTTTGCCATCTTACCCAACTAAAACTCTGTGCCCATTAAACATTAAATTCCCATTCCCTCCTGCTCCCATTCCTTAGAAACCACCACTTTACTTTCTGTCTGTATGAATTTGACTATTCTGGGTACCTCATATAAATAGAATCATACAATATTTGTCTGCTTGTGTCTGGCTTATTTTATTTAGCATAACGTCTTCAAGAGTATCCGTGTTGTAGCGTGTATTAGAATTTTCTTCCTTTTTTAGAGTGACTAATATTTCTCTCTATGTATATACCACATTTTGTTTATCTGTTTGTTTGTCTATCTATCAATAGATGCTTGGGTTGCCTCTCCCTTTTGGCTATTCTGAATAATGTTACTATGAACGTGGGTGTACATATATCAATTTGAGTCCCTGCTTTCATTTCTTTTGGATATATTCCCAGAGGTGGAATTTCTGGGTCATATGGTAATTCTAAGTTTACTTTTTTAGGAATCACCAATTTACTGTTTTCCACGGTGGCTGCACCATTTTACTTGCCAACCAGCAGTACACAAAGGTTCCAATTTCTCCACATTCTCGCCAACACTTGCTATTTTCTGTTTTTTTAATAATAGCCATCCTGATGGGTGTGGAATGGCACCTGACCATCTTGGGCTGGCACAGAGTGAGATAGGAAGAAGTAGTCGGGGATGAGGTCAGAGAGAAATCAGGAGGCCGGATCATTCATGGCGGGCCATAGAGTCACTGTGAGGACTTTGACTTTCACACTGGGTATCATGGAAACCCTAGATGAAGTGGCAGTTTTGCATATTGGCTACTGATTGTCATGTTCTTTGAACTAAGTATTTGGTTCTCAAACTATGGAACAGGCCTCCTCCAGAGTTTAAAAATACAGCATAGAAATGGGTTCTGCAGAGTTCTCCACAGACATCTCATGGTTCTGACAAAAAAGTGAGAGCTAAACAAGCTGAGGCCCTCTCCCACCAGCCTCCCTCTCCAGATGCCATATACCCACCCATGGAAGAGTAACATGATGGATTACTTTCATCCAGATTGTTCACTTCATGGATTATCTTTAGCCAGGATTCAATCACTTAAAAAAAATAATAATCTTCGTCTCATTCACTATTTTGGATTATCTCCTCCATTTTTCTTGGTAACCAAGAGCCGATATGGAGATGAAGGATACTTTTTCCCAGAAACTGGTGAAATTAAGGACTGCAAAGACAAAGGCAGGTAGATTCTCAGAAAAGGGGCAGGAGCAATGTGAATCAGGCACTCACCAGCCTTGCAAAATTAAATAGATGAATTCAGTCCCAAGCCCTGGATGCCTCAGCAAGGATTGTCAGAAATGTCTGAGATGATCAGAGCTAGGGAGAGAAAGGGCCCCAAAGGGAAGCCTGAAAACACATTTTTGAGAGGCAGAGAGTACCTCTCATAACCTCACTTCCCCCAGGCAACAGGGATGAAAGCTTCTACATCAAAATGAGAAGTCCAAGGAGTTATAGATTTTCTCAACAATAAATAATCTGGAGAGAATGGCCTCCCAACCACCGTTTATAAATGCTAGAAAATACACACTTGTGTGTGGTGAGGGCAGGGGGGTGGAAAGTGGAGAAAGAGAGAATTATGGAGTTGTCCCCTCTGGGAGAGGAGGAGGGCCAGAAATCAATTTTCACTGTGGCATTCTTAGGATTCAAATGGGGGCTAGGAGAGGGAAGTATGGTCAAATCTGGGAACCTAAATGACTAATTTTTCTCAGTAAGCAAACAGGCCAGGTACTCTAGGATTCTGTGTGTTATTTTTCCTTCCATCTGAGGACCACCTTGTTCATCCCCCTGTCTCTACACAGTATGAACACCACCACCACTCGCCCTGGGTAAACAGAAACTCCGTGGCTTCCCTCAGGCCATAGTCCCTCCCTCATATTCCCTTCTCGGTGGTCTCATTAAAGAAGTCTTGGGTTACCCTTTTCAGCCCAAAGATTTATAATAAAAATGAAACTAGGATTTAGGAGAAGGCTGCTCTTCTCTCTCTCTTCAGGTAGAAAAATAATGGACCTACATGGCAGTGAAAGTTTTAGGTCATTCATTCATTCATTCAATAAGTATTAAGCACCTACTATATGCCAGTCGCTGTGCTTGGTGCTAAGAACACAACAGGCAGGGGAAAGACATGTTCCCTGTCTACGTGGCACTGTCTTTAAAAATGTTCTTATCTAATCCAAAAGTGCCAGAAACGCCTAATCTGAATCTAATGATGAAAATAATCCGTCAAATTTAGACCCAGTGACTTTCTACAAAACAACTGACCAGTACTCTTCAAAACTGTGAATGCTATGAACAACAGGCTAAGGAATGATTCCAGATTAAAGGAGAATAAAGAGGCATGATAACAAAATACAGTGCATAAACTTCAATTGGATCAGGGCTAGGGAGAAACATTTCACTATAAAACAAATTATTCAGCTAGCGCAGTGGCTCACACCTGTAATCCTAGCACTTTGTGAGGCCAAGGAGGGCAGATCACTTGAGCCCAGGAGTCTGAGACCAGCCTAGGCAAGATGGTGAAACCCTGCCTCTATAAAAAAAAAAAAAAAATTAGTCTGGCATGGTGGCATGTGCCAGTAGTCCCAGTTGCTTGGGAGGCTGAGGCAGGAGGTTCACCAGAGCCCAGGAGGTAGAGGCTGCAGTGAGCTGTGATCATGCCACTTGCACTCCAGCCTGGGCAATAGAGTGACACCCTGTCTCAAAAAAAAATCAGTGGACAATTAGCAAAATTTGAATAGGCACTGCTTTACATATGTGTGTATATATACACACATATATATATATGAGAGAGAAGGGGAGAGCACACAAATGTGGCAAAATATTAGCAATTTGTCAATCTTGGTGAAAAATGAATGGGTATTAATTACACTATTTTACAACTTTTCTGTAGGTTAATATTTTTCAAATTAAAAGGTTGGGAGGAAAACAAGAATATTCCAACAGTAAAGGTTATGGATTTTTCTTCTCTGAATAATCTTATAAACAAACTTGCCATCATTTTTTTATTGGAAGGAAATCCTATCCAGATGATCTAGCCCTGAATCAAGAACTCTAGATCAGAGAGGTGGGTGGGAAGATAGAACTCCTTTGTCTCTGATTTACAACCAAAATTGTCAGCAAGTAAAAATGCCTGGAATGAAACCACAACCTTGACTCATGTTAGTATGGTTATAAAAAGTACATACTGTTATTGCCATTTTGTGGGACTAACACAAATTAATAAATCAGAGCTCTAGGCTTGAATGCTAAGAAGCATTGGGGAAGATGTGCAGAGGCTGGAGACAGAGCAAAATATCTGTCAAATGGCATGCCAGGGATAGAATTATGTGCAAGAATTAGAGTTACGTGGAAAGAGGGGTGAAAGGAACCAGAATGTGTTGAGCTGCAAGCAAGGTTCATATGCTATTTCATTTAACCCCTATTTACTCCATGACAGAAGTATTATTCTTTGATCTTGAAGATGAAGAGAGGTTAAATAACTTTTTCAAGATCATATAGCCAGTAAAAAGAAGAGTTAGAATTTGAACATGGTTCTTCATGAAGTCAAAGCCCATGTTCTTCCTACTGTGGCACCCAGTCTCCACAAAGAACAAGGAGTCTAAGGGCATGGCTATTAAAAGAGGATTTGAACCAGTTCTTACCCTTATGCCCAGGTCATCCCCTGCCAATGTCTTCTCTTTCCTCCCACATAGACACTGATAGGCCAGAGCTGGAAGCAGAGAAATCATTAAATCTGAAAGTTCCATCTTAACCATTTCCTGCTAAAATTCTAATCCAATCAGGTGCCAAAATTCTCCAGACAATCTTTTTAGATGCCAAGAAAGGAGATTCCAAAGCATCCCTGTAACTATTCCAATAGTTCATAGACACAATTTTACATCTAATTATAATTCCTACTCCCACAACTTTAACCCATTGGCTTTTGCTTGATTTTTAGTGGAAAATACAGGATAAAAGATCTCTAGATGCCAAACATAAGTAACCCCTCTGAGACTTCTTCCATCACACTGTTCTTTCATCATATTCCAAATCTTGTCTACTCACTACCTCATTCTTGAGAGGAAAAAAACCATCTTCAGTGCAGGTTAGGAAGTGCTAGAGAAGGAAATGAAAGCTTGATTTTCACTGGCCAAAGGAAAATGGGGTGGTGGGAAGGGAAGCGGGTATTTTTTTTTTATGGTAGCCCAATGGCAGGAAAATGGTTGCAATTTCCCTGACAATCTACATACCTCCAGATTTGGCCTTCCCAAACCTCAGCAGTCACCTAAGGATTCCAGATGCTACCAGCACACACCGTTAGGAAACATCTGTCACGAAGAACAGCCCCAACTGGGACAAAGGAGAGTAGGAAGGCAGACGGTGCCAGTTTAATGAGGATGGTTTAACAAAACATCTTTTAAGCTTTCTAATTCACTTGGCCATTTGCTCCCCAGACTTGGCTGCCAATCAGAAGCAGACTGTGGGGGGATGCTTGCCAGAGAATGGCAATCCCTGATCCTTAACTCAGGAGAACCCAGTACCAGAAAAATGTCAGCTTGTCAGTCATTCTAAAATATGATTAACCCCATTCCAGAGCTAACAATTCATGGTGATACTGGGGAGAAGGACTTGAGCTACGTGAGGTTGCTCGGTCTGGTTTGGTTGTTCTTGACAGCCAGAGGCCTTACTTAGCAGAATATCAAAAACAGGTATTAGTGTGCCCCATGTCCATGTCTAGCTCTGAGCTCATGACAACTAGAGCATTTCTAATATTTATTAATCATTCATGGAAATAATCATAAAGACCAATGGATATCCGGCATCAACACTGATCTCTTAGCCTTTCTATTTTTAGATTGCCTCGTTCTTTTTTAAGGTTATTAAAGAATATGAACTTGAGATAAGAAATAATGAGTTTTCTCAACATGCTATCAGTATAGGAAAATCCATGAAGAAGATAAATTACTTTTCCATTTCAGTTTCCAAGGGAAGAAAGCCCCAGATATGGCCAAAGACAAGGGGATTGGCAAAGCAGCCTCAAAGCATCCTTATTTTATTCGGGGGCGTTGCATGAAAATTTGGATTAAACCTAAGGAATCTCAGCTGAAATCACTGGTTTCAGATATATATTTTCCAAGGCCTGAATTCAACCTAGCTGACATGCCATTTTTCCCACCAGAACTCTATCTAGTAGATTCCTACAGTTGGCAAAGACTGCATCCCAGCCTCCTGCTATACTCCCTGATCCACCCTCCTGGCCTTTAACGTTGGTAACTCTAAACAATGAGATCCTCACAGATCTCACTCAGATTCACCCCAGCAACCATCAGAGAGTGCTGCCCTTCTTTTTTTTTTTTTTTTTTTTTTTGAGACGGAGTCTCGCTCTGTCGCCCAGGCCGGACTGCGGACTGCAGTGGCGCAATCTCGGCTCACTGCAAGCTCTGCTTCCCGGGTTCACGCCATTCTCCTGCCTCAGCCTCCCGAGTAGCTGGGACTACAGGCGCCCGCCACCGCGCCCGGCTAATTTTTTGTATTTTTAGTAGAGACGGGGTTTCACCTTGTTAGCCAGGATGGTCTCGATCTTCTGACCTCATGATCCACCCGCCTCGGCCTCCCAAAGTGCTGGGATTACAGGCGTGAGCCACCACGCCCGGCCGAGTGCTGCCCTTCTTTAAAGCAGGCTACAGCCCTAAATCACATTCACCATGATTGCTGCATTGCAGCAGATAACTGAAGTGTGAGTGCCCTCTACCCTCCTTCTGGAAAATGACACGTTCTTCAAGGATTGAAAGCAACACACACACACACACACACACACACACACACACACACCCTACACCTTCTCCCTACCAGACCTGCAGTTTTCTGCTCTCTGTTAAATCCAAACTTTTAAGATTGTATTTCCAGATCTTTCTTTTCATTGTTCCCCTAACCGTTACTCTTATTATTAACCTTTTCTGTGGCTCTTTGCTTGAACAGGACCAATCTTTCCCCATATACGAACATCTTGCTATCATCACCTCAACCATCACATGGACAGTCCCTCTCTGCCTAGAACACCCTTTTTCCAAACTGTTCAACAAGACTCTCCTTCAGGAAGCATATCTAACCACACCTACAGATATCTGACCTCTCTGCTATGCCCTCTTTGCCTGCTCTCGTCCCCTCATTACTGTCCAGAGTTCTGTCCATTTGCTCCTAACTTGTTTCCTTGCTGCACTGCCAGTGTCTGTGCCTTGATTATGTGTCCAGCCTTCTCCATCAGACTGACCTCCTCTGCTCCCCGTTCCTTTGGATTGGTTGGCAGTGAATATGGGTCTCTTGCACAGGAGGTTTTAGGACAGAATGGCATAACTCACTGGCCTAGAACTTTGCACTGGGAAGACGCCTGGTTAGAGAAGAGGGTAGCAGTGGTAGATGGTTAGGTGCAGCGAAGTAGCACAGCTCTTGCCTGATGACACTTTCAGCTTGCCTCTTCTTCCCCAGCTGAAGCCTGAGGTATAGAGTTAACTGGCCACAGCCAAGGAAGCACCCCATGATCTACAGCCCAATGTGGTGACAACAGAGATAATGAAACAAGAATGCAGGTCCAAGTCTCTTCCACACCACAAAGTGAAAATGCAAAGGAAGTAACCCAAACTGGCTGGGACTAAGGACGTTATCTGTGACACTATTGGCTCCAGTGTCATCCCCTTGAAGTCCAATGACCAAATTGACAAACAATACAGTTTTATTACTTTCATTGCTTTAGTTAATTGTGAAAATAAGTCACCTAATACTTTGGCTTTAGGCAACCTGGTGTGATACTCAAACTGCAATAAAGAAATCTCAGCTTAGACTGCAGAAAGGAGGGGTGCTCCAATGATCAAATGGTTGAATATTGTTTAGAATAGGACTTTCATTTGTTTTGGGAGGATGGGGAAGTGTCCATGAAGTACTTTTATATTGTAAGCTCCTAGGAAAGAGAATTTTCTCTGTTTACTACCATTTGTCCTGTACTGTCTATAAATAAGTTCACAGATGCATTCTGTTTAGTTTGGATTGGGTCTACAGTGAGAAATTGGATGACCTCTATATGGTTTGATGTTTCCCTCAAGTGAATACCACTGAAAGTTTCTAAGTGACAAAGGCTGGATTCAAACTACTGAAAATCAGATTTCAACTAAGTGTAAGTGAATACAAAGACAAATTCCAAATTAGAAAATTCAAGCACCAAAATGATTCCTTTTGCAAAGGAATTCGAGCAAAAGCAATGTCTTTTTTCCCTAAATTATTACCACCACAACGACCACCAAATCACCACACACTCACACACAATGCAAGACAAATGGTGGCAAATAAAGAATTCCCCTCTTTGGGAGCTTACATTTAAGAGATTTTGTGGCTACTTCCCCACTCCTCAAAATAAGTAAAAGATATGTAAACCATGGACTGAAACGTATAATCCTCAATCAGAAATACACAGAAAAGTGTTTATATCAGAGGCAAGGGCATGCCAAGATCCCAGATGACATCATAGTTGACAGAAGATATGAGTGGGAAGGGCTTCATTTTCCAGTGTTGGCAAGATTAGGGAGTATCTTCCCTGCACCTCAGGTCAGTCTGAGAAACCTTCGTGGAAGAGGGGGTAATTGCTCCATATGGGGATTTGGTTTCCCTGGGAAACATCAGTTCAGTCTACATCTTCATGGTGGTGAGAAGCTTTGCTATGAGCCAATAAATCAAACCTCACTTAGGCCTTCCTTCCATGCCTCCCATCAAAAACAAAAATAAATAAATAAATAAACTCTACATATGCTTTGAACCAGTAAATCCAGTTCGCTTAACTGCACTTATCCAGTTAAATGTTTACTACAGATTCTAATACAAATCTAAATACCAAAATATAATAATAATAATTCTCAGTCTTGGTCTGTGCTGAAAAGGAAAATAGAAAGAAACAATTTCAGTACCAATGAATGTGTTACTTCTCCGTAGGGAAAGAGAAGTAAAGCTGAGATGGCTTCCCTAAAAGGTTGGAAAGAAAGCTATGGTAACCAAATCTAGCTCAGACTAAAGAAAATAAATATCCAAGCTTATCTCCCAGGAGTCTTCTGAGAATGACCCCACAAAACTGACTGCTTATCAGGCATCCTCCCACACCTGTGAACTTTCTGTGTCCTGAATTCTGTCTGAATGATACTTGAGAGAATACTTTGTCTCCCTATCTAAAAAAAAAACTCCTTAGGGTAGAAACTGTTTTATGTTCACACACTAAGCTAGAAATTATAATTCTGCAATAAATATTACTAGCTCAACCAAGTATTGAACTTGAAAACTATGACAGCCCCCGAACTGCTCAGGAGACCAAGGGGAAACACAGCCACCTCCTCCAATTCACCTACCTACCCTACCACCCCAGCACTGCAACTCTTAAACCTCATTCTAGCTGGGCAGAGGCCAAATTCCAAGAAAACCCATTCTGATGTAGACCAATCCACTACAGGCCAAATGTACACCAAAATGATGTAGACAAAATCTATCCAGATGTAGACAAAATTCATCTAGATGCAGACCAAAACATTTTTGCTTTCTTCCCTCCGTATTATGCAGTCCCAGCTACATGCAGACACTACACTAGTACCATTGTGCTATGATTTGGGTAAATAATCAGACATCCAAAGCTTCTCCAGAGGCTACGCATACTTCCTATTATCTGGTGTCATTTCGGAATGGTTGTGAATAAGGTGGCTTTTCTGAGTCTCTCTGGGACAACTTCAGAGATGGCAGAGTCAAATCCGGATCTCTTCATTCAAGATTTGACACATTCACAGGTTTAGTTTTAGTCAGAATCCAATTTTGGAAATTCTTAACATTTCTATCACACCAAAAAAGATTATCAACTTGACAAATCAGAAAAGCCTGGGCTTCTGCTTCTAGAGCTCTTCAGAAATTAGATGGGCTACCAGGATGAATCAGAATTAGATTTTCCAAACAGAATCACAACGAGAACTGGGAAAAGCCAGGGAGGGTGTAAAAGATTAGAGATTTAGGCTGGGCACAGTGGCTCAAGCCTGTAATCCAAGCACTTTGGGAGGCCGAGGTGGGCGGATCACGAGGTCAGGAGATCGAGACCATCCTGACTAACCCTGTGAAACCCTATCTCTACCAAAAACACAAAAAATTAGCCAGGTGTGGTGGCACATACCTGTAGTCCCAGCTACTCGGGAGGCTGAGGCAGGAGAATCGCTTGAACCCAGGTGGCGGAGGTTGCAGTGAGCCGAGATCAAGCCCCGGCACTCCAACCTGGGTGACGGAGCAAGACTCCGTCTCAAAAACAAAAAAAAGAAAAAAGATTAAGAGATTTAAAAAGCGATGTGTGGCTGGGTGCGGTGGCTCACGCCTGTAATCCCAGCACTTTGGGAGGCCAAGGTGGGTGGATCACCTGAGGTCAGGAGTTTGAGACCAGCCTGACCAAACATGGTGAAACCCCATCTCTAAGAAAAATATAAAAATTAGCTGGGCGTGTTGGTGGGTGCCTGTAATCTCAGCTACTTGGGAGGCTGAGACAAGAGAATCGCTTGAACCCAGGAGGCCAAGGTTGCAGTGAGCCAAGATCATGCCATTGTGCTCCAGCCTGGGCAACAGAGCGAGACTCCCCCTCAAAAAATAAAAAAAGTGATGTGATACATTGAACAGCAAAAATCAGTTACTTTTCTCCCTTCCTCCCCTTTGATTCTCTACTCCCCTTTTCTCAACCCAGCATCGTATCAACCCAGCACTCCTCAGAAAAGTCCTCACAAGAAATTAGTAAAAGGAAATCCATCTGCATGTCCACCTTACTTTCCAATATGCAACTGAAACATAGGATGGCCTTTGTCTGCAATGAATCCTGATCCACACTCATTTTTTCTAAGAAGGCTTGCTAACCAAACTTGGTTCTGTTTCTTTCCCAAAACCCTTCATTTTCTTGTAAGCATAGACTGTAGAAGTCCACCCAGTGGTCCCGTCTATCACTATATCCTGTCTCTACTCTTAGACTAGCCATTGTGAATGGTCATTGTGAATGGCCCCTTCTTCCATGTATCTCCTCCCAACACCCACCATAATGTGCTACACACCAGGTAGCACAGGAAATTCCAGCTGTCTCTCTGGTTATCTTCCTTCATGCCTTCAAATGTATCATTCTGTCCTCCCCTGTAAATGGTTGGCTGTCTCTCTATCCTCTCTTACAAGGCTCTGCTGAATTCCTCTCATAGCCTTAGGCAGATGCTCCATACCCCCACCATCGCCCTTAGAAAGTTAATTTGTTTTATTTTGTTGTAGGAAAGATGTCAGGTCATCTGAGTTAAATGAAGGCTGTATCATATCTCAAAGTCCTGAGTTTTTATCCATATAGATCAATAGGACTTCTCCAACCAGAACCCACCTGCCTCACTCTTGCTTATTATGTCATAATCTACCACAAAGAGCCTCCGACAGCATGCTTTTTAGGGTACATTCCTTATCCTCATTCCCTGGTTCTTTCTATTCCCTCATCTGCCTTGTGATTTCTGTGATCATAAAAGAAAAAAGACCAGACACAGTGGCTCACACCTGTAATCCTAGCACTTTGAGAGGTCAAGGCAGGAGGATTGCTTAAGGCCAGGAGTTTAAGACCAGCCTGGGCAACATAGCAAGACCCCACTGCTACAAAAATACCCCTCCAAAAAATTAGCCAGGCATGGTGGCATGCATCTGTGGTCCCAGCTACTCAGGAGGCTAAGGCAGAGAAATCGCTTAAGCCCAGGAGTTAGAGGCTGCAGTGAGCCATGATCACACCGCTGCACTCCAGCCCAAACAACAGAGTGAGATCCTGTCTCAAAAAAAAAAAAGTGACAAAGATAAACCAAAAAAAAAATCAAAAATTATTTTTATTAACTTGGAATATACTTTTTAAAGGAAATTGGATTTTCCACATGATTTTGCTTAAACTAAGATTGAAATGAGTCTGCCTTCTGGAGACTCACATGTTAACTGATAATAGAGATGTTTTCCAAGAGCACTGGACGGCAAGAGAAAGTGAACCTAGAATTAAACAATTGCCACATATAGTCAATAACTCAGGTGTCATACATGGATAGGTATTGTCTGGGTTTCTGGTATTGGGGGTATTGCCGAAAGTGTATGTGTGTGGGAGGTGGGGAACAATTTAAGACTCCAAGGACCTTCAAAATTAAAGAGCTTTAAACATGTTTTGTGATAGAAGGAAACTGCCTCTTGGAGGCCAAGGAAGCCAGTCCTATTTCAGGCTTCTCTGCTAAGCCTTTATCAATCAATAAATATGCTTATCATGTATATAAAATTGATAGATTCCAAGAGAGAGAATGGAGCCATCAGGTTTCAAGGTTTATTTAGTGCTGGCTCATTTGCAATATACTTGGGACCTGAGACAAGCCTGCCTTCAGTGTTTTAAAGACCACTAGCAGCCACACCCCAACGGAATTTGGTAATCTTTCCTTCTATAGCTAATCTGTAATTCCCACCACTGCTTGTTTTTTATTGTATTCTATTTTTTTATTTATTTATTTTTTAGCTACTTGAGCACCTAGGAAGAAAACCCTCAAAGTCCTCTCTCTCATCATTGTGCACCACCTTATCAAACTGGAGCTGATATTCTGCAATGTCCACATCAGTGTCCTCCCTAAGTAGATGAGCCACAGATAGTTTCAGAATCTGAAGTGACACCAGGTGGTAAAACATGAAGGAGGCAGCAGACCCAGGTGGGAAAATCTTCATTCATTCAAACAACATGTCTGTGCACATACCATGTGCTGGACCCTGTGGGAAAGATAAAGATAAATAAAGCAAGCCCTAAATAAATAAACCAGGCCAGAAGGGAAAGCCAGGAATGGGGGCATGCAAAAAGGAGGGAAGGATGCTGGAGGAGGAAGGCTAGGAAATAACCTCCCCTAGCTTACAAGTTCCTAGGACCAGCTCTACTGAAGTTTTCTGGCTTGGAGTAGAATGGAATGTAGCCCCCAAATCACTCCACCCCCAGCAAACTTACCCACCCTCCTCAGGCCCACAAGGCCTCCTGGTCTGCACTCCTCAATCCAGAGCTCTGCCCTGGCACCATGGAATGCTCTCTGCTCAAAGCCCTCAGGGGTTCTACACTGGCACCACTCCAGACCCAGTCTGCTCAGCCTTCTTCCTCCCTGGCTATCTCAGTTATTTTACCAACCCCATAACCATGAGGAATCACTTATCCAGGTCTTTTTCTGGTTGGGGAAGAGGGCAGGAAGTGGGACCCCAAGGAGGCTGGAAGTAGTGGAACTTTTGAAGGGAGTTTAGGAAAGGGGAGGAACAGTGTGAAGGAGGTGGCATAGCCCAGAATCCAGGAAGAAAGCTGGAGGTAGGCAATGGGAGAAGCAGGGGCACCCAGTTCGGAGAGACAGTGGAGTGGAGGCTTAAATGGAACTTGGTTGGAGACCGGGCAACAGGAAATGGATTTTTTTTTTTTTTAAGATGGAGTCTCGCTCTGTCACCCAGGCTGGAGTGCAATGTCACAATCTCGGCTTACTGCAACCTCCGCCTCCTAGGTTCACCCGACTCTCCTGCCTCTGCCTACCGAGTAGCTGGGACTACAGGCGTGAGCCACCACACCCAACTAATTTTTGTATCTTTAGTAGAGACGGGGTTTCTCCATGTTGGCCAGGCTGGTCTTGAACTCCTGACCTCAGGTGATCCACCTGCCTCAGCCTCCCAAAGTGCTGGGATTACAGGCATTAGTTAGTTACCGCGCCTGGCCAGAAAATGGATTTTGAAGTAAGCATGTGTGCCAAGGGAGTACTGGATATGGAAGAGGCCCTGACTGGTTGAAGGAGAGGCTGGGAAGGGGTTGGTGCCTTGCCTGTGAAAATACGGGGATCGGGGCCGGATATGGTGGCTCACACCTATAATCCCAGCACTTTGCGAGGCCGAGGTGGGGGAATCACGTGAAGCCAGGAGTTCGAGACCAGCCTGGCCAACATGGCAAAACTTAGTCTCTACTAAAACTACAAAAATTATCCAGGTGTGGATTATGCCTGTAATCCCAGCTACTGGGGAGGCTGAGGCATGAGAATCGCTTGAACCTGGGAGGCGGAGGTTGCAGTGAGCTGAGATTGCGCCACTGCACTCCAGCCTGGGCGACAGAGGGAGATTCTGTCTCAAAAAAAAAAAAGATAAAATAAAATATGAGAGTCAGTCCCAGGTCCAGATAAAGAACCTCCACTCAGGAGCCCTTTCAACAAGGATAGACGCACCAGGCCCCCAACCTCTCTCGAAACACCCCTACTGGGTTCCTCTACCATCATCTCCCAATTCTCACCCCCCTACCCACATTGTCCCTCACCCCAGAAATAAAATTAAAAGGGAGCTGGTTTAGGCTTCACTGTGGGAGACCTCCTAAGACAGTCATTCATCATTCACAGCATATGTTAACTGACTACTCATTGATTATTGTGATGGAGGAAATAAAGATGAAAAAGATATAGTCCCTGCCTACAGAGTTTCCTGCTCTCTGGAATGGAGATATTCAAACAGTAGGGCTTCCAAGGCCCTGAAACAGGTGACCAAAGGAAGGTATCTCCTCTTTCCCTGATGTCAATCTTCAAACAGACGAGACTGGACTCCCAGGGACGGAATAGGTGGAGTCGGCATAGAGACTAAGGGCTGAATGGACAAGTGATCAGCTCAAGAAGCCACTGGTCTCAAGGGAAAGGAGTACTGCTGCCTTGACTCAATAGGGCTGCTAATCCTCTACACCCTAAATGAGATGAAAGAAAGACTGGGGTGGAGGCGAGAGAGGGGAGGAGAAGGGTAGAGGCAAGACTCTGGAAGTAGAGTCTATACTAATTATATACTAAGACATAATATTGGAATTAAAGCAGAGAGAATTGCTCCAGATCTCACAAAGAATTGCCAACTGAGAAAAACCTAAACATCACATTGACTTTGCGATAGTGCTTCTCTATTAGACATGGACCAAGGGCATTAACTGAGCACCTCCTTTGAGCCTGGCACTACGCTGGGTAGTGGATGAGTGGCCCCAGTCAAGACTATAGAGCCAGGATGCCTAGAGGCAAAGGAGACAGGCAGGAATTGGAAGGATGGCTCTAATGACAGAACAGTAGGGGAGGGGCATCTGGGTGCTTGATTTATGTCTGCTCCAACAGTCCTAAGCTGTCTTCCCCTGCCTCAAGCTGGGATTTTCCCAGATGTGCATCTGCTTGAGGGAAAGAAGGGCGGCACAGGGGGAGGGTCTCCATGTCCTTGCCTCTGGTCCCAAGAGCAATCCCTTCTCCTTTCTCCCTATGCTGTTCACTGCCTGCTGGGTAGAGGGTGGGAGGCTGGGGGAAATGCCAGGGCCCCCAGATAATCACCAGGTAATGAAAAGAACTGGCCCAGGGCTGGGGGGAATGCAGAAGATGCCGAGTTGGGGCTGTAAATCGCCCTGGGAGAAGGGGGTACAGAATGGGGGACCCTGACAGTTGGAGCCCATCCAGGTGATTTCGCATGAAGTATCTGAACCTTGAGGGGTGGGAGTGGGGAGGATGAGAGGCAGGCAGAGGTGTGAGCCAGAGAGAGGAGAAGACGCTGAAAGAGACAGGGAGAAGAGAAGCAAAAAGGAGAGATGAAAGGGAGGGCAAGAGATGGGAAGAGAGATGCGAAGAGCGATGGGGAGACAGCCAAACGAGACAGATGGGAGGGGAGGTGGATGGAGAGACTAAAAGGCACACACAGTGAAACTCATAAAGACATGATGGTATGAGAGACCCTCCCAGACTGAGGGAGGGAAGCGGGGAGGGAGAGAGAAAGGCTGACGGCGGACACAGTCCTAGAAAAACTCAGACCAAAAAATATGTGGAGTCAAGGAGATAGACAGAATGGCCGACAGACAGACAGACAGACCTGCCTGACAGAGGTGAGGGTGACGGAGGCAAAGAAGGAACAAAGAAAACAGGGTTGCAGTGAAAAGGGGGGAGGGAGTGAGACAAAGAGAGAGAAGGAGGCAAGTGTGGAGCAGGAGGAGGGAGTGAGGCCAGGGAGGGGGATATATATTTTCTTTATGATCCTCTTCAATCTCACTCAGCTCGCTGCTGAGCCGCTTCCCCTCTCAGGTGCTGCTCAGTGGCGGATGTGCTCAGAAAGCTGATATGCTGAGGCTCTCTCCCAGAGCCAACCTGGGGGGCTCGCAGAGACCCCTACATGGACATGACAACCCAACCTGCCTCCCTGTCCCCAAAAATGCTGCAGTCCAGAGAGGACTGAAGCCCAGCTCTTAATTTTTCAGAGCTAACGCAGCCTGGCACAACCAGTAGAAGGGGAAGTGGGGCAGAGGAGGAGGAGAAATAGAGGAAGGCAGGCAAGGGAGGCATGTTCTGGGGAGGGTGCTGGGGACAGTCTTTGGTCAGGGGTCAAGGGGAGAGGAGTAAAGAGAGGTAAGGACTGAGGAGAGATCTGCATTTGAGAATAAAATTAGCAGCATGCAAAGGATAAGGGAGATAAGACACCAGTGACGCCCAATTACTTTGGGGTCAACAATTTAGACACCTACTGAGAAGCCATGACCGATGCCTTCAAGCAACTCTCTACTAACAGACCCCACAAATATATACATGAAACCCATGAAAGGAGAAACTGAGGCATAGAGTAGAGATCCTGAGACCACTGAATGTGCATGAATCTAGGTTTTCAGGGACCACAGATAGAGTAACCAGCCAAGTTTCTGAAGACCTAAGACTTAGCATGACAACCTGGACCCTGCCTTTTTTCCCCAGGCTTTCTTGAGGCTGAGGAAGTAGCTGAGCTCTGCAAAGACCAGCTCCCCCAGCTCCTCTCACGGCCGGGGAAGACCCTAAGAACATTAACTCAGGCAATCTAAGGGGAAATTATCCCCACATCCACTCCTTCCCTGCCAGCCTCATGCAAGGTCCAAGAGGCCAGATGTCCCAGGATAGACAGAGCCTAAGGAGTCTCCTTAGCAGCAGGAATAACTTTATCACAGCTTATCTGGGCCTCCCAGAGGTAAATTGAAAGGCTGCGAGGAAACAACTGAGGTCCCTACCTATTCCTACACCCATCCCAAAGGGGTATGGGTAGAAGGCCAGGGGACAGAATCAGAAGGACTTCACAACCTAGGAGAAAAGGAGAAAAGCCGGTTCCCAGGCAACAGCTAGGTCAGTCAGTAGCTGAAAAGACCCCCAAGGCAGCTGTAGCTCTCTGTTCCTCGCCTGAGTCTCTCAAGCCTGCAACCGGGAAGCTCTGCAGTACCAGAGAGGGCCGCTAGGGAGTGCTCGCCAACAGCCAGGCTCCAGAAAGGAAGCAGCCGGCCAAGCCAAGAAGACCGGAAGGCAATCGATCAGAGTCGCCCTGGCAACCGGGCTGAGCCCGAGACAGACAGCACGTCGATAATGAAATCATCGTTAAATGACTTCAAGCCCTAATTAATAATCCAGGCCAACCGAGGCCATGCCTGACTGGGGTCGGGGGAGGGGATGTCATTGTTGGGGAGCACTGGAAGCTTCTGGACAATTAATCAATTAATCCACTCACTCAATAATTGGCTCCTTTGTCCTCTGCCATGCCCCTCCCCCACCTCATCCACCTCTGACTGTGGAGAGGGGAAGAAGAGATGTTGGGCTAATAGTTTCCAAGGGCCACAGTTCCTCCCTCTCCCCTCCTTTTTATCCACACATCTGTTTCCTGAGCCAGCTCACAAAAGCTTCCCTAAGTCAGGACTTGCCTGCGCTCTTCCACAGGACCTACCAAAGAGTGAACATTTCAGGACCCGGAGTCCCCTGCTATCCAGGTACCTCCCCAGATCCCCTGCTCCCTACCCCACTTCCTCCCATCTCATCCCCCCTCCCCAGTACACACACACACACACACACACACATCACTGACCCACAGCCCACTCTGACTCTGACTGAGGAAAGAGCACTAAACAGTGAATCATGAGAGTTAGCTAAATCCCAGCCACACCAGCTCACCACTTACATACATAACCTTGAGCAGGTTACCTGCCCTCTCCAAGGCCTCCATTTCCTCATCTGAAACCTGAAAGAGGCCAAGTGCAGTGGCTCACGTCTGTGATCCCAGCACTTTGGAAGGCTGAGGCAGGAGGATCGCCTGAGCCCAGGATTTCAAGGCCTAGCCTGAGCAACATAGCAAGACCCCCATCTCTATTTAAAATAAAATAAAACCTCAAGGGATCCAACTGATTTCCAAGGTTCCTTCCTGTGGTATCATCTATTATTACAATAATCAGATCTTTTCCCACTCCTCTCTACTCCGTTCTCTTACTTTGGGGAGGTAAGAGGGAGATTGTAAGGAGTTCCAGGTCCTCATTTATCAGGTGCTTCATCCCCAAAGAACTTACCTCGAGAGCCAGAAAAGGGGATGG
Organism: Homo sapiens; assembly: GCF_000001405.40. Lineage (NCBI taxonomy): Eukaryota > Metazoa > Chordata > Mammalia > Primates > Hominidae > Homo > Homo sapiens. The sequence goes on along the minus strand of NC_000012.12, from coordinate 53,756,219 downwards.
TAGAAGAGTACATGGAGGGAAGGCTCCCCCAGCCCATCCCCCACCTGGCCGGTCCTTCTGGCCCTTGCCACCCACCTTGCTTATTGCTCTCCACAACCCCCAGCAGGAAATGAAAAGGCCACAGGAAATTGCGCTTTAAATCCCCTAGCTCCTGGTTCCCTCCACCAAGCCAGGGAGCTGGGGGCAGGCTAACTTCACAGACCAGGCTTTCTCTGTTTGTAATTAGTAAGACACTTAGGAGGAGAAAGGGGTCCCTGCAAAAAGAGCCCCTCTCTCCAAAACAGCTAATCAGGTTATCCAAAAAACTGGTGCTGGGGAAAGCATATGGGATTTGCAGAGAAGAAAGAACCAGAGGATCTTGGGCAAGATGAAGACAGCTGGTGAGACATGGACTGGATAGGTAGGTGGTAGCCTCCTTTCTGGGAGAGGTGATTTATAGCGCCACCTGAGGCCAGGAGAAATGGTGTGCAGCCAAAGGCTGGGATGGGCAAAGAGCGTAGAGAGGGGACCCTCCAGAGACGCCCTGCAGAGAGGACCAGGGAGCAAAACCCACCAGGTCCATCCCACCCCTGTGGACACTTAAGAGGTTAATAAAGTTCAGAATGTTCAGGGCTTACTGTAATTAAAGCCAGGAGCTGGGTCATTCCATTTCTTCAAGTTCCATCTTTTACTTTCCCCTCCCCGACATACACACATCTTTTACAAAAGACATTGAGCCAGATCCTGGACTTTAGATAATACCTCCACTAAAGAGGTGGGCTTACTGTCAGCAAAAGAAATGTAGAATAGACTTTAGAAAGGATTTCCTTTGAGTTAGGGTTGGTAAATGCTAGGGAAAATGAAATGATATAGAATCTCCAACAACACATTTCCTACCACACACACACACACACACACACACACACACACACCCCAAACAGGAAAAGGAAAGCCGTCTCTCAACTGCTATTCTTTTTCTAGGGGATTGGCCTCCAGGTGATGTGTCTCACATCGTGGGACAAAACAGCCTCTCTAAATATTAGGAAAATAACTCCCGTCCCACCCTTCACTCCAGAAGGAAGATGATTGTTTCCCTCTCCAGATCTTGGCAAATGCCCTGCTCAAGGATCACATAGCATGTGGTTAAGAGCCCTGCATGCAGCTTGGTGGCTTCTCTCCAAGCCCTCCCTCTCCTGTTTTATCTTAACCTCTCTGCACCTCGTGTCCATTATTTGGACGCACCCTATGAACCCAGTCCTGGAGAGAGGGAAGGAGTGCAAAGGCAGGAGAGGACAGGGTCTTGCTCTCTGGGATGTGAGAAGGAAGACACAAAAGACAAGAAACCAAAGCAGAGAAAAAAAATTCAGCATATAAATCAGTAGAGTGTAAACAGATCCTTTTAGTGCTGAAACATGCACAGGAGAGTGAAAACAGAGATTGAAAGTATGAAGCAAGATCAGAGGGAAGTAAATGCCAGGTTGAGAGGCTGGAGAGAGTGCAAAGGGGTTGGGAGGAGGAAGACTGATGTCCCTAGCAGGTATGAAGAGAATAAGCTGGGATGATATCAAAGAGGAGGATGATTTTTAAAGCCTAATAAACTTAGATTCAACTGTACACAGTTCTTTTTGCATAAATCTCATTTTATTCTCAGTAACAAGCCACGGGAGCAAGTATTAGTGTTGTCATTTTATAGATAATAAAATAAAGACACAGAGAGGTTAAGTAACTTGCCTCAGGTCACGGAACTGGTAAGTAGCCAGGAATCAAGTTGCTGCATTCTGATGCCAACTCCTGCCGTTTCTGTTCCGGGAAGCAGCCAATTTTAGAGCCTGATTGCATAGAGAGAGATTAACCCCCATCTCCCCTACCCAGGGCGAAAGACCTTCTTCCTCATGCCCTTTTCAACCTGTTCTGCCTGGGAGATCTCGATCAAGTTGGTTAACTTGTGTAGCCTCATCTGTGAAATGGGGAAGTAATATCGAACCCTTTGAAGGTGAAAGTCTAGACTAGATAATTTGTTGAAGATTTTTTAGCTTTAAAATGAATAATTCAATCCATGAAAGGAGTGAGTAAAGGAGATAGCCAGGAAAGAGGTCTCAAGCCTTCCATCTTCCCATTATCCATCCCCATCCCCACCTCTATCTCCTCCCTCTTTGTGTTTGGGGACTTCTGGAGGCCTCTCCCTACATTTCATAGCCTGAGCAGATGTCTCCACCTAGCCATGGTTCACTAGCCCATGAAATACAGACTCATTCATCTTCACGCCCCACGAGGACATATCAGGGCCCAGGAAGTCAGCCTGGCTTCCTAGCTTCTTGCCTACCCAGCCCAGGGTCACGGTAGAGCTACAACAGCAGGACATTTTACATTGCTGTCCTATACCTCTACCACCACTGCTATCCTATCCCAGGTGTCTTCAAGAACATCTCAGCCCAGGCTCTCTGCTGCAGCCCAGCAAACCTGCCCTCCCAAGCCCTGCATCCTCCCTGCCTCGGTCTCCTCAGTACATATGCCCCAACACACAGACACACACACATACACACACACACACACACACACACACACACACACACACCCCTATGCATTCCTTCCCCATCTGCCTCCAAGGTTCACATTAGCCATCCCTTACCCCAAGATAATGCACTTCACTGAGAGCTCTAACTTGCTAGTTCTCTTCTTTCAGTTTTGCTGCTCCCTGCTAACTAAATGAATACCATTCTCCCTATCCTCTAGGAACCCTCCTAGACTTCCTTCAGATCTTCCTCCACCCTTTCTTGTTTGGTCATTCCTGGTCTCCCCAGTGCCAGAGTCACAGGACTTGTTCCAGCTGCTCCTGACCAACTCAACTGATAAGCCTTTGTTGAGGGCATGCCCAGAGCTCCATGCCTCTTGGTTGGTCTTGACGACCAGCCTCATCTTACCATGAGCCTAGGAGTTCCAGCAGGGCAGGATTTGTGCTCCTCCCTCTGGATCTCCCCTCAGTGCCCAATACAATGGGCAGCACACACAGGGGAAGGTGTGCGACTCGCTGATTCTGCTTCTTAGGAGTCAGGAGGGAACTAGGGAAAGAAACTGAAGCAGAGACAGAATTCCAGGCCCACACTTTGTAATTTTCCTTTAAAAATCTCAAAGGACACGTGTGTCTCTCTCTGTGTGTGTGTGTGTGTGTGTGTGTGTGTGTGTGTGTGATGTATAGATGGGAGAGAAGTATGATGGTATGAGGTTCTAGGAGTCTGGTTCCTGCCTTGGTGCAGGAGTCTTGGGGGAGCTGGACTCCTAGATCCACTGCAGCCCCCAAGAGGACACAGTCCCATGACTCTGCAGCCCTAAGAGGGCAGCCATACTGCTGAGGCAGGACTAATGCGGGTTGACGTGTCCCTTAGGTTTTAATTTGCTCAGTCCAGTGTGCCAGTCCACATGGTTTCCTTTGTTCTGCAGTTCAGTCCAATCCCGGTCCTCCCTTCTTGTACACACTCAGCAGCACTTCTTGCAATCAGAGCCTAGTGCATTTGTTAGGTTGAACCATTTACAATTTCTGATATTCAATTTTGGGGGGCCTATAAAGTCTGTGACCTTGGTTTTTCTCTCCTCAAAACCCTTTAAGAAAGCTCCAGGCTAGGGAGAGGAGCAGATTGAGGAAAGGCAGAAGGGAAGAGCTAATAGACTAAGTCCCATGTGCCAAGCATGTTACATTCGTTATCACAGCGCTAATTCCCACAACATGAAGCACCTAAAATTATTTCCTACATTTTACAGCTGAGCAAGCCCAGGTTAAGACTCACATGGTGAGGCCCAGGGCTGGGATTCAAACTTAGCCACAGACCCACCGCCACCTAGAACCAGGGAAGTCCCGGCAGAGCCGGAGGGCCAGCAAGCAGTGTCTGCAGCTTCGCAAAAAAGGGAGAGAAGGACACGAGCCAAATTCGACTTCGCTGGTTGGATCGGTCCAGAAGAGCCCCAATTAGTAGGGTGCGGGAGCAATGCCCAACCTGAAACCCGAGGGTAGACGGCCCAAAGGAAGAACCCAGGCAGAAAGAGACAGAGGGTGGAGAGAGGCCTGGAAGGCGGCGGCGGCGGCGGCAGCGGGCAGAGAGGGGCGAGCGGAGGGGACCTTGGAGGGGAGCCCAAGGGGGTGTAGGCAGCGCCAGCGGGCAGCGAGGAGCCCGGCTGCAGAGTCTACCACGCTCGGCATCCGGGGCGGGCGGTGCGGGGCGGAGAAAGTCCAGGAGAAAGTCTGACAACCACGGGGAGAGGGGGAGGGAGAGACCCTGTGGAAGAGAGACGGAGACTGCGGCAAAAAGAGGAAAGGAGGGTTACGGGCACCGAGGGGGAGCTGGAGTCAGCCGCAAGGAGAGAGGGAGCGGGGGAGGAAAAGAGGCGGGAGAGAGACCCTAAAAAGCAAGCTAGACTCTCCAGCCGGCCGCTCTGGTGTGGGGAGGGAGCGTCATCTCAAGGACACTGAAAAAGGCAGGTGGATGGTGCAGAAATGCGGAAGCCGCGGCCCCGGGCGGGCGGGAACCGGCCCGCTGCCCTCGCCCCGGGACGCCCCCGCTCCGCACCCTGCAGGCCCGGATCGCACCCGCACGCACCCCCGACCCCACTCCCGGCCCAGCCAGTGCTCGGCGCTGGCATGAAATTGGCTGCAGCCGTAATGAGTCCGCGCCGCGCGGAGGAGGCTGAGGGCCCACCAGGGAGTCCTGCGCGCCTCGTTTAGCTTGTTTATTGTTCAGGCCTAATTAAAACGTTCCACCGCGCTGCGTTTACATCCGCCCCCCACTAATGAATTCGCGGCCGCCGGGCGATTTCGGAAACTGCCGCGGCCGGAAGGGGGGTGGGAGGCGACAGGGCTGGGGAAAGAGTGAAGGAGAGGACACCCACGCACACCCCTTCCCACTGCCAAAGGAGCCATTAGATCTCTGGCGATTGGCTCCGAGGTCCGAGTGAGCGCCCCGAGCCCCAGCGCCCCCAACCCCTGCAGGCGTTGGGAGGTGCGGAAGGCCGGGCCGCAGGGCTCAGAGGAGGGGCGGCGGGAGGGAGGCCAGGAGAGAGTGTGTGTGTGTGTCCTGTGCGTGCGGAGGCCTGTGGGCCAGGAGGGTATTGCGCGTGGGCACACCTGCTCCGTGAAGCGTGTCCGCGGAGCAGCCTGTGTGCGCAGGAGTGAGTGTGTGCGTGTGTGTGTGTGTGAGTGTCCGTCCCTTTGGCTGCTCATGTGCCTTTCTCCTCCACAGGGACAGTCTGCGCGGGGCTTACAATGTTCTTGTTTCTCCCGCCGTAGCTGTTTGCCGTTTTGCTGTTTGCCTCCTTGTCACGACCTCAGCGACGGCAGATGGAGCCAGTGGAGGGAGAGAGACAGACGGCAATGCTTGGGTAGCCAGGGCTCCCTGCCGGCCCCACTCCTCCTGCAGACACGAGCACGCACACACACACGCGCGCAAAACACACACGCTGCCCTTCGCCACACGTAGCCAAGTAAAATACACAAAAAGCAACTGAGATACCATTCGCACATGACCACATGGAAACACACAAATGAACAAACGCATTCAGGCATAGCCACATGCCAGTCACACAGATGGATAGACAAGAGCCTGGGGTACAAAGCCACATGGCACAAAGCCACCTGGATGTATATGCCCCTACACACGCACACAGAAAAAAACATGCAAACTTAAGTACACACCTATCCAGACAAGTGTGAGTGCACACACACACACACTCACACACTCTACCTGACACGTTAGTGCATCCCCATTGGGCCCCAGTTTCTCTCAGCAAATTCAGATCACCCAGCCTGACTTCAAAACCTGCCCCCTTCCATTCCCCTTCATGCTGGTTCCTGAATCCAGCTCGTTGCTCCAGGCTAGCAAAGCTGTCCACAGCCTCATTTGTGGTTTGCTCACCTGCCTCAGCACCATCAGCCAGAGGTACTCCTGCTCTTCTCCTAATCTATTGCATGCCCTGTTGGGTTTCTCTTTGCACACCTCTCTAACTCCCCCACTCCTAGCAGCCTTCCCTGATGAACTAACTGGCTTGGATTCTGAATTTGCCCTAGTCATTTGCACTTGTTGATCTTTGCTGTGGTGAATGTCAACGGGGTAACTTTGCACCTATAAACATAATGTTGGCAGGGAGGATGACTGTAAGATCCCCAAGGCCAGCACCACTGTGCCCAAGATCATCAGATGCCAGGCCTCATCCCTCCAGTGCCAGGTTGTGAATGCTCCTGGGAACATTACTGCCCAGTTTTAATAGACAGAAAAATGAAACTGGCCCTCAAGCAGCCACTGGAAGATCTCCTTCTGTCATATCTTGCAAGGTTCCCCTTCAGGATTGCCTTTCAGAGCCACTTTGGAGGAGGGCACACCCTCCTCTATGTCTTCCCATTTTCACCTTCTTTTTAACTGGAAATACTGCTCCCCAGCTGGGTCCTCACCTGACTCTCCAGCCTTGATTGCTAACACTTAGGCTGTTTTCAAAAATTAGATCTACCCCTAAAGGATACAAATTTGCCTCTGGTGCAGATGCTCAGAGCTATACTGCAGGCTCTAAAGGTGATCCCCAAAGAGAAATTGCCAGGAATGACCCAGGCACCTGCAGCAGTTGCTGAAACCTGCTATGTTAAAGGAGATAGCATGCATTGGAATAGGTTCTTTGTACTTAAAGAAAATGACAGGGTCACCCTAAAAAAAAAGAAAGAAAGAAAAACTCATTGATTGCCTCCCCAACTCACTGCAGGGTTGTTTCATCAGGTAAACATGATGCTGGGTTGATTCCAGCCCAGCATCTCCAGGTAGATAGGTGCCCTGCCTGCCTTCCCTCCCCATTTCCCCTTAGTCTGCCTCCCTCTCAACAGCCCCCTCTCTCTCCGTGCCCCTCTCGCCCTCCTGCAGTTAGAGGCACTCTCTGCTCCCTGTCTTTTATATATATATATACACACACACACACACACTTCTTGCCTCCATCATATTTCTTTCTCCACCTCTGTCTTTCTCTGACTGTCCTCTGCCAATTTCTCTACTCCCTTTTTCAATATCATTTTCTCTCCCCTTGATCTCTGCTGGGGCTCTGCCATTCTTTTTCTTTCTCAGTCTTTCTCTAACTTCCATCTTTCTTCTGTTCTCTCCCCTACACCCCACCATAACTGCTCCAAGCTGTCCATGCAGAGGGAGGGTGTGTGGCTGTCTGGTTCAGCACCAGACAACTCTGGCATTTTGAAGAGCTTGGAATTGCCAGGTTCCTGCTCACACACACACACAACACACACACACCCATACACACTCACACATATAGGCCTCCCCGCCCACCTGAGTCCCAGGCCCTGGAAGGCCAGCAGAGCCCTCAACCCAGAATCCCCATCTCACCCCCTGCAACCTCTACCTGACCCTTCTTACTGCCTCCCCACCATCACTCTCATTTCCTTTCTCCTTGGAAACCCATCTTCTCCCTCCCCTTCTCTGCTTCTCTCAGTCTACTGATACATTCTGGTATATTATCGGCCCTGGCCCTGGCCCTGGTCCTGGCCCTGGGTCAGTGTGCCTTTGGCTCGGGGTACATGGCTTTCAGTTTCTCCCTGGGCCTGGGACCTTCTCATGCCTCTGTGTCCGTGACTGCTCTGCTATGGCTGGTTTCTGGGTGGCTCTGGCCTTGTGTGAGTCTTCGATCTTTCTGTCTGCTCTCTGGATGCTCCTCTGTCTTGGCTCTGTCCTGTCTCTAGGTCTGTCTCTCCTCTGTCTTTCCCTTTCCACTCGGCAGTGTCTCTGTTCCCTCTGTCCGTCTCTCTTCATCTCCAGAGTGCTGGGACCCACTCTGCCTTATGGGTCCCACTCTGTCCATCTTGGCTTCAATTTACTGGGTCTTTCTGTCCCTGTCTGTGTGTCCGTCATCTCCCCCCTTCTCTGCCTCTTTTCCTGCCCCGCAGTGTTGGGGATGGAGTTGGGGGGGCGCTGGCGCGGAGGGCTTGGAGAGGGAAGAGGGCGGGCGGCCCTTTGTGTGGAAGATTGACGGCCCGCGGTGCAGCCTCCGCAGCGCTGATTAGGATGCAGCGCGGTCTCTGACTGCAGCATTCTCCTCCTCATCGAACATTCTCCACACTCCAAATGGAGATCCCCTCCCTGCCTGCTCCCCTGGCCTCTCGGGATAGTATGGCTTACCACTGCCCCCAACCCAGTTCCTCCACTGGGAGCCACTGGAAATTCTGGGAGGGCACCCAAGGGCCCCCTCTCCCACCCAGATATCTACATGTCTTGTACATTCTAAGAGAAAAGGAATGAGGAGAGGTGGGAAGCCGACTGGAGGAGCTTTACTGGAAGGGGGTGTGGGAAGGTCACAAACTGCTTGGGAGAGTTGTCTCCACATCCCCAGCCCGGCAGCACCTTGCACCCCTCAGACACACATGGAGCAACAAGTGCAGGGAGATGTGGCAGGTCTCAAAACACAGGAAGGGGAGCAGGAAATAGGTGGAGTGCGTCTTTTATCCCCTCATAGCACCTGTAGACCTACCCTGTACATAGTAAGTCCCCAGTAAAATGGTCAGCTCCTATTTTATCAGTTCTCCCCAAATCAGTGCCTAAATCAGTGGAACTCAATTCCTTTTAATATGCCTCCCGACCCACCACCCCCAGTAACTCAGTATCTGGCCCCTGGACAATATCCCCAGCTACACCTGCCAAGCATCCCAGTAATCATCAAATCTCAGCTCCAAATCCCAGTCATTCCAACCACGACTTATCCAGCATCTGCCTTGTGTCCCTGCCCCTTCCTCTTCCTCTTCCTCTCCCTCCCTTGCCCACCCCCACGGAGCTTGGCCCACTGGGTTTCTCCCCCAAAGACAGGCAATCACTAATGAGCATTGAGTGCAGGGAGGGGAGGGCCAAGGGCAGCCTGGTGGGTGGGAGGGGATTCCAAAGCTAGCAAATAACGAGCCCTGTCAGCATCTGTCAAATATGCCATCTCCCTCCATCATGCCTGCCTCCTGCCTCCTGGCTCCTGCCAATCCATCTCCCTGCCGACACTGACGGACTGCGCTCAGGTGCAACTTCCAAGAAGCCCAGAAGCACAATGCCTGGTCTGCTCCAGATCCATTTTCTCCAGGAATGTCACCAGACCCTGATTTTAAAACTCTGAGTGACCCTAGGAATACAGGGTTGTAGGCTGAAACCCAAAGAGGAAGAAGAGAAATTGCCCTCTGTTCAATCTCGGCCCCTTGTCTCCACTATCCACTTTCCAAAACCAGAACTTAAAACTTCAGGCAAAGGTATAGAGTGTTAAATCTCCGGAAGACCTTCCCAGCTTTGAAGAGGTTGTGAATGCCTCCAAAACTAGGGAAACTGTTGGGGGAAAGCTGCGGCTAGAAACCCAAGATCGCTTCTTGTAATATACGCAATTTCCACCAGGGGGCGAGGAACGCGGCTCTGCGGAGGAGCGGAATCTTCTCAGCAGCGATCTGCGAAGGGCTCAGCGGCCACAGGAGGGCGGCAGAGAACAGCGCTCCCTACAGATCCAGACGTCGGCCCTGGATGCTGTCTGGAATCCAGGCAAGGCCAGGCTGGGCTGCCCTAGGCCGGGGACGTCTTTAGCTCGAGCAAAAACCCATGAATTTCAGAATTCAGGAATCCTTGCATCCCTTCTCAAGCTCTCTAGTCCCTGAAATGCCATCGCCCTCCTCAGCCTCCCTTCCATTTCTCGTTCTCCTAGCACTGGGGCTGCTGGCACAGAAGGACCCTGTGGCTTTTCCTTCATGGTATAGCAGATGACACCCACGCTCCTCCGTGACATTCCCTAGGGTCCCAGCTGATAACTGGAGCTAGAACTAGAACCCACGACTTCTTGGTTCTCTGCGCAGGGGTCTTCCCATTGTGTCAGCTGCAGCTCCTGAAATAAAACCATACCCTACAGGCCACAACCAGACAGCATCTCAAATCCCTGGCTTAAACAATCAATGCCAAAGCTACTGTGTTCCATATGTTTACATATGGAACTGGTGCATACAAGACTGTTAACCCAGGACACAGATGTGTGCTGTAGCTACCTGGCTGTGCACCCCTCATCCTCAGGTACATGGCCCTCTGTCCCTTCTCTTCCTACTTTCTGAACTGCAAAAGAAGCTTCTCTTCATTTATAATTTGGCCTTTTCACTGGAGTTCCAGAAACTCCTCAAAGCTGTAGACACAGAAGCCCTTTCCCAGTTCTAACCTTGGTCCATCTTACCACAGCCCTTTACACCTGGAGGAGAGGGCCTGCACGTGATCTTCAGCTCTCTCTTCCCAGGCATCCCCTCAGCTGGTCCCACCACTGCTTCTTGCCTCTCCCGTCCCTCTGCTGACCAACCCATGCCTCCTCCAGATTCTTCTTGCTGCCACTGGTTCTCCTTTCATCTCAAAAGCTGAGCCACCCAGGGAGGTAGGCATAGAAAAGAGAAAGGAAGAAAGGTAGGAGGGATTGGGAAGAAAATCTGTCTACAAGCCAGAAGAGGACTCTGTCCCTGCCCCCTTTACTCTCAGCTGGTAAGTTCTACTTACAGTCTGACCTCAGTCCTCTGGCTAGTCCTCATTTTATCTACTCTCCTTGAAGCTAAAGAGCTAGAGAAGCTGAGAGTAAATGAGGAGAAATGGATCCAATTGTGTCGGGGGTATATGTGCAAGCTTGTGCACTGATGGCCTGAGTGTGTGTATACACTTGCATCACACACCACCCCTTCCCCATTGCCCCCCCACACACACGTATTCCATGCCATCCCCAATCTAGGATTCCTCCTATAAAACAAGAGGAGAAAAACATCCCAACCTCTCAAACACCTTATTCTAACTTTCATCCTCCAGGGGAAACCTAAAAAGACAACACCCTCCCCCTCTGTTTCCCCCCTTCCCATGTCCTTGTCCACTCTGGTTTTTGAGATTTCTTCTTAAACCGCATGGGGTGCAGCCCCTACACACCTTCCCCAGAATCCAGGAGGCACCAGAGTCTTGTCCCTGCAAAGGACTGAGACAAACGCCAATCACGTCGGGGCCTCTTGCAGTGCCCATTCTGCTATGAATTCCCAAGGTCAAAACCATTCTGGTGTTATTAAAAACATAAATGTTGCATACCAGGCAGCGGGGGGAAAAATTATAAGGCAGCCAGATGAGAGGGAGATGGAGGGGCCAGTAATTGTCTTCGTCTTCCCAGAGTCAAGCTCCACAGGGCTGGAGCCGCACACAGAACATTGCTTTTTAATTTAACTCAGTAAGGTCAGTGGCAGCAAATGAGGCAGGGGAGGAATGGCACCTCAGAGGGAGGGCGCCGGGACCTGCAGAGCCGAGGCTCCTGGCCAAGATCTCCAAGAACTGCCAGGGGAAGCAGAGAGAGAATGGCAGGGAGGATTTGGTGACCCTTGGCTCACCAGAGAAGGGAGCTGGACTGAGGGGGAGTGATATAGGAGCTCCAAGAATCATTATAAGAGCTTCTGAGAGCCTGGGATTTAAGTGGAAAGAAAGAAAAACACTTCAGAAGGACTCTTAAGTGAGACCAGAAGGCCTGATAGAGACAAATACCCCCATCTTCACTCTCCCCAATACCCACTCTACAGAGGAGAATAACAAGGCTCATGGTTGGAACTCAGAAGTTCCGCTTTCCCCCAGTACCTATGAATCCTGGAGCCCAAGTGGAGAGAATTCTCCAGTGAGGTGGGCCACTCTGTCGCATCCCCTTCATCTCCAAGGATCCAAGGGGGCAGGGGAGAGGAAGATGGCAGGAGAAACTGTGGCAGAGCCGCCCTCCCTCAGAACCTTCCTCATCTTCCCCACTTTCTTAGGGTCCCAGCTTCCCATCTGCAGCTCTGATAGCTGCATGGTGGTTCTCTCCATTTCCAGTGCTATAGGAAGAATTGGAGTTAGACTAGAGAAGGGACTTCCCAGATCAGCATCTTGGTCATAGGCACAACCCAGGATTGGGTAGAAAGGCTAAGGAACCTAGGATTTTCTGAATAGGACCAATGAACTGAGCATGATGGGATTAAGGAGCCTGGAGAAGGTGGGAGACTCACTGACTGGGGGTGGAGAGGAGCTATGAAAAAGCCGTGCAACAGTCACAGGCAGAGCATCCAAATACACTTTGGGACTTACAGGAACTTCTGCAGATCAGACCTCAGCTCCTTCTGCTTCAGTTTCAGGCTGTTGCCCTTTTAGGGTTTTTGTTTTTGTTTTTGTTTTTGTTTTAGGGAAGGAGGATTAGAACAATAGGTTTGAGACTGAAGGACAGTGTTTTAATTCTCTGTCTCCATCCTTAAGTGTCCTTGCTACTTGGCAGGTTTCTACTTCCCTGTCAGTCAGGAATTAGGAGACCCCAATGTCAATTTGGAAATCTGAGGTTTGCTACCCTCATAATGTACACCTCTGCCATCATCTCCTCCTCCCTCTCCAGAAGATCCCACTTTCAGCGCAGGGACCCCAATCCTGCAGTTCTCCGTATCTGCCACAAGGTGGCAGCCAAAGCATCGATTGATCCAGAGCTAGACCTGGTGCCTCACTAGAGCCAGGACCCATTCTCCACTCACCCCTTCCCCACCTGGGGGCTGCCAACCCCGAAGGACCCAGGAAAGGAGAAACGTTCTGGAAGGACTCCAGCTCTTCGGATAAATGGGCTGGGTGAGGATTGGGAGGGAGAAGGAAAGGGAAGGTGCAAGGGAAACCGGAGAAACACAAACCGGAGAAACACGAACCTGGAAGTGGGGGAGCAGGCAGTCAGGTGCGGTGAGAAGCCCAAGTTGAGAATCACAGAGGGGCTGCCTGCCGCTGCCCACACCACACCCAGCGCCCCAGGGGCTCCAGCACAGCAGCCTAGAGCTGTTAACTTGCCCAGAGGCAACCAGAGCAGAAGTACCAGGAGCTGGGGTTGGGGGAGCCTACACCAGAGTAAGCCACCAAGATCCGGTCAGGGAAAGGGTCTGCGCCACCTCCTCCTCCTCAGTATGAGACCATGAGACCCAACGGGACTCCGTTATCCCTGCCATTCCCAGAAAACATTAAACAGGGAAGGGTTCAGTCAATCTCCCCTGCAGCACTGATTCTCCTGGTGCGGGAAGAGGGTCCTGGAAGACAGGAAAGAAGAAAGAAGGCAGATCCCTAGAGAGAAGAAAAACAGCCCTGCTCACAGGGAGGTGCCAGTATGTGGGGAACAGGCAAGATAACAGGAAGAGGCCTGCAAGCACCTTGGCAGTGGTTTCGAAAGGAAACATTTGGGATCCGGAACCAGGAGGATCAGTCAAGGAGGGCTTCCTAGAGGAGGACAGTATGGGACAATCTTGTAAAATGCTGAGAGGCTGGTCTGGAAAAAGGAGAGAGATAGTTCAGGCTGAAGACAGACTATATGTATGAAACTATTTGGGGTCAGGGGACGACTAAATACGTGGATGGCTGCTCAGGTGGAGCTTAGAGACCACACCACCCTGCAGCGGGAGAATGGGGAGTTGAAGGAACAGGCATGGTGCATGTGAGGCAATGAGGCCTCAAGACCCAGCTGGCACAGCTGGGCAGCACCTGGGCCTAGCTGAATATCCTCCCTCTCCCCGACCCCCACATAGCCAGGAGAATAAGAACAGAATATAGGATCCTCCAAACAGGGCACAAGAAGGACTCCTAGACCAGGAGTCAGGGGCCTGGGTTTTTCAGAAGCAGCTACTGCATAACAGGGGACACTGGGTAAATCTTCCCCCCTCTGAGGACTCTGGCTGCTGTCTGTACAGGCTGAAACTGATGCTCTCTGACCTCCCTTTTCTGAGACTGTCCTGTTGATGACTGCCCTCCTCCCAAAGAATGATCTGACTCATCTGTGACCTGCCAGGCTTTAGTCCTCCTTCTCTCAGTGTCCCTATACTCCAGACACACTCCTCCATCCAGAAGAAATTATTCCATTTCTGTGGTGGAGGGATGGAGGTGCAAGGCCCCAGTTTCACGAACTTAGCCTGGGCCTATTGGGCATCAAACATGACAAAGAGGATCTGAAGTTAGACTCAAGGAAGAACTTCCCAACACAAGTGGCCTGAAAACCTCAGCTTGTGTGAAGTGCATTAAGAATATATACTAGTGGCCGGCCAGGCACGGTGGCTCACACCTGTAATCCCAGCACTTTGGGAGGCCGAGGCAGGCAGATTATGAGGTCAGGAATTTGAGACCGACCAGCCTGACCAACATGGTGAAACCCCATCTCTACTAGAAATACAAAAATTAACCGGGCATGGTGGCGTGTGCCTGTAATCCCAACTACTCAGGAGGCTGAGGCAGGAGAATCGCTTGAACCCGGGAGGCAGAGGTTGCAGTGAGCCAAGATGGTGCCACTGCACTCCAGCCTGGGCAACAGAGTGAGACTCTGTGTCAAAAAAAAAAAAAGAAAGAAAAAGAAAAAGAAAGAAAGAAAGAAGTAATATATACCAATGGCGTCCAAGAGACCAGGAAACTGTTTTGGACCTCTGAATAGTGCCAATGAGACAGAGAGAAGTTTTGACTGTGGTTATGGTCCTCCTAGTTAGAAGGTTGCACATAAAGACTTCTGGGGGCCGGGCGCAGTGGCTCACGCCTGTAATCCCAGCACTTTGGGAGGCCAACGCAGGCAGATCACGAGGTCAGGAAATCCAGACCATCATGGCTAACACGGTGAAACCCCGTCTCTACTAAAAATACAAAAAATTATCCTGGCGTGGTGGTGGGCGCCTGTAGTCCCAGCTATTCAGGAGGCTGAGGCAGAAGAATTGCTTGAATCTGGGAGGCAGAGCTTGCAATGAGCCGAGATAGCACCACTGCTCTCCAGCCCGGGTGACAGAGCGAGACTCCATCTCAAAAAAAAAAAAAAAAAAAAAAGACTTCTGGTAATTCTACCACCCTGAAGTGGAGTAGGGTGAATCTAGAGTTAGGAAGTGCAGGTTGGTTAGAAGCTAATGGTCAAAACCTGTGGAGTGGGTGGCAGAGGAGAGAAGTGAGTAGGCCTGAATTCTTCACAGACTAGGCAGCCTCCCGTCCTGACCCCACCTCTTTATCACCCTCCCAGGTCAGACCAGAGCCTCTGAGCACTTCCAATTCAAACCCTGATTGAAGGCCTCAGATCCTAGTCTCCATCTCAGACCCCGGACCCTGATGCTGTCCCCCTGTGCCTGGAAGGGCAAAAGCACACACTTCTCAGGCTCCCCAACCAAGTAGGAACAGCCTTCCTCTCCTGGCCTCCCACCTCAGCATCACCACATACCACATGCTGGAACCTGCTAGAGATTTGCATAAATCAAAGATATCTTCACCTGAGTCTTCCAGCTCCCCCAAGGCACACCACATGCACACATACACATATGCACACGTTCGCCTGCACACATGCAGATACACAGGTGCATACTCATACATGCATCATACATGGACACACATAACCTCAAAATACAAGCATATGCACACACACCCTCATCACAAACACTCTCACATACATGCAACATACACATACTCATAAACTCACCCACATTTACAGACACACATCACATGCAAACTTACACATACTCACTCATCAAACACACTTGTTCACACTCATGCGCACATCCTCTGCTATTCCTTTCTACTGACTAAGGATCAAGAACCCAGGCTTCTAGATTCTAGAGATTTAGAATGTCCAGCAGAATGCATGTAAACTCACAGGAAACCTATTTTGAGTTTCTTAGCCCAAACTAGAACTTCTTTACCATATCCTCTTCCCTGCCTCCAGATCTCTGGACCTCTGGTCCAGATCACGGAAATGGAGCCTGCAAAGGTAACTCATTCATTCATGCAACAGACGTTTTCGAACACCTGCCACCTATGTGCAGGAAGCTGAGGTAGACACATAAAAGCATAAGAACTTCTGCCCCCTAGTGTAGTGGAAAGAGCAAGAGCTCATGAGACAAGGACCTGAGTTCAAATACTGCCTCCGTCTCAACAAGCTGTGTTACCTTGGGAACATTACATAACCTCTCTGAGCCTCAGTTTCATCACCTGTAAGGTGAGGTTAATAAAACCCAGTAATGCTGTGAGGAGTAAAAGGCAGGGAAAACCTCCAACAGCAATGTGCCCACCCATGAAAAGGGTCCCCATTCCCTTCCCTAGCCCCTGCAGTGGAGGTGGAGGGAGAGCGGCTCCCCAACACCCTCCCTGTCCTGCCGTCACTGAAGCAGAAACCCAGTCTCCTTCAGCCTCAGACCCCACAGGTGCGCAAACTTCGGGAAACTTAATCTCGGACTTGGGCAGCTCCGATCTGACTCCCCCGCCCCCGCCCTCGCCCTCGGCCCCCGCCCCCGCCCTCGCCCTCGGCCCCCGCCCCTCCTGGTCCATCATGCCTCTCGCCCGTTTGCAGGTCGCGTTTTCCGTAATAACCTTTAATGCGGCTGGCCACGGCCCAAATGTTCGCGATGGAGTGCTGGGCCCCGCGCATCAGATGGACGATGAAGTGTTAATCATCCCCCAGGGAGCCGTCCCGCGGAAAGTCGTCATTAATTTCTCTGAATTACACCAATTCCGAGACATTCTTTATGGACAGACAGTGCGGGAGACAGTTATATGACAGGACTTGCTGTGCTAAGCAGATGTGGGAGAGATTGCGTCGCCCCATGAATACTAAACAATCGCTCCGAAGAAACCCCACTAGCTTCTGCGCTCAGAGCTGGGACTCGGCTTACTCCGTCTCCCACCCTGATGGGCACACCCCTGCAGGTGCCTGGGGTTGGAGAAGGAGGGCTGGCGCCCATCCCTGCTGCATAGGTGGCCTCCTCGGCTCCCCTCCGAAGTCAGGCCTCGGCCACAGAGCAAGAAGTGGCTCTGGGGCTCTCACCCTCACCTTCCTGGGACCCTGCAAGGACCCACAAACACCCTTGCCTTCCCTGCCATAGCCTTTGCTCCCTGCATTCCTTCCAGGGCCTGAACTGCTTCTAAACGTCTTGCTGTCTCCCCTCTCTCCGACTCTGATCCTCCTCTAGCTCATCACCCAGACGACTCACTACCTGCTCGTTTCTGAGTCTTCATCCCGCTTCTCCCACCTCCCATCCTGCCCCGCCTCCATCCCTCCGACCCCCTCTTCCTGCCCACCTCCCACTCTGCTCACTTCCCCAGCCTGACCACTTTCCACCCTACCCAGGCTGCCTGCCCATCTCCCCAAAGAACCCCGCCTGGCAGTGGGCATAGCTTTCCCATTCCCTCCCTCGCTCTAACCGGCTGCACCCTACACTGTGCCCCATTTCAAGTCATCTCTCCTACATCTGCTTTCACACCTCGCTCACCCTTCAGAATCTAGCGGGGGAGGGACAAAGTTCAGAGCAGAATGAAAGGAAGGGGGTGTGACCCTTTTCTCTCTCCTCCTGCCCTCTGCCTGCTCTCCTCTCTTCTTTCTGGGATACTGGGAGGGGAGTCAACGAGAGCTGGGGACACCTCCCCACCAGCAGAGTGGTGGGCGCCAGGGAGTGGGGGAGAAGGAAGAGGGTGGCCGGGGAAACCTGCCTAGGCGATGGGTCCCACCTGGAGAAAGCCCCGCCCACCACAACGAGCTCCACCTCCCCTGAGCGGCGGGGGAGGCTCCGCCCTAAGGCCGAAGGGTCCTCCTTGGCAGCCCGGGGACCTTGGGAGGGCCAGGTTTCTCGGTCACCCCAGGCCACTGTCCCTCGGGGGAGGACAGAGGCAAGTGCACACTGTTCCTGTCAGGCCGTCCCTCCGCCTTTGCCGGAGGGAGGACCCCCTCAGCGCCTTGCGCGGGTCTGGGGGAGAGGAAGGAAAGTGCGCAGCCTCTGCGTCTTTCCTCCTCGCAGGTAATTTATGTCTGAGAGCGGAGCAGATGGCGGGTAATTTAGCAATTACCGTGTGCGGGAACGGGACTCGCGCCTCCACATGGAAGCCAAAGATTCCCCGCCGCAGTCTCATCTCATTTGCTGCCTGTTTTCTCTATTTTGTCTCCCCTTCCCCCGCCACACCTCGCTGAATCCCAAAACTCAGGCGGAGGGGATCTCCTGCTCGGGGTCCCATTTCATCCTGACCCCTCTCGACATCAGGCCTAGGTTTTCTGCCTCAGAAAACACGAGGTAGAGTCTGTTTGCTCACTGGGAGTCCTTCCTTCCCCTCTCACCTTCAGCCTTCTTGCTGCTCTAAGTGACCGTACTGTACTGGGAGGCTGTGGGGTTCTCTCCCAACCTTCTCCCCTACTGCCACTTCTTCAGGCTTTCCACGGTATTTTCCTCAAATATCTGGGTTCCAGACCCCCGGTTTCAGAATAGGCTTCTGGACCCCAAAGTTAACCCAGCGGCTAAGAAGCCTGGGTGCCTGCATGGGCAGCAAGGGGAAAGCAGTGATTGTTAAGGTGAGAGGAGCCCCAAAGCCCTTTGGAGCTCTGTCCACGCAGTGAGCATGTAATGAGTATGCAATGGCTGACAGAAGCTGGCCTGAGTGAGGAGAGGGCAGGCAGAGGGGACAGGAATGAGGCTGGAGGCATCTGACATGCCTCCTTCCCCTTCTACTCCCTTCCTTTCTGGGCCACCTGGGGAAAGGATGCTGTGAGATAGGCCCTGGGCCTGGAGACCTCCCTAAGCTGCACGGGAGTCGGGGGTGTCCTCCCTTCCCTCTGCCTCTATCCAGCCCAGCCCAGGACACAGGACACCCACAACCAAGAGGCTGTATCCCACACACACCCTGTCTTCGGCCGGGGCCCCTAGATCTCTGACCTTCACTGTCACCCTTAATCCTGGACTGCAGCTTGAATGCTCCCATTCCAACAGGACTTTAGGTGACCTCTGGGCTCTGCAGAGCTGGCCTCTTAGGCTTTGAGACACCCTCATCACAAACTCCCCCAGCTCCTCCTCATTCCTCAACACCAGAGGAGCACTAATTAATTAGCGTGTGCAACCAGCCGTAGGCACAATCTCGTTACTCACCACAGGGACCCGCTGTTAACATACCAGACCCCCGGGACGCCGGCACATGCCAATTACACAGCTAGCAGCTCGGCTAATCACGGCTCCTGGTGACACTGTGGCTTACAGAAGAATCCCCACTTCCCTCCTCCCACCTTCCCCTACACTCCTGCCTCTGGGAACAGGAGGCTGGAAGGGAGGATGTGAAGACTAGATGGGGAAAAGTTGAAACGCTGGGGAACAGGAGGCCAGCCATGGAGTAGCTGAGGTGAGAGTGGGACTGAAAAGTTAGAAAGAAGAATTCTCCTACAAATCACTTTAGGCTGTAAACAGACACTATGGAATTAGTAACTGCAATAAGAGGGTGTGCTGGTGGACTACAAGAAGGACTTCCTGATGAGGCCATTGCAATGGTAGAATTGGACCTGACAAAGGACAGCCTTTCTTCCTACAAGAAGCAGCCAAGGGAAAATGGCCTGTGAGGTGGAAGAGGAAGGGAAAAAGGGGAAGTTCCAGGAACTCAGGTATCTGGTGCCATCCTGTTCCTCAGCTGCAGTTCAAGGGTACAGAGAGGAGGCGGCCTCACTGCAGACACAGATAGACGGCTTCCCTCCCACACACGTCCCATTGACTTTGCCATTCTGCTGTCACTCCACAGCTTCTCCGAGATTTAACATATTGACTCTCTGAGCTGCAGAAAATTGAATTTTCTTCATTACGACTGTCTCCCGACAAAAGCAGCTCATAAATTCTACATCTTTTTCAGGCTTCCCACCCCCTCACCACCCAACATCTCTCCAGGGTATTCACATATTTGAACATGCCATTCACATGGGTGTAAAGGCAAGGCATGACCAGCACTCCCCACGGACACAGCATTCACAAAGACAGCGTTCACCCCATCCCTCACTGCCCATACATAGATCCAGTCTACACCCAGACCTGGCCACTGTCATCAGAAATGAGGGTTCATGTCTTCCACAACCAGGGTGGGTCCAAGTATATGGTGCCCCATATAGCAGAGTCACATGTCCCGTATCAAGGGGCGAAAGATCCCATGCCGTAGCCAATGCGTGTACGTCTATATTGTGGCCCATTAGCAGTCTCACGGGTGACACTGTCACATGGGACAGAGTCATCTGTCCTGAGATACAGTATTCACTCCAAGTCCACCTCAGTGCTACCTGGGCATAGCTACAGGTCCCTCCCCATAGTACTGGAATCCCTGCCCACACTCCCACCTGGGAATATGCCCACAAGTATGAAACATATGCAAGTCTCTCAAGCTTTGTATAGTCATAGACATGGAAGGAGGAGAAGAAACATCTCCTAGGACCTAGTGGGGAGTCTTCCTTCACACCACAGCAACCGCTCCTGTCTCCTCCCAACACTGTCCCCTGCCCATGCACATGTTAAGCAGCTGGTCTTCTTCCACTACTATAGTACCTCAGCAGTACTCCTTAAGGCACAGACACCTCCCTTCCACCATTAAGGGATGTTGGACTTGGCCTCCCACTCCAGAGTGTGCTCTCCCCATCTGACTCTCTCCTGCTTAGGCCCCAGGAACAGCACTGGGGGAGGGCAGGGCCTAGTTCCTTTAGCACCTGTGCCAGCCTGGCAGCTGAGGCTGTAATAGATGGGCAAGAGGCCAGGCTGATGGCCAGCACCATGTGGCTTGTGCCCAGGGCCAGATTGGGGCGGGAAGTGGTGGGCTAGGTGCCCAGGCACTCCACCTTCCAAAATGCCACACAATCTGTGAGTGGAGAGAAACAGAAAGAGGGACTCAGATAGATTCAGACGAGGACACCCCCTGAGACCAGACTAAGTCAATCTCTGACCCTTCAACAGCCGCTCCCACCCCTACAACACTGACCCAGGCACAAAGGAAGTCACCACAAACAAGAGAGGACAACCAGTTATTTTCAAGAATGACTAGCCCAACCTCACCAACAGCAAAACTAGATTGTGGGGGTACAATCAGAAACAATAATAAGAATGACTCCTCTATTAGGAGAGGGGCTGAGACTTGGGAGGTCTGCATGCATTTTTATGTGAGCTAATTAATATACAAATGTTATGTGGAATGCACAAATGTTATGTGGAATGCAGATGAACATCTATTGCCTTTGCAATCCCGAACCAGCTCCTCTTGGTACTAATACAAACACACACACACACACACACACACACACACACACACACACACACTCTATATGATTAGCTGGACTGTTTTTCCCAGCACGTAGGTTTCTAAACTATCTTCCGTCTTATCCCTTAAGAGCAAGTTTGGAACTACACAAAGATGGCCAGGAAGGTTGGGATCCACGATACAAGGAAAGGCTTTCTGGAGACTCAGATGTACCTCAAATCCTCTTTGTCCAGAAGGAGAGCAACCCCCCCCATGCCAGCCTTACCCATGCCCACCTGTAAACCTACTCCTGGCTGGGCACGGTGGCTTACACCTGTAATACCAGCACTTTGGGAGGCTGAGGCGGGTGGATCATTTGAGGTCAGGAGTTTGAGACCAGACTGGTCAAAAACCGTGTCTCTACTAAAAATAACAACAACAACAACAAAAACTAGCTGGGCGTGGTGGCGCACGCTTATAATCCCAGCTACTGGGGGAGGTGGAGGCAGGAGAATCACTTGAACCTGAGCGATTGTTACAGTAAGGTTACAGTGAACGGAGATCACTGCGCTCCAGACTGGTGACAGAGCGAGACTTCGTCTCAAAAATAAATAAATAAATAAATAAATAAATAAACCTACTCCTTCTGCCAACGTCCCCTCTCAGGGAAGGACTGCATCCACTCAGATGCCCAAGCCAGTACCCTGGGATCAGCCATGACCCTTCCTTCAGGTTAGGATGAGACATGGGAGCCTGTTGCATGTATTAAATGACTTAGTGACTTTTTTTTTCTTTTTTGAGACAGGGTCTCACTTTGTTACCCAGGCTGGAGTACAGTGATGCAAACACAGCTCACTGCAGCCTCGACCTCCTGGACTCAAGTCATCCTCCCACCTCAGCCCCTAAGTAGCTGGGACCACAGGCATACGCCACCATGCTCAGCTAATTTTTGTATTTTTTGTAGAGACAAGGTTTTGCCATGTTGTCCAGGCTGGTCTTGAACTCCTGAGCTCAAGCAATCCTCCCACTTCAGCCTCCCAAAGTCCTGGGATTACAGGCATGAGCCACCACACCTGACCCCCTTAAGTGATTTTTTTAAGCTAAAAGTTTAACTTTTTTAGCATCACATGTCTACAGACATTCAAAATCATTACTTCAAAAATCAAAATGTCCTGTTTCCTTCATTGCCCACATCCTGCATGCTACTTCCTAAATATCTCTGTGTCTATCCAATTTGCTGCATTCTCTGTGGCAGACGAGAGACAGGTCTTAGCAAGATAACTGAGCTGCTTCCTTGTTGCGTTCTCAGGCTCCAGGGTTAACCTCCCCGCTTCCCCCGATTCCCATAGCGCTAGGGAGGCCAGAGAAGCATAGGGGACAGGCCAAGACACACAGTTTCCCAGAGAGAAGTATTTTGAAACTGCCAGAAAGCTGATAGAATTGCAAAGTACATTAAATCAGCTACTTAAATTGTGACCACAACACACAGCTATTTATTTTGTGACAGGGTAAAAAGTTTCAAACTTTTTATCAATAGAATAATAAAAATAAAGAAACCCTATAACCATATGAATAACACTATCTTGAGGGAAATCAGCCACATTCATGACCAATCAGCCTGTGGCCTTATGCCCCACCAACATTTTGGTTGGCTGAATTCCAGTCTTTCTTCAGCAGGGGATCTTTGCTTATGTGTGATTCACAAAGTTGATGCTCTATAAATTTCAGTGGAATAAATGTGACACTAATAGAGGTATGAGCATGTGGCCAGATTAGAATCAAAAGTCTTCTCATCAGAGGTATCTCTTCTCCCAGGACAACTCTACTGATTCTAGAATGTTGATTCAACCCATGTTGATAGAGCATGGAATGGGCACAAGACTAGATTCTATCTCCAGCCCCTATTATATGAGGCCATATGATGGGTTCTCACCAATAGGATATAAGTGGAAGTAATGTGTTACTCCCAAGCTGTGAAAGTTTAGTGTGTGCCTTCTCCACATGCTCGCTCTTCCCCATCTGCTGGCGGTGACACCTGGGCAATCTGAAGCCACATATTTCAGATGGCAGATCCACAGCATGAACAGATCTGGATTCTTGAGTCACCTGACCACAAATATCCACATTGGACTTATGTGATACATAAATTCTTATCATGTTAAGACACTGAGATCTGGGGGTTGTCTGTTGCAGCTGTTATATCTATTCTAATACACGAATCAAGGTAATGAGGCCAAAATGGCAAAAAAACAGACTTGTAACACTGTCGAATTTGGACTGGCAGAGGGCATAGGAGAGCACTCTCGAGTCAGGAATTCTTGATTTAAATCTCATACTAGGGGCTGGGTACAGTGGTTCATGCCTGTAATCCCAGCTTTTTGGGAGGCCAAGGCGGGCGGATCACTTGAGATCAGGAGTTCGAGACCAGCCTGGCCAACACAGTGAAACCCCGTCTCTACTAAAAATACAAAAGTTAGCCAGGCATAGTGGCAGGCACATGTAATCCCAGCTACTCGGGAGGCTGAGGCAGGAGAATTGCTTGAACCCTGGAGGCAGAGTTTGCAGTGAGCTGAAATCATGCCACTGCACTCCAGCCTGGGTGACAGAGTAAGACTCTCTCTCAAAAATAAATAAATAAACCTCATACTAGCTATGTGGCTTTGCTCAAGTTATTTAATCTTTCTGAACTTTGGTTTTTTTCATTGATAAAAATTATATAATAATAATATGATCTGAACACTTTGATAGTAGAGTGGGTTGACGGGTCTGCGGAGTGAAGGAGCTGCAGACCTGAGTATAGTTGAGAACTCTAAACCATTCTTCCACCCAGCCCTAGGTCAACCAAGGAACTAAGAGGACAAAAGAAAATGGGCCGGAGACCTTAAAGAAAAGCCCCAAGGATATCAAACTTTGCGCTAAAATTACATCAATGTTTTTCCTACTTCCCACAGAGTCCACAGTTTGGAAACATTCAGAACAGCCTACAATATCTGATAGAGCTGCTTCTGAGTGTTTGTAAAGCACCCAGCAGAGTGCCTGATACATGGCAGACACTCAGTACTATTAATAACACTGGCCATCATTATTTTCTCAGAAAGCATCTTGTTATATTGGGAAAGGTATAGGTTTCAGAATAAGATTGTTCTTAGAGGCTTTTTTTTTTTTAGA
Source organism: Homo sapiens (assembly GCF_000001405.40). NCBI lineage: Eukaryota > Metazoa > Chordata > Mammalia > Primates > Hominidae > Homo > Homo sapiens. The sequence goes on along the minus strand of NC_000012.12, from coordinate 53,732,076 downwards.
CCGGTCACATTCTCGTCGCCCAGGCTGGAGTACAGTTGGTGCATTCATGGCTCACTGCAGCTTTGATTTCCCAGGCTCAGGTGATTCTCCCACCACAGCCTCCCGAGTAGCTGGGGCTACAGGTGTGCACCACCACACCTGGTTAATTTTTGTATTTTTAGTAGAAACAGGTTTTGCCATGTTGCCCAGGCTGGTCTCTAATTCCTGTGCTCAAGCAATCTGCCGGCGTTGGCCTCCCAAAATGCTGAGATTATAGACATGAGCCACCGCGCCCAGCCAGTAAGTTACTCTTAAAGTCTCAGTCTCTTCATCTGTAAAATCTGGATAGCACCTTGCACAGTTATTGTGATGATTCAATGGGTGAAAGAGCACCTCTCACATAGTAGGCACTCAACTAGTGGTAGCTCCTCAAAGCATTCCCAGAGTCCAGGGCCAGCTTCCATTAAACATTTATTATGTGGTGGGCACCGAACTACATGAGGCAATACCAGAATTAGGACTTTTGCAAAAGAGAAAAGAGACAACATTTCAGGGAAATGGATTCACTTTTCAGCAGCTCCTTCCCAAGTTCTACGGAGCCCTTCGACAATCATGGCAGTCATCTCCCTTCCCCAGACGAGTTAAACTATATTCTTAAAAAAAAAACAACAGTCCCCAAATCTCCCACTCTCACTCAGAAATATTCTTTGATCCCAATAACTGTAACTTCCACCTGTCTTCACAGTATTATTCCCCTTTTTCAAAAAATCTTCAGTGACTAACTTCCCATTCCTGATGGGAGTGAAGTCCAAACCTTTGTACATGATGTATTGATGAGGAAAACAGTAGCTACTATAAAAAATAAACCCATTTTAGCAGTGTAACAAAATTGAAATTGATTTATTGGTCAAGTGAAATCTGAAACACATGATCCTGATTAGTGGTCCGCTCTCTGCCACGTGATGATTCAGGGAACCAGCTTCCTTCCATCCTGTGGCTCCACTGTCTTTAACATGTGGCCTTCAGGGTCACTGTGCCTAAGGTCATCTTCATCAAGCTAGACAGGAAAAAAAATAGGAAGGAACTTTTTTGGAGGGTTTTATGGGCCAGACTTGAAAATGGAACACATTAATTAAAGGAGAAGCTTAAAAATGTGGTATAGCTAGGCCGGGCGCGGTGACTCTTGCCTGTAATCCCAGCACTTTGGGAGGCCGAAGCGGGCGGATCACGAGGTCAGGAGATCGAGACCATCCTGGCTAACACGGTGAAACCCCGTCTCTACCAAAAATACAAAAAAATTAGCCAGGTGTGGTGACGGGCACCTGTAGTCTCAGCTACTTGGGAGGCTGAGGCAGGAGAACGGCATGAACCTGGGAGGCGGAGCTTGCAGTGAGCTGAGATGGCGCCACTGCACTCCAGCCTGGGCGACAGAGCAAGACTCCGTCTCAAAAAAATAAAAAAATAAAAAATAAAAATAAAAAAATAAAAAAATGTGGTACAGCTGTGTGTCCAAGAAAAAGAAAGAAACAGGTTCTGATAAACACATAGGCTCTGGCTCACTTGACATTCAAAACTCTCTATACTCTGGCTTAAGTCTGTCTTTCCAATTTTATCTTCCATTATCCAATTATCCAACTGTAGCTTCTTTTTGTTGTTGTTGTTGTTGTTGTTGTTGTTTGTTTTGTTTTTTGAGACAGAGTGTCACTCTGTTGCCCAGGCTGGAGAACAGTGGTACCATTCTGGCTCACTGCAACCTCTGCCTCCTGGGTTCAAGCGATTCTCCTGCCTCAGCCTCCCAAGTAGCCGGGATTACAGGCACGCGCCACCATACCTGGCTAATTTTTGTATTTTTGGTAGAGATGGGGTTTCACCAGTTGGCCAGGCTGGTCTTGAACTCCTGACCTCAAGTGATCCGCCCACCTTGGCCTCCCAAAGTGCTGGGATTACAGGAGCAAGCTACCACGCCTGGCCTCCAACTGTAGCTTTTATTCAGCTTTGCTGCAATCACAACCTACCCCAAAATCTAAGCGACTCACAACAACCAGTGCTGGCTTCTGATTTATGTATATGCAGGTTGTGGGTAAGCAGTAGCTCAGCTCCACAGGTCTTCTCATTCCCAGGCCCAGGCAGAAGGAGCAACTCTCATGTGGATTATTCCCATTCTAGTGGCAGAGAAGAACAAGAAAGTGGAAACTCATGTGTTCAAACATGGCATGAGTCACATCTGTTCACATCCCATCAGCCAAATTATGAAACATGACAAAGCCCAAAGTCAATGACATGAGACATCTATTCCTTCTACAGGAGATACTGCAAGTCACATGGCAGTGGGCAGGAATGAGAGAGGAAATAATTTCAAACAATTAGTCCATCCACTACAACTGCCATTTTCCATCTGGAGTACATGGCAGACATTACTACCCAGCACTCTTTCCTCAGAATCCTCAACACAACATTTCAGGCAGACATTACCAATAATCTGAGTTTGCCTAAATACATAAATAAAGGTTGAAATTGATGTGCTATTATGTGACTCTAGGCTCATTATCCATTCCCACCTCCAAATCTTTGCTTTGGCCTAGAAGAAGCTTACCCTCCCCAGTCCCCATCTTGCCAAACTATCCAAATTTAATCTATCCTTCAAATACTTGAATATTTGAAAGTAATGACTATAATTAAAATAATGAATTACATTTATTATTTTAAAATAATGAATTACATATATTATTTTAAAATAATGAATATTTACTATTCATTCTTTCAATAAAAGTAACTGAATACCTAGCATAGTACCTGCCACATATTTGTTGAATGAATCTGTTTCACATTACTTTGTGCCTTGCACTGAGCACATAAATGCTCAGTGAACATTTGTCTCCTGTTAATGAACCAGCACTGTTCCTTAGAACAATGGGAGTTAGTATCACATGCCAGAGTTTCTGGACTGGGAGTATGGTGACTGCTTGTGCTTAAATCTTGATTCTGCCACTCACTAGCTGGATGACTCCAGGCAAGTCATTAATTGTGCCTCAATCTCATCATGTGTAAAATGGGGATAATAACAAGGCGTATTACATAAGCCTGTTGTATTAAATGGGAAAATTCTTAGCATAGTTTGAACAGATCATAAGCACCCAAGAAATGGAAGTTGTTACCATTTTTAGCTCCGAGACTGTTTTCTCGTAGACCTTTATTTTGGGCGGAAGACAAGAGCCAAGAACTCTTGAGACTTGGGTCCTTGAACAGACCTCACTCTTAACCCACTCCAGACCTTGAGCTACCTCCTCATCCAGAAACTGGTTCCCTAACTCATAAATCCTGACTAATGACACAGACACATCACCTTAATGTTTGTGCAGCCCAGTAACTAATTTTTAAGTGCCTGGAGATCTTCAGATGAAAGACACTGAGGGCAGACACCGCATTCAGTCATAAAAGCAAAACACTACCAAAAAACTTGGAAAAGGCAGAAGCTCCATAACTTAGTGCAGTAGAGAATTAAAGCAGGCACCTAGGAAGAGGAAATCAATCCTTAAGACTGTAATCCTTTAATGCAGAGCCAGAGAAAGAGGTAATTCTGAATGCCTCCGACTACAGGGATGGAGAATAGCGAGAGGGGGGACAGGATGCCCAAGTCTATAACGTGACTTGGGGTGTGGGAGACGTGTCAATCTTTCACCTCTCCTAAATAAAAACCGGAACGTCAACATGTATTGTTATCCTAATTAATTTAAGCCACTTAAAAGGCTTGGGCAAACAGGCCCCATAAGTGGCTTGTTTGTGAATTGTGACAGGTCCTGAATTATGCCAAGCTCCCTTTTCAATTTCATTCTTCTCATTCCACCGCTCCTACCACCACCTCAGTCAATTGTATCCTCTTCCTAGACCCAGAAGCCACTCTGGGGGAGCCCAGTCCAGATGTGGATATGGTCAGGCCCCTTAGCACTGAAATCCTCAAGTTGGAAAAAAATGGTCAGCTGTGCAGAAGACATCATTCTTACAAGGTCTGTCCCTGAGATTGAAGTAAAGAAGAAACTGCTATACCCCAGCTATCAGTTTCCCATCCCCAAAATGGTGGGTAGCTGTGGTGTAGTGGCAAGAATATATGACGTGGAATTAGCCAAGGCTAATGCAGTTCTACATTTCATAGCTTTGACACTTCACACCGCCTCCTTAACCGTACTTCACTTTCTACATCTATAAAGCGTGCATAACGCTTAACGCCTATCTCACAGGTGGGTGCGAAAAGTACAGGACGGGACGCAACAGAAACCGCTCTGCCCACCGTTAAAGCGTTATATGGAAGGCTTTAGAGCCGTAAATCCTCCCCAGCCCCCAACAACGCACGTTACAAACCAGCAGCCACCCCTAATGCAGCCGGCCCCCTCCTAAGGGATCATGGGCCTTGAAGTCCTTTGCTGGCCACACCCTCGTTTTCTGTCATAGGAGTGAGAACTACGCCTCCCAGGATGCCGCGGTGAGGCCGCCGTCACGGACGCCCTCTTCCCCGCCCTCCTTGCGCGCAGCCTTCTGGGATGTATAGTCCTAGATCCGAGCACGCAGCGGCAAAAGGGCGCAGAAGAACCACAAACCCCAGAAGCCCTCGCGCCCACTCTTCTCCCTCCCCTCCAGAAGTCGGAGTGCTGTTTTTGTTGTTGGTGAAAGGTGAGGGGAACAGCTGATCCGTCTGTTGGGTAAGAAACTTGGCCTAATTGGGGGCGATCTTATGGGAGGGGAGGGTCACCCCACTTTCCAGTTTGGGGAAGGATAACGTAAGGGAACTGTCGAAGGGGAATACAGGAGCGTTTGGGTTGTAACCCTTTCCGTACTGGAGAAGCCACCCCCGCTGTTTGGGGAGTTCTTGGTTTCAAGGGGACTCTGATTGGGGGTGGGGGGCGCCCCCTCGTCGTCCTCTCCTTCTTCTCAATGCGTCTCTATAAAGCTGATCCCTTCAAGGGAGCTGAAATCTGCTTATTCGCTCCCAGGCAAGACGTGTCCCCTACACGTCTTCCCTCTCTCCCCTACGCAAATCCAAAGGCCTTTACGACGCTGAATCCCTGGGGAGGAAGGGGGACCTTCCAAGGTGTAGAATGTCAAGGAACTCTAGAGCCCTACAGAGTAGGGGATGGGACACCCGCTCTCCGCCCCATCATGTGAACATCTGAATCAGGCTACACACCTACATCTTAGGTGCCCAAAACTTTCTTTCGGACATGAAGAACGTTTACAGCTGTTACGGATTTTCTTTGTGGGGTGTATTTTAGGGTTCTCCAGGTATATCTTTGGGGACAATTTACCCCCACCCTTAGAAAGCTGGAAGAATTGCATTTGGAGAAAACATGGATTAGTTTCAACCAGGAATTTTTCAGGGAGATGAACATTAAAAAAAACTTTTTGTTCTACCTATTTGGGGGACAGAAGTTGCTCCTTTTTGTGTTGCTGGCTCACCTTTATCCACTGAGTTTCTGTTTTCTTTTAAAGTTCCTGTCCCCTGGACTTCAGCCTGGTGTGGGTTTGTGATGTTTGGGGGCGTGCATATGACTAGTGACAATGGCTGGTTGGACATGTCAGCTGTGAGTGACACAGGAAATAGATTAGTGGGCTGGAAAGGAGTGATGAATAAGAGGGCCATCTCACAGCCCTGGACTGAGGAGTTCTTTTGATCGTTATTATTGTTATCTGTCCTCACCCCACCCTCATATTTTCCAATTAACTCTCCCCAGCTAACTTGGAACACCCCTTCCTCTCAACCCCATCCTGTAGTGTGTCTCCAGCTACCAATACAAACAGATGGAAGGATGGAGGCTGAGGGGAGCAGAGAGAAAATGAGGAGAGAAATACTAAAGTGAAACCAGTAGGTTTCTAGTCCTGCTGCAGGCACAGTCTGGAGAGAAGAATGTTAGGTTCTTTTTGAACTATCTCCCCTTTCCTCAACGTTAAATATACATTTCCACTTCTTGGGGCCCCTTACTTCCCACTTTCTAGTCTGTTCCCTGCCCTGGGGTGGGGCTTTCCTGGCTCCAGGCCCCCACATTCCATCTCCCCACCCCCACCACGTTCCTGCTAAGCGCCTCACTCCACCCTTGAAGTTGCCGCCTCCAGAATTCTTGACTTCCTGGAATAATAAGTCAAGGGACAGAACCTGTCTTTCCTTATATCCTCCCCTTCCCTTTGTCTCTTGGATGCCAGCAGAAGCTTTCTGCTTCCCTAGAATTCATGGGGGTAGGCAGCTCAGAGAGATGAAAAGAGCTGAGAGCTCAGGAGCCTAAGGATTTGGGCTCAGTTCCCCTCGACCCCCAGCCATATTCTAGCTCTGAAAACTCAACCATTCCTTTCAGAGATTAGTTGCTGCTTTCTGATGTCATAACTCATTCCTGGATACAGCTGGGTCAACAAGCTTAGGAGTAGGTAAGGACACCTCTCTCAATGAGAGGGCCCCACACCTCAGTTGGATTTTGTATTCAAGAGCCAGGATGTGTGGGAGATGGGATGGAGAAATGGAGGCTGTCGACCAAGTCGCAGTATCCCAGGCTCTGTCCCCGTCAGTGTCCTTTTGGGAGCAAAATTAGAGAAGTCTGAACCCTCAGAAGGGTCTATGAGCCAGAGCGGGTACAGTGTGAGACAGGATGGGGACGGACTTGGAAGGCCAGACCTACGTCCTAGAGACTAAGAGTGATACCTCAAAAATGTCCCGTAACCCTCAGGGACTAGAAACCAGGTATGCCTTATCTCCAGGTGTAGTGGCAGGGGCTGTGAGTGTGTGGTGCTGGAGCTGTGGGGGGAAGGAGGTGGACTGGAAAGACTTTAGGCTATCAACCCTTTCTTTCATAGGAGGACAGATATCTCAAGGCCAGGATGGAAGAATCACCACTAAGCCGGGCACCATCCCGTGGTGGAGTCAACTTTCTCAATGTAGCCCGGACCTACATCCCCAACACCAAGGTGGAATGTCACTACACCCTTCCCCCAGGCACCATGCCCAGTGCCAGTGACTGGATTGGCATCTTCAAGGTATCTCTGGAACCCCTTTTGGCTTAGGTTTATGGGCTGTGAGTTGGTTGGAATAAGGGGAATGATTGGGCTCTTGGATTCTCAACCTCAGGTTGATAGAGAAGAAGAGAGAAAGATGTCACAGATGACAGAGGCCGCCTGTATAACCAAAGCACATATTTTCTCCATCTTAGCCTTGTTCTTTACTGACACATTAGTGTCCCTCCACTTTCCCTTTCTCTTGTCATTGTTGCCACTGTAGCTCCATCCTGCCCCCCTTATTCAACCCCTCAGCCCTTTCTTCCATCCATAGAAGGTAGTTCCATGACCATACCTTTCTCCAACCTTGGGCTTTCACAGGTGGAGGCTGCCTGTGTTCGGGATTACCACACATTTGTGTGGTCTTCCGTGCCTGAAAGTACAACTGATGGTTCCCCCATTCACACCAGTGTCCAGTTCCAAGGTACAAGGGAAGATGGAAAATTGGGAGAGAGGAGCCAAGGGAGTGGAGGTTTGAAAGAAGGTAGTGGGCTCAGAAACATTAAAAGTTAGGCACAAAGGACAAGGAAAAATAAACGAAAATAAATATAATGAGAATATATCCAACAGCGCTCAGCGGATAGAGAATCACGGGATTATCGCAGAATCAGGGACATAGAAACAGAAGGAACTTCAGAGGGCATCTAGTCCCCTGTCCTACCCAAAGAAGGAAAAATGGGGGAGTAAGGAAGAGGGAAAGGTAGAATTATGTGGTGAGAAGAGGGAAAGACCTGGGTTCAAATCTCACCTCTAACACTTACAAGCTGTTTGGCCTTGGGCAAATTACATAACCTCCCTGTGTCGGTTATCTTAACAGTAAAAGGGGATGCCTGGCTTATAGGGACATTACGAGGATTTAAAATGAAAGCTGCAGGCCAGGCGTGGTGGTGCATGCCTGTAGTCCCAGCTACTCACAAGGCTGAGGCAGGAGAATCTCTTGAACCCGGGAGGCAGAGGTTGCAACAAGCCAAGATCGCGCCACTGCACTCCAGCCTGGGCGATGGAGCAAGACTCTGTCTCAAGATAAAATAAAATAAAAAGTGTTACCACAGTGTCTGGTACATGGTACGCACTCACTACATGGTAACTAGCATTATTATGATTATGATAGAGGGGCAGTGGGTTTGGGAAAGAAAGGAAGGAGAGGGACAGGCAGAAAGGAGGGAGAAGAGTATGGCCTGTGGGAGGTGGAGAAGAGAAGAAACAGTATATGGAACACCGAGCAAGGGGCTGGGGCCAAGGACAGTGGATTATTGGGGTCCTGGGTCCATTCTTCTTCCCACAGCCAGCTACCTGCCCAAACCAGGAGCTCAGCTCTACCAGTTCCGATATGTGAACCGCCAGGGCCAGGTGTGTGGGCAGAGCCCCCCTTTCCAGTTCCGAGAGCCAAGGCCCATGGATGAACTGGTGACCCTGGAGGAGGCTGATGGGGGCTCTGACATCCTGCTGGTTGTCCCCAAGGCAACTGTGTTACAGGTGAGAAAAGAGCAACAGAGTTATTCCCAGACAAGGGAGTGGGAGACAGCATTGCAAGAGGACCCTTCCCACCTTACCCTCCCCTCATCTGTGGCGCCAACTAAAGACCTCGTTGAAAGTTAGACAAAGTCCTGCCTCCAGGAGAGTCTCAGTCTAACATAGACATACACGAACATGTAAGGCAGGAAAGGAGACCACCCACAGGCCAGTGTAACTCAGGATTTCATAAGAACTTTTGCAGCCTTCCTTCTCCATGCACTGCATCCTGCCCTATGCCCTAGAGGAAGATCAAAGGGTGGAGAGAGGCTACTCCAGGGAACATTCAGAGAAAGGGGAGCACAGGACCTGCTTCTAGGACGAGTGGGGAGTGAGAGCAGATAGGCAAGGCCCCAGACCTGTACTGTCCAATACCAAAGGCTCTTAACTATATATGGCTCTTGAGCACTTCAAATGCAATTAATCCAAACTGAGATGTACTATAAGGGTAAAATATACTCCAGATTTTGAAGACTTAGTATTTTTTAAAGAGAATGTAAAAGACTTCAATAATTTTTATTTTGACTACATGTTGAAATGATACTGTTTGGGGTTTTTTTGTTTGTTTTTTGGGTTTTTCTTTTCTTTTCTTTTCTTTTTTTTTTTTTTTTTTGAGACAGCCTTGCTCTGTCACCCAGGAAGATGTTTATATCTCACGTAAGTGAAAGATGTGTGAGCTCCTACTCTCTGTTGCGGTTTCACAATCGTGATTCTCATTTGAGCCTTACAACAATTCAGACTAAGGGATCATGTTACAGATGAGGACACAGAGACTTAGAGAAGTTAAGAAGCTTGTTCAAAATCACATAGCTAGCTGGGTGTAGTGGCATGCATCTGTAGTCCCAGCTACTGGGGGAGACACTGAGGTGGAAGGATGGCTTGAGGCCAGGAGTTTGAGGTATGGTATGCTATGGTTGCACCTATGGCTAGCCACTGCACTCCAGCCTGGGCAACACAGTGAGACCCTATCTTTAAAAAAAATCACATAGCTAGTAAAAATTGCACTGAAGATTTGAACCCAAGTCTGTCCAACTCCAGAGCAGATAGGGTAAAATTAGGGGACCCATCCCTTGTGTCTGTGTTCATTGACTTGTGCCACATGAGGGATTCCTGCAATTGCTGGATGAGGAAAGGGCCAGGCCTAGAGTGGGGAGGGGTAAGAGAGATGGGCAATTCAGAGTGCCATGAGCTGGTGCATCTGACTGGGTGGTGGACGGGATTCGGTAGCACACTGAGCATCCCCTTCCTCACCTCTTTATAACCCAAAGCTATGTAACTTCCCAAACCCAAAATGCACCTGGAGAGTGGTGAGGATGGGACCTTAGAAGGGGTACTCCACCAGCACACTCCCCTTCTCCTTCTGCTGCCTGTAGAACCAGCTCGATGAGAGCCAGCAAGAACGGAATGACCTGATGCAGCTGAAGCTACAGCTGGAGGGACAGGTGACAGAGCTGAGGAGCCGAGTGCAGGAGCTCGAGAGGGCTCTGGCAACTGCCAGGCAGGAGCACACGGAGCTGATGGAACAGTACAAGGTGGGAGCTGGGCCAGGTAGGGGACAGGGCCTGGCTGCTCACCCAGCATCCAAAATCTGAACCCAGTGAAGAGGGTGAAGGAGAGATGTTAGTGGGCTTTTACAATGGTTCTGGCATCAAGGAAATAGGTTTAAGGGGTAGTGGCTGGGATTAAACTTGATGTGACAAGAGACATGTTCCAAACGTGTAATGAGACTCAGTTCTTTGAACATAGGAATGCTGGGGTAAGGTGGAGGTGGCCACGTTGATAGGTAAGGGAATGTTCCCTTACAGTTTCTTTTTCAAGGAAGGCAATGTGATAGCCAGGTGGAAGCAGTCAGACCCTGGTGTGCTCTTCCTAAGCCTTTGTTCCACCACTTGAGAGATGAGTCCCAACCTCCCTTTTCTTCTGGGGGAAACTTAATTTCAGGGGATTTCCCGGTCCCATGGGGAGATCACAGAAGAGAGGGACATCCTGAGCCGGCAACAGGGAGACCATGTGGCACGCATCCTGGAGCTAGAGGATGACATCCAGACCATCAGTGAGAAAGTGCTGACGAAGGAAGTGGAGCTGGACAGGTGAGGGGAGTCCACTGACCCCGTCACTTCCTCTCCCTTCCATGACCCCCGCACTCCAGCCCCCTCTCTCAGGCAAGCAGACCTGCTGTCTGCCTCACACGCTTTCTCTTTCCCTCTCACCCTCACTCAAGCTAGTTACTGGGGATACCCTTTTCTGCCGAGCTCTCTACCATCTTTCCAAATGCTATTCTGTATTCCTCCACTTCAGAAATAATCATAGTTACCACTTATTGTACAGCAAAAGCTGAGCAAGAGCTAGGAGTGGAGGATTTGGAAGAAGAGAATGGATGGAAGTCAGTGCAAGATAAGAGAGGATGGATTTCAGATGTGGCCACAGGAAAGATAAGATTAGACTGTGTTCTTACTATTAAGAAACATTATAACTGGTGATCCAGGAATGTTATGGAATCTCTGCCCTGGAAAAAAAAGATGCAAATCATAAACTCTTAGCACTGGGATTGTAAGATATGTATGAGGGTATGTAAGAGGTCACCCTCAGGAGGCAGCCTCTTTAACATTTGACAGCTGTCATTTTTGTATCTCTTGTATTGAGCCAAACTCTCCTCTCCTATAACTTACCAGGGGGTCCTGAGACCTCTGGAGCCACACAGAATAAATTTCTTTCTTCTTCCAGAAAATTGTTTTCTCTACCAAGTAGCATAAATATTAACCACCACCTCCCATGTCCATCCTTCAAATTTTCACCAGTTTAAACACTCTAGTTCCTTATTTCATTAAATGACAAAATTATGTTTCATTTACTACTGGTAGGTGTGATATTTTAAAAAACTGTTTAAAAGAAAGAGGCATTCTATCCAAGGCCCAAAGTAATAAGTGAGTTCGTCTGAGAGGCTTCTTCAGGATATGTTAGTCTCACCCTAGGGAGATATTAGATGTCTACATTCTAAGTCATAGGTTAGAAAAGCAGTGGTCAGATTGAGCATCTGGAAAAGATTAGGGGCTATCTAGACCAGAGGTCAACAACTATGGCCCACAAGCCAAATCTAGCCTGCCACCTGTTGTATATCCCACAGGTAAGAATAGTTTTTACATCTTTTAATGGTTAAGAACAAATTAAAAGAAGAATATTTTGTGACATGTGAAAGTTGTATGAACTTCAAATCTGTGTTCAAGTTTTATTGAAACATCATGCTCATTCGTTTACATACTGTCAATGGATGGTCCTGCACTACAATGGCAGAGTTGAGTAGTTGCCACAGAGACCACATGGACTGCAAAGCATAAAATCTTTACTATCAGGCCCTTTACAGAAAGAGTCTGCCAACTTCTGGTCTAGATCAAAAGTTTATAATCAATAATGACTGCCCTTGTCTCAAAAAGACTAGATTCTAGTCTCTTGATTGAGTGAAAACAATGGGAGCCATCAGCAAAACATTCCTTAAAATATTACACAAAAAGATAAGAAAAACTATTTCTGTCTAAATTGTTCTCTAGAACCTGGAATCTTGGTTTCCTGGGGCTTAGAACTGGATCAGCTGGCTTGGGGATTTATGCATCCCAGAGTGAAATGGAGCTCTGGGCCTAGAGCAGCAGCAGCAGAGCACAAGACAGAGGCCTGAGTCCATTCCTTCTCTGGGTGGAGCAGATTGTCTGACATGTCATCCCACCAATCACAGGCTTAGAGACACAGTGAAGGCCCTGACTCGGGAACAAGAGAAGCTCCTTGGGCAACTGAAAGAAGTACAAGCAGACAAGGAGCAAAGTGAGGTAAGGGGCTCAGAGTTGATTTGCTTTCTCCATTGTCCAGCCAGTGTTTGATTCCCTCTCGAGAGCCAGACACCAAAGGGAATAAAAATGTAAAGAAGACATTGTGTGCACTCTACTAGGGAACATAAGACATATACCTAAATCAGGATTAGTCAGAGTGGAAAAGTGGAATATAAGAGTGTCACAAGAGAAATTTTTTTTGTTTGTTTTTTGGAGACAGAGTCTTACTTTGTCTCCTGTGCTGAAGTGCAGTGGTACGATCTTAGCTCAGTGCAACCTCTGCCTCCTGGGTTCAAGCAACTCTCACGTCTCAGTTACCTGAGCAGCGGGGATTACAGCCATGTGCCACCATGCCCAGCTAACTTTTGTATTTTTAGTAGAGACAGGGTTTCACCATGTTGGGCAGGCTGGTCTCGAACTCTTGACCTCAAGTGATCCACCCACCTCAGCTTCCCAAATTGCTGGGATTACAGGTGTGAGCCACTGCGCCTGGCCTCAAGAGAAATCTAATAAAGTATTGTGGAGCTCCAGGGAGGTGTATGAGTACACATCTTGTTAGAGACATTAGAAAAGTCTTTTTAAAATGGGTGTGGAGGCCAGGCACAGTGGCTCATGCCTGTAATCCCAGCACTTTGGGAGGCAGAGGCAGGCGGATCCCCTGAGGTCAGTTCAAGACCAGCCTGGCCAACATGGTGAAACCCCATCTCTACTAAAAATACAAAAATTAGCCAGGTGTGGTGTCAGGTGCCTGTAATCCCAGCTACTCAGGAGGCTGAGGCAGGAGAATCACTTGAACCCGGGAGGCAGAAATTGCAGTGAGCCTAGATCACACTACGGCTCTCCAGCCTGGGCAACAGAGTGAGACTCTGTGCCAAAAAAAAAAAAAAAAAAAAAAAAAGGGAGGGCCATGGCTGGGCGTGGTAGCTCACACCTGTGATCATAACACTTTGGGAGGCCAAGGCGAGAGGATTGTTCAAGCCCAGGGGTTCAAAACCAGCCTGGGCAACGTAGTGAGACCCCATCTCTACAAAAAATTTTAAAAATTAGCCAGGCATGGTGGCATGCACCTGTAGTCCCAGCTACTCAGGAAGCTGAGGTGGAAGGATTGCTTGAGCCCAGGAGGTCAAGGCTGCAGTGTGCTGTGATCGCACCCCTGAACTTCAGCCTGGGTGACAGAGCAAGATTCTGTCTCAGAAAAAAAAGGGGTGGGGTGTGGGGCCTAGTACTTTCAAACCTTTTTAGCAGAACCCTTTCCTCTCCTCCCACCAATAAAGTTTTTAATCTTGTGTGGAATCTCACTGAATAAACAAAAACAATGTTTTATTACTATAAATTTATTTTTATAAATTTGAATGTATAACCTTTACTTAAAAGGTAATGAAAGCACTTAGGTAATTTTGAGGCATACCAAACTTTGAAATGAGAGGCTATCGAAGACTGTTCTGCCAGCCTCAGCAACTAATGTATTTCCGTATTTTATTTTGGTTGTACAATATCAAGAACACCTTGAGTCACACACAAGTAGGTGCAAATAACAATTTTTAAACTGTCCACCTTGCAACTCAGTTTACTCTTCAATTCAATAGAAAATACAGTAGAAACTATTCTGAGCTTTGCAAAAAAATGAATTAACCTGGAAACATATGTCAATTGGTGATCTCCAGTGTGTTAACTTGTGATTTTATGGGTTTTATTTGTTTTGTTTGTTTGTTTTGAGACGGAGTTTCATCTTGTTGCCCAGGCTGGAGTGCAGTGGCGCGATCTCGGCTCACTGCAACTTCTGCCTTCCGGGTTCAAGAGATTCTTCTGTCTCAGCCTCCTGAGTAGCTGGGATTACAGGCACCCGCCACCACGCCCAGCTAATTTTTTGTATTTTTAGTAGAGATGGGGTTTCACCATGTTGGCCAGGCTGGTCTGGAACTTCTGACCTCAGGTGATCCGCCCACCTCGGCCTCCCAAATCATGCCGAGATTGCAGGCATGAGCCACTGCACCTGGCCTTGTGTTGTTTTTCTTTTTTTAACATAATTGTTAATAATTTAGAAGACATTCAAATCAAGTATCTGCAGAACTCCTAAATCCCTTCTTCAGTACCCTGGGTTTATGTGGAAGATTGTTAAAAAACCCTTTGCTCAGCAGTGAGAATAGGTAGAATATGAGTAGACAGAGATGAGTGTGAGGCTATTCTAGGAACAGAGAAAGACGTGAGCAAAGGCTTAAAGGCCAGAACACTCAGGGCAGTTGAATGTGCGGGTGAAGTGTTTGAGATAAGGCCTAGGTTAGACTGTGGTGGATCTTGAGCTTCATTTTTATTCCACAAGCGTGAAAGGCTTTGATGATTTTTCAAGCAGGGGTGACGTGTACTGTACTTATGGCCAGGTGTAGTGGCCCACGCCTGTAATCCCAACATTTTGGGAGGTGAAGGCAGGAGGATCCCTCGAGCTCAGGAGTTCAAGACAAGCCTGGGCAACATAGTGAGACCCTGTCTCATCTCTACAAAAAAATACAAAAATTAGGCAGGCGTGGTGGCACACACCTATAATCCCAGCTACTGGGGAGGCTGAGTTGAGACAATTGCTTAAGCCCAGGAGTTGGAGGCTGCAGTGAGCTGTGACCATGCTACTTCACTCCAGTCTTGGCGACAGAGCCAGACCCTATCTCTAAAAAAGAAAATAACTGTATTTAAAGAATCAGAACTGTACCTAAAGAAGAATAATCTGATTCCCTTGTGGAGAATGAACTATTTATGAAGTTATTCAGTAGTCCAAGCAAGAAATGACCAGAGTCTGAGATAACGTGGTTGTGGTGGTAATAGAGAAGGGAAAATGGCTGTG
The DNA here is from genome assembly GCF_000001405.40 of Homo sapiens. Lineage (NCBI taxonomy): Eukaryota > Metazoa > Chordata > Mammalia > Primates > Hominidae > Homo > Homo sapiens. The sequence continues at coordinate 53,716,905 of NC_000012.12, read as the reverse complement.
ACCAGGATGGAGAAGCAATAGGTTTTTCTGTGGGCCGCTAGGGAGAGGACAGAGCCAAGCATGGCACCAAGGGCACCAGGTTACTCCATCCTGAGTAACGTGGGAGCTAGTTGGTACCCTGGACGGAAATAAGAGTAGGAAAGACTGGGATGGGGTGAGAGGTAGACTGTTGAGTTTAAGGGGCCTGTAGGGCATGAAGACTGAGTTTTGATTTAAGAGAAAGAATAGAGTAGCAGAAATGGTACATGGAATGCCTACACAGAAGACCCAAGGCTGCGATGCTGGATACCTCAATTTGGGAGCTGGAGACTGGATATGCAGGATTGAGTTATTTGAGCTGAGAACCCAAGAAGGGCTGGCAATAGCTGAAGGCTTGAGTGTGTGTTAAATCTGAGAAGTGGAACCTTGACCTCTCTCATCACAATGGTTCACCTCCCGAGCCACCCCAACACACATACCCCTTTCCTTACCTGCTTTCCACTTCCCTCAGGCTGAGCTCCAAGTGGCACAACAGGAGAACCATCACTTAAATTTGGACCTGAAGGAGGCGAAGAGCTGGCAAGAGGAGCAGAGTGCTCAGGCTCAGCGACTGAAAGACAAGGTGGCCCAGATGAAGGACACCCTAGGCCAGGCCCAGCAGCGGGTGGTGAGTGAGGCCCCTTGGCAACAGGAAACGGGAAATTCCAAGGGCAAGTTGTAGAGAAGCCTGCGTGTCTAAAGAGAAGGGGAGAGACATGGCTAAAGACTAAACAACACAACCCCGAGTCCTAATGCAGTGGAGTGGAGGGAGCGTTTACCTCCCTGGCTGATGAATGATTCACTAGGAACTCTGATCTCCATCTCCTCCTTTCTCCTGAGGCCGAGCTGGAGCCCTTGAAGGAGCAGCTTCGAGGGGCCCAGGAGCTTGCAGCCTCAAGCCAGCAGAAAGCCACCCTTCTTGGGGAGGAGTTGGCCAGTGCAGCAGCAGCCAGGGACCGCACCATAGCCGAACTACACCGCAGCCGCCTGGAAGTGGCTGAAGTTAACGGCAGGCTGGCTGAGCTCGGTTTGCACTTGAAGGAAGAAAAATGCCAATGGAGCAAGGAGCGGGCAGGGCTGCTGCAGAGTGTGGAGGTAGAGGGATGGGGGGTACCTGGCAATCTGATGGCCACTGCCCCCACCTCTGTGGGGACTCCTACATGTGGTCAGACCCTCTGGGAGGAGAGAAGAGGGGTTGAGAACCTTAGAGGACTTGGGTGGAGAGGGGCTTTGAGGGAGGTACACTTTACTTTCTAGGCATGACCCATCCCTAACCGGGGTATCCCAATCCTGATCACCAGAGTACCTTCCTTGGAACAGAAACATTTTCTGTCCTAGACCCCAGGCCCTGCCATAATGCCCATTCCTGATCAAGCAGCACCTGCCGTCATGTCCTGTCCTTCATTCAGAGGGTATAGGAAATGAAGGCAAAAAGGGGAAAGTGCTCTAAAAATGATGCTTTAAATAAAGGAAAGGACACAGTAAGGGATGGTGCTGTTGACAGTGGCGTTCCTTTTTCTTCCCCCTCCACCCTCCCATTTTCCTTCTTGGCTATCTCTCAGGCAGAGAAGGACAAGATCCTGAAGCTGAGTGCAGAGATACTTCGATTGGAGAAGGCAGTTCAGGAGGAGAGGACCCAAAACCAAGTGTTCAAGACTGAGCTGGCCCGGGAGAAGGATTCTAGCCTGGTGAGGCATCCAGCCACCAAGGGTCCTGTCCTATGGCCTCCTGAGGCATCCATACCCCTTCTCTCTGTCTTGGGTATGGGCTCAGAAGTGCTAGGTGTCCACTACCATGTTGGGTGGCATTTCACTTGCACACGCAAGCCCTCATTGGTTTGAAATGTGCATTTTTTTCTGCTCTCAGGGCACACATCTGGGCCCAGTAGAGGTGACTTAGGAGAATTATAGAGTGGCCCCTTGGTATGACCAAGGCCTCTGCACCCCAGCCTAGAGGAAGTCATGCAGGTCCCCACTCGAGAGGCAGAGACTAAGACTTAGAAAACTGAGTATCTGTGGCCCAAGACAAAGTACTCATGGAGGAAGTGTTGGGAATTCCTGTGTGTGTGTGTCAGAGCAGGGAAGAAGCAGAGGCATGGGGAGACCTGGTTCTAGATTGTTGGTCCTGGTCCCAGAGTCCAGGTTCTTGGAGGTACATTCTAGGCTCCAGATTCCATTGGGCCCTCTTCCCTCAGGTACAGTTGTCAGAAAGTAAGCGGGAGCTGACAGAGCTGCGGTCAGCCCTGCGTGTGCTCCAGAAGGAAAAGGAGCAGTTACAGGAGGAGAAACAGGTGAGCACCCATAACCCAGGCCCCGTGGATGCCACAGGTGAGGACTTGAGGGCTAGAAACTTTGTAAATTCCTGTCATCTCTTGGCTTAGAAACTGTTCTCTCCAAGAGGGCCCGTACCCTGGCTTCTCTTATTAGCTGATTTGGCAGGACAGCGGATGATCTCTGGGAGAAGGGAGGGATGTAAGTGGTGAAGCAGGGGTGCTGGGGGGAGTGTCTGCCTGAAGTTGCCCCAATCTTTGCTGAAGGCATCTAATGCTGAGGAGCTAAGAGTTCTTCTTGGGTGCAGCTTCTGCAGGCTAGCAAGGTTGGCACCTTCCCATTCTCTAGCACCTGCCTTTTTCCTTCCCAATTCCAGGAATTGCTAGAGTACATGAGAAAGCTAGAGGCCCGCCTGGAGAAGGTGGCAGATGAGAAGTGGAATGAGGATGCCACCACAGAGGATGAGGAGGCCGCTGTGGGGCTGAGTCCGTGTAGCCCCAATCTTGTAACACCTCTTCCCCACTCTACCTCCCGCTGTTGAGGAAGGCTCCATGTAACCTTGCTGGGAGCTGCCTTTGCCTTCTATGTGTTTTGCCTTTTCTTTCCCAGACCCTGGCCCCTGTTTAGTCTAATGATACCCCTCATCCAGAGGAGACAGCTGGTCCAACTCCTCACAACACATCCTTTTTTCTTCTCTGCCTGCTTCATCTCCTACAGGCTGCCCGGCAGCTCTGACAGACTCAGAGGACGAGTCCCCAGAAGACATGAGGCTCCCACCCTATGGCCTTTGTGAGCGTGGAGACCCAGGCTCCTCTCCTGCTGGGCCTCGAGAGGCTTCTCCCCTTGTTGTCATCAGCCAGCCGGCTCCCATTTCTCCTCACCTCTCTGGGCCAGCTGAGGACAGTAGCTCTGACTCGGTGAGCAGTGGAGGAGCCTGTGCAGAAGCAGTAAGGAGGGGCAGGGCCAAACCCAAGTGTCCCAGCCTGGAGTGCAGCACGATCTTGGCTCACTGCAGCCTCTGCCTCCTGGGCTGAAGCGATCCTCCCACCTCAGTCTCCCAAGAGTAGCTGGGACCACAGGCAGGCACCCCCGGCTAATTAGAGAAGGAATCTTAGCTATCCAGGGCTCTCTTTTTCCCAGGGGAGAGGAGGCAGGCCCAGCCTCTCTTCAGTGCCACACCAGTAGATATCATCCCAAAACCCAGACCAGCCCAATAGCCTCACTGCTTCTCCCCCACAGTCATTCTCTTATTATTCACCAGCCCCTCAAAACGCCTCTCCTGCCTCACTCTTCCTAAGCCCCTCAGGTCACTGTCCTAGCCTTGGCTGCTCTTCCCATACCTGTCCCAATGTGCTGCTCCCCCATCTTGGGACACCACCCCAAAGCCCAACCCTGTCTCTTTGGCATCCAGGAGGCTGAAGATGAGAAGTCAGTCCTGATGGCAGCTGTGCAGAGTGGGGGTGAGGAGGCCAACTTACTGCTTCCTGAACTGGGCAGTGCCTTCTATGACATGGCCAGGTGAGTTCAACCAGCAAGGCCAGGAGGGAGGTGGGAGGAGGTCAGAGGGAAAGGGCATCTGTGTGGACAGTCACCAGGCCCTGCTCCCAACCCCTGCCCTTCTTGGCCTCAGCCAAGAAAAGGAGATACAGGTATGGTTAACAAGGAAAATGACTCACTGCTCCAAATCCCAGATGCCTTCAGGTAATCCCTACCCCTATCTTATCAATGCACTCAGAGGTCCTGCCTTTAACTGGCTTCTATGTTGTTCTAGCACCATCTTCTGCAGAGCCCAAATTGCCCTGCTTCCCCTCTCTCCTGCCTCTACCCCTTCCCCAACCACCAGGTAGGTACCTAGGGTCCTCCGGGGAGGAAGGGAGGTGACCATGGCCCCCAGGGATAGGAGCAGAGAGAAGACTGGGATCCAGCATCCATCTGGCTACAACTGAAATGCTTTCCCTCTTCCCTGACTTCCCTGGGTAACCCTTAGGGAAGGGAACCTATAGAGGTGGGGGTTTCAGGTATCAGATTGTCCCCTTCTGCCTTCCCTTTTATTCCCAGGTTCAAGGGGGCAGGCACAGGGAAGAGAGATTTGATCATCTAGTCCCGGTTTTGCCTGGATGTGAGATGGGCTCAGGGCAGGGAGGGGGTGATGCTGTCATCCTTCTCGGCTGGAGCAGGAAGATGAAGGACGATGTCAGACTCATTTTCAGCCTCATTAGGCAGCAGACGGAGATGGAGGGAGGAGAGCAGGAGGCTGGGGGATGGGCTCTGCACTGCAGAGACCAGCAGGGACTAAAGAAGAGAGGACATGGGGAACTGGAAAAATAAGCCTTCCAGGATTGTGGGGAGAAAGACGCTGTGGGAGAGGCCAGGATGCTGCATTAGGCACAGGATAACCTGGGAACCCAGGCACATGGGTCCTGCTCTCCGAAGTCTGCAAGTCAAGAAGGGAACAGAGCACGCCGACCCTCTCCCTTTCCCCTCTGTCTCTCTTAGTGGCTTTACAGTGGGTACCCTGTCAGAAACCAGCACTGGGGGCCCTGCCACCCCCACATGGAAGGAGTGTCCTATCTGTAAGGAGCGCTTTCCTGCTGAGAGTGACAAGGATGCCCTGGAGGACCACATGGATGGACACTTCTTTTTCAGCACCCAGGACCCCTTCACCTTTGAGTGATCTTACTCCCTCGTACATGCACAAATACACACTCATGCACACACACACTCACACACATGCATACACTTAGGTTTCATGCCCATTTTCTATCACACTGGGCTCCATGATATTCTGTTCCCTAAGAACTGCTTCTGTGTGCCCTGTTTTCATCCCAAGATTTCTCACTTCATCCTCTCCTACCTGGCTCTTTTGTCCCAGGGAGGGGTCCTGTTCGGAAGCAGTGGCTGAATTTATCCCCTGAAAGTGGTTTTGGAGGAACCGGGATGGAGGAGGCCTTCCCCTGTGGGAATAGAATCGTCCACTCCTAGCCCTGGTTGCTTCTGATACACAGCCACTGCACACACACACTCACACTCACACTCCCTTGTCTGATGCCCCAAAGCCAATTCCTGGGGCACCCTACCCTCTCTTATTTGGAGTTTCCGTTGGTTTACCTGAGTTTTCTCTGGGGTCTGCACAGAGGCAGCAGCATGGACATCATGGCCTCTCAGGTCCCTTTTGGTTCTCAGTTTCATTGGTTCCTCTTTCTGTTCCCCCATTGACTTCTGTGCCCCACCCTAGCCTTTTCCATAACCTTAGGTATTCAGTTTGGAGGGGTTTTTTGTATTTTTGAGGATTCCTGTATTCTGTATCCTCTCCTCGCATCTCCTCACATGGAAAGAAATAATGTATTTGTGCCTTCTGTGAGGAATGGGGGGAACAAGTGGTCCCAGGTATCCCCATTTCCAAGGCCCCCCTCCCTCTCCAGGTCCCCCCACAGCAATAAAAGCTTCCCCCTGATATCCATCCCTTTGTAGTTTGAACAAATATATTTATATGATATGTATGACTGTTGTCACAAAATGTGTTCTTATCATGAGGTGTGACTGGAACACAGGGCCCAGACCTCCAGCTCTTAGACCCTGGTGGAGGGAGGAGGGAAAGAGGGGACGCATCCCTGCCTCATGGCAGGGGATGCTGGGCAGTTACTGTCCTGTCGTGCCTCCTGGTGTGCTGGCCATGAGTGGGTTGTCTCAAGTGGGAGTCTGGCTTGGATAATGCGGCAGTTGGGGAGGGAGCAAACTCATGGGTCCCTGTCACTTCTGCTCAGGGTTTAGTCCCAGGGTGGGTGCATGCCATGGAAAAGTGGGACAAGTTTCCCACTGCCGAGAACTTCACCCTTCATAGCAGCCATCACTGTACCTTATGCCAAAGGACAGGCTTTATTCCTGTCAAGAGCGTACACCTTTGAGTATCTACTTAGTAAAAAATGCCCTAAGCCTCATACCTCTAAAGGCGATTTTATATTCCTCCTGTTTCTGTTTCTGTTTCTTTCTCTGTTGCCATCCCCTCATACCTGTATGCACACTCTGCCTCAACAGTCACAAAAACACATTCATCCACTCTAACCAGCTTCACAGGCTAGACAGACACATACACAGCATCGTAAAGCATTTGTTAAGGACCTGCACGCTCACCAAGGCTCTCAGCAATGGCCTGCACAAGCACATGCCTACAACCCCCTCGTCCTCCAACCCAATAGCTCCCTTCTCAGCTGCCCTCCTCTCCCTTCAGGGCCCCTGTGTGGACCACCCCCACCATTCCCTTTCTCCATTCACCTGAAATGCTCCTGTCCACCCCCTTTCCAGCCCCACCTGGATGACTTCTTACATCGTTCCTTCTTCCCTCACGTCTCCGTCTCCTAGCAACCCCATCCCGTTCCCTGAATCCCTTCCAAGGAAATTAGAGATAATGGATCTCTCCTCTCTCCATCCCAACCCCTCTTTATTGATCCTCCTTTAATGAAAGTTAATTATAACAATGATTTAATTAATA